>NC_000005.10:126359807-127609807 GCF_000001405.40 Homo sapiens
GGGTGATAAGACATTGATCATGCCATTCAATAGTGAATATCAAAGTTGTGTTAGGTTTGTTTAATTTATGTAATGAATAGGCATGAACTTGTAGGACAACTGAGGACCATTTGGGGTGAATTATGGTAGAGCCTTTGAGGTAACACACAATCACTGTCTTCTAAAGTGAAGAAAGGCATCAGGATTGCGGAAAGACATACGTCATCATGAGTAAAGGGTCAGTGATGTGACTCCAAGTCAACATCAAGATAAGATGAAGCTCTTAAGGCAAAGACGTAACATTATCTTAAAGGTCACATTGAATGTTTCTGTGGTCATTTGCTTTCTCACACATGTGGGTTTCAAGTGCGGCTGGTGCCATCCCTCTGAGCAGACGCTGAAAGAGAAAACTTCTGAGATAGCACTTGTGAGCGAAAAGCACACCAACTGGCTCAAAGAGCTGTGGTTGGGCAGATCTGGTGTAAATACAAAGTTCCTTCCCGACATTTCCCAGAGTTTCTTGAAGATCACCTGGCCTCTAGAAGATGACAAGGAGACAGCAAGTCCTACAAGCAAAAAGGAGCATTCAGCAAACATTCCAAGCACAGCTTATGCCCTGGAAGAGTATGTTCCACGGGAGAGAAGTGAAGCCAGTGGGTCCGGACCTGGAACTGTAAGTGACAGGTCTCAGACCTGGAAAAACCATTTGGGAGTGGAGTGTGGCTTCTGTGGTTTAAAAGGCCTTTTTGGTATCTTAAGGACAGAGTGTCTCCACATGGAGAATGTCTTTGATTGCCCACTGGGGGAGTTTTCCTTGTTTATCATCAGGGTCTTGAGTAAAAGCAAGAATTATCCCACATACTGTAATGTCCTCAGAAACCCCTGATACAAGTACATTTTGCTTATAGGTGTATTGCACAAAACTGGAAGTTTGAGGTTTGTCATGTCACTCAAGCTGAAAGGGGAATTCAAGTGGAGACAGCAGTGAGCAATGCTAGGAGTGGCTTGAAAGATACAGTTGCAATCTAAGACTCTATGTGTTCGGGAGAACTCAGTATTTGCCATTTCAGCTCAGGAAAACTAGGATTATAAGATATTTGCATGAAGTCACACTTGCCATGTCAACTCTCTACATTTTGGTTTTAGGTTCCTTTTAACCTAGAAAGGTAGGTTTGGGTTTGGGTTAGGTTTTATGAGCTCCTTGTAAGCAGGCACTATGGGTTAGCTTTTTGGTTTTTTAGGTTTTGCTTTGCTTTTTACTTTAAATTTTGTACAACTGCTAGCAGAGTAACAAGTATATGTAGAGATATTTAATTTGTTTAAAAATTCCTCTATTATTCTGACTATAATTGCTTTAAAATCCCTCAAATAATCCTATCTTCAAAGAATAAATAATTGTATTGAAGGGTTGTTAGGCTTAGCCCAGAGCTAGGGCAATAAATAGAATGTCTTCAGAAAGACATGTGAAGGGTACACATAAACACTGTGAAGAAAAACACTGTCTGTGAGGCATGATGGGAACTGAAAACATAACATAAAATATAAATGGGTGGGAAGATTAGGATCTCTAGTTTCCTTTCAGACTGGGCTTTGGATTCTACAAACCTGCATTTGAATCCCAACTCTGCTGCCATTTAACTGAATGTGTTGACTAGGAAAAGAGACAGTTTCTCAAGTTTCAGTTTTCTTAATTCCGAAATGGTAAAAAAAAAAAAAAAAAAAATTCTGTTTCCTAGCATTGCTAAGAGGATTGAGTAAGTTTCTATATGTAAAATGCCAGGCATATAGAAATTACACAATGAATAAATTCCCTCTGCTCCTCATCTTCCATTTCTGAAAATCTAACAAGAAACACTGAAACACGGTATCTCAGATAAACTGCCCAGGGCTCTGCAGTTCTCGTGATGGCCCAGCCCAGTCACCAAACCCTACCTCACGCTATAGAGTTTTCACAGGTGCTTTGGGCAGAGGTCCCATTCTAACTCTAATTTACCAAAAATCTCAAAATGATGTCTTTCCTGTCTGGGTTAATTGCTCACTGTGGCTGTGGAGGAGTTGGTAAGCCTCTATATCTGTGTTTGAGTGTCACAAACTGTGGGACATGAGACCAGTTCGATAGGCACTCTGAGCCTCAGTTCTTCCTCTGCAAAATCAGTGTAATACCTACCTCCCAGAAGCATTCCCAGCAATGCACACAAGCATGTTAAGCCTACCACCATCACCCCAAATGTGGTGACCTTTCAAAAACTCCTTGCCAGTTTGTTACCCAGTTGGGTCTCCTCCTTTGTTTTTTATTACTAGTGGAGAATATTTTTTCATTTGTTATTAGCCACATGCATTTCTTCAGCTATAAATTGCATGTTTATGACCTGACTCACGTGTTAAAAGATCCTATGAGCTCAATTCTGAAGACCAAACGATTTTTTGATCGGGCAGCATCATTTCAGTCACCTCTTCTGAATTTGGCCTGGCCTTGCTACACTTCACTGTTTTAAAAAATTGCAGGATGAATGCTAAATTGAAGAAATATGTATAATCAACAGCAACATAGATACAAACTATTATATAATAGTATATGAGCCTTTCACTTTACCTGTCTTTAATTTCATGCTTTCTAAATAACTTAAGATTTTGTTGACAATCATCATTATTAGTGTTCTTTGTTATTGCCATTATTACAAACAGGTGAAGTAAACAACTACCTAGAAAATTATGATTTCAGGATTATCAGGAAGAATTAAGGAAAAGTACCAAAAGTCCTGGCCTTGGACTTATGTAGACATACATAAAAAAGAATAAAAACACAAGATCTTCAAAAGGAACAGAGATACTCAAAGTCATTAATTCTGAATACATTTCTATGTATATTGTTTAAAATAGTTACCAAGAAATAAACACTAACATTTATGGTTAATTAATTTTCAACAAAATGGGCAAGATAATCCAATGGGAAAAGAATAGCCTTTTCAACAATAGTGCCAGGACAATATTCTAAAGAATGAAATTGGACCCCTACCTTACAACATACACAAATATTAACTCAAAGTAGATCACAGACCTTATATAAGAGCTAAAACTATAAAAATCTTAATAAACATACGAGTAAATAATCATTGGGTTGGGCAATTATTTCTTAGGCCCAACACCAAAATCGCAAGTGATAAAAGAGAAAATTGATAACCTGGACTCTACCAAAATGGAAAACTTTCTTTGGTGCTTCAAAGGACACCATGAAGAAAGTGCAGAGACATCCTATGAAATGATAGAAAATATTTACAAATCATATATTTTAAGGAACTTGTAGCCACAATATATAAAGCATACGAGTCAATAATAAAAAGACAAATAACCCAATTTTAAAACGGGGCAAAGGATTTGAATGGATTTTTCTCCAAAGAGAATACACAAATGGCCAATAAGGACATGCAAAGATGCTCAGCATCATTAGTCATTAGGAAAATGCAAATCAAGACCACAATGCAACGCCACTTCATACCCACTCGAATGGCTATATCAAAAACAAAAAAAAAAGAAGTGTTGGCAAGCATGTGGAGAAACTGGAACTCTCATCCACTGCTGGTCAGAAATGTAAAATGTTACGACCATTTTGGAAAAAAAGTTTGTCAGTTCCTCAAAAAGTTAAATATAGCAATTTCATTCCTAGGTATATAATCAAGGGAATTGAAAACATGTGTTTGCATAAAAACTTGTACACAAATATCCATAATAGCATTATTTTTAATAGCCAAAAAGTAGAAACAATCCAAGTCTCCATCAACTAAATAATGGATAAATACAATGTGGTATATCCATACAATAGAATATTTTTGGTCACAAAATGAGATGAACTTTGAAAACATTGTAGGTGAAAGAAGACAGTCACAAAAGATCACAGATAGTATGATCCCATCTATATATGAAATGTCCAGAATAGGTACTTTTTCTATATATACAGATGAGATATGAATGTCTCATCTCTAAAGAGAGAAAGTAAATTAGTAGGTTAGTGGTTGCTTAGGGCAGAATGGAAGAGGAAAATAGGGAGGATGGGCAGGGACTGCTCTTGGGTACAAGGTTTCTTTTGAGTCATGAAAATGTTCTAAAATTAGATGGTGGTGATGGTTGCACAATTCTGTAAATGTACTAAAGCCACTGAATTGTACACTTCGAACAAGTGAACTTTGTATTATGTAAATTATATCTTAATAAGGCTTTAAAAAAACTCTAAAGTGATAGTTACTTTAAATAAGACCTTATGATTTTATTATAAGTATTGATCAAAATAAATATAAAATTTGCTAAATCCTTATTATGTTCAAGGCAATATTTAAAGTCTTTACAAATACTAGCTATTGTACTTTCTTAACAAACCTATTTGGTAGGTACTATTATTCCCATTTTACAGATTAGGAAACTAAAATATAGAGATTTTCAAATTCCCCAGCTATTAAGTAGCACAGTAAGAATACAAACAGAAAGAGTCTGCATTTTTTAAACAAAGTATGTACTGAGTCTGGATCTAATTGCAAACTATGGGGAGGAAATTCCTGAAATTCAGAAAATTGTGGAAATTTTGAAATATTATAATTAATGATGGAACCTAACACAGCTAATGCCTCAGAGTAAATATCTATCTAATTACTTCACACAATAGCAGTGGAAAATGAAAGTGTAGGTTGTAGGATCGCTTCCCGCTCTTGTCCCGTACAAAGACAACATTTAACACAGATGGTCTGTTGCTGGTACGTTTTCATTCTCTCAAGAGTCACAACAGGGAGGAATTCTACAAAGCAGCATGATGTGAAGAGGATCTAGATTACCAGGTCAGGAGTGGAACATGAATCAGGAGGCAGCCCTAGCTCTGCCACCAACTATTCAAGTGACCTATCCCCACTAGTGATAGATCTATAACAGGAAGTATTTTAAGTACATGCATTCTAAGGTTCCTATTGGCTCTAAAACCTCTCCCTCTATATCCTCTATCATCTAGTTTCTAGACTAATCTCAAAAACATCTTGGCCAGTGGTATGTTCATTCCCAAACAAATCTTTCTGAGATGTTTCATAGAATTCTCCAAACATGTCTTTGATTCTGTTTCCACTACTCTGGCCCCTGGTGCTCCAGGTGTGGGAGGGAACAGAGAAGATGTGTCGGTTTCTCACTTTGAAGGGTAAGGCCTCTTGAAAATAATGACTGTATTTAGTGAATATTGGATATACTTTCAGAATTACCAAATGATTTTGATAATCCTTTAGAGTAAAACATAATTTTGATGATGATAAAATGTTCATTGTGATTATCTCTGGTGGCTGAGGATTACAGATGATATTTTTCTTCTTTATATTTTATTTTCAAAATGTTTGTAATGAGTATACATTTTGTTTTGTAAACTAAAAAAGCAGTATATTTTAAAAACCTTAGTGGCACAAAGTTGTGAATGTAGTTCATGCCACTGAACTATATACTTTAAACTGACTAAAATAGTAAATTTATGTTATGTATCCCTTAGGCCAGTAAAATTAATACAAAAAATAACCTTATGGGGGACGCTAATAATCATACTATCTTCAGAAGTATTTCTCTGAAAATAATTATCAATTTGCATAAAATCAAACAAAGGCAGAATATGCAATAACCACTATGCAATTTGACAGATAATAATGCTATTGAAATCAAGAATGCTGCTTTTTAAAATCTGGTAACTCTGAGGTCAAATGTGTATGTTTTATCAAACACCCAAATGTGAATGTTTAAATGTTTACAGCGGTGTAAGGGAGTCAGCTCATGCTTGCTCAACTGTCAGTTCATTACAGGCTCAATTCCCAAAGTCACGTTCAGTGTATCATGTCAGCAGCTTGAAATCAGCTGTGGTAGGAGTATTTACGCTGTGGAAATTGGCCAGTGCTACAAATCAGAGCTTTTTTTTTTTTTTCCTGGAAAACCGGTTTACCAATGCATCACTGTTTAAATAATAAACATATCAATCAACAGAAAGTTCTGCAAACAAAATTTTTAAAATCAACTATCTCAAATCATTTTATAAATTTAAGCAAATATAGTTAAAAGCACTAAAAAGACTTACCCAAGCTGGTGGATAAACTAGAATAGGAACTTGGGTTTTCAAATTTCTTACCTTTATATCTTAAAGCCCCAAATGCACACAAAAAAAGAAAGATTATCTAAAGTCCAATCTTGCCATGTCTACTTACATGTTTACTGAAGCTGCAAGATCAACTTTCTAATCTTCTGGGGGCAAACTCCCTCTAAAGTCATGAGCTGTGGCAGATAGTAATAGTTCTCTGACAAGGGGATAACATATATCCTTTCTCTGCATCCTCTCAAAGGGTTCACAACTTTGGGAGAGAAATCAACCCCCTCCCCTCTTTATCATAAAAACCGTAGAATAAAGAAGTTTGAAGGAGAGAGGAAGGGACTTAAGATATGCTTTAGCCCATGAATTAGACTGGAATATTCCAAGCTGCTTGGCAAGGTCATTATCACCAGTGTCAACACTCCATGGGCCTAGACTGTCAATGCTTGCCCTCCCTCTAGGATTAGGTCTTCCACAAACCACGTGCAAACACACAGCTGTTGTCCCATTGAGTAAAGCAAATCATATCTTTCACTTATATCATATGACTCCACTCAACATGAGTGAAAGTATGACCAACTCAAAGATCCTAATCTTCATTGTCATTACCATCAGTAGTATTTTCTGAATGCTTACTATGTACAGGCTTCATACTTGAAGTTTACACATATTATATCAAGTCCTCCAAACAATTTTTTGAGATAGATATTATTGTTATTCCCATTTTTACAAAAGCTCAGAGTAGTTAAATCCCTTTCTAAAGTAACAAAGCAATGAAATAATCAAGCCACCCTTTTCCAGGCAACCTGACCCCTAAACTAACACTCTAAACCATGAAATCAAACAGCCAACCACAGGAATGTGGATATATTTAATTTACACCCACACACCGGTTTTCCATACATGGTTATTCCATGTATGGAAATATGGTGACAACTGAAATTCAAGGTGATTTTACCAGACCAAGGCTTTTTTTTTTTTTTTTTTTTCTTTTTGAGATGGAGTCTCGCTCTGTTACCCAAGCTGGAGTGCAGTGGCGCGATCTCGGCTCACAAAAACCTCCGCCTTCCGGATCCAAGCGATTCTTGTGCCTCAGCCTCCAGAGTAGCTGGGATTACAGGCCACGCACCACCACACCTGGCTAATTTTTGTATTTTTAGTAGAGACGGTGGTTTCACCATGTTGGCCAGGCTGGTCTCGAACTCTTTATCTCAGGTGATCCACCCACTTCGGCCTCACAAAGTGCTGGGATTACAGGCGTGAGGCACCACACCCGGCCCAGACCAAGGCTTTTTTTATCCAAATCACAGTACTATGTGCTTAGAGTATACAAGCTAATTGTATTAATAATAGCCTAAACACAGCATAATTTATCAAATAAATCTTAAGGCACAAATATTTCTAACTTCGCTTATTTGTAGAGAAAATCTCGTTTATTTCTAAGTGTAAATTTATATTCCATGGCTCTGGAAAACTCCATTTTGAAGCTCTGTTAATCTGGTGGTTCTGGTTTGATCTTATGTCTCAATATCCAAATCCTACACCTGTAAAAACTGGAGGAGGAGGAGGAGGAGGAGGAGGAGGAGGAGGAGGAAGTAGAGGAAAAGGAGGGAGAGGAGGAAAAGGGGAATATACAGGCATGAATTCCGCACCTCCCATCCATCGAGCCTAGCATCAGTAGGCATATTAGTTTCTTATTTATGGAATCCAGAATGCTCGGATATAATAACCAAAGATTATTATCATCATTGCACAAGACTACATTCTTTGAATTATGGACCTTGTTTCATTGAAGAAAGAAAAAACTCTTATGGCCAAACTTTAATTTGTAGGGCTTAAGCAAAGAAAACTAGAGCTTCAGAAGATTTTCTTTTCTTTTCTTTTCTTTTTTTGATTTGGATTCTCACTCTGTCGCCCAGGCTGGACTGCAGTGGCGCCATCTCGGCTCACTGCGAGCTCCACCTTCCCGGTTCACGCCATTCTCCTGCCTCAGCCTCCTGAGTAGCTGGGACTACAGGCTCCCGCCACCACGCCCGGCTAATTGTTTGTATTTTTAGTAGAGACGGGGTTTCACCGTGTTAGCCAAGATGGTTTCGATCTCCTGACCTCGTGATCTGCCCGCGTCGGCCTCCCAAAGTGCTGGGATTACAGGCGTGAGCCACCGCGCCCGGCCGAGAAGACTTTCAACATTATTTCTCAATTCCCATGGAAGGATATAAAAGAGTCTCTGTGATTTTTATTTTAGTTGTATTTTATTTATTATATATTATTCATTTTGGCCACTGTGCATGTTCCTTTTATAGTTATATTTACATAAACGTCCTATTCCAGTTGTTTATCTTTGACCACCTGGTCTTTGTTTTAATTTGCACACACACAAATGAAAGCTGTGGCACAGGCTAGGAGGGCTTGGGCAGAGGCCATGTCTAAACAGTCAAAGGGCTCAGGCAGTGGCTGTGGATGGCTGCACAGCAGTCAACTGCCATTAATCTTGAAAATAAAGCTGTCAGAATTCACATTTTCTTTCAATGATCATGTACTATCAAAACCTTATTCCTATTTAAACATAAAGTCCAGCTATAACTACTTGCACATTTTGTCAGCTTTATCACAGGCAGCTCATATCAAGAAGTGAAATTCACCGGGCAAGCCCCAGCTGGCTCCAGCCCTCAGACAGGTTTAGGATGCCTCCTCCCACCAGAATCTGTTGTGTTAAAACTTGAATGCCCTGAGGGAGGCAAAAGCATTCCTTTGTTTACCACTCTCTGCTGGCTTCTGTCCCTCCCCCAGGGTTTTACTTACCTTTCCGGTTCCTAAAGGCCTTTGAGTTTGTGACCCCTGCTCTAGACTTTCAGAAAATCTCACCTTTGACACAATTTCTTATAATAAGGATTAACTCAACATCTTACATAAGAGTTCAGCCAATACTGTTTAACTACGTCAGTATGCTTCCCATAGGCTAGTAAATTGCTGCGTAACTGAAATAACCGTAACACCCGGCTGACTGGAGTAATGGGACCAACTCATCTCATTCTGCTTCCAAAGCATCGTGCATATGGCCATCGAGCTCATCTTTCATCATTTTATTTCCATTACCTACAGGATAAAGCTTGAACTAACCACACTGGCATCAAGGTTCCTTCATAATTCAGCCTCCAGATAAATGTTCACTATTCCTCTACTTCACCAACAAACTCTCCACTCTCCACTCTCACACACATACCTGGTCCATGCCCATTTATTTGTTCATGAGCACTACTCCTTTCCCTTTCTGCCTTCCCCATGACCCCACATTGAAACTCAAACCCCACATTTTCCATTAGACTTTTATAAGTCATACCAGTCTCAATTGATTTGCCTCCTTTTAACTGTAAATGCTCAATAAATACTTGTTGAATGAATGAATGAATGAATGAATGAATGAATGAATTCCAGCATGACCACATGCTTACTATTTAATTATGGCCAAGTGGTTTAACCTTTTAAAGATATAGTTTTTTTAATCTATAAAAATGTAATTTGGGCAACGATTAAATGAGATGTTATATACGAAATTATCTAGTAGAGATGCTATATTGACTCAAAAGATATTAGCTAGTACAGAGAGTCAATAAATATTAGCCTAATTCACTGCCTTTCTATCGCTTTTATTTTTAGTTAACTTTTCAGTTATGTAGACTGTTTTTTCCTAGCTTCATTGTTGAAGCAAGGACCCATTTTTTAAAACTTTTTATATCACTCGCTGCAGCTAGCAAAGAGCTTTGCTAATAAATATATATCAGTTGATTGAGTGAGTACGAGGAAAGCTTATCTATTGAAAAATAAGTTCAAAGACTGTTCACTGACACTGGAATTTCCTCCTTTAGAGACATTTTGTTCTAAGTTAGGAATTGCCCCTGTTTAATCCAAACCTGCATGAGACAGAGAGTAACAGACTACATTTCACTGACCATTAACATCTGTGCCAGTAAGAGTTGTCTTTTGTTTACAAGGAGCAGAAACTCCCATGCAGGTTGTTGCTATTGTATGAGGCATGGTGACTGGTTTAATTCAGCAATTTAATATAACAGCTTATTTAATGTCTCCAACATTTCAACTCAATTTCAGCACAGAGATAAGAGAGGAAAGAGAAATATAGACCGTGCTCTGTCAAGGAAGGACAGGGAGGAAAGCTGGGGGCGGTGCACCTTCAGAACTGTAGCATGAGGGCGCTCAGCAGTACTAAGGTGACCACCTGCCCCAGTTTGCCCAGCACTAAAGATTTCCTGGAATTTAGGGCATTCAGTGCTAAAACCAAGAAAACTCAGCAGGAAAATATTGTCCAAAATAATGTAATATCACTGAAAGACTCACTTCAAAAGTGTTCTTAGGGTCAATACAGCATGTAGAGCAGCACAGACCTGTCCCTGCCAGGTTAGCAGTTGGTTAGAGCAAAATGCTAATGAGGCCAAGGCTAAAGGTTTGCTTTGATTTCCCAGGAAACTTTGCTCTCTTCCACAATCAGAAACTGTGTACTTCTCTTAAGCCAGCCATTCTGCAATGTCACTGACTAATCACAAGGGGAACAAGGAGAGAGAGCATAGCTACTGTGGAACAAATCTTTCACTGGTGCTAGTAACGAGGGTGGAGGGACACTGATGTTTTCCTTGTGCATGAACATTTGTCGCATGAAGAAACTCATTTTCTGAACTTATTTGTTAGTAAAATGCATATCTAGGTAACAATAATGACACATAATTGCAAATCTCTACTGCATATTCTCCTACGTATTTCATTCTAATCCTGTGAAATCAGCATAACAGATATCAAACAGAGCAGAACTGGGATCACCTGCAGTTGCCCAGCCAGCAAGCAAGAGACACATTCGAACTCTCGCTTCCTACTGTTTGTTTGTTTGTATTTGTTGTTACTGTTTGGGTACAAGTCACAGCCTCCTATAACCCAGCAAAATATGCAACCTGAATATTGAGACTCCCTTGACTTTGTGTATATCACTTCCATAAGAACTCCAGAACTCTTCAGGTCCCAAGGACCAAGGAATGCAGCCTTAAAACTGCTGTACATCTGCCAAACATTGGCTGCAACACACACAGTGTGCTGGTCATTTCCTGCGTGAGTACAGGCATAAAGCACATCCACATTGCTCACCCTGTTGGTCAGGCTCAGGTGGTTAGAAAAAGCATCCTGCTTTTAATGTTTAGATGCTGCCAGTCTCTGCACCTCATTGTTTTGTTTTGTTTAGGTGTTTACTTTTCCATGCTTTTCTGACTAAATTCAGATTCAGTGGTGTTCATCTTAGTGAACTAAAAGTTGAATTTCCCAAACACATTTATTTCTTTACAGCAAACATAGGTAGGATGAAAACCGCCCTGTGTCACACTGATATGTTAATCATTAACTGACTTTTAAAAACATAGCCTCAGCTAGATTGAGTCACATGAAGAAAGAGCTTCCTGCAATTCAAGGACTGTACAAAGCTGAAACGCAGAGATTTTCATATTATTTGGGAGACTCAGAAATGAGCTTTTAAGGTTGTTCCTTGACTTGCGGGTCAATAAGCGCACAATGGTGAAGAAAAGGCTGCCTTCTAGTGACACGGTGTTCCGGTTTGAGACTCCGGGCAGCCCAAGGAAGGCCAACGTGGAGGCCTCACGCAGCTCCACAGACAGCCCCAGCTCGGTGTTCCTCAGGTGGGTACAGCCTGGGCCTGGCCATCCACGTCTGTCCCCCTGGTGGCCTCAGCTACCCAACTGGTGACCCTTGGAGAGCTCCTTTTTCATTCCTGGAGGTAGGGATCAGCCATGGGAAGAGAAGGTGCAGCCTAGGCATCCTGACCAGTGGATTCGAAGGGGGTATGTAATAAGGGATGGGCTCTTCTGAGCAAATAGAACTATTATTACTATGAAGGAAAAATAATTTTTAGTGCCTTCTTTAGTACTTTCTTAGTACTGGATAACTGGTCACTATGCAATTCCTCAATTCTTGACTCACTCTCAGGTTCATAAGAAGTGAAAACAAATCGTTGAACCCCAAATCGACTTTGGTATCAAAATTACATGAACTATTATTAAAATAATAATTATTAAAATATTAAGATAATTGCCTTCTTTTTGCCTTTCCAATTTAAATTTAAAATAGTAGCAACTGTTCTCTGGTTCAAGTACTTACTGCATAGTGATTTATAGCAGTTTTGGCCAATTTCAGAACATATTCATTTTAGCTATAAACTCATCAGTATCCAAATCAGCACATTAATATCCACATCAACACCACTCTAATAACTACATATTTTTCATGAAAATTTATTTTTCAAATTCTTTATTCATTTTGTCTCATTATATTTATCTAGCAATTTATAGAATGTAGAAATTTAGTATAAGTGGAAATCACATATTCAAAAGAAAGTTTTTCATCCAACTTTCATGTAAACTTTAACGTAGCATTCATGTAAACTTCTCAGAATAACCCCCACACCCAAACTTTACTTTTTGACAGCACCATATCCAGAAATTCAAGAGTTAAATATGATCGTTGTTTTCTTTTTTAAATGGTTTTAAATCATTTACACAAAAAGTACTTTAAATTATAGCTTTCAAAAATTTAATAGAAAACAAAGAAGTTCTATTTTATTTAATTGCATTCACATATCAGAATGCCAGGTTATGAAAATAAATTAAACACTTTTAAAAAGAAGTTTTAGAGACCAAAAAAGTGAATGTGTGCAAATTGTTTTGTAATATATCTATTTTCAAGTTACTTAATTTTTCTATCCATTATTAAAATGAATCTATCTTACTTGTATTAGTAGTTGAGCAAGGGTATAATTCTGTGATTTAAAATGTAAAACTTAGGCAAACAAAGAGAAAAAATAAAAATAAAATAAAATGTAAAACTCATCCATTATTTCCATATTTTGCTGAGCTTCAAGTGCCTCTTGAATTGCTTTGTCTGTGGAATCCATCTCTTAAGTAGACTGTCATGCAAATTCTTCTTTGGAGCTCAAGCTCTAACCAGGAAAAAAATTAAATTAAATCAAAATGTATCAACAAACAAATAAATATTAAAACAAATACAAAATACATAAAGTATAATTGAAACAAAATAAATGTTTTCATAATTATAGATAAATAGAATAAAAGTAAAATAAAACCCACATCAACTTAAATTCAAGCCTCTTGCAAAAAAAGCTCCAGCCTATGTCACCCGCATATTTGAGTATTCAATATCAAATTTCTATGTTAGCATCTGTAAGTGGTTTTTTTAAATGTGTATTAGAACCGACCTAAAAAAATTTAACATATCTCTAAGTAGGTCAGGCATTGAAGGACTTTTAGTCTAGTTGAAAGATCTATTTAATGTATTGTGTAGAAAATCACTGAAAATAATTTGTGGAAGCATTCAGGCACACATTGGTTAAATCTTTGAGATAAAAAAATAAGACCAGGTAAACACTTTCCTTTACCTTCTAAATAAGTATTGAGAATTTATGTGGCTGTTTTAGTATCACATTATCCTTTCAGTGAACTAGAGCTAATAAAATGTACTTGCAGATCAACAAGCCACTTCAAATAGGCACAGATACAATTTACACAGTGTTTGTATTCAATCACTCAATTCAACAAAAGTTTATTGAGTAATTATTATATGCCAGGCTATGTACAAGGCACAGAGGTTACAATCATGAGTGAGATAGACTTAGTCCCTGCTCTCATGGAGATTTAGTTTAATGTTTAAGACAGGCCAAAAAAATGAATGAATGCATATGTGCATACATAAATACATAATTCAAAAATTAATATGTTTTATAGGAAACAAAGCTGAGGCAGACAGTAAGATAGAGAAAACTACTTTGGATGGGGTGGTAAGTAAAGGACTCTCCAAGGAAGTGATATTTAGGCTGACTTAGAACCAGTCATCATAAGACTGAGAAGGAGCGTGGTTGCCCTGCATAGGGAAGATAGGGAAGAAGTCTAGAGGAAACTGCGAAGAGTGGCACCCATGAAATCAGAGAGATAAACAGATGATAAGGGGGGTTAGAGTTCTATTCTAATTGTGGCAGGAAGCCACTGAGGGTTTAGAATAGAAGAGTGTCATAACGTGACATTCACTTTAAAAGAGCACTCTGGCCTACTTGTGGTTGATTTCCAGTTGTCTGAGCATTCAAGCAATGCTGCATCTTGCCTGTTTCCCCTGGTACATTGTGGAAGGGTGTCTCTAAGGCACATACCTAGAGGAAATGTTCATCATAGATTATGAACATGATTAACTTTTTTTGCCAATGTCATTCTGTGTTCCAAAGTTCTGTGTCATTTGCGCTACCACCAGCAGTTATTCTGCTGTCTCAGCAACACTGGAATTGTCTGATTTTTTTACCTTTTTCAATCTGCAAGGTGTGAAATGGTAACTCAATGTGGGTTTAATATATGTTAAACTAAGAGGAGAAACATCTTTTCAACATGTTTAGTGGTCTTTTTTTGTTTTCTCTTCTATAAAATGCCTACTTATGAATTTATATCCCTTTTGGAGGAAAGAGGTCACTATCGTTTTCTTCTTTTGAGATAGTTTTTTAAAATACTCCAGACGCTGATCTTTTGTTATGTGTTGCAAGTATTTTATTCCAACATATGACTTGTCTGTTTACACTCTCTACTATGTCTGAGTTCTTATTTTAATTTGTTAGTTTATTAATTATTTTCTTTATGATTTGTTTATGACTTAAGAAATCCTTCCATACCCTGAAGTCTTAAGAACATATGTATTTTCTGCTAGAAGTGTGTTTTCCTTTCAAACTAGGATTCTTTCTGTGTTTAGAACGTATTTCCTTTTCTGATGTGAATTAGGGCATCATTCTAAATTATTTGTAGAGATAATAAATTGTCCCACATTATTTATTGAATAGACTGTCCTTTCGTCACTAATCTGTAATGCCAGCTCTGTCATATATCACTGTCTTAATTACCATCACTTTATAATAAAAAATCTGCTAAGACAAGACTCCTTACCCAGTTCAGAAGTGTTTCATTACGTTGACCCTTTGTTCTTCCACTTAAATTTTAGAATTAGCTTATCAAGTAAAACTTTTTAAAAATGAAATTACATTAAGCCTATTGTTCAACTTGAGAAAATTCAACATCTTTACGATGTTAAATATACCAATTCATAAACATGGTATAGCTTTCCATTTATTTAGGTTTTCTTTAATGTCCTTCAATAAAGTTTTAGAATATTCTGCATAAAGATCTTACACATCATGTTAGATTTATTCCTAGATATTTTACACCTTTGTTGTTATTGTAAATATATTTTACATTGTATTTTCTTTTGTCAATGTACAGAAATATAATTAGATTTCTAAATTGATCTTATGTTCAACATCCTTGCTAAACTTTTAATAATAAACCTGTAGACACTAAGAGATTTTCTTTGTAGACAATAATATTGAAATAATAAAAATTTTATTTTTACCTTTCCAAAATTTACTCCTTGAAATCTTTTTGTTTTTTTTTTTCGAGATGGAGTCTCGCTCAGTCACCCAGGCTGGAGTGCAGTGGCGCGATCTCGGCTCACTGCAAGCTCTGCCTTCCTGGGTTCACACCATTCTCCTGCCTCAGCCTCCCGAGTGGCTGGGACTACAGGCGCCTGCCACCACACCTGGCTAATTTTTTTGTATTTTTAATAGAGACAGGGTTTCACCATGTTAGCCAGGATGGTCTCGATCTCCTGACCTCGTGATCCACCCTTCTCGGCCTCCCAAAGTGCTGAGATTACAGGCATGAGCCACCGCGCCCGGCCACTCCTTTAAATCTTCTTTTGCTTTATTACACAAGCAAGGAACACTAGTATAATGTTGAGTAGATGCAATAATTCTAGATATCCTTGTATTGTTCCTGATTTTAAAGGGAATGCTTTTAATATTTCAGGATTTATCAGCTGTTTTCAGATTAAAAGTTTCCTTCTAGTTAAAGTTTTCCAAGAGGTTGTTAAAGTTATTCAGTGCTTTCCCAGCCTCCATTGAGTTAATCCCCATTTGAAAATCTTTGACATTGATAATGTGCACAGTACCTCAAAATTCAAAATTTGCAGAAATCATCGTTTCTCAAAATATACAGAACATTAAGCAGACTTGGAAAAACATGAATTGCTGTAACGTCTATAGGTAGTTGACTGGGAAAGGCTTTGGTGAATTAAGAGTTTCATAAATTATCACTCCGGAAATTTAAGAAATCAAAAACCTCTATTGGATCAAGAAGCTTTTGGAGATTTATTATGCAAATTAGCCATTAGGCAAAAGTGAAAGTTGCTCAGTGGAGTTAGTGTGTAGAATAGGACACCATGGCCTTTGGGAGTACAAACAAGGCCCAAGATGGGAACTGAAGAGGACAAAAATGAGGCAGAACTAATCGGAAATGTTAGGAGGGTGCTCAAAGTCCTTCTGTGTTCTGGGATGAGGTCCACTCCAGGCTGCAGTCAACGATAACCTTGGTGTCCAAGGCAGCCCCACAGTCACACTCATTATGCCTCCATTTAGTGGCTCCAATGCATCTGTGTCTTCTCCTCTATTCTAGCTGCCACCAGTGGGTAGGAAAGAAAATGTTTGCCCTTCTTTCCTTCTGCCCTCTTCTCTCAAGAGCTTTGTCTTTTCTTAGCCAACCCCACTTCTCCTGCTGTTACAAAAAGGACAGGAGCACTCTATGGCACCAGATGAACAGGAACACAGCAGACACTGTGCCATGACCCATTTTCACTAGTCAAGCCCATGGGCTCAGCGCCTGTTCACAAGACTGCTATGTAGAGGCTGGAGTGGGGCCAAGTCCTGGAAAATGAGGTTACTTCTCCAAGAGCAGGGATGAGATGGAAGCATTCAAAGGAAGCAGCACTGTTTTAAGGGGATATATAATGGCATTAGTTTTCTGGGTGTGGAGCAGGTATTTCAGCAAATGGGCAAGGTCAGGGCAGGAGGACCTATGAACTCTGCAGAGCTTCACAGAGGAGAGTGAGGGGCAGGCTAAGACAGGAGGCAGAGAAAGAACAAATTGCACCAGGATATAGTGAGACATGGCTATGGAAGTTAAAATGAGGAGGTTGTCAGAGGACTAGGCTCTCTTAGGAGAGTTAGAATTTTCCCAGCAGGAAAGAATAAAACTCGCCAGCAGTGTCATTGCAAGGAGCGAAAGGACCTCTGGTCTCTTTCCCAGACTTCACCAGATACTTCCGCACATTCAATATTTTCTCAATGCACATGCTCTATCTAGTTGCCAGGCTGTTGAACATGCTGGAAGTCCTCTTTGATGGCCTCAAAAATTCCTATGCCCTTTCAAGATGCACCTGGAAGGTCTAGTTTAAGCTCTGCGTAACTTCCCTTTGCCACCCACACCCCCACTCTCATCCCTCAGAACTAGCAACCTTTTAATTGTTGGCACTATATCCTATATTAACCACTTATCAGAATGTATTGCCATCAGGATGTATTTATTACAAAGCCAATGCAGCTTAAGTTTCTACCCTCACTTATAAGACAGCTTCTACTGTCCAAGGCCCTGGGAGGGCCACTGGTAAGGTGCGCAGATAGTCCTACATTCCTGAAAAATTTGCAGATAGTATTTTAACTGCAAGTATAATTTCTGTCTCTTTCCACTCCTATTTTTCCTCTTTCACACTTTTCCTCCAGTCAGATATGTAGCCAAAGGCATTTTTGGCATTCTGAACTAAGGGGAAGTTGTTCAGAGATACATTTAGTTTGGTATTTGTGGAATCTATTTGTGTGATTTGCCTTCATTTCTGTGTGCACGTAAGTTATCACTGGCTGTATGGTATTAGAATGGCTTCCAGGAATACTCCTACCACCCTCTAAGCCAATATGCCCTGCTCTGGGGCATGGGGCAGAGTCAGAGATGGGATCATGATATGAACATGGTGTCATGCATCAGAAGTGTGTGGGTAGTGGAAAAGAAAATAAGTTTGAAATGTACAGAGCCAGAAACTAGTTTCTGACAAATTTTTCCAATCATCAGATATATAAATCATAATATACATAAATATATAAAGTGGTAGATTCTATTCTTTTTATTGCCTAGTCAAGACAGTTCTCTCCTATTAGGACTATATACTCGATAATGCAGCTAATATAATTATACCAACCTTATTCTTTTTCTTTCTTTTTTGGTGATATTTGTGCATAATAGACTTTATCAGAATTCTTGTGTTTATAAGGCACAAACCCGAAGTAATACTAAAAACACCCACTGCATTTGTGTATGTGTCACATAGTAGATTATCATCACATTATCAAAACTGGGTTTGGATTTGAAATAAATCTTTAGCCCATCAATAAAAAGGTAAGTTTTTTTCTAGAGAAAAAAAACTAAACCACCTTCTTTTCTGTTTACTGAAAATATTATGAGGTTGTTGCCATATGAAGAGATCAATGAGTATCAGCTATAAATTATAAAAAAATATTGTAGAATATGTCAGACAGTTAGTTCATAAGAGCACTATATTACTTTTCTGGATTTGGAGATGTTTATGGAATCTGTAAACTCTTTCCAATTCATAATTTGATTTTTTTCCTCATTTAAATGTATAATCACTTTCATGCCTAATTCCTTGTTCGTACTTTTCTTAAAGAAGACTCTAAAATTGTATAAGCTTCAGGCCCATAAAACCTGGATCTGCCCTCTGATTATAACTTCTTCTATGCCCATGGTCTCCAACAGATCTGTTTTTTCTATTCGTAGAACTTGATACACACTGTATACTTTGCAGCACTGAGTGAAGGAATGGATGTGGTTTTCCCAGCTAGGGGAATGAACTCTCAGCTAGCGGAATGAACTCCCAACAGGAATGCATGTTGGCTTGTGACTGCCTGTTATCAGCCCCTCATTTTTGGAAATTTTGAAAATATTGGTAGGAAAACTAATTTTACACAAATGGTTTTGAGTAGTTTTTACTTTGCCATTTTTTTCAGACCACCAAAAATTGTTATTTTAAAAAATACACACTATTCAATTACCCATTCTGAAATATTTGACTCACTTTTTTTATTTCAGTACGTTTTTGGGAAACAGGTAGTGTTTGGTTACAATGATAAGTTCCTTAGTGGTGATTTCTGAGATTTTGGTGCACCCATCACCCAAGTAGTGTGCACTGTACCCAATGTGTAGTCCTTTATCCCTCACCCCCCTCCCACCCTTTCCCCCAAGTCCCCAGAGTCCATTGTATCATTCTTAAGCCTTTGTGTCCTCATATCTTAGCTCCCACTTATGAGTGAGAACATACGATATTTGATTTTCCATTCCGAGTTATTTCACTTAGAATAATAGTCTCCAATTCCATCCAGGTTGCTGCAAATGCCATTATTTCATTCCTTTTTGTGGCTGAGTAGTATCCCATGGTATATATATACTACATTTTCTGTATCCACTCATTGATTGATGGGCATTTGGGCTGGTTCCATATTTTTGCAATTGTGAATTGTGTTGCTATAAACATGTATATGCAAGTATCTTTTTCATGTAATGACTTCTTTTCCTCTGGGTAGATACCCAGGAGTGGGACTGCTGGATCAAATGGTAGATCTATTTTCAGTTCTTTAAGGAATCTCCACACTGTTTGCCATAGTGGTGGTACTGATTTCCATTCCCATCAACAGTGTAAAAGTGTTCCCTTTTCACCACATCCACACCAACATCTATTATTTTTTTGATTTTTTTATTATGGCCATTCTTGCAGGAGTAAGGTGGTATCGCATTGTGGTTTTGATTCACATTTCCCTGATCATTAGTAATGCTGAGCATTTTATCATATGTTTGTTAACCATTTATATATCTTCTTTTGAGAAGTGTCTATTCATGTCCTTAGCCCACTTTTTGATGGGATTGTTTGGTTTTTTCTTGCTTATTTGATTGATTTCCTTGTACATTCTGGATATCAGTCCTTTGTCAGATGTATAGATTGTGAAGATTTTCTCCCACTCTGTGGGTTGTCTGTTTACTCTGCTGATTATTTCTTTTGCTTTTCAGAAGCTTTTTAGTTTACTTAAGTCACACCTATTTATCTTTGTTTTTGTTGCATTGGCTTTTGGGTTCTTAGTCATGAAGCCTTTGCCTAAGCCAATGTCTAGAAGGGTTTTTCTGATGTTATATTCTAGAATTTTTATGGTTTCAGGTCTTAGAGTAAAGCCTTTGTTCCATCTTGAGGAGATTTTTATATAAGGTGGGAGATGACGATACAGTTTCATTCTTCTGCATGTGGCTTACCAATTATCCCAGCATCATTTGTTGAGTAGGGTGTCCTTTCCCCACTTTTTGTTTTGTTTGCCTTGTCAAAGATCAGTTGGCTGTAGGCATTTGGCTTTATTTCTGCATTTTTTATTCTGCTCCATTGGTCTATGTGCCTGTTTTTATACCAGTACCATGCTGTTTTGGTGACTATGGCTTATGGTATAGTTTGAAGTCAGGTAATGTGATGCCTCCATAATTGTTCCTTTTGCTTAGTCTTGCTTTGGCTATGTGGGCTGATTCCATATGAATTTTAGGATTTTTTTTTTCTAGTTCTGTGAAGAATGATAGTGGTATTTTGATGGAAATTGCATTGAATTTGTAACTTGCTTTTGGCATTATGGTCATTTTCACAATATTCATTCTACCTATCCATGAGCATGGGATGTATTTCCATTTGTTTGTGTTGTCTATGATCTTTTTCAGCAGTGTTTTGTAGTTTTCCTTGTAGACGTCTTTCACCTCCTTGGTTAGTTATATTCCTAAGTATTTTATTTGTTTTGCAGCTATTGTAAAAGGGGTTGAGTTATTGATGTGATTCTCAGCTTGGTCGCTGTTGGTATATAGCAAAGCTACTGATTTGTGTACATTAATTTTGTATCCAGAAACTTTGCTGAATTCATTTATCTGTGTTAGGAGCTTTTTGGATGAGTTTTTAGGGTTTTCTAGGTATACCATCATATCACGGGCAAACAGTGACAGTTTGACTTCCTCTTTACCCATTTGGATGCTTTTTATTTCTTTCTATTTTCTGATTGCTCTGGCTGGGACTTTCAATACTATGTTGAATAGAAGTGGTGAGAGTGGACATCCTTGTGCTGTCCCAGTTCTCAGGGGGAATGCTTTCAACTTTTCACCATTCAGTATAATGTTGGCTGGTGTTTGTCATAGATGGCTTTTATTATCTTAAACTATGTCCCTTGTATGCTAATTTTGCTGAGGGTTTTAATCATAAAGCGATGCTAGATTTTGTCAAATGCTTTTTCTGCATCTATGGAGATGATCATGTGATTTTTGTTTTTAATTCTGTTTATGTGGTATATCACATTTATTGACTTGGGGATGTTAAACCATCCCTGCATCCCTGGTATAAAACCCACTTGATCATGGTAAATTATCTTTTTGATATACTATTGGATTCAGTCAGCTAGTATTTTATTGAGGATTTTCTCATCTATGTTCATCAGGGATATTGGTCTGCAGTTTTCTTTTTTGTTATGTCCTTTCCTGGTTTTGGTACTGGGGTGGTATTTTCCTGTTCAACTAGTCCTTTTATCATTGTATAATGTCCCTCTTTGTCTATTTTAACTGTTGTTGCTTTAAAGTTAGTTTTGTCTGATATAAGAATAGCTACTCCTACTTACTTTTGGTGTCCATTTGCATGGAATATCTTTTTCCATCCCTTTACCTCGGGTTTATGTGAGTCCTTATGTGTTAGGTGAGTCTCTTAAAGACAGCAGATACTTGGTTAGTGACATCTTATCCATTCTGCCATTCTGTATCTTTTAACTGGAGCATTTAGGCCATTTACATTCAACATTAGTATTGCGATGTGAGGTAGTATTCTATTCATTGTGCTATTTGTTGCCTGAATACCTTGGGGTTTTTTTTCATTGTGTTATTGTTTTATAGGTCCTGTGAGATTTATGCTTTAATGAGGTTCTATTTTGGCATATTTTGAGGATTTGTTTCACGATTTAGAGCTCCTTTAGCTGCTCTTGTAGTGTTGGCTTGGTACTGGTAAATTCCCTCAGCATTTGTTTGTCTGAAAAAGTCTTTATCTTTCCTTCATTTATGAAGCTTAGTTTTGCTGGGTACAAAAATCTTTGCTGATAATTGTCTTGTTTAAGGAGGCTAAAGATAGGACTCCCTTCTACCTTGTAGGTTTTATGTTGAGAAATCTGCTGTTAATCTGAAAGGTTTTCCTTTATTAGGTTACCTGATGCTTTTGACTCACAGCTCTTAAGATTCTTTCCTTCATCTTGAATTTAGATAATCTGATGACTATGTGCCTAGTCGATTATCTTTTTGTGATGAATTTCCCACATGTTCTTTGAGCTTCCTGTATTTGGGTGTCTAGGCCTCTAGCAAGGCCAGGAAAGTTTTCCTCAGTTATTCCCTCAAATATGTTTTCCAAACTTTTAAATTTCTCTTCTTCCTCGGGAACACAGATTATTGTTAGGTTTGGTTGTTTAACATAATCCCAAACTTCCTGGAGGCTTTTTTCACTTTTTAAATTCTTTTTTCTTTGTCTTTGTTGGATTGGATTAATTCAAAAACTTGTCTTCACGTTCTGAAGCTCTTTCTTCTACTTGTTTGATTCTATTGTTGAGACATTCCAGTGTATTTTGCGTTTCTCTAAGTGTGTCCTTCATTTCCAGAAGTTGTGATTGTTTTTTATTTATGCTATCTGTTTCTCTGGAGATTTTTCTGACCATATCCTGTAACATTTTAAAAATTTCTTTAAATTGGTATTTACCTTTCTCTGGAGGCTCCTTGATTTGCTTAATAATCAACCTTCTGAATTATTTTTCTGGCAATTCAGAGATTTCTTCCTGGTTTGGATCCATTGCTGGTAAGCTAATATGATCTTTTGGGGGTGTTAAAAAATCTTGTTTTGTCATATTACCGGAATTGTTTTTCTGGTTCCTTCTCATTTGGGTAGACAATGTCAGAGGGAAGATCTGGGGCTCAAGGGCTGCTGTTCAGATTCTTTTGTCCCACAGGGCGATTCCTTGATGTAGTACTCTCCCCCTTCCCCTAGGGATGGGGCTTCCTGAGAGCCAGACTGCAGTGATTATTATTTCTCTTCACGGATGTAGCCACTCAGCAGAGCTACCAGGCTCTGGGCCGATACTGAGGAATGTCTGCAAAGTGTCCTGTGTTGTGATCCGTCTTCAGGTCTCTCAGCCATGGATACCAGCACCTTCCCCAGTGGAGGTAGCCGGGGAGTGAAGTAAACTCCGTGACTTATTTTTTAAATGAAGTTTTAAATTTCATGGACATTTATTTTGGATGAATTTAGCTTAAAGTCCTCACTTTCATTAAAAGCTTTTGATTTTTGAACAGATAAAAAATTCAATCAGGTTCATTTATATGCTTTCACCTCTAAAGATGTTTATTATTTATTTAGGCTTCATGTTTCATAAAAACAAAACCAGGCAAATGTAATTGAATTGAAGGTTCTAGGAGTTGCCTCCTTGTGTAATTATGTGGAAGACCTAGCATGGAGCTACATGGGGCAAATTGGGAAGCCCTGCCAAGAAGCACATAAGTGATGAATGAGTGCTTATATATAGCCCAGCAGTAACAATAATCATCTCTTCTATTTGCACAGTGCCTTACTCATGGGAACTTTTTATAGGCATTACTTTATAAACCTTGCTGGCCTTTCACTGTGGTAGATGGATTACAGTTTTTCTCTGCATTACTTAGATGAAGTAAGCAGGTAACAGGAAAAAAAAAAGTTTTCTGTTGTTGCTGTATGGCAAAACTATGCGAACAAATTAGTCCAGGTAGTACATATACAGCCAGATACATGACCAAAATGGCATTATCCAAGTTCATGGACGAATTTATTCACCCAGCTTGGCTTCAAATTATTTGGGCTATTTTCAAAAATCAAACCCACTTTCGAGGGTCATTTAATTCCATTTCTTTATCTCACTCAGGGTGATTTCTAGAGCCCCAGAGCATATAAAGATTTCAGAAGTAGACACAATACTCTTTGAAAGAGAAGGTCAGAGAGAACTACGTGAGATTCCCAGGTCTACACTGACTCATTATATGATTCTGTGGGCTTAAATGTTCTAATGCTGGTTGTGACTGTTATAGGACAACGAGGGAGATCCACAGAGAAATAATGGTATATTTACTCATCACCCAGAGCTCCTAGAAGCTAGCAAATACATTCTTTCCTCTCTAGTCCTAGCACTTAGCACATAGAAAAAACTCTACTTTACTAAAGCAGAATCTTCAGTCTATTCTTCAATAGATCTTAAATCTATTCTTCAAGAAGAATAGATTCTTCTTGAGTAAATAAGGCTCAGATCCTGCTTCCAGGAGCTGAAATCTCTGTTGGTGACTGACACAGATCCGGGATACTATAGAAGGCAGACAATGTACATGCAGTTTGAAAATTAAATTATGAGCCTAACTCTCCAAACTATCATTTTCCACAACATGTCTCTTGCTCATCCTCATATTGCTGTGTTTAGATCTAGAAATAAACTGCACATTTCCAATGCTTAGTGCAACAAAATAAACCTTGCCTAATGTAAAAAACTAACAGCTGCCAGTATAATCCCGGAGAAAGGGAAAGTTTCTATTTATTCCTTCAAATAGCCCCATAAGGGCAGGGTAATATTCCATGAGGAGATCTCACTTCAAACATGCTCCTGTTTGGAGGGAAAAGAAATCTGGAAGCAGGAATGGGGAAGTAGAACAGGTATCTTCAGTGGTCTCACAGAGTTGTCCTTTGGCCTCTTAAGGAGAATTATCTGTGACCCTGGTCAGCTTCCCCAGTCATATCTGTTGCCCTTCCTTGTGCCCAAGAAGTCCGCACTCTATGCACGCACTCTGGTTCAGGGCCTTTGCCCCTTCTTTGCCTACAATACTCTGGCAGGGTAAATTCTGAGCTGTCCTTCAAAACTGGGCCAGGTATCACTGCCTTCAGAAAGCCTGCCCTGGCACCAATCTCCCTTTCTCTGTGCTCACATTGTGCCTTTTATTTATCTTCGGTATAACATTCATTATACATTAAATTATACTTGTTATATTTGTCCTTCTTTCTCACTGTGCTGCCTTTTGTTTCTAACCGATCACTGAGCACAGTTCCTGGCATAAAGTAGACAACGATAAATGCTAGACGGATGAATACATTTCAGGTAGGTTATGGATGAATGAAGACCTTCCCTGTTTGACAAGCAAGGCTGACCCTTGCTGGGAGTGCTGCTGACTTCACCCCAGGAGGGCTGAAGCTCAGCAGAACATTCAGGGCACACAAGTCACTAATATGCTCAATATAGGGAGAATAGCAAGTGGCAGATAAAATTATACCGCAGGCCTTATGATTCATAGTCCAGGAACTTTCCACTACTCCACAGGGATTTATTAATAGATCTGAATTCAGATTTGACTCTCAGCAATCCCAAATATTTTATTCTTGCAACTGGGAAAAGAGAGGGGAAAATTACACAACAAAAAGGATACTATGAGCAATATAGGCTTAAATTTTTACCTCCATAAATATAAATGTAAGTTAATTTTAGCTTAATTTCACATTGAATTCATTTGTTTAAAAATTAATTATGGTAAAGTTGAATTAAGTTACATAGGAAAGAGATAACCATTTACTTAAAGAAAACATCCATTTTTAATTTAATATTCCCTTACACATGCCACACACTTTCATATCTTCATGCCTCTGCTATTATTTTCTCTGTGCCGGAAATAACATTTTCCTCAAACAATACTTAGTCAAAAAGTATTTATTGTGTAATAAGGCACTAGAGATCCATTGGTGAATAAAACCAGTGTGGCAGGTTCTTATGTTGCTTATAATCAGAAAAAGACAGGCATTAAAGAGGATTCTGAGTGTCTTGAATACTGGGAAAGTAGAGTAGAAGGCAGAGGGAGCAATGGGGGGTGCAACCCAGTCCATGGAGTCGTAAAGCAGCAGTCCCTGAGGAAATGAAACAGAACATGAGACTGGAAGAGAGGGAGAGGGAGAGGTAGAATCCCATTTGTAGAAATAGCATTTGCTATTCTCTGTGGAAGAGAAAACACATTTCAAGTTGCTGAAAGAACACTGGGTCTCTGGAGCAGAGAGGGAGAGAGGGTTGGAGGAAATGAGGTAAAGCCCAGACACACTTTCCTCAAAGAGTAAACATGAAACTTCAAAGCTTAATTATCCCAAATTATAAACAAAATAAAACTCTCCAGGATTAATATCATCCTATTTGTTTTTCTTTTAGAGGTTGTATTTGGTTGACGTAGATGCTGATTTAGTAGTGACTCTTGTAATACATCATCTTTTGGGAAAAAAAGACATTCATTTCTTTTGTGTAGCTGGACATCACGGATCACCACCCAGGATCTGTCTGCTGATCCTTGCATGATTCCATGCTCTCCAACATTCAAAGGCAAATCCGAATTCCAAATCAGTCATTGATATGAACATGAAATCCCCAAGGAAGCACGTTCCAAGCTGAGTAAGAATGATAAGGGTTAGATGAGTTGTCAATTGCTTCACAGCATATTATGCCAAATCCTAGCCTCTTAAACAATGAGCATGTATTATCTTACACAGTATCTGTGGGTTCTGAATCTGGAAGTAAATTGGCTAGGTAGCTC
Source organism: Homo sapiens (assembly GCF_000001405.40). Classification (NCBI taxonomy): domain Eukaryota; kingdom Metazoa; phylum Chordata; class Mammalia; order Primates; family Hominidae; genus Homo; species Homo sapiens. Next base: position 126,386,508 of record NC_000005.10, read on the forward strand.
TGGCTCAGGGACTTTCATGAGGTGGACAATCCAAGGCTGAGAATACCAAGAAGGGTGATCACTGGGGACCATCATGGAGGCTGGCCACCACAAAAACTCTGAATATTTCTAATCTGAAAGGCAGTATTTGGTGAAAGGACATTAGCCTTGGAGTTACTTGGATCTATATTTGAATCACAACTCTGCCACTTACTGCGCCACCTTAGCCCCATTAACTAATCTTTCTAAATTCCAGTTTTCTCATTTGTCAGATGGGGCTAATAGCATCTAGCTTATTGGACTATTCTGAGGATTAGGTACAGATAATTTTGGAGGCTGGCAAGTTGGAGGCACTGAAGAATTGTTATCACTATAGCTACAACATAGGTGAATTGTCACTGTAAAAACACAGTTGGAAGTCATTATCCACAAAACCTTATGTCAAATTCTAAGGTTTTGTTTTACCTATTTGTTTTATTATCACCATATATTCTTTTATAACCTAGTGAGAGCCAAACAAAGGGAAAACGAAAGGTGCATGAGGCTTTAAAAAATTATTTACTTTTATGTATTTGGATACATGTAAAAACCATAAGAATTTTAAGGGCCAAACTTGAAGAGTCAAAAAACTGTCAAGCTATTTCAGTTCTCCCATATGACTGAAGTCCATATTTTGATGACCTTAAGTAAACATGGAAATAAATAAATAATAATAAAGAAAATAGAAGGGGAAAGAAAAACCACCAATACTGAGCTAAGTGGGTTTCTTAAAATTTTAACTCTTCTGAAAAAAAAAAAGGATTATCTCTTTTTATAAAAAGACAAGTTCTGTCTCAAGTCAAAATAAAACTTTTTTTCCCAACATTGCTACTGGTTTATGAGGCTAAACAAATGTTCTGTACTCAGGAATTTGAGAACTGTGCTTTGGCTTGGTTTTAAATGTCTCTGGGCTTAGTTTATTTTCTGGAAATATAAGAATAAAGACACTAAGAGAAGATGGTTCTCCATCTGTATACTCAAAATATTATTTCTCTCTTATTGCTGCTATAACAAGAAATATATATATTTATGTATTTATAATTATATATATGTATATAATTTCTCCAAATTCATATGCTGAGAGTATAAGTGGAAAGGGTCCAGACCTGGCCCTGGCAGGCTTTTGTTTCCTGTGGCAAAGCACTAAGTCTCTCTTTTTTCTCATCTCACAAATGGAGAACAAATTGTAAACAGAATTTTGTCAGACAATGGAGGAACAGAAAGAAGAGAGAAAAAATCAACAGAGACTATATATACACATAAATTTATAAGCTCCTTCTGGGGAAAAAATGAAGAATTGTCTTTAGGGACTAGTTCATTCTTTTGGCATTTAAAAAAAATTTAGATAGTCACTATCTGAAGTGCTACATTTACTACAAAGCTAATGAAGCTGAAACTTCAGAGTCTGTCACTTGAATGAACTTCTTCTAATTCAATATTCATTGTTTGCACCTAATTTTGTGGGTTTTTTATTAAAGAAACCCCCTATACTATAAAACTTCAGGCCCTACAAAACTGAATCTGTCCCAGTTGCTACTGCTGTTAACTTAAAGATGCAATTTTCAGGCCTGGCACAGTGGCTCACACCTATAATCTCAGCATTTTAGGAGGCCAAGGCGGGTGATTCACTTGAGCCCAGGAGTTTGAGACCAGCCTGACCAACATGGCGAAATTCCATCTCTACAAAAAATACAAAAATTAGCCAGGTGTGGTGGCTCCTGCCTGTGGTCCCAGCTGCTTAGGGAGTTGAGGCAGGAGTATCTCTTGAACCCAGGAGATTGAGGCTGCAGTGAGCCATATTCATGCTACTGCACTCCAGCCTGGGTGACAAAGTGAGATCTTATCTCAAAAAATAAACAAACAAATTAATTAATTAAATAAAGATGCTGTTTTCAACCAAGACAAATTTTCTAAATATTATAATGAAGATTTTATGCCAGTAAGTGAGATGTTATTTACTAACATGTAGTTTAACAAACCTATACAAGAAGCTATCATTATGCTATGAAAGGTTTATTCCATTGTGGAATCAATCATTGATTCCTGGAAAATATGAATATGAAATTTATTCCCTACACAATCATCACATTTTTGGGAATATTCATCTTAATATAAGACGATCACGTTGTATAAGCCATGTAATTCAGCACACTAGATTATACAACATATTTGTAATGTAGAATTTTATTTTAGAGTAAATTATGGATAAATGTATCTTTATTTTCCTTCTTAAGAGAAAAAAAACCTATTGAATCTTTTAGTTATCTACATTATTATATACCACATTTGGGGGGTTTTGAAGAACTAAAGCTTCCAAAAATCCCAAAGTTACCAAAGAGGGTGGGGTGGGGGTGAGAATTGAAAAATTATCTATTAGGTACAATATTTACTATTAGGCTGATGGGCATACCAGAAGCCCAGACATCTCCACTTGGCAATATATGCATGTAAGAAACCTGACTGGTACCTCCTAAATCGATAAAAATCTAAAAATACAAAAAACCACAAAGTGACTTTACTAACAATAATTCTTATTTGCATGGAGAAGTAGCATAGGATAGTAGTTAAGAGCCCCAACTTCTTAGCCAGACTGCCTGAGCTCTAATGTCGTCTACATAACTTATCATGTTGCACTTTAGTTTGCTCTCCTGTTAAAGGAGGGGTGAAAGCTTACCCCTCATAGGGTTATTGTAAGGATTAAATGAATCACCTCATCTGTGAAGTGCTTAGAAAACTACCTACCACATATAAGCACTATAAAAGTGTTACTTGAAATACCTTTGGCTGGTTTCTAACTTGGACTGTCATCTCACATATTGCTTTATTAACCTGGGCAGTGATTTCGATCTTCTCTCCCGCTGTCATTCTTCCGTGAGCAAGGACACCTTGCTTCTAGATCACCTCCTGAATTGCCACACTTGTACTGGAAGAAATTATATTACTCATCCCTGTATCCTCCTAAGCTATTGTTTTATAGTCTTCTATTCTTAGTAAGAGCCCCTGAATGGTTTTTTTATTATTATTATTGCAAGTTAATACAGGAAAAACTAAAATAGAAAACTGTGTGCTTAAAATAAATGTTTCACAGCGTAAGATTATTATATGTTTTTTCAAAAGATGTTTTAATATTTGTTAAATTGCGCTGGGCACCGTGGCTCACACCTGTAATCCCAGCACTTTGGGAGGCTGAGGTGGGTGGATCACCTGAAGTCAGGAGTTCAAGACCAGCCTGGCCAACATAGTAAAACCTCGTTCCTACTGAAAATACAAAAATTAGCTGGATGTGGTGGTGCGTGCTTGTAGTCCCAGCTACTTGGGAGGCTGAGGCAAGAGAATTTCTTGAACCTGGGAGGTGGAGGTTGCAGTGAGCCAAGATCATGCCACTGCACTCCAACCTGCGCAACAGAGTGAGACTCTGTCTCAAAAAAAAAGAATTGTTAAATTGTCCACATTGGGAAATATAACTATGCCAATTGCTAACAAAGGGTTTTACTTTTGAAGATGAATAAAATAGTAAAATTTTAGGTTGAGTTGTTTATATAAAAATTACTGAAAGATGTCTTTATAGTACATATAAATAACCATATCTCTACTGGAAGGTGCCTCCTCATTTATTAGTCTACATGCCACAAAGAAATAGGCTGAACTGAGATGACTTGACTTTGAACTTTCACTGATATCTAGGTTGATAATAATAAAAAAGAATGTGTTTATTATGGCCCTAACCTGCTTCTGTACCCATGAACACCAAATGATTGAGACATGTATATAAAAGTTCTGAAGTCATGCTGTAAAGCATGGTAAATAGTTAACTGAAATGTCAAGTGACCTTTCCTACTTATATCCAACTGACAGGAAAGGAGTTTTGTTTGTTATTTTCTATGTAGTTATATAAATGGCCATTAATTAATGATAAATAATAATCACACATCATGATGAAATGTTCAGTTAGGCTGACACTACAGTTTTTTGGCCTAGGATTCTTCTTTAGACCCCAAAGAGGAATATCATTGTTTATTGCTGAAACCAGAAGAAATAAAATCATTCTGCAGTATATCTGTCAGGATTTTTTATGCTGCCAGAAAGTTATATAACCGTAAGTAAAGTAATTTCAGCAGCCTTTCATAAATGCAGCTGGAAGAGTGATAACTTTAATTCTGCTAGTCAATTCTTGAGTTGGTCCAGCCAGTTCCATAATCTCTTGATAAAATGATAACAACCTAACATTTACTAGATGTCTTCTGTGTGCCAGACGTCTCCTCCTAAACTCTTTTCACAAATAGGCTAATTTAAACTTCACAATAACCTTATGAAATAGGAACTATTATTACTCCATTTTCCATGTAGGAAACTGAGGCTTAAAAATATTCTGCCTAATTCCCGTAATAAAAGAGTTGGACTCTACATGAAAATTCTAAATTCCATACTCTAGCCACTTTGCTGTACTCCAACTCCTCCCACCTTTAATTTCCATCCATCATATAGTAACAGATTGGGCTTAAAGATGTAGACCTCCTAATGTTAGTGGGATGATTTAAAATCTGGTACAGGAGTTAGATGTGGCACCAAAAGCATGAGTGACAAAAAAATGAATCAGTTGAGGTCAGGAGTTTGAGACCAGCCTGGCCAACATGGTAAAACCCCATTTCTAGTAAAAATACAAAAATGAGCCAGGCGTAATGGCACACACCTGTAGTCCCAGCTACTCGGGAGGCTGAGGCAGGAGAATCGCTTGAACCCAGGAGGATTGTGCCACTGCACTCCAGCCTGGGCAAGAGAGGGAGACTCCATCTCAAAAAAAAAAAAAAAAAAAAACTTGTACACTGTTATTTGTCAGTTATAGCTCAACAAAGCTGAAATAAAACCTGTCCAAATAACAATAATGCTTGTACATGGATATCCACAGCAGTATTATTTATAATGCTGAAATAAAACCTGTCCAAATAACAATAACACTTGTACATGGATATCCACAGCAGTATTATTTATAATAGCCAAAAAATGGAGACAACTCAAATGTCATCTACTGATGAATAGATAAAATAAAATGTGGTATGTCCATGCAACGGAATATTATTTGGCAATAAAAAGGAATGAAGTACTATTATATGCCACAACACAAATGAAAGAAGCTAGTCATAAAAGGCCACATGATTTCATTTATATGAAAAATAGGCAAATCTATAGTGATGGCAAGTCAATTAGTTCCCAGGGACTGCAGGGAAGGAATGATGGGGATTGATTACTAATGGGTACAGGGTTTTTTGGGGAGGGTGATGAAAATGTTCTAGAATTGGTGGGGAAAGTTACACAATTCTGTTTGTGGTACTAAAATCACCCGAATTTTACCCTTCAAAAGGGTGAATTTTGTAGTATAGTGAATTATATCTCAATAAAACTATTATTTTTTAAAAGGTAAGAAAGATCCTTAAAAGGCATTTCTTTCTTGGAAGTTCATATTCTGTAAATACAAAGTAAGCAAATAATTTTTCCATGACTAAATTGGCTTGATGATTTTCAGAAAGACTGACATGCCTTTGCTAAACTATATCTTCTGGATCAGTATTTTATCTGACATTTAAGTTTTCCAAAACACTTCCCTTTTCTCTTTTCACTAAAATTGTGTAACGCTACAAAAGGGATGTATCAGGATGAGTACTGCAAGAAAAGGGGTTGTGTTCCCCAAGACCAGCCACACTCAGAGATTCACTAGAAGGACTCATAGAACTCACCATTATTCGACTCATGGCTAAGATTTCTTACAGTGACATAGTAAGGTGGATCACAGGGGGAAAGACACAAGTGGAGTCTGCAGGAATCCATGTACAGGCTTCCTTAGGCTCTTTCCCTCCCGTGATAGGGCACAGAGAGCACACTTTTGCACCAGCAACAAAAATGTAGCAATATGTGTGCAATATTTCTGCCCAGAGATGCCCATTAGCAACTCAGAACCAAAGATTTGTATTGGAGGCTGGTCACACAGGCACTCTCTAACCAATACATACCTCAAATTTGAGCTCCCAGAATAAAAGCAGGGGTTCAACATAAATCCTATTATTTGCATAGTTTAGACAAGTGGTCCGCAACCTTTTTGGCACCAGGGATTGGTTTTGGGGAAAACAATTTTTCTTCCATGAAAGAAAAATTCTTTTTCTTTTTTAAAATTATTCTTCTTTCATGGGAGGGTGAGGTGGGGGCAGGGGGTGCGGGATGGGAAACGGTTTCATGATAAAACTGTTCCACCTCAGATCATCAGGCATTAGTTAGATTCTCATAAGGAGCACTGACCCTAGATCTCTCGCATGTGCAGTTCGCAATAGGGTTTGTGCTCCTATGAGAATCTAATGCCACCACTGATCTGACAGGAAGCAGGTTGAGGACCCCTGAATTAGAATCTATTTGAAAAATAAAGTGGAAGGTCATCTTTCTTACAGAACAATAAATTTCTGTTTCATAGGAATTATTTAACTTCTGAACAGTTTGTTACAAAATACATAATTACACCGCAGGACTCAAAGTTCACGCAAGAAAATGGTTTAAGGACTGAGTGGGTACTTGGAATTTCTTAGACAACCTACCTTCACTACCTTTTCCCTTTTTTCTCCCCTTCCTCTGTTTCCCTTCCCTGCTTTCACCCATCAGCTTCATCCCCTTCACTTTCCCCTTTTCCATCACGACCATCTCCCCAATTATAAACTGACTAATTTCAAAACATTCAAATCACTGTAAAAATTGTTTCCTTTTACAATTTTATTTCACAGGTCTTCCAAGTGTAAAATATTATCTCACTAATAGATGTATTCTCATAAAAATTTTTACATGTTTGCATATACATGTACCTGCATCTTCCAAATTAATAACTTGATTTAAAAATTATCTTCAGAAAATATCAAAGTTCATGGAAATAAATAAAATTTTTTGCCAAATTGCAACTTCAGCCCTTTGACAAAAATATATAGTAAATTCTTATTTAGCAGCAGCATTTAAATACTACAACATTTCAAAAATCTTCAAAGTTCCACCTTACCTGTAAGGCATGTGGAAACCCAACTTCTCCAGAACCAGACTTAGTGGTCAATTATCTTGAACCTCCAAATAAGTCAACCTGGAAGCAAGACACAACATATGGAACCATTTGCAGACCATACCAGCCCCAAGATAACAATTATCTCCCACTTCAATTGCCTTCCACTGAGGCAGGGTTTTACTAAGAATAAAATGGTTCTCCCTAAAGCACTGGAAAAAAACAATGTTTCCTCGAAAAAAATGAAAAAGTTAATTTGATAGCAAAGAGCATGAACAGACTCTAGAAAGCATAAGATCATAATCCCACACAGACCAGGCCTTCCATGAACCATCCTGAGTACCATGTAAAGGTGACTATCTGGTATGTGCTCAGAAGGGACCATATGAGAGTATCACAAGACACTCATAACTATGTCAATTGTTAAAAAACTAGGAATATTAGGCCAGGCGCGGTGGCTCACACCTGTTAGCCCAGCACTTCGGGAGGCCAAGGCGGGCAGATCACGAGGTGAGGAGATCGAGACCATCCTGGCCAACACGGTGAAACCCTGTCTCTACTAAAAATACAAAAAAATTAGCCGGGAGTGGTGGCGGGTGCCTGTAGTCCCAGCTACTCGGGAGGCTGAGGCAGGAGAATGGAGTGAACCCGGGAGGCAGAGCTTGCAGTGAGGCGAGATGGCGCCACTGCAGTCCAGCCCGGACGACACAGCAAGACTCTGTCTCAAAAAAAAAAAAAAGAAAAGAAAACTAGGGATATTAGTCTGCAGAGGCAAACCTCAGAGGTCAGGTGGAGAAAGTAGGGCATGAGTATCAGTTCAGGTATTTAAAGGTTTGTTATATGGTAGAGTAAATCTACATGACCTGACGAGCTAAAACTGGAACAAACAAGTGGGAAGAGATGACAGTCCAATCATTGTAAAAAAGAACTCTGAGGCCTGGCTGCTTTGAGCCATAATGAGCTGCCTGTAGCTGGAAGTGTTAAAGTCTTTGATTGATTCATTCAATATTCTACATTCCATTTCAATATTCTGCATTCCATTTCAATATTCTGCCTTCCATTTCAATATTCTGCATTCCATCCAATCTTTACTCTGGAGACGGGACATTGGCTCTACACACGTGAGTGAAATAGTCAGGGTTCCTGCTCTCATCTAACTTAGATTCTGATGGTGTGATTTCAGATATTTAGAGGAAATTTAAATATACATACAGATAGAAACTGTGAAATGTTTTGTAATCTCAAGAAACTGTAAATGTATTAAATAAAAGCCATGGGTTTTTCTACATTTGGAGTACCATAAATATGTTTTTTTTCTGTCCAAGAGTGAGCCAGCCAAACTAATAACGCTTAGCTAAGAAACATCCTAAGGCTAGCTCAGAGATTATTTTGGATACTATTGAAATTTGGGCATTAAAGTTATAACTGTGGGTCTCCAAAGTATATTAATGAAGAAGACTCAAAACCATTCTCTTAAAGTGAGCCAGTTATTGTCAGCCTTTTGCTTTTGGTTGCAGTTCTTATAACTTAGAGTTACACTTTTTTTTTTGTTAGAAGATACTTTTCCTTCAGAAAAATAGAATAATAATGTTTTATAATTAGGAAAGAAACATAAGACTGGTTAAAAACACATGAAAAGGGATTTTTAAAATACAGTTAATATCTAAGTCTCAGAATTAAATTAATACACAAAACTGCTTAAGTACAATCTATTCTTGCCTATTAGTTATAATCATGAAGTTCATTTTTTAACCATCTCTTAGTCAGCATATTTCAAGATAAGATCGCTTTAATCTGAATTAAACAACTATGGTCTGAGCCTGAAGTCCCCGGCTGGTTTGGAATTATGCTGTCTTGTGGATGAAAGCCCTCATAGTTTGCCTGGTCTGACACAAGGCTGGGGAGAGAAGCAATGGGGAAATTCCAGAGGTGACTCTCACTGAACCTCCCAGCATGGCTCCAGGCAACACAAAATTCACAAACATGTCTTGATGGGAAATGAACTTGCATTCACAAACATTCACTTTATTTTTTTATGCTTTTTTAAATTGCTAAGATGAATCCAAAAAAATCTATTAGTAAACTCTGTATTAATCAATTTTAGAATGCCAGAAGTTTAAAAGAGAAAAAGAACAAACGTCGGGGACTGAAAATTCAAAAGCAGCAAGAGAGAGCCTGCTACTCAGTTTCCAGAACAAGAGGGAGGGAGTGTCTGTGTGTGTGTGTGCGCGCATGCACATGTATATGTGTTTCAGTTTTATTGAGGTATAGTTGACAAATTAAATTGTACATATGTATAAGGTGTATGATGTGATGTTTTGATATACACATACATTGTGAAATGATTACCACAATTGAGTTAATTAACATATCCATTACCTCACATAGTTACCTTTGATTTGTGGGTGTGTGATAAGAACACTTAAGTCCACTATCTTAGCAAATGTGAAGTATACAATATACCAGCAGTGTAAAAGGGTTCCCTTTTCTCCACATCCTCACCAACACTTATATTTTGTCATTTTTATAAAAGCCATCCTAACAGGTGTTAGGTAATATCTCATCATGGTTTTATTTGCATTTCCTTGATGATTAGTGATGTTGAGCAAATTTTCTTTCTTTTTTTCAATTTAACTTTTATTTTAAGTTCAGGGGTACATGTGTAGCCTTGTTACATAGGTAAACCTATGACATGGGGGTTTGTTGTACAATTATGTTGTCACCCAGGTATTAAGCCTAGTACTCATTAGTTATTTTTCCTGATCCTCTCCCTACTCCCACCTTCCATCTACCAATAAGCCCCGGTGTGTGTGTTTCCCCTCTATGTGTCCATGTGTTCTCATCATTTAGCTCCCAGTTATAAGTAAGAAAATGCAGTATTTGGTTTTCTGTTCCTGTGTTAGTTTGCTAAGGATAATGGCCTCCAGCTCCATCCATGTTCCTGCAACGGACATGATCTCATTCTTTTTTATTACTGCATAGTATTGCATGGTGTATATGTACCACATTTTCTTTATGCAGTTTATTGTTGATGGGCATTTATGTTGATTCCATGTCTTTGCTATTTTGAATAGTGCTGCAATGAACATACATGTGCATGTATCTTTGTAATAGAATAATTTATATTCCTTTTGGTATATACCCAGTAATGGATTGGTAGGTCGAATGGTATTTCTGTCTTTAGGTCTTTGAGGAATTGCCACACGTCTTCCTCAATGGTTGAACTAATTTACACTACCACCAACAGTGTCTAAGCAGTCCTTTTTCTCAGCAAACTCACCAGCATCTGCTATTTTTTGACTTTTTATAATAGCCATTCTGACTGGTGTGAGATGGTATCTCACTGTGGTTTTGATTTGCATTTCTCTTATGATCAGTGATGTTGACCTTTTTTTCACATGATTCTTGGCCACAAGTTTGTCTTCTTTTGAAAAGTGTCACTTCATGTCCTCTGCCCACTTTTTAATGGGGTTGTTTGTTTGTTGTTTGTTTCTTGTAAATTTAAGTTCCTTGTAGGTGCTGGATATTAGACCTTTGTCAGATGCATAGTTTGCAAAATTTTCTCCCATTCTGTAGGTTGTCTGTTCATTCTGTTGATAGTTTCTTAAAGGGAAAGCGTTCAGTTTTTCCCCATTGTTTAGGATGTTAGCTGTGTGGTTTTCATTTGGACTTTTATTTTATTTATTTATTTTTGAGACAGAGTCTGGCTCTGTCATCCAGGCTGAAACAGAGTGGTGTGATCTTGGCTCACTGCAACCTTCACCTTCCAAGCTCAAGCCATGCTCCCATCTCAGCCTCTTGCGTAGCTGGGACTGCAGGCATGCACTACCACGCCTGGCTAACTTTTGTATTTTTTGTTGAAATAGAGTTTTTCCATGTTGCCCAGCCTGGTCTTCACTCCTGAGCTCAAGTAATCCACTCAACTCAGCCTCCCAAAGTGCTGGGATTATAGGTGTGAGCCTCCACACCTGGCTTTGACGTTTATTTTCTTAAGTTCCTTCTATATATATTTTATTGACAGTTTTAATCATGAAAGGATGTCGAACTGTGTCAAATGCTTTTTCTGTGCCTATTGAGACAATCATGTGGTTTTCTTCTTTCATTTTGTTAATGTGTTGTATCACATTTATTGATTTGCATATGTTGAACTAACCTTGCATCCCAGGAATAAATCCCACTTAATCATGATATATGGTCCTTTTAATGTACTATAAAATTTAGTTTGCTAGTTGAAAATTTTTGTATCTGTGTTCATCAGTAATGTTGGCCTGTAGGATTATTTTCATACAGTGTCATTGTCTGGGTTTGGTAGCAAGATGATGATGGCCTCATAGAAAAAATTTGGAAGTGTTCCCTCTTCTATTTTTTTGGAAAAATTTAAGATGGACTGCTATTAAGTCTTCTTTGAGTGTTCAGTAGAATTACCTATGAAGTCATTGGTCCTTGAATGTTTTTTCGTTGTTGGGAGATTTTTTTTTTTTTTTTTTTTTTTGAGATGGGGTCTTGCTCTGTCACCCAGGATGGAGTGCAGTGGTATGACCATAGCTCACTGCAGCGTCAACCTTCCAGGCTCAAGTGATCCTCTCACCCCAGCCTTCCAAGTTTCAGGGATCACAGTCATGCACCACCATGCCAACTAATTTTTTTATTATTGTAGAGAAAGGTCTCTCTATGTTGCCCAGGCTGGTCCTGAACTCCTGAGCTCAAGCAATCCTCCCATCTCAGTGGAAGATTTCTTAATACTGATTCAATCTCCTTATTTGCTAGTGGTCTGCTCAGGTTTTCTGTATCTTCATGATTCAGTTTTGGTAGGTTTTATGTTTCTAGGAATTTCTTCTAATTTACCCAGTTTTTTGGCATATGATCATTCATAATAATCTTTTATGGTCCCTATTATTTCTTAGATATTTGTTGTAATGTCTCCTCTTCCAATTCTGATTTTAATTATTTGAGTCTTCTGTCTTTTTTCTTGGTTACTCTGTCAATTTTGTTTAACTTTTTAAAAAACCAACTCTTAGTTTCATTGATTTTTTTCTCTATTTGATTTACATTGACTCTAATCTTTATGATTTCCTTCCTTCTGCTAACTTTGGGCTTAATTAGTTGAGGTTTTTTTCTAGTTTCTTAAGGTATAAAGTTAGATTGTTTATGCAAAATCTTTCTTCTTCTTTAAAGTAGGCATTCATCACTATAAACTTTCCTTTTAGAACTGCTTTTTCTGTATCTCATAGGTTTTGGTATGTTGTGTTTCATTTTGCTTTGTCTGGAGATGCTTCTTAAGTTATCTTTTGAGTTTCTTTTACACCCAATGATTATTTAGGAGTGTGTACTTTAATTTCCACATATTTGTGAATTTTACAGTTTTCTTGCTGTTATCTCTAGTTTCATTCCATTGTGGTTGGAAAAGATTCTTGGAATGATTTTGACTTTATTGAATTTGTTAAGACTTATTTTGTGACCTAATATGTGATCTATCCTGGAGAATATTCCATGTGCACTTGTGAAAAATGAGTATTCTGGTACTGTTGAGTGGAAAGTTCTATGTAAGTCTGTTAGGTACATTTGGTCTACAGTGTTTTTCAAGTCAGATGTTTCATTATCAATTTTCTGTTTGGGTGCTCTATCCATTAGTGTAAGTGGGGTATTGAGGTATCCTACTATTATAGTATTGCTCTTAATTTCTGTCTTTAGATCTGTCAATATTTGCTTTATATAATATATTTAGGTCCTCTGATATTTTGTATATATGATATGGTTTAGCTCTGTGTCTCCATCCAAATCTCATCTTGAATTGTAATCCCCACATGTCGAGGGAGGCATCTAGTGGGAGGTAATTGGATCATGGAGGCAGTTTCCCCAGTTGGATCATGGAGGCAGTTTCCCCTGTGCTGTTCTTGTAATAGTGTGTGAGTTCTCACAAGTTTAAAAGTGTTTGGCAGTTCCTCCCTTTTGCTCTCTCCTCCCACCATGTAAGACATGTCTTCCTTCCCCTTCGCCTTCCACCATGATTGTAAGTTGCCTGAGGCCTCCCCAGACATAAAGAACTGTGAGTTCATTAAACCTCTTTTGTTTATAAATTATCCAGTCTCAGGCAGTTCTTTATAGCAGTGTGAAAATGGGCTAATACAATATATTTATAGTTGCTATATCTTTCTGTTGAATTGACCCTTTTAACATTATACAGTGATCTTTCACTCGAGACAGTTTTACATTTAAAATCTATTTTTTTCTTCTATTGTCATTCCTGCTTTCTTTTGGTTACCATTTGCATGAAATATCTTTTTTTAGCCATTCACTTTCATGTATGTCTTTAAATCTAAAGTGAATCTCTTGTAGACAGAATATTACTGGATCCCATTTTCTTAATCCATTCAGCCACTCTATGTCTTTTTATTGATGAGTTTAATCCATTTACATTCATAGTAATTATCAATAATACAGGACTCATTATTGCCATTTTGTTAATTATTTTCTGTTTTATGGTTCCTTTGTTCCTTTCTTTGTGATTTGATTTTTTTTTTTGATAGCGGTATGTTTTGAATCCTCTCTCTTTATCTTCTGTATGTCTACTAGAGGTTTTTCTTAGATTTAAAGACACACATGAAAGTGAAAAGATAAAAAAAGATACTTCATGCAAATGATAACCAAAAGAAAGCAGGAGTGAGTATAGAAGAAAAAATAGATTTTAAATCTAAACTTCATGGTAATCACAAGGAACATCTTATAATTATGTTATAACAGTTAGCTTATTGTAAGCTGATAATAACTCCAATTTCATACAAAAACTCTACACTTTTATTTCTCACACATACAGTTTATGTTATTAATGTCACAATTTATATCTATTAATATCATGTATCTATTAACAAATTATTATAGCTGTAGTTATTTTTAATACTTTTGTCTATTATCTTTTTATACTAGAGTTAGAAGTGATGTACACACTGCCAATCACAAGATTAGAGTATTCTGAATTTTACCATATACTTATCTTTACCAGTGAGTTACACATTTTCATATGTTTTCATGTTACTAATTAGCATCTTTCATTCAACATGAAGAATGCCCTTTACTTTTCTTATAAGGCAGGTCTAATGGTGATGAATTCCCAGTTTTGTTTGTCTGGGAAAGTCTGTCTCTCCTTTATTTCTGAAGGACAGCTTTATCAAGTATGGTATTCTTGGTTGGCAGTTTTTTCTTTCAGCACTTTGAAAATATCATCCTACTCTCTCCTGGCATGCTAGTTTCTGCTGGTAAATCTTCTGATAGTCTTATATACATTCCCTTGTATGTGACAGGTAACTTTTCTCTTGCTGTTTTCAAAACACTCTGTCATTGACTTTTGATCATAATGTGTCTCCATATAATCTTCTTCAGGTTGATCCCGTTTGGAAACTTCTGAGCTTCATGAACGTGATGTCCATATCCCTCCCCAAGATTTGGGAAGTTTTCAGCCAATTTTTTAAAAATAAGCTTTCTTCCCATTTCTCTTTTCTTTCAGAGGCTCTCGTAATGCATATATAGGTTTGGTTGATGGTGTTTTATAAATCTCTTAGGCTTTCTTTACTTTTTAAAATTCTTTTTTCTTTCTTCTTTCAATCTCCCTGGATTGAAAAATAACATATGATGTGTCTCTGAGTTCACAGATTCTTTCTCATGCTTGATCAAGTTTGTTGCTTAAGCTCTCTATTGAATTTTTCAGTCCAGTAATTGTGTTCAGCTCCAGAATTTGTTTGGTTCTTTTTTATTATTTCTATCTTGCTGTTAAACTTCTGATTTTGTTCATGTATTGTTTTTCTGAGTCAGTAAGTTGTCTATCTGTGCTGTTTTATAGCTCACTGAGCTTTCTTAAAATAATTATTTTTAATTCTTTGTCAGAAATTCATAGGTCTCCATTTCTTTGGGTTCAGTTACTGGAATATTACTGTGTTCCTTTGGTGGAATCATGTTTCCTTGATTTTTTTTCATGTTTTTTGAAGTCTTTCATTGCTATCTTCACATTTGAAGAATCAGTTAGCTCCTCCAGTCTTTACTGACTGGCTTCAAGAGAGAAAGACCTTTACCAGTCATCCAAGCTAGAAATTTGCAGGGCCTCTTAAATCTTTTCTGTGGATGCACCTGCTCCACTTCTCTTGTTCCAACAAGGAGTGTTTTATGGAAACATCTGAATATAGATCTGCTTTACCTAGCACTTAGAAAAGTTTACTACCATATAGAAAAATGATAGCTTACATTATTACACAGTGTTTTGGGTAGACATTAAATACTGTATCTTGAGTAGACCATATCTACTCAGCTTAGTCAAGATATCACTGTTGCTGATTGACTCAGACAATTAAATATTGAGGTAACCCTGTCATCCCAGGTCATATACCGGGGTCACTCTAATCCCAGCAAGTGACACAGCAAATTGGAAAGTGCCTGGTTCACTGGTAGGCTTTCAAATTCTAACAAAACAAACTTACTGGTCATATATAGCTGAGAGTCTATTTTGTGACTGCTGAATTAGCCACAGGGAAAATCAAAAGCCTAGGTAGGGAGGCCCAGCTGAATTGGTTTTCAGCCTCCATCCTGTTCTAGTATCAGCACTCACATCCAGTGCCTTCAATAGCATCCTTCCTTTTTATGTATCTGTAGGGCTTCTACCAGCATCCTTGCTGGGACTCCAGGCCATCACTATGGTTTCCTGTCACCCACCCTAAGTGGAAAAAGGAAAAGTGGAAGAATTTTCTCTCCAAGTGTACCATTCTTTTAGCCAATGCAGAAAGCCTGGCTTACTAAGAAATAAGCTCACTAATAATAACACTTAAGGCTAATGAACCCAAGGGTTGGCTAACCTAGGAAGGAAATACTACCTTGGTAAATACCACCTTGAATTATAAACTGAGCCTTCATTCCAGGACAACACCAACCTCTTCAAAGAATGTAATTCTGCTCTGTCTCTGAGTAGGGTCCCTGCAGCTCAGAACTCAGTCTGAAGACTGGAACCACCTTTATAATTTTCTTATTTGATACATTATCTCTTTGACAGATCCACAATCACTTACCCACAATTCTGAGATAGAAGGGTTACTGAACACCAAACAACTTTTATAATTTTACAAGCAGAACCTCAATTTATGTGATGTAAGGCTATGAGCAGTATCTATTTATCTCACTTTGTGGGAATAGTCTTACATTTAGCCAAAGAAATATTATTGTGTTGAATTACAGGCCAAGGATATTATGTAATATACAGCATATGTGTCATATTACCTTTCTAAGATCCAAAAATATCTCTGAACTCCAAAACACATCTGGCCCCATGAGTTTTGGATAAAGGCCTAGGAATCTGTAGTAAATTCAGAATTTGTTCTAGAATATTCCTTCTCTTTTCCATAGGGGCTGAGATAATTATGTAGAATGTGAGGCTAAAAGGAGAGGGTCACATAAGGAATTAGAAATCTTCATAATGTAATGGGGAAGTTAGTAGGAGGCAAGTATTTTTATAGAGCCAGGAGTTAGGATCAAGTCTTTCCAAAGCAATGAAGAAGATGCCATTTCCTCCTTGGCAGCCAGTTCTACATCTCTCTGAATACCATTTGACTAATATTCACACAGAAAGAAATATATTTCTTAATTCAGTGTAGAGGTCACCTTGGGATAAGAAGTACCTTCTCCACATAAACAAGTTTTTAAAAAATGATTTGATTCCCAAGCTAACCCAGAAAAGTTTGCTACTGGAGTAGTTAAAACAGTAGAATTTGCAATATGTGATAAACTCATTTTATGAGCAAACCTAGGAATCTGAGTTCTTTCCACATTACTGTTTATGTAGGAAAATATATTTGGCATCCTAATAATGAATTACAAAATGCCATGTGGAACACAATGCACTTCTACGTTGGCTGTTGCCTGTACTATGCAGAGTGTTTTTCTGATTAATTAAGTCATCACTTATTGCTCAGAAATATTTATTGAGCACTCGTAATAGGTACTAGAAATAAAGGGCTCAGCAGAAAAGAAAATGAACCATCCTTTACAAAGTTTAGGCTCTAGGGGAAAAAAGAGCAGGGGGGAAAAAATTTTAACAGTTTAAAATAAACTCATCTTAATGTAAAATTGAGTGTTTAATACAGTTACATATTTTGTTGTAATTTTATTCAAAACCTTCCTATACTGAGTTTCCTCTTACTTAAGGCAACTTATATCTCCACACACTGAAAGACTTACGCAGAGGAACATAAAAGTCTCTAAACTTTCACAAAGGTCAGAAAGATTTTCTAAATACATATAATTATCCCCCAAGTTCTGCTAATAAGGAAGAGGCTATCTGGAACAAACCAACTTATAAAGTTCACAGTGGAATAATAGCATCATTTTTTCAAGCATTAGATGTTGAGCAGTATTTAAATCTTAATACAGATGAAATTTGTTGTTTCAAAAAAAATCCACCACTTTGCCAAAAAAGGATGGAATGCTAAAGTCTGATAGCTATTGTCCACATTTTTAGAAGGTTTGTCACAAAGTTCTACATACCATACTTTTGAAAACAATTGTGGTGCTATGGAAATGCTAATGTTAAATTCTCTGAGTGGAAATCAAAAGACAATAGCTACCTCCCCTGAAATCAGGAAATCCCAGGATTGTACAGTCTCAACACAACCCAAGGAAATGAAACCCTTTTTGTGATTGTAATATTTGGTAGAGAGGGAAAATGTCAAGGAAAGCAAAAAAAGTTAAGCCCCTTTTTTTCTTTGTGGTAGCTAGTAGAGGGAGTTAAAAGTACCAGTGTCAACAGAAATGGGAAGCTGTGTGTAAAAAGCACATATTAGGATTACTTGTTACCTTAGACCAGTTTGCATCAAGGACATGATGCCAAGAATAGAAAGTCAGTGCATGCTTGATGTTAACCCCCTAAAGGAACAACAAACAAATAACCAATTCCTAAGTGAAATCATGGTCATATGCAGCTACTCCTATATTTTCGGATTCCTAAAAGAAATGAGGAATACAGGGAGAAAATGCCAGCCTGGAAATCAACAATCAGGATCCTCAAGAGTAGCAGATTATGACAGGGGAGTCTTGGATTCTATACTTGATAGAGTCGTTAACTGGGAAAATTTGGAAAGTCATTAACTGGGAAAACCAAATTCATCCAATACGCCTTTGTTCCATGTCTAGAATGATTAAGCATTGATCTTGGCACTAAGAGGAGGAGAGGAAGAGGAGTGCATTACAAAGGTGTATAAGACACCATCTCCATGTCAACAGGTAGACAACCCTGTACACATGTAACAATAAATCACAGAAGAAGAATTATACAACATAATAACAAAAAATAAATCATGAATACTCATAGGACACTTTCTACAGGTCACATCCCATTCTAAAGACTCTCCATATTTTAATTATCACAACCACTCTTTCATTTTCTACACTGAGGAAACCAAAGCTCAGAGAGGTCAAGTTACTTACTCAAGGTCACACAAATTATAAGTGGTAGATCATGGATTTAAACCCAGGTTCCAGAGGCTGCTTACTCTTAACCACCCATAATGAAACATGCAAAAGATTTTAATCCTGACTATGACTGGGGATGCAGAATAAGGTGAGGAGGTAGGAAGAGGAGTAGAGGAAGAGTCTGGGAAGAACTGGTAGTTGAGTTCTGTGTTGCCCATTTGGACCCAATATAACCTCCCTGGATGCTGTTTATCTCCAAACAAATGGGATTGATGACATTATCTCTAAAATCCCTTTGGCTCTTTTAAGTACTTCTTAATTCATCTGTGACATCACCAGAGATAGTACATTGTGGGAAAAGAGCAACCTTTGAAAACCAACACAACTAAATTATCAGTTGTGTGATTTGGGTGAGTTATTTGCCATTCCTGAACCTAAGCTTCCTCAATGGTACAATAAGACAATCCTCACAGAGTTGTAAAGATTAAATAATCTGTGCGAGGCACAGTGCCTGGCACAGAGGAAGCACTCAATTAATTTTACTCTCCCCACTCCCTTTCTTTTGCTTTAATTGCATATAATCTCAGTCCTTGAATTCACCTAAGTCTAGTGAACCAGATCATTACATGATTAGCTACACATTATTAGAATACCCTTTGGCAGTAGATGGCAAAAGACAGTCTCCTTGAGGATATCCTTTTTTTTTTTTCAATCTAGAAATTTCTAAGTTGCCATCCTGCTATTTTATATTAAAACACCGTTTGCTTTTCTTGGTTCTTTTGATTATGCAACTCAACAAACTTAGTTAACAGCCACACGATAAGCTAGGAACCAAGTAGTAAAGTTGCATACCATTCATAAACCATGACTGATATGGCCTAGGAGGTTTTCAATAGATATTACATAGATTTTATAAAGCCAAAGAAAAGTGTAGTTAAGAGTTTAAAATGTTCTAGTGTTACATACTAAAATAAATATTTGAATAAAAGTAGGCAGAAAAAGTCCTACCTAAAAACTCATTTGTCATAATTTGAAGCTTTATTGTCAAAGACTAAGGCAGAGAAAAGGAGGCATTTATCCACAGAAAAAAAGTAAATATAGAGACAAAGATCATATTCGTGTCTAAAAGAAAAAAGATATTTATGTTGTTGTTTTGTCCTTCATTCTATTATTTTACTAACTCGGAATACATCTTTTACCAGCTCTGGCTAAAGAAGTTTGAGGCTTTTCTTTTTACCTTTTAAAATGGATATACCTAATGTTAAATGACGAGTTACTGGGTGCAGCACACCAACATGGCACATGTATACATATGTAACTAACCTGCACGTTGTGCACATGTACCCTAAAACTTAAAGTATAATAAAAATAAATAAATAAAAATAAAATTGAGATTTAACTTATATATATTAAAATGCACAAATCTCAAGCATACACTCAATTTTTATATATGCATATACCCATGTAACTAACCACCACCTAGATCAATATGCAGAATATTTCCAATGCCCCTAAAAGTCCTCTACCCCCTTCTCAGTCTACAGCCCCAAGGCAATCCCTATCTAAACTTTTAAATAGAGAAGATAACAAAAATAGAAAATGAAAAAGAAATCCTAAATTTGATTTTGTTATGTTTTCTGCTGTGTACTATTTACAGAGCTTACTTATTGGAGGTTTAGTAACCCCTGGATACCCAAGGCTTTAAAGAATTGGTTCACTGGGTGATAAACTGAAAAATCATAGCTGGGAGCTTCAAAGAAGCAGCCTTTAGGTTTTTACTGTGGAAGAGTCAGATTCCTGATGATTTCTTTCTTCTAGAGAAAAATAGGTAAAGAAAGCATCTGGAGAAGTAAGCCAGATTGCTTTCAACCTCACTGTCAACAGAAGTATGATTTTCAATGAAGTTTGAATACAAATTCTGTTTTGTGGTTCTGAAAGCCAAGATAAGTAATAACAATAACAAACTCTGTATTGGATCATAAAGCTATCTGCTCTGTGCATAAAGAAATGCTTCTGATTTGACATCAATGGAGCAGAAGCTTGAGTGTTTTTCAAGTAATTGTGATAATTTGACATTCTTGCTACATTTGCTTTCACCCTACTTTTCTGATAAATTTCAAGCCATTTAATAGGAGTAGGGAGTACAGTGAGTGACAGAGGTAAGTAGCCTACTTGGACAGCAAGGCAGGCAGATCCAAGGTTTTGGTTCATTAGGTGCCTAGTCTAAACAACTGAGCTAATATGATATTTTAGTTAGGTCCCTAGTATAGATTGGCTATCAACAAATGTTACAGACAGGGACATGTGTTAAGATTGAAAAGAGTCTCTATTATAAACATGCCAGAACAGCAGGACTAAATCAAGACTGTCCTAAGCAAACCAGGACAGTCACCCTAGCTATCGTAAGCCTCTATTCCACCAGGGTTCATATTGATTAACTCTTAATTCCAATGACTCTTACTACTTAAGCTAGAGCGTTCGGGGTGGCAAAAGCATCTTCCTTTCCTTCTGCTCACAAGAGGAAGAAAAAGCAAATAGACAAGAGAGATTATGGCTGAGATCTAGTGAGTTAAACGTAAAAATGGCTCTGATCTAAATATACAGGCTTAACTTCTGACAAGGATTCAGCATAAATAGGGTTCAAATAGGATTCAAATGGGGACAGAGGTCACATCTTGTATATCTTTAGTAACTTCCTCTAGCACGTGTCATAATACTCCACACACCGTGGGTTGCCATTAAGAGGGCTGATGAACTAAAGGAGGGCAATATTCTCAATTTGTAAAACTACTACTCTGGCTAATAATGATGTGATGATGGTGATAACCAATAATGGATATGAATTGCGTGCTATGTGCCTGGTATACTGTACTAAGTCCTTTGTATATATTATCTCTTTATATTCCTTAATGATTCTATATTATTTTTGTGTTGTTTTAACGAGTATCTTTTTATTTTTTTTTAATTTCAACTTTTATTTTAGACTTGGGGTTCATGTGCAGGCTTGTTACCTGCACATTGCCTGATGCAGAGGTTTGGGGTACGATTGATCTCATCACCCAGGTCCTGAGCATAGTCCCCAGAGGTTTGTTTTTCAACCCTTGCTCCCCTCCTTCCCTGCTCTATTAGTCCCCAGTGTCCACTGTTGCCATCTTTATGTCCATAAGTAACTGATGTTAAGCTCCCATGTATAAGTGAAAACATGTGATATTTGGTTTTCTGTTCCTGTGTTAATTCACTTAGGATAATGGCTTCAAGCTGCATTCGTGTTGCTGCAAAGGACATGAATTCATACTTTTTATGGCTGCATAGTATTCTATGGTATATATGTGCCACATTTTCTTTATCCAGTCCACCATTAATGGGCACATAGGTTGATTCCATTTCTTTGCTATTGTGAATAGTGCTGCAAGGAACATACAAGTGCATGTGTCTTTTTGGTACAATGATTAATTTTCTTTTTGATATGTACTCAGTAATGGGATTGCTGAGTCAAAATGGTAGTTCTGTTTTTTTTTTGTTTGGTTGGTTGTTTTTTATTTTTTTTCCACACAAGCCAGGGTTGCAGTTTATTCCTTTGCTCCCTTGAATGTGGCCTGATTTGTGACTGCTTTGCTCAACAGAATACTACTAAAATCATGCTGTGTGACTTCTGAAGTTAGCTCCTAAGAAGTCCTTGCAGCTTCTGCCTGAGACTCTTTTTTTTTTTTGTTATACTTTAAGTTTTAGGGTACATGTGCACAATGTGCAGGCTAGTTACATATGTATACATGTGCCATGCTGGTGTGCTGCACCCATTAACTCGTCATTTAGCATTAGGTATATCTCCTAATGCTATCCCTCCCCCCTCCCCCCACCCGACAACAGTCCCCAGAGTGTGATGTTCCCCTTCCTGTGTCCATGTGTTCTCATTGTTCAATTCCCACCTATGAGTGAGAATATGCGGTGTTTGGCCTTTTGTTCCTGCGATAGTTTACTGAGAATGATGATTTCCAATTTCATCCATGTCCCTACAAAGGACATGAACTCATCCTTTTTTATGGCTGCATAGTATTCCATGGTGTATATGTGCCACATTTTCTTAATCCAGTCTATCATTGTTGGACATTTGGGTTGGTTCCAAGTCTTTGCTATTGTGAATAGTGCCGCAATAAACACGTGTGCATGTGTCTTTATAGCAGCATGATTTATAGTCCTTTGGGTATACACCCAGTAATGGGATGGCTAGGTCAAATAGTATTTCTAGTTCTAGATCCTTGAGGAATCGCCACACTGACTTCCACAATGTTTAAACTAGTTTACAGTCCCACCAACAGTGTAAAAGTGTTCCTATTTCTCCACATCCTCTCCAGCACTTGTTGTTTCCTGACTTTTTAATGATTGCCATTCTAACTAGTATGAGATGGTATCTCACTGTGGTTTTGATTTGCATTTCTCTGATGGCCAGTGATGGTGAGCATTTTTTCATGTGTTTTTTGGCTGCATAAACGTCTTCTTTTGAGAAGTGTCTGCTCATGTCCTTCGCCAACTTTTTGATGGGGTTGTTTGTTTTTTTCTTGTAAATTTGTTTGAGTTCATTGTAGGTTCTGGATATTAGCCCTTTGTCAGATGAGTAGGTTGCGAAAATTTTCTCCCATTTTGTAGGTTGCCTGTTCACTCTGATGGTAGTGTCTTTTGCTGTGCAGAAGCTCTTTGGTTTAACTAGATCCCATTTGTCAATTTTGGCTTTTGTTGCCATTGCTTTTGGTGTTTTAGACATGAAGTCCTTGCCCATGCCTATGTCCTGAATGGTAATGCCTAGGTTTTCTTCTAGAGTTTTTATGGTTTTAGGTCTAATGTTTAAGTCTTTAATCCATCTTGAATTAATTTTTGTATAAGGTGTAAGGGAGGGATCCAGTTTCAGCTTTCTACATATGGCTAGCCAGTTTTCCCAGCACCATTTATTAAATAGGGAATCCTTTCCCCATTGCTTGTTTTTCTCAGGTTTGTCAAAGATCAGATAGTTGTAGATATGCGGCTTTATTTCTGAGGGCTCTGTTCTGTTCCATTGATCTATATCTCTGTTTTGGTACCAGTACCATGCTGTTTTGGTTACTGTAGCCTTGTAGTATAGTTTGAAGTCAGGTAGCATGATGCCTCCAGCTTTGTTCTTTTGGCTTAGGATTGACTTAGCAATGCGGGCTCTTTTTTGGTTCCATATGAACTTTAAAGTAGTTTTTTCCAATTCTGTGAAGAACGTCATTGGTAGCTTGATGGGGATGGCATTGAATCTATAAATTACCTTGGGCAGTATGGCCATTTTCACGATATTGATTCTTCCTACCCATGAGCATGGAATGTTCTTCCATTTCTTTGTATCCTCTTTTATTTCATTGAGCAGTGGTTTGTAGTTCTCCTTGAAGAGGTCCTTCACGTCCCTTGTAAGTTGGATTCCTAGGTATTTTATTCTCTTTGAAGCAATTGTGAATGGGAGTTCACTCATGATTTGGCTCTCTGTTTGTCTGTTATTGGTGTATAAGAATGCTTGTGATTTTTGTACATTGATTTTGTATCCTGAGACTTTGCTGCAGTTGCTTATCAGCTGAAGGAGATTTTGGGCTGAAACAATGGGGTTTTCTAGATATACAATCATGTTATCTGGTAGTTCTGTTTTAAGTTCTTTGAAAAGTCTCCAAACTTCTTTCCACAGTGTCTGAACTAATTTACATTCCCACTAACAGTATAACAACTGTTGTTTTTATACACAACAACATTCCTATTTCTCCACAGCCTCACCAGCATCTGTTGTTTTTTGACTTTTTCATAATAACCATTCCAACTGGTATGATACGGTATCTTCTTGTGGTTTTGATTTGCATTTCTTTGATGTCAGTGATGTGGAACGTTTTTCATGTTTGTTGACTGTTTGTATGTCTTCTTTTGAGAAGTATCTGGTCATGTCTTTTGCTCATTTTTAAATAGGGTTATTTGTTTTTTGCTTGTTCAATTGTTTAAGTTCCTTCTAGATTCTGCATATTAGATCTTTGTCAGATGCATAGTTTGTGAGCATTTTCTCCCATTCTGTAAGTTGTCTGTGTACTCTGTTAATAGTTTCTTTTGCTGTGCAGAGCTCTTTAATTAGGTCCCTCTTGTCAATTTTTGTTTGTGTTGCAGTTGCTTTTGAGGATAATCATAAATTATTTCCCAAGGCCAATGTCCAAAATGGTGTTTCCTAGGTTTTCTTCTAGGATTCTTACAGTCTGAGGTCTTACATTAAAATCTTTTATCCATCTTGAGTTAATTTGTGTATATGGTGAAAGGCAGGGGTCCAGTTTCATTCTTCTGCATATGGCTAGCTAGCTATCCCAGCACCATTTATTGAAAAGGGAGTCCTTTCCCCATTGCTTATTTTTGACAACTTTGTCAAAGGTCAGATGACTGTAGGCATGTGGCTTGATTTGTGGGTTCTCTATTCTGTTCTGTTGGTCTATGTGTCTGTTTCTGTACCAGTACCATGCTGTTTCAGTTACTGTAGCATTATAGTATAGTTTGAAATTAGGTGATTTGATGTCTCCAGCTTTGTTCTTTTTGCTCACAATTCCCTTGGCTATTTAGCCTCTTTTTTGGTTCCATGTGAATTTTAGAGTATTTTTTTCTTATTCTGTTAAAAATGATGTTGATAGCTTGATAGGAATAGCAATGAATCTGTAGATTGCGTTGGGTAGTATGGCCATTTTAACAATATTGATTTTTCCAATCCATGAACATGGAGTGTTTTTCCATTTGTTTGTGTCATTTATGATTTCTTGTTGCAGTGTTTTATAGTTCTCCTTGTAGAGATCTTTCACCACATTGGTTAGATATATTTCTGGTGTGTGTGTGTGTGTGTGTTTGTGTGTCTATTTTAAATGGGATTGCATTCTTGATTTGGCTCTCAACTTGAACATCATTTGTGTATAGAAATGCTACTGATTTTTGTACATTGATTTTGTATCCTGAAACTTTACTAAGTCATTTTTAAGTTCCAGGAGTCTTTAGGCAGAGTCTTTAGGGTTTTCTAAGTATAGAATTATATCATCAGCAAAGAGAGATAAGTTGACTTCATCTTTTCCTATTTGGATGCCTTTTATTTCTTTCTCTTGCCTGATTGCTCTGACGAGGACTTCCAGAACTATGTTGAATAGGAGTAGTGACACTGAGAATCCTTGTTTGTTCCACTTCTCAGGGAAAATGCTTTCAGTTTTTGCCTGTTCAATCTGATGTTGGCTGTGGCTTTGTCCTAGATGGCTCTTACTATTTTGAGGTATGTTCCTTTGATGCCTAGTTTCTTAAGAGTTTTTATCATGAAAGAATGTTGGATTTTATCAAAAGCTTTTGCTGCATCTATTGAGATAATCATATGGTTTTTGTTTTAAATTCCGTTTGTGTGATGAATCACATTTATTGATTTGCATAAAATGAAGCAACCTTGCATCCCAGGAATTAAGCCTATTTGTTTATGAAGAATTACCTTTTGGATGTGCAGCTGGATTCAGTTTGCTAGTATTGTCTTAAAAATTTTTGCATCTATGTTCATCAGGGATATTGGCCTATAGTTTTCTGTTTTTGTTGTGTCTTTACCAGGTTTTGGTATCAGGGTGATGCTGGCTTTATAGAATGAGTTAGAGAAGAGTCCTTTCTCCTCAATTTTTTGGAATAGTTTCAGTAGGATTGGTACCAGCTCTTCGTTGTATTTCTGGTAGAATTTGGCTATAACTCCATCTGATCCAGGGCTTTCTCTGATTGGTAGGTTTTTTATTACTGATTTCAATTTCAGAATTTGATATTGGTCTATTCAGGGTTTCAATTTCTTCCTGATTCAATCTTGGGGACTATGTGTTTCCAGGAATTCAGCCATATCCTCTAGAGTTTAGTTTATATGTATGGAGGTGTTTATAATAGTCTCTGAGGATCTTCTGCATTTCTGTGGGATAGATTGTAATGTCACCTTTGTCATTTCTGATTGTGCTTATTTAGATCTTCTCTCTTTTTTCTTTATTAATCTAGCTAGCAGTTTGCTGATCTTGTTTATCCTTTCAAAAAGCCAACTTTTGGTTTCATTGATTCTTTGAATGGAATTCAGAGTCTCCATTTTGTTCAGTTCTCATCTAATTTTAGTTATTTATTTTCTTCTAGTAACTTAGGGTTTTGTTCTTGTTTTTCTAGTTTCCCTGGGGGTGATGTTAGATCATGAATTTGAGATCTTTCTAACTTTTTGAGGTGGACATTTAGCACTATAAACTTTCCTTTTAACATTGCTTTTGCTGCATCCCAGAGATTTTGGTATGTTGTGTCTCTGTTTTCATTTATTTCAAATAATTTCTTGATTTCTGCCTTAATTTTGTTGTTTATCCAAAAGTAATTCAGAAGCAAGTTTTTAAATTTCCATGTAATTTTGTAGTTTTGAGAGATCTTCTTGGAATCGATTTTCATTTTTATTCTACCACATTTTGACTATGGCTGGTATGATTTCAATTTTTTTTAATTTATTGAGACTGAACATGAGATTGAACATGTGATCAATCCTGAAGTATGTTCCATGTGCAGATGAGAATATATATTCTGTGGTAGATGGGTGGAATGTTCTGTAGATGTCTCTTAGGTCCAATTAGTCAAGTGTCGAATTTAAGTCCAGAAATGTCTTTGTTAGTTTTCTGCCTTGATGATCTAAGGCTATCAGTGGGGTAATGAAGTCCCCCACTATTATTGTGTGACTGTCTGTGTCTTTTTGTAGGCCTAGAAGTACTTGTTTTATGAATCTGGGTGCTCCAATGCTGTGTGGGTATATATTCAGGATAGTTAAGATTTCTCATTGAATTGAACTTTTTATCCCTAATGATTCTATAAAACAGTTGCTACTACTATTCCCATTTTTCCCCATAGATAAGAAAAATTGTGGCTTAGAGAAGGCAAGTCACTTGTCCAACGTAGTAAAGTGCATATTAGGATTCTCAGATTAATCTGACTCTTAACCATTCCCTTATTCTACCCCCATTCAGGACTCTCTTATCTCCAGGACAACTCCCTCAACTAGCTCAAACAAGGAGAGTTGTTTACTAAAAAAATACCATCGACAATCCCTTAGACATCCAGTGCAGAAAAGTAAATACTGTAGGACCACCTGGGAAATACAGCTAAGAAGCCAGGAATCAAGACTATTCCCACCAGCTCTCATCACCTGATTCTTTGTAGTGTCTACTGCAAATTTATACAATATTTTTTCAAAATCTGGGGGCTTCGGTTTCTATAAGACCAATGTCTGTCTATTTCCAATGTCTGAATCACCCTCTGATAGGTGTCTTATTAGAGAATTTATCATATATTTGTTGATATGGAATAAAGATAACTCTTTAATTTGATTTCCTCAACTACTACTAAAAATAAAAACTAAATTCTGACTTGAATTAGTCTGGGATTTTAACACACAGTGAAATGTTCTGTTTTCATCTGGTATTCTCGTATGTTGTTGAGGCAGGGTCTCACTCATCACTCAGGTTGCAGTGTAATGGCTCAGTCAGTCATGGCTCACTCTAGCTTTGATCTCCTAGATTCAAGTGATCCTCCTATCTCAGCCTCCCAAATAGCTGGGACTACAGGCACATGCCACCATGCTTGGCTAATTGTTTTAATTTCTTTTTTTGTAGAGACAGTGTCTCACTATGCTGCCCAGGCTGAGCTCAAACTCCTGAGCTCAAGTGATCTTCCTACCTCAGCCTCCCAAAGTGCTGGGATTACAGGCATGAGCCACCATGCCCCGCCTGGTATGCTTTTAAACGTAGAAGCTAATGCAAATCACAGAGCCCTATAGGAAGATGGTAAATGCACTTATCTTCTCAGGTGAATAGACTTCAATAACTACCCTCTCCTCATGAAAATTTTTTTAAGGTTTTGCAATTGGTTTATACAACATTTCTATGTAAAAAGTCTCCCCTACCCCATTTCTGTAGTTTGTCTATATAAAGACAGAAAGAAGAGATACTGCTATAATTATGCAATCTAGGGCCCTTTCCTTAAGGCCAGTAGTTCTATTACTTCAGTGCTGTATTCCATTAATAGAATCACATTCCAGTACAAAGCACAGAGCTTGGAATAGAGCCCAGTTCTCCTGACTTCCAGCCTAGAGCCTGTTCTAAAAGTTGTTCAGATGCATGGGGGATGCAGGGGGTGGACAATTGGGAATGAGTGGTTTGTGTGTGACCCAAAACAAAAGAACACGAAGCATCAAATGGTCAGCCCTTTTCCTTTCTCTCCATTTAACACCATGATGTTACCTGGCACTGTATCTGGTTGTGATATAAGAACATGATGGTTTCTGAGTAAGGTTCTGTGTGTGCATGTATGTTCTGTAAATATCTGTTTATTGATATGTTTCTTCTACTGGACTGCAAACTCACTTATAGCAATCATGGTGCTTATTTATTTTTATATCTCCATCACCCAGAATATGGCCTGACATGTAAAAGGCATGCAAAAAAAATGTTTTTGGGAGGAAGGAAGCCAGGAAGGAAGGAAGGGTGGGAAGGAGGGAAAGAGGGAGGGCTACACAATTTGCCTCAAATGAAGGTTCTATTTAAAAGATTCAACCAAAAAGTGAAAGTAAAATAAATCTGTGGCTACTTGAGAAAAGTAGAAAAACTTTCTTATTTGCCTGAGGAGTAGAAGTCCTCTGCATTCCCTTCTCTTTTGTTCCCCCTTTCCTTCCTTGTTTCAACTTACTAGTTTCAAATGATTTTTAAAAATGAATAATGCTACATAGAGAAAAGACTGGAGAAAAGATAACGAAATGCTGTAATAATAGAAGTTGTCAAAAAAGAAAAAGAAAATATATTTAAAAAGACGAAAAGTCAGAATAAGCAATAAAAAGTATACAAGTGATAGAAAATATGTAATATAAAGACACTAACCATGATTCAATATTAACTACTTCAAAATGATCTGTCAGTTGCAATGCATGAATTGCATTGTCAAAACATTTCACACGAAGAAAAAGAACATGCCAATCATGGCAGGAGGAAAGAGAAAGGCCAGGACTAATATTGATGGTGTGATCATTAGTTCCCAAAACAAGGAAAGGAAGTAGCTGTATGAATGTTTCTCTGAGAAAATATGAGAGATTCCATAACCCTAAATTGTTGCCTGTGGATTATAAACAGTGATTCTTGGACTTGCTCCGGGTCTAAACCATCTGAGAGTCATGGGACCTTTCTAATCTGGTAGAGGCACTTGCACTCCACTAGGAGTCATTTGGTAAGTAGCATGAACCAAAGATTTTCCTTTTTGTTATGAGGAGGAAATTATTGTCATATTTCTTTTTCGCTTACTTCTTTTCTTCCTGCAAAGTGAAAAAAAAAGAGTAATTATTCAACATTAGAACATCTCAGGTCAGTCAGAGTTCCACAGGAGTATGGTTGAAACTCAGTGGTTAGAAACAACCACTCAGTGATTCATTCACTCAACAAATATTTATTGAGCATCTAACATGAACTAGACTCTGTGAACACAGGAACGAACATGACCAACAAGGTTCTTGTCTTTGAGAAGATTCCATTCTTGTGGGAGAGGACAGATAATAAACCAAGGGACAGAAAACATCTTCTCTGAGATTCCATCCTTCTCCCGCCAACCTTCTCCTCCTCCCTTATACTCCAGGCACATTGGAGAACACTGGCCTTCTTTCCATTCTTAAAATATGCCAAGCCCAGTCCTGGCTCAGGGTCTGTACCTTCGCTCTTCCCTCTGGCTGGCAAGCTCTGCAACCAGATCTTCACATTGCTTCCTCCTCTTCACTGAAGGCTCAGCCAAGATGTCACCTCTCAAAGAAGCCTCCCTGATCATCCCCTAAAATAGGCCTCCCTCAAGCTCTATCCATTTCTATTTTATTTTCTTTACATCTCTTACTCATTGAAACTGTGTTATTTATGTACTGACTTGTTAAATTCTCAGTCTCTCCCACTAGAATGTCAGAGCCACAACAGCATGGGTTTTACCTGTTTTGTTCACTTCTATATCTCATGCATTTACAACAGTACTGTTAGAAATGTCCATTTACCCACATGCCTAATGACAAAGTATCTATAGTCAGAGGGCCTAATCTATTATCTGCACTGTGATATCTGGTCTCTCTAGATGGCCCCTAGTGAGTTGGTATTCACATCTTGTGTAGTTCTCTCACCTTGAATCTGGACTAGCCCTATGGCTTACCTTTGACCAAGAGAATGCAGCATAGGAAAAGCTGCATGACCTCCAACTGTCTCATAGGAAGCCTTGGAGATTCTACCTTGGTGTTATAGGACACATGGTCTGGAGGATGCCAGAGAACAAGTTAAAAAAAATCCAACTGTACTGAGATGGCCATGCTGTAAGGCAGCCAAAGCTAGCCACGTGGAGCACTGCACAGACACTGAAATGCTCAGCTAGCCTTCAGCTCTTCCAGCCATCCCAGCTGAAGCACCAGACCTGGGAATGAAAATTCCATCTTGCACATCCAGCTTAGCTGAGTCTTCAAATGACTTCAAACCCGGCCTTTATCTGAGTGCAAATGCATGAGTGATCACAAGTGACAACCATTCAGCTGAGCCCAGTCAATCCACAGAACCATGAGAGGTAATAATAAATTATTGTTTTAAGCCACCAGGTTTTGAGGTGGTTAGTTGTACACCAACAGATAACTGCAAAATGCAGCCACCAAAGATAACTCTAGATTCAAACATTTCTTTCCCCACAAACATTGTATTCACACCTGAAGGTCCTTGGGCTTTCTCTCCAACACACTCTCCTACAAGATATGTGTCTTTGCCACTAACAAAATTTGTTTGGCACATTCACTCTCCTACAACCCTAAAAGTACCCCCCTGCAAGTCTGGAAAACTGGATCTTTGTTCTCATGAGACGACTGTAATTTTGGCCAAGTCACTGAACTCCGTGAAAGCTTGGGCTCTTCTCTGAAAAATGATGGTGGAATTTTATTTTTAAATTGTGTTCAGTGTGTGGCAGGCCAAATAGAAATTAAGAAAGAACACAAATATATTAAACAGATACAAGTAGAAGAGTTTTAATTGAAGCAGGAGAGACTGCATTGAAATAGCAGCAGGAAATAGGCCCAGGAGTCAGAACACCTGAGTTCAAGTGCTGGGTCCTCCCCTCACTAGACCAAAGAGCCCTGGCCTCCTACAGAACCCAGCATGAAAACCACCATGCTGGATGATCACAGGGACCCTCCCAATTCACACATCGTGATCTGTAACATTTGCCATATACAAAATAGGCATGTACTTTAAAACTCTGAGATAGATATTAATGTATTGTTTCTGTGGCATCATTTATTTTAATTCTTAAAAAATAACATGAACTGGAAGAGTTTTTTTTACTGCTTCTGCTTTCTCAATTAACCAGATTTAAATTAGTGTTACAAAACTATCCTCTGGCCCCTGGACCAGTAAGCCCTTGCCATCTTGCCTATTCCTCTGAGCATGAGTGCTAAGCATAGTGGTTGCTTCATCTCTAGGAAGAGAAATAGAAGATTTCAAATATCTCAATCTGCAGTGTCACTTGGCTTTGGAAATATTGGCTTAAAACTACTCTACTAAATTTTTAAATCTTATTTTCAAAGTCCTCCAGCATAGAAGATTCCATAATCTACTACAGAGTTCCATTCCAATGTTTCATGGTTATATTCATTGGGAACCTTTTCTTCATATTGACATAAATCATTCAACAAAGGTAGCCATTCAGATAATGCTTCTCAACTTTCATTCTTACAATTTTTTTGAAAGTCTTAGAATTAAGTTCTTAATTGTCACTGTGTGTTTCTCTTCTGAACTTGCCCCCTTTTTCCTATTTTCTTCTTTGGACACTGGCTTTAATTGAAAACAGGAATGGTCTGAGAAGTGTTCCTGGAATTCTTTTACTTATAAAATATCATGCATAGTTAAGTTATCACAGAGCTTCCAGGTTTCATCTTGATAAGGTCATTAACATCTTCTAAAACCTATCATCAGACAATATGCAAAAACTTACAGGCATGTGATGATACTTACCTATACTTATATTGGTTAATAAATACCCCACCACATGTTTTAAGTTAGGTAACTATAATATTTGACCATACATTGTGTATTAGTCGATTCTCACACTGCTATAAGGAATTACCTGAGATTGGGTAATTTATAAAGAAAAGAGGTTTAATCAGCCATGGTTCTGTGGGCAGTGCAGACTTCTGCTTCTGGGGAGGCCTCAGGAAACTTACAATCATAGTGAAAGGCAAAGGGGAAGCAAGCACCATCTTCACATGGTGAAGCGAGAGAGAGGTGAGAGAGAGAGAGAGAGCGAGAGAGAGCGAAAAGGGGGAGGTGCTACACACTTTCAAACAACCAGATCTCATGAGAACTCTATCACAAGACAGCACTAGGAGGGTGGTGCTACACCATTAGAAACCACCACTATGATCCAATCACTTCCCACCTCCAACACTCGGGATCCCAATTCAACATGAGATTTGGGTGGGGACACAGAGCCAAACCATATCACCTTGCAACCAAATCTCCACTCAAGTCTCCAAACACATTATTTGTACTCTGCCCCCAAGAGTATGAACAGATGCACAGTGTATGTGCTCAATGTTAAGGAAGGCCAATATCTGACCAATATCAAACATCAAAGCTGTTTGCATAGAAGCTCCCACCCACCAAAGGTGTTATGTCTGGCATCTTCTACCAAAGTGGTTTTAAAAACTAGAAAAAGTATCAGCTAGAAATCTTCTTTGCTTTTGCCAGGCATGGTGGCTCACGCCTGTAATCCCAGCACTTTGGGAGGCCAAGGTGGGCAGATCACCAGGTCAGGAGTTCGAGACCAGCCTGGCCAATATGGTGAAACCCCGTCTCCACTAAAAATACAAAAATTAGCTGGGCGTGGTGGTGTGTGCCTGTAGTCCCAGCTACTCGAGAGGCTGAGGCAGGAGAATTGCTTGAACCCAGGAGGCAGAGGTTGCAGTGAGCTGAGATCGTGCCACTGCACTCCAGCCTGGGCAACAGAGCGAGACTCTTTCTCAAAAAAAAAAAAAAAAAAAGAAAGAAAGAAAAGAAAAGAAATCTTCTTTGCTTTTAAAAACAAGAATTTGGATTCCCAGAGACTTAGAGGAAGAAAAATAATGTCTCTTATTGGTACAATATCAAAGGGCATCCTAAAACATATTTTAGGCATAATCTTTTTATCTTGTCTCCTCTCACATATCATAGGCATAATCTTACATCTCTATTTTGTCACATGGCAATGACATTTCCTTTATTGTTTATCTGCCGTGCCTCTTGAATACTATATTCCATATATTACTGTAGAATAGCCCCAAGAATAAACAAATTAGGCAGTTGTTTAACAATGCCTTTTAAACGTAAGCAAACATCAGTAGGTAAAATATTGTAGCTTACTTGCTCCTTTCTAATTCTTCCACTCTAGGAAAAGACTGATATTTTCCCTACCAGCCCTGCCTTCCACTTCAACCTCACCTGCTCCTTCTCACTTAAAACCACACCATTGGAAGTCCTTATACCATGCACTAAAGAACTTTAAGCTATTTTAGGGTAACTGAGTGCTCTTTATTTGAGCCATAAGCCCATGCTAAGACTGCTTTGAATACTTGCCCTTACTCATGCATTAAAAGAGGGCTGACCATGATTTCTCAAAAGGGTAAACATAGACTACCATATGACCCAGCAAGTCTACTCCTAGGTATATATCCAAAAGAAATGAAATCAGGGACTCAGACAAACATTTGCACACCCATGTTCATAGCAGCATCATTCACAATAGACAAAAGCTAGAAACAACCCAAGGGTCCATCAACAGATAAACGGGCAACCCAAATGTGGTATATACATGCAATGGAATATCATCCAGCCAAAAAAAAATGAAATTTGGATATATGCTATGACATGGATTGACCTTGAAAACATTACACTGAGTGAAACAAGCCAGACACAAAAGGAAAAATATTGTATGATTCCACTAATGTGAGGTACCTAAAACAGACAAATTTATAGAGACAGAAAGTAAACTAGAGGCTACCAGAGGCTGGGAGGAGGTGAGAAAGAAAGAGTTATTGTTTAATGTATTTAATGGGAGTTTATGCCAAGGATGATAAAAAAAAGTTTTGGGTACAGATAAGTGGTGATAGTTAAATAACATTGTGAAAGTGTTGAATGCCACTGAATTATACACTTATTAAAATGATAAATAGTAATGTTATGTATATTTTACCACAATAAATAAATTACTTAGCGGGGAAAAGTCAGTCTGATCTGAGCTCTGTAATGAGAAGTTGGAGTGCACCTGAGATCTGAGAGTCCTCATCCAGAGTTTGGGAAATTGACAACCTCATCTCTGTTCCAAACCTATCCCTATTCTGAGGAGGGTGGGGATCTAGAGGTGAAGGCATCAGGAATGTCCCCAGGAAGAGGCAACTATGGGCACCAAGGAGACAGCCTTCAAGCTTTCAGGTCACCCAGAGTTTTCCCCATCCCACCTAGCACAGCTCCTATAGCAAAGCAGTCAGTGGTCAGGAAAGAAAAAGAGAGAGAGGCCTGACTAAGCCAACTCTTCTGGAATTTATGTAAGCTTTTTCTTTTACTTATTTTTCAAATGTCACAAACATCAATTTTGGAGCAAGCAGGCTACAAAAAGATGCTTTTGTTCTCTCAGCCTAATGATATATATGTAAAAAGAGAAGGAATAAGAAAACTTTGGAAAGAACTTGCACCTCCAAAATGTTTGAAGTTATTTAGAAGGTTAGGTGTTTTACACACACATACACCCTACAAACTACATACATACATGTACATACTATGGTTGTATAGTCTTTGTAATACTCTTAAATCTAAACTTTATTTTAAGAGAAAAATGAAGGACTTGCAGCCCCAGAACATAGTTAGTCGTTTTTTCCCAGGCATGTCATGCTCTACTGTTGCCACTTGTAATTGTTTTGAAGTCAAGTCAGGCTTCCAATAATAACGTTTATATTAATTATTCTAATTGTCAACTACTCCATTGCAAATTAGAAAACCACCAATACAAATGTCATTTGCTATAACAAGTCAATGTTTATACAAGCTTGCCCAACCTGCAGCCCAGAACAGCTGTGAATATAGCCCAATACAAATTCATAAACTGTCTTATAACATGGTGACATTTATGCACGGATTTTTTTTTTTTTTTTGAGACAGGGTCTCACTCTGTTGCCCAGACTGGAGTGCAGTGGTGCATCTTGGCCCACCACAACCTCCATCTCCCAGGCTCAAGTGATTCTCCTGCCTCAGCCTCCCAAATAGCTGGGATTACAAGCGCCTGCGCCACCTCACCCAGCTAATTTTTGTATTTTTAGTAGAGATGGGGTTTCACTAGGTTGGCCATGCTAGTCTCGAACTCCTGACCTCAAATGATCCACCCGCCTCGGCCTCCCAAACTGCTGGGATTACAGGCGTAAGCCACCGTGCCTGGCCCCTGCACAGACCTTTTTTAAAGCTCATCATCTATCCTTAGTGTTAGTATATTTTATGTGTGGCCCAAGACAGTTCGTCTTCTTCCAATGTGACCCAGGGAAGCCAAAAGATTGGACACCCCTGATTGAGAACAATGCCTGGAACTTTGTAGCTCTCAAAAGTTTGTTCAATGAATGAATGAGTGAATGCTTCCAATACAAAACCTTAGAACAGGCAAGTCAAAATGTCACCAAAAGGTGGGAAGAAGAGGCATTCACGGTACTGGTTGAGTGCATAGTAAATAAGGTACTTGCACAACTATGGGCAACAAAGAGACGGCTTGGGAATTATCAAACACCAATTTTGATTTTGATGAGAACAGTCATAACCCAATATTTGAAGATTTTGATGGTTGCTTCTTCTTTGCCCCTCTAACCACCCCCCCCACCCCAGAACGATGAAGGGTTAACCAAAACACCACCAAAGGCAACTACTTATTACCTTTGTTATTCCCACATAAAAAATTGAGCAGACCTATTGTTTAAGCAGAAGAGGCAGTCCCTCAATGAAGCAATATCCTGTTTGAATAATTTAGGATGGGGCATAGGCCAGCCCACACAGCGCATTTGTGTGACAGGGCGTCCCACTCAGACGTCTCCATTTCCGGTATCTAGAGCCGGCTGCCCTCTAAAAATCCCCCTGTTACAGTCGGGATAGAAAACAAAAAGCTTAATTTACCAGGAGGCTAAACAGATTGTGCCTTCTTAGGCAAATGTTCCACCTGCTTGGCCAATTAGCTTCCTCTCCCGAAAGACTCGTTCAACAGGTTTCCTTTTTCTCTTCTCTGCCTCCTGGGTTGGGGAAAGAGGCTGTCACTTCGCTTCGACCCTCCCCTTCCCTCCCTCTCGGCTTTTCCACAGTGGGTCGGACCAATCGCGCCCGCTCCGACGTGTCCAGGTCCGCGGCCCCGGGAGCTTGGCGCGGCCCGGCCTGGATGCGCTGGGCGGAGGGTGCAGGGGAGGGCACGGCGCCGCTTGCTTGGCCTGCGCACCCGGACCTAGAAGCCGGGACGAGCCGGGGCAGAGCCAGGCGCGCGGAAGTCTGAAGGTGCCCTCCAGACACGGCCCCGATGACTGAACTACAGCAAGATGTGGAAGACACAAAGCCTGCGAAAGTGCTCGGGAAGAGGGAGAGCAAACTTGGCTCAGCCCAGTGAGTATTCTCAGCTGGGACCCATCCAAGGAGGTGGGAGGAGCGCAGCCTAAACTTCTCTGCCCCGGGACGCATTTTGGGTGGATGCGGATTTCTGGAGCTCCTATATGGACAATCTTGTGGCGCGCTCTCTCTGTCTCTCACTCTCTCTCTCTGTCTAGATATTCAGTTAAGGAGATGGTTTAGATTGATTGAAAAGTCTACTGTAGGATTTAAACAAATTCTCTTAATTCAAAACTCACTGGATGTTGGGAAAATAATTTTGTAGAAAATAAGCCTAACCACATTGAAGCTCAAAGTCCCAACACAGCCCTTCGTTTAGAATGACCATTTTCACAAATTCATTTTAGTTCAGCAAATAATTGAGTATCTACTTGTTCAATAACGATGGGCAATACAAGGATAAATGTTATTTTGGATCTGCCCTTCTGGAACTTCAAGAGCAGAGTGGGGATGGGGGAGGCACAAATGAATATTACTGTACTTCAAGGGACTTTGGTGACCATTGCCACATTAAACACACAGACAAGGTATGATAAAGAGTTTAGCCTATAATTGAGTCTTCTCTACTTTTAAAATATTTATCTATTTTGCAGTCTTTGGTAAAATTGGTTTGGGAGGAGAGGTTGTTTTTTTCCTACAAAGTGGTATTTTCTAAGCCTACTGAAGTCACTTCTAATTCAGTCTATGATTTTAGACACTAACCCTTCTGAGCTCTAAAACTCTTGTTCTGGTATCAGGATATGAGTAATTTAGGAAGGAGGGATATGTATTATCATAAGGTTATACTGATGTGATAATTCCACTTTGAAATCATTTTAAGTTGCCAAATTTTTGTGCTTAGAAACCCGGTCTAACTTCTGTTTTGAACTTCATAACTTACATTAATTATCACTAGGCTCAAAGTCTTGTTGAAGTCTGGGTGTCCCCATGGACATTTCTTCTAAGAGGATTAGAATGACTTGCTCCTCACAATTTCCCTGCGTCTGTAACTGCACCCATGTAGACCTCATCACCTAGAGCCTTAGCCTCCTAAATAATAGTAGCTGGCACTTACTGAGAATGCTTACTATGTGACAGGGAGTGTGCTCAATACTTTAAATGCATTCTCACAAAGAATGAGGCAGGTGCTATTATTTCCATGTTGCAGATAAAAGCACTGAAGCTCTGAGAAGCTAAGCAGCTAGGCAGAGTCACAAAGTTAATAAAAGAGCAGCCAGGATTCAAGCCCAGGTCTCCTAACTTTACAGCATGAACTTAGAACCACTATGCTGTACACTGGTTCCTCTGTTCCAGAATCTATGATGGCCTTCCATGGCCTACTCTTAAAAATAGGCTTCTCTGCCAAGATTTTAAGATCCTTCATGATCTGGACCCACACAGACCATTGCAACCTCACTTCCTAATACTAGTCAGCATGCACATCTTTTATAGCCAAACAATCATACTAGCAGCCCTATACTTAAAGGAGTGATATGCAGCACTCCCATGTTCATTGCACATTACTCACAATAGCCAAGATATGAAATCAACCTAAGTGTCCATCAACAGATGAATGGATAAGAAAATGTGCTATATACACAAGATACGAAATCAATCTAAGTGTCTATCAATGGATAAAGGGATAAGAAAATGTGGTATATATACACAATATTATTCAGCCTTTAAAAAGAAAGATCATTTGTGACATGGATGAACCTAGAGGACGTATGTTAGACAAAATAAGCCAGGAATAGAAAAACAAACACTGCATGTTCTCACTTAAGTGTGACATCTGAAAAAGTTGACTCAGGCCAGGCAGGGACTGTGGCTCATGCCCATAATCCCAACACTTTGGGAGGCCGAGGCTGGAGGATCACTTGAGCCCAGGAATTTAAAACCAGCCTGGGCAACAAAGTGAGACCCTGTCTCTACAGACAAAAAAAAATAAGTTAAGCATGATGGCGCACACCTGTGGTCCCAGCTGCTCGGGAGGCTGAGGTGGGAGAATCTCTTGAGCCCAGGCAGTTGAGGCTACAGTGAGCCATGTTCATGCCACTACATTCCAGCCTGGACACAGAGTGAGACCCTGTCTCAAAACTAAAATTTAATTTAATTTAAAAATAAATTTAGAAGTTGGATTCATAGAAATAGAGAGTAGAATGGTGGTTTCCAGGCGCTGGAAGGTAGAAAGGGTGGGGAAGGAGGGAATAGGGAGTTGATCAGAGGGTACGAAGTTTCAGTTAGGAGGAATAAGTTTTGAGTTCTATTGCACAGCAAGGAGATTAGTGAATAATAATATGTTGTATATTTCAATATAACTAAGAGTAAATTTCAAATGTCTCACCATAAAAAATGATAGGTAAGCAAGACCATAGGTATGTTGCTTGATTTAATCATGCCACATTGTATACATATACCAAAACATTACCCTGTACCCCATAAATGTAAACAATTATGATTTGTCAATTAAAAATAATATTAATTTTAAAATAATTTAAAAATATATTTCTTATAAAATTCAAAAAAAGAAGTGATATGCAGAAGGAATAAGGAACTGGTATGCCAAACATAGGAGCAAATGAATCCCCTTCTGTCTTCACTTTTCCTTACTGCTATTCCTTTCCCCTCTCTCCTCTCTCTTCATCTACTTCTAGAAATCAACTCAAGTTTTCCTTCATGTGAAGCCTTCCTTCATTACTGGCCATACTCATCTCTTCTTTACCAGTGCTCACCTTGTACATATGTGGCTTCCGCCTCATAGAATTTATCTGCTGTTATTATGACGATTAATTAACAATTAATGTTTATTGACAGTTTAGTTTGTACAAAGTACTGTTTCAAGTTGTTAACATATATTAATTCACCCACTAATCCAGTTGTATTAGTTATCTTTCCTCTAAATAGGTTGCAGACTCAGATTACATTTTTCCTTATTGAATTTCTCAGAGGACCCAACCAACAGTCACTTTCAAGTACCATCTGTTGGTGAGCTGGGGAAGCTAAGACCCCAGACCCAGTAGTTAAGATATATACTGTAATACGCTTGTAGCTGACATTCAGCTTGACTATGTCAGGGGAAATTCTATGTTTAAAATTTTTCTTAATCACATTTCCTATCAGTAGCGGTTAGAATTTCTAGGTACATTTACTTGCCCGAGAGCTGTGGCTAATTTGTTCATCTTTGTGCTAGAAGGTGAAGCTGCTGATACACTCATCACCGAACTGCATATTTGATTAAAAAATACAATGAATCCCTTTCTGACCAAGAATAAGTACTTTAGCTGTATATTTCCTTTTGAGATCCTAATTTTCTCCACTTTTATTACCTTTTTCATTCTGAATTTTATGTTCCCAGTACTTTAATAGTCGTAGCGTAGCCAGACTTTTTTTGACACACATTTTTGTTTTCCTTCAAGAGGCCAGAATACCCTTGCTCTAACTTTTGTTTGTTTGTTTGTTATTTAAGTTCTGGGGTACCTGTGCACAACGTGCAGGTTTATTACATAGGAATACATGTGCCATGTTGGTTTGCTGCACCCATCAACCCATCATTTACGTTAGGTATTTCTCCTAATGCAATCCCTCCCCCAAACCCCTACCCTTGACACACATTTTATGAAACACACCTTTATTTCTTAAAGTTTCTTCTGGATCTCATTTAGTAATATCCAGGTTACTTTTAATGAATTTCAACAAGTACCCAAATACCCAAAATGATGCTGATATATTCTGAGCAAAAGTTATCTTGATTCATGTTTCAAATAACGAATTAAATTACATGTAATATCATTCAAATTGCAATTTGAATTTTTAACATTTGAACTTTAATAACTTGAGGTGTAAGAATTTTAGAAATATGTCCAACTCCATACGGATGTAGGAAAAGGATAGATGTGGGCAACAAGAACATTTACCTTAAAAGGAAGCGCTCTGGTATTATCAATAAAGGTTGGTTATTTTTAGTATATATTTTTACTTAAAATAGTGAATTCAAGTAAAAATAAATGACCGCAGTGGCAACATCTCTCATCTAAACTATCCATCTTTGTGCATGGCATGTTGGAGTACTTGACAAACAGAACACAGATTGAAGTTGGGAACTGATCCTGAATTAGAAGCAAGAGAAATAAAGGCAAATAATTGTTGGACCTAACTCAGTTTCTTAGTGCTTACTTAATTCCAAACTTTGAAAGCTCCCATTTAGCAAAAGAAGATTATCTCTCTATCTATGTATGTGTGTGCATATAATTTTTTTT
The DNA here is from genome assembly GCF_000001405.40 of Homo sapiens. Lineage (NCBI taxonomy): Eukaryota > Metazoa > Chordata > Mammalia > Primates > Hominidae > Homo > Homo sapiens. Next base: position 126,427,928 of record NC_000005.10, read on the forward strand.
TTAATTTCCAGGTCATCAGATCTGACAGGCTGGGTGTGGTAGCTCACTATAATCCAGCATTTTGGGAGGCCGAGGCAGGTGGATCACTTGAGGCCAAGAGTTTGAGACCAGCCTGGCCAACATGGTGAAACCCCGTCTCTACTATAAATACAAAAATTAACCAGGCGTGATGGTTCATGCCTGTAATCCCAACTACTAGGGAGGCTGAGGTGAGAGACCTGGGAGGCAGAGGTTGCAGTGAGCCAAGATCATGGATCATGCCACTGCACTCCAGCCTGGGCAACATAACAAGATCCAGTTCACTTTTCATTATAAACTTTGGGGTAGGAAAGAATGATGTATAACATGTTTTAACATATATTCACCCACTAATCCACTAAATATGGGCCTTCAATATATGAAAACTCATATTTTAAAATGGTATACATATTATATTTATAAATTATATTAAACAAATTATATTAAAGTATGACACCCAATAGAGGAGTTTTTAAAAATGGAGAAAAATAAACAGTGTGTGTTCTAGTTTGAAAGGTTTTGAAAAAAATATATAGTGAACCAAATCAGCTCTATGACTGGAGGTTAATATCTCAGAAAATGCTGATTTATCTGGGCAGTACATGAAGTAGTTAAGAATGCAGGCTCTAGGAAACTAGTATTTGAATTCTGGCTTTCCTGTCTCCTACAGGTGTGACCTGGCAAGTTACTCAGCACCTCTAAGTCTCTGTTTCATCATCTATAATGGGGAGTACTTAAGTCAGCTATTTGATACAGGCTTGCTTTGAAGTTTAAATGGGAAATGTAAGAACAGACACTTTTCAAAAGAAGACATATATACAGCCAACAATCATGAAAAAAAGCTCTACATCACTAATCATTAGCGAAACGCAAATCAAAACCACAATGAAATTCCATCTCACACCAGTCAGGATGGCAATTATTAGAAAGTCAAAAAAATAACAGATGCTGGCAAGGTTGCAGAGAAAAAAGAATGCTTATTCACTGTTGCTGGGGGTGTAAATTAGTTTGACCATCGTGGAAGACAGTGTGGCAATTCCTCAAATACCCAAAGACAGACATACCATTCAACTCAGCAATCCCTTTACTGGGTATATACCCAGAGGAATATAAATTGTTCTTTTATAAAGACACATGCATGTGTATGTTCACTGCAGCACTCTTCACAATAGCAAAGACATGGAATCAACCTAAATGCCCATCAATGGTAGACTGCATAAAGAAAATATGGTATATATACACCATGGAATACTATCCAGCCATAAAAACGAGATCACATCCTTTGCAGGGACATGAATGGAGCTGGAGGCCATTATCTTTAGCAAACAAATGCAGGAACAAAAAACGAAATACCACATGTTCTCACTTATAAGTGGGAGCTAAATGATGAGAACACATGGACACACAGAGGGGAACAACACACACTGGGATCTATTGGAGGGTGGAGGGTGGGAGGAGGGAGAAATCAGGAAAAATAACTAATGGGTACTAGGTTTAATACCTGAGTGACAAAATAATCTGTATAACAAACCCCCATGATACAAGTTTACCTATATGACAAACCTGCATATGTACCCCTGAACTTCAATGTTAAAGAAAAAAGTAAAATAAAAAAGAAATGTACTTCACCTAGTGCCTACATATTATCAGCTCTCTATAAACTGTAGCTGTATTAGACCTCACTTTTTAACATCTGGGACATGCTATGGGGTGGAGGTGGGAGGATGACATGAAATGTAATTAAACTAAATGGTCAAACTTCAAAGAGGTCAAATGCTTACAGTAGCCTGCAACAATGTTCCATAAAGTGACCGTGAGGACTCTTGTGACAGCACCTGAGCATTTCTTTGAATCTAACCAGGTGTGTTGGTTTTTACTTTATGCTAAAAGGATCTCATGCCATGAGTATTTTGTGACCTTCCAGCTAATTTAAATATTGCTTACTGATTTGGTGTTATACATCTGTTGTCCAATACTTCTATCCATCATCCACTGATTCCACATTCTGCTTCCTGGCACTGAGCTTTTTACTCATGGACTCTCAGCTTTAAACTGTTTCCACTTGCTAAACTTCAACAGAACTGTCCTTTAACACCTTTCTAATTTTTTAAATGTTCAGCTTTAGCCACTTTGCACATTTTCAAATGTAATAAAGCAAAGATCCTTGAGAGAGGTTCCTCCTCAGCCACCTTAATGACTGCTTCTTTATCCTTAAAGAGGAGTGTTTTATCCGAAGTTTGATTCGTTACCTTGAGAAGAGAAGCAGAACCAACTTAAACTAAATTTCCTTAAGTAGACTAATTTACATTCCCTAAGATAGACATATGTAGCCGTCATTGGTCACTCCACGTATGTCAAAGATTTCTGTATTTATAATGGACATGATGTCCCAAGATGCATAGTATTTGTAACAACTTTATTGAGTTTTTACCTCATAAAATTTACCCATTTCCAGGTGTAATTCCATGACTCTTAGTAACATTACCAAGTGATGCACCATCACCATAACCCAGTTTAAGAACATTTTCATCCCTCCAGTGATATCCCTCAGGTACATTTATTCTTAATCCTTATTTCAATTCCCAACCCCAGCTCTAGGCAATCACTACCTACTCCCTATCTCTATGAATCTGCCTTTTCTGGGTATTTCGTAGAAATCTTTGTTCCATAGGCTTGATTTAAAGACAATTAGATTAGATCTTTTACTAAGCCTTTTACTCTATAAATATATGTCTTTTCACAAGAAAAAAAGAAAAAGAAAAGAAAGGGCTTTCATGTAGCAAAAGAAACAAGATTGTAAGCATCTTAAAGACAGGTCAGTGCCTTATACTTTGTAACAATAAACATCTGTTGAATGTTGACTAAGTGACATTCATACTTAAGGTTTTGAAAACTTCCCAAACCACAACATCAAAGATAACTCAGGCTGTGATACTTGGGTACTTTTGTTTATGACCTCTTAAAATTTTGCAACTAATATTTATTACTGGTTTTTTTAAGTGACAGAATTGGAACATAATCTTCCCATATGGGTTGATATTTTTTAAAGAAATACATGTATAAAGTCAGAAATTAAAACAATATAGATAGATACAAAATGAAAAACGGAGGCCTTCATCCTGTCTCCCACCTTATAGTTCCTTGTCTCAAAGTTAACACTTCCCAACGTTTTGGTCTTTTTTTCTTACGCTATTGTCATTTTAAGGCCGGAATCAAGTTTTTTATTGATTAGTTTTCTTTTTTTTTAGACTATCCAACTTTAGCCGACTATAAATGTGTTGAACTTGGCGACTTGAAGCATCTCGTGAGATTGTTATGATTAAGTGTGATCACACAGTATCTGCACACCATAGGAGAGCTCAGTAAATGGCAGGCATTACTCTCAAATACTATTTTTTCCAAGCTTCTTTGCAGAATAGTTATCCACCCATAAAATGAATTCATAGTTTTAACAGTAGTAAACAAACCCATTAGAATATGATCTTATGGTGATGACCTTAGCAAGGTAGACCCCCAGTGTTAAACAGAGGAATTGTGACTGAGCCATCCTGCCAATTCATTTTCTTAATCTCTTCTGTTCCTCTCTTCTAGTCTGGATGATCCTAGACAGACCCCCTAATTAGATGAGGTAGTGATATCTGGGCCACCCTCTGAACAATTCAATAGAGGGCACAATGGTGATATGACCTGTTTTAAAAGGGAAGAGACCAAGGTAAGAGAAGTGGAAATGTGAAGTTGGAGAAAGTGAGTAAAGAGATGAGGAGAAAATAGAAGAGAGTTGGGAAAAGAGAGAGGGAAATAATACTGAGTTATATTGAAAGGAGAAAGAAAAAAAATTGGCTAATTTACCATTAACCTGCATAATATTCCTCTTCTGCCCTGGAAGATATTCCTTCTTTTCTCTCTGTATTCTATTCCATGTCTTGTCTCAGGCAATGAGATGAGGTTTTGACATGGCTCTTCTTCCCTAATGGGGATTTTTGTTTTGTTTTGTTTTGTTTTTCAAGACAGGGTCTCATTCTATCACCCAGGAGTGCAGTGGCGTGATCACAGCTCACTGCAGTCTCAACCTTTCTGGGCTCAGGTGGTCCTCCCACCTCAGCCTCCAGAGTAGCTGGGACTACAGGCGTGCACCACCAGGCCTGGCTATTTTTCTTATTTTTTGTTGAGACAGGGTTTCACCATGTTACTCAGACTGGTCTTGAACTCCTGGCTTCAAGAGATTTGCCCACCTCAGCCTCCCAAAGTGCTGGGATTACAGGCGTGAGCCACCATAACCAGCCCTAGTGGAGATGTTGATCTGTGTATACATGTTGGTGTTTTCTTAAAGTCCATATATATCAGGTGTATGATTATACCCATATTTGTTGTCTTTCACATTACGCCCAACTTGTGCAGTAAGTTAAAAACCAGGAAGAACCTCAGAAAAACAGTATGCTAATTTTTGTGTCCTTTATAATAATTAAGAATTATCATCTGAAAGCAGTTGTGTTTCTACAAATGATTCTGAAAGCTTTAGTGTGTATTGCTGTGAAATGTGTATTGTGAGTTGAATTGCTATATATCGATAGTGATGAAAAACTATCAATTCATCATGACAACTTTTATTATCACTACATTGTTTCTATAATTCATTAGAAAATAACACCTCATTAGATCTATTTAATCCTTAAATATTATGCAGGTTACTCTGTGTAATATACAGTGTGGTCCTCAAAGAGCCTACATTTATTGTTAAGAATATATTTCTTTTCCTCCCGCTCTCCCTTCCTCCCTTAATAACAAAGTTCCATAGTATATAAAGTTGGACTTGTTTTGATGTGAAGTTGGTAGATTTCTTAGGTATGTTCTCGATTTGATCAGGATCTTTTCTGAAAATTTTAGAAAGAATGACAGCACCTTTTCTCAAATTCTAAAATCACAAAATATCAGACCTTGCATCAGAATAATAAATGGTATATGAGCTATAAGAGAAAAGCAGTATTTGACAGTTGATGATGAACAGAGGGATTTGATTGAGTACTCAGCTGACATTTACAAGTACTTTTGCACCATGGGTACCATGCTAAGTGTCTTGAATATCACCAGGATGAAACACATAAAGCCTTTGCCATAAGGAGAATGGAATAGAGAGGAAAGGAATGTTTTGTTTTGAGATTCGATCTTCTTTCAAAGAAGAAACTAAGTAGCTCCAGAAAATATATCAAAGCTTAGACAAGATGAAGTAATATCATTGCTATTCATTAGACACTATTCAAAGCGCTTTTACAGATATACATATAATAAGGTAGGTACTATTTCCATCACATTTTATATGTAGGAGGAACACAGTGACTTGCCCAAGTCATAACAGCTGTTAAAGTGTTGAAGCCAAAATAGAAAGGCAGGCAGTCTAAACTGAACCAGCTTCCTAAAATCACTGATTATACAACCTCACTAGATTTACGAAGGGCAAAGATGCAGAAGACAAAGTAACTCCCATTAAAGTCTGTGCATCCCTGCGTAGCTCTCTTAACTTTTGTGTGTGTGTTTTCTAATCATAAAAGGAAGATTTATTTCCATTCTACAATTCTAACATTGAAAGAATTTCTAATGTTCTGTAGAAGACAAGATTAGCTGTCAATTAAGCACTTGTGCTTTCTCTGTATTGTTAAACACAGGTACCTCTTTGGATACTTGCATATTTATCTGTGCTCCAGCTTAGCAGTAGAGAAGTTCATTTTTTCAGTTGAAGCTCTACGTCCTAATTGGCACAGCAGTCATTCATGGATTCCAATTTTTAAAAACCATAGATGGGTTCTTCTTTGCACAAGTACAGAGTGTTTCTATAAAGTGATGTGACTGATGTGTTTTAAAAGCATGTGAATGTTGTGTCTTTAAAAGTAGTCACCAAAGGAACCCAAGAACTTTTCCAACAATGCAGCAATTGCACAAAATCTTTTTGAAATTCTTCTTGTAGTGTTACTTTCAAAGCCTGGAGCCAATTCTTGGAATAGTCATAAGGTTGGCAAATCTTCTTCTTTTGAGAGTGAATTCAGGTTCTGAAAAACAACCTGGAGTTACTTGAAGCCAAATTTGGTGAGTAAGAATAGTTTAAATATCTTTAAACCACTCTGGATTAGATCATTTTTTATCAGAAACAAGATGTGACTATAAAATAATAAGACTGAGTTTCTGGCAATACTTAACAAACTAATTTCTATACATCCAATTCAACATTTATTACTTTGTAACCATATTATGAAAATAGTAAAATTTTATAGTTATTATTCTGTCCTAAATTCATTTGTCAGTGTTTATAATGTACTCAGGTAGGTGTTGGTATGTCATAAGTATTATAAATTACTTTTAAATTAAAAATTATTTTTTTAAATGTCCATGAGCTTAGGCAGTGAAAGTTCAGCTATCACAATCTTCTTATACTAGCTTCTACTCTATTGTACATTATGGTAATTTGTATAGACATCACACTTTTTCAAACCCCCTCCCCATATTCCAAATGGCCTTTCTTTCACTGTCTACAAGACACTATTCTTGACTTTCCCACATGACAATTATCCTTTTTTTTATTTTTATTTTTATTTTTTTTTGAGATGGAGTCTTACTCTGTCACCCAGGCTGGAGTGCAGTGGTGCGATCTTGGCTCACTGCAAGCTCCGCCTCCCGGGTCCACACCATTCACCTGCCTCAGCCTCCCGAGTAGCTGGGACTACAGGTGCCCGCCACCACGCCCGGCTAATTTTTTGTGTTTTTAGTAGAGACGGGGTTTGACCGTGTTAGCCAGGATGGTCTCGATCTCCTGACCTTGTGATCCACCCGCCTCGGCCTCCCAAAGTGCTGGGCTTAGGGGCATGAGCCACCGTGCCCAGCCGATAATTATCAATTTTTAGCATTAAGCTTTCCATTTTTGTCTGGCACCTGAGAGTTAACCTCTGTTAGCTGATTGGTTTACTCCCTGAGAAGTTCCTGAGCATACCTATGGACAAGCATATTCTCCTGTTCTTGACTTTGGGTCAGAATGGACTCATTAGCACAGCAGTGTTACACAACCATTTTATCTAAGATCTGAGTTTGACACTGTACTGTTCAGTAACTTTTATGTGCTATATCTTCGCTCTTCTCTAATCCAAAGTAAGTAATTCAGCAAGCAGTTACCTAATGCTTACTCTGTGCAGGGAATACAAGGCTAAATGAGGTATAAGTGTTGCCCTTTAAGAGCGTCCAGTCTGGGGAGAGGGGAATGGGATGCATACCCACATAACTAATACCATGTGATAAGAATTTCACAGTAATTAAATGCTGTGAGGATAGAGATGTAGCCAATTTGTGTTTTGTGGGGTGAGATTAGAGGCGCTGTTTGAAGCGAGGTTGATGGACAAGGAAGAATGTGTCTTTAACTGGAGGGAGAAAATTATTTCAGGCAGAGGGAAGAACAAGGATAGGATACTTGAAAGTTCAAATGCATGTTTTTGATGGGCACTTAGGGGTCTCCTGTGGCGTGACTGGCTGGGGCTGGCAGGACTCGCAGGGAGAGCAGAAGGGGGAAGGACTCAGAGCCCCCGGTTAGGTGTCCCCTCTTGCTTTGCTCTTTCCTTCTTTTCCGGCTTTGGGCTCTACTACCGACTCTTTGAAACTTTAGGGAAGTCGTTCTCCTCTTTGGTCTTCAGTTTCCTCCTCTGTAAAGAGAGAGGGCTGAATGACCTGATTTATTAGATCCCTTCCAACCTGAAGAGTCTTTGAAGAAACTGCCCTACTTCTCTGCACGCTTCTGTAGTTTTTGTATAAAGAATTCTATTAGACTGAACAAACCAAGGAAAGCCTTTTTAATATGAATAGAGTCCTTGCTTTCTTATGTGGTTTGGCCTCTTTATTTTTTTATTTCCTTTTCTTTCCCTAGGTAAACATATACCTGTTTAAGGCAGGACTGCCGCTGGAACATACCTAAACTATCCTCTTACACGTTTATAGATACATATGAGCATTCACATTGCATCAGACAACCCTGCTTTGCCACAGTGCCTTCTGGACTGGTCATAGCAGAGATGCCTAATGGGGTAACATAATTTAAACCTATAATACAAATGGAGACCAAATTCATTATCACTGGAGTTGCAAGCTTCTCTGATATACTTAATGTCTGAAAATAATCAAAGATTGTACTTAAATAGAGAATACAATTTTAGGTTAAAAAGCCCTTTTCCTCAGAAATGAAATTGGGGAATACCTAAGAGGTACCAGTTTCCCATTTCAACTTAATAATTATACTAGCATTTTAATTTACTTTATATTCATTTAAGTACTTATATTTACATAATAATTGAATTTAATGCACATTTTTTGAGGACCTACTATTTTTAGACATTATACTGTGTTATAGTTATTAGCATGTATTAGGCATGAACTGTGTCCCCTAGAACATTAGGCCCGGTGCGGTGACTCACACCTATAATCCCAGCACTTTGGGAGGCCGAGATGGGAGGATCACTTGAGGCCAGGAGTTGGAGGCCAGCCTGGGCAACATAACAAGACCCTGCCTCTACCACAAATAATATAGAAATTAGACGGGTGCAGTGGTACAAGCCTATAGTTCCAGCTACTTGGAAGGCTGAGGTGGGAGGATCGCTTGAGCCTAGGAGTTCAAAGCTGTTGTGAGCTCTTATCATGCCACTGCACTTCAGCCTGAGGACCCTGTCTCTTAATTTAAAAAATAACAATAATAATTAGGTCAGGTTCACTATAATTTGAGCAATGTCTTACTATGACATTAACTATGAATTTCAATCTACTGTGTTATGTACAGGCATTTTTAAAAGAACAGTGGGGAAGAAACTAGCCCAGCATGGGGATTGAATGAAGGCCTCTTGGAAGAAATGATGATATCTGAGAGAAATTTTGAAGGAGGAATAGGAGTCAGTTGCCTACTCTGCCAAAAAAAGACAGAAATCATTCTAACTGGAAAAAGTAGCCTAAAATAAGACACAGTGATGTGAAACAGCCAGGTGACTATTAAGAATTAATATTACTAGAAGATAAAATGTATAAACTTAAAGGGCAGCACATAAGGCAGAAGCAGTAGGATGGAGGAAGGTCCCAGAGGACATGTTTTTGTGATGAGAAGGAGGTCTGGTTTATCTATAAGGCACAGGGGCCACTGACAGGGTTTACCCAGGGATGTGATATAGCCAGGTTTGAGTTTTTTCGAGATATTGCTAGTGACAGTTGAAGATAGATTTGTTGGAGAACAAAGCAGGAAGCAGGAATTAGCTGGCTGTAAAACAATCCAGGTGAGATTGTTCTGGTAGGGGAGAGGGGAGAATGAGTTTGAGAAATTCTGAGGAAATAAAATTGGAAGGACCAGGTGACGGAATGGATTGACAGAGCGAGAAAGCCAGAATGACTTAGTTTTTCTCTTCAGAAAGGCTGCGTGGATTATGATGCCATTGCATTATGCCATGGAAGGGGATTTGGGGTATTAAAAATGAGTTCCCTTTTTTAATAGTTGTGGGATAGAGTTTAGAGCTAGCAGATAGATTTGGCAATTGTTGGCCTATAGGTAAGAGTTAAAATCATGAGAGTGGGTCCAATTTCCCACTAACAAGAGTAGGAAACTGAGGAGAGAACCTGAGAATGATTCTGTGTTGGGATGAAGATCAAAAAAGGAAGAGGCCACAAAAGGTGATGGGAAATAAACAGAACGGCAGAGAATAAAACAAAACAAAAACAACCAAACAAAATAAAACAGAGGAACAGAATCATGAAAAAACAAACAAGGAAAGGAGAATCCCAAAAGATAGTCACCAGTGGCAAGTACAACCAAGAGCAGCTACTAAATTGCCCTTGGCATTTGGAAATAGAGAAATCACCAGAGAACCTTTCCAAATAAATTTTAGTAGCATGATGAGCATGAGGGCCAGACTCTGCAGGCTGGGTAAGTGGGAAATGAGGAAGCCAGCATAGCCTGTGTAGACTTTACTGCCATTTCACATAATCCCTCACTGTCAGTGCCTGGCTTGCATCACAGCTCAGATTGGTGCATACTGGAATCTTCTTTGTCAATATGGCATCCTCACGTCCCCATGTCTGCCTGTAATCTCCTATCCATCCCTTGCCATTCTCACCACCTGTGCTTTTCAGCCTCAGAGGGAAGCATAAGCTCTTGATGTTTCCATGTTCTCCTAGCCCATCAGCCCCTTCTGGACTTATTTTCTAGGTGGCTCAGGAAGCTACGTAGGCTTTAAGAAGTTTGTCTGAGAAGTGAAGAAAAGAGAGAAAGGTAAATGGAGGAGCGAAGTCAATGAAAAGTTTTGTTTTTTAGGTGAGAGAGAGCCTTGTGAGCCTGTACATAACCTCGGAGAAACAGCCTGCAGAGAGGGAGAATATGAAGGGGCACACCCAATAAGTGACAGAACAAGCCCAGAGGTGTCAGAAATGGGCTTGAACATGAGTAAGAGAGAGACCTTGCCTTCTGAAAGTGGAGGAATGAATAGATGCAGTCTATGCAGATATAAGTAATTAGAGGTCTGGGAAAGAAATGTGGGTGCTCTTGTATAATGACTTCAAGTTTCAGTTTTCTTAGTGAAGTCATGACAAGGCCCCTTTCACCAAGAAAGATGAGTTGTGTTTCATCAGGGGCTTGAGGAACATGGAGAGTGTGAAATACGAGCTGACGAAATAAAACAGGATGTCTAGGCACCGTTGAGGGCCCAGCAAAAGGACTGATCCACAATAAAGACTGGTATTTTTTTCCCTACAATGTGGTCAGAATCTTGGTATTAGAAGTTTAAAAGGCTGATTTGGGGATTTTATCTGAGTGGGCATGGCAGAACGATTAGCATGATTGGAAATTGGGAGTGAACAATCACATATATGGCCTGAGCTGCCTCCAGAAATAAGTCCAGAAGAGGTTGATTGATGAGGAGAATATGGAAACATCAATAGCTGATGCTTTTCTCTGAGGCTGAAACACACAGGTGGTGAGAATGGCAAGGGATGAGAATTGGAAGGATAGGAGATTACAGGCAGATATGGGGATATTAGAGATGACATATTGACAAAACATTCCTGTACACAACCGTCTGAGCCATGATGCAAGCCTGGTATTGACCACGAGGGATTATGTGAAATGTCAGTAAAGGTTGCTGGTGATAAGGCCATTATTACTGGATGCCATTCCACCCACATGGCCATTGAAGATTCCATGTGGCAAAGTCCTCAAGAAAGAAGTATGTCAGAGGTTGAATGCAATAGGAACACTAAAGACAGTGGATCAAAAGTAACCTGCAAGAGGTTGGACTTTCCGTATGTTGAAATATATAGATATTTCATATATGTCTATATGTTGAATATAGATAAAATTGATTGTTTCTTTGTTTTTTGGTTTTGCTTTTTTTTTTTTTTTTTGGAGACAGAGTCACTCTGTTGCCCAGGCTGAAGTGCAGTGGCATGACCTCAGCTCACTGCAACCTCCACCTCCTGGACTCAAGTGATTCTCGTGCATCAGTCACCCAAGTAGCTGGGATTACAGGCACGTGCCACCATGCCCAAAAAATTTTTATATTTTTGTAGAGACAGGGTTTCACCATGTTCACCAGGCTGATCTTGAACTCCTGACCTCAAGTGATCATCCTGCCTCAGCTTCCCAAAGTGCTGGGATTACAGACACCGCACCTGGCCAAAATTGATTGTATTTTTAAAACTCAAGGGAACAAACACAAAAGCAATTAGAAATAGTAGTACTTAGTAAGTTGACTGATTATCAGAAAAATTATAAAAGTCAATGATACGGTTTGGCTGAGTCCCCACTCAAATCTCATCTTGACTGGAGCTCCCATAATCCCCACATGTCATGGGAGGGAGCCAGTGGGAGGTAATTGAATCATGGGAGCAGGTTTTTCCCATGCTGTTCTCATGGTAGTGAATAAGTCTCATGAGAACTGATGGTTTTATAAAGGGTAGTTCCCCTGCACACGCTCTCTTGTCTGCCACCATGTAAGACGTGCCTTTGCTCCTCCTTCACCTTCCACCGTGATTGTGAGGCCTCCGCAGTCATGTGGAACAGTGACTCCATTAAAACTCTTTTTTTTTAATAAATTACCCAGTCTCCGGTGTTTCTTCAAAGCAGTATGAAAATGGACTAATACAGTCAATTACCTTTCTTAATTAACAATAAAAAGTTAATAAAATAAATTGGAGAAAGAGTTACAGACTAGCATCAAAAAATATAAAATACCCAGAAATCGATTTAATAAGACTTCAAGTAAAACAACACACCTACTAAAGGGGAAAACTTGAATAAATGGAGTTTACCTTCCTCAAAAGGAAAACTTATGAAGTATTTCTTAAATGTATAAGGTCACTGCAACTCCAAACAAAATCTCAGTGACTCTCTTGAGAAAACATTTCAGAATGATTCTAAACTTATTCTGAAAGATTGAAGCATTCAGAAATAGCCAAGTCAAATCTGAGTAATAAAAAGATAGACCCATAGCTTATCATGATGAAGCTATCCTAATGAAGGTTCAGAAGGAAATCCAAATATATCTGGAGGTATTTTCAAATCCATGGGGAAAAGATGGAACAACTGGTTAGCCATTTGGGAAAAACTAGAGCTGGAAATCTACTCCATTTCGTAATTAAAATAAGCCCCTGATCAATCAAGTATTTAAACACAGAAAAAAAGAAACCATAAAAGTACTAGAAGAAAACAAAAACTACTATATAATATGGAAGTAGGAAGTCTTACAATGCATGGAATTAAATTCAGAAGTTATAAAGGGAAAGATGGATAAATTTAACCAAAATGAAAAAATTGTGTGACATAATAAAATAAGGCATTACAAAGGACCATCGTTCTGTATTAGATTAATGAACTACACATTAACACAATGGTATATTTTATAGCATTCATGAAAGGTGGCATTTATCTCTAATCATGGGGATAGAATAGTCTCAGGACTATCTTTGACCTTTTTTTAATTGCATAAAACATGTATAAAATGATCCTATTATACAAAATTCTATATTGACATGTCTATTTATTGAAATAGGCCTGGAAAAATGTTCCCTAAAATGTTAAAAATGATGATATTCTCTAAATTCTCTAAATTATGTTTTCTTATTTTTTGTGTCTTTTTTTTCATGGTGTTGGTAATGTTTGAATTTTCTAGAATGAGCGTGTATTATGGCAGAGGAAAAAATATAAAGAACATAATTATATATTTTTTTCTTAAGCTTAAGATCCCCTACTTTGTAGAGGAGATAGATACCTTTTAGACATTAAAATACTGTTAGCTGGGTTTATCTGAAATGTAACAGCATGAAGACAACTTTGTAATGTTGTAATCATTGTCCCTCAAATTAAGTCTCACATCAAACTGTGAAATTAGGTACACAGATGCATGTAGGCTCTGGGCTATGGATTGCTCCAAACTACAGACTGGGTCCTCATTGGCGCTGCAGAGGAAAGCAGGCTGTTTGCAACTGCTTTCAGGATTGACTCAGGGCCCCCGTCCTCTACTTTGTCACCTTCACACTGTTTCAGTGGTTATCTTCCTTGCCTTTTATAGCCTGAAAACTATGCAGGTGCTCAAAGGACAATCAGTAGGCTTCCAGCCTTTCTCCTCTTCTTCCCATATTCCTTCTCTTTATTTAGGCCATTTGATCATGCCATACAAGGGAGAACTATAAATAATAATGCTGGCACACAGCAACATTTCACAATTACCACTGCAATGGCTAGTCCTGGTATAAGTTTTTTTTTGCTAAAACAGATAATATAGTTTTAATTCTAATAAGCAGAGCTCCCCCAATGAGGATTTTTTTAGGAATATAGGAACCAGCTCGTTAGAGGCTCTTGATAAAATATACTTCTGAATTGCAGGCATTTCAATGGTAAACAGGAGACAGAACCTACCTGATAATTGTGACAACCTTAGATGGTCATAGGATTATATCTGCTGAAATCTCTGTTTCCTCGCGTTAAAAATTTTCAAATCAAATCAAAACACTTTTTTTCTGGCTAAAACACATTTTTAAGCCTTGTCTTAGTGTATTTATGCATACCTTTTTATGTAAAAAATCTATGAATGTTACTAAAGTCTCACAATGTCCTAAGAAGGAATTATTATTCCTAATATGCCTATGAAGATACTTCAACAAGAAGGCTAACTATCCCACTGAATACTAGATAAAACAAAAGCAAAAACAGATAGGATTTGAATTCAGCACATTCACCCACTAACTCCTAATCTCATCTTCACGTTCTTCACCTGAATATTTACATCAGTCATAATTTTGAAGCAAACTCATTCAAACCCCTCCCTAAAATGCTTTTTCTTTTCTTTTTTTTCTTTTTTTTTTTTTGTGAGATGGAGTCTCACTCTGCCACCCAGGCTGGAGTGTAATGGTGTGATGTGGGCTCACTGCAACCTCTGCCTCTCAGGTTCAAGCAATTCTCCTGCCTCAGCCTCCCTAGTAGCCTGGGATTACAGGCGCCCACCACCACACCCAGCTAGTTTTTGTATTTTTAGTAGAGATGGGGTTTCACCATGTTGGCCAGGCTAGTCTCAAACTCCCAACCTCAAATGATCCACCCGCCTTGGCCTCCCAAAGTGCTGGGATTACAGGCGTGAGCGACCGCGCCTGGCCTAAAATGCTTTTCCTAATGTGTATTTACATGTATGCATTATAAAACTTCTAGATTTTTCTGTGAGCCCCCTGCTTAAAATCCGTCTGTAAATATTTCCTTGAAATCTGGTCTAGTTTAAGGTACCACGTACAACTGGTGTCTCTAAATTAAATGTGGTCTCTATTACTTCTCTTCTTTAAAGATTTTTTTTAATTAAAATCTATGATTCTACAAAGCTCATTGTAGAAACCTTGACAAACACAGATCATAGCAAAAAATAAAATTAAAAAAAACCAGTAATTTCATTTCCCAAAGAAAACTCAGATGTGGCCCATATTTTGATTTTGGATAATGTATCTAACTAATCATCCAAAATCCGAATTACTAAGTATTTGGAAACTTCTTTCCTGAAGTAGCATTACAGATTGATCATTAATGGGGATTGTTTTTCCCCATTATCTATCAGTAGTACTGATAAATTTACCACTCTCTCCCAGCCCTCCTTAGAAGATTGCTGGATGAAAGTAACAATAGTAATTGACTCGCTTCCCAGTTGGCCCAGTAGTCTTGGCTTGGTTGACACTCAGCTCAGTAGTCCCAAGATTTTGGTGGGTATAAGATTTAAGTTTTTAAAAGGTCTGAAGTAGACCTAAGAAGTGCATTTTTACAAGTCCCATGCCTAAATCGTTCTGACATAGAAAGTTCTTAGGCCACAGTTTGAGAACCTCTAGTTTATGGAATTCACAGACTGATCTTTCAGAAACTGTATGGCTCAGGCGCACCTGAAATGACTTTTAATGGAAGAGAGGAAAATTCTTCAGCCTTATTTATATTCTCACTTCTAGTTTTAGTAAGTGTTGTTTCAGTCTGTGTATTTCTCTGCAGAGCCAGTGTCCTATTAACTAGTTAAAAGAAAACAGGACCCCTGCAGACAAAACCCTGAGGCTTCAGAGTCCTCCCACATCCTCTTTCATGTCTCCCTTCCTTTGTCTCTTCAAAGACATCTTTGCCCAGTCACCTTCTGCTCTCCCCACAGAGATGTTGACATTGAACTTTCCTGGACAATAGTTTTCTGTCTTTTCTCAGTAAAACTGGCTTTCTCTCAGCTGTGATGGAAAGACTCCATCAGTGACTTCATGCATGCATGTTGTTATATGCATAACAGAAAACAATGAGCTGTAAAACATACAGAGGCCAGCTGGGTGCTGTGGGTCATGCCTGTAATCCCAACACTTTGGGAGGCTGAGGCAGGTGGATCGCCTGAGGTCAAGAGTTCGAGACCAGCCTGGCCAACATAGTGAAACGCTGTCTCTACTAAAAAATACCAAAAATTAGCTGGACGTGGTGGTGGGCGCCTGTAATCCCAGCTACTAGGGAGGCTGAGGCAGGAGAATCACTTGAACCCAGGAGGCAGAGGTTGCAGTGAGCCAAGATCACGCCATTGCCCACCAGCCTGGGCAAGAAGAGTGAAACTCCATCTCAAAAAAAAAAAAGAGAGAGGCCTTCCAGCACTCCACCACCACTAATACCACCACCACCACCAGTCCTGGCCTACCTTTTCCAAAGAAGATTATTCCAAGAAAAAAACAGGTGGAGCACACTGTGGTAGGGGCCAGGGTGGTGGCAAGAGAATTTATGGAATTTAAGGACAAGAGCCCTTTCCATTATCCCCCACTACTGAGCAAACCATACTGTGCAGATGTCTGTCTGCCTTAAGAACAAGCTGGCCTTCTAGCTTAGAAAAGACCTTTCTTCCGTGCCCTCTCTAAGGTAACTTGCCTATTTGGTATCTGAAGCCATTCAAGGAGATGTTATGAATTATTGTTTTGTAAAAGCCATTTTTTATGAACTGAATTCCGCAGATTTTTTGTTCTAAGAATTGGCAAGAACCTTTTGCAAAGATAAGGGGACAGGTGCCCTTTGAAGTATATGTTTATGATTGATCAATTCAGAGAATCTAATACTTTTGAGAGCTGATTTTTGTACCTAGAATTCCATATTTTGTTTCAAACGTACTGCTCATTTTTTAGATCTATACAGAATTGTTACAAACCTTGTAAAGTCTCCAAGATAAATGAGGATGTTCATATGAAAACCCAGACAATCTTTTCTTTTCTTCTCCTCTTCAACTTTTATTTGTAGTTCCAGGGTATATGTGCAGGATGTGCAGGTTTGTTACATAGGTAGACGGGTGCCATGGTGGTTTGCTGCACAGATCAACCCATTGCCTAGGTATTAAGTCCAGCATCCATTAGCTATTCTTCCTGGTGCTCTCCCTCCCACCTCTCCTGACAGGGCTTAGTGTGTGTTGTTCCCCTCCCTGTGTGCATGTGTTCTCATCGTTCAACCTCCACTTAAGAGTGAGAACATACGGTGTTTGATTTTCTTTTCCTGCATTAGTTGGCCGAGAATGATGGCTTCCAGCTCCATCCATGTTCCTGCAAAGGACATGATCTCAGTCTTTTTTATGGATGCGTAGTATTCCATGGTGTATATTTACCACATTTTCTTTATCCACTCTATAATTGATGGGCATTTGGGTTGATTCCATGACTTTGCTATTGTGAATAATGCTGCAGTGAACATACTTGTGCCTGTATCTTTATAACAGAATGATTTCTGTTCCTTTGGGTACATACCCAGTAATGGGATTACTGGGTCAAATGGTATTTTTGCCTCTGGGTCTTTAAGGAATTGCCACACTCTCTTCCACAATAATTGAACTAATTTACACTCCCACCAACAATGTAAAAGTGTTCCTTTTTCTCTGCAGCCTTGCCAGCATCTGTTTTTTCTTCACTTTTTAATAATCGCCATTCACTGGTGTGAGATGGTATCTCATTGTGGTTTTGATTTGTATTTCTCTAATGATCAGTGATGTTGAGCTTTTTTTCATATGAAAAATCCAGACAATCTTGAGGGCCAGCACAGCCTGAGGACTTGCTGACACAAAGTATTGACGGGCCAGAGGAAGTGGGCAGCCTGGATATCACATCACCCCATGTCTGCTGCTGCTCAGGTTTCTCTCACTGTCTCTTGGGTATGTGGTGGGGAGTGGGGGGTGAGGAGGGGGTGGGAGGGCAGATTAAAGAGAAGCAGCTGCAGCCTGAGGCACAGACAGGATGCAGAGTGACTCCATCATCCCACCTAGAGTCATGGACACCACCCACTTTGATACATTCTGTTCACAACCATAATTCCTTTCATGCTGATTCGTGTCATTGGGAATCTCTCTTCTTCAGCTTCAAGAGAGCCGAATCTGACTCAGGTGTTGAGATTGGGGAATGGCATTTCCATTTCTTCCTCTCTCCAGTATAGCCAGAGCAGGAAGGGCAAGAGAAAAGGGGTCCTGGTACCTGGTGATGTCAAAGTAGGCAGCTCCTACTGCTGTGCTAGCAAGAGCCATGTGGACTAGTGTGAGAACAGGAACTCTCCCAAGTCCCCTACTGGGTAACCAGATACCCAACAGTGTGCCTAGAGATGCTTTAGTCCACTCCAATCCTAAATACTACTACATTGTGCTAATAGTTTCCCTGAAAAACAGCCATATTTCACTCATTTTTTTAAAAATCAATTACAATTTTTAGCCTTAAGGTTTGATATTGGTATTGTGTTTATTTTTTCAAAGAATCTTTATCTTGTAGAGTTATACACTGCAATAGTTACAGATGAAAAGATAGTGTGGTCTGGGATTTGTCTCAAAACCAGTAGGAGGTAGGAGTGGTGGGCTACAGGTATATAGATGAAACAAGATTGCCTTGTTTATACTATTCTATCTACTTTGTACCTGTTTTCTATGTTATAAAATGTTCATAGTAAGTGGTTTAAACTTCAAAAATCATTTCTGAAAATAAGTGGATACCCTTATTTACTCAGCTGTGCTATAAATTTCATATTAACCCCCCAAAACTAGACCAGTCTGAGTGTTTCTAATAAAATCCAGCAGTAACCGTGACTGATTTTAAAACATTCACTGCTTCTCTTATCTACAATGCCTAGCTTCATTAGTCATGTAGAAAATGTTTACATTCCCCAAGCTTTTAAAAATTAAAAAAAAAAAAAAAAAAAACCTATGTGTTCTCAATTTGAGTAAGGTGTGACGGAGAGCAGCTCTGTGACACAGGCTGAGGGAGGAGGATTTGGTGTGGAGGCGAGGAAACTGGGGCCCTTACTAAGACACTGAAATATGATAAACATCCTTATGAAGATGCCACTCCCAGAAACTGGGACTTGAGCTACTCTTAGGAAGCCACAGACCATGGAATACAGATTCTTCTCCTGGAAACTTCTCCATTTCCAAGAAGGCATAAAATGAAGGAAAGCAATCCTCTTTCCTTTCCGTTTCTTGGAATCTAATATCTAAGCATTACCCTTTACACTCTAGCAAAGTAAAGCAAACTAAGGCATGACGGCCCCTCCCAGCAGTAATTATGAGATCATTTGGCCTCAGTAACTAGGCAGACTCCACTACCTTTCACCTAGTTTCGTGGGAAGAAATGGTAAAGCTCCCTCGATGGAAATGTTCCTTCTTTCGCCATAACCTTCACAGGATCCATCTGTCTAATCTTTGTCTGAAGGAATTGGAAGGGCAGGCGGTTGCCTCACCAAAAGCACCCTCAGTACTTTAGTCTACTGAATTATGGGGGGTTGTTCCAGAAGAGGATCCAAACCCCAGCAGAAAACTCCTGGCCTTTCCCATGCCAGTTTTCCCAAGCCCAGGAATTCCAAGTGAAGTACATCCATTCCTATTGCTATTTATACTGTCTGGTGTAGCCAAAATGGGCCCTGGGCTAGAAATCAGAAAGCCTAGGCCGGGCGCAGTGGCTCACGCCTGTAATCCCAGCACTTTGGGAGGCCAAGGCGGGCAGATCATGAGGTCAGAAGATTGAGACCATCCTCGATAACACGGTGAAACCCCGTCTCTACTAAAAAAATACAAAAAATTAGCCGGGCGTGGTGGCGGGCGCCTGTAGTCCCAGCTACTCAGGAGGCTGAGGCAGGAGAATGGCGTGAACCCGGGAGGCGGAGCTTGCAGTGAGCCGAGATCGTGCCACTGCACTCCAGCCTGGGCGACAGAGCAAGACTCCGTCTCAAAAAAAGAAAAAAAAAAAAAAAGAAAGAGATCAGAAAGCCTGGCCTTTAGAGCTGATTTAAGGAACATGAAGTCCTTAAGGTAAATGAATTGAACCTTTTTGTGGGGATACAGAGATGTGAAAAGACCAGGATCCTGCCCTCCAGAGGCATATGGTCAAAGCAGGGCAAAGACAAGTAAACAGTAGCCCATTTATAATTTTTTTTTTTTTTAAAAAATAGTCTCACTCTGTTGCCCAGTTTGGAGCACAGTGTGGCATGATCTCGGCTTACTGCAACCTCCGCCTCCCAGGTTCAAGCAATTCTTCTGCCTCAGCCTCCCAAGTAGGTGGGATTACAGGCATGCACCACCACATCCAGCTAATTTTTGTATTTTTTAGTAGAGAGAGGGTTTCACTGAGCAGGCTGGTCTCAAACTCCTGACCTCAAGTAACCCACCCGCCTCAGCCTCCCAAAGTGCTGGGATTACAAGTGTGAGCCACAGCACCTGACCCCATTTATAATTTTTAAATAAACCACATACTAAAGTGATACAGTTGCCATGACAGTCACAGGGTACTGGAAAGGAGCACAAAGAAGAAGAGGTCAGTCCTTAGGACCTAGAGGGGGTTGGGGAAGTTGCCAGGTAGGAGGTGACCCCATCAAGAGCTAAATCTTGAAAGATAAACAGTGCTTGCAAGGGACCACAGAGAAGGCATGGCAGCCCAGGAGGAGGGTGCTTGGGGGCAGCATGACAAGAGGTTCAAAGCCAGAAAGGGAGGCTTCACATTGCAGAGGACCTGTTTTCTGTACTCATCTTCAGCTTTATCCTGTAGGCAACAGAGAACCAAAGGGGTTTTAAAGGAGGAGAAGGAATGATATGATCATATTTGGGCTTTACAAAGATCACAGAGCACAGTGATCTTCCATATAGATGGAAGGAGGAGGGGTCACATATAACTCAAATGAGGTAGGGAGGTATAGTGGTCCAGGCAGGAGGCATTAAGGACCCTAGCTAAGCCAACCAAATTAGGGAAAGAAAAAGAGGGGACTTAACTGGAAAATATTAAGGAGGTAAAGTCTACAGGTCTTGGTGTCTGACCGGGCTTGGAAAGAGAAGGCTAGTCATAGTATGAGAGTAATAGAGGCTTCAGTCACTAAGATTGGAGTTGTGTGGGCCCTCAGCGAACTCATCTTTGTTTCCTTATTTGTGAAATGTGGATAACACCTGTCTTACATGCCGGCCTCAAACACCTGTCTAACACACCTGTCTTTCATGCCTGCATGAGGGTTAGTGTGGTATCATGGTGTCACGGGTATGAATGCTTTTTGAACGGCAAAGCACCATGCAAATATAAAGTCATCCGGGAAATCCAGTAGAAAGGAGTGGCAAGGAAGAGGGAAGAGGCAGAGATGTGTTTTCCAAAGCGATGCGTTTCAAGTCCAGATAGAGAAAATGCATATTTGTGGTGGGAGAAATTAAGGACAGTAAATAAAGATGTCAAATATAAAATTAAAATCTTTTAGATCCACTGCTTATTTCCTTGAAAGTGGTACTGTCATGTACAAATTATATTCAATCTAATTCTTCTATCCCGTAAAAGTTAGTTATATTTAAAATATTGGGGTAAACATTTTAACAGCAGTGAGGAGCTATCACTAGTTCCACAATTATTCCATATCTTGATAGTTGTAATTAAAATCATGTATATTTTTACATAATAACAATATGGAATAATTCTATATTGTTGACACTAACATGACAAACCACATGGATAACTTCTAAGGAAAGCCAAATACAGATAAGAGACATTTACATCCTTAGGTAGATTAACACCTTTGAAACCTCACAATCTGAAATACTAAAACTATACTCTCTTATTTTTCGCCATGGGATATCATGAGCTTCTTTTTCCTTACGTATGTCTAATATGAGGGTGTTTTGGTTAAATCAAAGCCTTTTACATAAAACTGCTTTCACCAATATATAGATATATTCCACTTTTTTAAAGTGACAGTGTCTTTCTTCTCTAGAAGTTGAGTCCCATTAATTTTTTTTAGAAAAAGAATCCTGAGCTGTAATAATACTTGGCATTTAAGCAAAGAGAATTTTCACGTGTGCTGCTGATGCCCGTGTTGATTCACTTGGTGGGATATGGCATGAGACCGAAACCTGGCCTCTGGGAGAGTCCTGTGTGTCACATCCTGTGAACACCCTACTCTGTCCTCATATGTGTGTGGCTCTGCACTGTAAGATCAGAACACAGGAGACTGAGGAAGTAGCAATGCAGAGTTTGAGTGAGGGAGAAACAAAGCGACAGGTTTCTGGAACTATTTTGGACTCCCGTAGTAACTTTTAACTCTGCTACAATGCCCATGTACTTGGTCTTTTAAGCTCTCTCTGGCTTTTGATCTCTTTTTTTTTTTCCTCCTACATGAAACAGAAGACAGAGTTACAGGAAATGAAGGGTATAGGAGGAAAGAAAGAGCTGTAGTTATCGTAGATGCCAGAGTGGTAAGAGGCAGCTCTTCTTTCAGGGGCTTAGCTGAGGGCCAGAGTAGTACAGCTCGTCTCCACGGGGGTGGAGAGGGGTGCCTCAAAACAAAAGTGAACATTTCTCTCTTCTAAGTCGGCTTCTAATGGCCCTGGTTTTTGTCTGTTTTAACCTAAAAGGTTATTGCACTATTAACAGGTAAAAAATTCTCTTCTGACCAAATACATGTATTTCTAGCATAATATATTCTCTCTCTCTCTCTGGATAAAATTTATTAGCATATCAGCATAAACATAATTTTTGTAAGGTCAGACAAGAGATTTGAAGTGTAATTCAAGGGGAATTTGTATTAACGTAATGAAACATTCTGCTGTGAAGTTTACTAGCAATGCCTCACTCTGGGTTATCATTTCTGACTCCTCCCATTTCCTTTCTCACCCGTCACCTGGCCTTCATTCATTCTCTGTCCTAGAAGATAACCTCTAAAACCAGTGACAGTCCATCCAGCCTGCTGTTAAAAAAAAAAAAAAAAAAAAAAAAAATGTTGCTCACTCTGTCCCGGCCAGTCTGGCTCTAGCGTCAGCTCAAAGGGGCCCAGGTACAGCTCGGGCTGCCACTCCATAGGGTGCAAGCTGTAAGCCTTGGTGGCTTCCATGGGGTGCTAATCCTGCAGACACACAGAATGCAAGAGTGAAGAAGTCTTGACAACTTCCACCTAGATTTCAGAGGATATTTCAGAAAGCCTACATACCCAGGCAGAAGCCTGTCGCGCGGCGTAGCCAACACAAAAACTCTACTAGGGCAGTGCTGAGGGGAAATATGGGGTTGTGCCCCCACACAGAGTGCCCAACAGGGCACTGCCTAGTGGAACTGTAGGAAGGGGGCCACTGTCCTCCAGACCCCAGAATGGTAGAGCCTCTGGCAGCTTGCACCCTACATCTGGAAAACCCACAGGCATTCAACTCCAACCCGTGAGAGCAGCCAGCGAGGCTGCACCCTGCAAAGCCACAGAGGCAGAACTGTCCGAGGCCTTGGGAGCCCACTCCTTGCACCAGTGAGCTCCATAACTTGATCTTGAACTTCCAGCCTCCAAAACCATGAGAAATAAATTTCTGTTGTTTACAAGTATGTTAGTCCATTTGCATTGCTATAAAAGAATACCTGACACTGGGTGATTTATAAAGAAAAGAGGTTTAATTGGTTCACAGTTCTGCAGGCTATACAGGAAGCATGGTGTAAACAATCTCAAAAGAGATTGTTTTGGAGCTTTAAGACTTAATGACTGCCTTGCTGGGTTTCAGACCTGTGTGGGGCCTGCTTCCCCTTTCTTTTGGCCGACTTCTCCTTTCTGGAATGGGAATGTTTATCCAGTGCCTGTACCACCATTGTATCTTGGAAGTAAATAACTTTTTTTATTTTACAGGCTCATTAGTGGTAGGAGATGAGTCTCTTACGAGACTTAGGACTTTAGACTTGATGCTGGAACAAGTTAAGACTTTTGGGGACTTTGGGGAAAGTATGATTGTATTTTGCAATGTGAGGACGAGATGTGGGGGGCCAGCGGCAGAATGATATGGTTTGGATATTTGTCCCCTCCAAATCTCATGTTCCAGTGTGATTCCCAGTGTCAGAGGCGGGACCTGGTAGAAGATGATTGGATCGCAGCAGTGGATCCTTCACAAATGGGTTTGCACCATCCCCTTGGTGATAAGTGAATTCTCACTCAGTTAGTTAATATGAGATCTGGTTTTTTGAAAGAGTCTTGGACTTCCCCTTCTCTCTCTCTTGCTCCCACTCTCACCATGGGATGTGCCTGCTCCCCCTTCGCCTTCCACCACGATTGTAAGCTCCCTGAGGCCCTGACCAGAAGCAGATGCCGGCACTATGCTTCCTAGACAGCCTGCAGAACTGTGAACCAATTAAACCTCTTTTCTTTATAAATTACCCAGTCTTGGGTATATCTCTATAGCAATGCAAATGGACTGACATTCTTGTAAACAACAGAAATTTATTTCTCATGGTTTTGGAGGCTGGAAGTTCAAGATCAAGTCATCAACAAATTCAGTGTCTGGTGAGGGCACATTTGCTGTTTCATGGATGGCTGTATTTTGTTGGATCCTCATGTGGTGGAAGGGACTAATGAGCTCCCTACAAGGGCATTAATCCCATTCATGAGGGCTCTACCCTCATAATCTAATCACCTCCCAAAAGCCCCACATCCTAATGCCTTCACCTCGGGGGTTAGAATTTCAACATGTAAATGTTTGGTGGACACAAACATTCAGACCATAGCACCTGGTTTCCCTGACATTACTCTCTTGCAATACCCATCTATCAAAAAATAGACAATACTTTTCTCCTGAGTATCAGGTTCATAAACTGTCACATCTCAGGAAACCATGGCAGGGCCTTTTATTCCCTAAATTCAGAAGCACCCTTATCCGTCCATCAGTAAGTCTAGCCCCTCAGCCACTCTATTCCTTATCATTCTACTCTCCTGGCAGTTCTCATACTACAGACACCACTTCTCCTTGGCATTCCTGATATATAAGTCAGTTCTTTCCTTTCTCCTCCTTTGTATACTAGTAGTAGAACCTTTTATGACTCTTGCCTGAAGTTCTCATCCTCACAGTTTTGTTCTCTCTTTGATCTTCTGTTCCTTTAACATGAGGTTCCAAATTGGTTTCCTTTATGATAGACCTCACTAAGTAATGAAAAATTTCAGTTTCTCTAAGTATGTTTTTCTGGACTTTATGCCCTATTCTTTTGCATTTCTATCTTTTTGTTTGGGTAAGCTTTTCATTCTAGTTAAAAACTAGTTCTTTCCTAAACACAGTCTTCAGAACAAAAAACCTTAATCAAATAGATATCCTCTAATATATCTTAGGTATATGAAAAGTGGCTCATTGTGACATCCAATTGCTGGTGGAGAAGAGCCCCAAAAAGGAACGAAGATATGAGGCCAAGGTGGGCAGATCACCTGAGGTCAGGAGTTCAAGACCAGCCTGGCCAACATGGTGAAATTCTGTCTCTATTAAAAATACAAAAATTAACTGGGCATGATGGCACATGCCTGTAATCCCAGCTACTTAGGAGGCTGAGGCAGGAGAATTGTTTGAACCCAGGAGGTGGAGGTTGCAATGAGCCAAGATCACGCCACTGCACTCTAGCCTGGGCAACAGAGCAAGACTCCATCTTCTCCATCTTAAAAGAAAAAAAAAAAAAAAAAAAGGAATGAAGACAGAAATTCAAAAAAATGCTTAAAGTCCCTGCCCCTAAAAAGGTTATAGTCTAGTTTGGAGGAGATATATTCAGTATATGTTTTTAGGAAGTTTATTATGCAATGCAAAATAGCATTCATGCACTGAGGCTGTAAATAACAAAGGAGAATTCACTATCAGCAGCATCAATCTTCCTTGGCTGGAAACTAGAAAAGTCCATTGCTACCTCCTTGCTGCATTTTACAATTTACTTTGTTATTTTCCAACTGTGCTTGGCCTCAAAATGCTACTGCTGTGAAGTTAGTTTGATGAAAACAGTCTTTTCAAGTTTCCATATGGTTTCAAATTATTACTCATCTAACTAATAATCAGTTTGAAAAAATAAGTTTGCACACAATGCCAATTCAGCAGTGGGGAAAATTAAAAGACTGGCCTTTTTCTCTTGCTCCCACCCCCTCTTCCAAAACTTGTCAGCCACACTTGGGAAGGAGTTCATGAGGTAGGTTTTGAGATAAAATTTAAGCCCAAGCCCTTTTTAAAATGCTAATTGTTTTCCTGTATTGCAAATAGATGTCTAGGCAATAAGTATTAATTGCATAATTTCTTATATTATTGATAATAAAGAGATGGAAGTCAGTATAAAAGTGGGAATGTAATTGGATTTGTTCAGAATCTGGTATGATGGGTTCCTGTGTGTAGAGAGGAGGGAGCAGAGAACTGAGAATCAACACATAGAGGAAGGACAGAACATGATATAAGTGCGGCCAAGGTAAGACGACCAACATGGCTGGAACAGAGAATTCCTTTTGAAAAGAAGAGGGAGATTGCAAAACTGGAGGGTCTTGGCTCGTGTCCAGATGCCTCGATCTGGTGCTCAATAGAAAGGCATTGTTAACTCTGGAGCAGTGGCATGACATAATGGAGGCCGTGTCTCAGGAGGATGAATCGCACATTGATGTCCCAGAATCTTGGAGAGGAAGATCCTAGAGATCATTGCTGTGCGTTCCAAGGGTGGAAGGGAAATCACTGCAGCTGCACCCACTGTCCACTGTTGACTTTGTCTTAAAGCAGTGACAAAAGCCCTTGGGAGCTGTTTGGTTGCTTTTTTAAAAAATCAAGCTAGTTTGAGTTGGGTTTCTGTCTCTCCAAAATCAGAATCTTAACAATTAATTGCTTTTTGGAGTTATATGAGTTGCCTTAGGCTTTCAAAGAGACATAATATTTTAGGAAAACAGAATTAGGAGTAGATATAGAGGCAGGAATGAATCACATGATTGTTCATGGGACAATGACTTGTCCACTTTCATGAGAACAGAGGGGTCTTCTTTGAGACCATATTAAAGAGGTTACTGGAGCCAGATGGTGGCCTCTGCTAAACCATTTCTCTAGCCCTGCTATTGCTGCTGGTGTTTAGGTATTCATTTTTGCTACAGCAGTGTGCTTGAGACTCAGTGGAATTAGTTTCCAAACTGGCGGAACCCCTCCTCTGCAAAATCTGATATTCTTTTTATTGTTGACCTATTTGGGGCTCCTTTGGTTTTTTTAGATACAGTTTTCTACCTGCTATCAATATACATCTATTATGTCTAAAACTAAATTTACAAAATCCTTCCCACCAAACTACAATTTCTCTTGTGTTCCCTGTAACTGTTAGTGGCAATGCCATCCTCTCCATCCCCCAGATAACCTTGGTGTTCTTGGATGTTCCTCTCCATTGCGTGCTCTCCCTAATCATTCCAATGTTGTCTCTGGATTTTCCCTCCAACGCAGTGTCTGCTTCTTGCCTTCAGATTCACTCCCTACCTGCCTTTCTGTTTTCTCTTGTCTCCAGCTTCCACCCTCCCTTGTTCTTGTACAAATAGGAATATAGTCCTCCAGAAGCCCATAGCTCATCAGGTCCATGATGTATAAAAGGTGGGCATTTAATATCTTGTCATTTTATTCCTTCTGTTTAAAAATCTTCAATTAATACCTACCACCAGTCAAATGAAGTCTAAAAGTAGCCTTCCCTCATTAGGAGTCAAACTTCACAACTTAATTTCTGCTTCTTCCTGCTGCCTGTACTTCAGAAAAAAAAAACAAACTGTTGGATTTCCTTGTGAGAGTGACTTTTCCTTGTCTGCATATTGTGCTTCTGCCTTTCCTTGTGTTTCTCATGACCTTATGGCATCTCTGACTCCAAATTGTATGTATCCAGCACAAATCTCAATCCTTCCACAATAATCATTGTATAACTACAGTGTTTCTTTGGACAGAGAGGTAGCACCAATGGCTGTGATGCAGTAATGAAAGTTTTGATTTCTCCAATCCAAAGGACTGTTTTATTTTTACTGTTTTATATAACAAATAGAAATATAATTTACATTTCTAGTTTCTCGTACTGAAATATATTTCTGACAGCTATAATATTTTTCTACTTAACTAGAAAAGACATAGTGCCCTCCCCATACACAAGGGTGTCATGCTTATTTCTTCCACACAACTTCTCTGAGTCTCCTCTTTACAATTAGAAGAGGTTTCTGAATTCCTTAGACACCTTCTTTATGACACAATATCCTTTATGACATGTATTGTTCTGTGTTTATGTACTGAACTTAAGTTCCCAATAAAGCCTAAATCCTTTGAGAACATAAAATCTGGTATTAGGTTTTACACATAGTAACAGCTCAAACATTTGAAGATAGTAAATCCACTGATTTTTATTATCCACTCTGTATCTCACATCTTTGCTACAAGGATATGAATAAAACTTTTAAAATTGTTTAAATGCTTACCAAAATAATATAATTCATTAAAATTGTATAATGAGCTCAATCCCACCTCTCCCATCCCCTATCTGCCCCCTCAGTAGCTACCACTTTTTTTGTTGTTGAGACAGGGTCTCACTCTGTCACCCAGGGTAAAGTGCAGTGGCACAATCACGGCTCACTGCAGCCTCGAACCCCTGAGCTCAAGTGATCCTCCCACCTCAGCATCCTGAGCAGCTGGAACCACAGGTGCACACCACCATACCCGGCTAAATTTTTTGTTTTTTTTTGTAGAGATGGGGTCTCCCTATGTTGTCCAGGCTGGTGTCAAACTGCGGCTCAAGTGATCCTCCCACCTCAGCCTCCCAAAGTGCTGGATTACAGGAGTGAGCCACCATACCCAGCCTACCACTTCTAACTGTACCCAGTTTTAGTGTAGTGGTTACTTCATTATCTGTAAAAATGTGTGTATCTTGCTCTTTTTGTTTATCAGTATTAAACCTTATCTCTCAACTTCCTGTTTTGATGGAAAAGAATCAACTCCCTTATACTAACTCCCTCCTTCCCTCTCTTCCTTTTAACAGGCGTATCTTTCTAGTTCCTATTTTCATGCATTTGTTTATTGCCTCTTTTAAGTAATACAGCAACATAAATTTCTAATGAAATCACTTTGACTCCCCACTTTTTAGGGTAAGAAATTAGTAACCGCTGCCATTTTACCTCCCCCTTTGTTTTTTCTTTAATAATGTCTGCTCTCTTTTTCAGTTTAGAATGCCTATCCATTTGATATAGAAGTACCTGGCTGAGGCCGGACACAGTGGCTCACGCCTGTAATCCCAGCACTTTGGGAGGCCAAGGCAGGCAGATCACAAGGTCAGGAGATCAAGACCATCCTGGCTAACACGGTGAAACCCCGTCTCTACTAAAAATACAAAAAATTAGCTGGGCATGGTGGCAGGCGCCTGTAGTCCCAGCTACTCGGGAGGCTGAGGCGAGAGAATGGCATGAATGTGGGAGGTGGAGCTTGCAGTGAGCCAAGATCGCGCCACTGCACTCCAGCAGAGGCGACAGTGCGAGACTCCGTCTCAAAAAAAAAAAAAAAAAAAAAAAAAAAAAAGAAGTACCTGGCTGACACATGTCATGTTTTTCCCTCTTATACCTATTCTGTTTTTGAATTTTGGTATCTTGATGCTATCTTACTTTGGTCCCTTAATGCTTTATCTCTTTTGGTTAAATATATAGGTCTTGGCCAGGCACTGTGGCTCACACCTGTAATCCCAGCACTTTGGGAGGCCCAGGCAGGTAGATCACCTGAGCTCAGGAGTTCAAGACCAGCCTGGCCAACATAGTGAAACCCTGCCTCTAAAAATACAAAAATTAACCAGGCATGGTGACACGTGCCTGTAATCCCAGCTACTTAGGAGACTGAGGCAGAAGAATCACTTGAACCTGGGAGGCGGAGGTTGCAGTGAGCCAAGATTGCACCACTGCACTCCAGCCTGGGCAATACAGCAAGACTCTGTCTCGGGGGGAAAAAAATTGTATATATATCATTGAGAAGGTGACATTCAAGTTAAATCTTAAAGGGAGAGAGTCACTTGGCTAACTGGGGTACAGCATCCCAGGCAGAGGGAACACTAGGGCACAGGTTTCTCATGGGGGCTTGGAGTGGGGCTGGACTAGGGTGAGGGAAGGAGAAGAGAGGATCGGGGAGGTGTGTGGGTCAGGTCCTGAAGTGCCTGATAGGCTATTGCAAGGATTTGGACTCTGAAAAAATTGGGGGATAAGTAGGGTTTCCTTCTCCATAACATTGTGATTCTTTTTCATGGGTGCTACCTTCTTTCTCTGAAGACATTAATTCATAGGATTTAGATTTTGTTTTTCTTGTTTGCATATTTGTCTTTTGTTTTCATCTGTTCACTAAAGCCAGTTTCCCTGGGATTTTACTTTCTTGTTGGTTCATCTTGGTCTTTTCTTTCAGACTTCAAGTTTTCTTCAAAGAAATGGCAATCCTTGGTTGTTATTTCATATTTAAGAATGAGGGACTGGGCCAGGCACAGTGGCTTGTGCCTATGATCTTAGCACTTTGAGAGGTAAAGGCAGGTGGATCACTTGAGGTCAGGAGTTCAAGACCAGCCTGGCCAACATGGTGAAACCCTGTCTCTAAGAAAAATATAAAAATTAGCCAGGCATGGTGTTGTGCGCCTGTAATCCCAGCTACTTAGGAGGCTGAGACAAGAGAATCACTTGAACCTGGGAGGCAGAGGTTGCAGCGAGCCAAGATTGCGTTACTGCACTGCACTCCAGCCTGAGCGACAGAGTAAGGCTCCATCTCAAAACAAAAAAAAAAAAAGAATGAGGGGCTAGAGAAAAAATAATAAGGGACTGGAGTAGCTGCTCCTCATCTTTGTACGTTCATGGATAGGGAGTTGGCACTTTTCCTGGGACTACCATATTCAAAATGGAAGGATGAGGATTTACTCTGGGGCTCCATAACTAGCTACCACGGTTGTATATAACTAGCTGCCACGGTTATATATAACTAGTTACCACAGTTTCCTGCACCCAAGTTGTTCAGTTATTTTAGCAATGACCCCTCTGATGCTTTTCCCTATTAACTGCCTGTAATTTGGGTCTGAGCCAGGGCGAGTGAGGAGGAAGTGTCAAGATTTCTCACAGCCACATCTTTAATTAAATCTAGTGTTTTCGGAAACTTCTCACCCACTCCTCCTGTAGCACCTCACTGGACTTCTGACAAACGGGTCGGTGTTTTCTTATCCCCCGTTGATGCCTATATTCAAGATTATGGCTTCCCTTGCTTTGCTGCATGAGTAAATATTGTACTTTACTTTCCGCTTTCCGTTTTTCCATATTTCAGAAAGTTTCAGAAATCAGTCTTCTGTTGATGGTTTCCCTCCATTATTGTAGCAGGATTATCACTTCTTTTGTACATATTCATTTTAAAGACCTTAGAAAGAAAGGAGAAGCAAACATTTGTGCTCCCATTCTCCATCCTGAACTGAAAGCCTTTCACATTTCATTGACGGTTTTGCTGAAATTAGAGAATACTATATTTTTGACACTCCTTTTATCTATCTGCTAATAAATCTATCGACAACAAAACTAGTTGTCATTAATATTTTATTTTAATGTCATGCCAGCCGCTAATATCCACTTAACTTTTTTTTGAAATGGGGTCTCTCTATGTTGCCCAAGCTGGTTTCAAACTCCTGGCCTCAGTCCATCCTCCCACATTAGCCTCCAGAGTGGCTGGAACTACAGGCACATGCCACCATACCTGGCTTCCACTTAACTTTTCTAAATGCTTAAGATTATTTATTTTAAAAGTCAACTATAGGATGTTACTAAGAATCTGTGAAGCAATTATGATAAGAATCATTTATACTAAATGTTTCAATCAACAACCCATTAGATAAATTGGCAAAATGTACATACAAACAGCTAATTCACAAAACAAGAAAAATTTTAATAAGTGCTTAAATATATGAAAATACACTCAGCTTTACTCTTAAGAAGAAAATGCAAATGAAACTGTAGTGGAATATTTTTTAACCTTTTACATTTGCAAAGATCAAAAAGTTTAGCGCTAGTCACGATTAAAATGATGATTGTTATTTTGTGTGCCAGCTATTATGCTAGGTACTTCAAAATATAAATATTTTTAAGGCTAACACTTTATTAGTGAGAAGATATAGACAC
The DNA here is from genome assembly GCF_000001405.40 of Homo sapiens. NCBI lineage: Eukaryota > Metazoa > Chordata > Mammalia > Primates > Hominidae > Homo > Homo sapiens. The sequence continues at coordinate 126,459,825 of NC_000005.10, forward strand.
TGTTGAATATTTGGGTATGCATCACAAAATGTCTACCGAGGGCAATTTGGCAATAGCTGTAACATTTTTTCTATCATACCTTTTGACACAGCAGTTCCATTTCCAGAAAATTATTCACACATGTAATAAACATATAAGGACATTTGTTGCAATGTTGTTAGTATTTGCAAAAGACTGAAATATACCTACATGCCCCATCAGTAAGGAACTGGTTAAATAACATTTCATCCTTACGATGTAACTTTATGCAGTCATTAAAAAGTATGAGGAAGATCTATGGGTACTGAAAGAACACCAAGATAAAATAAGTTAAAAAAAAAGCAAGGTGCAGAATAGCATGCTGTCTATCATTTGTGGTTCAAAAATGCACACGTTTACATACGCACAGTCTCTCCCAGGAAGGACACACAAGTTGCTGGGAAGAGTAGGTGCCTTTGTGGAGAGAAACTGGGTCACCATGAAACAGGGGTAAAAAGAAAATTTGTTTTTCCATTTGTAACTTTTAAATTTTATACTTATGCTTATAGTGCCTATTCAGAAATAAATATGTAGACAGATAAATGAAATTTATAGTTGTCCAAACAAAAATATATGTATCAGAATTGTAAATGGAAGATCATTCTTCTTGACTTGTAAAAATCTAGTTTGGGAGATTCTGAGTTTATGAAATTGGAAAAGCTAAAGGGTTTCCCAGCCATCCTGTCTCCATTGCTCACTCCTGCACTTCCGCACTCCATTCTATTTCCTTCTTTTGGTCACTGTGAGGCCTCTCTTTATTTGTACTATGGCTGCTGTCCAGCCCTCTTCCATCTCTATAGCCCAACTCTTTGCTTCCCAAGTATCGTGGCCTGTGTCTGCCAGCCACGGAGCCACTGAATAGGCAGCACTCCAAAAACAAGCGTCTATGAGGCCCCAGATCTTGGTGAATCCAGGTGCCAACATGGTTTTCACTACAGTTTCAGGAACACTCTACTTTCACAGACCCACCCATGACCACAGCAATCCCATTGCCAGGCATTTATTCTATGAAGACCCTCTGATGAAACATATCCTATCTTCAGACACTTCTAAACCTTTGTTGATCAAGACTGTGGCTTTAAAATGATCAGAGACTTTTTAAAAAATAATTGTAGATGTAAAACTACCTCTACTTCTACTACCATAAGGAAGCTTAGTGATTTTTTTTATGCCTTTAGCTTAGATTAACATGTGGGTAGACTCAAACACAGGGACTCATCACTGTAATTAGAAGGGAACACACCTTCTTGGACTGAACCACAGTGAAACACTTGTTTTCCTTCACCTGAGACACAGCTGAATCATAGCTTCTACCTTCAGCTACTTATTTACCTGGACTTGCATGTGATGTGCCTGAATACAATACATTCCCAGCAGGAGCGGCAAAGGGCCAGTGATGTGACAAGAGAAAGGTGTATTGAGTTTAGCTGAAACTCACAGAGACTATCTCCAGCAGGAATGATACTTGACTCCACATAAGAGTTCTAATTCTGAAAAATTGTGAAATGAGAATTTAAGTCATCATCAAACTAATGATGTCTGGGAAGTGACAAATATTAGATGGCTGATAGGGATTGTACAACCTGTTTTTGTATGTATAAATTGTGTAACAGTGTGTGGCAGTGTTTTATTGAAACAAGATTGTCCTAGCCAGTAATAAAAATGCTGTTCCCTGGCTGGGCATGGTGGTTTATGCTTTGTAATCCCAGCACTTTGGGAGGCCGAAGCAGGTGGATCACTTGAGGCCAGGAGTTCGAGACCAGCCTGGCCAACACAGCGAAACCCCGTCTCTACTAAAAATACAAAAATTAGCCAGACATGGTGGCAGGCACCTGTAATCCCAGCTACACGGGAGGCTGAGGCAGGAGAATCACTTGAACCTGGGAGGTGGAGGCTGTAGTGAGCAGAGATCACGCCATTGCACTCCAGCCTGGGTGACAAGAGTGAAACTCCATCTCAAAAAAATAAATAAATAAAAATAAAAATGCTCTCCCCTAATAGGTGAAGTCAGGTTTAGTTGTTATAAGCATGACTGTCTCACTGCTTTGAAATTTCTACTAAAAGCCTTTCAGGCAGGGACCATAACTGATGCTTAAAGTGGGTTGGAGATGGGAGGAGAAATAACCTGCCAAGGCCAAGTAAAGGTTGGTCCTGTGTCTCCAGCATTTTCTACTGCTTCTGTGGATACTTACACCTGCCAGCTCACTTACCTGTCTCATCTACAAAGCTCTGAGCACCCTGACAACAGGGACAAGTCCAGTAAATATTTGTTGAAAAAGGAGGATTGGTTTTTTGGTTTGTTTTTTCAGTTGACTCTTTTAGTCAAAGTCCGTAACAGGGCTTTGTCTTCTGGTTAAAAAATAAATAAAAACTGATTTCCTTATTTTCATGATTTAAATGAAACCTGTTCAGCTTCGTTGACCGTAACTTTAAAGTTACTAAGTGGCCTGGTTCAGCTTCATTGACAGTAACTTAAAAGTTTCCAAAAGGCCTTGAGGAAGCATTCCATTTCCCCTCCCACGCTGCTCACTCAAACACACGCTAGCCTCTGCTGCTTGAATTCTACATAGTTTCAGTCTGCTGCTGACAAGACCTCCAAGGTAAGGGACGCTTGCAGGAATAATCTTGCCTGTGTGAGGAATTAACTTGCTTGAGCCTGTAGCATCTTTAAGCAAAAACCTAAGATCAAATTGACTCGTAGATGAATTTCACTTCCTCTTTGAGATACTACATAATTAATCCATATCATTGAACGTATAAATGACCACTGTGAGCAAATGCTGAGCTGAGTGCTGTGGAAAAAAACCAGACATTCCCTGCCTTTAAGGAACTTGGTTTAGTGCTGGATAACTAAGATTTTTGGGAGAAAAGGTACCAGTACAAGGTATTAATTAATTAGATGCCTAGTGAGTTATAAAATCAGCAGGCAGCATAGAGACTTTTAAGCAGTGTGGAGGATGTGTCCCCTGGCTAGGGCCTTCAAGGAGAGAACCAGTGCTGAAGACAAGACACAAGTTGAAGGAGAAGTGAAGTGGAGAGTATGTAGAAAAAAGCTACTTTGAGTACACTGTATGTTCCATCCTTGAAAGACATTGTTTTAGTAGGACAATATAGAGGCATGCACTGTAATCTTTTCAGTGCTAAGCTAGGGGTCCCGAAACAGGACCACCTTATGTGGTTAAGCACTTAAGTCACCTGCACTGCACACAAATGCCTGACCAAGATGGGTCAGGGTCAAAGAGGAGCTGAAATCTAGCCTCAGTTTTGCTGCCTTCTGACCTTGGTGCTGGGCTGTTTCTGCCAAGAGCAAGAAGCACCTTATCTCTGCCAGGAGCACCTTTTGCAGAGTGGCTCTCTGTACACAAAGATGCTGTATAGGACAGCTCCAGCTCTCCCTCTAAGTCTTCATCTGATCCTGCATAAAATCCAGTAAATATCTGAATAAATGTTGAGATGGATTATTGAAGTTCTATACCCAGTCTCTACTTAAAGAGGGCTTCTCAAGTAGATTTCTGCCTGAATCTGTTGAAGAAAAGAGATAATGTGTTTGTGTCTTGGGGGAAGCGAAAAAAGGCAGAGATGTGCTTTAAGGCCTCTTAACTATTCTAAAATTCTTTGAGTCCACAAATTAAACTTGGTGCTAAGTTTAATAAAGTCCAATTATTATTTTAAACCAAAACAGGGTTTTCCTAATAATATTTCAATGCCTCAGCCTTCCATGTACCTTTGTCACATAATGCAATTCTGTTATGGACTGAGCCCTTTTAATGTATGTAACTGTTTTAAGTACTTGGAGAAAAATTGAAGAAATAGAAGGTTGGACCTCTGTCCTCAGATATGTATCTACTAGGAAAAGAGAAATGCTTACCACAAAATTAAGAGCGTCAACCATTTGGCCGGGTGCAGTGGCTCACGCCTGTAATCCCAGCACTTTGGGAGGCCAAGGTGGGCAGATCACCTGAGGTCAGGAGTTCGAGACCAGCCTGGCCAACATGGCAAAACCCCGTCTCTACTAAAAATACAAAAATTAGCCAGGCATGGTGGCGTGCGCCTGTAATCCCAGCTACTTGGGAGGCTGAGGCAGGAGAATCTTGAGGAAGGAGAATCTCTAGGAGGCAGTGGTTGCAGTGAGCCGAGATCGTGCCACTGCACTCCAGCCTGGGCAACCAGAGTGAAACTCCATCTCAAAAAAAAAAAAAAGAGCATCAACCATCTGTGGGTGTTATTAGTTAGATACCCTTGTCAGATATACTGGCCTTGATTCTGACACTACAATAGGACTCCTCGCCTAGGCTGCAATTTTCATATGCTGTGAAAAGTGATCAGCAAAGCAACCACACAGCTTAAACTATCCAGTGGCATTTCCTGCCTGCACAGTCATATGCAGGTGAGACTACCAAATAGGTGGTAAATGAAAGTGAAGATTAGCTAATCTCTCATAGCAATGCCATCTTAACATGTCTTTCTTTAGGCTCAGTCTCCATGGAGTCCTCACATCCTCAGAAGTATCGTTTGTGTTTTACTGAGCTGACACACCAAAGAAGTTCTGATCCATAAATAACATTTTGTATTCTTCCTTCAACATCCCTTCCTTTCCCACTTTCCCATTGGAAGTGGTTTCCCCTGCTTCCCAAGAGATCTTCACCGGCCGACTGAGGGAACTCACCTCTGCATCCCCCAAGCTGGTTGTCCTCTGTTTGTTGGTTCTATGCACAAACCTTCTTGACTCACCTTCCCCTCTACTCCCTTCCACCTTCTCTTTTACCAAGGTCAGACCTAGTTTTTCCAACGCCTATTGATCATGACTGTAAGTCAACACTATCCTAGACCCCGTGGTTAAGACAAAGATGAGTAAGATTCCCACTCTGCCCTGGAGCTCTCACACTGAAGAGTTAATTATGAGGATAAATGGATGAGTAGGTGGTTGGGGGGATGAATGGAGAGAGAGAACACAAAGGTTTTGCAGACAGACATACTAAGTTTGAATCTCAAGTAAGATAGATGCTAGCTCTCTGAACTTAGGCAAGATAGCAAGAGCCTCAGATTCCTCATCTGTAAAATGAGGGTAGTAATTCCTACCTAGTCTGGGTGGTTGTAAAGATTAGAGACTGTAAATTGCTTAGGGAACTGCTTGGTTAAACAACATGTAAGTGACATAAGAGAAATGCAAACAAAAGGGGTGGGGGTTCCCAGCAGGAAGGCTCACACCTGCAGGAGGCCACACGTGAGCGTGTGTACATGTGCGTGTGTGCTTGTGCAGGGCGCTCCCAGCCTCCAGGTGATCTGCTGCCCCAGCACAGCCCATGCAGAGCAGAGCTGGGCAGCACAGACCTGGGAGCCAGCAAGTCCACACAGTCTGGCATTTACAAGTGAAACAGGTGCGACCTGCAGCTACTGCCGTTGGGACACCAGGCAAGGGGTTAGAATGGAGATTGGGAAAGGGCCTCGCTGTCAAAGTTAACTAGCCTATCAGTGAGGAATGAAAATCATTCCATTCTCTAGAAAACCATGTTACTTCATCGTTTTCCTTCCAGCTACCTCTCTCTGAATGTCTAAAGTGAAGCGGTTTCCTTTCTTCTTCAGCTCAGAGGCTGAGAATGGTGTGGAGGAGAAAAAGAAAGCCTGCAGGTCGCCAACAGCCCAATCCCCTACCCCATCTGTGGAGGCGGACTCCCCAGACCAGAAGAAAATCATTAGCCTATGGTAAGTCCTCCGTTGACTCTCTTTGTTCTCTTTTGTCTTTTGGGGAGAAGGCGTTACAGGAGGAGCAGGGGTTTTTTGTTAAGAGTGAGGATGTATTAATACTATAGACAAATAATACTCCTGAGAAAGAATGAGCATTTTTCCCTGATACCCAGGTAGCATCTTTTTCTCCCTCCTGCCCCAGCCTTCAGCAGAGCATCTGCACCTTTCTGAAAGCGCTGATTTTGCTAAGTGATGAGGCCAGGGTGGACCCCTCTCTGGCATATGTTTAGAAAGCTGGGAAGGCTGGCCAGGTTGGAGTGTCTGCCCGGCCTTGGGTGTGCACACCTGGTGTCTCACTTTCCTAGGGGCCGTGAAAAAAAGCCGAGGAAAAGAATCCCCATCCCGGGGACCCACCAGGCCACCAGTTTCCTGTGACAGACTAAGAGGGAGGGTTGGTTTGGTTGTGGGGCCGGAGGGGAGAGGTGGTTTTGAGATGTGTAGCTGTAGCCTCATCTTTCTCAGAGGCACCAACTACCATTTGGTAGAGACTAAAGTTGGTAGAGACTAAAGTTGCTTTGGGGCACTTAAAAGATAGCGGTTAAACCAACAGTGTGTGATGGGTGAGTGCAGTTTATCTAAACTGAGTACAGAAATCATTGTGGTCCTTCACCATTATTAGAACTTTGAGAACTGCTACCTTCTACTTCTTTTGGTCTTTGCTAAAAGATTATTAACTCCGCTTTTTGCTTCCTTCCTGGCTTCCCAGCCCATATCTTCTCTCCAAATCTATGCTTCATTCAGGACCAAGAGTAAGTCTTAACTCCTCCCGAAATTTTCCTCTTCTGACTCTAATTCCCAATTATCTCTCCATCTTTCCTGCATGCTGTTTTGTGGCATCTCACCTTTTTTTTTTTTCCAGTCGGAGTCTCGCTCTGTCATCCAGGCTGGAGTGCAGTGGCACATTCTCAGCTCACAGCAACCTCCGCCTCCCAGGTTCAAGCGATTCTCCTCCCTCAGCCACCCTGGTAGCTGGGCCTACAGGCATGCACCACCATGCCCACCTAATTTTTGTACTTTTAGCAGAGACAGGGTTTCACCATGTTGACCAGGTTGGTCTTGAACTCCTGACCTCAGGTGATCCACCGGCCTTGGCCTCCCAAAGGGCCAGCATCTCACTTTAACAATTTTTTTTCCTCTAGTTGTTTCCCCTCAAAGCCTCACCTAATGCTTCTCTTCACAAAGGCACAAGGCACATTATTTCTCATGTCTTTTACCACTGTTGGCTGACTACAGCAGGCACCTTAAAAACACTGTTGGTTTTACTCCAACTTCCCCAGGCTTCCGTAATAATAATACACTCTCACAGGGCATGCTTGCTAAACTTCATGGGCATGCGGTTCCTGCAGTTGGAAAGGGCCCACACTTGGTTTAATGTTCCCCTCTTGCTATCCAGAAATGCTTAATAATTTTTATGTAAGGGGGCCAGGCACGGTGGCTCACACCTGTAATCCTAGCACTTTGAGAGACTGAGGTGGGTGGATAACTTGAGGTCAGGAGTTCGAGACCAGCCTGGCTAACATGGTGAAACCCCATCTCTACTAAAAATAAAAAATTAGCCGGGTGTGGTAGTGCATGCACTCAGGAGGCTGAGGCAGAAGAATCGCTTGAACCCAGAAAGTGGAGGTTGCAGTAAGCCGAGATTGTGCCACTCCAGCCTCAGCAACAGAGTGAGACTTTGTCTCTATATAAAAATTATTAATTAATAATTTTTACTTGTTTTTATTAATTAATTAATAATTTTTATATAAAGGACCCCACATTTTCATTTTGCACTGGGCTTCTTGTCACCTGTAGGAAGTGAGAATAACAGGGTTGAAAAGACCCAAAGAAATCCATATTGTATACATACATACCCTGTCCACAGGGGCCAGTGTCATGCAGATGAACCCCCTTATTGCTTGTGCCTTTTGAAATTATCAAGGGTAGAGCCACCCTACTCGTCATATTTGCTTGCAGTCCATGGATCTTCAAAAGGTCGGATCATTTCCTTGCCCATTCCATTAACATTTATTAATGGGAATCAGTAGAGGTGATGAATTCAAATCTGTGAATAATATAAATAAAAGGCAAGTTGACATTTGTACAGATAATTTTATTTTCAAATAGAGAACAAATGTTTTTTCATAGCTTCCAAAAAAATGTAATCCCTAGAATTCCCAGGGAATTTATGTCTGTGAATAGCTTCAATGGCCTGTATCTGAAATTAAACTCATTTACCTTGAACTGCTGAGGGGTATTTGCCCTGTGATTTCAGCATTGTGGAATCATACACTGTAGTGGCTAGAAGAGGCCTAGGACATCATATAGTCCATCTTTTCACAGCTGAGAAAACCAGAGCATAATTCTCTAACTTCAGTCCTTTCTGTTTCTCTGTGACACCCATGTACCACCTGAATTACTTCAGATTGTTCTTAAATCCACTTTGAACCAATTTTTTTTAACTGAACCTCATTTTAAGGAATAATATTGTGAAATCATGGATTTTGTGTGTCGTTTCCTCCCAATAAACATTAAAGCAACTTCATAATCATAAAACTTATTCATATATATAACTCCAAAAATCATCTATGCATTCTACTTTGAAATGACTGCGTTTAGCCGTAGGGTTGAAGTTACGTACAAATGTACACATCCACTAAAATGGAAAACCAGGACTAGAATCATCTTAGAAGGAAACTCTGGAGCTCTGACCTCTGTGCTTAACAGGAAAAAGGAAGACTTGGCTTCAAACATGTTTTGTGGTTTCATTTTTTTTATTCTGATTTCACTTTTATTGTATTCCCACTCTGGGATGTTTTGTCTCTTTTCCTCATACCCAATTCTTGCTTATCCTGTTAGGCCCAGCATTTTAAGCCCACATTATTCTACTGTTTTCCTCTTCTATTTATTTACTTTTTTTAATTTAACTTTATTTTTTTGAGACAGAATATTGCTCTGTCCCCCAGGCTGGAGTGCAATGGTGCAATATCAGCTCACTGCAACCTCTGCCTCCCGGGTTCAAGCGATTCTTCTGCCTCAGCCTCCCGAGTAGCTGGGACTACAGGCGCCCACCATCATGCCCAGCTAATTTTTGTATTTTTAATAGAGATGGGATTTCGCTATGTTGGCCAGGCCGGTCTCAAACTCCTGACCTCAGGTGGTCCGCCCACCTTGACCTCCCAAAGTGCTGTGATTACAGGCATGAGCCACTGTGCCCGGCCTGTTTTCCTCTTCTCTTACCTCCTGTTAGACTTATTGGCTCCATACCTTCTCCTAACTCCTATAATATGTATTTTTTTTGGTGCTAAATCATGTACTGCCTTTTTAAAAAAGTGTTTGATGCATGCATACACAGGCGCCTTAAGGATACAAACTGTGTTATGGGCCCCAAGACATTTAATACAATGCCCTACTCAATTAATACTTGTTATATATTAGTGGAATTCTGAAACAAAAATATTCTTTGATTGAACTATAGCTGCAATATTATTTAGTAATTTGCCTCAAGTACTCCTTTTTAAATACTGATTAAAATAGTTTCGTTTTAAAATGATGTAATTATTTTCACAACTTGATTGTTATTTCACCCTCTGTAAGTTACTATTTCTACAGTTTTTGATTACAGCCTGATGAAATCATTGCAGTGTCCTAAAGCATGTGCTGTGTAAATATTCTCAGAGTATCATGAATGATTTTTGATATCCAGAAAAGAAAAACAAATGTCAGGTTTTCTTAGAAGATAGTATAATAATCAAGATTTATTACAATAAATTAATGAAAAATGTATCTCATAGGCCAGGTGTGGTGACTCATGCCTGTAATCCCAGCACTTTGGAAAGCCGAGGCAGGTAGATTGCTTAAGTCCGGGAGTTCAAGACCAGTCTGGGCAACGTGGTGAAACCCCATCTCTACAAAAAAATGAGCTGGGCATGGTGGCACACACCTGTAGTCCCAGCTACTCAGGAGGCTGAGGTGGGAGGATCGCTTGAGTCCTGGACGGGGAGGTTGCAGTGAACCGTGATCATGCTGCTGCACTTCAGCCTGGGCAACAGAGCAAAACTGTCTCAAAAAAAAATTATCTTATAGACACCCTGGACTTTCTTTCTTTAGGTCAAAATCCAGTTTTGATGGTGCCTCTTTAGCAAGTGATAAGAACGACTGTAAAACAGAAAGCAAAAATGACCCTAAGACTGAAAGAAAAAAGTCTTCATCTTCCAGCCAGGTAATTTGAGAATGGAATTTGTATTGTCTTAGAGGGTGACAGGGCTACTGAAGCCAGTGACAAGAAGGAACCCAAGTATGCACCTTCCTGCTGGTCAAGACTAATATAGGTATAGAGTTTAGAGAATTTAGAAGAACAAACAGGCAGCAGTTCCTCCAGTCCATTTTTCAGCAACGTTATATTCCACAACTCATTTTTCAGCACATTGCATGGTAGTGAGTTCCATGCTGTGGCCTCGAACTCTGACAGATACCCAGAGATCAGGGACCAACACAAAGTCATGTGCTTATCCAATAATTGGCAGGACAAGGGGAGTTGTGACATCCTTGTACTGAAATTGAAGAGTCTGATAAGGCACCTGCCTGAATAGTAGTAGGCCAGCCAACTGCACACAGAGGAGTTAGACCTTTGAACAGGGTCAGGATTCTTCTCCAGAACTAATTTTGGTTCTGCTTTAAAATATACCCAGATAGGAAACAAAGCCTAGTTCTATGTCATCAGAGAGTGTGATGCATGTGCTGGGGACAGGAGTTTGGGGTTTTTCTTAATTCTTCACCCCTCTAAATACTTGAATATGTGTTTCCTAAGAGCTAAACCAAAAACCATCGGCACACCCAAGAAATTTAAATATGAAATGTATTAAAATATTATTAATACAAAATTCACTTTTGAATTTCCATAGTAGTCCCAGTAATAAATATCCTTTATAAAGGTGTTTTTTTCCTCTTCAGGATCCAATCAAGAGTCACATACTGCATGTAATTGCTATGTCTTTTCTCTTTTTTTTCAAGGCAGAGTCTTGCTCTGTTGCCCAGGCTGGAGTGCAGTGCCACAATCTTGGCTCACTGCAACCTCCACCTCCCGGGTTTAAGTGAGTCTCATGACTCAACCATCTGAGTAGCTGGGATTACAGATGTGCACCACCACACCCAGCTAATTTTTGTATTTTTAATACAGACAGGGTGTTGCCGTGTTAGCCAGGCTCATCTCAAACTCCTGGCCTCAGGCGATCCACCCACCTCTGCATCCCAAAAATGCTGTGATTACGAGCATGAGCCACCGCACTCAGCCTGCTATGTCCCTTTTAATTGAAAGCAGCCCCACTACCTTTTTTGCCATTTATTACGTTGACATTTTTGAAGCGTTTATGGCCTAGCATATTTTAAATCAAGCGTGCAACCACTGCTCACTGTAGCCATTGAAAACAAAAGCTCAGTGAAGCCATAGAACACCTAGCTTTAATCAAGGTATCTTTCTATAAGGAGTTTATCTGTAAAATAGTTGACTTGCAGGGACCATCTATCATCTTGATGACCTGGTCTGTAGTTCTTTATGGCAAAACAGGGCCAGTTTTGCCATTGAGACCACTCTTGGTTTGGATAATAAAGCCATCCAGGGCCTCCTACCCATTCTCCTTATAAGAATTTTTCTTCAGAAGCATCCCGTGAGGCAGATTGATCCTGTGGAGGGAGGATCGAGTTCTACCCCATAGTTCGCTTCAGGCTTGAACTCCTGGGCTCAAGAGATCCTCCTGCCTCAGCCTCCCGAGTAGCTAGGACTACAGGCACATGCCACCACATCCAGCTAACAGTTCTACTCTTAATAGCTATATGATGCAGGTGAAAGTGTTTTACAAGCTGTAAATTGCTGGCTATCCATTGTTATTGTCACAGTTGTGAAAACAGATCCCTTGAGGATGAAGTGATTTACAGCTTTCATGGTCTTGGGCCTTCTGCTGCCCTGGAGAGTGAAGTCTTTGTATGAAATCCTACTTGTCTTGTCAGTAGCCTACTACTGCATCCTACTCCTGTCACTGGCTAAGGAAATGCCTTCACAATAATACAGTAGGAAGAGTGGCCATATGTTGCCTTAGACTATAGGTCCTTTACATGTATTATCCCATTTAAGCCTCATGGCATCCCTTGAGGCTGGCACTGTTTTTGCCCTCTGGTACAGAAGAGGAAACCAAGGCCCAGGGAGATTAAGTGACTAAGCCATGGTCACACAACAAGAGCTAGAGCCACTACAGCCAAGACTTCAACTCAGGTTTACCTGACTACAAAGCTTTGAACCACTGTACTCTTCTGAGAGTACTCACTGGTACCTTTAGTACCTGGGATCCAGTATCTTCCCTAATGAGATTCCTTAGAATTTCATCCCATTTCTCATCAGGGACATCCTTGTCCAGCCCTGTTACCTCGGCAGTAGGCTGACCAGCAGCTGCATCATTATATCCAACCAGCAAAGCATTAAACTTGTTAGAAAATGAAACTGTGTGCCCAGACTTTCACTGTGTTTTACTGAAGGCTTGTGTCAGAGACTGTAAGATCAGTGAGAAGGAATTCCTAAAGATACTATTAAGGGAGGGAAAATTTGTTGTTGAAGTTGAATTTGTGATGTTTCACAAGAAAGTGAGAATGGTGATGCTTGTATTTTGTTCTCATTGTAGTACAAGGCCAATATGCACTTTCACAAGTTGTTTCTTAGTGTCCCAACGGAGGAACCACTGAAGCAAAGTAAGTTCTGACCTGTTTGACTTTTTAAGCTACATATTTGAAAAGTTGATCATTAGTTTTGGGGAAGAAAAAGGGCATAGTCCATGGACTGAGTCACCAAGGGGATCAGGTTTCTGAAAGTAATAACATAACAATAACACCAGCTTCAGTCAGCTTTCACCAGGCAGCGTGAAAAGATCACAGAGGAGAAAAAGAAACAGTTCTCCATGGGGTATGGAGTCACCCAAGATGGTTCCGTGATGCCCTTCCCTTCTTTATTTATTGCTGAAATGCACATGGTTACATTGCTTTAAGATTTAGGATAACAAGCCTGGGGCAAGAGAGGCCACTAGAAGAAGGCTAAAAGAAAACTCACATCCTTAGACATGGACAGACATGTGCTGATGCCACTATGAAGGGTAAGATAGTCACCTAAATATCTTGCCCAGCATGCTAGTTAAGCACGCCTACTAGACTCTGCAGTGGTTCATCAAGGGGCCCAAAGTTCCATTCTAGCCTCTCTTGATGTGCAAAAGTTGAGGCAAGATGCTGGGTTCCTGCCATGACCTTCAAACAGGAGGTGTGGGTTATGTGCTCTTCCCCTAGTGAGGCCATGTATTTTGAAAACAGTCATTCCTGAAAATACTGGGGAAAAGGGGAACAGGTGTACTAATATCAGCACATGGTGACACACCAGGCTAAATAGAGGAGACTTGTAAGACCCCATTCTTGGTCTCTCAGGTACAATGGTAGATTTGCCTTTTCATTCTGATATTTATACTGAAGTTGGTAAGACTTTGAACTTAAAAGCAAACTGGTTGCCACAGCTTTCTTTCCATAAAGATGACAGAAGAAGAGGTAATAAAACTTTTGAGTGTGAATGTATTATCTCTGCCCATCCTTGAGTCACCAAAATATATACACGGTTTTTATTTTAAGTGGAAATTCTAAATGATGCTGTGCCTGTGTATATTTTCCCAGGCTTTACCTGTGCTCTACAGAAAGAAATACTATACCAAGGAAAGCTCTTTGTATCAGAAAACTGGATTTGTTTTCATTCCAAAGTCTTTGGAAAAGACACAAAGGTTGGTATAATTAAAAAAAAAAATGCTAACCCTATACTTTATTATATATGGTAAATATTAATCATCTTAAATTTAGCTATATTTGTAGATATTTGTATCATGGTTATTCTTTTATGTCAAGTTTCTTTTGTTGTAATTCCAAATACTATGCATTCTAAATGCCTCCAGAAGACACTAACTTCCCTTTTTCCCTAAACATTATTTTCTCACTCATTTGTTTATACACATATACCTCATATATACACATGTACCTCACCCATAACCATACCCTAAATCCTTTTTACTCAGATGTCACCAGAGAGCACTCAAAGTTGTTTATATGGAGGGTGTGCCATGATTTTCAAAGACATACATTTAAACCAAAATCATTTCTTTTAAGAAACATCAATTTTTATACCATATTTATACCAGTTACCAGTGATGCGTAGGACAGCAGGCCTATAAATAAGCTACTTATTAGCACTCCCTTTGTACCCTCACCAGCACAAAATGAGCAGGAGGTGGAGCAGTTAAGGCCTAGCCTGGGTAAGTCAGACATCCTCAATCCCAAGTGTACTCTGATATTACATCTTTTCATTATTATTAAATATAGATTTGGGGGAGCAGAGACACATGACATCCTGAGGCATTAAGGAGAACAGCCTAAAGGAATTGGCACTGCCCTCTAAACTGGGGACCGTGGGACTATGGCCTATCAAAGAAAAGATAATTCTATCCCACTGACATTTTTTTACCTTTGAGCTATGATGTCACATCACAGTTCATTCAGGCCTCCAGAATAACACCAGAGAAACACCTTCTTGGGTTTGCATGACCTTAGTGAGTTTTCAGTCATTCTGATTCATGATTATGAAGAAGCAACTTTCATACTCATGAAGTCGCTGATTAAAACTTCTTTTTGAGTAGTAGATGTGCCTTATTTAAATATTCTCTCTAAAACCACTGGCAATTGCATAAAGACCACTTAACAAATCTAATAGGAATATTTTCTTTTGTTGGTGTTGGAGCTAGAGGCTAACATACTATTCTTTAGGTAAAACATATTCTTTTTTATTGATTTTTTATCATATAGAGCTATGTTTAGCTAAGCATTATTTGATCGACAGTATTATCTGAATCAGTATAATACAAAGCAATATGAAGCAGTATTTCATATATTTCTACATTTCTGGATTAAAGGTCTTGTTCATGGAATGGGGAAGGGGATTGGGTAGTACTGATCAATGTGATATAGTTCTCAGGAATTCATAGAGAGCCAACATCTCTGAGCAGAGCAGCAGGGACTGAAGATACTAATGAACAAAGTATTAGTCTTTGTTAAGGGATGGGGGATTCACAAAGGCAGTCAGTGCACTTTCAAGCTAATCTGACTCTAGCAATGGTTTTAAAGTTCTACTTCTACCTAAGAACTGATAAAAAGAAGTTAGAAGGAGTGACCCTGGTTTTTTGAAGACATGGATATACTGAGATTGCTTTTACAACGTGTAACCTACAGAAGCAGGAGACTGAAAATTAGCAGGCCATGGGAATAAGAACCATGATAGTGACTTGTATGTTCCATCCCTTCTAAGGATGGTGTCAAAGGAGATTTGGGCTTCAGAGATGTTGCAGAATTTCCTCACTGCCAATGGACCTCAGTCCAACATGGTCCAATATGAGCTGAAGGCACCCAAACAATTGCTCTACAACGGGAACTTTCCAATCAAGTTCCCCTTCTAAAGCAGTTTACCCTGGAAAAATGTTACCATTACCCTGGAAAAATATTAATAAAGTATAGCCTTAATTTAATCCGGACCTTTTTAGTCAGCCTGTCGGTATTTTCAGATGCCAGTAAAATTAACATGCATGTATCACATTCTGTCTAAGCTCAAACTGAAAAGTGATTTAAGCTTTATTTTACAAATGTTATCTGGTTGTAATTTTATACTCATGAAGCAATTGCTTGAAAACTCCTTCTTAAGGGTGTTCCATGCCTTAGATTATGAAAAATCTAAATTTCTAGCCCTTTGTCACTGCATGTTTGTATTGTTGCTCAGAAACAAAATTAGACTCATTTTTTAAAAATCATCATCTAAGTAGATCTCAAATTCTTTTTTTCCAAATTTATCCCAACTTGTAAGTTCTGAATTGCCTCCTCCCTTTGAAAAATGTTGTGAGTAGAGTTCTTTGGCAAACAGTTTTTAGAAAATGTCTTGATTGGTTTAGCCCCTTGTTCTTCCATAGTCTTCCAGCCTAGATCATTGAGGGCAATAAATAAGCCCATCTCATAAACCCAGATGTGAATGCAAATATTCAAAATTAAAAGCTCATTTTGTGGCCAGGCACAGTGGCTCACGCCTGTAATCCAGCACTTTGGGAGGCCAAGGCGGGCGGATCACCTGAGGTCGGGCGTTCAAGACCAGCCTGACCAACATGGAGAAATCTCATCTCTACTAAAAATACAAAATTAGCTGGATGTGGCCGGGCGCAGTGGTTCACACCTGTAATCTCAGCACTTTGGGAGGCCGAGGCAGGCGGATTACCTGAGGTCAGGAGTTTGAGACCAGCCCGAACAACATAGAGAAACCCCTTCTCTACTTAAAATACAAAATCAGCCAGGCATGGTGGTACATGCCTGTAATCCCAGCTACTAGGGAGGCTGAGGCAGGAGAATCACTTGAACCCAGTGGGTGGAGGTTGCGGTGAGCCGAGATCGTGCCACTGCACTCCAGCCCAGGCAACAAGAACGAAACTCCATCTCAAAAAAAGAAAAAAATTAGCTGGGTGTGGTGGCGCATGCCTGTAATCCCAGCTACTCAGGAGGCTGAGGCAGGAGAATCACTTGAACCTGGGAGAAGGAGGTTGCCGTGAGCCAAGATTGCACCATTGCACTCCAGCCTGGGCAACAAGAGCAAAACTCTGTCTCAAAAAAAAAAGCTCATTTGCTTCCTTCAAGCTGGCAGTACTTACATAAAGCCCATCTCTTTGAGAATATGTGAGGCATTTTCAAGAAGTAGATGTTCAAGTGAGTGTGAGTTCCTAGGGAAGGGGGAAGTCAGATCATTTTACCATGGCTGTGCGTGACTCTATTTTCAGGGATTGAAGTGATGTGATCCATTTTCCTTTGAGATCAAACTTGGTTGGAGAGGTATAACATAAATTATCATGAACTTCTCTGTTCTTTGTGCCATTTGATACATTCTTATAGCACATTGTATTGAAAAGAACCCACATTTGGAATCAGATTGGCTTGAATTCCATCTTTGTAACTTCTTATGTAGGACATGCACCTCTCTAAATAAATTTCTTTATTTCTCATAATATTGACTATGTATGATCATAATTAAATTAAATTCTATCTGGTAAATAGGTATCAATAATGGTAGCTTCTATAGTTACTGTTGTTGTTATTCTTTGTTGAACCAGAAAAGTATTTAGAATTCTTTTATGTCACCCATCCTGATTTCATGAAACAAGTGAGGAGGCGAATGAAATTTTTATTCAACACTGGGCATTTTGCATATATTATCTCACTTAATCCACAGAAAATCCTGAGAAGCAGACGAGGCTATCTCCAATTTATAAATCAAAAAACTGAGGCCTAGAACGGATAGCTTACAAGGGGGAGTAGGTCATGTAGATACAGGTTGAGAATCCCCTATCCAAAATGCTTGGGACCAGAAGTGTTTTGGATTTCAGATTTTTGCAATATCTGCCAACATATAACTGGCTGAGCATTCCTAATCCAAAAATCCAAAATCTGAAATGCTCCAATGAGCATTTCCTTTGACCATCAATATCAGCATTCAAAAACTTTTAGATTTTGGAATAGTTTGGATTTATGATTTTCAGATTAAGGATGCTCAACCTGTAGTAACAGAACTGAGCCAAGAATTCAGGTCCCAGATTTTCTATCCAGTGATGGTCCTATTATACCAGTGCTTTTTAACATGCACCTAGAGACAGAGGAGAGTAGGGCATGTGGAAGTTAGCCCAAAGTGGATGACCACAAGCTTGAAATTTCTTTAGAGCCTTGTGCTTATCTTTAAAATGAATACATATTTTGCATTCTATTTCCATGTCTGAAGATAAACGTTTCCCACCAAGATCTTCAGTCCAATTGATGATTAAGATTTATCCTCTGGCTTAGTAAGCCCCACTTTGAGGAGCTCAGTGATACATCCCTGCCACTCTGTAAGACTGGCTTTTTTTCATGGAGGCTGGAGAGCTTGCTGCTGGTTTTGATTTCTGTTTACCTTTTTTTTCTTTTTTCCTTAAATGTGAAGATTTGAAGTGCTGTTCTGTCAAGTCTGAACTGGCATTAACTTGCTGATTCTGTTTCAGATCTCTATTCCAGCTTTCTCGGTAACCCTAATAAAGAAAACCAAAACTGCTCTTCTAGTGCCAAACGCCCTGATCATAGCAACAGTCACAGACAGGGTGAGTATGCAGCCGAGCGAGGGCATCTTTGCTTTGTCCTCCTGCTCTGGGCTCTGCTGCCTAAGGGGTCTCTTGCCAAGGACCAAGACTCCAAACCATAAATATCATCTCCTGTGGTGAATCAGGAAAATTCCATAAGACTAATTTTAAAAATTATAGCCTGTAGACATTCATGTAGTGCTGTTTCCCTTCACAAAGTGATTTATTCTCATAGAAGTGTTGCCAATTTTGAATTTCCTGCTGACTTAATTATACTTGCCTGACCAAGGTCAAAAAAATAAAATTCTTTCTCAACTTCTGCTAGGTCAGGCTAAACTGATACATTCAGTTCCTTTAATAATAGTCTTAAAGGGAAAAAAAAAAAAAAAAAAAGGAGGTCAGGCCTTTAATTCCAGCACTTTGGGAGGCTGAGGGCTGAGGTGGGAGAATTGCTTGAGCCCAGGAGTTGGGAACCAGCCTGGGCAACATGGTGAAACCCCGTCTCTACAAAAAATATAAAAATTAGCCAGGTGTGGTGGTATGTGCCTGTGATCCCAGCTACTTGGGAAGCTGAGGTAGGAGAATCACTTGAGCCCAGGAGGTAAAGGCTGCAGTGAGCCATGATTGTGCCACTGCACTCCAGCCTGGGCAACAGAGAAAGACCCTGTCTCAAAGAAAAAGAAAAAGGACAAGGCCAGGCATGGGGGCTCACACCTGTAATCCCAGCACTTTGGGAGGCCCAAATGGGCAGATCGCTTGAGTCCAGGAGTTCAAGACTAACCTGCGCAACATGGTGAAACCCTCTGTCTTCAAAAAATACAAAAATTAGCCGGGTTTGGTGGCACACACCTGTGGTCTCAGCTACTGGGGAGGCTGAGGTGGGAGGATTGCTTGAGCCTGGGAGACAGAGGTTGCAGTGAGCTGAGATCGAGCACCACTGCACTCCAGCCTGGGTGACAAAGCGAGACCCTGTCTCAAAAAAGTAATAAATATATATAAAGAACAAGAACAACAAAACCACCACCTTACTGACAGGGTGAGGCAGGCAGGTTGATAGTGAGGAGTTCCTGGTGTGGGGGTGGCCAGCCTCCCCATAACCTCAATCAATACCTCCCTAGAGCCATTCCAGATAAATAAAACTTGCACCTGCTCTGCAACTGCAGGTACAGGATCAGTTTTTAGACCTGCTTTACTAACAGCTTGCCTAAACTACCTTCTATATAGAAATTCCAGAGCTGAATTGACTATTGGGCTACCACAGACATGCACAATCAGAAAAATTTACATTAAAGTGGTGTCTATTTCAGCTTGGCAAGAAAGAGGGAGTGGAGTGGTCTGGTTACTTTTCACATGAATTTTTTTAATCTTTCATGAATTATTTCTATGAAAGCATAAACTCTACATTCTATAGATTTCATTTCTCCTTTTTCCTTTTTTATTTTTTCTTTTTTCAATAGAGATGGGGTCTTGCTATGTTGCCAAGAGCTGGTCTCAAATTCCTGGGCTCAAGTGATCCTCTTACCTCAGCCTCCCAAAGTGCTGGGATGACAGGCATGAACCACCATGACTGGCTATAGATTTCCTTTCTAACCATACTAGAAAACTTGTAGAGAGGAGAAGAAAGAAGGAAAGATAAAAGAGACCATTCTGATAAGCTAGAAAATATGTTAATATCTATTTGGGGATTTTTTAGAAATACTAATAGCCAACAGGCATCAGTATTTCCTCCTTGTCAGGCCATGCACTAATGCTTTTTTTATATTTTCTTGCTACCACCCTGTAATGGATAACTGTTATTAAGAAAACTGAAAGTTAGAGGGGTTAAGCAATTTTCCCAATGTCACCCACTTAGTAAGTGTAAGAGCCAGAATTTGCAACTGGATCTGCCTGATGCCAGAACCCACAATATTAATTACTTTGGAATATAGTACTTGCTCGGAAATAATTCAAGTTCCCTCATTGGTGAATGAGAAGGATAATCACAAACTCATGGAAAGGAGGTCTGAAAACATTCTATGGCATAAATAGATGGAAAAAAAGTAAATTTTTATATTTTCTGAACATATTGTTTATGGTAAAATCATTTTTCCTCATGTCATTTGTCTTCACATGATTTGTCTAGCTTTGATTTTACTCCTTTCCCATGGCTCACTTATAAGTCTCCACTAGAAAATCTCCATATTTGTACAAGGAAGAATCTGGAAGTGGCAAGAAAGAGAGCTAGCCTATTAGAGCCACTGGGAAGTTTTCAGTGGAAATCTAGGTCAGAGCAGAGAAGGCGGACCCTCGGGAATTGTTAAATACCCTTAAAAACAAAAACAGAGGGAGAGAGATTTTAAAGGGGATCTAGTGAATGTCACCAGCCTTTTCTTAATGTCCAGGCCTTTTCTTCTCTGGGCTTGTTTGAGGCACCAGTGACAGGCTTTTGGAGCCTTCATTTTGCCCTACATGTATTTATTACTCTTAAATTGGGTTTGAAGATTTTGTTGCTTTTATGGGAGAATGTTTGCTTTATTACAGGAATGGAATAAAAATGGAATGTTTGAGTGAGAGGAATGAGAATATAGATCAAAGAGAGGTCCATGTTGTTTGAAAATGCAAAAGCTGTATACAGATACTTTTCTGAACTCTCAACTCTCACTTCTCATCCGGCAATATCTATTCATAATTATCCTGTTTTGTTTTTCAGTACATATTTGTCTCCTTACTCTCCAGAGATTCAACTTACAAACTACTAAAATCTGTGTGTGGACACTTAGAAGTGAGTATGATGTCCCTGAGCCTCAATTACTGTCTCTCTTCTGTATTTCTTATGGTTTCATAGTTAATCTGGCTTTTCGTTTTGTTCCAATAATTTCAGAATACAAGTGTTGGTAACAGTCCCAATCCATCTTCTGCTGAAAACAGTTTCCGAGCAGACCGCCCTTCATCTCTGCCTCTGGTAAGTTGCCCACATAACTATCTAAATGCAAAAGAAAGGGAATATGTCCCACAATTACACTTGTGCTTACACCATGACCAGGGTGTGGGAAGAGCTTAGGACCAAAATATTTGAGGTACAGTTGAAGAAACAGGGCATATCTTCCTTGAAGAAGAGGAAACCATAGTAGCCATAAACTTTTTCCAAGTAATTGAAGAGTTGTCCTGCAAAAAGAAAGAAACACCTAGTAGACTATCTTGGTGAGTTACTGGTCAGTGAATGCATTCATAAAATCTTGCTCTGTTTGCTTGTCAATATTGGCTTAGAGGGATTCACAAATCTATTTGAGGTAGGACTGAATCATCCCACAAATCCTTAAATGTCTTCTGTGTTCAAGGCACCATGCTAGTGCACACTGTAGGATACCAGGAAAAATTAAAACTAATTTATGCCTTCAGAGACTTCACAACTTAGAAGAGAAATGAATATGCTCAGAATTAACTGTAAAAAAAAAAAAAAAGAAAGAAAGAAAGAAAGAAAGAAAGAAAGAAAGAAAGAAAGAAAAGAAAAAAAAAGAAAGCTATAATGCCCAAGTGACAGGTAAAGATTGATTCATTCCCTTAGACTTTGTAAACCGTAGAGTAAATCTCCAGTGGGAAGTAGCTCCCTCTGTGTAAGATTTGTACCCATAATGGTTATAATGTTTTCCCAAGAGAGTTCCAACCATACCATTCAAATGATTATAAATATTCTACATTAGTGAAGCAATATGAGCCCATGGTTTCAACAACTCCCACAAATCTTTTTTTTGAGAACAGTTTAAAAGTAATGGGATTGAAAGCGTTTTCACACAAACACTTGTACAAGAATGTTAATAGCATTATTCATCATAGCCAAAAGGTGGGGAAAACCCTAATGTCCATCAACTGATTAATGGATTTTTTAAATGTGGTATACCTATACAATGGGATATTATTCAACCATAAAAAGGAAATTAAGGGCCAGGCGCAGTGGCTCACGCCTGTAATCCCAGCACTTTGGGAGGCCGAGGCGGGTGGATCACAAGGTCAGGAGTTCGAGACCAGCCTGGCCAACATATTGAAACCCTGTCTCTGCTAAAAAATACAAAAAATTAGCCAGGCCTGGTGACGCATGCCTGTAATCCCAGCTACTCAGGAGGCCGAGGCAGGAGAATTGCTTGAACCTGGGAGGTGGAGGTTGCAGTGAGCCGAGATCACGCCGCTGTACTCCAGCCTGGGAGACAGTGCAATGAGACTCCATCTCAAAAAAAAAAAAAAAAGGGGAGATGAAGTACTGATACCTGCTACAATATAGCAATATAGATGGACCTTGAAAGCAGTATGCTAAGTGAAAGAACCCAGACTCAAAAGGCTACATACTGTATGATTCCCTTTATATGAAATATCTTGAACAGGAAAATCCATAGGCACAGAAAGTCAACTAGTGGTTGCCAGAGAATGGGGTGAGGGAGAAATTGAGAGTGACTGCTAATGGGTATGGGCTTTCTTTGGGGGTTGATGGAAATATTCCAGAACAAGATTGTAGCCATGGCTGTACAACATTGTGAATATTCTAAACACCACTGAATTGTATACTTTTAAATGGTGGATTTTATGTTACCTGAATTTTATCTCAATTTCTTAAAAATCTACCTTGAAAAACAGTGGTGGGAAGCAGTACAGAATATAATGTAACACACTTGATTTGGAATCCAAGAAACCTGGTTTTAAATCTGGGCTCCACCCAGCTATGTTATAGCATCAGGCAAGCTTTAACTGCTTTGACTCAGTTTCTTCATCCATTAAAATGCCAGCTTCATGATGTGGCTGTGAAGATTAAATGCAATCATGTATGTAAGGAGCTTTGCATACTGCCTGATATGAGATAGGCATTCAAGAAATCATTACATTGAAGAAATTTTCAATTTTCCTTCTCCTATAAATCCTTGTATGAAATCGAAATGAGTGTTGAGATGAACAAAAGACAGCTAGTTCAAGGTGAAAGGTTGGTAATTTGCTTACAAGATGAGTCTCTTCTTCATTTGGCAGCTGACTAAATTGTTAAAAGCTCAGCCTAATTGTACCTTTGCCAGGACATTTTAATGACACCATTTGTCTCTTCAGTTCTTAAGCACTTTGGGGAACCAGTAGAATACAAAGTAGAATGTCTGTGCTTTTTACCTTACTCCTACATCATCTTTCTAAAATTTAAATGTACTATCACTAACCCTGTTTTGATTTAGTTGAGGGGAGAAAAAAAGCTTAAACTTTACTTTCAGGGTCTAATTGGCTAAAGCCACTTTTCCTTTTCTGTTTCCAATACTTTTTTAAAAAAATTATAAGTTAGTAATATCTTTCTCTCTGTCTACATATTTGAACTTGGATTTAAAGCTTTCTATTTTTTTCTCTTATATATGTCTGTAGTAATCAGGTTTTCTCATTACGAAGTGCTAATGAAACCTTCAGCTTCACACTGGAAGCTTCTCAATTATTGGCATTCTGGGTGTTTTCCTAGACATTTGTTGTTTCGAACGAGTTGGCCAGTGTTTGTTGACAGAATTTTAACTGCCTGAAAAATCTGTTTCAGTAACCAGATACTCAGTCATCTGTTGGGAAAATCCCAGTCGTATGGAGTAATCCTTCCTTCTATTCTATGTTTTATAGGTCAGGCCTAGGTGAAAGGGCTGGGAGTTACAAAGGCCTGCCTGTTTACTAAGGGAATATCAGCCTGTCTTCATTTCACTGTTTCCTTTCAGGATTTCAATGATGAATTCTCAGATCTGGATGGAGTGGTTCAACAAAGAAGGCAAGACATGGAAGGATATAGCAGTTCTGGTTCTCAAACTCCTGAATCTGAGAACTCTCGAGGTTTGGGAAATTGTTGTATTTTGACTAAAATTTAATTCCCCTCAAAACATCCTCACCCCACCCCCTTAAAAAAAAAAAGAAAAGAAAAGAAAGAAAAAAACCCACATTGTCTTCCTAGTTAAAAATCAGGAATGGAATCTGGAGAAAGGATGCCTTGAGAGTTGGAGGGAAAAGAATTGCCTATGTGGTAAAAATTCATTTGCTTTTATGCACATTTAACAGAGGTCTTTTAAATAGACCTAACGTTGGGGTGGTTGAGAGAAAAAAACATACAATTTTGTTTTTGTTTTTGTTTTTGAGGCTGGAGTGCAATGGCACAATCTCGGCTCCTGCAACCTCCACCCCCCGGGTTCAAGCAATTCTCCTGTCTCAGCCTCCTGAGTAGCTGGGATTACAGGCATGCGCCATCAAGCCCGGCTAATTTTTGTTATTTTTAGTAGAGACGGGGTTTCACCATGTTGGTCAGGCTGGTCTCAAACTCCTGACCTCGTGATCCACCCACTTTGGCCTCCCAAAGTGCTGGGATTACAGGCGTGAGCCACCGCACCGGCCTATTTTCTTCCCTCTTATTTCAATAATATTTTTAATTGTTACAGCTGAATTATCCATGTGAGTTGGTTGGAAAATGAAAGACTATCCTTATATCACTTTATTACTTATTTGCTTAAGCATTCAATTTCAGCCCCAGCCACCACAACTAACTTGTGAGACCATCCATTCACATTCTTGACCATTATGCATGTTAAGGGATTGATTTACTTGGAGATTAATCCTGTTTTTAAATACATTGGAGAGAACACTTACCCAGCTCTGTTTTGGCTTAGTAGATTTCCATGCGACAGAATCCCAAACAGTTCTGAATGTCTCCAAGGGAGAAGCAAAGCCAACTCGGGCAGATGCCCATGTGAACAGAGTACCTGAAGGAAAAGCCAAGAGTCTCCCTGTACAGGGTAAGGAATGGATGTCTCAGGGGGGTGGGTTTAGAAGGATTGGAGATGTCTGTTTGTAACTTTTTTTTTTTTTTTAGACAGCATCTTGCTCTATCACCCAGGCTGCTGTAGTGCAATAACATGATCTTGGCTCACTGCAACCTCTGCCTCTTGGATTCAAGCGATTCTCGTACCTCAGCCTCCTGAGTAGCTGGGATTACAGACGCATGCCACAATGCCTAGCTAATTTTTGTATTTTTAGTAGAGACAGGGTTTCACCATTTTGGTCAGGCTAGTCTCGAACTCCTGACCTCTAGTGATCCACCCGCCTCAGCCTCCCAAAATGCTGAGATTATAGGCTTGAGCCACCATGCCCGGCCTATTTGTAACTGGGTTTCACCTTATGACTGCTTTTCATATTCCCTTTCCTCCCTTTGTATTATAGGTCTTTGCATATTAATTCACTTATTCTTTTAGCAAACAGTACCCAGTTCCGTGCTTACAGTGGGGGATACAAAAGTGAATAGCCTTCATGGAGGTCACTTCATGATTCTGAATACATGAGATTATCTTTCAAAAATTTCTGTTACTGTAACCCCAGCACTTTGGGAGTCTGCGGTGGGAGGATTGCTTGAGTCCAAGGAGTTCAAGACCAGCCTGGGCAACATAGTGAGACCCTATCTCTACAAAAAAGTTAAAAATCAGCTGGGTGTGGTACATGTTTGTAGTTCCAGCTACTTGGGAGGCTGAGGCAGGAGGATTGCTTGAGCCCAGGAGGTCAAGGCTGCAATGAGCTGTGATCACGCCACTGTCACCTGGGCAACAGAGTGAGACTATCTCAAAAAAATAAAAAATTTTCCAGTAAAACTCAAATTTCTTATTTACTAATTATTCTAATAACTAGCTATACTGGTAAGGGAGCAAGGATATTGTTATATTGTCCATCATTGATTCCAGTACAATGCTTGACACAAAGAAGGCTGTGGATAGGTATGTAATCAATGGAATGTGTTGGAAGGAATTGTAACCACTGGTTAAAATGACAACTGGGAGACTTGATATTTTCTCTGATTTCTTTTACCTGGGAACAATTACCTCTCTCAAGTACCCCATAGGGATATTGCTGGATAAAAGAAGTGTGTTATGGTTTTAAACAGTTGTTTTTTGTTTTCCTCCCAACAGGTCTGTCAGAAACTGTTGGAATCTTACATAAAGTCAAGTCTCAGAAATGTCCGATGCTTCACCATATTCTTATATTCTATGCAATTGTGTAAGTACATGAATTTACTGTGAGTGACTAAGAAAATGATTCCATTCGCTAAAGGAATAATCTCTTCACACTGCCAAGACCTACTGTAAATCTCAATTGTCTGAAATGTGACCTACATCTTTACTTTGACAATTTCTGTCTCCTACTTCAGGTTTTTTTCCTTAGGCTTAGGTCACATTTTCATGGTTGTGCCAAACCCTGCAGAGGACTAAGTTCTGAGTGGGTACCATTAGTTGGGAAATTGCTCTGTGAATTATGAAGCATCTTTACCCTTGTTATTTTTTTTACCTTATTTTTTTAATTGACATATAATCATTGTAGGTATTTATGGACTACATAGTGATGTTTTGATACATATAATGTATACTGATCAGATCCGGGTAATTAGCATATCCATCACCCTTATCATCTCTTTGTGTTGAGAACATTCAATATCCTTCTTTTAGCTATTTGAAACTCTATCATTGTTAACTTTAGTCATTCTACAGTGATATTCAACACCAGAACCTATTCCTTCTATCTAGCTATAATTTTGTTTTGCCATCTGTCCCATGTCCCCTGAACAGGGGCCAACACAACTTGAAAATGTTGTCCTCATCCCCTTTACCAAAAATGTAGGCATAGACTTTTTTAACTTCTAGCGTGTAACCAATTGTTCTTCTGAAAATAGCCTGACCCAGTTCTAGGCTGTTCCTCCCAACCAAGGAAAATATGCCCAGTCTGGTTTCCAGATAAAGGAGGGAGTCACCAGAGAACATGGCTAAGATCTGCCCAGGCTCTTCTGGCAGAGGACGGTAGTACCGCAGGGAGGAGGAACACTGGCTTGGTACTCCAACTTGGGTCTGGCTCTGACCAGTGCTATTAGAAGGGCCATTATTTGCAAATTAAGGGACTTGGGCTAGAGGATTTTAAGTCTCTTCTAGCTGTAAGTTTTATAACAAGCATCAGCCTGTTTAAAAAGGATGTTTTTAAAATCTTTTTACCAAGTTATTTTGGAAAATACCTTGCCTCGGGTGTACCACATTGGCACTGAGTTGTTTTATGAACATCAGATCCTGGCCGTTAACCTAACGAAAGTTTCTCTTTCATCCGTTTCCAGTGTCTGTGCACTAATCATCTCGACCTTCTACATGAGATACAGAATTAATACTCTGGAGGAGCAGCTGGGGTTACTAACCTCCATTGTGGACACCCATAATACTGAGTAAGACGATTGCCTCTAGCTGTCATCTGCTTGCCATTCTGCTTAATATAATAATTGACCTGAACTTAGCATCCTTCTTAGTAAACATTAATTGGAGATACATTCTGTATGTGACATTTTGTTAAGTGTATATGTGGAAAGTAAAAAGGTAGGAGGGTCTAGAAATGAATGACCTAACCCTGTACTATTTTGGAGTTGTGGTAATGTTGCTAGTAATAAGGCAAGAAACAAGCCTAATTTTACATTATCTTGCTCGAATATGCTAAGATGCAGTTGTGACCTTGCCCCATTTATTAAACTACACAAGTTTACCTTAGTAAAATGGCAATAAATCAAGACACTCAGAGAAAGAAGCAATTCAAGAAACTCAGCACATTTTATCATGTATAACTTTTTATATTAACTCACTTATTTGCAAAACTCTTGACCACTGTCAAGATCAATGTGACTAGTAATTAATTGAATGTGTCTGTGAAGATTTTCCATCAGTCTTTTTTTTAACATGCCTGGCCTAATTAAACCTTTTCAGACATAGAGCTCTTTTCTTTAAACCTATTTACAAGAAGCTTTTGACACATTGCCTAAAAAGTGAAATAATTTATGCCATGTTAGAAAGTGTACATTTAGCCCAAGTTTTTGAAGTAGAGATATTTCCTGACAGAGTATTCACCACATGCTGAAGGCTCTATTAGAATGGATACATACACATACAAATACAGATGATTTTTCCTCATTATATTTTCACCATAACCTTAGAATAGAACTGTTCCCATTTTACAGATGAAGAAACTGAGACTCAGAGTAATAATTAGTTTAATGTCTTACAGTTTGCAGATTCAGCTGCAGGTCTATATAACTACAAAGACCATGGGCTCCTCAGTCTACCAGTGGCTCTCAAATTTTAATTTGCATCAGAATTATCTAGAATTGTTTAAACAGATTTCAGGGCTCATCTCCAGAGTGCCTGATATAGTAGGTCTGGGATGAGGCCTGAGAATTTGCATTTCCAGCAAGTTCCCAGGTGGTGCTGATGGCAATGGTCTGAGCTCTATACTTTGAGAAATACTGTGTTATACCATTCTAGGACCTTTCTTTACTCCATAGGAATTACCTTTAGGTGGCTTACATGTATGCAGGCATACAGGTTATTTTTGACCCATAAATATACACTTGAACTAATAAAATACAAAAGCCTAATAAACAGTTTGGTATGGATTCATACTCTGCCCTTAGTTTCTCCCATCTTGTTCAAAAAGTTAATATTGGCATAGAGATAAGAAGTGACTCCAGGCCAGGCACAGTGGCTCACGCCTGATTATGAGACAAGGGCAATTATAGTTGTATGATAAATCTCAAAGAAGAAACTACAAAAGTCTCGTGTTTCAAGGGACATTTGATTAACTAGATAAGGACATTCCTAAACTTGTAAAGTTCTAGTATAAATAGCTCAAAAGTACAATAATTCTTGTAAGTTTATGCTCTGGTGGAGACAGAAAGGATATTAGGGGTTAATAAAAGGGTTCTAAGAAACCACGTGCTTGAAAATAATTGCCTGATTTTTGTTTAGAAGCCGAAACACACCATATCCACTTAAACAAAAATAGCTTAAGAGATTTCCCGCTGAGCTTTTAAGAATTAGTTCCCTAAACATCTAGCCTGGAGTTGCGGATTACTGCAGGGCTTTGTCTAATATTAACAAATGAAATGTTCATTCTCTTCTATTATAAACCAATTTTCTGTTCAAATAAATTTTAAATGTGTTCATTCCACTTCTTTCCTTGTCATCCCTGCCCATAATAATTTTTCTCTTTTTTCTTACAGACAGGCAGCACCATCTGGCCTGAGGTCACAAGTACAATTCAATGTGGAGGTTCTCTGTCAAGAGCTTACAGCTAACATAGTGAAATTAGAAAAGGTGACCTATTTCTTTCCTGTGTATGGGGGCAGTCACAGTAGTGCCTGTTGGTTGCCCTAGGTCAGGTCAGGGATTACACACTCAGACGCCGTTAGTGTGCCGCAATAAACCTACATGATCAACCCTGGCTAGGGGCTTTTTATAGTAAATGTGGAAGAATATTTTTTATTTCCACAAAGAAATAGGTCTTAATCTCATTTTCCTTGAAATACATAGTCTTGTAGGTCTTTTGTTCTTCCTCCTTGATTAGACATATTACTTAATAGCACAGGGCCCAGTGGTAAGTGACTACTGACATCGGAGCTTAATGTAGGGACATAGTAGGGAGTGAACTGGAGACCAACCACTGGCTTGGCCAGAAAGTACAGCCCCAACTCCACCAAGGCTGACTGTTCCCATAGGTAAAATATTGCATGTAAGTCCTATTAGAACCATGGAAGATAGACGTCATTGTTCCCTATCTGATAGGGGAAGAATCAAGAGTTTCAAATTAGCTTGCTGAAGGTGACACACCTAGAAAGGCAGCAGACGTGAGTCTGCTGAGAGAGCATTAGAAGAAAAATACATAAATAAAGTCAGCAGATCTGGAACCTGAACCAGGCCTGTCTGACTGCAAAGTTGTGCTTAGAAGCTCTCTGCTTTACTGTTCCTCAGAATTCAGCTTTAGGCTTTGTTGATAAGGCCACAGATGTACCTTTACCTCAAAGTATCTACAGTCCAAACAACGCTAGGGCAAAACTGTCCTTAGCCTGTGGCATTCTTAGAAGGCAGCAGGAGGGTGAGCTGGAGAAGAAGATAGGCATGCCAGAAATATCCCAGAAATAAACCTGATTTACATGTCTTATTTTCTTCTCCTTTATCTGATAACTACTTTGTTTTTACCCTAATCCTTCAGGAAAGGCTTAGAGAGAATTCAGTGTTCAATTACAACTGCTGTCACAAACGCCCAGTATCTGGTAGCTTTACATCATAGTACAGTTATGCTTACTTGGGAAGACATATTTCTTCATATTAAATACAAATTAGTAAAATTTCATATTAAATACAAATGAATAAAATTATCTTTGTTTTCCTACACTCAGTGTTAGTTAGTATTTAACAGCTAAAGTATTAAGAGCAAAGGAGTTTCCAAACTTATGTTCTAAACCAAGTCAGGTCAGAGAATTCATATTAAATCATTCTATTTATGGGCAAATGTAGAAAGTTCTTTACATCGAGAATCAACCTAGAGAAGGTATGAGTTAGCTTTCTTCCTTTCTAAAACATTAGTTTCTGAGAATTGAAGATAAACGATTTTTTTTAATGAAATGCTTACAAATGTTTGGCTTTCATGCAACCCAGAGAATGAAGTGGTATTAATTTTCAATTTTGTTCACTCTTACATACCAGTGATATTCTTTGGATTAGAAACACATGGGATCCTGCCGCCTTCTTTTGTGTTTCTTCCCACTCTCCCGCTGGGCCTGGCCGGGACACCACATTCTGTAACCAGGGAACTGAAAACAGAAGAGCTTGTTCACAGCAGGCAAACAGCCTCAGGTCTTGTGCAGGGTTCAGACAGCTTAGCAGGGAGGCCGGGGAGGTTTACAGGAGCACCAGTGGAGACTACCTTTGTCTCAAAGCAGAAACTGATTCAGTAAAAAGTGGATTTGGGGTCAAAATGCGCGTGTTGATGTTCTAAAAAGTTAGAAGTTGCACACATTGCTCAAAAGAATCTAAGTATTAAAAAAGAGGTACCAGGCCACACCCGTGCTCTTTTTGATTCATCTGCACCTTTCCTCAGAGGCAGCTGGGCACTAGCGCAGCACAGCCTGCCGGTGAAATAGCAGCTCCATGCTGTTGAAGGTCTTATACTCCATACCAGCAATTCCTTCTTCTCACCTTCGGGGGCCGGTGATGTCTAAGCCTCATGATCTTTCTCTGCTTATAACTTCCCTATTTCTGTTCATGGCATCACTGCTCTTTCAGTCATCCTCATTGGAAATCTAAGAATAATTTTTAACTCCCTCTTTCCACCTGCCACTGGTTGACTAGTTGGCAAATCCAGTGAAGTCTGTCTTCAAATGTCTCCTCAAAGTTTCTTCCCACAGGTACCATCCTAGTCCATTCAGCCTTCCCACTACCAGTCAGATAGTGTGAAGCTGGATCTCATTGTGGTTTTTGCTTGTATTTTCCTAATTATTACTGAGGCTGAACATCTCATATATTTACTGGCCATTTGGGTTTTCCTCTGTAAATTGCTTAATTCTCTCCTTTGTTTTAATTTTGGGTTTTGTGTGTGTGTCATCGTAGGTGTGTTTTGTGGATTTGGGATGTCAGTTCTTTGTTTTATTCCTTTTTCTACCTCCCACTCCTGTTTTTCCATTTATCTTTGGTCCTGAGGGATACATGAGGAAGAAACAAAGCAAGAAAGTTGGGGAAGAAAGCAATGTCTCTTACGGGAACTGAAGTAAACACTTATTTTCTTAGTTCTGGAAGTGGAATTAATGGTGGAACAGTATAGTAGAAAGAGCATAAATGTTGGAGTCAGGCCTTTGTTCTTATCCCTGCTCCACTGCTTACTACCCACATAACTCATCCTGCTACTTCAGCTCCCTGGCCCTTGGTTTCATGTGTAAAGCCTGTCTTTGTGTGGTGTTGTATGGCTCAGGAGCAGGCATGCCTTTGCTGGCACTTACATATCAGATCCCCTTCCTCCTCACTCACCTGAGAACACCCATAGGACATCACAGACTGTTCCTCTAAAAAACAATATGTTCTTTCTTTTCGTCTGCAAGGTTTCTACTCCCATCACAGGGCTGGTTGTTGAGAATTCCTTGCTCTGAATTCTTTTTTTTTTCCTTCTTTGTTTTTTTTCCCAAGACAGAGTCTTGCTCTGTCACCCAGGCTGGAGTGCAGTGCCGCAATCTTGGCTCACTGCAACCCCCACCTTCCAGGTTCAAGCAATTCTCCTGCCTCAGCCTCCCAAGTAGCTGGGATTACAGGCATCTGCCACCACACCCAGCTAATTTGTATATTTTTTAGTAGAGACAGAGTTTCACCATGTTGGCCAGGCTGGTCTGGAACTCCTGACCTCGTGATCTGCCCACTTCATCCTCCCAAAGTGCTGGGATTACAGGCACAAGCCACAGCACCCGGCTTCTATGAATTCTTACAAGTTCCTTTATTCAACGGTCATTTACTGAGAACATTTTTGATGTCCAACATCGGACCCGTCTTAAGATCCAAACATCTGACGTGGTTGGTCTCTGTCCCTGTGAAATCCACAACCTTCTTGGAAATGTTAAATAATAATATCTAATTGGAGTAACAGGAGTGTTAAACATTATTATGTGGGATTTTTCTGATTAAAACCATCAAATGGGTTGTGTAAAGACCAATTTCCCATTGTCTTCTAATGCATTTGGGTCACACTGGTGTTGCCAGTTCCTTGTTCTTTTTCTTCCATCTCATTTATCTCAGTCTCTACTGACATTTTCATCTTTCTGCCATTCTCTCTTTTTTTTTTTTTAAGCCCTGTATTTCCTCATTTTAAAGTGGATTGTCAGCTGGACATGGTGGCTCACACCTGTAATCTCAACACTTTGGGAGGCTGAGACAGGAGGATCACTTGAGCCCAGGAGTTCTAGATCAGCCTGAGAAACATGATGAAACTCCATGTATACAAAAAGTGCAAAAATTAGCCAGGCATGATGGTGCACGCCTGAAGTCCCAGCTACTTGGGAGGCTGAGGTGGGAGGATCACTTGAGCCCAGGAAGTCAGGGCTGCAGTGAACCATGATCACGTCACTGCATTCCAGCCTGGGTGACAGAGCGAGACCCTTTCTTTTTCCCAAAGAAAAAGTGGATTGTCAGAGTTCTAGTCTATGAAAAAGCATCTATTTGCCTCACCTAAATTTAACCCTTTTGTAGCTTTTTATTCAAAGTGGAATAATATAGAATGCTATATAGACTATAACAAATATGCCCTTAATATACTCCATTCTATTTAATAATAGGAACTTCTTTTCTTTTATTTCAAGATACAAAATAACTTACAGAAGTTGCTTGAGAATGGTGACTGATCGACCAGATTGCTTGGGCCATCGGAATACCTCATGTTTCCCTTTGAAGAAGGTGCTTCCTGAGGCGTTTTGTTTGAGTGCACCCTGCTGGTCAGAGGTGCAAGCAGATGAGAATCCAGACATTGCATGTGGAGGTCTCCAGCTCAGGAAAGTGAGGAGGGAAATAATTTTGGTTCTTGTGCAATAAAAGTTGACCTTGACTCTCTGAGGAAGATTTTGCTGCTTTTGCCTGAAGAAAACAGACCCATCTCTGGAGGTCTCAGGAAGGGCCCAGCGAACACACTCTCTTGGATAATTACCACGATGGCGTCAGCAAACACTCCACCCTGTGCCTTTTTAGTCCTTCCCGCCCTCCTGCCTCTCCCTTACACCCCTCTTAACGACTTTCAAACTAAAGGATACATCATATACTGACAAACTCAATGTGGTCCTTTCAAGAATTAGCCATGAGTCTCAAAAAGGCAATAAATGGCTCTAAGTGGACAGGTTTGCTTCAAACAAGTAACATCTACATTTTGTCTTTTTTTTTTCAGTTCTCCTGTTATGTTCTGGTTGAAATCACCTGTGTGTCTTAATTTCTCAATTCCTTTTTGGCAAGAATATCAAGCAAGGTGAATTTAACATTATGTTTATGTTTTGTTTTGTTGCTGTAACTAATAGTTAATTGGACTGATTCTTACCCAGCCCTGGTCAAGAATCTGTGAGGCATGTGACTGAAGTACTAAATTAAACTTATTTTGAAACCAAACCTAATTTTTAAGCCAAAAGGTGTAATAGTGATTTAATACAGGATGAAAAACACTGAATTTTTAAGACTGTAGGTGGACTATGTTAGTAGTTTTCAAGCAGGATGTCTGTATTCAGCATTCAATAATGCTAAAATCCCTTTCAGCATGAAATTTGTATGTTTTTATCCTTTGCTGACTAAAATAAAATAACTGGTGGTTTGCTAACTATTTACCATATGGGTTGGCTGGTTTTTATTAATAATTGTTTAGGGTATCATAAGATCTGTAAGTACAAAGGATATTCTGTTTCTATCTGCAATGCATTTGATAATCATTTCTATGAAATGTATTTTATTTAATCAGATAAGCTAATAAGCGAATTGGTTACATCGTTTGTATCTGTTGGCCTAGTGGACAGCTGTGCCTGGTGCACCTCTGGCTTTTAATAAATACTCATTGGTTGAAACACCCTGCTAACACTGTGTTTTGTCAGTTCGTAAATTCCTTTAACCAAGACTTAACTATGCTTTTTAACTCTTTTTCCACCTGCCATCTACTACTACCAACTCACTTATACTTCCTTCCTCCCAAGTAATCATTTCAAAACTAAAAAAGGATTTAAGTTCTTGGGTTACAACGGTTTAAAGGAAAGAAAATGAACTTTGAAGTCAAAAAAAAAAGAAAAAAAAAAAAGACAATGCTTCATTCCTCAGTCCACATTTATGAGTTATGTGACCTTTAGCAAAATATTTGGCCATATCCCCCCATTTTATTGATGAGGTTGAAAGTACCAGTAAAAAGTATCAGTGTGAGGATTAAATGTGATAATGTCAGCCAGGTGCAGTGGCTCATGCCTATAATCCCAGCATTCTCGGAGGCCAAGGCAGGAGGACTGCTTGAGCTCAGGAGGTTGTGATCAGCCTGGACAACGCAGCAAGATCCCATTTCTACTAAAAATAAAAATAAATTAGCCAGGTGTGGTGATGCATGCCTATAGTCCCAGCTACTCAGGAGAATTGCTGAAGTCTGGGAGACTGAGGCTGCAGTGAGCCACGATCACACCATTGCACCCTAGCCTGAGTGACAAAGCAAGACCTTGTCTCAGTCAATCAATCAGTCAATGTGATGATGTCTCTAAAGCACATAGCCATGTCAGGCAAGTAGTATGCTTTCATAACAGCTACAATAGTCATTATTTTAAAAAATATTTTTGCACACCTGTAGTACCAGCTACTTGGGAGGCCGAGGCAGGAGAATCACTTGAACCCAGGAGGTGGAGGTTGCAGTGAGCCCAGATCATGCCACTGCCGCTCCAGCCTGGGCGACAGAGCGAGACTCTGTCTCAAAAAAAAAAAAAATTTATGTCTGACATTACAGTTTTATTAAAGTTCAGTGTCAGCACTTTCTATTCAAAACCCATTAGTGATTCAAGAGTGGGTCAGCCACCTCTGGAGAACAACTTTATAACCATATCAAGAGCTTTAAAAAGCCTCAGATTTCACTCAGTTTTAGTAATCTGCCATCTAGGAATTTATCCTAAAGCAACAATCAGAAGTATAGTAAAGTTTATATACAAGAATATTCTTTGAAACCTCTGACAGCAAAATATTAGAGAGTCTAAATATTCAATAGAAGAACAGTTAAATGATGCAGTTATTTAAAATTGCATTGTCAAAGAAAGGCATAGAAAATATCGAAAATTGCATTAAAAGACATAAAACTATAGGGTATGATCCCAACTTTAAGAAGAAAACCCTCAATGTGTGTGTGTATATATATATATATATATATTTATATGTATATGCATACATACATACACACAGAAGCCCACACACCTTTTCTGTATCCTACAGGTTTTGTATAATGAAGTCGTTACCTTTTTTTAATCAGATAAGTTAATTTACAAGATTAGGTGGCTCTCTGCAAGGAATCAGAACTCACAACTCCCACCCCCCACAACATGGCTGCTAGTTCTTTAACTGAAACTTTATTTTCCATCAACCACTACAGTTGACTCATCCAGAGCGAAAGACAGCTCCACCATTCCTAGGTTTAGTTATTGTTTCTTTGCGGATACTATTGTTTGTTTGGTTTTCCTTTACTAGCTTCCAAGTGAAAATCTGGTGCAGCTAGATCCGAATGGTGAAATCCAGGTTATAAGCCTGCATACTAACTACAAAGCGAGGGAAAGCAAGCATCTGGGATTTTTACGCCTCTACCAACTAGGTTATAAATGGGAATTCTAACATGGGGTTTCAGATGCTGAATGGCCAAAGTAATAGCAAATGTCCACAATATATTTGGCCCTTCAAAACGTGTAATCTTAAAAAGATTATCAGTTGTAATACTATTTCTATGCACTCTAATATTTTATAATATAATTAAATACATACTATTTTGGTGAATAGAAATTACCAATCTTCCATAAGCTGGAAATGCTATTATTATTATTGTTGCCCTCTCAAACTTTGTAAACATTTAAGATACCTTCCTATATATACTCCACAATACTCCAAAGCATTTCCCAGGTATTCATTTATGCAATTCCTTGAAACCAACCAAGATACTTTTTTTTTTTTTTCAGATAGGGTCTCACTCTATCATCGCCCAGGCTGGAGTACAGTGGCGCAATCTCGGCTCACTGGAACCTCTACCTCCCAACCTATCCTCTCGCCTCAGCCTCCCAAGTAGCTGGGACTACAGGTGCACACCACCACACCCAGCTAATTTTTTGTATTTTTAGTAGAGACAGGTTTTTCCATGTTGCCCAGGCTGGTGTTGAACTCCTGGGCTCAAACAATCCACCTACAAATGTGAGCCACCTCGCCCAGCCCAGAGACATTTTTTAAATGCCTTTTCCTTGCCTTACACAATTTCATAAATTCATGGAGTCAGGCCAAAACAAAAATTCTGACTTAAATATGAGTTATCTTTTATGCTATTTTGATTTGTATATCCTAACAATAGTAAAATTCAGGTGATGCTTTCTTATTTTTTTGTTTCTGGTGATCTAAAGGATATGGACACTAATGCATTATGGATAGCTCAGGTGATTTTACTCTCAAGCATTTTTTTAAGTCAAAATTCTACACATCAGTAATAGTTATACTGCCATTTGAGGTCATAACCTGACCCACTGACAAAGAAGCCCAGTGATATAATATTATTTTCATATGCTTCTTTTACACCTCTCCCTGCTAATTACCATCATGTTACCATATTCTTGCCAAAAAAAAAAAAAAAAAACACCAGAGTCGTTACATGAAGTATCTTTGATCACTGAATTTCCAGCACTTCTTTGTTGTGTCTAGATGCTAAGCCCTTTTCTAATTTGAAAAAAAAAAAACAAAAAACTGGAGACCTGATTCTGTTTATCTCTTGTAGTTTCTCTTATCTCTGTTTCTAACCACTCTATGTAGTGCCTCTTTTTTTCTGTCTACACACACACGGAGCATCCACCATACCAATAATCACAGTATGTGGTAATGAAAAGTGGAAGGGAAAAATGGCCCTTGCTTCTCACAGACAAACTCACTATCTCAATGGATCATTTTTGTTTTTTTGTTTTGTTTTGTTTTTGAGACAGTCTCACTCTGTTGCGCAGGCTGGAGTGCAGTAGTGCAATCTTAGCTCACTACAACCTCTGCCCCCGGGTTCAAGCAATTCTCCTGCCTCAGCCTCCTGAGTAGCTGGGATTACGGCACCTGCCACCATGCCCTGCTAATTTTTGTTTTTTTAGTAGAGATGGGGTTTCACCATGTTGGCCAGGCTGGTCTCGAACTCCTGACCTCAAGTGATCTGCCCGCCTCGGCCTCCCAAAGTGCTGAAATTACAGGCATGAGCCACAGCGCCCCGCCTCAATGGATCCTGATGAGCTACGCAAACCATTATTTTTATGTCTTTATGAATGCCACCAGAAAGTTTCATTTTGTTCTTTCTGAAAACAACCATGATTATAAGATGTCTTCTGAAACACGGAAGTGAGAGAACATGTTGTACAGAGAAGCATGCATCCCTCTGCCCTGCCACCACTGCACCTATGCTAAGCATATTATAGACAGAAGGATGTCCATCTGCCTATGTAAGCTCTTGCCCGTTTATTCTTGGGCTCTGTCCAGGCTGTGACCCTATTACTCCTTTGCTCCTTCATTTGAGGACTATGACTGTGAACTGTATTTCTTCCTCTCTGCACCTATATAGGCTACAGGAGGAAGTAACAAAAATCTTCCCCCACACCCAGAGCTAAATATTTTTTGCCCCAAGCTGAAAGTTCTCTAGTGAAAATGCAGTTCAAGGCCATAGATGCAGGAGAGAAGTAGATTTGTTGGCTTCTAAAAGGAATATTTATACAGTTTTGTCTAACAGCACCATCCTAACAGCATTCTGATTTGTTTTATTTTCCATTTTTAATACCTTTGTTGATGTGTAATTTACATACAGTAAACTACACACTTAATGTATACAATATTATAAGTTTTTATGTACATGTGTACTCGAGAAACCATCACCACTATCAAGATAATAAACATCCATCACCCCTTGGAGAAATCACGTTGCAATCCCTCTCTTGTGCCCCTACCTACATTCTCCGTTCTAAGGAACTGCTGATCTTCTTTCTGTCTCTGTAGATTAGTTTGCATTTTCTAGAATTTTATATAAATGGAGCCATATAATATGTACTCTTTTTTTGGTCTGGATTCTTTCCATCAACATAATTATCTTGAGATTTATCCATTTTTTGCATGTTTCAATAGTTTATGCCTTTTTATTGCTCAACAGTATTCCATTGTATGTATATACCACAGACTGTTTATCCATTTGCCTGTAGATGGATATTTGGGTTGTTTCTAGTTTTGTTGTTGTTGTTGTTGTTGTTGTTGTTGTTACCAATAAAGCTGCTGTGAACATTTGGCACCAGTCTTTGGAAGGATATGCACTTTCATTTCTCTTGGGAGTGGAGTTGCTGGGTCATATGGTAAGTATATGTTTAGCTTCAAGGCTGGGCTCAGTGGCTTATGTCTGTAATCCCAGCACTTTGGGCGGGCAGATTGCTTGAGGTCAGGAGTTTGAGACCAGCCTGGCCAACATGGCAAAACCCCATTTCTACTAAAAATACAAAAATTAGCAGGGCATGGTGGCATGCACCTGTAGTCCTAGCCAGTTGCTAGGCTGAGGCACGGGAATCACTTGAACCTGATTGCCAGAGGTTGCAGTGAGCCAAGAAATCGTGCCATTATACTCCAGCCTGGGCAACAGAGGGAGACTCGGTCTCAAAAAAAAAAAAAAAAAAAAAAAGTATATGTTTAACTTCAGAGAAAACTGCCAAACTGTTTTTCCAAAGTATAACATTTAACATTTCCACAAGCAGGGTGAGAGCACCAGTTCCTCAACATCCTCACCAACATGTGATATAATCAGTCTTTTAAATTTTAGACATAATGATATAGGTGTGTTCTGGTATCTCATTGTAGTTTTAATTTGCATTTTTCTAAAGATTGTTGATGTTGAGCACCTCTTCATGGACTTATCTGCTATCTGTATATTTTCTTTGGTAAAGGGTCTGTTTAAATCTTTTGCCCATTTTTTACTGGACTATTCTCTAATTATTGAGCTTTGA
Source organism: Homo sapiens (assembly GCF_000001405.40). Lineage (NCBI taxonomy): Eukaryota > Metazoa > Chordata > Mammalia > Primates > Hominidae > Homo > Homo sapiens. Next base: position 126,499,302 of record NC_000005.10, read on the forward strand.
AAGTTCTTTATATATTTTGGACTAAAGTCCTTTATCAGATATTCAATTTGCAAATATTTTCTCCCAGACCTTGGCTTGTATTTTTATTCCCTTTATGTCTTTCGAAGAGAAGTTCTTTCTGATGTTCTATTATGCAAACTCCACCACCTGGCCAACTCCCAGCACCATTTCTGGATCTCTCCCTGGGCTCTGCCTGGGTTCCCCTCCCTACACTGCAGCCTGAAAGCCCTCAAGGCAGTAAGCCACGCAATCATAGGCTCATCTCCACTATTTTCCTTCTCTCAGGCATCACTGTCCTTCACTAGCTAATTTCCAGTGTCCTGTACACCATTTGTTTCATATATTTTGTCTGGGTTTTTTGGTTGTTTCAGATAAGAAGTCAAATCTAGCACCTGTTACTCCATGTTGAGTGGAGATGGAAGTCCCACATCACAGAAAACTCAACATCCAGAATTGTGAACCAAGTAGAAAAGATTGTTAACTTGGTAACAGAAAAGGGAAACAGAACACAAAGAAAGCATGGAAGTGGCAAATCTAGGTTTGGGGGAACAAGAGAGAAGTGGTTGAAACTACAACAGTCTAGAAGCTCAGCGGAGGGGCTTCCTGCAGCTGAAGCTCAGACCTCTGAAGAAGGGGCACAGCCAGGTGGTGTTAAAGTCGCAGAGGAGGCATAATGAGGCTGGTTCTGCAAATGATAGGGAGACTGCAAACTGGATTCAGCTTACAGAAATAAGCTGCCATTGCCAGACTGACAAACTCACCAGAACAGGAAGAAGTCAAAAAGTTCTTAAGCAGAGAACAAGAGCAACCCCTTCTTCCCCTCCAGCCTCACAGGTGCCAGGTCTCTCTCTCTCTCTCTAGTGCCCCCTATTGGCAGAATCTAACAGAGCTACTAGCAAAATGAAAATAGTTTGAAGATTCAGCATTAGCATCACAAAACAGAATGTAGAAAGGCGGGCTTCAAGCAGAGATAATAACAGCTTAGTTAACTGGCTATTACCCACCCCTTTGACTATTCAGCATCCACACACACACCCTTCTACAAATATTTGAACTCTCATGCAACAAGAAACACAACTCTGGCGCAGTGGCTCATGCCTGTAATCCCAACACTTTGGGAGGCTGAGGAGGGCAAGTCACCTGAAGTCAGGAGTTTGAGACCAGCCTGCCCAACATGGTGAAAACCTGTCTCTACTAAAAATACAAAAAAAAAAAAAATTAGCTGTGTGTGGTGGCGGGCGCCTGTAATCGCAGCTACTCAGGAGGCTGAGGCAGGAGAATCACTTGAACCCAGAAGGCAGATCTTGCAGTGAGCCAAGATCATGCCACTGCCCTCCAGCCTGGGCAGCAGAGCAAGAAGACATTCTCACATTTTCCTCAAGAAGATATGCAAAGTCCCAACATTCATTGTATCCATCTCTGGAAGGCAGTCACACTATTCATCTCTCAGCTATATTAGTTATTCTTCAAATTTGGTATAATGCCATCTGAATATTCTATAGTGTAATGATTAAATTGTAAAGTTAGCCATCAATAAAACTTGTATAAAACACTAAAGGGAAGGAAAAGAGAGAAGAAAATAGCTAACATACATTCATTGAGGATCTATATACCATACATACACATGCTTGTGCACACGTGCACACACACACAAAGCAAGAGAATATGCATAGCCACTATAATTCTTATTTCTGTAACTCACCACAAAATGTTTCTTCTTCCATCTTTATTCTTCCATTACTCATTTCATCTTTTCTTTGCCCTCAGACAGCTCAGCTTTTCACAATTCTTTACCTGATAAGGATGACCCAAATCTTTATTCCTGAAGGGTATGGATTCTCAGCGGTCCTGTCTTTTTCTTTCTTTCCTCTCTTTCTTTCTTTTCTTCTTCTTCTTCTTTTCTTTTCTTCTTCTAGTATTTGGTTTTCTGTTGGTTCAAGAGCATAAATAGACCAAAATGGATATTTGGAAGTCTCAGCTTCCAATTCAATGGAAACATTTATGTCCCCTCATGGAAGCATTCTTCCCTTGGAAATGAAAACCTCCAAACCAGCAGAGCTCGGAATTGTACAGATGGGAAGCAAGAATTCTGCAAATGGGTTTTTAGTTGTAATAGTGAAACAGGGAATCTTCCCTGTCCCTTTTGCAGGCCTCACGACAGGACTGCCTCGCTTACTAGGCCCACAGCTCTCAATCCCTCGTGGGAGGGGGAGCATACGGGTGAGTGGGCGCAGGAGCCAGAGCAAGTGCTTCTGGGTGTTGACAGGAGCAAAGCTCCATGTGGGGCCCAGGACAATGACCAGTGGGGGAGTACCTGTGACCCCCAAAGCCCCAGAGGGCATGCGTTACAGTGAGTCATTTAGCTTTGCTGTCTGCAGACGGCTTAGGTGTTAAACAGCTCATTGGGCCTTCTGCCTTTTCATGAGGTGGTTGCTCTCCACCAGCGAGGACAGAGGGTCAGCGTGACAGCCTTTAACATCTGTACTGTGGCACCCGAGCTCTTGTTCAGTGTCCAGGAAAAATCAGGTCACACAAACAAATTGAAGGGAGGTGAATGCAGAGGATTTTCTTGCTGATGGAAGTGGCTCTCAGCTGGAAAGGGGATGGAGCGGGAGGATATTCCTCCCCTGAAGTCCAGCCACCCCCAGACAACTCTTCTCCGAAGTCCTGCTCCGCCATCAAGCCATCGCTCTGAAGTCAAGCTGCTTCTCTCGGACGTTCAGCCGTTTCTTCTCTTCTCCCCTTCTCTACTCTCTGCCAGTGGAGCCTGGGGTCTTTACGGGTGCAGGATGAGGGGTGGGGCAGGCCAGGAGTGGTTTCGGAAAAGGCAACATTTGAACAGGAAAACAAGGATGTAAAGTTCTCACTGTGGACCGCGGTTCCAGGCTTGAGGGTGGGGCCCTCGCTAGGCACCCCACCCTGCTCTGCCTCGAATTTCTCTGCCTCCTGTCCCTATCCATAGTGAGAGAAGCCGTTCCTACCTCCAAACTTGACTCCTGGGTCCATACATTCTGGCTAGATAAAGGGCACACAAATATTGGTTTCTGCTTCATAGCACCTACTGCATCCTCTAAGATAGAATTCCATGCGTCTGGGGTGCATCCCCTCATGGCCTGACAGCGTCTTCAGGAGGTCATGCCACTGCCCTAAGCCAGCAGCTTCTGGGTAATGGAGAATGTGGTAAAAACAGTGGATGCAAGTAGGCACAAGCCCACTGCTACACTTCTTTTGCTGTGAAATGACTTTCTTGATTAGAAGCAATATGATGTGGAATATGAAGTCACTATTGATAGCGCGTAAAGCAGAAACATTACAGTCAAGGAAGGCAGATCAATACCAAGAACATAGGTCTATCCCAAATAAGACAAATTTATTTCCCCAATGGGGAAACGTCCAATGTAATCACCTTGCCACCACATGGCTTGTTGATTTGCAGGGAAGTGGCACCAAATCCGGGCTCAGTGACAGTGCCTGCTGTTGCCACGTTAGGCACTCAGTCGAGTCAGCCTTCCTTAGGGGAAGTCTGTATGGGTGAATCCAGAACAAAACTTGGTAATAATCATATTTATTCTCTATTTAAAGATTAACATTTGGGCTGAGCCCAGTGACTCACACCTGTAATCCCAGCACTTTGAGAGGCCAAGGCAGGAGAATCACTTGAGCCCAGGAGTTAGAGGTCAGCCTAGGCAAAGAAAAAACCCATCTCTACAAAAAACACAAATATTAGCCGGGCATGGTGACACACGCCTGTAGTCCCAGCTACTCAGGAGGCTGAGGTGGGAAGATTGCTTGAGCCAAGGAGGTTGAGGCTGCAGTGAGCCATGATCATGCCACTACACTCCAGCCTGAGCAACAGAGTGAGTCCCTGTCTCAAAAAAAAAAAAAAAAAAAAAAAGCCAGGTGCAGTGGCTCATGCCTATAATCCCAGCACTTTGGGAGGCCGAGGTGGGCAGATCACCTAAGGTCAGGGGTTCGAGAACAGCCTGGCCAACATGGTGAAACCCCGTCTCTACTAAAAATACAAAAACTAGCATATGTGGTGGCACAGACCTATAGTCCAGCTACTAGGGTGACTGAGATGGGAGGATCGCTTGAACCTGGGAGGCAGAGGTTGCAGTGAGCCAAGATCACCATTGCACTCCAGCCTGGGTGACAGAGTGAGACTCCATCTAAAAAAAAAACACCAGAAAATTGACATTTGATTGAGTTATTTTAGATTGAAAACAAAGCAAAGACTCTATCACTTATAGCCACATTTCCAAAAAAAATTAAGATATTCACAGTCTGCCTGTCAACATTGGACTTGTTTAAAAGTTATTTGTTTAGTGATTGCTCAGTTAGGAAGTCATCAGAGCCAGTCAGCAGTCTGGAGGGTGTGAAAATATTTCCTGGATTGCTTGGTGTTAAATGGTTATGCTGACTACTTCAGGAGAGGACAGTGGTGAATGAGAAATCTGCATTTCCTCCACTGCACATTCTTTCACGGTTAAGACTGGCAAAGTCCCATTCAAGGGTTAAGCTCATCTATAGAAAATTAAGTCATTTCTTGCTAAACTGAGAAGAACAACAGTCATGTGATAATGCTGGGACTCTGACACAGTTGATCTGGGTAACGCTGCGTGGAGGATGTGATGTGCTGTCAGCTTTACAGACAAGCATATTGTGACCCAATTTGTTTGCCAGGCAGTTGTTCCAGAGAAGTAGTTTACTGATAGAAGAAAATTGACGGCAGAGTACTGATTGCACAATCAAAGCCAAGTGGCTGCTGAACCGAATAACATGTTATATAAATCCTAAAGTCACCCTAGAAAAAAAAATTAAATAACAGGGAGGAAAAGGGATTCACTCAGCAATGAAACACAAGGTGATTCCTACCTTCCTACCTGCCTCTCCTGGTCCACCAGTGACCTAGTGTGCCAAACCCAATAAATCGGTCTCCATCCTGGCTCAAACGACTCCCCAGGAACAGAATCCTTTTGGCAGTCTTGCTAAAAGAAGTGAATAAGCTTTGGGTCGACATACATATCCTTTTGCTGTCATTGTTTTTTTAACTCCTGGGAAACCTTAAAAGATACTGTCAATTGTATTTTATACCCTTTTGTATAATCAGTGTGTAGTATAGGATGTTGATACTTTCCCCTAACATTATTTTCTCTAACACTGCAACAAATTAAGCCCAAGGCAGTTCTGTCTCATAGGCTTGTGACTGCATTGATCCTACTGCCCAAACAGATTTTTGAATTAAGGTTTATAAAAAAAATGACTATATATGGATGCTTGGAGGGGCTTCAGCTCCCTTAGGTTACTTATCTTTTTCTTTCTATTTTCAATGTCTAGAATAATCTTAATTTCAAAGAAAAATGACATGAAAGCAGGTCTCCAAAATGACATGAATTTGGTGGTCATTTGGAATAACTATAAAGCCTTGAACAATTGGGTCATTTCTCCTTTTGAGGGGCAAAGTATTAAATTAGGTGGGAATTCAAACTCTACATCAAGTGCAGTCTCAAAAAAAAGGATCTTGGAAATATGTTCTCCCATGATGTAGTCAGGGAAGGAAAGAAAATGGCTGGGTTCACTCAGAACTAGAATCTTCCTTTTTTTTTTTTTTTTTAAGATGGAGTTTCACTCTTGTCACCCAGGCTGGAGTGCAATGGCGCGATCTCTGCTCACTGCAACCTCCACCTCCCGGGTTCAAGCAATTCCCCTGCCTCAGCCTCCCAGGTAGCTGGGACTACAGGTGTGCACCACTATGCCTGGCTAATTTTGTATTTTTATTAGAGATGGAGTTTCACCATGTTGGCCAGGCTGGTCTTGAACTGCTGATCTCAGGTAATCTGCCTGCCTTGGCCTCCCAAAGTGCTGGGATCACAGGCGTGAGCCACAAAGCCCGGTGCCATTATTTTTTTTATTTTTTATGTATTTTTATTTTATTTTATTTTTTACCAGGCTGGTGTGCAGTGGCTCAATCTTGGCTCACTGCAGACTCTCCCTCCAGGCCCAAGAGATCCTCCCACCTCAGTCTCCTGAATAGCTGGGACTACAAGTCCATGCTACCATGCCCAGCAAATTTCGGGTTTTGTTTTTGTTTTTCTTTTTGTTTGGTAGAGACAGGATCTAACTATTTTGCCCAGGCTATTCTTTTTTTTTTTTTTTTTTTTTTTTTTTTTTTTTTTTGAGACGGAGTCTCGCTCTGTCGCCCAGGTGGGACTGCGGACTGCAGTGGCGCAATCTCGGCTCACTGCAAGCTCCGCTTCCCGGGTTCACGCCATTCTCCTGCCTCAGCCTCCCGAGTAGCTGGGACTACAGGCGCCCGCCACCGCGCCCGGCTAATTTTTGCCCAGGCTATTCTTGAACTCCTGGGCTCAAGCAATCCTCCTGCCTCAGCCTCCCAAAGTATTGGGATCACAGGCGTGAGCCACTGTACCTGGCCTCCATTTTTATATGAAACCTTAATAAAGATTAAAGTTTGCTAAATTTTGTCTGAGGAAGTAGTGATGAATATGAAATGAGGACAACCATAAAACGCTTAAAGCATAAAACCATATTCTGACGATGGCACCTAGAGAGCTGGAACTGCATTTTCTCCAATACATGTAGGCACAATGGCTTAGGTAGATTTGTGTGAAAAGTGTCAGCTTTCTACTTGGTTCTCCTCCTGGTAAATATTTCCACGTGACCACACCAGCTACTCAAGTGAATGTGTAGAACCAGGCACATGGTCTTCCTGGAAACATAGGAAGTTCGACCATTTCTAAATCAGTATTTTTCTAGCCTTTTGTTCCAATACCTTCATGCTTTGTAAGACATCCTGTCACTTGGGTGAATTTTAATAAATCAGCCCATGATGTTTATAAAGGACAAAATATGTCACTCCCATCCCCTGCTTCCAACTTCACAAACAATACCTGAGACAGCAATATTAAGTAATTTTCCAGAGGCCAAGCAGCCACGATAGAACAATGGGGACTGACTTTAGGCCATTCTGCTTCCTTTCAACCTGGAAGCGTGTCACGCGGATGTTTATCCTCCTACATACCCATGCTATTTAGACTGGTTTGAGGAAATGAAAAAACATGGGACTTAGTTTTTCCTCCCATGAATTTGGTTTCTATTAAATATTTAGAATCATATAAACATTTTTATTTCATGTTTGAGAATATTATTTATTTCTTGGTATTTGGCACCAATAATGAATACAGCACCCAACAATAACTGGACACTGCAATAATCCAAAGACATCCTAATTTAAGCAGCCATCATACAACCTTCCCAAGGTTGAAACACTTGAAGGTATAAGTGCTCATTTTCCTAGGTATGCAAGTTTCACCTGCCTTGCCAGCTGTCACAGGTGCACTGCTCACCTGACTTGCTTTGGCCATGGAGAAAACACAGACCTGCTGCAACAGATCTGCCCCGGACTCTGAATCTCACAAATCCGAGACCGTGGACTCAGCCTGAGGAGGATCCCAGCTTGGGCTCTTCCAGTTGGTACCCTGTGCTTCCCCAGCTGTCCCACAGAACGTGGCCTTCCCGCCACAACGGTGTGGTCCTAGGAACACCCACCAGAGAATCCAAGGGAGGTAGATGTTTGTTGAAACTGATCCTTAGACCCACCCCTCCATCAGATTTCCTGAATTAAAATCTCTAGTGGTGGGTTTGGGATTGTAGTGCCACCCACTTAGGAGAGTGTACATCAGAAGAAAGTAAAATGGTTGAACTCAAACTGGCTCACTAGTCCGTGGTTATAAACTGTCAGGCCCTTTAAAAGTGTAAGGGAACCTTATGAGCAAAATTCGAGTTTAGGTGTGTATTAGTCCATTTTTTGTGTTGCTATAAATGAATACCTGAGATTAGGTAATTTATAAAGAAAAGAGGTTTAATGGATTCATAGTTCTGCAGGCTGTACAGGAAGTGTGATGCCAGCATTTACTTCTGGTGAGGGCCTCAGGGAGCTTACAATCATGACTGAAGGTGAAGGCGGAAGCAGCGCATGGTGAGACAGGGAGCAAGAGGAGGTGGGGGAGATGCCACACACTTTTAAACAACCATATCTCACATAAACCCAGAGCGAGAACTCACTCATTACCAAGAGGATAGCACCCACGAGGTCATGAGGACCCACCTCCATGACCAAACACCTCCCAAGAGGCCGCACCTCCAGCACCTGGGATCACATTTCAACATGAGATTTGGAGGGGACACACATCCAAACCATATCAAGGTGTTATGAGAAAATGAGCGAAGGGTCTTTCCTAGGAGGACAGTTGGTGGCTTTTTGGTACTGTGCTTCATAGCACTAATTTCCAGAGTTCAAAGATCTTTTCCAGTAACCTCCAGTTTCTACCCATGTTTCTAAATATTCCAGACTGCTACAAGTCTACCCTCTAGCAAAGTAGTGTATCAACATACATACCCTAAAACTTCATACATGTTCCATCCATCTTTTTTAATTTTTTTATTTTTTGAGATAGAGTCCTGCTCTGTCTCCCAGGCTGGAGTGCAGTGGCATGATCTCGGCTCACTGCAACCTCCACCTCCCAGGTTCAAGCAATTCTCCTGCCTCAGCCTCCCGAGTAGCTGAGACGACAGATGTGCACCACCATGCCTGGCTAATTTTTGTATTTTTAGTAGAGATGGGGTTTCATCCTGTTGGCCAGGCTGGTCTAGAACTCCTAGTCTCATGTGATCTGCCTGCCTCGGCCTCCCAAAGTGCTGGGATTACAGGCATAAGCAACCAAGCCTGGCCTCCACACATCTTGCCCGTAGGTTGTCCTTTCCCCTGCAGGAACCTTAAAGAACAAAAAGCCATACAGCAGACATGCTGTGAATTTTGTGAGACCCAAGCAGAAAAGGAAATAGGAAGAAGCAACTCACATTATTTTCTGCTCGTTTTAAATTGCTTTGTGCCACCCCAGATTTCTTTTCGGCCCTGGGGACATAACCTAGGACTGTCTTTATGGTTGCAAAATATGTTGGTTATGCCTATTCCAGATAAATTTATTTACTTACTTACTTATGTTTTGAGATGGAGTCTTGCTCTGCCGCCCAGGCTGGAGTGCAGGTGTGCGTTCTCGGCTCACTGCAACGTCTGCCTCCCAGGTTCAAGCAATTCTCCTGCCTTAGCCTCCTGAGTAGCTGGGATTACAGGCACCTGCCACCACACCCAGCTAATTTTTGTATTTTTAGCAGAGACAGGGTTTCACCATGTTGACCAGGCTGGTCTGAAACTCCTGACCTCAAGTACTCTGCCTGCCTCGGCCTCCCAAAATGCTGGGATTACAGGTGTGAGCCACCGCACCTCGCCCCTATTCCAGATTTATTAATGGCAAGAACAGTTTTAAACCATCATTGCTACCGAGCATGAAGAAAAATGTTCATTGATGGATACCAGAGCACATTTCAAACCAGAGTGTCCTTTGATATAAACTTAGTAGTGCGTGTCTAAAGCAGATCGTAAACTGAGAGCATTTCTAGAGATTAGGAAATATTTGTGGTCCCAAACCAGAAGCCGAGGTCCTTGAAACCACCACACTGTTGGTTCTCGAAGCAGGGAGGCACCCAGGTGACCCAAATCCAGCTCACAGGCACTAGATGATGATCGATTTGCTCCTCTTTCTATTGCTTCTGGTTCTTCTGCACCTGTGATGAAATTTAAATTGGCTGCATCCACATCAAAGAAAATAAATTTCTTGATAGAATTTAAATGTTAAGTGTCCTGAAATGTGTTTACTTCTGGATCAGAAATGAGAATGTACTGAAACAGGAAGTCAGCTTCACAGCAGGAAGCAGACCTCAAAGAAATGTGACTCACATAGTCTTTTGAATGTGCTCCACTTGGGGACACAATGTTCCCCACAGCTTGCCCATCTCATCCATTCTAACTTTCCCATGGGACAAAAAGCATCATAACAAAGAATTAGAGGAGAGGAACAAATCAATCAAAATGGTAGTAATGCAGTAATTATACAAGAAAAAAAACAATGACCAAAAGAATACTGTGATGATAATTTACAAATACATTATTTAATGCAAAAATATCAACCCTTTAAGATCATGGCCAACTTAAGTTAAAACTGATAATTAGGGTGATGACATAATATATCACTCATAACAGGACACTTCTGAAAGTAAAAGGTGGTGCCCTTAATAATTTTATCAGGACAGCCAACGTGAACCGGAACTGTTCCAGGCAATCTAGTACATATGGTCACCCAAGCGATAATTCACAAACAACACATCCTTCAAGAAAAGTGTGGGAATTCCAAGCATCTAGATACGCACTTGCTCAGTAAGAACTTTGCAACATTATTGGCAGTAAAATTCTGAGAACGTAGCCTCAGGATTATCTAGCAACCCACTAATTCTAGTGCACAGACACTCCTGACAGCTGTGGACTTTCTGTATCTCAGAGATTTAGGTCAACCTGACTTCAGTCCATTAGGATCCACATCTGGGACTGCCTCACCTCTAATTCAGTTCAAAATATTTTAAAATTTTGTATGACTTCTTTTTAACTCCAAGACTTCTTTTGTTGTTGTTTTGAGACCGAGTCTCATTCTGTTGCCCAGGCTGGCGTGCGGTGGTGCAATCATGGCTCACTGCAGCCTCAACCTCCCAAACTCAATGGATCCTCCACCTCAGCCTCCAAAGTAGCTGAGACTACAGGTATGCACCACCACACCTGGCTAATTTTTATGTTCTGGGGCTTTTTTGTTTTTTGTAGGGATGAGGTGTCTCCATGTAATCCAGGCTGCTCTCAAACTCCTGGTCTCAAGTGATCCACTCACCTCAGTCTCCCAAAGTGCTGGGATTACAGGCGTGAGCCACTGCACTCTGCCCAAAATTTCTTTAGTAACATTATTTGATTTCCAACATATAAGATGTTTAAGCTATTCTTCTGTTATTGATTTCCTTCATTCTTTATTTTTTAATTGACAACTACAAATTATATATATTTAGGGTATACGACATTATGTTTTGAAATATGTATACATTGTGGAACAGCTAAATCAAGCAAATTAACAAATGCATCACCTCACTGACTTGTTTCTTTGTGAGAACACTTCAAATCTAGTCTCTTAGTGATTTTCAAATATACAATATATTGTTATTAACTATAGTCACCATGATGTACAATAAATCTCTTGGATTTACTCCTCTTGTGTAATTGAAATTTTGTGCCCTTTGGCCAACATCTCCTATATTAGTCCATTCTCACATTGCTGTAAGGAACTACCTGAGACTGTGTAATTTTTGAGAAAGGAGGTTTAATTGACTCACACTTCCACAGGCTGTACAGGAAGCATGGCTGGGGAAGTCTCAGGAAACCTACAATCATGTTAGAAGGGTGAAGGGGAAGCAGGCACATCTTCACATGGTGGAGCAGGAGAGGAAGAGAGAAAGAGTAAGTGCTACACACTTTTAAACAACCAGATCTCAGGAGAACTCACTCACTATCATGAGAACAGCAAGGGGGATGTCCACCCCCATGATTTAATCACCTCCCACCAGGCCCCACTTCCAACACTAGGGATTACAATTCAACATGAGATTTGGGTGGGGATGAAGAGCCAAATCATAACATCTCCCCAATCCCCACTATCCCCAGTCTCTGGTCACCACCATTCTATTCTATTTCTATGAGTTTCACTTTTTTTTTGGCTGCATATATAAGTGAGATAATGTGGTATTTATCTTTCTGTGTTTGGCTTATTTCACTTAACATAAAATCCTCCAAGTTCATTCATGTTGTTCCAGTGACAGAATTTCCTTATTTTTGAAGGCTGAATAATACTTCATCATGTATATGTACCACATTTTCTTTATCCATTCATCCATTGATGGACATAGGTTGGTCCCATATCTTGGCCATTGTGAATAGTGCTGTAATAAGCCTGAGGGCACATATGTCTCTTTAACATACTGATTTTATTTCTTTTGAATATATACCCAGAAGTGGGATTCATAGATAATATGGTAGTTCTATTTTTAATTTTTTGAGGGACCTTCATACTCCATACATAATGACTGTTTTCTGTTATTGATTTCTAATTTTATTGACAATTATGGTCAGAGAACATAGTCTAGATGATATAATGATATTGTTCCTTTTGGAATTTATTGAGGAATTCTATGTGGCCTAGTGTGTGTGTACACATATATGTATATATCTATATATTTTATATATTTTAGTATTTAGTTTTTGCTCAATAAGAAAGCATCAGCTGGACACAGTGGTTCACACCTGTTATCTCAGCACTTTGGGAGGCCCTGGCAAGCAGATCATTTGAGGCTAGGAGTTCGAGACCAGCCTGGCCAACATGGTGAAAACCTGTCTCTACTAAAAATACAGAAATTAGGTGGGCGTGGTGGTGCATGTCTGTAATCCCAGCTACTTGGGAGGCTGAGGCAGGAGAATTTCTTGAACCAGGGAGGTGGAGGTTGCAGTGAGCCCAGATCGTACCACTGCACTCCAAGCTGGGTGACAGAGTGAGACCCTGTCTCAAAAAAAAAAAAAAAAAAGAAAAAGAAAGAAAGCATTTACCACGCCCACTTTTTACATCCTCCTGGTGGCCATGTTGCCACTTCTGTGTCTGTAGGTGCTGGTGACCTGTATACCACCATCTTCATCAGTTTTCAAAAGATGTGGTGCAGGTTCCTGAATGTATAAATTGACTAGTGATATGAGGGGTCCTGGGGAGAGCACTCACCATGCTTCACCTAGCCTTGGGCTATCACACCTATCACATTGCTCTTCCTCCTCCTCACCCTGATCTCTCAGAGTCTGCCCTTTGCCAAGGTCCTTACCCATACCATTTGAGCTTTCCTGAGCATGCACCACAGGTAGCAGCCCTCCAGCCAGTCAGCACCCCCTACCTTGGAGGCCACCTTCATCCCTGATGGGGCTTGTCCATGCATAGCCTCCCCGAAAGAGGCAGCCCTCCCTGCAAGGAATTTGTTTACCAGCTGCAAAGTGAGTAAGATTGTCTTCATAGACTGTATCAAATGATAGTAACTAAATATCACACTTACTAGGTAACTTGTAGGTAGTTCTCAAACATGCTGAAGGGGATTTGTAGAGATACATAGGAAAAAAGCAAAGTGTAAAAACCAAGCTGTATTGTCCTATTCTCACAGTTACTCAACACAACACTTCTGATATCCGAGTCTCCAGCAGACACCAGCTTGATGTCCTCTTATTCAATTCAATTCGATTCAATTCAATTCAATTCAATTCCAACTCTTGTCTACCTGGAGATAGCATTAGATCCCACAAGTTGAGGCCTCGGTTCCACAAGACTGCCCCCCACTTCAGATGCCAATGACAAATCCCAGGTTGTGACCTGTGGTTCTGACTGACCAGCTATAAATCAGGGTTTCCATGCTTCCCTCATCAGGTTTGATTACTTTGTTAGAGCAGCTCACAGAACTCAGGAAAACACTTTGCTTACATTTACCCATTCATTACAAAGCATATTGAACAGCCAGATGAAGAGATACATAGGATGAGGTCTGGAAGTGTCCCAAGGGCCAGAGCTTCTGTCCCCGTGAGTTGGGGTATGCCACCCTCCCAGCAAGTGGATATATTTTTGTTCACCAACCTGGAAGCTCCTCAAACCTGGTCCTTCCAGATTTTCAGGCAGGCTTCATTATGTAGGTGTGACTGATTCAATCATTGGCCATTGGTGATCTCCTAACCTTCAGCCCCTCTCCCTTTCTCAGGGTTGGGGCTGTGAGTTGGAACCCTCCAATCATACTTTTGGTTCCCCTGGCAACCAGCTCCCATCCTGTGGTTAGGAACTTTCCCAAATCACCTTATTAACATAAACTCAGATGTAGTTGAAAGGAGCTTTGTGATATTATGAAATACACATTTGGTCTTCTCCCTTTTTCCTGGCTATAACTTCTAAAATCTTTGGAATCTCCAAAGTGCTGTCTTTTTGTAGGCTAATGTTGACTGACAGCTTCAGGATGGGGCTGGTCAGTGGAAAGACGAAGGCATAATTAGAGGGTTGAGACTTTCAACCCCATCCCCAACCTCCAGGGAGAAGAAAGGAGTTGAAGGCCATGCTTGTCACTAATGGCCAATGTTTTAACCAATCATGCTTATGTAATGAAGCCTCCATAAAAACCCAAGAGGACAGGGTTCAGAGAGCTTCTGGATAGCTGAACACATGGAAGCTCCTGGATGGGGGGAGGGGAACACCCAGGGAGGGCATGAAAACTCCACACCCCCTCCCCCATACCTCACCCTATGAATCTCTTCATCGTATACTTTGTCATATTCTTTATAATAAACCAGTAAGCATAAGTGTTTCCCTGAGTTCTGCAAGCCACTCCAGCAAATTAATCGAACACAAAGAAGGGCCTAGGGAACTCCAATTTAAAGGCAATTGGTCAGAAGTTCCAGAGGCTCAGACTTGGGACTGGTGTCTAAGGGGGAAACAGTCTGAAACTATCTCCGAGTAGACAGTGTTGGAATTGAATTGAAGGACACCCAGCTGGTATCTGCTGCCGAATTGATTGCTTGCTCACTGGTGCAGAGAAATCCCCACATATTTTTAGGGTCACAGAAGTCTTTTGCGTTGATGTTGTGTGAGAGAGAGGGGAAGAAAACACTGTTGGAGTTTTTTCCAAAACAGCCTTGTTATGAATAACATGTCTGTTTTTGTTACCAGAAAGGGGTCCTGACCCTGACCCCAAAAGAGGGTTCTTGGACCTCACACAAGAAAGAATTCGAGGCAAGTCCATAAAGTGAAAGCAAGTTTTTTAAGAAAGTAAAGGAATAAAAGAATGGCTACTCCATAGGCAGAGCATTGAAATGGGCTGCCTAAGTATACATATACTTATTTCTTGATTATATGCTAAACAAGGGGTGGATTATTCATGAGTTTTCAGGAAAAGGGGTGGGCAATTCCTGGAATTGAGAGTTCCTCCCCTTGTAGACCATATAGGGAAACTTCCTGTCGTTGCCATGGCATTTGTAAAATGTCATGGCACTGGTGGGAGTGTCTTTTAGCATGCTAATGCATTATTTTTAGCATATTATGAGCAGTCAGGATGACCAAAGGTCACTTTCCTCATCATCTTGGTTTTGGTGGGTTTTGGCCAGCCTCTTTATCGCAACCTGTTTTATCAGCAAGGCGTTTGTGACCTGTACTTGTGCCGACCTCCTATCTCACCCAGTGACTAAGAATGCCTAACTTCCTGGGGATGCAGCCCAGCAGGTCTCAGCCTTATTTTACCCAGCCCCTATTCAAGGTGGAGTTGCTCTTGTTCAGACGTCTCTGACATTTTCAATGAAAGTCTTTGAGTTTCTCCGTCAACTTAGCTGGTAGTTACCGTCCCCAACCCTGACTGACCAAAAAGCATCAGGAAGGAATCCACCTGTATGGATGGTCTACAAGGGTTGTATTGTGGGCTTCAATTACATAATCACAATGTGAAAGTCTAAGAGATTTTAGTGCTTACAGACCCAGGAAGGAACATGGCACTCCTGGAGGCCACACGGAAGAAAGCCTTAGGGAGCATAGACAGGAAGAGAGAAGAGAAAACAAAGTGGTGGCAACCAGCAATGTATATAAGGGAATAGGGTGTGGGTCACTTTAACTTGACAGACAAATAAATGGTCCCTTTAAAGGAAGAGGAGGGATCGTGGGGAGCCCAGTCTGCTAGGCAGGAGAGACGCCTCTATGTTCTTATCTCTGGCCACCAGCTTGAGGCATTGGGACATGATATAGAACTGGCAACTGCATCACAGGTGACTGAGCCCTGTCTCGGCACAAGAAAGCCAAACTACATTCGAAATGGATGCGGAGGCAACATAGAATTATAAGCATTCACTACAACATCGTTGACCTTTATCACTCTGGAGGTGTTCTGGAGCTGTTTCAAGAACCAAGAACCAAAGGCTAAATATTTTAATTAAAGATACTCCTATTTCTCTAATCATTTAAGAAATTACAAGGATTATGGGTGCTGGGAGCCAGGTACCATGGACAAAACCTATACATATATTTCATATCTCAGGGATCATGATATACCATCCCAAAATATACTACTTTGGCATAAAAACTATTTTGAGCTAAAAGCATTTGAGCTGCTGAAATCCCTGATCTCCCTAAAAGCATCTCAAAAGAACTCAATCTCAAATCTCCTCCCCTGGGAGCAATTTTAATCTTTTCTGAGATAAGAAGTCCAGACAGAGGCATGATTAGAGGATTGGGACACTTTCACAAGACTATTGTATCTCCCATCTATTCTCCCAAGGGCCCACTTATCTTTCCAAAAAGTCATTTGTTTTTCCCCAAGTGCCCTTTCTCCCCTTCCCTTTTCTCTACTAAGATAGGTATATATAAACCCCCACATCTAACCACTTATATGAGCTTTTTACTTTTTTCTATAAGGCCCTCTGTGCACATAAAATTAACATCAATAAAATCGATATATGTTTTCTCCTGCTAATCTGTCTTTTGTCAGTTTAACTCACAGGCCCCAGCCACTAAATTTAAGAGAATAGAGGAACAGTTTCTTCTTTTTTACAATACTAAGTTTGTGGAAATGTGAACCATTTGTGCCATTAACCTTTTAGAACAACGAGAAGAATTTTGCATTTTCTTTGACTCATACATCTTATGAAAATTTCCAAAAACATAAGAAATAAAAAAGAATTTTGTATTCTTAGGTCAGATCTGGCCAAGCCAAAGAACCTTGATATTCTTGATATTTCCAGAAGTCCTGAAAGAAGGAATATACCAGTGAAGACGATGCTCCCAAACCCAATGACTTTTGTAAGCTGGAAGGCAAATTTTTCAAGTTTGAGAGCATGGATTCTGGAGCCCAAGTCTCTGGATTCATTTTTTTTTTTTTTTTCTGTGACTTACTAATAGTGAGGTTTGACAAAGTTTCCTAAGTTTTTAAGCATTAGTCACATCACCTGCAATGAGAATAATGACTTAAAATTCTGCAGGCTTGTTGGGATAATTGAATGAGATAATAAACACAGTAGAGCACAGTGATGCAGTAACAGTGTTGTTATGTGCCCAGGGCAGCTGCTGCTGGTAGCATCGCTGGAAGAGAGCCAGAACTTCACTTACAATGAACATTATACACATACACATTCCCTCTTTAGGGGGATTTCTTACTTGGTTAAGGATCACTTGTGTTGGAGATGAGCACCTCATAATTGAATGGAATTAACAACAAACCTGCAGTTTCTTCTCATGATCGACAAATTATATGAACATTATGTTATTCATACAAATGGTAACAAGAACTTGTTACAAAGCCTTGTTTATACAACCCCACCTTCAGGGCACACAAAAATCTGGTAAAAAAAAAAAAAGTCCAGACACAAATTTGTATTAACATTTTACAGATGAAGAAGATAAATTCCAAAAAGCTAAATGACTTTCCCAAGGGACTAAATTGTAGGGGAACACACTTAAATCCAGGTGTTCTGATTCAAAATCCCAGCACCTTCCTACTATATACCTCATGAATGTCCTAAATACAGTGTAATCCTTTGAGGAACCTTATAACTAGTAGAAGAAAATATTAATTCCAAAGACTCCTGAAATTAAAATAATTGTAGATTACATGTTATATTCCATTAACCAGCAAACATCACAAACAAGCTATTACATAGACATTATTGGCACAATACTTCTTTAAATAACTCAGTTTGCTTTTTTTGTTAAGTATATCACAGCTCAAGAATTTAAATTTTGCCTTAGGTTATGCAAAGCCTGCTCTGGGAACTTTGAAATAAGATTGATTTTTATCTTGTTTGGAATGACTTGCCTTTGCTTAAGGGCAAAGCTTTGGACTCAACAGCCTTTCAAAATCAGTTTTTATTCTATGATTCTATGACTTTTAATGACACCTAAAATTGAAATTAGTTGTAAGACCAGCATTTGTGATTACAATTTTGCCACTAATAACTTGCATCAGTATGAAGAACTTTAATCAACATGTTGTAAAACAAAAATAAAATTCTGAGACCCCCCCAACCAACTGAATGGGCTCCTCCTCTCAGCTGAGGGCATTCTCTATTTTTTTTTTTTTTTTTTTTTGAGATGGAGTCTCGCTCTGCCGCCCAAGCTGGAGTGCAGTGGTGCAATCTCGGCTTACTGCAACCTCTACCTCCCAGGTTCAAGCAATTCTCTGCATCAGCCTCCCGAGTAGCTGGGATTACAGGTGCCTGCCACCACACTGGGCTAAATTTTGCATTTTCAGTAGAGACGGGGTTTCACCATCTTGGCCAGGCTGGTCTTGAACTCCTGACCTCATGATCCACCCGCCTCGGCCTCCAAAGTGCTGGGATTACAGGCATGAGCCACCACGCCTGACCTGCTAAGGGCATTCTAAAGTAAACCCTGGGCCCAGTGCTATTAAAAAGAAACAATAATAATCTCAATTATCCCACATTCTGAGCTCAGAAGTCGGTCTGGGCTGGGTGTGGTGGCTCATGCCTGTAATACCAGCACTTTGGGAGGACGAGACAGGTGGATCACCTGAGGTCAGGTGTTCGAGACCAGCCTGGCCAACATAATTATACCCTGTCTCTACTAAAAATACAAAAGTTAGCCAGGTATGATGGCAGGCACCTGTAATCTCAGCTACTTGGGAGGCTGAGGCAGGAGAATCACTTGAACCCAGGAGGCGGAGGTTGCAGTGAGCTGAGATCATGCCACTGCACTCCAGCCTGAGCAACAAGAGCAAAACTCCATCTCGAAAATAAAAAATAAAAAGTAAACCCGAAACGTAGTTCATGCCATGACATGAGTGAGTTGTCTGACATGCCTCATTATGCCCTCCTCCCACTGGAATTCAGGCACAGCTGACTAGTATTAATATTAAGATAGACCTTAACACTGACAAAACAGAGTCTTTGTAGCAATAAGATATCAACATGACAGATAGGCTCTGAAAGAAATCAAAGTATTTTACCCCAAAATATATTTCTTTGACATATTTTGAAATGGTCCTGCAAAGCTGTCTCTTGTGGAGAATATCCACTTTCTGAAGAGAATCCTTTTCCCTTTCTAGGTCTTTTTCCTAATCCAGGACAAAATTAACTAAGAGTCTGGTACCTTTTTAAGCCTGAAAAGAAATAGCTACAATCTATTCTCTCTGAAGCCTGCTACCTGGAAGCTTCATCTACATAATAAGAACCTTGGTCTTCACAGCCCCTTATCTCAACCCAGACACTCCCTTCTATTGATTCCAGGTCTTTAATCAAAAAATCTTTAAATCCACCTGTGACCTAGAAGCCCCCACTTCAAGTTGTCCCACCTCTCTGGACTGAACCAATGTACATCCTACCTGTATTGATTGATGTCTTATGTCTCCCTAAAATGTATAAAACCAAGCTGTAGGCTGGGTGTGGTGGCTCACGCTTGTAATCCCAACACTTTGGGAGGCTGAGGCAGGCAGATCACCTGAGGTCAGGAGTTCGAGACCAGCCTGGCCAACATGGCGGAACGCTGTCTCTATTAAAAATACAAAAATTAGCCAGGTATGGTGATGAGCGCCTGTAATCCCAGCTACTTGAGAGGCTGAGGCAGGAGAATTGTTTGAACCCAGGAGGTGGAGTTTGCAGTGAGCTTAGATTGTGCCACTTCACTCCAGCCTGGGTGGCAGAGCGAGACTCCGTCTCAAAAAACAAACAAAAAAAAAACAAGCTGTAGCCCAGCCACCTTGGGCACATGTTCTCAGGGTCTCCTGGGATTGTGTCGCAGGCCATTGGTCACTCATATTTGGCCCAGAATAAATCTTTTCAAATATTTTGCAGTGTTTGACTCTTTGTTGACAAGGTAAGGCTGCTATTAAGGGGGAAAAAAATTTATCCCAAAGTTAACTGATAAAAATTAATTGATGTCCACATGGTATTTTGAAACAACTGTTTTTCTGGATTTTAGGAAAATGTAAATCAATAATGTATTACTGCTATTGAATTTCTCAAATGCCTCTGGTCCTAACACATAAGAGTCAAACTTCCAGAATCTATTTGAAACACCCAAGGCATTTTGTTTTGAGCTTTAACTTTTTTTTTTTTTTTTTTTTTTTTTAGACAGAGTTTTGCTCTTGTTGTCCGGGCTGGAATGCAATGGCATGATCTCAGCTCACCGCAACCTCCGCCCCGCCTCCCAGGTTCAAGTGATTCTCCTGCCTCAGCCTGCCAAGTAGATAGGATTACAGGCATGTGCCACCACACCTGGCTAATTTTGTATTTTTAGTAGAGACAGGGTTTCTTCATGTTGGTCAGGCTGGTCTTGAACTCCTGACCTCAGGTGATCTGCTCACCTCAGCCTCCCAAAGTACTGGGGTTACAGGTGTGAGCCACCATGCCCGGCCGAGCTTTAACATTTTTAATTCTCCCAGGTAGCCATGAAATTCCTCCTTTGTTCCATTAGTGTCCACCTACTTCTATACAATTTATTCACATCACCTCAAATATCGAGATTTCAACCCTCCAGGATTCTCAAGCAACCAGACTCCTGCAGAACCTGATAGTTAAGGGAAAAAGAAGAAAACATCATTGGTGATAAAGGAACTTGTAAGGCAAAAGTAAATCAAACAACTATAAAGAGAAGTGCCAGAAAGACTAACTAGAAACACAACTTTTGGAGATTTGCCAAAAAAAAAAAGCATTCTGCTTTTCTGATGACCAAGCCTGATTCTTTGTATGAAGGCTACTAAAGCAAAGGAGAAACAAGATCATAAGAGAAAAACAGCAGAAGAGGTAAGAAACAGCTGCTGCCGTGCAGAGGAAAAACACTGACAGGCAGGGAGCCCAGCAGCATTCATTTAGACAGCAGAAAAGAGAACAGAGCTGCTTTCCTGAGGGATCATTCTCACTTCTACCCACCCTGCAAGCACCAACACAAGACCACTCCGTGTGGGGGCTGCCCTGAAGCTGGCACAAGGCCTGGAGGCCAACTAGTCCCACTGACACCTTTGGGAATGATCAGGATCAGAATATGCCACCCCAAAATATGCCACTTTGGCAAAGGATTGTGTTGAGCTGAAGGCAATTGAGAAATAACAGACTGCTGAAAAAGCTCTCTACCCTCCCCCATCTGCCTAAAAGCAGGACATAAATTTCTCTTTGTGAAGGCACTTTTCTCTCCTCTCCCATACCAGGAAAAAGAAACAATTCTTATCACTGGAGATGCACTGGCTTGAATCTGCATAAATAAACCTTGCTGAAATAACCCTTATCTTTCATTACCCATATATTTACCTTCCCACAAGGTACGGTGCCTAGGAGATCCAACTTCTCCACAAATTTATCATCCTTTGTTAAAATGCTATATAAGTCTTTGGTCACCTCTTTGGGGTTTTCATTTAATTTCTGTGAGGCCCCATTATGCATATTAAATAAATCTTTTTCTCCTGTTAATCTGTCTTTTGTTGGTTCAATTTGCAAGACCCCAGACACTAAATCTAGGAGAGTAGAAGACAGAGATTTTTTTCCTTCCCCTCTAGGGGAAAGGCACAACAACCCAAGGAGAGCCATTCAGTACTGATCACATCCTGTGTCTTTGATAGTAACTAAAATTTGTTGAGCACTTATTAAGTGCCAAATCCAGCTCTAATTACTTTATATCTTTTACTCATTTAATTCTACCTAGGGGGTAGGTACAATTATTAGCGCCCACTGTTAGATTAGGTCCTCCAAGAAGCAAATGCCTAGATGAGAATAAAGATGTCTGAATTTTTTTCCAGCTGGAAAATAAGTAAAATGAAAGTATAAATATATTTATAATAAAAAATTATTTGTTCTTTATCTGAAATTCAAATTTCACTGGACATCCTGATGCTTGTTTGTTTCTAAACTGACAACTCTGTCTTAGGAGAAATCCTTGAGTGAGAGAAAATAGGGAAAGAGCTGGCTAGGCTTGGAGAGCCCTCAGGCCATGATGCAGGTCTAATCCCAGTGAGGAGACAGGGAGAGAAGGTAGGGTGGAAACAAGATAAAGCTTTTGTTAGAAAAGCCATCAAGGAGTCCACAAGCCAAAGTGGCAATCAAAGGAGCTCTGTGTGGCCCAGGATTGGGTGTGCCTTAGTATCCTTGATGCACTCAGTTGGCCAGAAGCAGCCAGGCAGGCCCTTCCACACAGTGATAGATTTAGAGCACAGCAGCTGGGGCCCTTAGTCAATTATACTCCCTGTAGTTGAAGATTTGCAAAGCACATTCTAGTGACCACCACACATTCCCATTTTGTAGGTGGTGGAACTGAGTCACAGAGAAATAAAGTAACTTATCAAAAGTCAGGGCTAGTCAATAGCAGAACCAGGATTTGGTGCTTTGGTTCCAGAAGCCTTGCTTCTGACCACTATGCTAAGCTGTGTCCTGTCTAAACCCACATCTTCTGCACCTCCAGAAACTGAAGTTCACAGAAGTGTCCTTAACAAAGGACTGTACAGTGTACAGTGTAGCACTGTATACCAAGTGCTACACTTGGTATACAGTGTGTAAGAAAAGGAAGTCTGCAACGTGTTTACAGATGACCAAAATTAGATCAATTTCCAAGTCTAGTAACTACAAAGCACTCTGAAAAAAATTACATATCCAGACTGACTTCTATTTATTTGTTTATTTAAAGAGACAGGGTCTTTCTCTGTCACCCAGACAGGAATGCAGTGGCTCAATCCTAACTCACTGCACCCTCGAACTTCTCAGCTCAAGCAAAATCCTCCCACCTCAGCTTCTCAAGATAAATCCTCCCACCTCAGCCTCTCAAGCAGCGGGGACTACAGGTGCATGCCACCAGGCCTGGCTAATTTTTTCTTTTTTTCAATTTTTTGTAGAGATGGGAGTTTCTCCATGTTGTCCAAGCTGGTCTTGAACTCTTGGCCTCAAGTGATCCTCCCACTCCAGCCTCCTAAAGTACTGGGATTACAGCCATGAGCCACCACACCTAGCCCAGACTGACTTCTGAGCTCAGAATGTGGGATAATTGAGATTATTATTGTTTCTTTTTAATAGCACAACATCAGTAAACTCTACTATTTCATCAGGTCCCTCCAATCTTATAATACCTGAAATGTATTTTCACCATCTGGAACCAAGGGAGGCCAAAATCAAAATGAGAAACCAGGTAAATAATACTGGGGGTCATTTCTTATTAGGCTGGGAATCATGTCCTAATACCATTAATTTGCTTCCTAAAGATAAACATTCACAGAAAAAGTCTCCTTTTCAGAGAAGGGAATAGAAAATTGAAATTCCTAGGAACAAAAGCTCTGCACAAGGCTGCCCAGGACCTTTCAATAGGCCTCAGAGGCTGGACCAGGTCCTTCTACCACTTGCCTCTGGCCCCAGCTCTTGAGGACAGCATAGGCACTGTTAGCCCCAGCAGCACAGTGACCTTCATCTAATTCTCTCTCAAGCCAGGACCTGCCCAGCTAGCACCCATTGCCCTGGAACCAAAGATATCAGGGACCATTTCAAATCAGTTATCATTTGAATCTCGCACAAAGCAGTTTTAGGGGTCTAAACTTTCAATTGCTTAATAATCTCCTGAGAGTACATGTATTAAAGTGCTTAAGATTCCAAAGGTCAGTAAAAACTCCAAGGATTTTTTTTTTTTTTTAGACTGAGTTTCACTCTTATTGCCCAGGCTAGAGTGCAATGGCGTGATCTCGACTCACCGCAACCTCCGCCTCCCAGGTTCAAGCGATTCTCCTGCCTCAGCCTCCCAAGTAGCTGGGATTACAGGCATGCACCACCACACCCAGCTAATTTTGTATTTTCAGTAGAGACGGGGTTTCTCCATGTTGGTCAGGCTGGTCTCAAACTCCCGACCTCAGGTGATCCGCCCGCCTCGGCCTCCCAAAGTGCTGGGATCACAGGCATGAGCCACCATGCCTGGCCCCAAGGATTTTTTTTTAATGACAACTTTACTCTTGTGCCAGTGAGCATTGTTTCGAAGTTAGTGCAATTAAATAAAATCTCCCGTGCTTTTGGAAGCCATTCTGTGGAGAAAATCTAAGCCCTGACTTCCATCCATTCATTCAAATGCTGTACCCAAGAACACCTATGTTTACTTGCAGCCTCCGTAGATCCTGATTCACATATGGCAGTTTTTCCATCCTCTCTCTGTGCATCAGACTTGCGTAAGTAAAATACATTTCATGTGTCTTTCTCCCTCTACATGTGACAACTATGTTTATTCAAAGAAAATCTATTAAAAGTAATATCTATTTGTATTCTTTTTTTTTTTTTTTTTTTTCCGCTCTGCTACTCAGGCTGGAGGGCTGGAGGACAGTGGAGCCATCTTGGCTCACTGCAACCTCTGCCTCCCGGGTTCAAGCAATTCTCCTGCCTCAGCTTCCGGAGTAGCAGGGATTACAGGTATGCACCACCAGCTAATTTTTGTATTTTTCGTACAGATAAGGTTTCACCATGTTGGCCAGGTTGGTCTCAAACTCCTGACCCCAGGTGATCCACCCGCCTCGGCCTCTCAAAGTGCTGGGATTACAGGGCCGCTGCGCCCAGCCTATTTGCATTCCATTGATTCCTTGTTTTATATTTCAGAAAACCAACTGCCCAGTGTAACAGTCCCAAATCTTCTAAATCTCAGACTGGCCTAATTTTGCAGTGGATAGAAAGGCTGCTACCACCACCGATAACAACAACACACACACACACACACACCACAAACATAGAATGTTCTGGGCTCATGGGACTGCAGCTACAGCCAGCTGTCACATACCAGATCTTAGGTTTTATGGTGAAGTGCATCAAGTGGGGAATTCAAGCTGGGTGCGGATTGAGGTGGTTTTTCCCTCAGATTGGGTGTGTGAGACTCTGGAGGTGTCTGCTCACGCTTAATCGAGCGAAGCTTTTCAGTACACAAATCTGAAAAGAATTTCTCCGAGACCCCTATAAGCCATGGAAAATTACCCATCATGTCTAAAGTGGTCCCTGGCTTGTTCTGTTTATTTGCTCTGTCTTGGGTAAGCCTGTTATCAAGCACCACTGAAAATATGCCAAAGCATTCTTGCTGTACTTGACTCTCAAAACATTAATTTCTCACTTGAGCCTACGAAGTTTGACTTGGCAGGACTGGATATTGTGATTCTCAATGTTAAAACTCTAAAAGCAACTCATGTCTCAGCACTGGGATGTGCTACACTCCCTGTGGTCATTCAGAAATGTCAACTGAAAACAGCGATAGTGACCAAAAAGAGCATATAGTGAGGCAGGAAACAAAGTATCTTCCCCAGATCCCCCTCATCCACCAGCTGCAGGGCAGAGAGGCACATCAACATCAGCGCCTGGAGAAACCAAAGTATCATTCTGGCTAAATACTAAGCTAAGTTATGTCAGATTCTGAAGAAAATAAGAGTAGGTACATAATGTGATTTGTAAGGTGTCATAGTTTAATTAATGACATTAACATTGTGTACAAATTAGATTTTATCTTCTGCCAGGGCTTCAGAAAGAACAGCAGACAAGCCGGTAACAAGAAAGAATCTTTTCCTGCCACAGAAATGTCCATTTCTGGCATTTTTTTTACTCAGTCCCAGGGGAACTGCTTTTAAAGATGCATATATAGAGAAGTGGCAGTTTTTTTTCTGTTTCCAATTTACCTCATGTAGTAGGAATAGAAAGTCTAGTTCTGTCCTACAAAGGCAGTAAGAGAATAGTTAGCAATAAACAGTTATTGTTGGACCAGGTGCGGTGGCTCACGCCTGTAATCCCAGCACTTTGGGAGGCCAAGGCAGGCAGATCACCTGAGGTCAGGAGTCCAGACCAGCTTGGCCAACATGGTGAAACCCGGCCTCTACTAAAAATTAAAAAAAAAAAAAAAAATTAGCCAGGTGTGGTGGTGCATGCCTGTAACCCCAGCTACTCAGGAGGTTGAGGCAGGAGAATTATTTGAAATCAGTAGGCAGAGGTTGCAGTGAGCCAAGATTGCGCCATTGCACGCCAGCCTAGGCAACAGAGGGAGACTCTCTCAAAAAAACAAAACAAAACAAAACCCAGTTATTGTTTATTTAACAGTTTTATCTATAATAGGGTCAGCTGGTAGGGACACTTGACATATCAAAAGGACTAAGTACCCAATATACATGTATTGGCAATTAAGGAAAGTTACAAATCACCAAGTACCTAGAATTATTCCATTTTAAATATTTTTTTTTCTTTAAAATAATAGTAAAGACAAGGTCTCACTATGTTTCCCAGGCTGTTCTTGAACTCCTGAGCTCAAGTGATCCTCCCATCTCAACCTCCCAAAGTTCTAGGATTACAGGTATGAGCCATCATGCTGGGCCTCCATTTTTTTTAATTACATAAATAATTAATTTCCTCATAAGACAGAATTTCAACTCTCTTCCAAAATCTACAAAAGTGTGTGGCAGTGAGACAGCCAAGTAAAAAGTTTCTGCCCCCTGGCAGAAACTTCAACCAGCCTGCACACTGGGAGGATGGGGTGGAGCCTCAGGAAGTTCATGTCATTTGCAGGTGGGAGGAGCCTGGCCTCTCCTGTTCCAGGGTGGAACCCGGGATTCAGTCCGTGAGGCAGGAAGCCAACTAGCAGGACTTCTGCTTTGCTGAGAGTCCCTGTTTCCTGTTTTTTCCCTTTTTTGCCTAATAAATTCAATTTTTCTCAAACCTTCGAAGTGTCTGCAAGCCTAATCTCTCATGGTTGTGTGACAAGAACCCCGTTGTTAGCTGAACTAAGGAGAAAGTCCTACAACAGCAGGGATCCTGCACACACCCACATCCCCTGTTTCACTCCAAGCCAGCCCCACTGGCTTCCTCCTCTTTTTCCTCTTCCTGGGAAGAATATCAAATATGCCAACCTCCTTCCTGCTGTAGAAGAGGAAAGGCTTTTCCTCTACCCCCTTAGGTTCTGAGTCTGGAGATGATAGCTTGAACGGACAAAAAACAGACTAACAGGAGGAAAACTATACACATTTTATTTGATATTAATTAATATTTTTATATAACATGAGAGGCTTCATAGAAAAAAATGAAAATCCAAAGGACCGTTAGACCTAGGGGCTCACATACCATTTTAACAAAGGGCAATAAATTGTGAAGATGTGGCAAGACAAAGGAAAAAAAGGCTTGGGCTAGGGGTAGTGAATTGTGGAAAAGTGACTATAAAATATATAAAGAAACTAATGGAAGATATAAGTTATTTTAGTAAGATTTGTTTTTATAGATTCATCTCAGTATCAACTCTCCATCTCCAATGATAAGAATGTTCTACTCTTCTTCCTGGTACAGGGAGGGTACTTATGGGAAATTTATGCTCTGCTTTTAGGTAGAAAAGGGGAGGGCAGAGAGCCCTTCCTGCATATGCTGTTTCTCAACTGCCTTCATCTGAAAATAATGAATATGCCAAAGCAGCATATTTTGAGATGGTACATTCTAATCCTTTACACTGCCCTGACTGACCCTTGCCTGGACACTCAGCTGCTTGCATCACTCCTTCCATTCTCATCTCAGCTGAAATGTCATCTTGTCATCTCCTCAACAAGGGCTTTGCTGACCTCCTTAAGTTAGGATATTCCCCCACACCTCCCTGACCCCATTATTCTATATTCTAAAAGTCTTTTCTCTTTTTAATGGCATTTTGTTTCAAATATCTCAATTTGTGGTCAATATATTTGCTGATTTACTTGTTTATTGACTTCCCCCTTCTCTAGACTGAGGGCAAAAACTGATATCTGCTTATTCTCCAAATTTTTCTTTTGCCTACCTATATTTTCTAGGTTTTTTTCAAATGCCCTGTTTCATAACAAGAAAATAAGATAAGATGGTTGTTAATGTTAACAACATGCTGAGGCTGGGCACCGTGGCTCACGCCTATAATCCTAGCCCTTTGGGTGGCCAAGGCTTGAGGCTCACTTGAGCCCAGGAGTTTAAGATCAGCCCGGGCAACATAGTGAGATCTCATCTCTACAAAAAATAAAAACACATTAGCTGGGTGTGTTGGCACAGGCCTGTAGTTGTCTCAGCTACTCTGGAGGCTGAGACAGGAGAATCACTTGAGCCTGAGAGGTCAAGGCTGGAGTGAGCCATGATCACACAACTGCACTCCAGCCTGGGTTTCAGGTTCAGCCAGATCCAGGTTCTCATTATGACCCTTCCAGCTCCCAGCTGTGTGCATGTGGGCAAACAGTCTAAACTCTCCAAGCCTTAGTGTTCTTATATATAAATTATTTTTTAAATATCAATTTTCAACTATTGCTCTATATTTAACATTTTGTTACTGGTAATATTCTTGCTTGCTATTTTTAGAAGTTAACTCTTCAAAAAATCATGAAAATTGAAAACTCATCTATACTTTGAACCAAATAAAACTGCCAATATTTGATTATTTTTAAACTTTTTTTAAAATGACAATTTGATATGGTACAACATAATTTATGGTTTTTTTGACTTGGGGGTTCAGTGGGAAGCATAAAAATTTGGACTCTGCAAATAGTTTGATGGATAGCTGAACCTCCATTGTCCAAGTCAATGGAAGTTCCCCAAATAGCCCAACTCAATGGAAACCTCTGCTTTTTGCTTCCTACTAGTTCAAGGTCCAGGGGCACTGAGGAGAAAACATTATTTTAATGTCCCATGGCTCCAACTAGATTGATAAGTTCCCAACTTCATGACTGTCTGTGCTTCATGAGAATTTCTATAAGAAGAGAAAAAAAAAGTATGACTCACTTAAAATTGAAGAAAAAGAATTTTCCCATAAAGCAATGGTTCACAAATCTGTTTATCTTAGCTCATAGATCACCACCTCCCCACTGTCTGCTCACATTGCCACAGCCACCCACAGTTATCACCCCTTTTAAAAAGATAGAATTTCCTTGTTCCTTTATTGCTAAGATGGTAAGTAAAGCATAGTTTAGACAATGAGTATATATGGGAAAGCACCAGTTAAAGAAATATAGGAACATTCCAGTGTTTTTCCTTCCAAATAAGGAAGCTCATATTTATATGAGCTAAGTTAAGTGAGGTAATAAAAATTTGGCCGAGTGCAATGGCTCACACCTGTAATCCCAGGCTGAGGCAGGCAGATTACTTGAGGTAAGAAGTTCAAGACCAGCCTGGCCAACATAGTGAAACCCTGTCTCTACTAAAAATACAAAAATTAGCTGGGCATGGTGGCTAGCGCCTGTAATCCCAGCTACTGGGGAGACTGAGACAGAATTGCTTGAATCCAGGAGGTGGAGGTTGCAGTGAGCCCAGATTGTGCCGCTGCACTCCAGCCTAGGTGACAGAATGAGACATCATCTAAAAATAATAATAATAACTACTTTAAAGTTCATATGGAACCAAAAAAGAGCCCGCATCACCAAGTCGATCCTAAGCCAAAAGAACAAAGCTGGAGGCATCACACTACCTGACTTCAAACTATACTACAAGGCTACAGTAACCAAAACAGCATGGTACTGGTACCAAAACAGAGATATAGATCAATGGAACAGAACAGAGCCCTCAGAAATAACGCCGCATATCTACAACTATCTGATCTTTGACAAACCTGACAAAAACAAGCAATGGGGAAAGGATTCCCTATTTAATAAATGGTGCTGGGAAAACTGGCTAGCCATATGTAGAAAGCTGAAACTGGATCCCTTCCTTACACCTTATACAAAAATCAATTCAAGATGGATTAAAGACTTAAACGTTAGACCTAAAACCATAAAAACCCTAGAAGAAAACCTAGGCATTACCATTCAGGACGTAGGCATGGGCAAGGACTTCATGTCTAAAACACCAAAAGCAATGGCAACAAAAGCCAAAATTGACAAATGGGATCTAATTAAACTAAAGAGCTTCTGCACAGCAAAAGAAACTACCATCAGAGTGAACAGGCAACCTACAAAATGGGAGAAAATTTTCGCAACCTACTCATCTGACAAAGGGCTAATATCCAGAACCTACAATGAACTCAAACAAATTTACAAGAAAAAAACAAACAACCCCATCAAAAAGTGGGCGAAGGACATGAACAGACACTTCTCAAAAGAAGACATTTATGCAGCCAAAAAACACATGAAAAAATGCTCACCATCACTGGCCATCAGAGAAATGCAAATCAAAACCACAATGAGATACCATCTCACGCCAGTTAGAATGGCGATCATTAAAAAGTCAGGAAACAACAGGTGCTGGAGAGGATGTGGAGAAATAGGAACACTTTTACACTGTTGGTGGGACTGTAAACTAGTTCAACCATTGTGGAAGTCAGTGTGGCGATTCCTCAGGGATCTAGAACTAGAAATAGCATTCGACCCAGCCATCCCATTACTGGATATATACCCAAATGACTATAAATCATGCTGCTATAAAGACACATGCACATGTATGTTTATTGCGGCACTATTCACAATAGCAAAGACTTGGAACCAACCCAAATGTCCAACAATGATAGACTGGATTAAGAAAATGAGGCACATATACACCATGGAATACTATGCAGCCATAAAAAAGGATGAGTTCATGTCCTTTGTAGGGACATGGATGAAATTGGAAATCATCATTCTCAGTAAACTATCACAAGAACAAAAAACCAAACACCGCATATTCTCACTCATATGTGGGAATTGAACAATGAGATCACATGGACACAGGAAGGGGAACATCACACTCTGGGGACTGTTGTGGGGTGGGGGGAGGGGGGAGGGATAGCATTAGGAGATATACCTAATGCTAGATGACGAGTTAGTGGGTGCAGCGCACCAGCATGTCACATGTATACATATGTAACTAACCTGCACATTGTGCACATGTACCCTAAAACTTAAAGTATAATAATAAAAAAAAATAATAATAATAACAAAATTCTTTAAGATAAAATAGAAATTGGCTTCTG
This sequence comes from Homo sapiens, assembly GCF_000001405.40. Taxonomy (NCBI): domain Eukaryota; kingdom Metazoa; phylum Chordata; class Mammalia; order Primates; family Hominidae; genus Homo; species Homo sapiens. The sequence continues at coordinate 126,530,153 of NC_000005.10, forward strand.
TGACATAAAAATAATAGGAGAAAAACTTATAAAAAAATCACAATTGGCTGCCTTCCCCTTATGTCTGAGAGTGAAAAAAATACCAAGGTGGGTGTATCAAACTTCCTGCTTTGTTGCCAGTTGCACTTACATAGATATTTTGAGCCTAGCATGATGCATTCAAATATATCAACATTTTAATATACTAATAATATTATTACTATTCCTAAACCAATGAGTAAGAAGATAAAAAGGGGAAATGCCCCGCATTTGTAACTGAATAGATATGAAATAAATTAAAGAATATAAGCTTAGTTAATTCTAAACACCTCTAAACTGGCATGGTTTTCTATGGTCATCCTAGCTAGATCTAGATTTTTATTTTCATTTTATTTATTTTTATTTATGTTGATTGATTGATTGAGACAGGGTCTCTATCTGTCGCTTAGGGTGGAGTACGGTTGACATGACTATGGCTCACTGCAGCCTAGGCCACCTGAGCTCAAACGATCCTCCTGCCTCCACCTCCCAAGTAGCTGGGACTACAGGCACACACCACCATGCCCAGCTAATTTTTTTTTTGTTTCATTTTTCATAGAAACAGGATCTCACTATGTTACCCAGGCTGGTCTTGAACTCCTGGGCTCAAGCTATCCTCCCTCCTTGGCCTCCCAAAATGCTGTGATTACAGGCATGGACCATTGTATCCATCCTTGGATTTAGATTTTTTTATCCCAATCTCTCCCTGGTCTTCACAGACACACATGTTAAACCAACATACCTGTTATGACTAGATTTGGCTGCAAGTGATTTTTTAAAAAATGAACAAAATGGAAGTTTAAGAGCCTACAGGTAGGCAATTCGGAGCTGGTCTGGCGATGCCTAGAAGTCCTCAGGAACCCTGTCTACTTTTTCACCTGGCCATACCTCCAGTCAGAAGGCAGAAGAGGCTGACTTTATTCCAAGCAGCTTTGTGCCCACCCTAGAACAGAGGGGATGGATATGGGGTAGGAAATAGCTGTCTCTACCATCACCAAATTCTACCAAACATATAAAAAGAAGCCAATACCTCCACAAATTCATCCATTTATTTGCTTCTTCACAAATGTTAACTAATTTCACACTATATGCCAGGCATCTTGCTCAATGAACACAGGAAAGCAAGAGAGCGTGAACAAACTAGACAAGGTCCTGCCCTCACAGAGCGTCCACTGAGTGAGTGAAACAGACATGAAAAAATCAGGGTGCGCTGCATCTGTTAGGGACAAAAGGAGGGAGAAGTTAATTTGACTTTGGGGTGAGGATGGTCATAAAAAGCTTTCTGTAACCTTCCTTACTGTTATTAAGCGATACAGACAAGAGAAAAGAAATACATGTTATAACAAACCAGAAATAACCCTGAAGTGAATTTTCTGTAGTGACTATTTAACAATAAGCCACAGTGCAGCTTGCGCTATGCTGCTTAATATGGTAAACAAAGTTCAGCCAAGGATCCTTTGCTGGAGGGAATAGCTTGTCCAGTTAGAAAGCTCCTTTTGTTTCTGAAAGCTACTAAAAAACTCAAGCCCTTCAAGTCATTTTAGCAACTCTGAGGGAACAATTATGCTTTTGTGCACAGACTTTAAAGAAAGCGTTTCACAGAGAAAAATCTTGTTGGTGGACAGAGAGGATGGCACATTGCCCAGGTTTTTTTTAATAAAGATGCAGGACTGAGCAGATGTGATAACTCTAGCCATTTAGTCACAGAGGCACATAGGTTATAAAATGTCAACAGTAGGGCAGGCTTCTTGTGTAGATTAGAAGTTCTGGGAGGCCACAGTGGAGAGAGCCCTGGGAAGGCTAAACTAGCCACAGCTGGGGTGGTTCTGTGCTTCCGGTGAGCAAGAATAAAATGAAATCCCTTGAGGAGGAAAGAAGGCAATGTGTTCGCCAGAAAAGTCATAGTTAAATGTAGAGGTCAAAAAATAAAAGGAAGGGAATGAGGCCAGGGGTGCTAAGCTTACCTGCATTCACAGAAAATACTACATGATTTGTGATTTACCTGGCAGCTGGGGTGGATGGCAGAGAAAGTCAAGGGCAGGCAAATCCCTTCTCTTGGTCTGCTCCTTGCACAGGGCAAACATGAGAATAAAAACTCATTGAGTTATTGCTGCAGGTTCTATGGTCTAGAAGCTATAGAAAATTGTCTGATGCTTTTTATTTATCTTTTTTGTTTTCTTTGAGACGGAGTCTCACTCTGTCTCCCAGGCTGGAGTGCAGTGTGTGATCTCAGCTCACTGCCATATCCCAGGTTCAAGCGATTCTTGGGCCTCAGACAGATGTGCACCACCACACCCGGCTAATTTTTGTTTTAGCATTTTTAGTAGAGACGGGGTTTCACTATGTTGGCCAGCTGGTCTAGAACTCCTGACCTCAGGTGATCCACCCACCTCGGCCTCTCAAAGTGCTGGGATTATAGGCGTGAGCCACTGTGCCCGGCCTCTTTTTTTTTTTTTTTTTTTTTTCATTTCAGGTGGTTAAAATCACTTGATCTCTCTCTTTGGGGCACCTGAAATCTGGATTTAAAGCACCGGGGAAACATTACAATGATTTTGCATAATTTTTTAGGTTGGAACAAATTGTTTCTTCAAGGAAGGAAAAAAAATTTTCAATGAATCGTTAATTCTTTTTTTCTCCTTTTATTTTCTTTGTTGACATTTGGCCAAAGATGAACTTTTTTCCTTTTTTATTTTTATCTATTTATTCACTTATTTTCAGAGATAGCATCTCACTCTGTCACCCAGGCTGGAGTGCAATGGTACAATCATAGCTCACTGCAACCTTGAATTCCTGAGCTCAAGGATCCTCCCGCCTCAGCCTCCCAAGTAGCTGGGACTACAGGCACGCACCACCACGTCTGGCTAATTTGTTTACTTTTTGTAGATTCAGGGTCTTGCTATGTTGCCCAAGCTAGTCGCCAACTCCTGACCTCAAGCGATCCTCCCACATCAGCCTCCCAAAGTGTTGGGATTACAAGCATAAGCCACTGTGCCCAGCTGTTATTTTTTCTTTTTTAAATTAAAGCTTTTAATACTGAGGGATGTAGTATAAAACTAGCATCTGATTCTCTAAGCTTCTCCAGCACAAAATAGGAGCAAGTTGATGTTCCTTTATACTATCCCCAGAAAAGATAAGTCAATGTGTCCTCTAGGCCCCAAGAAAGGGCACAGGGCACAGAACATGTAAATCTTCTCTCCCCTACCCTGTTTGAGATTGTGAGCACAGCTCACCTTCCTAGCTCAAAGCTGAATGTTTTCATGTTAGAAGCATGTTCAGTGACCCACTAAATAGGATCAAATATCTCATTTCATTCAGGAGATTTTCACAGGTGAAAGTCAAAGAATTTAAATATTCAGTGAACAATTTGAGTTCACCAGCTCAAAACAGACAGAAGCTAAAACTCAACTAGAAGATGTTTCCTTCTTCTACACTTCTGTACAGGGGTTCAACTCACTGCAATCCAAGACCAATCCATTCTAGCCAAGGTTCTTGGGTCTGTCGGCTGGCAGAATATGCCACCTCAAAATATGACACTTTGACATAAGGATTATTTTGAGCTGAAGGCAATTGAGAAGATCACGCCCGTAATCCTAGCACTTTGGGTGGCCGAGGCAGGCAGATCACCTGAGGTCAGGAGTTCAAGACCAGCCTGGCCAACATTATGAAACCCCGTCTCTACCAACAATACAAAACTTAGCCGGGTGAGGTGGCACACACCTGTAATCCCAGCTACTCGGGAGGCTGAAGCAGCAGAATGGCTTGAACCCGGGAGGCAGAGGTTGTGGTGAGCTGAGATTGTGCCATTGCACTCCAGCCTGGACAACAAGAGTGAAACTCTGTCTCAAAAAAAAGAAAAAAAAATGTATTGGTCCTTTGCTAAAATGCTATAAGCCCATGTTCCAACCAAACCTTTGAGTTTATTCATCTCTGAGTGTTCCCGCATGTAATTGCAGTGCACATACTAATAAAATTCTGATTGTTTTCTTTTGTTAATCTGTCTATGTCAATCCAATGCATAGGGGCTCAGCCAGAGAAGCTAGAAAGGTAATCAGAAAAAGAATTTGGTCCCTTTCAAAAGTTTCTTGAAGAGACTCCGCTGTCATTAGAGGCAGCTCTAGAGATCCTACCATACCTCCAGTGACCCAGCCTATAGACTCAAGACACAGCCCCGTCTCCTTTCTCTGCTCATTCTTGCTCAATCCCTGGACCTGCCAAACGGGGCCCTAGCCCCCAGACTATGTGGTTTCCCCTAGACCCTGTTTACTGAAGAAATACTCTTTGAATCAGGGTGACCCATCAGTCCAGACCTCTGAGCCTCGCTTAATTAAATGAGTGCCCCAAGGATGGTCCAGGCCTAGACCAGCTCCACACAGAAAGCAGGGAGCTCTAAGCGCTTCCATCAATAACACTGAGAGATGAAGCCAGCTGTACTTCCTGGGTGGAGTGGGGACTTAGAGAACTTTTCTCTCTAGCTAGAGGATTGTAAATTCACCAATCAGTGTTCTGTGTCTAGCTAAAGGATTGTAAATGGACTAATCAGCACTCTAAAATGGACCAATCAGCACTCTGTAAAATGGACCAATCAGCAGGATGTGGGCAGGGCCAAATGAGGGAATAAAACCTGGCCACCCAAGCCAGCAGCAGCAACACACTCAGATGTGGTGTTCCCAGTGTTTCCTGGCTAAAAGTTGGGAATCAAATGCAGGTCTCTTGACAGGCCTGGTGCCATAGATTAAGAATCTGCTGAGCCAGAGCATAGCAAATGGAGAAGAGGCCATGCTGAGCTAGAAGAGGCTTGAAATGTAACTTAGCCTGGAGAGAGAAATGTATAAAGTTGGGAAAGATGGTCTGAGCTGTCACCCATCTAGGGCTAATTGGAGTGCACAGCCTCCAACTAAAGAAACTTAAATTTGATTTTTTTGAAAGTTGTCTCCTGGCCTGGTGCAGTGGCTAACGCCTATAATCCTGAAATGGGAGAGTTCCCTGACCCCCCTCAGAGACGTGTGACCGAATGTGGCTCATCTGTTCGGCCACTGTGCACTCAAACCCCTTAGAGGAGGGGGAGCACGCAGGAGCTGGGGCAAGCGCTTCTGGGCTCTGACCCCACAGTAGCATCTAGGGGTGGGTGCCTGTAACTTCTGAAGCCCCAGTGGGCATATTACAGTACTTTTTTAGCTCTGCCGTCACAGATGGCTTAAGTGTTAACTAGCTCAGTGCCCTCTCCGGGTCCTTGTCCGGCATCCAGGAAGAATCAGGTCACACGGACAAATTGAAGGATGGTAAATGAGGGGGATTTTATTGCCAGATGGAGGTGGCTCTCAGCGGGATGGATGGGGACCTGGCGAGGGGATGGAGTGGGAAGATGATCTTCCCCTGGAGTTAGGCAGACCCACAGCCAATCTCCTCTCCTATCATCCCCAGGCAAACTCCTCTCAACATTCAGATGCTCCTTCCCTTCTCTCCTTCTCTGCTGCACTGCTCTTATGCTCCTCTGCTCTTCTGCTCGTGGAGCCTGAGGTTTGGGATTTATATGGGTACAGGATGGGGGGCATGGTGGGCCAAAAAGCAACATTTGGGCACAAAAACAGGAATGCTTCTTCCCATTTAGGGCCGTGGGTTTCCAAGCTTCAGGGTGGGGACTTTGCCAGGGAACCACCCTCTTCTACGCAGTATCTCCCTGCCTCCTCTCTGTATCACTCCCAGCACATTGGGAGGCTGAGGCGGGTGGATTGCTTGAGCTCAGGATTTTGAGAGCAGCCTAGGAAACATGGCAAAACCCTATCTCTACAAGAAATACAAAAATTCGCCAGGCATGGTGGCATGCGCCTGTGGTACCAGCTACTTGAGAGGTTGAAGTGGGAGGATTACTTGAGCCCAGGCAGTCAAGGCTGCAGTGAGCCATGACCACAACACTGCACTCCAGCCTGGGCAACAGTGGGAGACCTGTCTCAAAAAAAAAAAAAAAAAGAAAGAAAGAAAGGAAGTTGACTCCCAAACAAAATAAGCACTTAGACCAATTTTGGCCATAGGGCACCAGTCTTTGATTTAGATTTGGTCCAATTCATTATTGGAAGAGCTGGGGCACAAAGAGATCAAATTACTTCTCTAAGATCATTTGGCCCCTTAGAAACAGAGCTGTGCCTGGAATGCAGGTGCTCTACCTCCGGGACCTGTGCCCACTCCTCCTATTCCACTCTTCCAGCTTAAGTCCAGGCATCTCTCCTTTCTGCCCCAGAGCAAGCATGGGGCAGTCAAGTACTATTTTGATTCTGACTCAAAATTCTGCATTTAAGGAAAGATCAGTTCTTCTTTCTCTACCTCTTCTCTTCCCAAACAATTCAGTCCTGAAGCCATTAGATGGGTGAGAAGAGTGCCTCCACGTAGAGGAGCTGTACATGGGTGTCAGAGCCTCAACTAGGTGATGAGGGCACTCATGTAAGGACAAGTCCAGCACCATCAGAACCGGAGAGAGGTGGGGAGGGCGTCCTCATGAGATGGGAGATAAGTGATACACAAGGAGTGATCTACAAAAAAATGCATCAAGGGTAGTGAGGCAGGTTTCTCATCAGAGACAAGAGTTGCAGATAGTGAAAGGGAAAACTAAAAAGGAACGCTGTGGTGTTGGATAGGATTCGGAAGTTTTATGTAAACTCACACTTGTCCATATAAACAGATTTATAAATAAATGTAGATGTAAATGTCTGCCAGCTGCAAGGGCCTGGGAGCAGTGACATGCCCACATCAACAGGCATCCCTACACTAGACTCTGGCTTATAAACATGATGCTTTACCAAAAAAGACCTGGGATCCTTGAAGAAACGGCTGATTCTAGGGCTTGGGCAGGAAAAGTACAAACTGAACCTGGAACATCTTGTGCCAAAAAGAAAGGAAGTGCTCAGAGAAGGACAGGAACGTGTTGAAAGGACAGTGAAGCCAGCTTGAAGGGAGTCCTGCTGGCCAAATCAGGGATATAAAAATTTAGTTCGAGCATCAAAGTAAGTAATGTAATAAATGGATTATAACTCATTGGATAAAATAGAAAAATTTAAGTACATACAAATATAAATAAGTGAATCAATGGAAAGTTTGATGGAGAGCAGGACAGGTTCATAGTTTCAAAGTATCTCCCCTCACAAAGACCTATTAATTTACAAAGGGTAAAAGAGATGTTTCACAGGGGAGAACGCTGGCAGACACCACCTTAATCAAGAATCAAAGTTAATATCATTGGTATGGGCAAACGGAAATGACATCACACACTGCCTGGTAGGATGCAGGTGAGAATACGGTGTTTCTCTGTGAGTGTAGGGCTTAAGATGCACAACCTGAATTACATTATGAGGAAACGTCAAGTCGAGGGATGATCTATGAAATAAGTGGCGTGTAATTTCAAAAGCATGAAAGTCAAGAGAAGACTAAAAGAGACTAAAGAGATATGACAACATACAAGGGGCAAAAGTTGAACGGGATCTGAGGATTAGATATTAGTAACACGTTGATAGGATTCGGCTATGTGTCTCCACCCGAATCTTACATATTGTGATCCCCATTGTTGGAGGTGGAGCCTGGTGGAAGCTGATTGGATCATATGGGTGGTTTCTAATGGTTTAGCGCCATCCCCATAGTGCTGTCTTGTGATAGAGTTCTCAAGAGACCTGGTGGTTTAAAAGTGTGTAGCGCGGCCGGGCGCGGTGGCTCACGCCTGTAATCCCAGCACTTTGGGAGGCCAAGGTGGGTGGATCACGAGGTCAGAGATCCAGACCATCGTGGCTAACACGGTGAAACCTCGTCTCTACTAAAAGTACAAAAAAATTAGCCGGGCATGGTGGCACGCGTCTGTAGTCCCAGCTACTTGGGAAGCTGAGGCAGGACAATGGCGTGAACCCGGGAGGGGAGGCGGAGCTTGCAGTGAGCAGAGATCGCACCACTGAGCGGAGATCACGCCACTGGACTCCATCCTGGAGGACAGAGCGAGACTCCGTCTCAAAAAAAAAAAAAAAAAAAAAAAGTGTGTAGCTCTTCCCCCCTCACTTTCTTCCTCCGGCTCCGACCACGTGAAGACCATGCCTGCTTCCCTTCGCCTTCCGCCATGATAAGTTTCGTGAGGCCTCCCCAGCCACACCTCCCGTACAGCCTGTGGAACTGTGAGTCAATTAAACCTCTTTTCTCATAAATTACTCAGTCTCAGGTAGTTCTTTATAGCACTGTGAGAACAGACTAATACACACATCAATCCTAATTTTCTGATTTTGATGGTTGTAATGTAGTTATGCAGGAAAATGTCCTTGTCTGTGGGAAATATACACTAAAGCATTTGGGAGTAACAGGGCATCAGATCAACAACATTCTCAAATAATTTAGGGGGAAAAGTTCTATGTACTTGCAACTTTTCTTTAAGTTACGATTATGTCACAATAAAAGACACTGCAAAAAAAAGGAAAAGTCAACAATTAAGAGTCAGACAGGGAAGGTGAGCAAATAAGAACTCTGCTATTTCAGGGACACTATTCACATTCACAAGAATACTATGAGGCCAGGCTACTTGGATTCAAATCTCAGCCCCATCATTTATCAGCTGTGTGACTTGGGGAAAGTTACTCAACCTCTCTGTGCCTCAGTTTCCAAATCAATAAAGTGAAGATCATAATAGTATCTATTTCCTAGGGTTATGAGAATTCCATGGGTTTATATTTGCCAAGTGCTTTTAAAAGTGCCTGGAACACAGTAAGCATCATTTAAGTGTAAATAAAACGAATGACCCATGGAGTTATTCAAAATGGAATAACCTCACACATATGCTCACTGCAGGGAAAGAAGAATGGATGGAAAATTTTTTTAAAAAAAGTTTTGTTTTGTTAGGACAGGGTCTCACTATGTTGCCTAGGCTTGTCTCAAATTTCTGGGCTCAAGCAACCCTCCCTCCTCAGCCTCCCCAAATGTTGGGATTACAGGGATAAGCCATTACGTCCAGCCACATTTTTAACTTAAAAGATACAAACCTGCAATTATAGGCAGTAGGAAAGGCAAGTTACCAATGGTGCTGGAAAGTAAAGCAGCTCATAAATGTGGGGCATTGTCTGTTGACTGCAAAAACTTTTCCATGGTGACCTCCTGGATACAAAGTCAACACAACTCACTTCCCTGCTAAACAGATGATTGCTTTGACCAACAGTGACACCTACAGGTCAACACTGTAAAGACAATTCAATTATATCTGAATGTGGGCCAGATTTCTATAACCCTGGAATTGCCAGGCTGTAAGGATTCTCAACAAGCAAATAGCAAACATTGAGTAGTTGTTGGATCTATATTTCTATTTTCAAACCTAATCTACCTTAGGAAGTAACTGGTCTCTGCAGTAATTTATGCATAAGATGGGGAATCCCATTCACCGTAACAACTGAGCCGGGCACGGTGGCTCACACCTGTAATCCCAGCACTTTGGGAGGCCAAGGCAGCCTGGCCAACATGGCAAAACACTGTCTCTACTAAAAATACAAAAATTAGCCAGGCATGGTGGTGCGCACCTGTAATCCCAGCTACTCCAGAAGCTGAGGTATGAGAATCACTTGAACCCGGGAGGCAGAGGTTGCAGTCAGCTGAGATAGCACCACTGCACTCCAGACTGGGCAACAGAGACTTAAAAAAAAAAATCCGAAATCATAAAATATATAGGAATAAACACAAAAGTTGTTAAGACGTTGCATGAAATAAACTGCAGAATTTTGCTAGGAACCATAAAAATTTGATCAAAATACGTATCATTGATGTTTTTAAGATCTAAGTATTATATATTAGTTCTTCCTAACTTATAAATTTGAGTCCAATAAAAATCCCAAAGAAATTTTTTAAAAACCTGGAAAATGTTTCTAAATTTTATTTAGGAAAATAATTAAAATATTAAAAGCTGAAAACGAATGTGGAAAACATCTTAATAACAGTACCCAACATTTATTGAGCCCTTATCATGAACTTACCAGGCACTGTTAACTTTTATAATTTTACGCTTTAATCCTAACAATTGTATGGGACAGATATTATCAGCATCCTCATACAGTGGAAATAGATTATTTAAGCTTAGCAGCATCTGTGTTTCTTACCTAGGATAACAACTCTCATTTCTTTTAGGGGAATTATCTGTCCTTGATTTCAGCATTAGGACTATTAATCCAGGTGCTTTGCTCTCCCCTTGCCAAGGGGCAGGTAAATTACCTTAAAGGTAAATGATCCATGCTAGGCAAATTGCTTGGTCCTTTCCTGCAGTTTTAATTTTGAGAAACAAAAAGCCTAAAAACAGTTGAAGTTCACTCATTCTAGCAGTGGCGTTTCCACAAGACAGTTGATTTTTACCTGTTACCTAGCTAGGTCCCTAGAGGTAAGGAGACAAACTCAGAAAATAGCAACAGAATTCCATCTCCACTTGCAGACTAAAGAATAAAAAAAAGGAGTCATGTTAGTAGAATCTACAGAGCCACAGCAGAGGGGCCATCTAACAGGAGATGTAGACACAGAAAAAGGAATAAGCTTTCCAGCGAGATGTCTCTAGAGAAGGATCTCCTTCATGCCTCTCCAGAAAACATGAGAAGCTCCTGGTGACGAACCAATTCCTTCTTCATGGATGTGAAATGACCAGGATGCTATCAAGTCACCATGCTCTTTCGTCATGCCCAAAGTTGTGTGTGTTGGCTGTTCCACTGTCCTATCAGCCTACAGAAGGACAAGCAAAGCTTACAGAAGAATGTTCCTTAGGAGGAAGCAGCAACCGTGATCAGGATGAATGAGAAATCATCCCAATAAACACGCTTTGTGTACATTTTCCTTAAAAAAAAAAAAAAAAAAAAAGACAGTAACTACCACAGACTGGCAGGGAAGGAGTGGGAAAATTAATACTCTGACATTTTTTTTTCTGCTCTGATTTTCTACCACTGGCCAAACACAATCAGAAGCCAGAGGATAAAGCAAGCCCAGATGAAGTGGACCGTAGAGATCAGTCCCTAAGGACACACTGCAGGAGAATGTCAGAGAGTGGTTCTGGAGAGGCAAATTGGATCTGGGCTTTCCAAAACAGACCATGTTTGCTAAAGCCATAATTGGTTTCCGCAGCTTGCCACAAAGAAACCGAACTGATACAACCCACGTTACAGACAAGAAAATGAAGTTCAAAGAGATTAGGTTACTTTTTGCAGGTCACATGGCTAATATATGTAGAACTCTAAAACAATTTAAGTAGAAGAAATTTAAAAGATCACAGAATCAAATGTTATTTTCCCTGGAGTTAGTAACTGCCCTTTTTATTGCTTAATTTGCTTTGTATGTTTTTTTCTCTTATTGTAAAATACAACATAAAACTCACCATTTTAACCATTTTAAAATGAGCAATTGAGTAGCATTTAGTATATTTGTAGAGTTGTGCAATGACCACCACTATCTAACAGAATCCTATAGAGCCACAGCAGAGGCGACACCTGACAGGAGATGTAGTCGCAGAAAAGGGAATAAGCTTGCCCTTCCGTCTGCACAGGGAAATGGCATTCTATTTATCTATATACACACACACATATACCAATTACTGAATCAGGATACACAGCTAAAAACAGATCCTGTTATATGTAAGAATGCAGTGTACTATAAAAGAGGTATCAGTGTGAAAAGGACAACCCAATTGTCTAATTGGAGTTGAGGAATTATTTTTATTTTTAAAAGGGAAATTAACGTAGACAAATCGTAACATGTACCCCAAATCCAAATGGATTAAAGACAAAAATGTCAATAAAACATTTGTGGACCTTTCCAATAGAAAAAAAAAAAGAGCAAACTCTAACTGCCTACAACATTTTAAATCTAGAATCCTATATTCAATCAATATGGGGATAAAGTTCTTCCCCTTGGATAGGAGAGGTTTCGTTTGGTTTTCTTTTAATTTCCTCCAAAACAATCATTGGCAGGAAGCTTCTGCAGGATAAGCTCCAGGTGTAGAAAAAAAAAAAAAAAAAAAAGTTTGTTGGAGACCATAGGAATTTCATAAAAATATTGAAACTGAAAACACTTAAAAAGCATTCCAAATCAGCTTTCCAATCTGCAACCTTTGTTAGAATGAAGGCAACAAGAAAATGGTCTGAAAGTGCCAGGGAAGAGAAGAGGAAGGACACAGAGCCCTCTTGGTCCCTTCAGCATTTTCAGGAGACAGAATGCCACAGAGAATTTTCCACAGAGCTGGGCATGGTGGCACACTCCTGTAATCCCAACAACTCAAGAGGCTGAGGCAGGAGGATCGCTTGAGGCCACAAGTTCAAGACGAGCATGAGCAATGTAGTATGACCCAATCTTTACAAAAAAAAATAATAATCAGCTGGGCACAGTGGCATGCACCTGTAGTCCCAGCTACTGGGGAGCATGAGGTGGAAGGATAGATTGAGCCCAGGAGTTGGAGGCTGCAGTGAGCCACTATTGCACCACTGCACTCCAGTGTGGGCAAAACTGAGACACCAAAAAAAAAGAAGTGTTCTGTGGTTGCAGAGCAAGAGAGAGAGGAGGCTTAACAGATTCCCACCCTGAAAGAGAAAGTAGGAAGCAGAGTACATAATAGCACTCAATTTCCTTTGAGAAAACTGCCTTCCCTCCATTGTGAGAAGTCTTCACCTGGAGGGCCTGCCTCCTCACTGCTGCAGCCAGGAGCCAGGTCTTCACCCACTTCCCAGGGAGTCACAAGAGCCTGGCTGCTAGGCTCAGCGAATGGATGCTCTCTCCAAGTACAGCAAGATCCTAAGCAAGTTAGGCTTTAGTGCCGTGGCAGAAGCAAGCATGCTGAACACAATTCCCCGCATCCACAATGGAGGCTGGGCATTGCCAGCAGTAGCGGTTGGAACACAGGATTTAGGAGGAGGCAGCAGTTATGAAATGCTCAAGATAACCAGTAATGAGCAGCACAAGACCCCTTGCACCTTCAAATATAAGACCAGTAATAACACTTACAAATGTACATTTTAACTTGGATAGTTAAAAATACTAACAAGTGATTTATATCTGCTAAATCAGCAAAAAAGAACAAAGAGGAACAAATTGAAGGCATATGTTTTAATGAACATTATAACCAAAAAAAATTGAGTCCTTGTGCTAGAAACATGTAGAAGAAAAATTATAAATTTGTTTCAAAGAAAGCTTTCAGAATCAGTTTTACCTAAAATCTATAGCTAAGATTATCACTCCCACATACCCTCACCCATGATTTCTTCCTGCCAACCTTCTCTCAATAGCTATATCAGTATTTGGCTTGATTCATGTTCAATATTGACAACAGCATGTCTAGTTAAATACTGCTCGCAGCTGGCCATGGGACATATTATGAATACCTTTGCTTCCCAGATACATTTATAATTGTTTAGTTTTTCATTTGCTTACTTCTCTGGGCCATAATTCAACCCCAAATTATTTGCCATTTGTCCAGATCTCTCCACATCCTGATGGATCAGGTTGTCTACAAATGTCATCTTGTTCAAAGGCCTCTGCTCCATTCTAACCTGGCAGGAGTAGAGGGGTGCCATGCAGAAGGGGAGCAGAGAATGCCAGGAAGGCAGGAGAACAGGGGCCTCTGGGCTGAACCAGCCCAAAGGCTCCTGTGCAGCTTCCCAGTGAGAAAAGGTGAGACTGTCAGCAAAGAGAAAGTGAACTTTGCCCAGCTCTCTATGACCACATGCTGCCACACACACTGAGGATTGAGAACAGATCCAAGGGCAACCGCAGACGCCTAAAGCTAAAGAAGGTGGTCTAAGGTTGTATAAAAAAATCCAGATGCACTTTTTTTTTTTTTTTTTTTTGTAGACAGGATCTCACTGTTGCCCAGGCAGTGGCACAATCTAGGCTCACTGCAACCTCTGCCTCCTGGGTTCACACAATTCTCCTGCCTCAGCCTCCCTAATAGCTGGGATTACAGGTGCCTGCCACCACACTGGGCTAATTTTTGTATTTTTTGGTAAAGACGGGGTTTCACGATATCGGCCAGGCTGGTCTCAAACTCCTAGCCTCTACTGATCCACCCGCCTCGGCCTCTCAAAGTGCTGGGATTATAGGCGTAAGCCACCTTGCCCAGCCTCCAGACGCATTTTCTATACAACTCTGCACGGGCAATTTTGGCCTCAGAGTCCTCCAGCAGGTGGCAGACTCCAGCACAGGAACAAAATCTGTCTACCCCAGAAATCTCTTCCAAGTTGACACAGCCTTCATAAGCAAGAGCCATAACTGTGATGAATGCCTGTTGTCATTTTAAGCACTGCAAGTTATTCCACATGAATACTGAACTGTGGTCCAAGCATACAGGGGAATGCATCCCCCTTTCAATCACACGACATCCAACACATGCCATAGGTGGGTAATGTCAAGCAATATTCACCCCCCGCCCCTGAATCCTTCACTTGGTCAGGAGACACCCTGTATCTACTGCAAAGACTTCTGTTTTCTCCTCGGTTCTGTATTTTCCCAAATTCCTACCCTGGTACGTACTATTTTTTTCTAATTACAAAATAATCATTAACTTTTAAAAAGCCATGTACAACTAGTTGACATAATAAAAATCCACCTAACTCATCTTTTAGTAACTATGGCTATGTTGTAACAATTTTATTTTGATTTTTAAAAAAGGAATCTCTTGATTTAATCAGGGCTTTGGGGTCATAGGGGGATTAGTCACTGTCACAGTCATAATAATGCATTTATTCAGGGAAAACTTTAATTTTCTTTGTCTTCTCCAAAAACAGCTGCTGGAACACCTCAAATTAAGGGATGTTCATCTAAAACACCTTTACTGAAACTTGATTCCTTGGGCCAGAGGAAGGTCTTTACTGTAGTTGATAGTACTAGTGGGAAAAAATAACAGAATTAATGACAGTACATACATAACAGAAGATTTTCATGCCCACTTTTAAAATGTAGCAGATCTGTATATATTAACAAGGCAAGATCTCCAAGTTACAACTTTTTAAGACAAACCTTTAAGATAAAAGACAATGTTAGTATGGATCCCGTTTTATTTAAAAGAAAAAAGACAGAAACATAAAAATCTGGAAAGACATACCATACATGGTTTTTTTTGTTGGTGGTGGTTTTTGTTTGTTTGTTTGTTTTGTTTTGAGACAGGGTCTCACTCTGTCACCCAGACTGGAGTGCAATGGCACAATCTCAGCTCACTGCAACCTCCGCCTCCCAGGCTCAAGCGATTCTCCTGCCTCAGCCTCCTGATTAGCTGTGCACCACCACGCCTGGCTAATTTTTGTATTTTTAGTAGAGACGGGGTTTCACCATGTTGGCCAGGCTGGTCTTGAACTCCTGACCTCAAATGATCCACCTGCCTCAGCCTCCTGAACTGCTTGGATTACAGGCATGAGCCACTGCAGGCGTGGATCACCTGAGGTCAGGAGTTCAAGACCAGCCTGGCCAACATGGTGAAACCCGGTCTCTACTAAAAATGCAAAAATTAGCCTGGCATGGTGGTGCAGGCCTGTGATGACAGCTACTTGGGAGGCTGAGGCAGGAGAATCGCTGGAATCTGGGAGGCGGAGGCTGAGGCTGCAGTGAGCTGAGATCAGGCCACTGCACTCCAGCCTGGGTGACAGAGCAAGACTCCATCTCAAAAAAAAAAAAAAGTGTGCCCTCAAAAGTGCAAGAAACAGCCCAGCATGGTGGCTCATGCCTGTAATCCCAGGACTTTGAGAGGCCGAGGCAGGCAGATCACCTGAGGTCAGGAGTTCAACAACAGCCTGGCCAACACGGTGAAACCCAATCTCTACTAAAAATACAAAAATTAGCCGGGTGCTGTGGCTCACGCCTGTAATCTCAGCACTTTGGGAGGCCAAGGCGGGTGGATCACCTGAGGTCGGGAGTTCGAGACCAGCCTGACCAACATGGAGAAACCCCAACTCTACTAAAAATACAGAAACCACGCACGAGACCATTTCATTGTTGGGTGCTGGGCACTAGCTGAAGCTAGACAAGAAGGCTAGAAAAATAGCACCAAATAGATACTTAGAGGAGACAGCTGTGGAATGCTGGAAAAATCAAATCAAATGACACTGCACAAAGACAGCACAGACAGTAGGAAAGTGTAAAAGCCCATTCCCAAGGGTTTTAAGCCCAAACCTATCTTCCCAAAGCCTTTTCTTACCAAGTAGACCTTCTCATGTACTGTTTCCAGGCATCACTGCCAGACTCCCTGCCACCACCAGTGTGCTTTTCTCCTCCTAGAGAAATAAAAAATAATATCATATCTTCTGAGCAGTTTCCATGTGGGCTCATAGTTGGTATCAATGAAAAGAAGATACCAAAAGGACACCAGAACAACCTGATTATTTACTTTACATTTAGCCCACAATATCTCCCCTGCAAACAAATCAAAGACAGAGACCAAGAGACCAAAACAAACAGAAAAAAGGAATTAAGAGGGAAAATAAAATATAAGGAATTAAGAAGAAATGGAAACAGAAAGAAACGGTAAAAAAAAAAAAAAATCCCATTAGCTGGGCGTGGTGGTGCATGCCTGTAACCCCACCGTGCCCAGCCCACACATGTTATTCATAGTTTTTCTTTTGAGCAGGGCACAAGAATATGGGAGCTGTAACTGTCTTCTTTATCTCTCTCAATAACTTGTATTAAATTATCAGGGAAAACACAAATATTCCCATTTGATAGAAATACATTAAGAAAATATAACAATTTTGAAATAAAAGCTTCTCTATTAACTACTCACCTGGTCTTTCTCATGAGAGGGAAAGAATCTCCATTAAATGGGTTCCAGAAAAATCACAGCTGAATGTTTGCCCTTCTAGCTCTCAAATGCACAAGCAAAGTAAAAAGAGACATAACTGACTTCAAAGAATGGGAAGCCAGCAAAAAGCCTGCACACATTTGAAATAAAACAAACCACAGCTAACAGCGCCTCTGAAACTCCTGGCAGGAACAGAGTCGCAGAGGCTCTAAGGAACCAAGGCTGAGCACCTGCCTGAGGTTCCGGAGCTAGTGACAGCAGTAAATGGGACTGGGATGGTGTCTCTTGGTTCCTCACCCAGTGCTCATTCTACAAGATAACACCTCATGGGTCTTCCCCAACAAACTCTTTTATTGCACTTGAATAAAAGCTATTTCTACCCAAGGTGGGCAGGGAGGGAGTAGGGAGAGAGCGAATAAAAGCAGAAGAAACAAGTCCTAGTCAAAATCTCCCAAGAGACTCCCTATCCAGCTACGCACATGCTGGGGGAATGAACTAATCCACTTTCAAGGACCATGCTCACTATTCTGAGAGCTGGTACCCCACTGCCCTCCGCTTGCTAGCCAGGCCTGCAGGGCCCTCCCTGCCTCTGTTTTCTACTGCTTCTTCAGTATGCAAGGGTACTGGGTGCATCCAAGAAGAAAATGAAAAGAACAGCTTCTTCTACTTTCTCCTACTAGTTGACTCCCATGTGTCCTGCTCCTGGACAGAAACCTCTATCATAATAGAGGGTCAATACATAATGTCTAAAGCTTTCAAGGAGACAGCAGTGAAAGCACACTAGTTAGAAAAACTGACATCAATTCAAAGGTAAATTTGCTTTTTTCTTTTAGTAAAAAGAATCTCGGCCAGGTACAGTGGCTCACACCTGTATTCCCAGCACTTTGGGAGGCCGAGGCAGGTGGATCACAAGGTCAGGAGTTCAAGACCAGCCTGGCCAACATGGTGAAACCCCATCTCTACTAAAAAAATACAAAAATTAGCCAGGCATGGTGGCGTGCACCTGTAATCCCAGCTACTCACGAGGTTGAGGCGGGAGAATTGCTTGAACTGGGGAGGTGGATGTTGCAGCGAGCCAATATTGCACCACTGCACTCCAGCATAGGCAACAGAGCAAGATTCCGTCTCAAAAAAAAAAAAAGAATCTCAATGTAGCCTCTGGGAAAGGAGGAGGAGAAGAAAAGTATGAGCAAAACTACTTTTTCCATTATAAGACTTTTTTAAAACTTTTATTTATTTAGAGACAGGGTCACACTCACTCTGTCACCCAGGCTGAAGTGCAGTGGTGGGATCATGGCTTACTACAGCCTCAAACTCTTGGCTTAAGCGAGCCTTGCACCTCAGACTCACGAGTAGCTGGGAATACAAGTGTGTGACACCACAACTGGCTAGTTTTTTTTAATTTTTGTAGAGACAGGGTCCTACCATGTTGCCCAGGTTCATCTCAAACTCCTGGGCTTAAGCAATTACAGGCATGAGCCACCATGCCCAGCCCAAAACTTTTTTTTTTTTTTTGCGGGGGAAGACAGGGTCTCACTCTGTCCCCAGACTTGAGTGCACTGGCACAATCTTGGCTCACTGCAACCTCTGCCTCCCAGACTCAAGAGATCCTCCCACCTCAGCCTCCCAAGTAGCTGGGACTACAGGCACACACCATCATGCCTAGCTAATTTTTGTAATTTTTGTAGAGATGAGTTTTTGCCATGTTGCCCAGGCTGGTCTTGAACTCCTGAGCTCAAGCGATCGGCCCACCTCTGCCTCCCAAAGTGCCAGGATTTCAGGTGTAAGCTACTGTGCCTGGGCACCAAAACTTTAAAAATTAATTATAAAAGCTTAAATGAAGAATAGTCAATTGACTGGGTGCAGTGGCTCATGCCTGTAATCCCAACACTCTGGGAAGCCAAGGCAGGTGGATGGCTTGAGCCCAGGAATTTAAGACCAGCCTGGGCAACATAGTGAGGGCCTGTTTCTAAAAAAAAAAAAAAAAAAAAAAAAAATTTAATTAGCTGGTGTGGAGGCACATGCCTGTAATCTCAGCTATTCATGAGGCTGAGGCGAGAGGAATGCTTGAGCCTGGGAGGTGGTGGCTGCAGTGAGCTGTGATCGCGCCACTGCACTCCAGCCTGGGCAACATAGCAAGCCCCCAGCTCAAAAAAAAAAAAAAAAAAAAAAAAAAAGGAATAGTCAATCAGAGAGAGCAGGCATGGGTTGGAAACAGGGATTAAATTAGTACAAAAGGAGAAGATAGACACTCATGCATTCAGGCAACTGCACAGTGGAGTGCAGGGGCAAGGGGTGAACTGAAAACAGCAAAGTCCGTGCATCAAATAGTAATTGTAGTATCTGCTCTAAAAATGTAAAAGAATGCTACTAATGATATAAACTTTTACAAGTATTAATGCATGTTTGTTTTGCTTCTATATTTAAAAAAAACAAGCAATCTGTTTTATTTTACTTTGGATCATTTTTAATAAATAATACTTAATATACAATGGTTAGGGAGAGTTTTTAAGGAAAAACTACTACCAAGTTTCAGCATTAATAATGTATGGCTTATTAAGAGGAAACAGGAGCAGGGCCCAGTGAAAAGAAACAACTTTGTATTCCATCTAGTGAAAAAGAGTATGTTTAACATTTATATGCCTACTTTGCAAATAAAAACCAGAATATTTCATATAAAATTTTCTGGCTTTGAAGCAGGGATTCTTAATCTTTTTTGGGTCTGGAAACTTCTCCCCAGAAAACAAATGCCACCATTTCAGGGGTTCACACATTTCAAGTTAAGGGCCTCTGCTCTAACCTGATGCTGCCTCTGAGGAGATGACGCAGGACTCTATGCGATAACTTTGAATACAGAATGTAAGCTTTTTCAGATATGTTAGATCACATAAGGTTATTTCAGAATATAAGGAGTGTTTCAGTCTCTTGGTCAGCCTTTTCTAAAAGCTACTACTGGTTTTTCTTTGCTGCCCAACATGGAAAAGGAGAAATGATTCTCTACGTACCAAAGGCACCTCCAATCTCAGCCCCACTTGTTGGAATGTTGACATTTACAATGCCACAGTCTGATCCTTTAGGTCTGTGTAAAAAGGGAGGCATGGTGAGAGCAATGAACAGGAAATTAAAAACAAACAAAAATAAATAAAAAATCTAAACCAAAGCTCAAAGGCTTTCAATACTGAAAAACTGATTTTAGACTACAGCAGTTTTTTTAAGTCCACTCACCACATAAATCAGACTTATATAAATTTTCAAAATAGACAAAGTTGTACCCAAGCCAGCGAAAGATTCTGCCCAGATCTTTGGTAAAGATGCTACTTGAAAGTCCCTGTTTTACTTCATTATTCCATGCAAAGACCTCTTCTTCATTCTAAAAGGAGAGACATTGGAAGCTGTAAGATGTTATAGTGTTCAAGTCAAAGTTCACTGACATTAAACTCATTTCCTGAAGTGTACCAGTATAATTTCAGTGTACAAAAGGAAACCAAAGAGTCAAGTTTACTCACTCTGTTTCTCTTATAATTCAGATCATTGATAATAAGTAAAAAATTTTGGGATTTTTCCCCTAATTATCAGAAACAAATATTAACACATTCTTCCTTTCATTCAAGCTACTACATATAATAGCTAATATCTATTGAGCTCTTACGTGTGTAACACACCAATCTAAGCACTTAACATGCATTTAGTTATTTAATCCTCATCCTATAACACAGGTTTCCTACTACCTCCCAATTTACAGATTGGGCAACTGAGGCCTACAGAGACTAATTTGCTCAAGAGCTCACACAGCCTCATAATGTACACAAACACATTACAAAACACAAAATTATATTCTCTAGTCCCCATACGTGAAACAATGATAGGCAATTTAAAGCAAGAAATAAAGAAGCAATGATGTAATTGCAACAAGATGCAATTCTCACTATTATTTTACTGTTAATAATGGTACATTCAAATATTGATTCAATCTCTGCAGTCTCAAAATTAATCCTAAATATTTACTGGCGAGGCTAGGGCCCGTCTCAAGCTAGGGAATGAGATCTTCTAATTTATCCACCTGTGTGGGTTTTTTGGGTTTTATTTATTTGTTTGTTTTAGAGACAGGATCTCTTCCCACCTCAGCCTCCCGAGTAGCTAGGACTATAGGTACATACAACACCTGGCTAATTTTTTAATTTTTTTGTACAGACAAGGTCTCACTGTGTTGGTCAGGCTGGTCTTGAGCACCTGGCCTCAAGTG
Source organism: Homo sapiens (assembly GCF_000001405.40). Taxonomy (NCBI): domain Eukaryota; kingdom Metazoa; phylum Chordata; class Mammalia; order Primates; family Hominidae; genus Homo; species Homo sapiens. The sequence continues at coordinate 126,551,167 of NC_000005.10, forward strand.
ATCCTCCCAAAGCACTGAGATTACAAGCATGAGCCATTGTGCCCAGCTTCTTCACCTATTAAAACCTTTACAGTTTGAGATCAAGATATGAGATCAGGGAAAACAAAACAAAACTCCGCAGCCTGTCCTCTGCTGGAGTTTATAACTATAGGTCTTTTTTTTTTTTGAGATGGAGTCTCACTCTGTTGCCCAGGCTGGAGTGCAATGGTGCGATCTCGGCTCACTGCAACCTCAGCCTCCTGGGTTCAAGTGATTCTCCTGCCTCAGCCTCTCAGGTAGCTGGTATTACAGATTACAGGCGCCCAACACCACGCCTGGCTAATTTTTTTGTTTTTTAGTAGAGACGGGGTTTCACCATGTTGGCCAGGCTGGTCTCGAACTCCTGACCTCAGGTGATCTGCCTGCCTCACCCTCCCAAAGTGCTGGGATTACAGGTGTGAGCCACCGTGCCTGGCCAACTATAGGTCTTTGTATTACCCCCACATGTTCTCATTTTGTCTGCTGACATGTTCACAGCACTCAGGCTATCAAACTATCCAGTACCACGGTTCAGGAGAAGGTGACTCTATGGCCTACACAGCCCAGGATTAAGATGACACAGGAAATGAGGACCACACACTTCATAAACTCCAACACTGGTCCACTACCCAATCTGGTTTCCCTGGCAGCTAGCTTGGCATGCTATAGAGTTTTAAAGTGTTTATCTCATATTTTATCCTGAACCTTCATATATCTACTATTCAGATTACTTTCTAAAACCCTCTTAAAGGTTCATCCAGTGAAATTTAATCCACCATCATTTTCCTCTTATCATTTATTTCAACATCAGGCTAGCGAACAGAATGCATTTTTACCTTGAATTTAAAGACATAGAGAATCGGAGCAAAAGTCTCTGTGTGTGCAATGGACGCATCGTGGCCAAGACCTGTCACAATTGTCGGTTCTACATAATTTCCAGGGCGATCCATAACCTAATGCAGAGAAATGAAATAAAAAGAATGAAAGCATTTTGTTTTCTAGGACTTGGGGTCAGAGGATGCAATCTTTGCCTACATTTATAAAGAAAAAAATTAGCATCATTTATAGGTGAATTATTTCTCCAAAATAACTTCCAATCATGAAAGAAAATTCTCTCTTCCTGATATTGGTTCTAACTTAGTTGGTCAGAGAAAAATGGAAATAAGGAGTCAGGCAGGGATAGAGAGCCATGCCATGTGACACAACCAAGTTATGTTGAACAAACACTGCTGCAAGCGGTTATTTTCACTCAGCCTGTAGTGCAATGGCTTGATCTCAGCTCACTGCAACCTCCGTCTCCCGGGTTCAAGCCATCCTCCCACCTCAGCCTCCCAAGTAACTGGGACTACAGGCATGCACCACCATGCCCAGCTAAATTTTTTTTGTATTTTTAGTAGAGACCAGGTTTCACCATTTTGGCCAGGCTGGTCTTGAACTTCTGACCTCAAGTGATCCACCTGCCTCAGCCTCCCAGAGTGCTGGGATTACAGGTGTGAGTCAACATGCCCGGCCACAAACAAATCTTTATATGTGGGGGGTTTTTTGTTTTTGATTTTTTTTTTTTATTATTTGGTTTTTTGTTTTTGATTTGGTCTTGCTTTGTTGTCCAAGCTGCAGTGCAGTGACATCATCATGACTCATTGCAGCCTCGAACTTGTGGGCTCAAGCAATCCTCCCACCTCAGCCTCCCAAGTAGCTAGCACTACATGTGCATGCCACCATACTCAGCTAATTTTTTTTTGAGACAGGGTCTCACTATGTTGTCCAGGTGGGTCTTGAATTCCTGGCCTCAAGCAATCCTCCCACCACAGCCTCCCAAAGTGCTGAGATTGCAGGTGTGAGCCACTGCACCTGGCAATATGTGTTAATTTCTTTTTTAATGCTTATGATATGTATTTTTTTATTCCTTGCCTTAACTGACTTTTTAAAATAACCAATAAATAGATTATAATTGCTCTGAATACAAAGTCTCCTACTGTACTTGAAAAGGAATTTTCCTTTCCATACAAATATTAAGGACCCAATTCAAAAGCAACCATGACTCCGTTTCTTCTATGTCCTTCCAGAAATGTCCCATGCATTTTCTGCTGTCTTTTTTTAAAATATGGAATACTTTTTAAAATACGGATATGAATTTGCATATCATCATTGTGCATAAGCCATGCTAATCTTCTCTGTATCTTTCCAATTTTAGTATATGTGCTGCCAAAGCAAGCATTGTTGTCATTCTTTAAAACGTGTATTTCTGGCTGGGCACGGTGGCTCACGCCTGTAATCCCAGCACTTTGGGAGGCCAAGGACAGTGGATCACGAAGTCAGAAGTTCCAGACCAGCCTGGCCAACATGGTGAAACCCCTTCTCTACTAAAAATACAAAAATTAGCTGGGCATGGTAATGGGTGCCTGTAATCCCAGCTACTCGGGAGGCTGAGACAGGAGAATCGCTTGAACCTGGGAGGCGAGGTTGCAGTGAGCTGAGATCACGCCACTGCACTCCAGCCTGGGCAACAGAGCAAGACGCAGGAGCCTGAGGTGGGAGGATTGCTTTAGTCCAGGAGGAAGAGGGTGCAGTGAGCTGAGATCGTGCACCACTGCACTCCAGCCTAGGTGGCAGAGCAAGACCCTGTCACAAAAACAAACAGAGCCAAGTGTGGTGGTTCATGCCTGTAATCCCAACACCTTAGGAGGCCAGGGTGGGTGGATCACTTGAGGCCAGGAGTTAGAGACCAGCCTGGCTAACATGGGAAACCCCATCTCTACCAAAAAATATAAAAATTAGCTGGGTGTGGTGACATGCACCTGTAATCCCAGCTACTCGGGAGGCTGAAGCAGGAGAATCACTTGAACCTGGGAGGCGGAGGTTGCCGTGAGCCAAGATTGCGCCACTGCACTCCATCCTGGGCACAGAGTAAGACTCTGTCTCAAAAACAGACAAACAAACAAAAACATGTGTTTCCTTGTTTTATAATAATATATATAAATAAAGACAGGAGAAGAAGGATGTCAAATGGGGTGGCTTTTCCAATATGCCCAGAGCCCTGCTTGTGTCTCAGGGAAAAGAAGGTTAAAAAGCTGTCACAATTGATCTCAGAGCATCCCTTACCTTGCCCCCATAGACCACTGTGCCACCTTCTTTCTTTGCTTCTTCCACTGCTCCAAGAAACATGCTCACTGCCTGCTTGGTGTGGAGTGGCCCATAGAGAACATTAGCTGGAGAGAGAAAAGGAAGGCTGGCTCATCATTTTGCCCTTTATGGCATCGTTTTATTATTAGAACAGCTTTCTCAATGAACAGACCAATCCCTTCCTATATGCTCTCAATTGAGAACATAAGTCAGCATCCTTTTTCCATAAAGAACCAGATGGTAAATATTTTATGCTTTGGAGGACATACGTGATCTCCATCCCAATACTCAACTCCGTAATTGTAGTGCAAAAGCAGCCATAAATGACATGCAAATGAGTGGGTATGTGCCGAGAAACTTTTTTTTACAGAAACAGGCAGAGCCAAGTCTGTTTGCCAATCTCTAGTTTAAAGGAATGGCTATCAATTACTCAAAGCACTGCACTCAAAATATAGGGTCAGTTTACTCATTACAGTGTGACCATTCTCTAAGGAAACATCACAGTCTCAGTAGTTGGTGTATAATTCAAGGGGGAAGAGAATGATGCTGTCCTATGTTACGGCTGCTGGGGACTAGAGCACTGACAGTGACCCAGCAACAAAGAAGAAGGAAGATGTAGGTAGGCCTCTATGAGGAGGAGGCATGTTAGCAGAGCCATCCCCACTCTGGGTGAAGAATGTTTCCAGCAGACAGCACAGTAGGATAGAGCCTGGCATGCCTGGAACACTGAAAGGATGTTGGAGAAGGTGGAGCTCTGGGAGCAAGAGGGAAAATAGACACAGAAAGGCTGGTGAGAAGGCAAGCGGGGCAGGAGGCAGAGAGCAGACCAGGAAGGATCGGGAGCCTGCAAAAAAGAAGAAATCAAGAGGACTCTCGGTTTTAATCTAAAAGCAGGCCTGGCGCAATGGCTCACACCTGTAATCTTAGCACTTTGGGAGGCCCAGGCAGGCAGACTGCTTGAGGTCAGGTGTTCGAGACCAGCCTGGCCAACGTGGCAAAACCCTGTCTCTACTAAAAATATGAAAATCAGTCAAGCGTGGTGGAATGCACCTGTAATCCCAGCTATTCGAGAGGCTGAGGCAGGAGAACTGCTTGAACCCAGGAGGCGGAGGCTGCAGTGAGCTGAGATCAAGCCACTGCACTCCAGCCTGAGCAACAGAGTGAAACTGTGTCTCAAAAAAAAAAAAAAAAAAAAAGAAAGGAAAAAAAATCTAAAAGCAATGAGAAGTTACTGAGGGGTATTTTAAGCAGGAGAGTGAATTATCTGATTGCATTTTAAAAATCATTCTGTAGCAATGGATGCAGAAAGGTCAGTTAGGGGATTCTTGCAGCCTTGCACAAGAGGGATGGTGTCGGCTTGGACAAGGGTAATAGTAATGAGAGAGAAGCACACTAAATCTCATTCCATCTAAACAACCTCTCCCAGTCTCACCCACTAGCACACATCAAGCAGCCAGGGTCGAAACCTAGGAGCAGACACGATACACCAAAGCCTAATAACCTGCTTCATGTGCCTTCACGCCTCTCAGGAAAGGGAAAGAAACTCCAAAACTCAGATCAGAAACACTTGTTAACAACAGCTCTCAAAAAGGGATCGCTTTGAAAGCAGAAGGAGATACTCACGGTCCCATGGGTTCCCAACTCGGATCTGTGCATAGGCCTTTTTAAGTCTGTTTACAACCTCATCATGGATGCTTTCATGTATAAACTAAACGAAAAAAGATATTCAAGGGCATAGTATGATAAATGCACACATTTTTAAACAATGAATAATTTCCTTGATAGTTACTGAAATACTGTAATCTCTAAAAATATAAGAAAATCAAAGCATGTTTATTTTTTTAATTATATAATTTATCATTTTAATATTAACTATATGAAGTCAAAATTTTCCTTTTAGGTAGATAATAGAATAAAATCATAAGCCATGTCTTTTTTTTTTTTTTTTTTTTTGAGACAGAGTCTCACTCTGTCACCCAGGCTGGAGTGCAGTGGCATGATCTCAGCTCACTGCAACCTCCACTTCCCGGGTTCAAGCGATTCTTATACCTCAGCCTCCCGAGCAGCTGGAATTACAGGCACCCACCACCACACCTGGCTAATTTTTTGTATTTTTAGTAGAGACAGGCTTTTGCCATGTTGCCTAGGCTGGTCTTGAACTCCTGACCTCAGGTGATCCACCCACCTCAGTCTCCCAAAGTGCTGGGATTACAGGTGTGAGCCACCACACCCGGTCCATAAGCCACATCTTCATCAAGTTTCCAAGGATGTATTTGTCTAAGCTTCACAAATACATTAAAGAAGGCCTCAAGTACATGTGTCCCATACTGTAACCCTAAGTCCCAGTGAACACAGAGCATAGTCATAACTGACCTCTGCTGGGTAACTACAAACACTTAACCCCAGGCCACACAGGTCTCCAGAGGAGGCCTTAATTAGGTGAGGACAACCCTTGCATTCTCTGGGTAGTTGTCAGGTCCATGCTATGCTCCAAGTGGCAGAGCTGAACTTGCCAAACCATCTATGCTCTGGGTTAGTCTCCACATGTGATGAATGAATTGACATTATGAGAACTAGTCATGAAGCAGTCCATAGTAATGGAATTTTTAAAAATATTACTGCTAACTCTAAGGAAATCTATTTGGACAATGACTAATATTACCTATTAATATTTAAAACTAATATAAAAGACGTCTATGAATATTTGCTCCAAAACACATGAAAAAAATAAAAATTGGCTGAATAGAGAAATATTTGGCTTTTATGTCATTTCATATTTTACCATGTAATGAAGGGTATAATCATTTGGAGTGCATGGTTTTTTCTTAGCTTTAACGTAATCTTTAACGCAATTTAATGTTTATGGTGAACAAATTTAATAAACTTTAAAGTTACAAATGTAGTATCAGATTATTTGAGAATGTCAGCTGTGTAAAAATAAAGATTTATTTTCATTTATGCAAAACACCTGAAAAAACAAATATGAAAAGTGTGAGAGGCCGGGTGCGGTGGCTCACACCTGTAATTTCAGCACTTTGGGAGGCCAAGGCAGGCAGATCACCTGAGGTCAGGAGTTTGAGACCAGCCTGGCCAACATGGCAAAATCCCATCTCTAATAAAAATACAAAAATTAGCCAGGCACGGTGATGGGTGCCTGTAGTGCCAGCTACTCAGGAGGCTGAGGTGGGAGAATCACTTGAACCTGGAGGTGGAGGTTACGGTGAGCTGAGATCACACCATTGCACTCCAGCCTGGCCAACAGAGAGAGACTCCATCTCAAAAAAAAAAAAGAAAGAAAGAAAAAAGAAAAGTGTAAGGTAAAGATAATTTTCATATATCTTTTAGCTTATTCTAATTAATTTAGATTATGTCAGTCTTATAAAGAATTTGTTCACACTCAATATGAATGAGAGCAAAAACCCAAAGCCAATTCCTTAATAATTCAACTGAAGGCTTTTTTCATTACAAAAGGAAAACTCAACAATAATAAAAAAGGCTCAAGTCCAACAGAGCTTAAAAATAATTTTTTTTAAATGGCAAATGCAGCCAAATTTTGTACCTAACTAAAACTTCCTCAGGGCTGGGCATGATGGCTTCCACCTGTAATCCCAGCACTTTGCAAGGCCGAGGTAGGTGGATCAGCTGAGGTCAGGAGTTCAAGACCAGCCTGGCCAACATGGTGAAATGTCATCTCTACTAAAAATACAAAAATTAGCCAGGCAGGGTGGCACGTGCCTGTAGTCCCAGCTACTCAGGAGGGTGAGGCAGGAGAATCGCTTGAATCCAGGAGGTGGAGGTTGCAGTGAGCAAGATCGCGCCACTACACTCCAACCTGGGCAACAGAGCGAGACTCCAACTCAAAAAAAAAAAAAAAAAAAAAAAAACACAAAAACAAAACAAAAAAAACTTGCTCAGTTATAGTATAGTCTTTTAGTACCATAAAGTCATGAAAATCAAAGTTGTAACACATACTAAACTCAAGACCAGCTCAATCTAAGTGTAGAGATTCAACTTCCCAAATCCCATATTGAAGCTAAACCACATCTCCTTATATACACTTAATATTAATCTGTCCTCTCGATATATATATGTATGCAGGCTATATATGTATATAGAGAGGTCACACATATACATAGCCATTTGCTTTTCAATGAATCATGTCATTTCAAGTCAAATCTAATTCTAGACTTGAGGCTAAAAATAAAAGTGTTTATTGATTGATTGGTTGAGACAGGGTCTTGCCCTGTCGCCCAGGCTAGAGTACAGTGGTGCAATCATGGCTCATTGCAGCCTCATTGAGCCCTTTCCTGGGCTCAATCAATCCTCCTGCCTCAGCCTCCCAAGTAGCTGGGACTACAAGCATGAGCCATCATGCCTTGCTAATTTTTTTTAACTTTTTATAAAGACAGGGAATCACTTTGTTGCCCAGGCTGGTCTCGAACTACTGGGCTCAAGGAATACTCCTGCCTCAGCCTCCCAAAGTGTTAGAATTCTATGCTTGAGCCACCATGCCCAGTCTAAAATGTTTAAAATGTTTTACTACTTAAAATGTTTTTATAAAAGTGCAAGACTCTATTTTTAGCTATAGTTTAATAATTCTTTTTATTTTTATCTTGTTTTGTTCTCTAAATGACACTGGACTTCGTCCATATTGTTCTAGGAGTAGGACTGAATATCAGTCTCATCTCCTAGTCCAACTCCAGTCAATTGGTAGTGGAACCCCTATTATCTTGGGGTGGGAAAAAGGCAAAGTCCCTGAATGATTAACAACATCTGCCATGAGCACAGAAAGAGAACTGGACCACATATTTGCCAGCCACATCTAGAGAGCATGTTGTTCTAGCAGTATTGCTGACACCTCTCTAACAGCAGAACTCATTAAAAAGTAGTGTTTTAAGAGCAAGACAATCGGGCCTATGCAGATATACTCACCAGTCGCCTCGCAGTGGTACACCTCTGGCCAGCTGTTCCCACAGCAGCGAAGAGAGCTGATGGAACAACTAAGCTGAGGTCTGCATCTTCAAAGGCTTAGGAAAGCACAAACACTTCCATCAGCGAACCAAAACAGGTAGACAAGGTATTTGTTAGCTGGTATAAAACAATGTTGTTTTTTGTTTTTGGTTTTGGTTTTTTTTTTTTTTTTTTGAGACAGAGTTTTGTTCTTGTCACCCAGGATGGAGTGCAATGGCACGATCTCGGCTCACTGCAACCTTTGCCTCCCGGGTTCAAGAGATTCTGCCTCAGCCTCCCGAGCAGTTGGGATTACAAGCATGTGCCACCACGCTTGGCTAATTTTTGTCTTTTTAGTAGCAATGGGGTGTCACCATGTTGGTCAGGCCACTTTCAAACTCCTGACCTCAAGTGATGCACCCACCTTGGCCTCCCAAAGTGCTGGGATTACAGGCGTGAGCCACTGTGCCCGGCAAACGTTTTTATAAAGTGCAGTAAAAGAACATCAAAACTATTGTTGTAAAGTAACCATATGCACGTTACGAAGACATATATAGACGAGGGGGAAAGGCACACTCTTCTTCCAAGGAAGATTATGAGCTCTATGATCTTTACCCAGATATACAAGGGTAAATTGAGGCTCTCACTCCTCTGGCCTCTTCATCTTTTATTTCTCGGGGGGTTTTTTGTTTGTTCTTTTTTTCTGAGACGGAGTCTCACTCTGTCACCCAGGCTGGAGTGTAGTGGCACTACAGCCTTGACCTCCTGGGCTCAAGCAATCCTCCCACCTCAGCCTCCCAGTGGGGACTGTTGTAGGGATTAAATGAAATAATGCATATAAAACAGCTGAACACAGTACCCGGCAGACACTAGTGCTCACTAAATGCGAACTATATTTTTTACTGAAGTCTCTCTTTAAAAGTCCATCCAGAGGCCAGGCGTGATGGCTCATGCCTGTAATCCCAGCACTTTGGGAGGCCAAGGCAGGCGGATCACCTGAAGTCAGGAGTTCAAGACCAGCCTGCCAACATGGTGAAACCCCATCTGTACTAAAAATACAAAAAGTAGCTGGGCATGGTGGCATGCGCCTGTAATTCCAGCTACTCGGGAGGCTGAGGCAGGAGAACAGCTTGAACCTGGGAGGTGGAGGTTGCAGTGAGCTGAGATCGCACCACTGCACTCCAGCCTGGGTGACAGAGTAAGACTCCCGTCTCAAAAAAAAAAGTTCATCCAGAACAAACACTTCACCATATACTTCTTATATCTTACACATACTTCTTATGTGTGTCAACTACAAATATCTAAGCATTTTTGTGACAAACTCAAACAGTTAAAAAAGAGCATAAGTAATCTCTAAGCCTATAGGTAAGTGATTTTTTTAATGCCTTAAGGACATGTTCCTTCCCAATATAAAAACACTCAATATTCCACTAAAGACAAAATAATGTTTTTGAAATCTAAAGAAATGATCAAGTCACATAAGAGTTACTTAAGTTATTCTAGAGAAATGTGGCCAGTTTTCAGCAAACAGAAGAAGAAAAAACAAGAAATAATGCCATACTACAATGGCAATGGAAGTCTCATTCACAGGTTCTAGATCATCCCAGGTAACATGTTCTAAACATGAATACCTTTCCTTCCTAGTTACCTCTGCCTTCAAAACAAGCTTGTGTCCTGTCTCCCAAGTAAAATTCCTAAACACAGGAACTAGGTCTCAGGCATATGCAACATGGACGAAATGAGATCCCAAACAAGTTCCATATATTCAGGATGGCGACTGTGGAAACTGAACAGAAAACAAACAAAAACAAAGAGGCAGCCTTACCAATAATGGCATTGTTTCCTCCAAGTTCCAACAGACTTCTCCCTTAAAAGAAAAAAATTATATATAAAAATTAATGCCTACTTCCATATTTACTGCACACTGCTACACAGCCTAATCCCAATTATTAAATTATATAGCCTGTCCAATTATTTTTTATATAGCCTATCCCAATCATATAGCCTATCCTGATTACACCCTATCCCAATTATTTTTCAACTTATTTTCTAATTTATAAAGTAGCATTACTATTGTATCAATATCAAATGTCCTGATTTTAGTAACTACTGTGGTTATACAAGAAAATGTCCACATTCTTAGGAAACACACCAAAATATTTAGTAATAAAGGGGACACATCTTTGACTTACTCCAAACAGTTCAACAATAATATGCACCCACAGAGTGTGTGTGTGTGTGTGTGTGTGTGTGTGTACGTGTGCGTGCACGCGCGCACAGATGTTGCTGGAGAGAGAGAAAATGAGAAATCAAATGGGGCAAAATGTAAGCAATTAGTGACTCTGATTAAAGGGTTTACAGGAATTCCTTATGTTGGTCATATAATTTTGGTTTGAAATTAACAGGAAAGTCTACAGCCAAACCAAACCACCCTGAGCGTGCCCAGTCTTATCTGACATTACTCAAGAAAAATAAAGTAAAATGGGATAGCCACTGTAGAAAACAGTATGGCAATTGCCCCAAAAAATTAAATAACAGAGCCTGGGCAACATGGCAAGACCCTGTCTCTACAAAAATTAAAACAAACTAGCTGGGCATGATAGTGTCTGCCTGTGGTCCCAGCTACTCGTGAAGCCCAGGAATTTGAGACAACAGTGAGCCATGATCACACCACTGCACTCCAGCCTGGCCAACAGAATGAGACTGTCTCAAGTAAGTAAATAAATAAATAAGAGAATTACCACATGACCGAGCAATTCCACTTCTGAGTATATAACCAAACATAGTAAGGCAGGGACTCTATAGATATTTGTACACCAATATTCATAGTAGCATAATTCACAATAGCCAAAAGGTGGCAGCAACCCAAATGTGCATCATCTGATGAATTAGTAAATGTGGTATAACAATACAGTGAAATATCATGCAGCCTTTTTTTATTTTTATTAATTTTTTTTTTTTTTGAGACAGGGTCTGACTCTGTTGCCCAGGCTGGGGTGTACTAGCATGATCATGGCTTACTGCAGCCTCAACCTCCTGGGCTCAAGCAATTCCCCCATCTCAGCCTCCCAAGTAGCTGGGACAACAGGCATGCACCACCATGCCCAGCTCATTTTTGTACTTTTTTTTTTTTGGCAAAGACAGGGTCTTGGCATGTTGCCCAGGCCGGTCTCGGACTCCTGAGCTCAAGAGATCCTCCCGCCTTGGCCTCCCAAAGTGCTAGGATTACAGGCATGAGCCACCACACCTGGCTTATTATAGAGCCTTAAAAAGAAAATCCTACTACATGCTACACGATAGTTGTACGTTGGGCCGGGCGTGGTGGCTCATGCCTGTAATCCCAGCACTTTAGGAGGCCGAGGTGGGCAGATCAAAAGGTCAAGAGATCAAGACCATCCTGGCCAACATGGTGAAACCCTGTCTCTACTAAAAACACAAAAATTAGCTGGGCGTGGTGGCGGATGCCTGTAATCCCAGCTACTCAGGAGGCTGAGGCAGGAGAATTGCTTGAACCCAAGAGGCAGAGGTTACAGTGAACTGAGATTGCACCACTGCACTCCAGTCTGGCAACAGAGCGAGACTCCATGGTTGTACCTTGTAGACATTATGTTAAGTGAAATAAGGTAGTCACTAAAGGACAAATACTTATAACCCCACTCAAATGAAAGTAGTCCAAATCAATGAAACAGAAAGAAGTAGAAGGGTGGCTACCAAGGCTGGGTGTAGTGGGAAGGAGGGATTAGTGTTTATAGGGTATGGAGTTTCAGTTTTACAAGACGAAAAAGTTCTAAAGATAGGCTGTATGATCATGTGAATGTACTTGACACTACTCAACTGTGTACCATCTTAACCATTTTTAAGTAAATTTTATGTTGTGTGGACTTTCCCCCACAATTAAAAAGAAAGAAAGAAACCTATGGCCCATAAGGCCACCACAAAAATCTCTACTTACAATTTGATAGTGTCTTCCAATCTTTCCTCTGTGCATTTATATCTAGTTGAGATTATATTATTTCATTTTACTTTATTTTCTGATGTCTTACACCTTTCCCCTAAGTTATTAAAAGTCAAGAAAAGAAAAACCACTCCATAGCATTCCATCATGATGACATACCAAATTTTATTTAGCTGTTTCTCCAGTGTTGAATATATTTGTTGATTATTTACTTAGGTTAGGACTCTTGACAGACATTGCCAACCTATATTCTAGAAAAGTTATATAGCAGGCCATGAATGCCATTCTTTTTTTTCAGTCAGAGTCTTGCTCTGTTGCCCAGGCTGGAGTGCAGTGGCGTGATCTCGGCTCACTGCAAATCTCCGCCTCCTGGGTTCAAGTGATTCTCCTGTCTCAGCTTCCCAAGTAGCTGGGACTACAGGCATGCACCATCACGCCCAGCTCTTTTTTGTATTTTTAGTAGAGACGGGGTTTTGCCATATTGGCCAGGCTGGTCTTGAACTCCTGACCTCGGGTGATCCGCCCGCCTCAGCCTCCCAAAGTGCTGGGATTACAGGCTTGAGCCATCGCAACCGGCCCACCATTTTTTTTTCTTTCTTTCTTTTTTCAAGAGTCACCCAGGCTGGAATATAGTGGTGCTATCATAGCTCACTGCAGCCTCAATTTCTGGGTTCAAGCCAACCTCCATCCTCAGCCTCCCAAGTAGCTCATACAACAAGCACGTGTCACAACACCTGGCTTGTTTTGTTTTGTTTTAAGAGACAGGTTTTCACAATGTTGCCCAGGCTCTGGTCTCATTCCTAGCTTCCAGCGATCCACCCACCTTGACCTCCCAAAGTCCTGGGATTACAGATATGAGCCACTACACCTGGCCTATAAATGCCATTCTTACCTTACTCCTCCCAGCATAAAGATCTGAGAGATGTGTTTGCCTCAATTTTAGACATATGTTTATTTATTTTTGAGACAGAGTCTCACTCTGTTGCCAGGCTGGAATGCAGCAGTGCAATCTCAGCTCACTGCAACCTCTGCCTCTGGGTTCAAGCAATTCTCTTGCCTCAGCCTCCCAAGTAGCTGGGCATGCCGCCACACCTAGCTAATTTTTTTGTATTTTAGTAGGGATGGGAGTTTCACCATGTAGCCCAGGCTGGTCTTGAACTCTTGAGCTCAGGCAATTCACCCACCTCAGCCTCCCAAAGTGCTAGGATTACAGACGTGAGCCACTGTGCCCAGCCTTAGACATACATTTATTACTGATCTTTTGATCATCGATTTCCTTAAGTGCACTTTAAAATCAGCTTCCATGTGAATAACTTTTATTCATTTGTGATATCAGGAGCATATGTGACAACAGCAGAGTATCTTCTCATTTCCATTGCTCTGAAACAGGTAAGCATCAAGTGAATATTAATTATGAAGACATGGCTGTTACTACCAAAAGCCACCAAATGCTACACCAACTCTAGTCTCTGCTGCAATCATTGAATTAATGACAGCTTGCTGGCTATAGCATAGCGCTATGCTAGGTGTTAAGAAGAGAAGGAAGGAAACGGAAGCTTTTACGCCTGACATTAGCTTCTCCTGCCTGGCTGCAAGTGATGTTTGGCAGAAGAGGAGGGATCTATACTTTCTACATCCTTCCAGTTCTCTATCAGGCGCTCTCTGACTATACTCCTAACCACCAACTCCTCCAAGAAAAGCACCTATAATTAAGACAGGCAGATACATTTTAAAAATTATAATTCTACTACTACTACTATTACTACTTAGCCAAGAACAACAAACTACCGCCTTGAGTAAGGAAAAGGGGAGAAAGGTGAGAAGATGAAATCTGCTCGTGGGACTAATGATGTTGAGAATCTTTTCATGTGCTAATCGGCCATTTAAGATGTCTATTCTAGGCCTGGTGCGGTGGCTTATGCCTGTAATCCCAGCACTTCGGGAGGCCAAGGCGGGCGGATCACAAGGTCTGGAGTTTGAGACCAGCCTGGCCAAGATGGTGAAACCCTGTCTCTACTAAAAATACAAAAATTAGTCGGACATGGTGGCGCATGCCTGTAATCCCAGCTACTTGGGAGGCTGAGGCAGAAGAATCACTTGAACCTGGGAGGCAGAGGTTGCAGTGAGCCAGGATCTCCCCACTGCACTCCAGCCTGGGCAACAGAGCGTGAGATTCCATCTCAAAAAAAAAAAAAAAAAAAAAAAAAAAAGACGGCTATTCAAATCCAATGCCCATTTTTAATTGGGTTGTCTTTTATATTCTTACATTTTAAGAGTTCTTTATATATTCTACATACAAGTTCCTTATCAAATGACTTACAAACATTTTCTGCCATTCGGTAGGTTGTTCTTTTCACTTTTTCCTGATGTCCTTTGAAGCACAAAATGCTTTAATTTTGATAAAAACTAATTTGTCTTTTAATTGTTGTTGCTTGTGCTTTAGTTGTCATTTCTAAGAAACCATCGCCTAATCCAAGGTCATGAAAACTTATTCCTATGTTTTCTTCTAAGAGTTTTATAGGTCTTTGATACATTTGGAGTTTGTCTTTGCATAGGAGATGTAGTAGGGGCCTGACTTCACACTCATGTGTATAGATAGCTACTTGTGTCAGTACCATTTGTTAAAAAGACCATCCTTTCCCCATTGAAATGTCTTGTCACCCTTGACACAACTGACCATAAATACAAGGGTTTATCTCTGGACTTCCAATTCTATTCCATTGATTTTTATGTCTATCCTTATGCTGGTGCCACATAGTCTTGATTATCATAGTTTTGCCGTAAATTTTTTGACTGAGAAGTGAGAGTCCTTCAATTATCTTCTTTTTCAAGATTGTTTTGGCCTTTTAGGGTCCTTTGCATTGTCATGTGAATTTTAGAATTAACTTGTCAGTTGTCACAAAACAGAAAACTGGGATTTTTACAGGAATTGCATTGAATCTGTAATCATGTGGACCATATTGAAACCTTAACAATATTAAATCTTCCAAAAAATGAAAAGGGGATATCTACTCATTTATTTAGGTCATCTTTAATTTATTTTGATGATGATTTGTAGTGCTCCGTGCAACAGACTTACACTTCTTTTGTTAAATGTATTCCTAAGTATTTTATTCTTTTTGACGCTACTACAAATTGAATTGTTTTCTGGATTTCATTTTTGGATTGTTCATTGTTAATGCATAGAAATATAATTGATTTTTGTATCTCAATCTTGAGTCCTGCAACCTTGCTGACCTTTTTCATTAGCTGTTTTTTAATAAATTCCTTTTTAAAAGCAATGCCTACATAGTTAAACAGTTGACAGATTAGTCAAATGTTATCTTATGCTGGGGTTAAAGTCTAAAATTCATCCTGACAGCCAAAAATTGATAGCCAATATTATCCTCAAAAACCTTGGAAATCATCCATAAAGCACAGTACAGTATACAAAGCTATGTCTATACAACCCTTTTCAATCATGTATCCAGGATCCATATCCATGATCCATATGCATATGGATACATATGGATCCATATCCATGATCCATATACATGAGAGAAGAGCAGATTTAAGCCTTCTATTCCACACTCACTGTAAGTTCTGTACTCAGTGCTCCTGTTTAAATGATGACATTTTTCTCACCACTATACTAATGAGAAATGATGACATTTTTCTTCTTTAATTTGCCAAATAGGACTAGTACAATTTGATAAGTGTAAAAAGTAAAGTAGAGCTTCCTCTTCAAAGACTTTCCTCCCCATCTAATTAAAAATAAATAATAACTTCTCTTAAAAGCAAAATTTATTCAAAGACTTGTGCTCCTAAATATTTGCCCTGGCATGCTTATACTGGTCCAAGCACACATTAGGTCATAGCCTGTTCCTCTTCCTTATTTAAGTGTTTTTACCTTTCTCAGCATTCCACAAGTTACTTTCTCCTTCCTTTGTTCTCCTCTACTTTTGCCTCTTTTAAAAAGTTCTAAGTTGCTAGCCAATTGGGAGAAATACAAAATGTGAGGTCCCATTCCAGCCAATGGAAACTGGACACAGCAGTAGGGTGGACGCATCAGGTTATAAATGACCCTGTCTCCTTTGTTCAGTGTACTGTCTTGGCAAAACTGCTGGCGACTGTACCCTTTCTACAGGAAGTAAAAATGGCCTTACTAAATAAATTTATGTTCAAGTACTATTTCTTTACAGCACCCAAAAACAAACATTTCAAACATAAATATTCTATGTGATTCAATTATACCCATTTAGAGAGAAAATGACTTCCTTTCATAACTTTTTTTTTTTTTTAGACGGAGTCTCACTCTGTCACCCAGGCTGGAGTGCAGTGACGCGATCTCGGCTCACTGCAAGCTCCACCTCCCGGGTTCACGCCATTCTCCTGCCTCAGCCTCCCCAGTAGCTGGGATTACAGGCACATGCCACCACGCCCGGCTACTTTTTGTATTTTTAGCAGAGACGGGGTTTCACCATCTTGCCCAGGCTGGTCTTGAGCTCCTGACCTCGTGATCCACCCACCTCGGCCTCCCAAAGTGCTGGGATTACAGGCGTAAGCCACTGTGCCTGGCTTGAATTTTTTTTTTTCTTTTTTTTTTTTTTGTGACGGAGTCTCGCTCTGCCGCCCAGGCTGGAGTGCAATGGCGCCATCTCGGCTCACTGCAAGCTCCACCTCCCGGGTTCAGACCATTCTCTTGCCTCAGCCTCCCGAGTAGCTGGGACTACAGGAGCCCGCCACCACGCCCCGCTAATTTTTTGTATTTTTAGTAGAGATGGGGTTTCACCGTGTTAGCCAGGATGGTCTGGATCTCCTGACCTTGTGATCCACCTGCCTTGGCCTCCCAAAGTGCTGGGATTTTCATAAATTTTGGTATTTAAATTTAGGACTTCCCTAATATTCTACTGCTAATAACTGTACCCTTTTCTTTTACTTAGACATTCAAATAAACATGACCACTGCCTCCATGGAAAAGGTTGAGGGGAAAACAAAAACTCAACTTTTAGATTTCACCTCCATATTTGAGAGAATTAAAATCCTCATTAGAAAGCCAACACTTACCAAACCTCTCCTGCACCATCAGGCCCACCTGTTTTCCCACCTGAGTGCTCCCAGTGAAGGACAGCAGGTTCACTCGTTCATCTTTGGCCATTGCTGTGCTGCAAGGGAACAGACACGGTCGGCCACCCAAGCAGAGAAACCCAGCAATTACAACATCTAATGGTACCCAGCACTGAAGTGCCCTTGAAAAAGCAGTCCCTTGAAGCTACAAGAAAGTCTGTCCCAGGGGAGCAAGGGAAGGTCTTCATGAGAAGGAAAAAAGTTTTTCACAGGTAGAACCATTAGGCAGAAGAGGCTAACCTGCTGTGAGCATTTGAATAGAAATCACCTAGAGGAAGTTGTTAGGGAAGAAAGTCTTTCCTATACTGAGTGAGTGACTGGACAATATGATCTTAGCATTTCCTTGCTGAGCATTCCAGTTTTACAAACTTTTAACTGCTGTGTAATTCCTTTAAGGATTAAAACTTGGGCAGGACCAGCCTAGGCAACACGATGAAACCCCATCTCTATAAAAAATACTAAAATTAGCCAGGTGTGGAGGCATGCGCTACTTGGGAGGCTGAGGTAGGAGGATCACTTGAAACTGGGAGGCGGAGGTTGCAGTGAGCTGAGGTCAAGCCACTGCACTCCAGCCTAGGTGACAGAGTGAGACCCTGTCTCAAAAAGATAAAAATAAAATAAATAAAAAATAAAAGAATTCAAACTTAAAAGCCTGTAGGGAAATATCCTAAAGCAGGGGTCCCCAAGCCCCAGGATGCTGACCAGTACCAGTCTGTGGCCTATTAGGAGCCAGGCTGCACAGCAGGAGGTAGGCAGCAGGCAACCTGGCGAGCATTACTGCCTGAGTGCCACCTCCTGTCAGATCAGCAGCAGCATTAGATCTTCAGAGGAGTGTGAACTCTATTGTGAGCTGTGCATGCAAGGGATCTAGATTGCATGCTCCTTATGAGAATCTAACTAATGCCTTATGATCTGAGTGGAACAATTTCAGCCTAAAACCATCCCCCTGCCGTGGTCCATGGAAAAATTGTCTTCCACTAAACCAGTCCCAGTCCCTGGTGCCAGAAAGGTTGGGGACCGCTATCCTAAAGTATTCCTCATGGAAGCCTACTTATAAAGGCTATGCTAGGATTTCCAGTTGCTTCTAAGGAATGCAAATCAGACACTACTGATTTGAACCTCTTTCTTCCTAATTCAGTGCTACAAAGGGTCCAGTGTGAACCAAGCAGGGCAGCCACAGCATCAGTCTAACGTAGGGCTGGACGGCTTGGCTCAATTGCCTAGGTCAGTCTTCCAAGGTTCAACTCAGCAAGCATGAGCACTAATACTCAAAGTGGCTGCTGCTTAACATGCTCCTGTATATACTACCATAATTATCTGAGCTATTGCAAGGCCAGCACAAGGACTAAATACCTAGAATGCAAGAATACAGTCAAAGGCCAACTCATGTTTTAAATGACACTTAGATAATATTTCACTCTGCATTATACATGTGGGAGTTGTATTTCTAAAATTTTCTCATTAATATGAAAAACAGAGTAATGAAAAACAGAGTAACTTATTGCTCCTTTTTGAGATTGCCCAGTAAGTACAATAGTATTTAAAAGTGTTGGAAGGCAAGGAAACTAACACTTTAGCCACACCAGTATGGGTTGTAAGACTTGACTCCTGAAAAACTCACCTAATCAAAGTCTAAGCTGGTAAGAACCTCAGCTTTCATCCCAGTTCAGCACAAGTATAGTCCATGTCATCTTAATATCATGCCAAGTAAAAGCAGCAAGACACAAAAGGCCACATGTTATATGATTACATTTATACAAAATGTCTCAAATAGGCAAATCCATAGAGACAGAAAATTCTTTAGTGGCTGTCAGGGCATGAGGGCAGGGGGAATGGGAAGAGACTGCCAGTGGGTATGGGATTAATTTCTTGGCTGATCAAAATGTTCTGGAATAAGATAGTGGTGATAGATATACAATACTCTGAATATTTTAAAAACCACTATATTGTACACTTTAAAAGAGAGCATTTCATGATTTTATGGTACACGAATTGTGAATTATATGGCAATTAAAAAAGAAAAAAACAATTTTACTAAAAAGAGGCTGTGTTCCCAGGGTTCCCTTTTTCAGTCAGCTGAGAAACTCAGACAATAGGCTAGGTTCTTGGCAGGCAGTGAGACCCCAGACTACAATTTCATAGCTTTCTTTGTAAGTAAACACCTTGATAAACCAAGTGTCAGGAAGTCACAGGCTGCCCCCCATTACAGCAGTTTGTTATTTCAGGATATAAACACCTTAACAAATAGTACCTCTGGGCAATTAAAAAGACAATTCTTATTCATCCTCCAATAGGAGTTAGGCATTAATAAAATAAGAACCCAACAAAGTCCATAATAATAATGATTTCAAAAACCATTCTCAACTCCTTAGTTATAAGTGAGTTCATTATTCTAGTAACGATGATTCTAGTTGGTCAACCTGGGGTCCTTCAACAGAGGATGCTCTCAGCCTAGTAACCTACCCAATATCTGCTCCACCACAAGTCAAGGAACAAATTGCACCAGGCAGCTTGTTGTCCTCCAGAACCTTGGCTATTATCCTAGAAAGGAAAAAGCAATTACTGAGGCAATAATTTAAGGCATTTTTTTAAAAACAAGGAATAAATTCCAACCACTTGACTCTCCTTTTTTCAACTTTCTCTCCCATCCCTCAAATATACTACTCTCTTGCTTTTTCAGCCCACTTTTCAATTTCTAAGTCATTGTTCCTAAATGGACTTCTAACATTAAGAACCCTCTTATACCAGACTCTGTCCTTCTGTCCTCAAACATTCAGACCTGGATTTCTCCTCACATATTGAAAATGCCGTTTTCAAAAAACTATTAGCAGATTTTTTTTTTTTTTTTTTTTTTTTTTAGCCCTAAAAGAATCTTGAGGCCAGGTGTGGTGGCTCATGCCTGCAATCCCAGCACTTTGGGAGGCCGAAGCAGGTGGATCACTTGAGGTGAGGAGTTCAACACCAGCCTGGCCAACATGGTGAAACCCCATCTCTACTAAAAATATAAAAATTAGCCGAGAGTGACGGTGGGAGCCTGTAATCCCACCTACTCAGGAGGCTGAGGCAGGAGAATCGCTTGAACCTGGAAGACAGAGGTTGCAGTGAGCTGAGATCATGCCACTCACTCCAGCCTGGAAGACAGGGAGACTGTATCTCAAAAAAAAAAAAAAGAATCTTGAGAAGAAGAAAAAAACATAGAACATAAATAGAAGACACGAAGCATTGTTTAGGTAGCTCAAACTGTCATTGTTTTCAAGTATTTTCTCCCAAACTATGAGGACACATCTGGTTCAAGACAGCAGACTGATCACTGGGCCTTTTATTTATTTATTTATTTTTTTTTTGGTCTTACACAAATCTATTAAAATGATGATTAAAAAGGAATAAGACCTAGAACGATGAAGGAAATTAGAGGTAGTCACCACCAGCAAATAAGAGATTTAAACACATCTCTGCAAAGCAGAGTTAGAGAAGTTGTAAAGCACAAATTGGGGAAGGGGAAGGGATCCCCAAAACCTAAAGTAAATGCCACAGACACAAAAGAAGGAGCTGGGGCCACCCTGCAGAACCCTGAAAGAGCTTGAGGCTAGTTCCCACCAAACCATGTCGGTCAGAAAATATCAGTGCCCTGCAGGCTAAAGAATTGCAGACAAGCAGAGTTTTTTCTCTTGTTAGAATGAGAAATACATTTAAGTACTACTTAAATCTGATTTTGAGTCATAAAAAAATGGCTAAAATAATTCTGGTTTCTCTGAAAAAGGATTCCATTCATTTTGAGTTTCCAGAGGACCAAAGAGCAAAGGTTATTTTCATCAATCATCTCAACTTACTGGCTACTTTCCAATTTGTTTAAATTTCAAAAACTCTCAAATCCCATGCTCACTTTCATAGAAAAGGTATCATTATCACACCTAAGTTCCCCTAAAATACCCTTTATAGCTGTTTTCTTTCTTCCTTCCAATCCAGGATCCAATCAAGGATCATGAACTCCAGCTCTCATGTCCAAGACCAGGTTTCAGGATGTACAATTCTTCCCAGGGACTCCGGGTGTCTATATTGTCTGCACAAGTAGACTGTACTCTCTTTAAGGGCAAGGCTTTTGTTTTGTGCCTATGGGTAAAGGTTAACAAACCCCTGCCCCTAAGGCATGAGAATCTAACTTTAAGTTGAACTCTAGCACTGTTCTCCATGTCACCTGATAAGTGTCAGAGTGTCATCAATGTTTCTTAGACAACCCGGCTTATGGTAAAAATGATCCCTGCCTGGTCACTTCCATCTGAACTGAGTATCTATGAGCTATTAATGGGAATGCCATGCTTTTTGGCCTTTCCTGAGTGCAGTGACACTTGTAACTGCATGTCCCTGTGGCCCCTGAAAGCTACAATTGTTACAAGAGATTTTGGTTTCTGTGGGGCATTAGGCTTTAAGCCAAGGTAACCCCACACCTCTCCAATGGGGCTCTCACTTTCTTGTACCTGTATGATTGTGACAAGAACACTGATTAAAGAGGAATACCTGATGCCATCCTCCTGACAAGCTATGCTGCTGTCCTATATCCTTCTGAATACACAGAAGAACCATATGTGGCCTGGGGTCATCTTAGGAATCTGAAAATTTAGTTGAATTTACGAAGACCTCTTTGTAGCACTGCATCACCCTTAGTTAATTCCAGCAAAATTTAGCATCATTTTACTTATCTTCTATTACAAAAGCAAATAACATTTTCAGTGCTTTGAAGACCATCAACCAGCATATAAACTCTTACATGAACATTTCAAATTCTTCAACCATTTAAAGCAAAAAAAAAAAAAAAAAAAAAGCTTAAAGCAAAACCAGTATCAAAATGAACAATATTTTAACCAGCTACTTCGTAACAATTAAGTCAGTTCACTACTTCCACATTAATTATTCTGCTGGGTTTTGTTTTGTTTTGTTTGTTTGTTTTTTAGGTTTATTTTTAGGCCAGGGGCAGTGGCTCATGCCTGTAATCCTAGCACTTTGGGAGGCCGAGGCAGGCAGATGACTTGAGGCCAGGAATTCAAGACCAGCCTGGACAACATGGTGAAACCCCATGTCTACTAAAAATATAAAAATTAGCTAGCTGGGCACGGTGGCTCACACCTGTAATCCCAGCACTTTGGGAGGCTGAGGCGGGCAGATCACGAGGTCAGGAGATCGAGACCATCCTGGCCAACATGGTGAAACCCCATCTCTACTAAAATACAAAAAATTAGCCGGGCGTGGTGGCGCACACCTGTAGTCCCAGCCACTCGGGAGGCTGAAGCAGGAGAATCGCTTGAACCCGGGAGGCAGAGGTTTCAGTGAGCCGAGATCGCACCACTGCACTCTAGCCTGGTGACAGAGCAAGACTCAGTCTCAAAAAAAAAAAAAAGAAAAAATTAGCCAAGCATGGTGGCATGCACCTGTAATCCCAGCTACTTGGGAGGTTGAGGCAGGACAATCGCTTGAACCTGGGAGGCAGAGGTTGGAGTGAGCCGAGATTGTGCCACTGCCCTCCAGCCTGGGCGACAGAGCAAGACTCTGTCTTTAAAAAAAAAAAAATTAGCCCGGCGTGGTGGCCCACACCTATAATCCCAGCTACTCGGGAGGCTGAGACATGAGAATCTCTTGAACCCAGGAAGCAGAAACTACAGTAAGCTGAGATGGCCCCACTGCAATCCAGCCTGGGCAACAAAGACTGTCTCAAAAAAAAAAAAAAAAAAAAAAAGAAAACATATTACCCTTGCTCTTTTCCAGCCCACCACTTTCCAATTCCTAAACCACTATTCTAAATAATCTTCTAGGCTGGGCACAGTGGCTCATGCCCATCCCAGCACTTTGGGAGGCCAAGGCAGGCGGATCACAAGGTCAAGACATCGAGACCATCCTGGCCAACATGGTGAAACCCCATCTCTACTAAAAATACAAAAAATTAGCCAGGCGTGGTGGCACAAGCCTGTAATCCCAGTTACTCGGGAGGCTGAGGCAGGAGAATCACTTGAACCAGGGAGTCGGAGGTTGCCGTGAGCCAAGATTGCACCACTGCACTCCAGCCTGGCGACAGAGCAAGACTCCATCTCAAAAATAATAATAATAGCCGGGCGTGGTGGCTCATGCCTGTAATCCCAGCACTTTGGGAAGCTGAGGCAGGTGGATCATGAGGTCAGGAGATCAAGACCATCCTGGCTAACACGGTGAAACCCCATCTCTACTAAAAACACAAAAAATTAGCTGGGTGTGGTGGTGTGCACCTGTACTCCCAGCTACTCGGGAGGCTGAGGCAGGAGAATGGCGTGAACCCGGGAGGTGGAGCTTGCAGTGAGCCGAGATCGCACCACTGGACTCCAGCCTGAGTGACAGAGCAAGACTCCATCTCAAAAAATAATAATAATAATAATAATAATATTCTAATATGAAGAACCCTCTTGCCCACAGTCTCCACCCCAATTTCTCTACTAATAATTCTGAAATCAGAATGCAGATGCAACCAATGGAACATCAAAGGTACATCCTAATCCTACATGGGAAGGCACCCTAACTCTATACATCCTCCAAATTCCAGAATGACAAATCAGTCACATTGCTTTTATGACTTAACCAGAGCTGCCAAATTCTCAAATATAAGTAAAGCATTAATAATTTTTTAACCAAAAGATGCGATACATTTTAGTGTTAGATGAATCAGCAGATTAGTGTAATAATCAGTTTTGTTAACACTCTATTAAGCAAAAGCAACAAAAGTATTAGCTAGATAGAAATCTATTCTCAAAACCACTAACTTGTTGAATAGTGAGAAAATATAGATCCTAAATTGCAAAATTTTCCTTTCCACTGAAGATGCTTTTATTTTCCAAGTGACAAAATAATGTCTGCAAGAGTTCAATCAATATGTCAATATCTGGCATGTTTCCAAAGAGTTAAATTAAATGACATGGCACTGAAAGCACTCTGTATATAAAAATAATATTACAAGCAAAGGAGAAAGAGGTTATCCAAATTCCATGCTATGTGACTCTGACATCAGATTAAAAAGTCAGGGCCTATCAATAACCCTTTCAATATTATTCCATACCCAGGAAAAAGAAAGCCACATGTACTTACTTTGTGACAGCCACACTAATGAGGGAAGTGGTTGGAGCTCCTTTCCTTAAGAAGGTTAAAACAAAAAAAGAAAAAGAAAAACTTATTTGACGGAAACCATAAATACCTTTTATTATCAAACAGAAGCAAAAGTGTGAGAAAAAGCTCTGTCCAATTAGACAACTAACAAGTGAGTCTAGTAACTGAAACAGAAATCTGTCCTTCAGCTGGGTGTCTTTGAGACCTAAGGAACAACAAAACTTTCATGAACATAAAAATGGCACCAAGCAATTCTGAATCAGCTTGCTGCACTGATCGCAGGAATCACTACATTAACCTCAGCCAGTTATAGGAACTGAGTGAAGCAGAAATCTACCAACGTGCTGCATTAAGTAAACTTCCTTGGAAAACTCAGAGAGCTGAGGAAAACTACACAATGAACCTTTTTAGATTAGAATGTTGGAAAACATGAGTTCCTTTCACAACATGGGGCAGAACCCTGAAAGAGCTCGGGGCTAGTTCCCACCAAACCATGTCGGTCAGAAAATATCAATGCCCTGCAGGCTAAAGAATTGTGGACAGGCAGGGCGCGGTGGCTCACGCCTGTAATCCCAGCACTCTGGGGGGCCGAGACGGGCGGATCACGAGGTCATGAGATTGAGACCATCCTGGCTAACACAGTGAAACCCCTTCTCTACTAAAAATACAAAAAAAATTAGCCGGGCGTGGTGGCAGACGCCTGTAGTCCCAGCTACTCGGGAGGCTGAGGCAGGAGAATGGCGTGAACCTGGGAGGCGGAGCTTGCAGAGAGCCGAGACCGCGCCCCTGCACTCCAGCCTGGGCGACAGAGCAAGACTCTGTCACAAAAAAAAAAAAAAAAAAAGAATTGTGGACAAGCAGAGTTTTTTCTCTTGTTAAAGTAAGAAATACAGTTATTAGTCCTCCCAAATATGTCCTATTTTACAGTTAGTTTTTGAATACATTCAACTGAGTACCACACATTTAAAACAAATTAATAACTAGTGGAACAGATGCAAGCAAAATGAGCTAAAGACAATTGTCCTGATTTTCCTTATTTAATTTCTTCCACTGAACACAAAAGTAAAAAACAAGTAACTGTTTGCCATCTAAAATATAACATTTTTACTATCAGATATTTTGCAGAGTTGAAAAATTTAAGACCTAAATGGAAACACTGACCAACTGCCTCAGAATTACTTGGGAGTTCACTACCAAAGTTTTATTGGCCAGGTGCAATGGCTAATACCTGTAATGCCAACATTTTGGGAGGCCAAGGCAGGTGGATCACCTGAGGTCAGGAGTTCAAAACCAGCCTGGCCAACATCGTGAAACCCCATCTCTACTAAAAATACAAAAAATGAGCCGGGCATGGTTGCGCATGCCTGTAATCCCAGCCACTTGGGAGGCTGAGGCAGGAGAATTGCTTGAACCTGGGAGGCGGAGGTTGCAGTGAGCTGAGTTCGCACCATTACACTCCAGCCAGGGCAACAAGAGTGAAACTCCATCTCAAAAAAATAAAATAAAATAAAGTTTTATTGAAGAAGCCAGGTGTGGTGATGCACACTTATAATCCCAGTTACTGAAGAGGCTGAGGTAGTAGTATCTAGAAATGGCTATTTTTATCACTCACTACTAAATAGGAAAGTGAGCAGGTCTTACCAGAGGCAGACATTTCCACAGATCATGGCGATGGCGTTGTTCCAACCATACACTGCCACAGGGAAATTGAATGCCGTGATGATTCCAACCAGGCCTACGGGATTCCACTGCTCAATCAGTGCATGGCCAGATCCTGAGGACAGAAAAAGGATGGAACATGCAGAAGCATGTTAATTTAATGCCCATCAAGTTAATAAGAACAAACGTACAGCAGACTGGAGAAGATTCCAGATGCCTTATAGTGGGAAATTGCTACACAGCCATGGGATATCAGTACATTAACTAATGTACAACAAAAGTGGTTATTACCACACTACCTTGTAAATCATAATGATATTCATTATGCCTCTGATCTTCATAGGAACTCTGCATAGATCAGAGCAGTATCAGTGCACCTGGGAGACAAGGACACTTTCTAGAGTTGATGGGTGCCCTAGGTGGTATGATCACAAAGGGCAGAACATGACCAGGGCACAGGGGCTTAGGCCCATGTTGTTTTGTTTGGTTTTGAGTCAGTCTCACTCTGTCACCCAGGCTGGAGTGGAGTGGCGCAATCTCAGCTCACTGCAACTGCACCTCCCGAGTTCAAGCAATCCTCGAGCCCCACCCTCCTGAGTAGCTGGGATTACAGGCACGCACCACCATGCCCAGCTAATTTTTTATTTTTAGTAGAGAAGGAGTTTCACCACGTTGCCCAGGCTGGTCTCAAACTCCTGACCTCAAGTGATCCATCCACCTTGGCCTCCCAAAGTGCTGGGATTACAGGAGTGAGCCACCACGCCTGGCCTCACATATTCTTTATGTTACCTGACGAATCCCTGGGCCAACTTCTCTGAATTCAAGACAAGGTGGCTCATTTATTGGTGGAAGATGGGAAGGGGGAGTTCTAATAATTATATATATGTTGAATAAATGAATTATGCAGGCCGGGCGTGGTGGCTCACTCCTGTAATCCCAGCACTTTGGGAGGCCAAGGCAGGTGGACTCCCGACTTGAGGTCGGGAGTTCAAGATCAGCCTGGCCAACATGGTGAAACCCTGTCTCTACTGAAAAAACAAAAATTAGCCGGGCGTGGTGGCGGGTGCCTGTAATCCCAGCTACTCAGGAGACTGAGGCAGGAGAATCACTTGACCCCGGGAGGCAGAGGTTGCAGTGAGCCGAGATCCTGCCATTACACTCCAGCCTGGGCAACAGAGGGAGACTCCGCCTCAAAAAATAAATAAATAAATAAAATGAATTACGCAAATCTTTACATTCACTATAAGAAACTAAAAATACAAATCAGCTAGGAGCAGTGGCTCATGCCTACAATGTCCAGCACTTTGGGATGCTGGGACGGGAGAATCACTTGAGCTCAGTTTGAGACTTGGATCAACATGGCAAGACCCCTGACTCTACAAAAAAAATTAAAAATTAGTTAGGTGTGATTGGTTATATGCCTGTAGTCCCAGCTACTTGGGAGGCTGAGGAGAACTGCTTGAGCCCAGGGTATTGAGGCTGAAGTGACCTGGGATTGCACCACTGCACTCCAGCCTGGACAACAGAGTAAGACCCTGTATCAAAAAAAAAAAAAAAAAGAAAGAAAAGAAAAGAAAAAACAAACAAAAATATTGTATTTTAAATACAAACTTACAAACTTTAAAGTCACCCATAATCCTACAAGGTGTTTATTTTAATTAAAGGCAGCTGGACAGTATAGAACCATACCACACGAATACGATGGTTCACAAATCCCAGTTAAAACCACAGACCAACTGGAAAGGTGGCTGTCCCAGCCATCAGTCTTTCTAGCCACACTCACACTGCTAGCTAGGATGAGGGACCATACCAGACACAGCACCTCACTCCTGGGCCCTCCTTAATCTGGGCACCTTAATCCCTAGAGATGAAGTGCTGGCACAGCCTCTTCCTGGCAGGGCCTGCCTCTTCCTGGCAGGGCCTGCCTCCTCCTCTCCAGCCCTCCCATCTCTGCCCTGATGTCACCCCCTTGCTTATAACCCTGTGGATTTTGGATACCTACTGTAGCTATTCTCAGAATAAAGTCCAATCTCCTTGTCAGACAAAATCTCTTCCCGAGGTTCTCTTTCCACTCTATCTGCCCTACCACTGCACCCTCCAGCTGTGCTGAAGCAATGCAATCCTCCCAAATAAGCCAGACCCTCTCAGCCTTCACACAGGCTTCTTCCTTCTTTAAAACAACTTCCAGCACTCCACTCCTTCTCCTCTTTGTCCCATTTGGGACCTTACCTTGGCTAACCTTCTCTTGGAGGCCTTCCTGGACTGCACTCATGAGGCTGGGTTAGGGGATCCCAGCTATGTGCCCACCATCCTACCGTTTACTCCCTCATATTACTTACCATGCTGGATTATGCTGGATATAATTACCTGTTTATTTATCTCCCACTCTAAGGTATAATTTATAAGCTTATAAATCCCTTGAGGACAGGGACTATGCCTTATAGCTCGAGTATCACCTAGTAGACTACCCGGCACCTGATAGATGCTCCATAAGCATTTATTGAATTAATAAAGCCAAAGTTACCCCAAAGTCTCTACATAAATGAGTAAACTGCTTTAAAAAAAAAAATAGAAGTGTAAGCTAGGTGTGGTGGCTCATGCCTACAATCCCAACACTTTGAGTGGCCAAGGCAGGAGGATTATTTGAGCCAAGGAGTTCTAGACCAGCCTAGGCCACATAGTGCAACCTCGTCTCTACAAGAAAAATTTTTAAATTAGCTGGGCTTGGTGGCATGTGCCTGTAATCCCAGCTACTCAGGAGGCTGAGGTGGAAAGATTGCTTGAGTCCAGGAGGTCCAAGCTGCAAGGGGCTATAATCACACCACTGCACTCCAGCCTGGGTGACAGATCCTATCTCAAATAAACAAACGAAAATGTGCAAGCAATTGAGAAAAATTTTAATTGTTAATTGTGAGGCAGGCATCATAGTAGGTATAAATCAAATAGTTACCTGCTTGCACATGTACATATCCCCAAATTGGAGGTTTATTGACTGTATTGTTGTTATTGCTGTTGTTGTTGAGACAGAGTTTTCTTCTGTTGCCCAGGTTGGAGAACAATGGCGTGATCTCGGCTCACTGCAACCTCCGCTTCCCAGGTTCAAGTGATTCTCCTGCCTCAGCCTCCCGAGTAGCTGGGATTACAGGAATGTGCCACCATGCCCAGCTAATCCGTATTTTTATTAGAGATGGGGTTTTTCCATGTTGGTCAGGCTGGTCTTAAACTCCCGACCTTAAGTGATCCGCCCACCTCTGCCTCCCAAAGTGCTGGGATTACAGGCGTGAGCCACCACGGTGGGCCTATTAACTTTTCTTAGCTAGAAAAAAACTCTTGAAAGTGTTCAATGACATAAAATTAATATTGGATAATGGGAATCATTGCTAGATATCTAATTAAGGACATTAAGTGTCCTTAATTAGACTTAAAAAGACTCCCCCAACTCTTTCTACAAGTAGGGAATTTACTCAATATTCCAAGAAAAAGAGAAAAATATGATTTTTTAAAAAATATTATTTCCTTATTATAAATGTAACCTAATAACCATCATGGAAATTTAGAAAATGCAGAAAAATAGAAGAAAATCCACTACTAGTAATTCTGCCACAGAGATAACCACTGCTACCACTTTAGCATACACTTCTATCCCACCATTGCCAATGCAGACATACAGTCACCTGTTTTGCTCTATCCACATTGCAAACATCACAAATTGCTTACACTCTTAACCTCATTTTTTTTTTTTTTTGAGATGGAGTTTCGCTCTTGTTGTCCAGGCTGCAGTGCAATGGCACGATCTCGGCTCACCGCCACCTCCGCCTCCCGGGTTCAAGCGATTCTCCTGCCTCAGCCTCCCGAGTAGCTGGGATTACAGGCATGCGCCACCATGCCTCACTAATTTTGTATTTTTAGTGGAAATGGGGTTTCTCCATGTTGGCCAGGATGGTCTCTAACTCCCGACCTCAGGTGATCTGCCCACCTTGGCCTCCTGAAGTGCTGGGATTACAGGTGTGAGCCATCTTGTCCAGCTTTTTTTTTTTTCTTACTCTTGCTGTCATCTTAGTATCTTCATTGTTAAAACCTCAGAGTATAAGATTGGTTCTTACAGAACAGCTTGTAATAGCAAAACACTGAAAACAGCCCTACATATACATCATTTGGAAGCTGACTAAATAAATTATAGTCTCTTTATAACAAAATAGATAGCTGCAAACACAGATGAAGGAAGCCCCT
Source organism: Homo sapiens (assembly GCF_000001405.40). Classification (NCBI taxonomy): domain Eukaryota; kingdom Metazoa; phylum Chordata; class Mammalia; order Primates; family Hominidae; genus Homo; species Homo sapiens. The sequence goes on from NC_000005.10 coordinate 126,581,327, forward strand.
TAATAGAATAATACGAAAACAATTTCCAGCCTGACACAGTGGCTCACGCCTGCAATCCTAACACTTTGGGAGGTTGAGACAGGCAGATCACCTGAGCCCCGGAGTTCGAGACCAGCTGGGCAACACTGCAAAACCCCACCTCTACAAAAAAAAAAAAATAGCCAGGTATGGTGGCATGCACCTACAGTCCTAGCTGAGGTAGGAGGATCACCTGATCCCGGGGATGTTGAGGCTGCAGTGAACTGTGATCATGCCACTACATTCTGGCCTGGGCAAGACAGTAAAATCCTGTCTCAAAAAAAGAAAACAAAAAAACAATTTCCAAGATATATTATTGAATATAAAAGTATAAAACAGAACGTACAGTTTGCGGCCGGGCACAGTGGCTCACGCCTGTAATCCCAGCACTCTGGGAGGCCAAGGTGGGTGGATCATGAGGTGAGGAGTTCAAGAGCAGCCTGGCCAGGATGGTGAAACCCCATCTCTACCAAAAATACAAAAATTAGCCGGGTGTGATGGTGCACACCTGTAATCCCAGCTACTCAGGAGTCTGAGGCAGAAGAATCGCTTGAACCCGGGAGGTGGAGGTTGCAGTGAGCCAAGATCGCGCCACTGCACTCCAGCCTGGGCAACAGAGCGAGACTCCATCTCAAAAAAAAAAAAATGTATAGTTTGCTACATATTTGGCTGTACGTGCTCTAAAAAGATACACAAGGGCCTAGGAAGGTGGCTCATGCCTATAATCCCAGCTACTCGGGAGGCTGAAGGGGAGGATCACTTGAGGAGAGAAGTTTGAGACCAGCCTGAACAACACAGCAAGATCCTACAAAATATAAAAAAGACACACAAGAAATTGAAAGCATTCACTACTTCCATGGGGTACTATGGCTTAGTCATGGGGGTAGGAGGGAAACTTTTAATCCTTCAACCTTTTATTGCTTTCTTATTTTCTGATATGAATCTATCGTTTCTTCAAAAAAAATTAACATTAGTATAATTTAAAAATAAGTAAATAAAATCCTCCCGTAAAAGTGTGGGTTAGGGGAAGACAACCTTCACAAACATTATTTTTAGTACATGCTAATAGTCTACCAAAATTGGCTTAGATTTTTTCCCCTTATGATTCGACATTTAGGTCATTTCTAATGTTTTTTATTGATGCCACAATGAACTTCTTTAAACATAACTTCTGTCTTATTTCAGATTATTTACTTAGATTCTTAAAACTGGGCTCTTTAAAGTTAGAGCTCTTTGGGTATATTTCCAAATCGTTTTACAGATGAGTTAAAAGTGTCTTACCCGTGGACTTGCCAACATTAAGTTTTATCTTTAAAACAAAAAGGTTCTTGATCTAACATTTTCATCTGTTTTAATTTGCATTTCTTTGAAAGATTGAGGATATTTTCACATATTTATGCCACTTGAAATTTCTCTTTTGCACAGTCAATAGCCAGAGTATTTTATTTTTTTTGGAGCTCTGTATATCAGAGTACAAAACTCAGCTTAACTAATTTCATTGCTTACTTTCAGAAGGCAAGATAGGTCCTCCAATCATCCTTGATAAACCAACAGCATAGTCACAGATATCCACATACTCCTGAACTTCACCCACACCTTCCACTAAGATTTTCCCCATCTCCAAAGACACCTAGAAATATAAAACGACAAGCAGAATTTTTCCAACAGAATTCACATTATAAACATTAAATTAAAGAAAGGGGGAAGCAAAACATGTTTTGTAAATGTAATAAACTGAAGAAAGTCTGTTTCATTTTCCAAAGAATTTTAAAACACAACAATTGCCTTCACTTTTTCCTGTCTACCTTGTTAATCTTTCCTCTAAGGAAAGAATTTTTAAAATATATAAAGTACAACCGGGCACAGTGGCTCATGCCTATAATCCCAGCACTTTGGGAGGCCAAGGCGGGCGGATCACCTGAGGTCAGGAGTTCAAGACCAGCCTGGCCAACATGGTGAAACTTTGTCTCTACTAAAAATACAAAAATCAGCCGGGCATGGTGGTGCACACCTGTAATCCCAGCTACTCGGGAGGCTGAGGCAGGAGAATCGCTTGAACCCAGGAGGGGGAGGTTGCAGTGAGCCAAGATCCTGCCATTGCACTCCAGCCTGGGCAATAAGAGCAAGACTCCATCTCAAAAATAAATAAATAAATAAATAAATAATAAAATATAATATAATATAAATTACTTTTCTTAAAAACTCTTCTAGCCAAGTGTGGTGGCCCATGCCTATAATCCCAGCACTTTGAGAGGCCGAGGCAGGCAGGATCACCTGAGGTTAGGAGTTCAAGACCAGCCTGGCCAACATGATGAAACCCCATGTCTACTTTAAAAATACAAAAAATTAGCCAGCCGTGGTGGCACAAGCCTGTAATCCCAGCTACTCGGGAGGCTCAGGCAGGGGAATTGCTGGAACATGGGAGGCAGAGGCTGCAGTGAGCCAAGATTTTACCACTGCACTCCAGCCTGGGTGACAGCAAGACTCCATCTCAAAAAAAAAAAACCTCACAATTTTATATATAGAAAAGCATGACAGCCTTATTGTCCACTCAAAGAATTGTGTATATACTACAAAAATACTTTACCAAGCTTCCTAGTACTTGGATCTTCTCCCGCAAGGCATCGCCAATCTGTCTTACTATTTCTCCTCGTTTTGGAGCAGGAATCTAAGAAAAGAATGCAATTTTTGTGTCTGATTCAAAGCATAAATTCATGTTTATAACACAGTATTGGATGTGTGCTGTAAAAGAACAAATTACAATCATATCAAAGAAGACTTTTGATCACATCAAAACTGTGATATGGCCAGGCACTGGAGCCAAAATAAGAAGCAAGGCATTCATGGAGCAAATATCTACTGGAAGGCACAGAGGAGAAGAAAAGGCAACAAATAATTACAAATTGCCAACAAATAATTACAAATTGCCATCAGGGTTTTAAAGACAAAGGAAATAAAAAGGAAGCTGAGACAGAGAAAAACAGCAAGATTGGAGGGGAAATGGGTAAGTTACTTTACCTAAAAGGATGGCAGGAGGCTGGGCGTGGTGGCTCACACCTGTAATCCCAACACTTTGGGAGGCTGAGGCGGGCAGATCACAAGGTCAGGAGTTCGAGACCAGCCTGGGCAACATGGTGAAACCCCGTCTCTACTAAAAATACAAAAATTAGCTGGGCATGGTGGTGTGCGCCTGTAATCCCAGCTAGTCAGGAGGCTGAGGCAGGAGAATCGCTTGAACCCAGGAGGCAGAGGTTGCAGTGAGCTGAGATCACGCCATTGCACTCCAGCCTGGGCAACAAAGTGACACTCCATCTCAAAAAAAAAAAAAAAAAAAAGATTGCAGTGGTAACAAGGGAAACAGCAAGTGGATTCACGGTCTGTTTTGGGAGTAGAATTGACAGGACACACAGATGCAGGAAATGAAGAGAATTAAAGAACTCAGGATAACTTCCCGCTCTCTGGCTTAAATAGGTAGGTAGATGAAGTATAATTACTGGGATGAAGAAGACTTGAAGGGAAACATCAGGTTTTGGGGGTAAAGAGCACAGCTTATGTCACATAAAGTTTGAGATGTGATTTATGAATGAGACACAATTTCTCCAACTGTGACCATCACTCCCTCTCTCCCATCAAGTTCTTCCCAATTCTGCCTCTCCTTCAAAGTACAGCTAAGGCTGGGCGCGGTGGCTCACGTCTATAATCCCAGCACTTGAGAAGCTGAGGCAGGTGGATCACTTGGGGTCAGGAGTTCAAGACGAGCCTGGCCAACATGGTGAAACCCCATCTTTACTAAAAATACAAAAATTAGCCGGGCATGGTGGCAGGTGCCTGTAATCCCAGCTACTTGGGAGGCTGAAGCAGGAGAATCACTTGAACCCCGGAGGGGGAGGTTGCAGGGAGCTGAGATCCCGCCATTGCACTCCGGCCTGGATGACAAGAGTGAAATTCTGTCTCAAAAAAAATAATAAAGTACAGGTAAAAGGAACATTCCCCTCCATGAAACCTTCCCCCAGGCAGAAGCCAATCACACCCTCCCCCTAACTCCCACTGCTCCTAATCACAGCACTGCTCACACTTGCCTCACAGAGCTTGGCTGTGAGCTCAAGGTTCTTCCTTGCTCTCTCTTCTCCCCAAGTGTATCACTGTCTCTTAGTACAGCTTCTCTGGATGGTCACTTTGCAATCTATTAACATTTAAAACATTCCTACCCTTTGTTTTATCTATTTATTTTTTGAGACGGGGTCTCGCTCTGTCACGCCCAGGCTTGAGTGCAGTGGCGCGATCTCGGCTCAGTGCAACCTCTGCCTCCTGGGTTCAAGTGATTCTCCTGCCTCAGCCTCCCAAGTAGCTGGCATTACAGGCGCCTGCCACCACGCCCGGCTAATTTTCTGTATTTTTAGCAGAGATGGGGTTTCACCATGTTGGTCAGGCTGGTCTCGAACTCCTGATCCCAGGTAATCCGCCTGCCTCGGCCTCCCAAAGTGCTGGGATTACAGGCATGACATTCCTACCCTTTAACTAAGCAGCTCTGCTTACAGAAACTGAGCTTATATACATAAGTATGCAAAAGTATAGGTACAATGATATTCATTGCAGTGCTGTTTCTAGTAAAGAAAAAAAGAAACCAACTGTCCATCAGCACATGATTGGTTAATTACGGAACAGTGATAAAATAAGGTCGATTTTTATGGGAAAACATTGAAAAGCTATAATAGAATAATACAAAACAAGAAAACACTTATGGTAAGTAAACTTTTGCTTAAATTTGGAGCAACATATACCAAGCTGTTCACAATGGTTTTTTGTGGGGAATGAAATTATAACAGATTTTCATCCACAATTTATATGTTTGCAATGTCTGTCATTTTCACAACATATGCACACTTTTGGAAACAGGAAACAAAAACCTGTAGCATTATATCAATCAGCACATAACCTATACATTTCCTAGCACATGGTGTGGGTTTAATGATGTTTCAATTGAATTTAGTCAGCACATTTATAAGCTTAGTTAAGTTGGTTAATTTCAACTCAGAATGGCCAGTATACATGGCCTTTTACCTCCCATTCTGGACACATTTTATTCAGTCAGTCTTTCAACAAATAATTATTGCATATGTTCTATGTGCCAGATACTGTGCTAATCCCTGGATATTCTACTGCAAATGAGGCAGTTACAATTCTTGCCCTCTATAGAGCTGACAGTCCATGGGGGTGATAAAGGCAAGAAACAGGCAATTACAATCTAATGTGGCAAATGCCATGAAAGGGGAGCTAGATTTCACAACTGGAGCAACCTGAAGTAGGCTTTTTACAAGTTTAGAAGTTTAGGGCTAAGACCTAAAGCATGCCAGGTGTTGTGAAGAGGTAGGCAAAGTGGAGGAAAAGCATGGGGTTAGAGGGGTACAGAGCATATGCAAAGGCTGAAAAGCAAGAGAAAGTGGTTTTGGAAAATTATGGCCGGGGGCTGTGGTTCCACGCCTGTATTCCCAGCACTTTGGGAGGCCGAGGCAGGTGGATCATTTGAGATCAGGAGTTCAAGACCAGCTTGGCCAACATGGTGAGACCCTGTCTCTACTAAAAATACAAAAATTAGCCACGCTTGGTACCTGTAATCCCAGCTACTCAGGAGATTGAGGCAGGAGAATCACTTGAACCCAGGAGGCAGAGGTTGCAGTGTGCCGAGATCGCACCACTGCACTCCAGCCTGGGTGACAGAGTAAGACTGTCTCAAAAAAAAGAAAAAAGAAAGAAAAAAAAAAACAGTTCCCTGTCTTCAAGAACAGAGAGACTCCTACTCTTTCTCACCAGAGATGGGAGGGAAAATGAGGACACATGGGGATGCAGACGGCAGAAATGGGCTACATTCTGTGCTGAAACTGGCTCATGGAAGAAAGCAGCAAGTCTATTCCTTAGAAAGAAATCAATTTCTATAAACTACCTTTCCATATGTTTCACTTTGTTTCCATTTTCCTTAAAGAAAAATGTTCCCTTTGAAAAATTCTAGAATTGGCCAGTCACAGTGGCTCATGCCTGTAATCCTAGCACTTTGGGAGGCCAAGGCGGGTGGATGGCTTGCGGTCAGGAATTCAAAACCAGCCTGGCCAACGTGGTGAAACCCCATCTCTGCTAAAAATATTTAAAAAATTGGTGGCGGGCACCTGTAATCCCAGCTACTTGGTAGGCTGAGGTAGGAGAATCGCTTGAACCGGGGAGGCAGGGCTTGCAGTGAGCCGAGATGGCACCATTGCACTCCAGCCTGGGCAACAAGAGCAAAACTCTGTCTCAAAAAAAAAAAGAAAAAGAAAAATTCTAGAATTAACTCAAATGAACTACATGAAACAGTGGTTTGTCCTAACACAGTCAAGGTCAGCCAAATGGATGAGGGCCAAGCAGAGAAGCCTCACGTGAGGGAGGATCGAGATGGGAAAGCTTCTGTGACGAGAAGGGGGTCAAGCTTTGGTCTGTTCTTACCGAGCCTCTCTAAGTCCCTGCCCCAGGGAGGAGCCCCAGAGCACAATTAGGAAAAACTCTGCCTCTTCCCTAAACCTTGAACTCAATTGCTTAACTCAAAATCAAACAAGTAGGATCCCCAGCTGACTCTACTATTACCCAGGAAAGCAACCTGTTCCCACGTAGCACCCCCATTCTATTTGTTGGGAGGTCTAAAAAGCACCAGAAGTATGAGAAAGGATGTTAGGTGCAGAGGCTGGCATGGTGGGTAAGAGTTGACTGCCAAATGAGATCCTGAATGTGAAAATAGCAACAAAAAAAGTACAGCCCAATATTTAAGAAAGATCATAATGTCAGCTGGCACTCCCTAGGGCAAAGATAGATTTAAAAACCAGTTCATTCCAGGTGTGGTGGCTCATGCCTGTACTTTGGGAGGCAGAGGTGGGCAGATCACTTGAGGTCAGGAGTTCAAGACCAACCTGGCCAACATGGTGAAACCCTGTTCTCTACTAAAAAATACAAAAAAAAAACATTAGCCGGGCATGGTGGCTCATGCCTGTAGTCCCGGCTACTCAGGAAGATGAGGCAGGAGAATCACTTGAGTCTAGGAGGCAGAGGTTGCAGTGAGCCAAGATCATGCCAGTGCACTCCAGCCTAGGCAAGAGCAAGACTCAGTCTCAGAATAAAAACCAGTTCAGGAAAAGACAAGACCCTGAATTCACATAAATTCTTTTTTTTTCAAATGTTTGTATTTACCCTAGATAAATAGACACATACAATAGACGTTTCTAGTCAAAAGACAACATGTTAAGTTGCACTAGCATTCAAAACAGGATATGCAAAGAGTGAACCCTCATGTAAATTGTGTACTTTAGTTTATAATAACACATGAACATTGGCTCATCAGTTGTAACAAAATATGACATACTAATGCAAAATGTTAATAACAGGGGAAATGGCCTATTACAGGCATGGTGGCTCATGCCTGTAATCCCAGCACTTTGGGAGGTTGAGGTGGGTAAATTGCGTGAGCCCAGGAGTCTGAGACCAGCCTAGGCAACAGAGCAAAACCTCATCTCTACAAAAAATACAAAAATTAGCCAGGTGTGGAGGAACATGCCTGTAGTCCTAGTTACCAAGGAGGCTGAGGTGGGAGGATTGCTTGAGCCCAGGAGGTCAAAGCTGCAGTGAGCCGTGAGCTGTGAGCATGCCACTGTACACTAGCCTGGGCGACTCTGTCTTAAAAAAAAAAAAGAAGAAAAGGAAACTTGGGAAGAGGAATGAGGGAGTAATGGGAATTCTGTACTTTCTACTCGTTTTTCTGTAAATTTAAAACTGCTGTAAAAAATAAAAGTCTATTAATTTCTTTTTTCCTTTGAGACAGAGTTTTGCTCTTGTTGCCCAGGCTGGGGTGCAATGGCTCAATCTCCGCTCACTGCAAGGTCGGCCTCCCAGGTTCAAGTGATTCTCCTGCCTCAGCCTCCCAAGTAGCTGGGGTTACAGGCGCGCACCACCATGCCTGGCTAATTTTGTATTTTTAGTAGAAACGGGGTTTCTCCATGTTGGTCAGGCTGGTCTCGAACTCCCAACCTCAGGTGATCCGCCCACTTGGCCTCCCAAAGTGCTGGGATTACAGGCGTGAGCCATCGTGCCTGGTCTATTTTTTTGTTTTTGTTTTTTTTAAGTATATATGTATAGGAAGGCCAGGTGAAGTGGCTAACGCCTGTAATCCAAACACTTTGGGAGGCCAAGGTGGGTGGATCACGAGTTCAGGAGTTCGAGACCAACCTGGCCAGTATGGTGAAACCCTGTCTCTACTAACAATACAAAAATTAGCCAGGCCTGCCACTCCGTCTGGGAAGTGAGGAGCGCCCTGCCCAGCCACCGCCCCATCTGGGATGTGAGGAGCGCCACTGCCCGGCCGCCCCACCATCTGGGAAGTGAGGAGTGCCTCTGCCCAGCCACCCAACTGACTGGGAAGTGAGGAGCGCCTCTGCTCGGCTGCCCACCATCTGGGAAGTGAGGAGGACCTCTGCCCAGCTGCCGCCCCATCTGGGAAGTAAGAAGCGCCTCTGCCCAGCTGCCCACTGTCTGGGAAGTGAGGAGCACCTCTGCCCAGCTGCCCAATGTCTGGGAAGCGAGGAGTGCCTCTGCCCAGCTGCTGCCCCATCTGGAAAGTGAGGAGCGCCTCTGCCCAGCTGCCCACTGTCTGGGAAGTGAGGAGTGCCTCTGCCCAGCTGCCGCCCCGTCTGGAAAGTGAAGAGCGCCTCTGCCCAGCTGCCACTGTCTGGGAAGTGAGGAGCACCTCTGCCCAGCTGCCACCCCGTCTGGAAAGTGAAGAGCGCCTCTGCCCGGCCGCCACCCTGTCTGGGAAGTGAAGAGCGCCTCTGCCCGGCCACCGCCCTGTCTGGGAAGTGAGGAGCGCCTCTGCCCGGCCGCTGCCCTGTCTGGGAAGTGAGGAGCCCCTCTGCCTGGCCGCTGTGCAACCTTCCAAGTGTGAAGTGACAGCCTTGTGTGTGATCTTTTCTGTCTTCTCCAAGTTTGCATTTTTGATGTTAAAGTTTACTTTTTAATTAAAAGTTTTAAATTGGAGAATATATTTTTTAAAAAAATTAGCCAGGCCTGGTGGCGCACACCTGTAGTTTCAGCTACTTGGGAGACTGAGGCAGGAGAATCACTTGAACCCGAAAGGCAGAGGTTGCAGTGAGCTGAGATCACACCACTGCAGAGTGACAGAGTGAGACTCCGTCTCAAAAGAAAAAAGTATGTATGTATAGGAAAACAACAATTTAAAAAAAATTATGCAGCTGGGCCTGGTGGTTCACGCCTGTAATCCCAGCACTTTGGGAGGCCAAAGAGGGCAGATCGTTTGAACTTAGGAGTTCGAGACCGCCCTGGGCAATATGGTGAAACCCCACCTCTACAAAAAATACAAAAAAATTAGCCAGGCATGGTGGTGTGTACGTGTAATCCCAGCCACTTGGGAGGCTGAGATGGGAGGATCCCAGGCCCAGAAGGCAGAGGTTACAGTGAGCCAAGATTGGGCCACTGCACTCCAGCCTGGGTGACAGAGCCAGACCCTGTCTTAAAAAAAAAAAAAAAAAGCAATAACTTTAGGATGGTATGGAATGCAAGCATCACAGGTCACAAAATTTTATACACACCATGTATATATGGATGTACAATAATCACAACTATGAAATAAATACATGAAAGACTGGAAGGAAATGCACCAAAACCTAAACCTAATGAACATTTTGCATTGCAGAGGTTGGGGTAAGGGGACTAAATTTGTTTATCTTATTTACAGCATCAATCTTTTCTAAAAAAAAAGAATATTTATTACTTTTATGATCAGAAATAAATACAAGTAAGTTTTTAAAACAATGAAGGACACTGTTTTGGACAGTATTCTCTATCCAGGTAGGGTGAACTTTACCTAGCACACTGTTTACTTGTGGAAGTGGTATTTTTCTGCCCAAGGATACTTTTGATTGTGTATAATGGAACCCTAGGCCATACTTCTATCCATAATTAAAGTAGAGGAAAGATGTGCTTCATGCTTTACACAAAGACGTATCTTGGCTGATAAAAAAAAAAAGCTTCATCCAACCCAGGGCTCTGTTGGACAGGCTGCTACTCTGCAATCCACCCCAACCCCACCCAACCCCCCTTGCAATCACTCACTCAGAGAAAATACTGCAGCTCAGTAGTCCCTCAGCAGTCCCACACCCAACAGCACAGGGTTTAACTCAAATGTATTGAGGCTTTTCCTGTGCCAGGCTCTCCAGTAAGCACTTTAAATGATTAACTCATTTAACCCTCCCAGGAGACAGGCACCCCCAGTCTTTTCTTTTTACAAGACAAAGCACACTGAGGATGGGGGTAGTGGAAAGGTTGGGAAATCAGGCTATCCTAGTTCGCCTTTACTCTCCCCTTCTCAGGAGCCTAGCTCCCACCTAGTGACAAGTCAGTGTGGCCAGCCCAGCACCAGTCACAGTTCCCACATTTGCTCATTTAACCAATGGTGGAGACTCAGAGACCAAGGAGGCTGACTCTGCCTCACAGCCTGATTAGACAGTCAAGGAACATGAGCCTCTGGCCCTGAGAAAGGGATGCTGCCACTGCTCTTTTTTTTTTTTTTTTTTTTGAGATGGAGTCTCACTCTGTCGCCCAGGCTGGATGGAGTGCAGTGATGCTATCTTGGCTCACTGCAGCCTCCGCCTCCCAAGCTCAAGCAATTCTCCTGCCTCAGCCTCCTGAGTAGGCTGGATTACACGCGCCACCACATTCGGCTAATTTTTGTATTTTTACTAGAGACAGGGTTTCACCATGTTGGCCAGGCTGGTCTCGAACTCCTGACCTCAGATGATCCACCCGCCTCAGCCTCCTGAAGTGGTGGGATCACAAGCATGAGCCACCAGGTGCGATCTGCTGTTGTTCTTTAAACCAGGAATGCTGACCTATTGCTGAGATACTCCCAGACAAATCTGGCAGGGGGATAGAGGAGGAGCAAACAAATATTTCTGGCATAGATCTTCTATTCATTTTCTATTTAATTATAAATTCAAGTAATTTCAGTGAAGAATAGTGTTCACAGCTCAAGTTTATACTATACCAGCACAAAGTTTTAATTCATTTAAATTTATCCATTCAATGAATGGCAAGTACAAAAAAGGCACTACCCTAGAAATATGGCAGAGGTGTTTCCAAAACAGCAGGAGCCCTAGTACAGTATCACAGCCCCCAAGGAGCTCACATTTTAACAAGGCGGCACTGACCTGCTTATCAGATGTTTATGTATCTCATTGGTTACAATAGGCAAAGTGATCTTTTCTGAATTCTAGAAACAAAGGCCATACTTACATCTGCCCAGATTTTCCATGCTTCTCTTGCTTTCTTTACAGTTTCTTCATAGTCTGCCACACTGGCCTAAATTAAGAATTAGGGGGACAGAAAGGGGGAAATAAAGAGAAATGATGATGATCTTCTAGAACACAAAAATATTTTCAGAAAAGAGTTGGGAAATCTCTAGGGTTCCCTAACATTTATGGCTGAGAATGATTCCCACAGTCTATACTTCCAAAAACTAGCTAGAACCCGGTAAAACAGGTTGGTATCCAACTATGCTTTAAAACCTTGCTTTTCAAAGCAAAATCTGTCAGCTTCATCTGGGAACATGTAAGGCATATTAGAAATGCAGAACCTTGAGCTCCAACCCAGACTTCGGAAATCAGAAGCTTCATTCTAACAAAATCCTCAGGTACTTCAGAAGCACTGCCTTAAATGGCCCCCTGCCTAATCTTTCTACGCTTCACCTTTTCTATGGTTCTTTCCTTTTCACGCCCCCACCCAAGAGAGGACAGTCTCCCCCAGACAGTCCTAAATGACAAATGAAAAATAAACACATTATTCTCTTCATTTGTGATTTTATATTATTCTTGACCTGCCTAACTGGCTTCTGCCTCTAAAGAAAGCCTGCACAAACTCCTTGTGTATAATTTGAATTAAACACACACACACACACACACACACACACACACACACTCTTACCTGTCGGACTCTTGCTATTGGCTCGTTGTTAGCAGGGCAATAGGTCGTAATAACCTTAAAACAAAAGGATGATGATCATGTATAGAAAACGTAATCCCTTTTGAAGTAAGGGAATAGACCAAACGGGGAAGAAAAACAAGAGAGGAAAAAATGATATAATACCCAAACTCAAAAAGCTTAGGTTAACTTCTGTTACATATAAACCACTCTACAGAGGTTGTCTTTCATTTCTGACTTAAACATTAGAAACTACCTTTCTGCAAAACTCGCCTCTGACATCTCAATATTAGGCATATAAACAAAAGCCTTAACATAAGCAGTTATTTTGTCTCTTTTTCCATTAATAACAGACCAAACTGACTAGTTTTAGTTATTTCTTCTCTTCCTTACTCTGCCCACCCTCTGCTCAGAGATGAAATGGCCAAGGCAGGAAAACTGTTGGAAAGTCCCGTGTCCACACCAACTGGAGAGGTCTCAGGTCAACAATGAAAGGGAAAATCAAGGCACAGCTAAAAAGGCCTCCAAGAGCCTAATGATCAGATACCACACGGAAATCAGGATGAAACACCGAGGTCTGAGGAGCAATTAAAATTATCTGTATCTCCTACAGCCACTGATTACCAAAAGACGTGTTCCCTCTACCAAGGCAGGTTCATTATATAATATACAACGTCCAACAAAGTTTGTTAACTGTTACATAACATCCTCCTATAAAAAACTTTCTTTTAAAAAAAAATCTGGGCGATAATAACCTTACCTTTCCATTGTATTCTATAAAACATTGTTTTGAGCAGTAATGGGTATCAGGCGCGGTGTTAAGCCCTGGGCAATGGAGAAATGCTGAAAATCCAGTCCTCAAAGGAGTTCACAGCCCAACGTACAACATGGCAAGATTTCGGCACGTCCAAGCTTGCAAACTCCCAAAGAATTCAGGAAGGAAGATAACTTAAAACTACACTGAAGAACGTTACCTGCGGTGCACGTCACAGCTGAAGAGCCAGAGTTAAGCTCTAAATTAAGATCAGTTGCACCGCTCAGTGTGCCACATTTCTCACAAGACCATAGATCCCAAGACCATAAGGTTTTAATTTTTTTTTTTTTTTTTTTTTTTGAGACGGAATTTCGCTCTTGTTGCTCAGGCTGGAGTGCAATGGCACGATCTCGGCTCACTACGACCTCCACCTCCCGGGTTCAAGCGATTCTCCTGCCTCAGCCTCCCTAGTAGCTGGGATTACAGGCATGCGCCACCACGCCCGGCTATTTTGTATTTTTTTTAGTAGAGACAAGGTTTCTCCATGTCGGTCAGGCTGGTCTTGAACTCGCTACCTCAGGTGATCCGCCCGCCTAGGCCTCCCAAAGTGCTGGGATTACAGGGGTGAGCCACCGCGCCCGGTAGACCATAATGTTTTAAATATGCGCGGGAAGTTTAGCCCCTACAGCTCCAAAATGACGTCGATTCTGCATAGCACACAAGGACCTAAAATCTAAGTTTTTGTTTTAAAGGCACCCTACACGAGAAAACTTTTACTGTGGAGCTTCAAAATCTCCCATGCTACTACCGCATCCAGCGCCAGCGGGGAGTCGGTAGGTCAGTGCCCGCCCGGCCTCCTCGAGCGAGCCCCGGCGGCTGCAGAGATTTCTTGAGCGCCCGCGTACCTCTCCCCGGCCTCCCCAGCTTCCATTATACACGCCCTCGTTTTCCTCGCGGAGCCCCAGCTCTTTCAGCCACGCATACTGGGGCTGATTGATGAGGAGAGTGGACATGAAGGCGGCAGGCCTGCTCCAAGGTCCAGAGAGCTTGCTGGTCTTTGCAGCGTGCACACACAGCGCGCGAGGAAGGCGCCACATACTGAGCCCGGGACTCGGGATGAGCCCAAGGCCCTGAGAGCTGCTGAAATAGAGCCCCGCCCCCCGCCCGGGAGAACCCATTGGGCAGACCCGACCCCTCCCACTGGGCACGACCCCGCCACCGCCCCGTCTGCCCCTGGTCTTCCGGAGGAGCCTGCGGCTGAATCCTGCCTGGAACAATGGGAGTGCTACAGGGAGGAGTGGGCTGCTGCCATCTGGTGAAAGACTCCGGGAGCCACAGTTCCAGCTGGGAATTCTTTTCAGCAAAATATTGGCGCTGAAGTACAGTAGGCTATAGCAGGGGTTCTGAAACTGTAAAATGCGTGTAATGACCTGGTCGTCGTGGTAAATGCACATTCTGATTCAGTAAGTCTGGGCTAGGGTCGGAGAGCCGACATTCCTAACCAGCTCCTCAGCGATGGTGACGCCTCTTGTCCCTGGAGTAGGCAACGGAGGGTTTGTATTGGGGGGCGGGGGAAGGGTTGGTTGTTTTCACTGTTTTGGTAGATTACAAATTAAAGTTTTCTAATTAATGATAAATATTAGATTGCTGCATTTCCTCTATAAATATCCTGCCTGGGTATATTCTTACTTTTTTTTTTTTTTTTTTTTTTTGGAAACGGAGTTTCGCTCTTCTTGCCCAAGCTAGAGTGCAACGGCGCGATCTCGGCTCACTGCAACCTCCGCCTACCGGGTTCAAGCGGATTCTCTTGCCTCAGCCTCCTGAGTAGCTGGGATTACAGGTGTGCACCACCACACCCGGCTAATTTTTTGTATTTTTAGGACAAACGGGGTTTCACCATGTTAGTCAGGCTGGTCTGGAACTCCTGACCTGAGATGATCTGCCCGCCTCAGCCTCCGAAAGTGCTGGGATTAGAGACATGAGCCACTGCGCCCGGCCTCTTACTTTTTTTTTTTTAAGATGGAGTCTCGCCCTATCGCCCAGGCTGGAGTGCAATGGCACGATCTCCACTCACTGCAACTTCAACCTCCCAGGTTCAAGTGATTCTCCTGCCTCAGCCTCCCCAGTAGCTGGGATTACAGGTGCACACCACCACACCAGCTAATTTTTGTATTTTTAGTAGAGACGGGGTTTCTCCCTGTTGGCCAGGCTGCTCTCGAACTCCTGACCTCGTGATCTGCCCGCCTCTGCCTCCCAAAGTGCTGGGATTACAGGCGTGAGCCACTGTGTCCGGCCTATTCTTACATTTTTTTTTTTTTTTTGAGACGTAGTCTCGCACTGTTGCCAGGGCTGGAGTCCAGTGGCGCAATCTCGGCTCACTGCAACCTCCGCCTCCCGGGTTCACGCGATTCTCCTTGCCTCAGCCTCCTGCGTAGCTGGGATTACAGGCGCCCACCACCACGCTTGGCCAATTTTTTGTATTTTGAGTAGAGAAGGGGTTTCACTATGTTGGCCAGACTGGTCTCGAATTCCTGACCTCGTGATCCGCCCACCTCAGCCTCCCAAAGTGCTGGGATTACAGGTGTGAGCCACCACGCCCAGCTCTTACTCTTAAAGAATAAAGACAGTTTTGATCAATTTCTTTCATTCTCCATTTCTGTCTTCCTACAATATCCTTTCCATTCATGCATGCCCCATCTCATTTCACAACAACTGGGCCTACCCTGTAAAACGGAAATACTAATATCTCAATCATCATTATTTGAACATGAGTTTAAAATATGCTTGCCCACGCTAGAGTGCAGTGGCAGGATCATGGCTTACTGAAGCCTCGACCTCCGAGGCTCTAGTGATCCTCCTACCTCAACCTCCCAAGTAGCTGGGACTACAGGCATGCCATCACACCCAGCTAATTTTTGAGGATTTTTTGTAGAGACAGGGTTCCCCCATGTTGCCCAGGCTGGTCCGCACCTCCTCGGCTCAAGGGATCTGCCTTGCGCCTCCCAAAGAGCTGGGATTACAGGCTTGAGCCACCACTCCTGGCCCCTTTCATCTCTGCATTCAAACATAAGCTTTATCTCTTCCACCCTTATAGTACAAATGATTTGAACAAACACTCTGCATGTATCAAGCAGCTACCAGAAACTGCAGTTAGTACTAGGCATACATGAATGATGCTTCCTTTTGTAAATGCTACAGTTTTTTCCTGTTAGGGCAAGGACCATCTCTGACTCATCTTTGCATTGCTCCACAGTTCCTAGCATTGTTCCAAGTTTACGCTCACTTACATGAGTATATGAACAAATGAACCAATGAATAACACCGTCGAAGGAGTTGCAATGCCCTATCTGACATTGGTAATCTCTATCAACAACCCTGCTGCTGTCTTCCATCTACACGGAGGACCATGGTGCTAATTTTTCTAATTTTAATTCTCAGACTTTATTTATTTATTTATTTATTTATTTAGAGACGGAGTCTCACTCTGTCCCCAGGCTGGAGTGCAGTGGTGCAATCTTGGCTCACCACAACCTCCGCCTCCCGGGTTCAAGTGATTCTCCTGCCTCAGCCTCCTGAGTAGCTGGGACTACAGGCACTCACCACCACACCTGGCTAATTTTTCAATTTTTAGTAGAGACAGGGTTTCACCACGTTGGCCAGGATGGTCTCGATCTCCTGACCTCGTGATCCGCCCGCCTTGGCCTCCCAAAGTGCTGGGATTACAGGCATGAGCCACCGCGCCCGGCTAATTCTCAGACATTTTAACTGATTCTCATCACTTTCTATCAGCCAACAAGATTATTTGTCCACATATCCCAAAACCACATTCTTCCTTCTCTTCTCTTCCATTCACTTCAACGAAATTAAAATACATAGAGGCACAAAGGATTAGGAGCAACACATAGTGTCATCAAGGAGTGTTGGCTGCCCTCTCTTCAAGTCAAGAAGAGAAGTGTGCCCATCCTTCTGAACCAATTCTGGCTGGCTGGGCACAGTGGCTCATAGCTGTAATCCCAGAACTTTGGGAGGCCAAGATGGAAGGATCACTTGAGTGATCAGAAGTTCGAGACCAGCCTGGCCAACGTGGTGAAACCCCATCTCTACTAAAAATACAAAAATTAGCTGGATGTGGTGGTACACGTCTATAGTCCCAGCTACTTGGGAGGCTGAGCCTGGAGAATCGCTTAAACCCAGGAGATGGAGGTTGCAGAGCGCCAAGATCATACCATTGCACTCCAGCCTGGGGGACAGAGCAAGACCCTGTCTCAAAAAATAAATAAGCCAATTCTGGGAATATAGGCACCAGCAACTGCTCACATTGAAAACAGGGATTGCATCCTTCTTCTACATCCTTTTTTCAAAACTCCTGTTAGCCCTGCTTAACAGGAGTTCAGGAAAAATCAGAAATGATGAATTGTAATGAGGTTGAGCAGGAAGAGACAGAATTAAATGAATCATATATGAAAGCACTTTGAAAACTGCAAAGCCCTGTAGAAATGAAAATGCAGTGGCTAAACTCAGGACACCTTAAAACAGTTCTGTATTAAAAGTGGCAGAGGAGCCAGGTGCTGTGGCTCACGCCTGTAGTTCCAGCACTTTGGGAGGCCAAGGAGGGTAGATCAGGAGTCAGGGTGGTCAGGAGTTCAAGACCAGCCTGGCCAACATGGTCAAACCCCGTCTCTACTAAAAATACAAAAATTAGCCGAGCCTGGTGGTGCATGCCTGTAATCCCAGCTACTCGGGAGGCTGAGGGATGAGACTCGCTTGAACCCAGGAGGCAGAGGCTGCAGTGAGCCGAGATTTTGCCACTGCACTGTAGCCTAGGAGACAGAGCAAAACTCTTGTCTCAAAAAGAAGAAAGAATTTAATAGACAGGAGGCCACCCATGCCACGTGGGAGACAGAGTTATTACTCAAATCAATCTCTTGGAGAATTCAGGGACTAGTGTTTTTCAAAGATAGTTTGGGGAAGGGATGGAGTGGCTAAGCAATGGGTTCTTGCTGCTTATTGGTTGGGGATGCAGTCATAGGGGTATGGGAAATTGTCCTCAAGCAGCTCGACAACTTCTGTGTGGGAACCCAGAAGCGGTTAGAGGTTCAGGTGGAACCATTGGTAGTCAGACATGCAAAATATCTGAAAAGATATCTCAAAACGCCAATCTTAGGGTCTACAATAGTGATATTATCTGGAAGAGTAATGGAAAAGTTGCATACCTTGTGACCTCTGGGATAATGACTGGCAACGGTTTATGTCTACACCTTAGCAGAATTCAGCCTCCTTTATCCGTCTACCCTGGTGGTCTCTTACTAGCTTTACAAAGGCGGTTGGCTTTTGGGGAAGGGTTATTATCATTTAAACTATAAACTAAATGTCTCCCAAAGTTACATTGACAGGCCCAAGCACAGGAATAATTAAGGGCAGCTTGAAGGCTAAAAGCAAGATAGGGGTTGGCTAGATCAGATCTCTCCCACTGCCATAATTTTCTCACTGTTATAATTTTCGCAAAGGCGGGTTCCAAGATAACCCTTAAAGAATGGGGTGGGTTGAGGGAAGGGCCTCTCAGGCCGAGTGAACAGCAAATGCAGAGGCCTGGCCTGAGGAACAACAGGTTCAGCGCGCCAGCGGTTAGGCAGGGGGACACACTAGGACCAGTGACCAGATGCCCAGTCCACATGACCTTGTTTGCCATGTGGCAAAGTAAAACAGAGGTTCCTCTTCAAAAACTTTCCTCCCCGTCTAATTAGGAATAAATAGTAACTTCTCTTAAAAGCAAAATTTATTCAAAGATCTGTGCTAACATTCTTAAATATCTGCTAGCCATAATAAAAAAAAATGTACTTTATGTTCTTAGCTCCCACAATTTAGCCTAAATATTTGCCCTGGCATGCTTTTACTAGTCCAAGCAAGCATTAGGTCATAGCCTGTTCCTCTTCCTTATTTAAAAGTGTTTTCATCTTTCTCAGCATTCCACAAGTTACTTCCTCCTTCCTTTGTTCTCCTCTACCTTTGCCTCTTTTAAAAAGTTCTAAGTTGCTAGCCAATCGGGACAAATACAAAATGTGAGGTCCGGTCCAGCCAATAAAAACCAGCCACAGCAGTAAGGTAAACACGTCAGGTTATAAATGACCCTGTCTCCTTTTGTTCAGTGTACTCTCCTGGCAAAACTGCTGGCGAGTGTACCCTTTCTGCAGAAAGTAAAAATGGCCTTATTCAGTAAGTTAAATTTATGTTGCTATTTCTTTACGACACCGGAAAACAAACATTTCAAACACCATGCTGAGAACTCAGTCCTTGTTTTGGGGAGGGATGCACTTGGAAGATTCGAGCTAAGGTACAATCCTCCCTAGGTATCCGCGGGTCATTGTTTTCAGGACCCCCACAGATACCAACATCCGCCATGCTCAAGCCCCTTACATTATGTGGGGGTGCACGGTGGGTCCTTCCCATCCGCAGGTTCGGCATCCGTGGATGGGGAGTGGATACAGAGGGCGGACTATACAGCTTGAAAGGCTTCCCTGGAAGCAATATGTAGAGTGGATTGTGGAGGAGCAAGAACAGAAGCGGGGAGGCTTGTCCAGAGCATACAGGGGAAGGATGTACGGCCAAGGGAGGAATCCCAGACGACCGCGATACGTGACATATTTATGTTTGCACGAAAATAAAGTTTGGAAGAAAAGTGTTGGGGGAACAAGGGATTCATTTTCCCGGGGTAGTTGGAATGCAATGGGACGCCTCAGGCCGCTGGGACAGGCTGGCCTCCGCGCGGGGGCGCCCGAGCAGCCGAGCCGCCGGGCCTTCCGGCTGCCCCGCCGGAAGTGCTCTCCTGACCCGCCGCTGTGCAGCGCAGCGCACCGCGGGAAGATGGCGTTGGAGGTCGGCGATATGGAAGATGGGCAGCTTTCCGACTCGGATTCCGACATGACGGTCGCACCCAGCGACAGGCCGCTGCAATTGCCAGTGAGTGTGAAAGGAGGGTGGGTGATCGTGGCTGGGCGCGCGGAGCCTGGGCCCCGGGGAGCGCGCAGGCAGCGGTGAGGGTGAGGGGTGGGAGCTAGGAGCCCGGGCCAGAGCGAGGAGCCCAGGCTGTCGGGTCAGTGGCCGCAGAAGGGGCGAGCAGACGTCCCCCAGGCGGGCTCACGGAGCCCGGGCTGCGGGGGCCGAGGGGCGAGGGGCGACGGCGGCAGCGGCAGCGGCTGGCCGTGCGAACCCCGAACTGGCTGCTCCCTGCGAGGCGGGGCGCGCGAGCCCTGGCGCCTCCTGGAGGCCGGCTTGCGGCGGCCTCTTAGACGTCTCACCTCCGCCTACCGCTCTTTCTTTTCTAAACTTGGGGCTTCCCCACTCCATCGCCGCTAGGTAACCATAAAGGGGCAGATTTTGCCAAATATGTAGCATCTAGGGACATCAGCCTGAAACAGCCTGTGATGCTCATTTTCTCCCTGAGCCGAAGGGAGACTGAGGCCCAGGAATGAAGTTTATCGCTCACTCAAAGATCTGGTTTTCCATGTTTCCACCGAACCTAGCTTTGTCATGCGGTACCATGGCACTAGGCTTTTGCATTAGCCTCTCTGATTTTGTTTGTTGTTTTGAGGTGGTCTCACGCTGTTGCCCAGGCTGGAGTGCAGTGGCGCGATCTCGGCTCACTGCAACCTCCGCCTCCCGGGTTCAAGCGATTCTCCTGCCTCAGCCTCCCGAGTAGCTGGGATTACATGCGCCCGCTGCCACGCCCGGTTAATTTTTGTATTTTTGGTAGACGCGGGGTTTCACCATGTTGCCCAGGCTGGTCTCGAACTCCTGACCTCAAGTGATCGGCCTGCCTCGGCCTCCAAAAGTGCTGAGATTACAGGTGTGAACCACGGCGCCCGGCCACATCCAGCTAATTTTGTATTTTTAGTTGAGACGAGATTTCTCCATGTTGGTCAGGCTGGTCTCGAACTCCCAACCTCAGGTGATCCGCCCGCCTCGGCCTCCCAAAGTGTTGGGATTACAGGCGTGAGCCACCTCGCCCGGCCTAATTTTTGTATTTTTAGTAGAGACGGGGGTTCTCCATGTTGGCCAGGCTGGTCTTGAACTTCCGACCTCAAGTGATCCACCCGCCTCGGCCTCCCAAAGTGCTGGGACTACAGGCGCGAGCCACCGCGCCCGGCCCAGCTTCCCTGCTTTCTAAACGGGAATTTGTCTTGACTGCCTTGGTAGGTAGCAACCTCTTTGAGAGGGCGTTGGTGCCAGGCTGCCTGTGTTCAGATCCTGGGGCCACCGATGTGTGACCTACAGCAGGTTTATTTAGCCTCACTGCTTTTTGTCTACCTCTGTGGAATTGGCATGATGTACCACTGATAGGGTTATTGCAAGGATTCTGTGGAGCATACAGTGTGCAGTAATGCCTGGTAAGTGTTATCTCTGATTATTATTTGAAGATAGGAAGATAGATAGTCCCAACTTCCATTTCTAGCGTAGTAGGAGTTTAACAAAGACAAATACTTGCTTTTGCATATAAATGTTTAGGAAATTAGTACCAAGATATTTTGTTTTTCAATCTCAGGTTGTTTTTACATAAATTGACCCATGACTTGGTAAATAAACTTAATGCCGTGGACTCTGGGGTTTTAAAAATATCTTGCCCAGGCTGGGCGCGGTGGCTCACGCCTGTAATCCCAGCACTTTGGGAGGCCGAGGCGGGTGGATCACGAGGTCAGGAGATCGAGACCATCCTGGCTAACGCGGTGAAACCCCCTCTCTACTAAAAATACAAAAAAATTAGCTGGGCGTGGTGGCGGGCGCCTGTAGTCCCAGCTACTCCGGAGGCTGAGGCAGGAGAATGGTGTGAACCCGGGAGGCGGAGCTTGCAGTGAGCCGAGATCGCGCCACTGCACTCCAGCCTGGGTGACAGAGCAAGACTCCCATCTCAAGAAAAAAAAAAAAAATACATGCCCAGCCTGGGCAACTTGGCAAGACCCCGTCTCTACCAAAAAATGCAAAAAAAAAAAAAAAATAGCTGGGTATGGTGAAGGTTGCCTGTAGTCCCAGTCCCTCAGGAGGCTGAGGTAGGAGGATCGCTTGAGCCTGAGAGGTGGTGAGCCATGATAGCTCCACTGCACTCCAGCCTCGGCCACAGAACAAAACTTTGTCTCAAAAAAAAAAAGTAACAATTATTATGTATGTCATTTTAAAACATTCTGACAGTAACTGAAAAGTTTGAAATCTTTTAAAGGTGACAAGAGCTTTGGTAATATAGTAGAAGGAGATCTTAGAACAAAGTGCTGCATTAGTTGTAAAGATAAGAATTTGTGGCTTTTAAATTGGCAAATTCCATGTGGAACTTAGAAAAGTAGGAACTTGATTGGTCTCAGATTTGTCTTTGAAGATCAGTTCCATTTTGGAATGGCAAAGTTGAATCTCTAAATTTTTAAAAATTAGGTAGGTGGAGTTTATGTGTTTTGTGAAATTGATTGTGTTTCTTTTCACTTGCAGAAAGTGCTAGGTGGCGACAGTGCTATGAGGGCCTTCCAGAACACGGCAACTGCATGTGCACCAGTATCACATTATCGAGCTGTTGAAAGTGTGGATTCAAGTGAAGAAAGTTTTTCTGATTCAGATGATGATAGCTGTCTTTGGAAACGCAAACGACAGAAATGTTTTAACCCTCCTCCCAAACCAGAGCCTTTTCAGTTTGGCCAGAGCAGTCAGAAACCACCTGTTGCTGGAGGAAAGAAGATTAACAACATATGGGGTGCTGTGCTGCAGGAACAGAATCAAGATGCAGTGGCCACTGAACTTGGTATCTTGGGAATGGAGGGCACTATTGACAGAAGCAGACAATCCGAGACCTACAATTATTTGCTTGCCAAGAAACTTAGGAAGGAATCTCAAGAGCATACAAAAGATCTAGACAAGGAACTAGATGAATATATGCATGGTGGCAAAAAAATGGGATCAAAGGAAGAGGAAAATGGGCAAGGTCATCTCAAAAGGAAACGACCTGTCAAAGACAGGCTAGGGAACAGACCAGAAATGAACTATAAAGGTCGATACGAGATCACAGCGGAAGATTCTCAAGAGAAAGTGGCTGATGAAATTTCATTCAGGTGAGCATTTGAATTACAAATAAGTACTTGACCAGATGGCTTCTATTTACAGGAAATAAAATGAATGCCAAATACTTTAATGATATGTTCCTTTTTTTTTTTTTTTTTTTGGAGACAGGGTCTTGCTCTGTCACCCAGGCTGGAGTGCAGTTACTCACTGCAACCTCCGCCTCCTCGCTCAAGGGATTCTCTTACCTCAGCCTCCTGAATAGCTGGGACCACAGGTATGCACCCCCACGCCCAGCTATTCTTTGTATTTTTAATAGAGACAGGGTCTTGCCATGTTGTCCAAGCTACTCTCGAACTCCAGAGCTCAAGGGATCCACCCGCCTTTGCCTCTCAAAGTGCTGAGATTACAGGCGTGAGCCATGGGCTGGCCTAATCTATTTATTTATTTATTTATTTGAGAAAGGATCTCACTCTTGCCCAGGCTGGAGTGCAGTGCTGCAATCACACCTCACTGGAACCTAGAACTCTTGGGCTGAAAGGATCCTTCCACCTCAGCTTCCTGAGTAACTGGGACTACAGGCTCAGGCCATTATGCCTGGCCAATTAAAAAAAAAAAATTATGGCCAGACAGAGTGGCTCATGCTTGTAATCCCAGCACTTTGGGAGGCTGAGGTGAGTGGATCATGAGGTCAGGAGTTCAAGACCAGCCTGGCCGACACAGTGAAACCCCATCTCTACTAAAAATACAAAAATTAGCTGGGCGTGGTAGTGGGCGCCTGTAATCCCAGCTACTCGGGAGGCTGAGGCAGGAGAATCACTTGAACCCGGGAGGCGGAGGTTGCAGTGAGCCGAGATTGTGCCACTGCACTCCAGCCTGGGTGACAGAACTAGACTCCATCTCAGAAAAAAAAAAAAATTAGGAGTTTCACTGTGTTGCCCAGGCTGGTGTCAAACTCCTGGGAACAAGCAGTCCTCCCACATTGGCCTCCCAAAGTGCTGGGATTATATGCATCAACCACTGCGCTGTCCACAGATTTTTTTTTTTTTTTAAGAGATGGTCTTGCTCTGGTCACTCAGCTGGAGTGCAGTAGCACAATCAGAGCTCATTGAAGCTGAACTCCTGGGCTTAAGCAATCCTCCTGCCTCAACTTCCCAGATTGCTGGGATTATAGGTGTGAGCCACTGTACCTGAGTCTTTGAAAATTTTTCTTTAAGGAACTGGGATAATTTGGTTATATGAATACATTCGTAATGTATTTTTCTGTTGGTTTTTTGTTTATGAGACAGTCTTGCTCTGTCACCCAGGCTGGAGTGCAGTGGTGGTATCCTGGCTCACTGCAACGTCCCCTCATGAGAATTGCTTGAACGTGAGAGAGCCACCTGAGTAGCTGGGACTATAGGCATTCGCCACCACACCCAAATAATTTTTTTTTTTTTGTATTTTTAGTAGAGATAGGGTTTCATTATGTTGGCCGGACTGATCTCGATCTCCTGGCCTCAAGTGATTTGCCTGCCTTGGCCTCCCAAATGCTGGGATTATAGGCGTGAGCTGCGCACCCACTGTGTTTTCTTAAATTTGGACAAGCCTGATAGAATAATTTTGTAGACTTTTATGAACTGTTAAACAACTTGTTGCATTTAGTGCCATAGAGCTTTTTAAATAAAGCATATATTTTTAAATCATGGGTTGTTTTTGTTTGTTTAGTGTTTTCAAGAATTTGTGACTTTTTTCTTAACTTTGAGGTATATTTTACAGATAATATTCACCCATTTCTAGTGTTAATTTTTTTAGGAAACATATCAAGTTGTATAACCATCACCTCTGAAACATTTCTGTCACCCAGTAAGATCCCTTATGTCCACATGCCAGTTTATAGTTAATCCCTGTTCTCATTCCCAGATAACTGCTAATCTACTTTCTGTCTATAAATTTGCCTTTTTTGGATATTTCATATAAATGGTGTCATGTAGTATGTAATCTCGTGCCTTGCTTCTGTCAGCTAATGTTATGTTTTTGTTTGTTTTTGTTTTTGTTTTTTTGTGTGTGTGGTTTGTTTTTTTGATTGTTTGTTTGTTTGTTTGAGACAGAGTGTCACTCTGTTGCCCAGGCTGGAGTGCAGTGTCACGATCTCAGCTCACTGCAACCTCCGCCTCCTGGGTTCAAGCAATTCTCATGCCTCAGCCTCGTGAGTAGCTGGAATTACAGCCATGTGCTACAACGCCCAGCTAATTTTTATATTTTTTAGTAGAGACAGGGTTTCGCCATGTTGGCCAGGCTGGTCTCGAACTCCAGACCACCTCAGCCTCCCAAAGTGGTGGGATTAGAGGCGTAAGCCACTGTGCCCAGCCAATGTTGTGTTTTTGAGATTGATCCATGGTGTAGCAGGAATCAATACATTTTTATAGTGTGTGTATATATGCATATATTCATATTGAATATTCTACTTTTTGGCTATCATGAATAATGCTGTTATGAACCTTCACATCCAGATCTTTAAACACATATTTTCATATCTTTGTTTTCTTTTGTTTTGTTTTAGACAGAGTCTCACTCTGTTGCCCAGGATGGAGTGCAGTGGCATGATCTCAGCTCACTGCAACCTCCGCCTCCTGGGTTCAATCAAATCTCCTGCCTCAGCCTCCCTAGTAGCCGGGATTAGAGGCGTGCGCCACCACGCCCAGATAATTTTTTTTTTGTATTTTTAGTAGAGACAGGGTTTCACCTTGTTGACCAGGCTGGTCTCAAACTTCTAACCTCAGATGATCCACCCCCTTCGACCTCCCAAAGTGTTGGGATTACAGGCATGAGCCACCTCACCTGGCCATATTTTCATTTCTTTCAGGTAAATACCCAGAAGTAGAATTGCTTGGTGTATGGTAAATTTACAATTCATGTATTTTTACCAAGTTCAGATTTTGAATTAACATTTTCATTAGCTCTAAATTACTAATGAACAGTGTCATAAATTTGAAAACAGATACGGTTCAAGAGTAATGCAGGTGGTAGGAAAACAAGTATTTACTTTCCAGGCAAGCCTATCTGAACACCAGTACTTGATTTTTAAAATACTGGGGAAGTTTGGAATTTGAGTGCTGGAAAGAAACTTAGAGATGTTGTAAACCAAAACCTTCATTTCACAGATTAATATTAGACCTGGAGTTAAACCCTGATCCTTGTGTTCCTAGTCTATTTCTCTTTCCACAAAAATGCACTGCCTCCTGTTGAGAAGAAACAAAGGGTGCCAGGTCTGAATTCTTTTTTTTTTTTTTTTTTTTTTTTTTTGAGACGGAGTTTCACTCTCGTTGCCCAGGCTGGAGTGCAGTGGTGCCATCTTGGCTCACTGCAACCTCTGCCTCAGCCTCAGGGTTCAAGCAATTCTCCTGCCTCAGCCTCCCAAGTAGCTGGGATTATAGGCATGTGCCACCACACCCAGCTAATTTTGTATTTTTTGTAAAGACGGGGTTTCTCCACGTTAGTCAGACTGGTCTCGAACTCCCAACCTCAGGTGATCCACCCACCTCGGCCTCCCAAAATGCTGGGATTATAGGTGTGAGCCACCACACCCAGCTGAATTCTTGATCTGTTGAGAGTGTGAGCTTTGACACTGGAAGAATTACTTAGGCTACCTATGTTTCTAACCTCTCAGTGACAAAATGAAAACGATAGTACCTATCTTGTACATTCTTGAGAGAATCAGCTGGCATAGTGCATGTAAGGTTCTTAGGATTGTGCTTATTATAATCATAATAAGCCATCAGTAAATATTAGCTGTTTCTATTTTTTGTTCTGAGGCAGGGAGTCTATGAGGGAAAGGTCCTATCCCATTTTAAAGCTCCAGACATCTCTGGAATTATGTGAGCCTTAGCTTTTAGGCGTAATAATTGAAAGTATATATGTCTGTTATTTATTTTGACAATAGTGGACTGCCTTTATCATCTTTTGCATTCAGACCTGCATTCATCGTGCTGCATGTGCATTTTGAAATCTGCTATAATCCAATAAGACAAATAAGCCAATTATGAGAGTTTAGATGGAAACTTGAGGTTACCATCTCCTTCTGTGACCCAAGATTAGGAATATTTACATGTCAGTGATTCCAAGATTAAATATTGAAGATTTAGAAAACCAAAAGTTACTAGAATCAGATTTTTATTCTAGCTGGTGACTAAGGTAGATTTCTTCAACTTTGTACAACAAACAAAGAGGATAATTTTACTTGTTTCTCATCAGGTTACAGGAACCAAAGAAAGACCTGATAGCCCGAGTAGTGAGGATTATTGGTAACAAAAAGGCAATTGAACTTCTGATGGAAACCGCTGAAGTTGAACAAAATGGTGGTCTCTTTATAATGGTAAGACTGCTTAACTGTTTTTGTTTTTGTATTGTTTATCCTGTGTTTTTGTTTTTGATTACAAATTTAACTTTGCCCTTGTTGGATCTGTGATTTATCATGCATTCTTACAGTATGTTTGAAGTTTTTAAACTATTATCAACAATGAAGACTGTTAAAAAAAAATTAGTTGCCAGGCACGGTGGCTCAAGCCTGTATTCCTAGCACTTTGGGAGGCTGAGGCGGGCCGATCACCTGAGATCGGGAGTTCGAGACCAGCCTGACCAACATGGAGAAACCCTGTCTCTACTAAAAATACAAAATTAGCCAAGCGTGGTGGCACATACCTGTAATCGCAGCTACTCAGGAGGCTGAGGCAGGAGAATCACTTGAACCTGAGAGACCAGAGGTTTCAGTGAGCTGAGATCGCACCCTTGCACTCCATCCTGGGCAACAGGAGCGAAACTCCGTCTCAAAAAAAAAAAGAATAAAAAGAAAAAAAAATTAGTACAGTTGTTTTTGCAGTTAGTACTTCCCTGACAAAAAAACAAACAAACAAACATAAATTATAGCCTGTTGCCGTATAGTCACCAAAACATTTCTTACATGATTTGTTAAAGGTAGGGGTTGAATTTTTTTTTTTTTTTTTTTTTTTGAGAAGGAGTCTCGCTCTGTCGCCCAGACTGGAGTGCAGTGGCGCAATCTCGGCTCACTGCAACCTCCGCCTCCCGAGTTCAAGCAATTCTCCTGCCTCAGCCCCCCAAGTAGCTGAGATCACAGGCATGCACCACCACACCCGGCTAACGTTTGTATTTTTAGTAGAGACGGGGTTTCACCATGTTGCCCAGGCTGGTCTCAAACTCCTGACCTTAGGCAATCCACCCAGCTCGGCCTCCCAAAGTGCTGGGATTACAGGCGTGAGCCACTGCACCCGGCCAAAGGGTTGAAGTTTTAAGACGACAAAGTCTAGGGGAGCCTAGGAGCTCAGATCTTGAGAATATGGGTTTTAGAGTTTGGGTACCCTTTTTTACTTCTAGATTTTCAACATACTAATTGAAATTCGGCTAAGTTGTTTGACTTCTTGGAGCCTCAGTCTCCTCAGCTGTAAAATGGAGATTAGTCCTACATTTTAAGGATTAGAGGAGATGGTGCACATGAAATACTGACCACAGTGCCCAGCACTTTAGCAATGGTAAACAGAAGTGTTCATTTTGGTTCACTTAATTCATGCATTCTTGAAAAAGAGGGCAAAAAAAAAAAACAAAACACCCTTTTTTTTGTTTGTTTGTTTTTTGAGACGGAATCTCACTCTGTCGCCCAGGCTGGAGTGCAGTGGCACGATCTCAGCTCACTGAAACCTCCATCTCCCGAGTTCAAGCAATTCCCCTGCCTCAGCCTCCCAAGTATGCTGGGACTATAGCCTGCCACCACGCCCAGCTAGTTTTTGTATTTTAGTAGAGGCAGGCTTTCACCATGTTGCCTAGGCTGGTTGAGAACTCCTGAGCTCAGGCAATCCGCCTGCCTCGGCCTCCCAAAGTGCTGGGATTACAGGCTTGAGCCACTGTGCCCGGTCAACACTTTTGTTATGTAAGCACAGATAGATACACAATAAAGTACAAATAGGTATACAGTATTTTTGTGTGTATTAAAATTTCCTGGGTATAAGAATGAAAGTTGGGGGAAGTCTAAAAAGTTCCTGGGGTGGTAGAGCAATAATGGGAGAAAAGTTTGAGAAGCTCTTTACTGTTTCAGAATGACAGAAAGAGCTCCTCTGGCTAGGCCAGATCACGAGCACTGGCGGTTATAGAAGGGTTTGGCATATCTCATTGAATTCAGCTTTCACCACAGGGTGAGGATGAAGGTTTGAATGACTTCCTTGTTTTTTGTTACTGATAAGTCTGAATACTGTAATAACATCACAAGGGAGTAGATCAATATTGTGCTTTGGACATGGGGAGAAAAAAAACCCAGTTAGGATTAATAGCATTGGCTAAGGAAACAGCCTGTGAACATAAATTACAGAAGTCAAAACAGAAGTTAGCAACAAAAGAAATTATAATAATCATGAATGCACTGCCATCCCTATTTGTGTCATTGTTAAAGTACTTCAATTTTCATTCAGTTGAACACAGAGTTACAGATTTCATCAATATTTTAGTACTGTAGTGATAAAACTTTATATTCCAGTGAGCTAATGCAGATTTACTGAATATTGGGAAGATGCAAGTTCAAATTTACTTTCTTATTTTATTTTATTTTTTGAGACACAGTCTGGCTCTCTTGCCCAGGCTGGAGTACAGTGGCGCGATCTCAGCTCACTGTATCCTCCACCTCCCAGGCTCAAGCCATCCCCCACCTCAGCCTTCTGAGTAGCTGGGATTGCAGGTGCGTGCCACCGCGCTTGGCTAATTTTTTGTGTTTTTAGTAGAGATGGAGTTTTACCATGTTGCCCAGGCTGGTTTTGAACTTGTGAGCTCAAGGAATCTGCCCACCTCGGTCTCCCAAAGTACTGGGATTACAGGTGTGAGCCACTATGTCCAGCCCCCAAATTTACTTTCTTTTTTTTTTTGTTTTTTTTCTTTTCGTTTGTTTGTTTGTTTGTTTGTTTTGAGATGTAGTTTTGCTCTTGTTGCCCAGGCTGGAGTCCAATGGCGCAATCTTGGCTCACCACAACCTCTGCCTCCCGGGTTCAAGCGATTCTCCTGCCTCAGCCTCCCAAGTAGCTGGGATTACAGGCATGCGCCACCACCCCGGCTAATTTTGTATTTTTAATAGAGACAGGGTTTCTCCATGTTGAGCAGGCTGGTCTCAAACTCCTGACCTCAGGTGATCTGCCGGCCTCGGCCTCCCAAAGTGCTGGGATTACAGGCGTGAGGCACCACGCCCGGCCTCCAAATTTACTTTCTTTGGATACATTATTTCCTTGAATTCAGTGCTTTCTACGTGCCAGGCACTGTTCTAGAGGAGGGAGCTTATGTTGTGGTTGGGGGAAAGGAAGACAGTCTATAAACAATAAATATAACTTCAAGTATGTTAAAAAGTGATACATTGACCAGATGCACCTGTAATCCCAGCACTTTGGGGGGCCAAGGAGGGTAGATTGCTTGAGTACAGGAGTTCGAGACCAGCCTGGGCAACATGGTGAAATCCTGTTCTACAAAAAATATGTATACATATATTAGCCAGGCTTGGTGGCACATGTGTTTAGTCCCAACTACCTAGGAGGCTGAGGTGGGAGGATCACTTGAACCTGGGAGGTCAAGGCTGCAGTGAACTGTAATCGTGCCACTGCGCTCCAGCTTGGGTGACAGAGCGAGACCCTGTCTCGAAAAAAAAAAAAAAGTGATACATCCTATGGGAAAAGAAAGAAATCAGATGGAGCTATAGGGAATAGTAGCAGAGAGGAGGACGTTGCAGTTAAACTAGAGTGGTCTGGGTAGATGTTATTAAGAAGGTGCAATTTGAACAAAGACTTGAGGTGAAGCAATGAATACTGCAGGAAGAATAGACCAAGCAGAAGTAACAGCTATTGTAGAAGTGAAGGGTGCCCAGCAAGGCCAGAACTAGCATGAAGTGAGCAGTTTACTTGCTTTAGGTTCAAAATTTGACAGTGCCTTAAAAACTCAATAATCAAAATAAATAATATTTGAATGTACCAGTTCAAAAATCAAAATTAATGCAAAAAATCCATAATGGACAAAATTTTAAAGATAGGCTCTTACCCTGTACTTGGCAAGACTGCTCTCTCCACCCTAATCTCTACCTAGTTCCTGTCTCAACAAGGGGCCAATGTGGCAGGAGCAGAGTGCATGAGAGAGTGAGTAGGATATAAGGTCAGAGAGATAATTGGGCCAGGTCTAGTGGGAACTTGTTTGCCATCTTAAGGAATTTTCCTTTTACTTTAAATGAAATGGCCCATAGAGGGTTTTGAACAGATAAGAAATGCATTTCCTAGGCCGGGCGTGGTGGCTCACACCTGTAATCCCACCACTTTGGGAGACCGAGGTGGGCGGATCACCTGAGGTCAGGAGTTGAGACCAGCCTGACTAATGTGGAGAAACCCCATCTCTATTAAAAATACACAAAAATTAGCCAGGTATGGTGGTGTATGCCTGTAATCCCAGCTACTCAGGAGGCTGAGGCAGGAGAATCGTTTGAACCCGGGAGGTGGAGGTTGCCATGAGCCGGGATTGCGCCATTGGACTCCAGCCTGGGCAACAAGAGCGAAACTCGGTCTCAAAAAAGAAAAAGAAATGCATTTCCTTTCCGCTGCTGTTTTGAGAATAGACTGAACTGGGGAATAAGATTAGATGCAGGAAAAGCCTTTCCAATGGGTCTGACCAGCATGGTAGCAGTGGGGTGAAGGAAAAGTGGTCAGATTCTGGGTATATGTGGAAGATACGGCCAACAGAATTTCCTAGTGGATTAGATGGAGGATGTAAGAAAAGGAAGAGTCAAAGATGACTCCAAGGTTTTTAGCCAGTTTGAAGAGCAATATCCAAAAATTCACATTGGCTTCAAAGTCTCAAAAGTCTATTTAACATGAACATGGAAGGGTATGTATAATGGATTGTTTAATGAAAAGACAGATTAGAAACCAATTGGCCAGGCGCAGTGCCTCATGCCTGTAATCCCAGCATTTTGGGAGGCTGAGACGGGCATATCACCTGAGGTCAGGCGTTCGAGACCAGCCTGTCCAACATGGTGAAACCCCGTCTCTGCTAAAAATACAAAAATTAGCCGGGTGTGGTGGCATGTGCCTGTAATCACAGGTGCTCGGGAGGCTGAGGCAGGAGAATTGCTTGAACCTGGGAGGTGGAGGTTGCAGTGAGCAGAGATTGTGCCACTGCACTCCATCCTGGGCAACAAGAACATGACTCTGTCTCAAAAATAAATAAACAAGCCAATTTATATGACAGAATCCCATTTGGGGTTGGAGTTACAAATATATGTGGCATATAAAAAAGTAAAAAGATGTCCAGGTGTGGTGGCTCACACGTGTGTAATCCTGAGACCAGCCTGGGTGACATGGTGAAACCTTATCTCTACCAAAAAAATACAAAAATTAGCTGTATGTTGTGGCACATGCTTGTAGTCCCAGCTACTTGGGAGGCTAAGGAGGTGGGAGGATCCCTTGAGCCCAGAAGGTCGAGCTGCAGTGAGGCATGATCACACCACCTCACTTCAGCCTGGGTGAAGAGCGAGACTGTGTCAGAAAAAAGTAAAAAGATTATATGTGTCAAAATGTTACAGTGATTACCTATGGTTAGTAGGATCATGGGTGGTTTTTTTCTTTTCTTTTTCTTTCTTTCTTTTTTTTTTTCCTTTTTGATACAGGGTCTCACTCTGTCATCCAGGCTGGAGTACAGTGGCACAATCGCAGGTCACTGCAGCCTCGACCTCCCTGGCTCAAGCAGTCCTTCCACTTCAGTCTCCCAAGTAGCTGGGACTATAGGCTTAAGCCACAATGCCCAGCTAATTTTTGTATTTTTTGTAGAGACAGGGTTTCACCATGTTGCCCAGGCTGGTCTCAAACTCCTGGGCACTCAAGCAATCCATCTGCCTCTAGGATTACAGGTGTGAGCCATTGTACCCCGCCTATTTTTTCTTTTAACCGCATGTTTTTGCTACTTTTTCTGCAATTAACATATATTTGAGACAGTCTTGCTCTGTCACCCAGGGTGGAGTACAGTGTTGCCATCTCAGCTCACTGCAACCTCTGCCTCCCAGATTCAAACAATTCTCCTGCCCTCAGCCTTCTGAGTAACTGGGATTACAGGCATATCCCACCATGTCCAGCTAATTTTGTATTTTTATTAGAAACAGGGTTTCACCATGTTGGCCAGGCTGGTCTCAAACTCCTGACCTCAAGTGATCCACCCGTCTCGGCCTCCCAAAGTGTTGGGTATAATACCCAACACCCAACCCGTGAGTCACCGCACCCGGCCACAAGTGTGTATATGTACCTATTTCCTTATTTTTAAAAATTCAGTTATTTGAATAGGCAACCAGTTCACATGGTAAAACAAGAAAGAGTATCAAGGGCTAAAGGGAGGAGGCTAAGGGAAATTTATGTGTACAGAGTTTCAGATTTGCAAGATGAAACAGTTTTGGAGATCTGTTTTATAACCGTGTAAATATACTTTACTACTGAACTGTACACTTAAAAATTGTGAAGATGACAAAATTTTTTTGTCATGTCTTTATTATCACAATAAAAAATCAGTAAAAGAGTGTGTAGTGAGAGGCTACCCGGACCACACCTATCCTTGAGCCACCCAGACTCCTCTCCAACACCCATTATTTTTTTTGAGATGGAGTCTCGCTCTGTCACCCAGGCTAGAGTGCAGTGGTGCGATCTCGGCTTACTGCAACCTCTGCCTCCCGGGTTCAAGCGATTCTCCTGCCTCAGCCTCCGAAGTAGCTGGGATTACAGGCACACACCACCACGCCCAGCTAATTTTTATATTTTTAATAGAAACAAGGTTTCACCATGTTAGGCTGGTCTCAAACTCCTGACCTCATGATCTGCCCACTTTGGCCTCCCAAAGTGCTGGGATTACAGGCGTGAGCCACCGTACCCGGCCCTAACACACTTGTTTTTACACAAATGGTCATATACTATGCATACTATTCTATACCTTGCTTTTTTTTTTTAACTTAATTTCTCTTAGAAACCTTATCAAGTATGTAGAGAGCCCCCTCATTCTTTTTTGCAGTTGCTAGCATTCCAGTGAATAGTTATATCATAATTTATATGACTATGTGTATATGACATACATGCTCAGTCGATCCTCATTATTTGTAGATTTTATATTTTCAAATTTGCCTACCTGGTAAAAGTTATTCATAACCTCAAATCAATACTAGTGGTGGTTTCACAGTCATTCACAGATGTGCAGTGTCTAAAAAAATTTGAGTTGTCCGACATGCACATGCTTAGCTGAGGTCAAACAGGGCAACATTGCTTTGTTTCAGCTTCCATACTATAAACAGGTGTTCTTTTCAAGGTCTATTTTAGTGCCATCTTTTTCACATTCTGTGCTTTTTTTTTTTTTTTTTTGCGCCCCTCTGGGGATTTTGCTGTTTAAAATGGCCCCTCCAAGGGTAGTGCTGTAGTGCCAACTAGTGTTTCTAAGTGCAAGAAGACTGTGACATGCGTTAGAGAGAAAATATGGTTAGATAAGCATCGTTTAGGCATGAGTTATAGGCTGTTGGCCACTAATTCAATGTTAATGAATCAACAATATGTTTTCAATAAGGTGTCTTTAAACCAAGATACATACAAGGTTATATACTGATCTGTTGACAAAAGTGTTGTCTATCAGAGGCTTTCAGGAACCTAACCCTGTATTTTTCAGAAGGAATGTTTCAATATTTGCTAATTCAATGTTTGCAGCAACTTTATAAAACGTAACTACCATGACTATTGAGAAGCCACTGTATGTGTGTATATATATCTGATTTATTATATATATACATTTAAATATTTGATCCCTTTGGAATATATCTTGGTATAAGACATGAGGTGTGAATCCAACATAATATTTTCCATGGTGGCTACCCAGTAGCTCAACCACCAACTTTTTTTTTTTTTTTTTTGAAATAGAGGTTTGCATGAGACTTTGTCTCAAAAAAAAAAAAATGAAATGGAGGTTTGCTCTTGTCGTCCAGGCTAGAGTGCAATGGCACAGTCTCGGTTCACTGCAACCTCCACCTCCTGGGTTCAAGTGATTCTCCTGCCTTAGCCTCCCAAGTAGCTGGGATTACAGATATGTGCTACCATGCCCAGCTAATTTTTGTGTTTTTGATAGAGACAGGGTTTCACCATGTTGTTGACCAGGCTAGTCTTGAATTCCTGACCTCAGGTGATCCACCCGCCTCGGCGTCCAAAGTGCTGGGATTACAGGCGTGAGCAACTGCGCCCAGCCTCAAATGCCAATTCTTGAATAATACATTTATCTTCTCCAATTTAAGATAGTATCTGTATCATAGACTAAATACCCATATATATTTGGCTTTTTTTTCTAGGTTTTCTATTTTGCTTCACTGATCATTCTAGTTTTATTTTGGAACCATACTGTTTTAATTATTTAGAGTTTATGATGTGTTTTAACATCTAATAGAATATTCATGGTGGGTGCGGTGGCTCACACCTGTAATCCTAGCACTTTGTGAGGCTGAGGCGGGCAGATCGCCTGAGGTCAGGAGTTTGAGACCAGGCTGGCCAACATGGCGAAACCCCGTTTCTACTAAAAATACAAAAATTCGCCAGGCGTGGTGGGGAGTGCCTATAATCCCAGCTACTCAGGAGGCTGAGGCAGGAGAAACGCTTGAACCCCGGAGGGCAGAGGCTGCAGTGAGCCGAGATCGCGCCATTTCACTCCAGCCTGAGCGAAAGAGTGAAACTCCATCTCAAAAAAAAAAAAAAAAAAGAATATTCACTGACTTAGCCAGGTGGCAGATTAAAACAGAAAATCCAGTCATTTGTTAGGTCATTTGAGCTGAGTGGCCTATTTCTCTTTGTTACCATATAGATTTTTTAAATCACGGAATTTCAGAATTAAAAAAGACCAAATATTTTTGGCCTTCATTTTATAGATGAAGAAACTGAAACTCATATTTCGGTAATTTACTCATGTTACCTATTTTGTAAGAGTCAGAATCAGGACTGGACTTCAGATCTGGTATTTCTTCTATCCCCTTAATTGTGTCTCTGTTAAAAGATGCCTTGACCATTTATGGGAAGAGTATATGCAGTTTACCTTTTCTGTTCCTTTTTGTAGAATGGTAGTCGAAGAAGAACACCAGGTGGAGTTTTTCTGAATCTCTTGAAAAACACTCCTAGTATCAGCGAGGAACAAATTAAGGTAATGATAATGTCCTCACCTCTTAAGCGCCATCATAATTTGACTTCTACTCACCCTCTACCTTCATTTTCTATGGATATGCATTACCTGTTCTGCCTTCAGTGGACTGATTTTGTTATTATCTTAAGTAACATTTATGCCTTTTATTTATTTATTTATTTTTGAGGCGGAGTCTCACTCTGTCACCCAGGCTGGAGTGTAGTGGCATGATCTCAGCTCACTGCAACCTCCGCCTCCCGGGTTCAAGTGATTCTCGTGCCTCAGCCTCCCAAGTAGCTGGGATTACAGGCACATGCCACCATGCCTGGCTGATTTTTGTATTTTTAGTAGAGACGGGGTTTCACCATATTGGCCAGACTGGTCTCAAACTCCTGACCTCAAGCAGTCCGCCCGTCTCGGCCCCCACAAAGTGCTGGGATTACAGGCGTGAGCCAGTGCTCCCAGCCAGCCTTTTATTCTTTGTAGAGACGGGGTCTTGCTGTGTTGCCCAGGCTGGTCTTGTACGTCTCGGCTCAAGCAATCCTCCTGCCCCAGTCTCCCAAAGTGCTGCAATTACAGGCATGAACCATTCTTTCTTTACCTATACACTTTTTATTTGTTTCTCTATTTCTTTCTTTCTTTTTTCCCCTTGAGACAGGGTCTAAGGACCTGGCTCTATTGCCCAGGCTGGAGTGCAGTGGCGCAATTTCTGTTCACTGCAGCCTCTGCCTCCTGGGCTCAAGTAGTCCTCCCACCTCAGCCTCCAGAGTAACTGGGAGTACAGGCATATGCCATTACACCCAGCTAATTTTTGTATTTTTTGTAGAGATGTTGCCCAGGCTGGTCTGGAACTCTGGGCTCTAGTGATCCACCCACCTCAGCCTCCCAGAGTGTTGGGATTATAGGCATGAGCCACCACGCCTGGCCTATACAGTCTTTTCCTGTTCCATGTGGAAATAAATAACAAGCATCAGATGCTTAGTTCTAATTATTTGAACAAGCGTAAGGGCAGGCAATGAGTCTGGAGTGAGTGTACAGTTAACACTTCAGCTTGGTGCCATCCCCCACCAAAAAAAAAATACAAAAAAAAAGTATCTCCCAGTAATGACAATACCCTACATAACCACAAGACCCATTATCACTCCTAAGAGAAATAAAAACAATTTCATAGTATTCAATATCTAGACCTTATTCCAATTTCCTAATTTGTCCCAAGAATATATTTTATATACTTTCCCCCTAAGCAGAATACAGTCTAGGTTTCCATATTCCATTTGTTGTATCTCCTCCTGTATTATATATTTTTAATTAAATTTTTTTTTTTAATTTTTGGAAACAAAGTCTTTTTTTAAAAACTGTTTTTTTTTTTTTTGAGATGGAGTCTTGCTCTGTCGCCAGGCTGGAGTGCAGTGTCATGATCTCGGCAACCTCTGCCTCCCGGGTTCAAGCAAGTCCCCTGCCTCAGCCTCCTGAGTAGCTGGGATTACAGGCTTGCGCCACCACGCCCAGCTAATTTTTTGTATTTTAGTAGAGATGGGGTTTCACCATGTTAACCAGGATGGTCTCGATCTCCTGACCTCGTGATCTGCCTGCCTTGGCCTCCCAAAGTGCTGGGATTCAGGCATGAGCCACCACGCCCGGCCGGAGACAAAGTCTTACTCTGTTGCCCCAGCTGGAGTGCATCATCACAGCTCACTGCATTCTTGACCTCCCTGGTCTTAGATGACCCTCAGCCTCCCAAGTAGCTGGGACAACAGACATGCACCACTATGGCCAGCTAATTTTTGTATTTTTTGTAGAGACGGAGTTTCTCCATGTTGGCCAGGCTGGTCTCCAACTCCTGGGCTCAAGCAGTCCTCCCACCTTGGCCTCCGAAAGTGCTGGAATTACAGGTGTTAGCCACCTTGCCTGGCCCTCCTTTATTCTTTTTAACCCCACATTTTCCTTCATGATTTAGACCTTTTGAAGAGTTAAAGATGGTTAGGTCAGGCGTGGTGGCTCCTGTCTGTAATTCCAGCATTTTGGGAGGCCGAGGTGGGCAGATCAGTTGAGTTCAGGAGTTCAAGAGCAGCCTGGCCAGCATGGTGAAACCCCGACCCTACTCAATACAAAAATTAACCAGGCATGGTGGCGGGCGCCTGTAATCCCTGCTACTCGGGAGGCTGACGTAGGAGAATCGCTTGAACCTGGGAGGTGGACGTCGCAGTAAGCCGAGATCACACCACTGTACTCCAGCCTGGGTGACAGAACAAGACTCTGTCTTTAAAAAAAAAAAAAAAAAGTTACAGGTGGTTATCTTACAGAATATTAGGTTACCTTATTATATTTTGGTGATTGTCTCCTTGTGGCTTTCATTCATTCTTCTGTCTCCAGTATTATAAACTAGAAGGTGTAGACTCTTTAGTATTTTAAATCATGTTTGTGTTACTGGGAATATCTTTTACGGACATTCTTCTACAGTATGGATTTTTCAAAACTTAAAATTTGTTTTCTTTTAATTTGTTAATCCGAGAACATGATTTGCACTTAGCATTTATTCATAGACTAAAGATTGAGAACTAAACTCTTGCATAGGAAAGAGGTGGTGCACATCTATCACAGCTGTTGTATTTGAGTAGCCGCACATTTTCCTTATGATAACAATGGTGATAAAGGTAATAGGAATGTGTCTTTTAGCCATACTGACTGTAATGCTAATGATGACAGATAAAGCAACTTACCTTGAGCTGGTCCAGGTAATTGCATTTTGCATCTGCTCAGTGTTCTTTTTCCTTAAGTTTTCTGGCTGTTCTCTTAACAGTCATTTTAATAGAGTCTGCTATATTGACATTCCTATAGGAAATGTTACTGTAAATCTAAAATCTCTAGTAACTACTTTTTTCATTTCATTGTAACAACTGTTTCAGTAACATGATTTGTAACAATGTAAGTTTCCTTAGGAACACAACTGTTGAGTGGTAGCAAAGATTATACTCTAATGTTCTCTCCTCTCACCCAAAGTAATTCTTGACAAAAAGTATGTACTTAAAAGATACCTTCTAAGTAACTAAACCTTGGACAAATAATATTCTCAGGCAGGAGAAAAGAAATACTGTAACATTTATTGATTTCCTCCCACTGGACCAAAGATTAATATTATATAACTTAATCTTCACCACATTGTATCACCGTGAATGTTACAAATGGAGAATAATCAAAATTATATGCCTGAGATCACACAGACCACTCTGACTCCAAAACCATGTTGGAGTTATTTTCACTGTATTATGTCTTTGTAATTCAGTTATTCCAGCTCATTTAGGGAAAGGATTTTAATACTAGAAAGTTTTTATGTCAAACTACCAGAAACTTTGCATTATAATAACAAAAAATAGAAACACTTGGAATATCTAATAATAGGGAAATGTTGACTTACAAGGACATTCTTTTGTTTGTTTGTTTTTTTGAGACAGAGTCTCACTCTGTCCCCTAGGCTGAGTGCAGTGGACGATCTCGGCTCACTGCATCCTCCGCCTCCCAGCTTCAAGCAGTTCTCTCACCTCAGCCTCTCGAGTAGCTGGGATTACAGGCATACCACCACACCCGGCTAATTTTTGTATTTTTAGTAGAGACAGGGTTTCACCATGTTGTCTGGGCTTGTCCCAAACTCCTGACTTCAGGTGATCCACCCTCCTCGGCCTCCCAAAGTGCTGGAATTACAGGAGTGAGCCACTGCGCCTGGCCAAAAAATTCTTTTTAAAAAGAGACGGTTTCACTCTGTCACCCAGGTCTCACATTATGTTGCTCAGACTGGTCTTGAACTCTGGGGCTCAAATGATGTTCATGCCTCGGCCTCTCAAAGTGCTGGGATTACAGGTGTGAGCCACTGTACCTGGCAGTTTTGTTTTGTTTTGAAGAGGTAGGTCTCCTGCTATCACTCAGGCAGGAGTCCAATGGCACTATCGTAGCTCACTGTAGCCTCAAACTCCAGGGCTCAAGTGACCCTCTTGCCTCAGCCTCCTTAGTAGCTGGGACTGTAGGGCACATGCCATCACTCTCAGCTTATTTTTAAAATATTTTGTAGAGACAGGGTCTTATATTGCCCAGTCTAGTCTCAAACTCCTGGCCTTAAGCAATCCTCCTGCCTGGGCCTCCCAAAGTCCTGGGATTACAGGTGTGAGCCACCATGCCTGACCAATAAAATTTTATTATAGATCATTTATTTCAGATGCCACCTAAATGATGATGTTATAATTATTCTTTTAATTGCTATATTGCTAACAGTCACCATATGTAGAACTTAGAAGCCAGAACTTGACTAAGTTTGTTTTCCTGTTTTAAAATTCCATTTGGGTACATGACCTCACAATTAAGTTTTGTTTTGAAAAATACAAAGTTTTCTGAAGGAAAAAAGCAATAGTTAAAACTTTATTTGCTTTGTTCAAAGAAAAAAAAAAGCTCAGCTAAAACACTAGAGTTAGATCCTTAACTTGGAGAGTTAAGTATATATAGATATGGATGGGAGGGGGGAAATTTTCCCTCAAATTACCTGTCTGCATTTGTGATAAAGATATTAACAACATGTTGCAACAACATTTTGGGGACCATTTCCCACTTTGTTCTATTAAATTCATAACGCATGGGAATGAAGTTTGTTTTTATTTTGTTTATTGTTTATTTTTTTAATTTTTGAGACGGAGTCTCCTAGCTCTGTTGCCCAGGCTGGAGTGCAGTGGTGAGATCTTGGCTCATCCTGGGTTCAAGCAATTCTCCTGCCTCACCCTCCCAAGTAGCTGGGATTACAGGTGCCCGCCACCACGCCTGGCTAATTTTTGTGTTTTTGTTTGTTTGTTTGTTTTTTGAGATGGAGTCTTGCTCTATCGCCAGGCTGGAGTGCAGTGGCGCGCTCTCGGCTCACTGCAACCTCTGCCTCCCGGGTTCAGGTGATTCCCCTGCCTCAGCCTCCCAAGTAGCTTGGATTATAGGCTCGCACCACCATGCCCAGCTAATTTTTTGTATTTTAGTAGAGATGGGGTTTCACCATGTTGGCCAGGATGGTCTCGATCTCCTGACCTCGTGATCCGCCCGCCTCAGCCTCTCAAAGTGCTGGGATTACAGGCGAGAGCCAGCAAACCCAGCCTAATTTTTGTATTTTTTTTTTTTTTTTTTTTTTTTTTTTTTAGTAGAGATGGAGTTTTACCATATTGGCCAGGCTGGTCTCGAACTCCTGACCTCAAGTGATCTGACCACCTCGGCCTCCTGAAATGCTAGGATTACAAGAATGCGCTACCACACCTGGCCAAAGTTTCTTTTTAATAAGGCTTGCCATATTTGGAGAGAAAAGGGCAGTTTCGTAAAATTTACTCAGTGTTACCAAGCATTATACTACTTAGAATTCTTAGCAAGATGCTTGGATATGCTTCCATATAAAATGAAAATGCTTCTACTGTGGCTTCTTCATATTCTTTGAATTAAAGGTAAGTGAACTCTTGGAAAAAATTGCAAATCATCACACTTTTGTGAAGGCAGTATAATAGATTTTAAGAACATTGGGCCGGGCGCGGTGGCTTACCCCTGTAATCCCAGCACTTTGGGAGGCCGAGGCAGGTGGGTCACTTGAGGCCAGGAGTTGGAGACCAGCCTGGGCAACATGGAGAAACCCCATCTCCACTAAAAATACAAAATATAGTTAGGTGTGGTAGCTCACGCCTGTAGTTCCAGCTACTCTAGAGGCCAAGGCATGAGAATTGCTTGAACCCTGGAAATGGAGATTGCAGTGAGCCGAGATCAGACGACTACACTCCAGCCTGGGTGACAGAGCCAGACTCTGTCTCAAAAAAAAAAGAAGAAGAAAAAAAATAAGAATGTAGGAGAAATCAGCAGCTACTTGGGATGCTGAGGCGGGAGGATTGCTTTAGTCCAGGAATTCGAGGCTGCAGTGAGGTATAATTATACACTGCACTCCAGCTTGGGTGACAGCGAGGCCCCATCTCTATCAAAAACTTTTAAAAAGGAGAATATTAGAGAAATCATATGTGAGTTCAGACTTCATACCTTCACATGGTAGCCCTGTAATCTTGTGCCTCATTTTCCACATCTGAAAACAAGGATAGTTAACTACCTCATAAGGCTTTTGTGAGGACGAAATGAGTTAATGTGTGTGTAAAGTCCTTAGCAAAATGCCTGGTACGTAAAAGTACTCACTTGATAACTGGTAGCAAGCCTCATTATATTCTGAATTTACCTTTGTCTTTTCTCACGTATGTACCCTCCTTCTCCCTCCTCAGTTCCTCCTCTTTAGCAAATACTTTTCTTATTTCTCTTCATCAAAACACTCATATTCTGAAGTTTCCCCTTACCTCTTCATTTCAAAGATCTTTACACCTTCCTCTGTTAATTCTGTGTGCTGCTTGTAACTATTTAGCATAAATTTTAGGAGAGAGTCTCCTTCATCCCACCATCTTCCATAGTGCTTTTTATAAACAAGAAGGGATTGGGATTTGTATTCTTTAAGAATATAACAGGGACTGGCTTGGCTTGAGCTTTTTGGAATCCCTGCCCAGGAGATAATAGGGTCCCAGAAGTGTGTCCTGCCTACACTAGCTTCTTTTTTAAACCTTTGAACCGTCTCTGTTTTAGTACAGGTTGACAATCCCTAATCTGAAAATCCAAAATGCTCCAAAACTTTTTGACTTTTTGTTTTGGTTTGGTTTTGGGTTTTTTTTTTTTTTTTTTGAGACACAGTCTCGCTCTGCTGCCCAGGCTGGAGTGCAGTGGCACAGTCTCGGCTCACTGCAACCTCTGTCTCCTGGGTTCAAATGATCCTCCTGCCTCAGCCTCCCTAGTAGCTGAGACTACAGGTGTGTGCCACCACAGCCGGCTACTTTTTGTATTTTTAGGAGAGACAGGGTTTCACCATGTTGGCCAGGCTGGTCTGCAACTCCTGACCTCAAGTGAACCACCCACCTCCGCCTCCCAAAGTGCTGGGATTACAGGCATGAGTCACCATGCCCAGCCTTCATTTAGGAAATTTTTAACTGTAGAGATGATACATTAAGGTAGAATAAGCATGGGCCCTAAACCTAACACTAGGCTGGGTTTAAATCAGTTTCAATCTTGCAATGAGTACTTACTTAATATCTTGAACTCCATCTTAATAATGAGCCTAATAATACTTGTATTTTTTGTAAGAAATGGAGATAATGATTTTAAAGGGACAGTCATGGAATAAACCTTTAATAACGTGGTAGTTCTTGTTTACTAACTTTGTTCCTTTATTACAGGACATTTTCTACATTGAAAACCAAAAGGAATATGAAAATAAAAAAGCTGCTAGGAAGAGGAGAACACAAGTGTTGGGGAAAAAGATGAAACAAGCTATTAAAAGTCTAAATTTTCAAGAAGATGATGATACATCACGAGAAACTTTTGCAAGTGACACGAATGAGGCCTTGGCCTCTCTTGATGAGTCACAGGAAGGACATGCAGAAGCCAAGTTGGAGGCAGAGGAAGCCATTGAAGTTGATCATTCTCATGATTTGGACATCTTTTAAGTACATTTTCAACAGTTTGAGGACTAAGCCTTTCTAAAATAACATTGTAATAAACCATTTTTACTGAGATTGCAACGTTTTGCACTGATAAACATGAGAATCTGGAGGAAAGACAATTGTTTTCTTGTTTAAAATATGTGTGGAAAGGAATGCAATTGATAGAACATTTAAAGATATATCTGACAAAATACTTAAGAGTATATAGCACAGGATTTAATTTCTCAATCTGTTGCATGTGCTAATTATGAGTATTACTAGTTGATAATCAGTTTTGTCTAGGTCATAACATACCATTTGTAAGTTTGTTTGCTTTTT
The DNA here is from genome assembly GCF_000001405.40 of Homo sapiens. NCBI lineage: Eukaryota > Metazoa > Chordata > Mammalia > Primates > Hominidae > Homo > Homo sapiens. The sequence goes on from NC_000005.10 coordinate 126,625,160, forward strand.
CAGGTTTATCTTTGCAGTGAATTATGCTTTGCTTTAAAACATTCCGCTAAAATCATAATGGGACATATAAATTATTAAGCTGTTAGAAATGCATTCAAATTTGTTTTTTCTGTGTTCTAAGAACTCAGGCAATTTTAAGGATAAAAACTAACATTGGCCAGGCACGGTGGCTCACGCCTGTAATCCCAACACTTTAGGAGACCAAGGCGGGCAGATCACTTGAGGTCAGAAGTTTGAGACCAGCCAGGCCAACATGGTGAAACTTCATCTCTACTAAAAATACAAAAACTAGCCAGGTGTGGTTCTCCATGCCTATAATCCCGGCTACTCGGGAGGCTGAGGCAGGAGAATCACCTGAACCCGGGAGGCAAAGGTTGCAGTGAGCTGAGATCGTACCACTGTACTCCAGCCTGGGCGACAGAGCAAGACTCTGTCTCAAAAAAAAAAAAAAATACAATTAAGAGGTGTATACTGATGATTCTTCCCACTCATTTGTTTGTCCAGAAGTAAATAAATGTCGGAAGTTTTCCAAGTAACTATTTGTTTTTTGGGGGGTTTTTTAGTTAGAGTCTTGATCTGTCACCCAGGCTGGAGTACAGTGGCAGGATCTCAGCTTACTGCAGCTTCCATCTCCCAGGTTCAAGCGATCATGTGCCTAAGCCTCCTGAGTAGCTGGGATCACAGGTGTGTACCACCACGCCCAGCTGATTTTTGTATTTTTAGTAAAGACTTTCGCCATGTTGTCCAGGCTGGTCTCGAACTCCTGGCCTAATGATCTGCCCACCTCTGCCTCCCAAAGTGCTGGGATCACAGGCATGAGCCACCGAACCCAGCCTTATTCTGCTTAAATTTAACGTGTTTTTTGACTTCTTAATTAACTTGGTCATATACTAAATGTGATCTCCTGTGGATTACCACATGCATTAAAAAATTTTTCAAGCTGGGCCTAGTGGCGCACACCTGCAATCCCAACACTTTGGGAGGCCAAGAGAGGAAGATTGCTTGAGCCCAGGAGTTTGAGACCAATCTAGGCAATGTAGTGAGACCCTGTCTCTAATTTAAAAAAGAAAAAGAAAAAAACATTCCCAGTGGCAGCCTGCCTAAGACTGTCTTACCTTATGTTAAGGAAGTCAGGTATTTAAAATGTTACATATGCCGGCGCAGTGGCTCATGTGTGTAATCCCAGCACTCTGGGAGGCTGAGACAGGTAGATCATTTGAGGTCAGGAGTTCAAAACCAACCTGGTCTACATGGTGAAACCCCATCTCAACTAAAAATACAAAAAATACAAAAAATTAGCCGGGCGCGGTGGCTCACACCTGTAATCCCAGCACTTTGGGAGGTGGAGGCGGGTGGATCACAAGGTCAAGAGATCGAGACCATCCTGGCCAACATGGTGAAACCCTGTCTCTATTAAAAATACAAAAATTAGCTGGGCGTGGTGGCGCATGCCTGTAGTCCCAACTACTAGGGAGGCTGAGGCAGGAGAATCACTTGAACCCAGGAGGTGGAGGTTGCAGTGAGCCGAGATCACGCCACTGCACTCCAGCCTGGCGACAGAGCGAGACTCCCTCTCAAAAAAAAAAAAAAAAATACAAAAAATTAGCCGGGCATTGTGGTGCATGCCTGTAATCTCAGCTATTTGGGAGGCCGAGGCAGGAGAATCACTTGAACCCAGGAGGCAGAGGTTGCAGTGAGTCGAGATCGTGCCACTGCACTCCAGCCTGGGTGACAGAGCAAGACTTTGTCTCAAAAATAATAATAGTAAAATGTTACATGTGCATGAAGTTTTAAATTACTCATTTTTATTAATGAAGAAAATAAGGTAGTTTAGACATTCCAAGAGTTAACTATAGTTTACAAAAATATATTAAGCAAAAATATGCTTGATATATTAAGCAGAAATGTTGTATATTAAGCAAAAATGTAAAATTCAGCAATTATAAACTGTTCCTTACAGACAGTGTACTTGAAGTCTTTTGGTAGTTCTGAGAATGTGGTCATTGAAGTTGGATCTAAGAGGAAAGTGGTTATCGGTTGCTTTTTATTTATAAAGGATGCAAAAATAAAATTAGATTTTTGGCAGTCCTTAATGAGCTTCAAGTGATTATATTTTTAAATCTTGAATGTTTTTTCATAAAAATGCTATAGCCAAGAAAAATATTTTTAAAAGGTAATTGGATATTGACCCTAAGACAATTTATGGGAGGTGATTTTAGAAATAGTACATTAAGAAAGATAATTATTCTGAATACTTAAATGCCACATATTAATGTAAATATTGCCAATTTTTCTAGCAAAAGTTATGCCTTTTAAAGGGCGTTGATGCCTGAAGCTACTTTATCTTCATCAAGATTGTTTCTTCCCCACACCTTCCTGGTTTTTTAGCAATAGTTGTTTTTTTTTTTCTTTTTCTTTTTTTTTAAGACGGAGTTTTCACTTTTGTTGCCTAGGCTGGAATGCAATGGCACCATCTCAGCTCACTGCAACCTCCGCCTCCCGAGTTCAAGCGATTCTCCTGCTTCAGCCTCCCAAGTGGCTGGGATTACAAGCACACGCCACCACACCCAGCTAATTTTTTTGTATTTTTAGTAGAGACAGGGTTTCACCATGTTGGCCAGGCTGGTCTCAAACTCCTGACCTCAGGTGATCCACCTGCCTCAGCCTCCCAAAGTGTTGGGATTACAGGCATGAGCTACCACGCCCAGCCAATAGTTGTTTCTTTAACATTTGGAAACCACTCAGATTTCTGGCTTGTGTTGCATCCTACTGCCATACAGAAAGCAGTGCTTCAATTTTTAAGGTTATTTCTTTTTTTCAAAGTTTAGGTTTTTATTGAATATGCTGTAAAAGAGGTTTAGTCAAAAAGACCAAAGCCCATGTCCTCATCAGATTCCTCGGATTCTTCTTTCTTTGCTTCCACTTTCTTCTCAACTGAAGCAGCAGCAGTGGAGGGGGTAGGATCTCCAGCTGCTGCAAGTCCACCAGCCCTTACATTGCAGATGGGGTTCCCGATGCTGACATTGGCTAGGGCCTTTGCAAACACGCCAGGCCAGAAAGGTTCAACATTTACACCAGCTGCTTTAATGAGGGCATTGATTTTATCATTATGCAGAATGAGGGCCGAGTAGATGTAGGCGAGCTCGGAGAGGGAGGCCATGGCACGGGTGTGTGTGGGGCTGGCGCTGCTGGATGAGGTGCTAATCGCCGGATGAAGTGAGGCTCTCACCCCAATGTGGCCTTAGCTTCCTTGGAATGACCAAGCACCTTGGCAGCAGCTGAGGAAAGGGCAGTTTTTAAGGTTCTTTAAAAATTTATCGGCCCGGCATGGTGGCTCATACCTGTAATTCTAACACTGGGAGGCCGAGGCAGGCGGATTGCCTGAGCTCAGGAGTTCGAGACCAGCCTGGGCAACACGGTGAAACCCCGTCTATACTAAAATACAAAAAATCAGCTGGGCATGGCAGTGTGTGCCTGTGGTCCCAGCTACTTGAGAGCCTGAGGCAGGAGAATTGCTTGAACCCGGGAGACGGAGGTTGCAGTGAACGAAGATCATGCAACTGCACTCCAGACTGGGCACAGAGCTAGACTCCATCTCCAAAAATATAATAAAAAATTATCTAAGATGACTCTGAACCTTTCTGGCTATCCAAATCAAGATGTGCAAACTGTTCTTAGGTATGTATTCTTTTAGTTTATGCTCTCATCAAACCAGCATATCTTGCAGTAATTCTTCCTGCTTAGCCTAATAATATTTTTTCTACTTGCCAGTGGGTAGGACTTACACTAATAACCATCCACCTCTCTGTTATAGTAGTTTAAGCATTTATCCTCACTAGTAACCTTTCTTTATTAAAATCAGTTTTCATAACCTAAAATATTCTGCAATATGACAAATCTTAGGGGATAAAATAGGCTGGATTGGTTTGAGTTTAAACAAATTGGATTTACACTCTTGAGCTGCATGTAATAGATGGTGAAACATAAATGGGACACATATCAGTTGTGCAGTATATAGTGATGTTGAGCATTTTTTCATTACTTGACCTTTGCATGTGTTCTTTTGAGAAATGTCTACTAAGATCTTTCACCTTTTAAGACAGTGTCTCGCTGTGTTGCCTGGGCTGGGAGTGCAGTGGCACAGTCATGGTTCACTGCAGCCTCGACCTTCCAGGCTCAAGCGATCTTCCTGCCTGAGGATCCATCATGCTTAGCACCACACTGGTCTCGAACTCCTGGGCTCAAGCAATCCTCCTGCCTCAGCCTCCCAAAGTGCTGGTATTATAGGCATGAGCCACCACACCCAGTCATTTTACCCAGTTTTAAATCAGATTGGTCATTTTTCACTGTTCTTTATGTAGTCTGGTTTTTAACCCCTTGTCAGATATATATTTTGCAGATGTTTTGTCCCATTCTGTAGGTTGTCTCTTCACTCTTGTTTCCTTTGCTGTGCAAAAGCCTGTCAGTTTGATGTAATCCCATGTGTTTATTTTTGCTTTTGTTGGCCTGTTTTGCTGAGGTCTTATTTTAAAAATCCTTGGGCCAGGCAAAGTGGCTCACACCTGTAATCCCAGCACTTTGGGAGGCTTGAGTGGGTGAATCACATAAGCATAGGAGTTCAAGACTAGCCTGGGCAACATGGCAAAACCCCATCTCTATAAAAAATTTAAAAATTAGGCTGGGCGCGGTGGCTCACGCCTGTAATTCCAGCACTTTGGGAGGCCAAGGCGGTCAGATCATGAGGTCAGGAGATCAAAACCATCCTGGCCCACATGGTGAAATGCTGTCTCTACTAAAAATACAAAAATTAGCTGGGCGTTGTGGCACATGCCTGTAATCCCAGCTACTCGGGAGGCTGAGGCAGGAGAATCGCTTGAACCAGGGAGTCGGAAGATGCAGTGAGCTGAGATCGCACCGCTGCACTCCAGCCTGGTGACAGAGTGAGACTCTGTCTCAAAAAAAAAGAAAATTTTTAAAATTAGGCAGGCATGGTAGTGCACACCTGTGGTCCCAGCTATTGGGAGGCTGGGGTGGGAAGATCACCTGGGCCCACGATTGATTGAGGTTGAGGCTGCAGTGAGCCGTGATTGTGCCACTGCACTCAACCTTGAGTGACAGAGTGAGAACCTCCGTCTCAAAAAAAAAAAAAACCTTGCCCAGCCCAATGTTGTAGAGTATTTCTGTATGTTTTCTAGTAGTTTTGTAGTTTCAAGTTACATTTAATCCTAATCCATTCTGAGTTGATTTTTGTGTATGGTGAGAGGTAGGGGTCTAGTCTCATTCTTCTTCATGGGGATGTTCAATTTCCCCAGCACTGTTTATTGAAGAGACTGTCTTTTCCCTCGTGTGTGTTCTTGGCACCTTTGTTGAAAATCGGTTGACTGTAGGTGGCATACGCAATATATAAAGAGGAAAATCAGCCACGGACCAATACAGAATGTTAATTTGAAGTGATTATTTTTTAATTACTGAATAATTGTTCAGTTCAACGTATTTTCTAGTATGTGTCAAATTTGTGTCACAAACATCTTCATTTTTAATTGCTCATTATAAGAATGATGTTCTACTCAAAAAGGAATTTGTTTTATTTTGTTTTGTTTTGTCTTGTTTTTTGGAGACAAGGTATTGCTTTGTTGCCCTGACTGGAGAGCCGTGGTGCAATCACAGCTCACTGCAGCTTCGATCTCCTGGGTTCAAGTGATCCTCCTGCCTCAGCCTTTCAAATAGCTGGGACCACAAGTACATGTGACCACGCCCAGCTTGCTTATTTATTTATTTATTTATTTATTTATTTATTTATTTATTGAGATGGAATCTTGCTCTGTCACCCAGGCTGGAGTGGAGTGGCATCATCTCTGTTTGCCGCAACCTCTGCCCCCGGATTCAAGCAATTCTCCTGCCTCAGCCTCCCAAGTAGCTGGGATTACAGGCGCACACCACCATGCCTGGCTAATTTTTGTGTTTTTAGTAGAGAAGGTGTTTTACCATGTTGGCCAGGCTGGTCTTGAACTCCTGACCTCAAGTGATCCACCTGCCTCGGACTCCCAAAGCGCTGGGATTACAGGCATGAGCCACTACACTTGGCCAAATTTTTTTATTTTTTGTAGAGACCGGAATTTACTATGTTGCCCAGGCTGGTCTCAAATTCCTGGGCTCAAGTGATCCTCCTGCCACATCCTCCCAAAGTGCTAGGATTACAGGCATGAGCCACTGTGCCAGGCCAGAAGGGGGATTTTTTTTAAAGCCCTGAAAATAGCTCTGAGCTGGACACTTTTTTTTTTTGATTTAGAGTCTCACTCTGTCACCCAGGTTGGAGTGCAGTGGCGCAGTCTCGGCTCACTGCAACCTTTGCCTCCTGGGTTCAAGTGATTCTCCTGCCTTGGCCTCCTGAGTAGCTGGGATTACAGGCACCCACCACCACACCTGTGAGCTGGACACTCTTAACTGCTACTGTAACTGCCGAGAGTTACTATGAAGTTAGCAAAACATTGTTACATCAGAGCAGCGTTGTCATCATAATTAGACTAGTGAGTTAGTGAAGTTTTAGATGAGTATTCCATCCATTGCTGTCAGGAATGGCTTCAGGGAAAGATACTTGTCCTACTTTGCCTAAACTCACTAACAACTGCTCTGATGAGAGTCTCTATAAATCTGCTAATAAGTAAGGATTTATGGGATTCTGGGGTTTTTTGTTTGCTTGTTTTGCAACCTGGGAGCCACAAAGATACGGTCAATAACTTTGTGTTCCCCTTTGGCATCTATACAGAAAGCTTTATGTTCCAGAGGGAAATATGTGTGCAGGGAAAGCAAATCTGACCTGAGTGTAGAGCATACATAAATTCAGAAGCCAATATAGTTTCTGTTTTTTGTGGCTGGCCAGACATTTCCTTTAGGCAGTCGGTAGGCCTGAGGCAAATCTAGGTGCCTTGCCTTTTCCCTTAAAGTCAAGTTAAAATGGGCAGGGTGCAGTGGCTCACGGCTGTAATGTCAACAGTTTGAGAGGCCAAGGTGGGTGGTTCACTTGAGGTCAGGAATTCGAGACCAGCCTGACCAACATGGCAAAACCCCAGCTGGGCATGATAATGCACTCCATCTCATTAAAAAAAAAAAAAAAAAAAAAAAAAAAAGTCAGATTAAAATGGACATTGTGGGCAAATTGTAAAGGACAGCATGCAGTTAGAATTACAGATACCTGGCCCTGACTTGATCTTGCTGATACATGGGTACTTAAATGGTTATCTTTTAGCTGAGTTTCAATGGCACAGCCGTCTGTCCTGCAACAGCAGGGGACCAAACATGAATGCACAACTGCCTCCAGTGCCTGGAATGATGCTAAAATGATTGTATTTGGCTCACAAGATGTCTTCTTGCTTTCCTAATCATCAGGTATGAAGAGATTCATTTGCCACGATTTTCATTAAAGCAAGGGATGATCCCAAGACGTTATGTCATGCCTTGGAAAGAAAACATGATATTCAGGAATGTGAATCTGAAGGTATTTCCCCATAAGCACACATAAGGAAAAAAAACAAAAACAAAAACATTAAGCCGGATGCGGTGACTTGTGCCAATAATCCTAGCACTTTGGGAGACCGAGGCGGGTGGATCACTTGAGGTCAGGAGTTCGAGACCAGCCTAGCCAACTGGCGGAACCCCATCTCTACTAAAAATATGAAAATTAGCTGGGCATGGTGGCGGGCAGTTGTAATCCCAGCTACTCGGGAGGCTGAGGCATGAGAATCTCTTGAACCCGAGAGGCAGAGGTTGCAGTAAGCCAAGATTGCGCCACTGCAATCTAGCCTGGGCAACAGAGCTAGACTCTGTCTCTAAATAAATAAATAAATTTTACATATATATATATATATATATATATAATTTAGTATGTCTGTGATAGACGTGTGTAACTATACAAAAACTATTTTGATGTACTGTCACAAACTTGCAAACAAATGTTAAATAGTAATATCTGTTTAAATAACCTAATTATATACCGAAGAATTTCAGAAACTCTACATCATGCTATCTTGCAGTTGTTAAACTCATCATCAGAAGATGCCATTAATATTAAAGGTACACTACAAAGCATATATTTTTTAGATTATACTGCATATTCAGATAGAGAGGCATGGGAATATTTTGGCTAGTTTACACATGATTTACCCATTCAATGCTCCTGTTCAGTCAGCAGTTTTATTTATTTATTCCTTTTTTTCTTTTTGGAGACAGGGTCTCGCTCTGTCATCCAGGCTGGAGTGCAGTGGCGTGATCACAGCTCACTGCAGCCTCATCTGCTGAGCTCAATTGATCCTCCTGCCTCAGTCTCCCAAGTAGCTGGGATTACAGGTGCACATCACCACACCTTGCTAGCTTTTTGATTTTTAGTAGAGATGGGGTCTCACTATGTCTTCCAGTTTGGTCTTGAACTCCTGAGCTCAAGCAATCCTACTGCCTCGGCCTTCCAAAATTCTAGGATTACAGGAGTTAGCCACCACACCGGGCCTACTTTATTTATTTATTTAGAGACAGGATCTCACTCTGTCACCCAGACAGGAGTGCAATGATGCAATCATGGCTCACTGCAGCTGCAGCAACCTCTTGGGCTCAGGTGATCCTCCCACCTCAGCCTCCTGAGCAGCTGGGACTACAGGCACATGCCACCATGCCCGGAGAGTTTTGGTATTTTTTGTAGAGATGGGATCTCTACTATGTGGTCCAGGCTGGTCTCCTGGGCCCAAGCGATTCTCCTGCCTCAGCCTCCCAAAGTGCTAGGATTACAGGCATGAACCACTGTACCCGGCTCCAGTCAGTAGTTTTATAACAGCAGGAAAACTACTATAGGTAAAATGCCGCAGCCACTGTAGAAGATAGTGAGACCATTCTTCAAAAAATTAAACATAGAATTACCATATGATTCAGCAATTCCACTTCTAAGTATATGCTCAAAATAATTGAAAGCAGGGATTCCAACAGGCTTGTTTTAAAACATTTTCTGGCTGGCGTGGTGGCTCATGCCTGTGATCCTAGCACTTTGGGAGGCGGAGGCGGGCAGATAACCTGAGTTCAGGAGTTCAAGACCAGCCTGGCCAACATGGTGAAACCCCATCTCTACTAAAAATACAAAAATTAGCCGGGCATGATGGCACATGCCTGTAATCCCAGCTACTTGGGAGGCTGAGGCAGGAGAATCGCTTGAATCCGGGAGACACACTGCAGCAAGCCAGATCACGCCACTGCACTCCAGCCTGGGCAACAGAGCAAGACTCCATCTCAAACAAATAAATAAATGTTTACTCAGACTTACTACAGTCTTAATATTAGTCTGCATTTCATGTAATTTAGTGGCATATCAAGGTCATTTTCAATGCCCTAAGTAGCTTCAGCATGGTGACAGTACTGACTTTTTCATTTATGAGAATTATAGGTTGTAAACTTTATAAGTTGAAATCAGTAAAGAAAAACTTTGTTTTGATTGCATCAAAACACTTATTCTTGACCTTACTTTTAGAGTATAATTCAGCATCATTTTTCAGAGCTATTTTACTTTTGCAATTTAGTTGACAGTGTTCCTACCAATGAAACTTAAATAAGTGAATTAAGTAAAGTGAATGTGCCCACACTGAGTAAATGCTAGTAAATGCTAACTTATGCTTTCCTTCCTTTTATTTATCCTCACCATTTTTCCATTAGGAGTTAAAAACTGCATCTAACAACATTAAAAAATATAGCACACAGACTAGGTGCAGTGGCTTATGCCTCTAATCTTAGCACGTTGGGAGGCTGAGACAGGGGGATAGTTTGAGGCCAGGAGTTTAAGACCAGCCAGAGCAACATAGCGAGATCCTGTCTATTAAAAAAAAAAATTATCCAGGCATTGTGGTGTGTGCTGTAGTCCCAGCTACTTGGGAGGCTGAGGCAGGAGGATTGCTTGAGCCTAGGAGTTCCAGGCTGCAGTGAGCTATGATTGCACCACTGCACTCCAGCCTGGGTGACAGACTGAGGCCCCGTCTGTGAAATATATATATATATATATATATATATGAAACACAGCATACCAGAGTTGGGGCTGCATCCCAAGAACTGACCAGAATGCTATTTGGCAATACTGAAGAATCAAAAGTAGATGTGTATTTAAGTTAATAACTTCAAACAGTTGTTATTTATTTATTCAACAGTCATAACAGCATCATCATACTTTAAACCTTTTTGATACTTTGTAGTTGGCAAAGCTTTTTCATTCACATATATTTTATCTGCTACTCAAAGAATCCTTTAATATTCCCATTTTATATTTGAAAAAGCTGAGTCTTCTGGGAGTAAATGACTTGAAAAGGTCACGTTAAGTAGTGAAGCTAAAGTTCAACAATCTGCCTCCAAATATATCACATTTATAGTCTGCATGACTCTTTCTGGTAGTCAGATCACACTGACCCACAAAGCATTGCTTTTAGAAAAGGGATGTTCCTCTGTTCAGCAGAGCTTCCTTCTCAACAAGGATAGTTAGAAAAACTATTGGGAAACTTCCATCATTTTTGGAGAGGGGATGGGGTCTCACTCTGTTGCCCAGGCTGAAGTGCAGGGGTGTGATCATAGCTCACTGCAGCCTTGATTTCCCAGGATCAAGGGATTCTCTTGCCTCAGCCTCACAGACGCGTGCCACGACACCCACCTAATTTTTTATTTTTTGTATAGATGGGGTCTTGCTCTGTTGCCCAGGCTGGTCTCAAATTCCTGAGCTCAAGCAATCTTCCTGTCTTGGCCTCCCAAATTGCTGGGATTACAGGCATGAGCCATGGCTCCTGATGAAACTTCCTTCTTAATCTAACAAGAAAATGATGTTTGATGTGATACACAGAAGATTTTCTTTTCTCTTAGCAAGCAGAAGTGTGTGGGATCCATACTGGCCCTTTAGAAGACTCTCTGTTTTTGAATCACAGTGAAAGGCTTTGCCATGGGGAAGATCGTAAAGTTGTCTTCCAAAAAGGCCCACCAGAAATAAAAATTGCAGATATGCCTTTGCATTCGCCTCTCTCCAGATACCAAAGCACTGTGATTTCCCATGGCTTCAGGAGGCGACTAGTCTAATGAAAGAAGAATAAAATAATAAAGTGTTTCAATCTCTGCTCTCTTACTGTCTCTGATAAATGTTTAAGTTCGTTGTAAATTTGTATTTCACCTGCAAGTTCAATTTGTTTAAAGGTCTTAAGTCAGTTGTATAATTTATAGATTATACAACCTTTAGCAAGGAAACAGACTCTGAGATAATCTGAGATGAAGTGGAGGAAGAAGGAAAACTGCCTTGCTGACATTCATTTCACACTAACTACATAAGAATCAGCAGACCAGTCCAGTTCCACTGCCTAACCTTACCACATTCCTCTACCTTTCTCTCCTCCTCACTATATCTTTATTATTCATCCTCTTTGATCTTCAATGTCAGAGGAACCAAACTGAAATAGAGTTGCAGGATGTTTAATTAATTAATTTATTTATTTTTGAGACAGAGTCTCACTCTGTTGCCCAGTGGCTCACTGCAACCTCTGCATCCCAAGTAGCTGGGACTATAGGTGCACGCCAGCATGCCTGGCTAATTTTTTATTTTTTGTAGAGATGGGGTTTCATCATGTTCCCCAGGCCAGTCTCAGACTCCTGAGCTCAAGTGATCCACCCACCTAAACCTCCCAAAGTGCTGGGATTACAGGTGTGAGCCACCACGCCTGGCAGGATTTGGAAATATTTTTGCTGCTTGCTGATTCCACCTAACCTCCTCTTTTCTGACCCACGCCTCCAACACACATATATCTAAGATTCTGGATACTGGTAATTAATCACCATGGTAATTAGAAGTGTTTAGCAGACAACTCTTTGATGCATCAAACAATTTTAGTGAGAGAGATGTACTTTCTGTATTGGTTTAGAGTATACAAGTGCCAATTTCCTACAGCAAATAATTTATTCACATAATTTGGCTGCATAAAAACTACCATATGTAAAGTGGTACAGCCACTGTAGAAGACAGCCTGGCAGTTCCTCAAAAAATTAAACATAGAATTACCATATGATTCAGCAATTCCACTTCTCAGAATATACTCAAAAGAATTGACACCAAGAACGTGAACAGATATTTGTACACCAGTGTTCATAGCAGCATTATTCACAATAGCAAAAATGTGGAAACAACCCAAATGTTCATCACCTGATGAATGGATAAACAAAATGTGGTATACACATACAATGGAATATTATTTACTCACAAAAAGGAGTGATATTCTGATACATGCTACAACATGGAGGAACGTTGAAAACCTCATACTAAATGGAACAACCCAGACACAAAAGAATAAATATTGTGTGGATTCCTCTTATGTGAGATCCTAAAATAGTCACCTTCATAAAGAAAGAAAGAAAGAATAGCTGGGCACAGGGTCTTACGCCTGTAATCCTAGCACTTTGGGAGGTCGAGGCAGGTGGGTCACCTGAGGTCGGGAGTTCGAGACCAGCCTGACCAACATGGAGAAATCCCGTCTCCACTAAAAATGCAAAATTAGCCAGGTGTGGTGGCTCATGCCTGTAATCCCATCTACTCGGGAGGCTGAGGCAGGAGAATGGCTTGAACCCAGGAGGTGGAGGTTGTGGTGAGCCGAGATCTCGCCATTGCACTCCAGCCTGGGCAACAAGAGCAAAACTCTGTCACACACAAAAAAGGAAGGAAGGGAGGAAGGGAAGGGAGGAAGGGAGGAAGGAAGGGAGGAAGGGAGGGAGGGAGGGAGGGAGGGAGGGAGGGAGGGAGGAAGGAAGGAAGGAAGGAAGGAAGGAAGGAAGGAAGGAAGGAAGGAAGGAAGGAAGGTGGTTACCAGGTTCTGTGGGGGAGGAGGGAATGGGAAGTTATCATTTAATATGTACAGAATTTCATATTGGCATGATGGAAAAATTCTAGAGATGGATGGTTGCCTAAGGTGAATGTACTTAATGCCACTAAATAGGATATTCAAAAAGGGCCAGCCAGGTGTCGTAGTGCAGGCTTGTAGTCCCAGCTACTATAGATGCTGATGCGGGATGATTGCTTGAGCCCATTAGTTAGAGACCAGCCTGAGCAACATAGCAAAACTTTTATTTATTTTATTTTATTTTATTTGTTTTTGTTTGTTTTTTGAGAGGGAGTCTCGCTCTGTTGCCCAAGCTGGAGTGCAGTGGCAACCTCCACCTCCCGGGTTCAAGCGATTCTCCTGCCTCAGCCTCCCGAGTAGCTGGGACTACAGGTGCGTGCCAGGACACCCGGCTAATTTTTTGTGTTTTTAGTAGAGACAGGGTTTCACTGTGTTAGCCAGGATGGTCTCGATCTCCTGACTTCGTGATCCGACGGACTCGGCCTCCCAAAGTGCTGGGATTACGGGCGTGAGCCACCGCGGCCCGGCCAAGCACAGCTATTTTTTTTTTTTTTTTTTTTTTTTTTTTTGAGACGGAGTCTCGCTCTGCCGCCCAGGCTGGAGTGCAGTGGCGCGATCTCGGCTCACCGCAAGCTTCGCCTGCCGGGTTCACGCCATTCTCCTGCCTCAGCCTCCTGCGTAGCTGGGACTACAGGCGCCTGCCACCACGCCCGGCTAATTTTTTTTGTATTTTTAGTAGAGAAGGGATTTCATCGTGTTAGCCAGGATGGTCTCTATCTCCTGACCTCGTGATCCACCCGCCTCGGCCTCCCAAAGTGCTGGGATAACAGGCGTGAGCCACCGCGCCCGGCCAGCACAGCTATTTTTAACGTGACAAATGCTTAGTATGCCGTCTTCATATCGCGTGGCACATATAAATTCTGTTTAACTTATGCCAGGTGCTTCGTAGCATATCAAAGATAACTGAGATGGCAGCCTTGGATAAGAAGCGGTTCAAACTTGAGGTTCTTGGCATATCCTCACCAAAAAAGCTATTTAGTAATATAGCTGGGACTACAGGCGCACACCGCCATGCCCAGCTAATTTTTTTGTATTTTTAGTAGAGACTGAATTTCACCATGTTGACCAGACTGGTCTTGAACTCTTGAGCTGAGGCAATCCACCCACCTCGGCCTCCCAAAGTGCTGGGATTACAGGCATGAGCCACTGTGCCCAGCCAGTAATACATTTTTTTTAAATGTTAGGTTATTTGTTTTACTTATTTGTTTATGTATTTATTTATTTTGAGACGGAGTCTTGCTCTGTCACCTAGGCTGGAGTGCGGTGGCGTGATCTCGGCTCACAGCAACCTCCGCCTCCCAGGTTCAAGCAATACTCCTGCCTCAGCCTCCTGAGCTGGGTCTACAGGCGCCTGCCACCATGCCCGGCTAACTTTTGTATTTTTAGTAGAGACGGGGTTTCACCACGTTGGCCAGGCTGGTCTTGAACTCCTGACCTCAGCTGATCCGCCTGCCTCGGCCTCCCAAAGTGTTGGGATTACAGGCGTGAGCCACCATGCCCGGCCTTTTTGTTTTATTTTCCTAGATACAAATTATTGCTATGTTGCACTGGCTGGAGTGCAGTGGCTATTCACAGGTGCAAACATAGCATACTGCGGCTTTTCTAAAAAACAATATTGCCGGGCACGGTGGCTCAGGCCTGTAATCCCAGCACTTTGGGAGGCTGAGCTGGGCGGATCACGAGGTCAGGAGATCGAGACCATCCTGGCTAACACGGTGAAACCCCGTCTCTACTAAAAATACAAAAAATTAGCCGGGCATGGCAGCATGCGCCTGTAGTCCCAGCTACTCGGGAGGCTGAGACAGGAGAATGGCGTGAACCCAGGAGGCAGAGGTTGCAGTGAGCCGAGATCGGGCCATTGCACTCCAGCCTGAGTGACAGAGCAAGACCTCATCTCAGAACAAACAAACAAAAACAATATTTTAAGATTTAAGTATATACATTTTTTAGACAGAATGCTATTGAGCACTTAGTATACTACAGTATAGCATAAATGTAATTTTTTTTTTTTTTTGAGATGGAGTCTTGCTCTCTCACCCAGGCTGGAGTGCAGTGTCGCGATCTTGGCTCACTGCAACCTCCGCCTTCCAGGTTCAAGCGATTCTCCTGCCTCAGCCTCCTGAGTAGTTGGGATTACAGGTGTGTGCCACCAAGCCTGGCTAATTTTTGTATTTTTAGTAGAGATGAGGTTTCACCATGTTGGTCAGGCTGGTCTCGAACCCCTGACCTCGTGATCCACCCACCTCGGCCTCCCAAAGTGCTGGGATTACAGGCGTGAGCCATCGCACCCAGCCGTAAATGTAACTTTTATATGCATTCGGAAACCAAAAAAAAATTGTGTGATTCACTTTATTGCAATACTTGCTTTATTGCAATTTTTCCAGTGAAGGAAATTAAAAGTACTACTCCAGGGAATACATGAATGATAAATGACACAGCCATATTGCTGATAGGGGGAAAGTTTTAGTGGTCTACACAGAAGATCAAGCCAGCCACAAAATTCCCTTAAGCCAAAGCTTAATTCAGAGCACTTCCAGTGGTCTGGAACTGAACGTGCAGTATCTCCCTCCCTGCATTCCTGGGTTAAATCACATTTAGTCAGGATGTATAAGGTGCAAGTATAAGTCACATCCTGACTAAATGTGATTTGACCTAGGAATGCAGGGTTAGATTAATATCCAAGAATCAATTAATGTAACACTCTATATCAAAAGAATAAAACACAAAAGCCACATGATGATCTCAGTAGACACTAAAAAAGCGTGTAACAAAATCTAACACTCCTTCGTGATAAAAACTAGGAATCAAAGGAAACTTCCTCAACCTGATAAAGCTCATCCATGAAAAACCCACAGCAAAAAATTGAAAAACAAACAAAACAAAACAAAAACCCCACAGCTAATATTATAACTAATGGTGAAGAAAGATTGGATCACTTCCTCCTAAGATCAGGAAGAAGATAGAGATGGCTGCTCTCACCAATTCTATGTATTATAGACTCAGCTTCCTAAGCCTCATGAGGCAACCTCTGCTAGCTTCAGACTATTCTTCTGCAGCTTCCTCACCTCTCAGCTTCCCTGGATTAGGCTTTGTCTTAAGGGAATTTTGTGGCTGGTTTGACCTTCTATATGGATCACTAAAACTTTCCCCATGTCAGCAATATGACTGTTTCACTTATTAATATCATTCATGTATTCCCTGGAGTAGCACTTTTAATTTCCTTCAAGAACTTTTCCTTTGCATTCAAAACCTGGCTGTTTGGTGCAAGAGGCTTTCTTTTGGCCTATCTTGGCTTTCAACATTTCTTCACTAGGCTTAACCATTTCTAGCTTTCAATTTTGATATAGTTTGAATGTATCTTCCTGTCCAAATCTCATGTTGAAATGTAATCCCCAGCCTAGGAGGTGGGACCTGGTGGGAGGTGTGTGGATCATGCGGGCAGATCCCTCATGAATGGCTTGGGCCATCCCCTTGGTGATATGTGAGCTTTCGCTATGAGTTCACACGAGATGTGGTCCTTTAAGCGTGTAGCACTTCCCCCCACCCCGACTCTCTCTTGCTCCTGCTTTTGCCTTATGATGTGCCTGCTCCCACTTTGCCTTCCACCATGAGTAAAAGCTTCCTGAGGCCTCCCCAGAAGCCAAGCAATGGTGGTGCCATGCTTCTACAGCCTGCACAACCATTAGCCCATTTAACCTCTTTTCTTTATAAATTACCCAGTCTCAGGTATTCCTTTGTAGCAATGCAAGAACCGACTAATACAGATTTAAAGTGGGAGACGTGTGTACTTCCTTTCTCTTGAACACTTAGAAGCCATCGTAGGGTTATTAATTGGACTAATTTCAATATTGTTGTGTCTCAGGGAATAGGGAAGTCCAAGGAGAGGGATAGGAATAGGGGAATGGCCAGTCAGTGGAGTAGTCAGAACACACACCACATTTATCCATTAAGTTTGCTGTCTTCTATGGGTGCAGCTCATGGTGCCACAAAACAATTCCAATAGTAACATCAAAGATCACTGATCACAGATCACTACAACACATATAATAATAATGAAAAAGCTTGAAAAATTGTTAAAATTTCCAAAAAGTGACACAGAGACATAAAGCGAGTGCATGGTGTTAGAAAAATGGCACCAATGACTTACTCAACACAGGGCTGCCACAGATCTTCGATTTGTAAAAAACAGTGTCTGCAAAACACAAGAAAATGAGGTATGCTTGTGATTCTTTTTATATGCTGCGGGATATGATTTGATAGTATTTTGCTGAGGACTTTTACATCCATATTCAAAAGGGATATTGCTCTGTACTTTTCTTGTGATATCATTGTTCAGCTTTGCTATCACGTTAATACTGGCTTCATAGAATGAATTGGGAAATATCCTTCCTATTTTTTGAAAGGGTTTGAAAAGAATTGGTATAAATTCTTCTTTAAATGTTTGGTAGAATTGACCAGTGAAGCAATCCGTAGCCTGGGCTTTTCTTTGCAGTTAGGTTTTGGGTTACTTATTCAATTTTTTACTTGTAGTAAGTCTATTCAGATTGTCTTTTTTTTTTCCTTGAGTGAGTTTTTGTTATTATTATTATTATTTTTTTTTTTGAGACAGAGTCTCACTCTGTCTCCCAGGCTGGAGTGCAGTGGCGCGATCTCGGCTCACTGCAATCTCTGCCTCCTGGGTTCACGCCATTCTCCTGCCTCAGCCTCCTGAGTAGCTGGGACTACAGGCGCCCGCCACCAGGCCCGGCTAATTTTTTGTATTTTTTTAGTGGAGACGGAGTTTCACTGTGTTAGCCAGGATGGTCTTGATCTCCTGACCTCGTGATCCGCCCACCTTGGCCTCCCAAGGTTCTGGGATTACAGGCATGAGCCACCGCGCCCGGCCCGAGTTTTTATTATTATTGATAATATTAAAAATAAATAACGCTGAATTAATATGAATATAGTTGGATTTATATTTGCCATTTTACTGTGTTTTCCATATGCCTCATGTCCTTTTTGTTCCTCAATTTACATTTACTGCTTTCTTTTGAATTAAGTGAATTTTTTTTTTTTTTTTTTTTGGTGAGATGGAGATTTACTCTTGTTGTCCAGGCTGGAGTGCAAAGGCGCGATCTCTGCTCACTGCATCCTCCGCCTCCAGGTTCAAGCGATTCTCCTGCCGCAGCCTCCCTAGCAGCTGGGATTACAAGCATGTGCCACCACGCCCGTCTAATTTTGTATTTTTAGTAGAGTCGGGGTTTCACCATGTTGCCCAGGCTGATCTCGAACTCCTGACCTCAGGTGACCCACCTGCCTTGGCCTTCCAAAGTGCTGGGATTACAGGTGTGAGCGACTGCGCCCGGCCTAAGTGAATATTTTCAAAGTAGCACTTTAATTTATTTAATAGTTATTTAATACATTTTTTGAATTATTTCTTTAGTGGTTGCTCTCAGGCTTACCATATGCAACTTAATTTATCAACTTCAGATTTCAACTAATTTAATTTCAGTGAGATATAGACCTGTTACTCCGATATAGCTCTATTTCTTGCCCCCCATTTTTGTGTTATTACTGTTACACATATTACATTTTTAAATGTTACAAATACAACTGTACATTGTTATAATCATTATATAATTTTATGTCTTTTAAAGAAGCTGAAAGAAGGAAAGATAGCAAGTATATATTCATAGCTTTTGTTATATCAACCTTCTCACTTATCATTTCTGGCTCTCTTCATTTGTTCCTGTGGATTTGAGTTACCATCTGGAGTCATTTCCTTAGTCCAATACAGCTATGCTACCACCCATCTCCTTTGGGCTGTTATTAGCAAATATATTTCTTGTTTTTTTAAATTGTTAATGTTTTTTTTTGAGACACAGTCTCACTCTGTCCCCCAGGCTGGAGTGCAGTGGTGTGATCTTGGCTCACTGCAACCTCTGCTTCCCAGGTTCAAGCGATTCTCATGCCTCAGCCTCCTGAGTAGCTTGGATTACAGGCATGTGCCATCACACCCTGCTAATTTTTGTATTTTTAGTAGAGACAGGGTTTCCCCATGTTGGCCTAGGCTAGTCATGAACTCCTGACCTCAGGTGATCCACCTGCCTCAGCCTCCCAAAGTGCTGGGGTTACATGCGTAAGCCACAGCGCCCATCCAGGCAAATATATTTGTTTATGTTATAGGTCCCAAAATACAGTGTATACATATTATTTTATACCATTGCTGTTTAAATCAGTTAAAAAAATAAAGCAGAAGAAATATGCATTTATACTATCTTGAATAATTACATAATTACACTTACTGGTTGTTAGGGACCAAATGTTTTTGTCCCCTCAGATTAAAAGATTGAAACCTAAACTCCCAATGTGATTGTATTGGGAAGTGAGTAGGTTTAGATGGAGTCATGAGGGTGGAGCCCCCATGATGGGATTAGTGTCCTTATAAGAAGAGAAAGAGGGCTGGGGCACAGTGGCTCACACTGTAATCCCAGCACTTTGGGAGGCCGAGGTGGGCGGATCACCTGAGGTCAGGAGTTCGAGATCAGCCTGGCCAACATGGTGAAACCCCGTCTCTACTAAAAATACAAAAATTAGCTGGGCATGGTGGCACATGCTTGTAATCCCAGCTACTCAGGAGCCTGAGGCAGGAGAATCGCTTGAGCCTGGGAAGCAGAGGTTGCAGTTAGCTGAGATTGTGCCACTGCACTCCAGACTGGCCAACAGAGCGAGAGTCTTTCTCAAAAAAAAAAAAAAAAAAAAAAGAAGAGAAAATGACCAGAGCTCACTCACTCTCTCCACCATGTGATAACACAGCAAGAAAGTGGCCATCTGCAAGCCAGGAAGAAGGCTCTCACCAGGAACTCAATCTTCTGGCACCTTGGCCTTGGACTTCCCAGATTCCACAACTGTGAGACATGAATGAATGTTGTTTAAGCCACACAGTCTACTGTATTTTGTTACAGCAGCCAGAGCCAAATAAGTCACTACTGCTCTTTGTGTAGATTCAGATTACCTTCTGAGATTCATTTCTTTTAGTCTGAAGAACGTCCTTTACTTTTTTTAAGGCATGTCTACTAGCAAAGAATTGTCTTAGTTTTTGTTAATCTGGGAAATCTTTATTTCACCATCATTTTTTAAAGAAGCTTTGGTGGATATAGGATTCTTGGTTGTCAGGTTTAGTTTTGCTTCTTTTTTTTTAGAGCACTTTGAATATGTTTGTTATTCCACTGCCTTCTGGCTGCCACTGTTTCAGCTGAAAAGTCAACTGTTAATGTTATTGGGGTTCCCTTGTAAGTGACTCATTGTTTTCTTTGGCTATTCTTTGTTGCTGAGTCTCCGCATTTTTCCTATGATGTTTCTGTTTGTGGGTCTACTTGTGTTTATCCTACTTAGAGTTCATTGAGCACTCTATATGTGTCAGTTAACATTCAATAAATTTGGCAAGACTTCAGCCATTGTATCTTCAATTTTTTTTTCTGCTCCATTCCTTTTCCCCTCTCCTTCATGCTTCCGTTACTTCTGTATTGATGAATTTAGTGGTGTCCCAAATTTCTCTAAGACTCTGTAAATTTTTCTTCATTCTATTTTCTTTTTGTTCTTCATGTTACATAAACCCTATTAATCTATCTTCAAATTCACTACTTTTTTTATTCTGCCAGTTTGAAGATACTGTTGAATCCCCTCCTCCCTACCCCCAACCCCTAGTGAATTAATATTTAATTTGTTGTTATACTTTTCAACTCCAGAATTTCCATTTGTCTCTTTAGAGTTTCTATCTCTTTACTGTTATTCTCTATTTAATGCAACATTTTTCTCATATCTTCCTTTACTACTTCTTTTTTTATTATTATAAAAGGATACAGTTTAAGAACAGCCAGGTGGAAGACATGCATAAGGCAAGGTATGGAGGAAGGAGCAGGGAGCCCCTATGCTCTCTTCAGGTGCACCACCCTCTCAGCACCTGCATGTGTTCAGCAACCTGAAACTATTCATTTTATTTTTTTCTTTCTCTTTTCTTTCTTTCTTTCTTTCTTTTTTTTTTTTTTAATGACAGGGTCTTGCTCTGTCACCCAAGCTGGAGTCCAGTAGTGTGATCATGGCTCACTGCAGCTTCCACCTCCCAGGCTCAAGCACTCCCCCTACCTCAGCCTCCAGAGTAGCTGAGACTACAGGCACATGCCACCACACTTAATTTTTTTTTTTTTTTTTTTTTTTTTTTTTTTTTTTTTTGAGACAGAGTCTCGCTCTGTCACCCAGGCTGGAATGCAGTGGTGCAATCTTGGCTCACTGCAACCTCCGCCTCCCAGATTCAAGTGATTCTCCTGCCTCAGCCTCCCAAAGTAGCTAGGATTACAGGCAACTGCCAACATGCCCAGCTAATTTTTTTGTATTTTTAGTTGAGATGGGGTTTCACCATGTTGGCAAGGCTGGTCATGAACAACTCTTGACCTCAGGTGATCCACCTACCTCGGCCTCCCAAAGTGCTTGGATTACAGGCGTGAGCCACCACACCTGGCCTACTAATTTTTTTAAAATTTTCATTTATTTATTTGTAGAGACAAGGTCTTGCCATGTTGCCCAGGCTGGTGGAACTACTTCTTTAATCATAGTTTTCTTAATGTTTCCTTTGAAGGCTTTGTTAAAACTGACAGCTTGGCCAGGCACAATGGCTCACACCTGTAATCCAAGCACTTTGGGAGGCTGAGGGAGGATCACTGGAGCTCAGGAGTTCAAGACCAGCCTGGGCAACATAGTGAGACCCCCCATCTCAATAAACAAAAAAGAAACTGACAGCTGGTCATTTCTGTTACTTGCTTTTTTTTTTTTTCTGGTGAATGGATTATACTTCTCTCTTTTTTTTTGCATGTCTCAAAATTTTTTGTTGGAAAATGGATATTTTAGAAAATATATTGTAGCAACTTTGGGTACTAACTCCTTCCAGTCCCACCCAACTCTAGTGCATTTTGTTCTTATTTGCTTGTTTACTTGTTTAGTGACTGGCTGGATAATTTTAGTGAAGTTTAATCTCTCCCCACCCCCATTCCCACCCCCACATCCACCTGCAGTGTTAAACCTCTGATGCTGTTTCTCAGGATCTCAGCCTTGGCTATGCCCAGTTACCCTCTGATGACAGTGGTTTTGGCAGGACTCTCTTCAATATTTATTTCCCTAACTCCACCCAGCTGTTAAGCTCCACTAATTGCAGGCTGATTGCTCTATTGTTTTCAACAACACCCTAAGGAATGAATTGCTCCAAAGACTAATCCCATTACATTTGGGCTCTTTTTTTTTTTTCAGTCTCAGCTCACTGCAGCCTCCACCTCCTGGGTTCCAGCTATTCTTGTGCCTCAGCCTCCTGAGTAGCTGGGATTACAGTCCCATGCCACCACACCCAGCTACTTTTTGTATTTTTAGTAGAGATAGTTTCGCCATGTTGGCCAGGCTGGTCTCGAACTCCTGACTTCAGGTGATCCACCCACCTTGGCCTTCCAAAGTGCTGGGATTACAGGCATGAGCCACCGCAACCAGCCTTGGGCTCTTTTGACGGGATAGTTCTCAAGGTCAGTGAGATTTGTTCTTACTCCAGAAGGATCCTTCCAGCTATCTCTTTCCCTGGTTCTCTCAGTCAAACTAGCCAGCCTACAGTTTCTATCTCCAGTGAGTCTACCAATATCCTTTCGATTGCCTGTCATGACAACCTCCCTTGTGTTGGAGAGCCCCTTAGGCTTAAGCTTCTCCAAACACTTTTGCAAAAAAGTCATGTCCCCTGGGAAGAAAGTAGGAGCTAGGTGTGTTATGGCCTGCTTCTCCCCTCAGGCAAAATCTCCAAGCCATGGCTGTGGAGTTTGGGATGATTTTTAAAAAGGCACATAGGCCAGGCATGGTGGCTCATGCCTGTAATCCCAGCACTTTGGGAGGCCAAGTCGGGTGGATCACCTGAGGTCGGGAGGTCGAGACCAGCCTGACCAACATGGAGAAACCCCATCTCTACTAAAAATACAAATTTAGCCGGGCAAATACAAACTTAGTGGTGCAAGCCTGTACTCCCAGCTACTCAGGAGGCTGAGACAGGAGAATCACTTGAACCTGGGAGTTGCACTCCATCCTGAAAACAACAGCGAAACTCCATCCCAAGAAAAAAAAAAAAGGCACAAATCTCTCCACATGACACACCTATTCCAGGAGTTGAGCATTCACTGGAATGGAAGGACAGTGTAATTGGGTCTTCTTATCTTGCTTCTCCCAGCATGGAACCACCACCTTACAACCTGGGCAAGTGTAATTGGGGCCTCAATATTCTTGGTGGCTATGTGCGCAATGTAGAGAGCTTCTATCCCATGGGTTGAAGCAGGGTAGAAGACAGTCCCCACCTCTTGGTCACACTTGCCTGGTGCTTAGCCTGAGAAACAGGTAGGGGGAAGGATGAGAAATACTGACATCTTGCCCCTCCTGGGAGGATAGCCCTCTGACTAGAAATGGGAGAAGAGAAGCCCTGTATTCAAGTTCAAGTTCATCTAGAGAGTCATGTTCTCTAGAGTATGTGGTCAGAATTCTTACAGAAGCACCGGGACTGCCCCCTGTAGCCTTTTAGTCCAAACAACTTGACCTTTCTGTTTTAGGCCGGCCCTCATGTCTGCATGCGGCAGCTGCTACTGCTCTAATACTTTTAGAGGCCCTCAAAATCACAAACTATGCTCAACTCACTCTCTACAGTTCTCATAACTTTCAAAATCTATTTTCTTCCTCACACCTGATGCATATACTTTCTGCGCCACCACCCCACTTCTTCAGCTGTACTCACTCTTTGTTGAGTCTCCCACAATTACCATGTTCCTGGCCCGGACTTCTATCCAGCCTCCCACATTATTCCGGATACCACACCTGACCCCCATGACTGTATCTCTCTGATCCACCTGGCATTCACCCCATTTCCCCATATTTCCTTCTTTCCTGTTCCTCACCCTGATCACACTTGGTTTATTGATGGCAATTCCACCAGGCCTAATTGCCACACACCAGCAAAGGCAGGCTATGCTATAGTATCTTCCACATCTATCGTTGAGGCTACCGCTCTGCCCCACTCCACTACCTCTCAGCAAGCCAAACTCATTGCCTTAACTCGAGCCCTCACCCTTGCAAAAGGACTGTGTGTCAATATTTACACTGACTCTCTTTTCGGACTCTGCCCACTTACACCCAAGTGAAATAAACAGACTTGTTGCTCACACAAAGCCTGTTGGTGGACTCTCTTCACACAGACTCGCATAACATAGAAAACATAAGTACGGACCAAAGAATTAGAAGAAATACTAGACTAATTCTCTCTTCTTATTTGGCACGTACTGAAACCTAAGTAAAGGTATATGAGAAGAGATAAACAGTGAGCTATAATTTACATAACTGTGCCATTCTGTAACCCAATTCAGTCCAAGACTTGAGAAATAACTGGGAGTACCTCACAGAGGAGTTATTTTATACATTTAAGGAACAAAAAGCTGGTAGTCCTGAATTTCTAAAAGCTATTTAGGATAAGTAGATTTTTACTTCTTATAATCCCCTAATACTACCTTACCACTAAAATAGACCAGAGCCAATTAAGCCACTTCTCTTTAAGAGGAAGCAGTATCGGCACTCTGTGTCTATTAAGAATCTTTCCAGGGCCAGGCACGGTGGCTCACACCAGTAATCCCAGCACTTTAGGAGGCTGAGGAGGACGGATCACCTGAGGTCAGGAGTTTGAGAACAGCCTGACCAACATAGAGAAACCCTGTCTACTAAAAATACAAAATTAGCCAGGCATGGTGACACACATCTGTAATCGCAGCTACTCGGGAGGCTGAGGCAGGAGAATTGATTGAACCCGGGAGGTGGAGGTTGCAGTGAGCAGAGATTGCACCATTGCACTCTAACCTGGGCAATGAGGAAAATTCTGTCTCAAAAAAAAAAGAATATTTCCATTATTTTCCCTTCCACTGAAAGGGCTAAAGGTAAATTTAGCTGGTAATAGAATAATTTCCAGCAAGGTCTTCGAGTAAAATTTTGAGGTATTTCTTATGTTTATACCACTCAACTAGAATTCAAAATCCAAGGTAATTACTGAGACCAGATTTCCTAGGAATGAGGAATGGGAATGTTGCAGGGCATCCTAAAGGGGCTACACCCTCTATGAACAGATACCTTGCACTCCAGGAGCTCATTAGAGTAAAATTTTTGTACATTTCCAGAATTAAATGGGAAAAAAAAGAAGGTGAACACAAGAGTTGAACTGAACAATGCACAGTGCTTTGTTCTGGCCCCACGAAAACATCTGAATATATCATTTGCATCTAATCGTGCTGTGAAAGTTATCAGGAAGAAAAATGGAGTACCTAATGTTAAAAATAAAACCCTGATAAATAGAGCCAGGGATGGCTGTGAAGAGAGGATTTTCATGTTTATATGCCTGATAACAAAAACTATCACAAAAGGCTCTGCAAAAACCAACCTCCATTGCAAACTTACACAAAAAAAAACTTCTGCAAGGACATCTGCCTAGTAACTCCTTGTCCAATTTCAGACTGATGTCACCCTTGTTATTGATCTCTGTAGCCAAGAATAATTATTTCAAAACAGTTATGCAATCCTCTTCATTAAAAACAAAACAAAACAAAAAAACCTTTGTCTTGCTTTACTTCTCTGAATACATACATACTATGGCATGTGTATTCTCATTGCAGTGCTCTAGTCCCAAGTAAATATCATTTTCTTTTGGAGCGCCTCTCTCTATGTGTTATTTAAATTGACATGGTGTCAGAAATGGGACCTGAAAAAGATCACTATTGGAAGACGATGGCAATTCTTGGAATTGGAGTGCAGTAGTCAATTGAGCCCTTTGAGCTCTCTGCTTCCATGGCTAGCCTTTTCTGCGCTGAGTCTACTCTCAGGCCAGGCCTCCCTCTTTTTGGTAGAACCTCTTAACTTTGTTTGGGATCTGATTTGAACAAGCCCATCTTAATGGCAAACCATCCATCCCTCCTGAGATGATAAAAGACTTTTTGTCTTTTATGGTAACTTATTTCTTGTATAAGAATGTATATCCTTCTAGACTGAGTACTCTGGAGTCTACAGAATTGACATTCTGCCTGTGAGGCATGTCTTTTCTGGTTAATTTATTTTTGGTTTGGTTTGCACGCCTAGTTAAATATTTAACCTGCACTCCTGGGTTAAAATTTTTGTGAGCTTTCTTATCTTGGTTTCTTTTTATTTAGTTTAACTCTTTTCCCTTGATTATTGCTAAAAATCTTTCAGGAACAAAATTAATTGTTCTGGATGGTGGGCACAGGATGGCTAATTAAAAGCCAGTGGGGCATTCATCACCATCTAAAAGACTGGTTTAAACTTCTACCATTTCCTGACAGGATTTATAGAATTTTCTTTGCTCTTGAGATATTAATAAGAAATGGAAAAGGATTTTCAAGCAATAAGGCATGCCAGGTTTTTTGGGACTCCAGAGAGCTACAAATTATAGCCCATTTTTAAACTGATGCACATTTTTAAATTGATGAACAAAATTACATCAAGAAAGATTCAGGCCAGGCACGGTGGCTCATGCCTATAATCCCAGCACTTTGGGAGTACAAGGCAGGCGGATCACCAAAGGTCAGGAGTTTGAGACCAGCCTGGCCAACATAGGGAAACCCCATCTCTACTAAAAATACAAAGAATTAGCTGGGCATGGTGGCACGTGCCTGTAGTCCCAGCTACTCGGAGGCTGAGGCAGGAGAATCACTTGAACCTGGGAGGTGGAGGCTGCAGTGAGCCAAGATCGTGCCACTGCACTCCATCCTGGGGGACAGAGCCAGATTCTGTCAAAAAAAAGAAAAAGAAAGGAAAGGAAGGAAGGAAGGAAGGAAGGAAGGAAGGAAGGAAGGAAGGAAGGAAGGAAGGTTGGTTCAGAGCTCAAATGGTGATTATTCAAACTATCAAAAAAAAAATTTCACAACTATAGAGCCAGCGTGTAGTCTTCTAAGTTCTCCATCTTTCTATTTTTTTTTTCTCCCTACTTTACTTTCAATCTGCTGACAAATCTACTGGCCTTGAGATAAAACTCACTGCTTATGGCATTCCAGCCATGATTTTTTTTTTTTAAGTCTCAGAATTTCAAATTTCTTAATTTTCAAAAGGCCTTCAAATTAATGACTTTACAAATTACAACAGCTTCATGGTAACCAACAACTTAGATAGCTTTAGGAAATATAAATTTAAGTTTTCCTAACAATTGATTACAATGATAGAACACTTAATTGAAAAACTAATAATTTAAAAGAAAAAGAACTAGGTAAGTGTTTATAAAAGGCTGTCATATCAAACAGGTCAATACTTTAAAGCTTAGAAAAATAATATCAGGAATCTCTGCTTGGCATAAAAATTTTACTTTTTCTGCCATACAGAGGCCAAAAAGAAACAACTGGGAAAAAAATGATAAAACTGATTGCTGAACAAAAATATGTTTGTTCTTGGCTTCTTAACCTTTATAGAAAGACTAAATATATTTGATTTATTAATAAACATTTTAAAAATTACAGCCTGGGCAACAAAGCATGACCTTGTCTCTACAAAAAATAAATCAGTAAATAACCAGTTATGGTGACACGCACCTATAGTCTCAGCTGCTCATGAGGCATTACAGGCATGAGCCACTGCACCTGGCCATTTTTTGTTGTGTTGTTGTTTGCTTTTTTTTTTTTTTTTGAGACAGAGTCTCGCTGTGTCGCACAGGCTGGAGTGCAGTGGTGCGATACCGGCTTACTGCAACCTCCACCTCCTGGGTTCAAGCAATTCTCCTGCCTCAGCCTCCCAAGTAGCTGGGATTACAGACACATGCCACCCTGCCTGGCTAGTTTTTTGTTTGTTTGTTTGTTTGTTTTTGTATTTTTAGTAAAGACGGGGTTTCACCATGTTGGCCAGGCTGGTCTTGAACTCCTGACCTCAAGTGATTCGCTTGCCTCGGCCTCCCAGAGTGCTTGGATTACATACGTGAGCCACTATGTCTGGCCCTCTTACCCTTTTTAATGCTATATTTTTCATTTGGCAGGATAATGATATTATTGAAATCTCATAATCAGAAGCTTCTGCTGTCAATTTAGCAGATTCTAGCCTAAGAAATCCTTTCCTATTCATTGGTTAAATAAGAAAATTTCTGTGCTATTGTTAATACTACCTGCTGTAACTGGATAAATTCCTTGGGAAAGTTGAGACCCTGTGTTAGTCTGTTTTCGAAGAAATACCTATGCTGGGCACAGTGGCTCATGCCTGTAATCCCAGGACTTTGGGAGACTGAGGTGGGAGGCTTGCTTGAGCTCAGGAGTTGGAGACCAGCCTGGGCAATATAGCAAGACCCTTGTCTCTAAAGAAAATAAAAATATATTCTTTAATTATTAAAAAAAAAAAGAAGAAATATCTGAGTCTGGGTAATTTAGAAAGAAAAGAGGTTTAATTGGCTGACAGTTCTGCAGGCTGTCCAGGAAGCATAGCAGCTTCTTCTTCTGGAGAGGCGTCAGGAAACATACAATCATGTCCGAAGGGGAAGGAGGAGCAGACACATCACATGGCTGGAGTAGGAGCAAGAATGAGAGCAGGGAGGTGCTACACACTTTTAAACAACCAGATCTCACGATAACTCACTATCATGAGAACTGCACAGAAAAGATGGTCCTACCCATTCATGAGAACCCCTCCCCATGAGCTAATCACCTCCCACTAGACCCCACCTCCAACATTGGTGATTACAATTTAATGTGAGATTTGGGTGGCAACACAGATCCAAACCATATCAGGCCCACTTACACAAAACAAGAAAACAGGCCACATGGTTACAACAGGTATTTGTACAACATGCAATTCCATATGGTCATTTGATTTAATCAGTTGGTTGTTTTTAAGCCTAGGTTTATGGCTCAAAAACATATTATGCAAATTGGGATTGTCATACTATTATTCATTTTACTTTGTATTTTTCCTTTTTAAACTTTGTATCTGCTACTTGTTAAATTTTTACAGAAGTACAACTCTTAACAAAATAATACTGGCTCAACACTTTGAGATGATGGTAAAAGACTATGGAACAGACAAAATTGAACTTTAATAATGGACTTTAGGTATACTTAGCCTGAGAGCCCCTCCCTTCGAACCTCCCTTGTTGCTTAAATATTGCTGAAAGTCTTTTGACACTGACTTCTAGTCACTAGTCACTAGTCACTACCCTTAACACGAGAAGAAACCAGCAACTGGGACAAATTCATCCCTGCACCGAGGGACATCAAAACCTAAGTACAGGCTGGGCGCGGTGGTTCATGCCTGTCATCCCAGCACCTTGGGAGGCCGAGGCGGCAGATCACTTGAGGCTGGGAGTTTGAGACCAGCCTTGCCAATATGGCAAAATCCCATCTCTATAAAAAACATGAAAATTAGTTAAGTGTAGTGGCACATGCCTGTAATCCCAGCTACTCTGGAGGCTGAGGCAGGAGAATTGCTTGAACTGGGAAGGCAGAGGTTGCAGTGAGCTGAAATCTTGCCACTGCACTCCAGCCAGGGTGACAGAGCAAGACTCTGTCTCAAAAAACAAAACAAACAAAGCAAAATACCTAAGTACAGGGTGATTAATCAGTGATACTTTCAGAGAAAGACCTTGATCAACAGAGGAAAATGTGAAAGTTGTCAGAATGAAAATAAAATCACTACTGTTAAAAAAAAAACACACACAAAACCCTAACAAATAGAACCAGAAAGGCTACGAAGAGAGAGTTCTCACACTTGTATGCCTGAAAACAAAAACATCACAAAAGGCTCTGCAAAAACCACAGCCTCACACAAAAGCTACCAAAACCTTAAACAAAAAATACTTCTGTAAGGACATCTGCCCTGCAACTGCCTGTCCACCTTTGGACTGGTATCACCTTTGTTATTGATCTTCGTAGCCAAAGATAATTATTATAAAACAATTATATAATCCTCCTTATTTCCTTTAAAAATCCTTTGTCTTCTTTTACCTCCCTGAATACACATATAGTTAATGATTGCAAAGCTTTATTCCCAAATATCATTTTCTCTTAGAGACCCTCTCTCTGTTACTTAGGTTGACCATGCTAATCCATTCACCATTCTGTGAGATCTGACTCGAAGACTATCTCATTATCCTAAAATATCCATTTTTCTGCTTTTCTGCTTAATTTTCCCTAAGTTTCTGTGACCCCTCCAAGTTATTTCCCAATGAGCAATTCTATCATTCCTCATTTAATTTCACTCTCTTAAATGTAAACTCTAATTAATTTATACCTTTGGCCTACTCCTTTCAGAGCCCTCTTCTTCCACAATTTGTTAGTTTGAGATTGTAAACTTCCGCACAAGAGAGCAGAATATTATGCTGGGTGGGTTAGTCCCAGTGATTGCAAAAAATGCCAGTGAGTATAATTTTCATATGCTGAGAATACTGGTGATTACATTTCACAGTTACTCATTAGCTTCTTGTCAGGCTGAGCATCACCAAGAGCAGGTCTGTAGGTGAATCCCATATAGGGGAGTATGGGAGAGGAGGTGAGCAGTGGCTGGAATCTAGCCAGCACCCCACTCACCAAGCTGTGTGAATCTCAGGGCATTCAGTGAGGCCCTGGCAAATGGGGATCAATATAAAAATACTCAGTAAGACGTCTTCTCTGACTTTAACGTGATTTACTGATAGAAGCCTGCCTTTCAGAAAACATCTTTTTCTTCTTTTTAGAATGTGGGAAGATGTGTGTGATAGAATACTAAATAAGTTGAGATTTACCTAGTTTTGTGGACAAAAATAACGCATATGACCAGAAAACAAAGTCAGTGCATCCAATTGTTTCCAGTATTATTTCTGCATGGAGGAGTTATGGATGATTCTTATTTATATCCTTATACCTTTAAAAATTATCAACAGCATGGCTGGGCTGGGCGATAGCTCACACCTGTAATTCCAACACTTTGGGAGGCTGAAGCAAGGGGATTGCTTGAGCCCAGGAGTTCGAGATTAACCTGGGTAACATAACAAAACTCCGTCTCTACCAAAAATACAAAAATTAGTTGGGCGTGGTGGTGCACTCCTGTTGTCCCAGCTACTCCAGAGGCTGTGGTGGGAGGACCACTTGAGCCTGAGAGGTCGAGGCTACAGTGAGCCGTACTGCACCACTGCACTCCAGCCTGGGTGACAGAGTAAGTCCTTGTCTCAAAACAAAAAAAAAAAAAAAAAAAAAGGAAGAAAGAAAATAAAAATTATCTACAGCAGATGTATTTTATCAGAAAAGACGGAACAATTTTTGCTTTGTATACACTGCTCCTCGTGTGGAATGCACTCTCCCTCTGTTCTGTCTGTTAGAGTTTCAAATCCAAGATAAATGTCAAGTCTTCTGTGAAACCTGTTTCCTAGTCTATTTTCTCCTTAACTTGACTTTTCCACCCTGATTTTTCCAAGTTCATTATTTGCCTAATACTTCCGCTTCCTGACCAGAAGAGGTCGGTGTTGCGTCGCTTAAGAAAAAGCAAAGCCTTTCTGATAAATTGTTTTGGGGTTTTTGTTTGTTTTGTTTTGCTCTTTTTTACTAAGGGAAAACTTTTTCTTTAGAAATATGATATTATATTTCCTAGAGATATTATGATATTATAGAAGTTAGACATAAACATCTATCAGTGCCTCTGTAACTAACAAGTTTTCAAGTGGAGTATTATCAACAAATGGAAACTTATAGCCTTTGGATTATTCTCATTAGTACCTAGCACTTTACTAAGCCACAGAGAATTTTATCTGATATGTAAAACTTTGAAAGTAGAAAAAGAGAAAACAAGAGAGAATACATTTAAACAGGAAAACCAAACTTTTCCAGGGACAAACTAAAAACCATTAGTACAGTACTTCAAAGCATCAACTTGGGAGTTAGACCAACTAGGATTTGAGGTTTTTTTGTGTTTTTTGTTTTTGTTTATTTGTTTGTTTTTGAGACGGTGTCTTGCTCTGTCAGCCAGCCTGGATCTCAGCAGTGGTGCGATCTCAGCTCACTGCAACCTCTGCCTCCCGGGTTCAAGTGATTCTCCTGCCTCAGCCTCCCAAGTAGCTGGGTTTACAGGTGTGCACCACGATGCCCGGCTAATTTATTTTGTATTTTCAGTAGAGACAGGGTTTCACCATGTTGACCAGGCTGGTCTCAAACTCCTGGCCTCAGGTGATCTGCCTGCCTTGGCCTCCCAAAGTGTTAGGATTACAGGCGTGAGCCACCGTGACCGGCCGGTATTTGAGTTTTGACTCCATCACTTACTGTGCAACTTTAAGCATGCTCCATACACCACAGGCCTCATCCTCAGCTTCTCATCTTGAAAGTGGGGATACTGATAGCTAATTCACAATATTGTTTTTATTTTGTGGTGGTAATGATGGGTTTTTTGTTTTGTTTTGTTTGTTTATTTGAGACAGGGTCTCACTCTGTCCCCCAGGCTGGAGTGCAGTGGTGCGATCTGAGCTCACTGCAACCTCCAAGCCGTGACTACAGGCGCACGCCACCACACCTAGCATAGCTGTCCGCTCTTTAATTTTCACTGTGGGAACTACTCTCCTGGCACCAAGTGTCTTACAATAACCTCTTAGTTCATCCCCTGCCTCCTCTCTCACCTTTCCCATAAATAAATTGGGACAATTCAGTTAATTCTGTATGCTGCTACTAGAATGATGTAGTCACCTGTGGTCCCTTCATCTTTCTGTTAAAAAGCCATTCATAGGCAGGGTGCGGTGGCTCATGCCCATAATCCCAGCACTTTGGGAGGCCGAGGAGAGTGGATCACTTGAGGTCAGGAGTTTGAGACCAGCCTGGCCAACATGGCAAAACCCCTTCTCTATTAAAAATTAAAAAAATTAGCCGGGCGTGGTGGCGCGGGCCTGTGGTCCCAGCTACTCAGGAGGCTGAGGCATGAGAATTGCTTGAACTCGAGAGATGGAGGTTGCTGTGAGCTGAGATCGCCACTGCACTCCAGCTTGGGTGACAGAACAAGACTGTCTAAAAAAAAAAAGCCATTCATGAAATGTTCTGTGGATGGATGGTGACGGTGATTCCACAACAATGTCAATGTACTTAGTGCCACTGAACTTACACTCAAAAATGGTTAAAATAATAAATATTATGTTATGCATATTTTATTACCAAAAAAATTAATGATTCAAACATCCACAACATAATGTTCTATAGGGACCATCACCATCCAACTCCAGTCAATCTTCATTAGTACAGCTGCATCTTACTGTATGATGGTCATACCACCCCCAGCGCCCCCACATACGCTTGCACTCACACTCCTTTCTCGGCAACAACTTCCTTCAAAGTCCTCATACCTAGCCTGTGCTTTTTCTTGGATTTAGCTCTTTTGTTTTTCAAACTTGCTGGATATAACCATATGCTGACCTTCCAGCCATTCAAAGCCCAGTTCAGCTGCATTTCGTCCATGAAGTCTTCCCTCTCATATCTGTCGTGTTGGAAATAATCTCTTTTGCTGGGCTTCAGTGTTTTCTATCACTATTCTGCCTGTATAAATCTTCTTAAGGACTGAGACCGTGCCTTAATCCTCTTGGTATTTCCCCTCACTTTTACCACAGTGCTTCGCACGGAGCTACTTGGGAGGCTGAGGTAGGAAGACAGCTTGAGCCAAGGAGTTGGAGGCTGCAGTGAGCCATAAATGCACCACTGCACTCCAGCCTGGGTGACAGAGTGAGACACTGTCCCCCCAAACTCCTCCCAAAAAACAGATGAATCTTCATTGTAAATGATTTGTAACAATGAACTCTGGACTTCTTAGCTATTTTTACTAGCTTAGCCATTTTACTTGGCCATTTTTACTAGGAGAAAAGTTTAACTCTTTTTTTCCTTTTTTGTTTTTTTTTTTTACCTTTTTTTCTTTTTTTTAAACTTTTTTTCTTTTTTCTTATTTTCGGAGAAAAGTCTCTTAAAAAACAAGAAAACAAAAACACAAAGAAAGAGTTTTGAACCTACTTGAGGACTGAGCTCCTGGTCTAATATAAATATACATTTTCTATTTCAAAAAATAGCATTCTTAGGCCAGGCGCGGTGACTCATGCTTGTAATCCCAGAACTTTGGGAGGCTGAGGTGGGTGGATCTCCTGAGGTCAGGAGTTTGAGACCAGCCTGGCCAACATGGTGAAACCCCATCTCTACTAAAAATACAAAAATTAGCCAAGCGTGGTGGCATGGGCCTGGAATCCCAGCTACTTGGGAGACTGAGGCAGGAGAATCCCTTGAACCTGGGAGGCGGAGGTTGCAGTGAGCTGAGATCGCACCGTTGCACTCCAGCCTGGGCGACAAAAGCCAAACTCTGTCTCAAAAAAAAAAAAAAAAAAAAATTAGCCAGGCACAATGGCAGGCCCCTGTAATTCCAGCTACTCAGGAGGCTGAGGCAGGAGAATCGCTTGAACCCAGGAGGCGGAGGTTGCAGTGAGCCGAGATCATACCACTGCACTCTAGCCTGGGTGATGGAGTGAGACCCTGTCTGAAAAAAAAAAAAAGAAGTTGGCTTTCCTTTAGGTGGATGTGGTAGTACACACCTGTAATCCTCGAAACTCAGGAGGCTGAGGCAGAAGAATCACTTGAACCCGGGAGGTGGAGGTTGCAATGAGCCAAGATCGCACCACTGCATTCCAGCCTAGGTGACGGAGCAAGACCCTGTCTCAAAAAAAAAAAAAAAAGAAATTGTATTTCCTTTTGTTCCTAAGCAGATAGCTACCGATAAAAGGTTAAATCTCTCTGTAGGTAGCTACTCTGTGTTCACCTTTTATGTAAAGTGCTAACTTATGATTTACTTAGAGCGAAATGAATACATAATTGACTATTACCCTCCCTGCTCCTTTTCTCCTGCAACATGTGGACTACCATACACTTCCTCTTTCCCCTCCAGCCCATTTTTCCCCTTTAAATATTGAAGCCCTCAAAATCATCTTTGGAGAAAGGCACAGACCACAGACTGTGTGATTTCTTGTTTATTTCTTCCAGGCATGTCCTTAAACTTGACAAAATAAACTTCTTAATTGATTGAACCTGTCTCAGATCTTTTTTGTTTACAGTAGTCACAGCCACAGCCCACATAACTGAGGCAGATTTAGAGAAATTGGATCATGGGTAAATGACTTTCATTTCCTATAAGCAAGGTTGATGATGTTGCTGTTTCACTAGTACAGGCTGCTTATGACCATGTTCATTCTGATTGATGAATACTACTGCTGAATAGTGTGTCAATGATTTTGATTACTGCTCTTTTCTGAAAGCTTTTAGGCCTAGCTTTTGAAAACAGAATGATCTAGAAACAGAGAGAAGAATCATTCTCCACCACCAAATACAGAGTGCTGAGTCCTCAGTACTGAACCCAAAGGCTGGTAGGTCATAGAGAGTATATCCTGAGTCTATAAAGGCAACTGATTTTGTTTTTGTTTTTGAAACAGAGTCTCACTTTGTCGCCCAGGCTGGAGTGCAGGGGCATGATCTCGGCTCACCGCAGCCTCCGCCTCCCAGGTTCAAGCGATCCTCGTGCCTCAGCCCCCCAAGTAGCTGGGATTACAGGCGTGCGCCACCACACCTGGCTAATTTTTGTATTTTTAGCAGAGATGGGGTTTCACTATGTTGGCCAGTCTGGTCTCGAATTCCTGGCGTCAAGTGATGCACCTGCCTTGGCCTCCCAAAGTGCTGGGATTACAGACGTGAGCCACCATGCCCGGCCGAGGCAACTGTTATATAAATACTTTAAGGTTAGCGAAAATATTGTTTAGACTCCATGCAAAAGTACTAACCATAAAGAAAAGAGTGAAAATTTGATGTTCATTAAAATTAAAAACTTATCTTCATCATAAGATTCCATTAAGGGAGTGAAAGGAAGGCCATAGACTGATAGAAGACATGTGAAATACATAAATCCAAAGTCTTCCATTCAGAATATATAAAACACCCCTTTAAATCAATAAGAAAAAAAATAAGCAATCCAATTTTTTTTTTTTTTTTTTGGAAATGGGGTCTTACTCTGTTGCCCATGCTGGAGTGCAGTGGCACAATCTTGGCTCACTGCACCCTCTACCTCCCAGGTTCAACCAATTCTCCCATTTCAGCCTCCTGAGTAGCTGGGACTACAGGCGTGTGCCACCATGCTCGGCTAATTTTTCTTTTGTTTTGTTTTTGAAATGTAGTCTCACTCTGTCACCCAGGCTGGTGTGCAGTGGCACGATCTCCGCTCACTGCAACCCCTGCCTCTCAGGTTCAAGTGATTTTCCTGCCTCAGCCTCCAGAGTAGCTGGGATTACAAGTGTGCACCACCATGCCTGACCTTTTTTTTTTTTTTTCATAGTTTTAGTAGAAACAGGGTTTCACCATGTTGGCCAGGCTTGTCTCAAACTCCTGATCTCAAGTGATCCACCTGCTTCTGCCTCCCGAAGTGCTGGGATTACAGGCGCGAGCCACCACACCTGGCCTAATTTTTGTATTTTTTGATAGAGACAGGATTTTGCCACGTTGGCCAGGCTCCAATCTTTCAAATGGGAAACAGACAAACAGGCATTTAACAAAAGAGAGCATCCTCTTTGTTCTCTGGCAGCGTGAGGGAAAAGCATGCCCCTTTATTTTCTCTAGGGACTTCTTGTCTCCTATGGATAGGCCTTGGGCAAATCACACACACACACACACACACACACACACACACACAGACACACACACCCCAAGCACAGATGAGCAATAATTCTCAGCGATGATGAAGTTCAAATCCAAACTAAGAACAACACACATTTTCCCAAACACAAAAATAATTTTCAAAGATGACTCCTGCACACAATGAAGAAAATAATTTGGGCTCTCCAGATCTTTGCACTAACAAGAAAATTATTTGTGATGCTTTACTTAGCAAAACAAAACAGCCATTTATACCTAGTCTCTACCATCAGCAGCATGAAGAATTAGCAAAGGCTTTGAAATCAATTTTTTTTTTCTGAAGATCACCAGGAGAAAAATGTACTGTCCTCTGTCTGGAGTCTTTGGAATTTAACTCTCTCTCCCTCAGACAACCACACACACACACACACACACACACACACACACACACACACCACTTTTTTCCTTTAATACTTTTTTTTTTTTTTCGAGACGAAGTCTCACTCTGTTGCCCAAGCTGGAGTGCAGTAGTGCAATCTTGGCTCACTGCAACCTCCGCCTCCCAGGTTCAAGCAATTCTTCTGCCTCAGCCTCCCGAGTAGCTGGGACTACAGGCGTGTGCCACCACAGCTGGCTAATTTTTTGTATTTTTAGTAGAGATGGGGTTTCACCGTGTTAGCAAGGATGGTCTTGAAGTCCCGACCTCAGGCAATCCACCCACCTCGGCCTCCCAAAGTGCTGGGATTACAAGCATGAGCCACTGCGCCCTGTCTTTCTTTTTTTTTTGAGATGGAGTCTCCCTCTGTTTCCCAGGCTGGAGTGCAATGGCGCAACCTCGGCTCACTGCAACCTCCATCTCCCGAGCTCAAGCGATTTTCCTGCTTCAGCCTTCTGAGTAGCTGGAACTATATGTGCGCGCCACCATGCACAGCTAATTTTGTACTTTACTATTAGTAGAGATGGGGTTTTGCCATGTTGGTCAGGCTGGTCTCAAATTCCTGACCTCAGGTGATCTGCCCACCTCAGCCTCCCAAAGTGCTGAGATTACAGGCATGAGCCACCACGCCTGGCCTCTCTGGCCACTTCTGATCTGTTCTTTGTTACTGTAATTTTGCCACTTCAGAAATGTAATATTAATGGAATCATAAGGCATATAACCTTTGAGACTGGGTTTTCTCACTCAGCATAATGCACTTTTAACTAATTAATTTACTTATTTTTTGAGACAGAGTCTCGCTCCATTGCCCAGGCTGGAGTGCAGTGGCACAATCTCAGCTCACTGCAACCTCTGCATCCCCGGCTCAGGCAATTCTCTTGCCTCACCCTTTCAAGTAGCGGGGACTACAGGTATGTGCCACGCCACTCAGCTAATTTTTTGTATTTTTTTTCAGTTGTTTGTTTCCTTTAAATTAACATCTAAATAGATTATACATGTTCTATAATTATAATATGGAAATGTATATGAGCAAAATATATAAATTTTTGGTGAATGCTTAGGGAAGAATGATGTCAGTCAAGTTCATCCAAGGTCTTAAGCAGCAGCATCTATGCAGCCAGGATGTGGTCAGAGTTTGGGGACAGAGGTAGATATCCGCAATCCATGCATCTCTTTGATTTCTTCTTTTAGTGCCTGATAAACCATCTGGTGCTGCTGGACAGTTCTCTTCTCCTTAAATTCTTCTGATTCAATTTTAATTTCATACATCGTCCCACAACTCCAGAAATGTCAGTGACTTTGATAGCTGTAGCTCGTGGAAACTTTTCTTTGAGAATTTGGGTCACTCTGAGCTCCCCCTCAGTCTGGGTGGCAAACATCCCATGGTGAAGTGGAAGCCCGCAGATCCCGCGGAGCAGAGGCGCTGCTGCGGCCGGGCTCCATGCCGCCATGCCCCGCTGACGCGACCCGCCGCCCGAGGTCACTGTATGCCCCTAATTTTTTTGTATTTTTAGTAGAGATGGGGTTTCACCATGTTGGCCAGGCTGGTCTCGAACTCCCGGCCTCAGGTAATCCACCCACCTCGGCCTTCCAAAGTGCTGGGATTACAAGTGTGAGCCACCGTGCCCGGCCAGACCAGCCCTTTGCAACATTGTAACCTCTGTGAGTTTGTTTTCATTAAATACACTTTCTCTTTTCTATATTTATGAGCCATTTTCCTAAAGATTGGGGCCTCATATCTTCAAAATGATAACTCCTTTCTTTCTTCTTTTTTTTTTTTTTTTTTTTTTTTGAGACAGAGTCTCACTCTGTTGCCCAGGCTGGAGTGCAATGGTGTGACCTCGGCTCACTGCAACCTCTGCCTCCCAGGTTCAAGTGATTCTCCGGCCTCAGCTTCCCAAGTAGCTGGGATTACAGGCGTCTGCCACCACGCCCGGCTAATTTTTGTATATTTTTAGTAGAGATGAGGTTTCACCATGCTGGCCAGGCTGGTCTCGAACTCCCAAACTCAGGCAATCCACCCGCCTCGGCCTCCCAAAGTGCTGGGATTACAGGCGTGAGCCACCGCACCCGGCATTCTTTCTTTCTTCCTTTTCTTTCTTCCTTTTCTTTCTTCTCTTTCTTTCTTTCTTTTCTTTCTTTCTCTCTCTCTCTCTATCTCTCTCCCCCCCTCTCTCTTTCTCTCTCTCTCTCTCTCTCTCCTTCCTTCCTTCCTTCCTTTCCTTTTTGGTCAGGATTATAAAGGTGTTCATCCTTTGTCTTTCTGGGGAGTTGATTAATTATTTTCAAGTACAGGAAGGTTCATTGTCATTCTGGTATTGGAAGACAAAGATGATACTTGTGTCATAGTTTTTTCAAGCAATCGCCTGTGCACTTTATCCTAAGTGTTTACCACACAAGAAGTCTTTGACCGGTGCTACCTGTCAGAGGAGAGAGAAGTTTTTGTGAGCCAAGGGTCAGAGTGGGTTCCAAGAGGTCACAGGATTTGAGGAGATGAGAGCTGGGCATGGTGGCATAGGCCTGTAGTTCCAGCTACTCAGAAGGCCAAAGCCGGAGGATTGCTTGAGTCCAGGTGTTCAAGGTCAATCTGAGCAACATAGTGAAAACCCATCTCTGTTAAAAAAAAAAAAAGGATTTGAGGAAATTAAAACTGCAGTGGACTTTCTACATGAGGAAAAAGTACAAATAGAGGCAATAAGGAAGTAAAAAACACCCACTGTATTTATGGGAAGGTGAAAACCTCCTGGGTAAAACAGAAGGTTTCTGTTGGAGAATAAAAAAATATACTGTTAGATAAGAAATGTGATGCATCCTGTAAAAAACTTTAAATCCCCAAACAAATGATTGACACAGATTACTGTGAATTAGAGGGGATGTTCATGATCAGAACAGGATTTGACAAAAATTAATCTGGCAATACTTCAAAGGATGAATTGGAGACAAAGAGACAGGGACACTTCTTTGGAAACATATCCAGGTAAGAAGTGCCAGATTCACATCAAAGCTGTGTGAATGAAGACAAAGGGGCTGCTTGTGACATTTTATGTTGGAGTGAATCACATACACAATGGAGAATTGGGCACATGGACACAGGTTTGACCCACAGCAGAAGAGGTGAATTGTACTTGGGAGTGATCTTTATAAAGGAGGTCAGGAAGGCAATATTAAAGAGAGTTATTTTAACCTCCAAAAAAAAAAGGAATAAAACATTTTTCTAGAAAGACAGATGGTGATACAGAGAGGAAAAAAAAAATCGGCCAGGCACAGTGGCTCACACCTGCAATCCCAGCACTTTGGGAGGCCAAGGCAGGTGTATTACCTGAGGTCAGGAGTTCGAGACCAGCCTGGCCAACATAGTGAAACCCCCATCTCTACTACAAATAAAAAAAGTAGCTGGGTGTGGTGGCATGTGCCTGTAATCCCAGCTACTCTGGAGGCTGAGGTATGAGAATCGCTTGATCCTGGGAGGCAGAGGTTGCAGTGAGCCAAGTTTGCACCATTGCACTCCAGCCTGGGCAACAAGACCAAAAGCCTGTCTCCAAAAAAAAAAAAAAAAGAAAAAAAGAAAGAAAATCAAGTAAGAAAGAAACCAAGGTGTGGTGTCAGAAGTAGTAAGACGTACGGAGCTTTCTTTTCTTTTCTTTTTGAGACTGAGTTTCGCTCTTGTTGCCCAGGCTGGAGTGCAATGGTACAATCTTGGCTCACCGCAACCTCTGCCTCCTGGGTTCAATCAATTATCCTACCTCAGCCTCCCTAGTAGCTGGGATTACAGGCATGCACCACCACGCCCGGCTAATTTTTGTATTTTTAGTAGAGACAGGGTTTCTCCATGTTGGTCAGGCTGGTTTTGAACTCTCGACCTCAGGTGATCCTCCTGCCCCATTATCCCAAAATGCTTGGATTACAGGTGTAAGCCACTGCTCCTGGTGGGAGCTTTCTTTTATGGTGAAATTTTTTAAGGAAGCATTTAGTATGACTAATCTGTTTTCCCCTTCCGAAATAGTTCACTTAAGTACAGCCTAATTAGGAGGGAATAGACTATGCACCCAAGATCAAGATTGGACTTGCTTTGTTACCTTCTAAAGACTCATGAGAGTGGCAATATTTAAGAATTGATACACTGAGAACAAGCCATGAATGGATGTGTGGGTGTGCATTTTTAATCAAAGCAGGAATGACATAACTAATCATGTCACTAACTCAAATTTCTCGTGTCTTAATGCAAATCAAATTAACACTATGACTCTCATTTATCTTATTAAAAAAGCAATTCCCAACATGTATTACTTATTTATTTAGAAAATAAATAACTTTATCAACCTGCTTTGGAGATATAAAATGCCCTGAGGAAGCAGTAGTCAGGATAAAAGCCAGCTACTGCCAATTATCTTATACTGCCCTCTTGGATTCAGAAACTCACAGCTGGGCATGCACCTGTCATCCCAGCTACTTGGGAGCCTGAGGTGGGAAGATTGCTTGAAAACAGGTGTTCGAGACCAGCTTGGACAATGTAGTGAGACTCCTATCTCAAAAAAAAAAAAAAAAAAAAAAAAAGAAGATTCACAAGCCTAGTTTCTCCCTGTTTCCTCTCCTTCACCACATTCCACTGATGTTGGCCTTCCTCCT
Source organism: Homo sapiens (assembly GCF_000001405.40). Taxonomy (NCBI): domain Eukaryota; kingdom Metazoa; phylum Chordata; class Mammalia; order Primates; family Hominidae; genus Homo; species Homo sapiens. The sequence continues at coordinate 126,666,826 of NC_000005.10, forward strand.
GTACTTCAAATATGGTGAGTTTGTCCCCATCTCAGAATGACCTGGAAAGTTCTTCCTGAGATTTTCACATGGCTGTCTCTTTCTTATCATTTATTTATTTATTTATTTATCTGAGACAGGGTCTCACTCTGTCACCAGGCTGTCACTGCAGCCTCGACCTCCCAGGCTCAAGTGATCCTCCCACCTCAACCTTCCTAAGTTCTGGGATTACAAGTGAAAGCCACCATGCCTGGCATCATTCAGCTTTTTCTTTTCCTTTTTTTTTTTTTTTTTTTTTGAGCAATAAAGCTTTTTAATCACCTGGGTGCAGGTGAGCTGAGTCCAAAAAGAGAGTCAGCAAAGAGTGGTGGGATTATCATTAGTTCTTATAGGTTTGGGATAAGTGGTGGAGCTAGGAGCAATTTTTTGTGGTCAGGGGGTGGATCTCACAAAGTACATTCTCAAGGTCGGGGAGAATATTACAAAGTACCTTCTTAAGGGTGGGGGAGAATATTACAAAGTACCTTCTTAAGGGTGGGGGAGAATATTACAAAGTACCTTCTTAAGGGTGCGGGAGAATATTACAAAGTACCTTCTTAAGGGTGGGGGAGAATATTACAAAGTACATTCTCAAGGTCGGGGAGAATATTACAAAGTACCTTCTTAAGGGTGGGGGAGAATATTACAAAGTACCTTCTTAAGGGTGCGGGAGAATATTACAAAGTACCTTCTTAAGGGTGGGGGAGAATATTACAAAGTACCTTCTTAAGGGTGGGGGAGAATATTACAAAGTACCTTCTTAAGGGCTGGGGAATATCGCAAAGTACGTTATCGCAAGGGCGGGGAGGGTGTATTGTTATAAGGTCAGTTGATCAGTTAGGGTGGGGCAGGAACAGATCACAATGGTGGAATGTCATCTTTCATAGTTCTTCAGTTGCTTCAGGCCATCTGGATGTATACATGCAGGTCACAGGGGATATGATGGCTTAGCTTGGGCTGAGAGGCCTGACTTCTTATAGTAATTATTAATTATTCCTGTCTTCTTATATTAATAAGAAAAACAAAACAAAATGGTGATGAAGTGTTGTGGCGGCGAAAATGTTTGGCGATGGTATGGAGAGATAATGGGGGATGTTGCTCAGGGCTGCTTCAAGTGGGATTAGGGGCGGCGTGGGAACCTAGAGTGGAAGAGATTAAACTGAAGAAAGATTTGGGGGTAAGGGGTGGTGGTGTGGGGTTGTTAGAGGGAGCATTTGTACAGAATGATTGGTGATGGCCTAGATGTGGTTTTGCATGAATTGAGAAACTAAACAGAAGACAAGAGGACCAAATAAAAGAAGGAGAAAAATAGGTACTAAAGGACTAAGAATTAGGAGTACCCAGGACATCCAATTAGAGAGTGTCCAAGGGGGTCCAGCATAGTTGTTTGCTTGGCTAGCGAGTTTTTGGGTTTTATCCTTGAGTTTTTTTTTTTATGTTGTCATATACCAGGCCAGATTGATTTAGGTAAAAATAACACTCTTCATTTAAAAATATACAGAGTCCCCTTTTTATTTTTGTAGCATTAAGTCGGGTCCTCAGCAATTTTGGAGGAAAGAGAAACGCAAAGCCAGCAATTGTTTGTTAAAGAAGGATTAGAAATGGCTAGGAGAGAGTGAGTAAGATTGACAGTGTGGTGGAGATAGCTGGGGAGAGGTAGAGGGTGGCATAGAATAAGAGTGAATATAAAAGTAAAGAATAGGACTTCATCAGGGTGAAAGTATTTGTGTGTGCCCTATCAGCAAAGATCATCTATCCACTCCAAGAGGGAGTCAAGAGTGGCAGATTGGGGAAAGTACCAGGAGATATCTGCTACGATGGTTTGGAGGAAAAGTGTAAACCGGCAGTGTAAACAAGGGCAGGGCATATACGAGTAGTTAAGAATGGTGAATAGGAGTATGACTAGACAGAAGATGGTAGGGATGACAAGTTTTTGGGGTGCAGTCCAAGTAGTGGGGGTGACTGCGTTGTAAAGAGTACTCTGCATTGTAAAGAGTAGGGTAAGGAAGAAGAGACCTAATAAAAATGAAAGGATGTATTAGGCTTATAAGGGTTACTATTATCCTTTAGGAATGCAGGTGAGTTTAAGGGAAGTAGGAGAGAGTACTTGCGACTTCCAGGCGGAAGAAGAGAAATCAGGCTGTCTGTCTGATGGGCACAGCTTTACTCTGGGATGATGAACCTAAAGGGAGGAGGGTCCTGCAGATGAACAGCTGTTGGGGTACTATAGATGACTAAGTGGGGTCCGGTCCACCGAGGTTGTAGAGTTTGAGGGGTCAGATTTTTAACAAGAACTGATCGATGAGCTAGGGTGTCTTCATATGGCTGGGAATCTAGGGTAGGCAAAAGAAGATTAGCAGCTCAGCAAATTTCCTGTCTAGCTTGCTGGAGGACTGGAAGATAATCACCTAGAGGGCTGGTGTCTGGAATGAGACTGGGGCCTAATCAAAAGGAGCGTCCATACAGGAGCTCAAATGGGCTGTACCCTGTAGCATCCCGAGGACAGGCCCGAATTCTGAGAAGGACAAGTGGTAAAAGTACTGTCCAGTCGTTTTTAAGCTGGAGGCTGAGCTTGGTGAGGTGTGTCTTTAAAAGACCATTAGTTCTTTCTACCTCTCCTGAGTATTGAGGGCAATAAGGAGCATGAAGTTTCCATTGAATGCCCAGGGCCTGGGAGACTGCCTGAGTGACTTGACTAATAAAGGTCGGTCCATTATCGGGCTGTATAGAGGTGGGAAGGCCAAACGGAGGAATTGTCTGACAGAAGGGAGGAAATGACCGTGGTGGCCTCATACCCTGTGGGAAAGGCCTCTACCCATCCAGTGAAAGTGTCTACCCAGACCAAGAGGTATTTTAGTTTCCTGACTCGGGGCATGTGAGTAAAGTCAATTTGTCAGTCCTGGGTAGGGGCAAATCCCCAAGCTTGATGTGTAGGGAAGGTGGGGGGGCCTGAACAATCCCTGAGGAGTAGTAGAATAGCAGATGGAACATTGAGAAGTGATTTCCTTGAGGATAGATTTCCATGATGGAAAGGAAATGAGAGGTTCTAAGAGGTGGGCTAACGGCTTGTAACCTACATGGAAGAGGTTATGAAAGGACAACAGAATAGAATGGGCCTGTGAGGCTGGAAGGAGATATTCTCCTTGGTCCAAGAACTGTTTGCCTTGTGTGGGAAGAGATTAATAGGTGGAAGTTTCAGTGGGAGAGTAGGTGGGAGTGACCGATGAGAAGGAGACAAACTGGCTGTGAGGGACAGAAGTTGGAACACTAGCTGCTTTTTAGCTACCTTATTAGCATAAACATTGTCCTGAGCGATGAGGCCACTGCAAGGTGGCCCTTGCAGTGAATGACTCCAGCTTCCTTTAGAAGTAAAGCAGCCTTGAGAAGAGTTTTCATTAAAGAGGCATTAATGATGGAGGGCCCTTGCCTAGTGAGGAAACCTCTTTCTGCCCATATAACAGCATGGTGGTGCAGGATATGGAAGGCATATTTAGAGTCAGTATAAATATTGATGCATAGTCCCTTTGCAAGAATGAGGGCCTGAGTTCAACCTACAAAATGGGAGAAAATTTTCACAACCTACTCATCTGAAAAAGGGCTAATATCCAGAATCTACAATGAACTCAAACATATTTACAAGAAAAAAACAAACAACCCCATCAAAAAGTGGGCGAAGGATATGAACAGATACTTCTCAACAGAAGACATTTAGGCAGCCAAAAGACACATGAAAAAATGCTCATCATCACTGGCCATCAGAGAAATGGAAATCAAAACCACAATGAGATACCATCTCACACCAGTTAGAATGGCAATCATTAAAAAGTTAGGAAGCAACAGGTGCTGGAGAGGATGTGGAGAAATAGGAACACTTTTACACTGTTGGTGGGACTGTAAACTAGTTCAACCATTGTGGAAGTCAGTGTGGTGATTCCTCAGGGATCTAGAACTAGAAATACCATTTGACCCAGCCATCCCATTACTGGGTATATACCCAAAGGACTATAAATCATGCTGCTATAAAGACACATGCACACATAAGTTTATTGCAGCACTATTCACAATAGCAAAGACTTGGAACCAACCCAAATGTCCAACAACGATAGACTGGATTAAGAAAATGTGGCACATATACACCATGGAACACTATGCAGCCATAAAAAATGATGAGTTCATGTCCTTTGTAGGGACATGGATGAAACTGGAAATCATCATTCTCAGTAAACTATCGCAAGGACAAAAAACCAAACACCGCATGTTCTCACTCATAGATGGGAATTGAACAATGAGAACACATGGACACAGGAAGGGGAACATCACACTCTGGGGACTGTTGTGGGGTGGGGGGAGGGGGGAGGGATAGCATTAGGAGATATACCTAATGCTAAATGATGAGTTAATGGGTGCAGCACACCAGCATGGCACATGTATACATGTGTAACTAACCTGCACATTGTGTACATGTACCCTAAAACTTAAAGTATAAAAAAAAAAAAAAAAGAATGAGGGCCTGAGTTAAGGCAATGAGTTCAGCTTACTGAGAGGTAGTGGAGGGGCAGAGTGGTAGTCTCAATGATAGATGTGGAAGATACTATAGCATAGCCTGCCTTTGCTGGTGTGTGGTGATTAGGCCTGGTGGAACTGCTATCGATAAACCAAGTGTGATCAGGGTGAGGAACAGGAAAGAAGGAAATATGGGGAAATGGAGTGAATGTCAGGTGGATCAGAGAGATATAGTCATGGGGGTCAGGTGTGGTATCAGGAATAATGTGGGAGGCCGGATTGAAGTCCAGGCCAAGAACAATGGTAATTGTGGGAGACTCAACAAACAGTGAATACAGCCAAAGGAGCCGGAGGGCAGAAAGTATATGTGTCAGGTGTGAGGAAGAAAATAGACTTTGAAAGTTATGAGAACTGTAGAGAGTGAGTTGAGCATAGTTTGTGATTTTGAGGGCCTCTAAAAGTATTAAAGAAGCAGCAGCTGCCACACGCAGACTTGAGGGCTAGGCTAAAAGAGTAAGGTCAAGTTGTTTGGACAGAAAGGCTACAGGGCGTGGTCCCAGCTCTTATGTAAGAATTCTGACCACACAGCCCTGCACTTTGGCTGTGTGTAATGAAAAAGGTTGGGATGAGTTAGGGAGAGCTAGTGTGGGAGCAGATTTTAGGGCTGTTTTTTAAGGAATGGAAAGGGGAGTGGGGCAAGGATTTAGGATTTATGGGGTCAGCTAGGTTTATCTAGAACAGAATAATGGGTTGTAGAGGGAGATATTGAGGATAGGAGAGTATATGGGTTTGGCACCATGGGGTGGATAGGCAAGACAATTTGGTTGATAAGGCGCAGATTCTGAACTAACCTGTAAGGCTTGTCTGGTTTTTGGACAGGTAAAATGGGGGAATTGTAAGGAGAGTTTATAGGCTTTAAAAGGCCATGCTGTAACAGGCAAGTGATGACAGGCTTTAATCCTTTAAAGTGTGCTGTGGGATGGGATATTGGCATTGAGTGGGGTAAGGGTGATTAAATTTTAATGGGATGGTAAGGGGTGCATCATCCGTCACCAAGGAGGGAGTAGAGGTGTCCTATACTTGTAGATTAAGGTGGGGAGATACAAAGGGAGGATGTGAAGGAGGCTTTGAACTGGGGAAAAAGGTGGCAATGAGGTGTGGCTATAGCCCAGGAATAGTCAGGGAAGCAGATAATTTAGTTAAAATGTCTCGACCTAGTAAGGGAGCTGGGCAGGTGAGGATAACTAAAAAGGAGTGCATTAAAGAATGTTGTCCAGCTGGGCGCGGTGGCTCACGCCTGTAATCCCAGCCCTTTGGGAGGCCGAGGAGGGCGTATCATGAGATCAGGAGATCAAGACCATCCTGGCTAACATGGTGAAACCCCGTCTCTACTAAAAATACAAAAAATTAGCCAAGCATGGTGGCAGGCGCCTGTAGTCCCAGCTACTTGGGCGGCTGAGGCAGGAGAATGGCATGAACCTGGGAGGCGGAGCTTGCAGTGAGCCAAGATCGTGCCACTGTACTCCAGCCTGGGCAACAGAGCAAGACTCCACCTCAAAAAAAAAAAAAAAAAAAAAAGAATGTTGTCCAAGTTGGCACCACAGTTGGGGAGTTTTAAGGGGTCTAGCAGCCTGGCCATCAATACCCACAACAGTGGATGGTGGCAAGGGAAACGGGCCCTTGAAAAGAAGGTAATGTGGAGTGGGTAGCTCCCGTATTGATTAAACAGGGTGTCAGGCCTCTGAGCCCAAGCTAAGCCACCATATCCCCTGTGACCTGCATGTACCCATCCAGATGGCCAGTTCCTGCCTTAACTGATGACATTCCACCAAAAAAGAAATGAAAATGGCCTGTTCCTGCCTTAACTGATGACATTATCTTGTGAAATTCCTTCTCCTGGCTCATCCTGGCTCAAAAGCACCCCTACTGAGCAACTTGTGACCCCCCACTCCTGCCCGCCAGAGAACAACCCCCCTTTTTCCTTTACCTACCCAAATCCTATAAAACTGCCCCACCCCTATCTCCCTTCGCTGACTCTCTTTTCGGACTCAGCCTGCCTGCACCCAGGTGAAATAAACAGCCTTGTTGCTCACACAAAGCCTGTTTGGTGGTCTCTTCACACGGACACGCATGAAACAGGGGATGGACTTACCCTCCACTGTAAGAGTTACTCGAAGCTCGGGGTCCGTGATAGTCCCGGAGCTTCCAAAGCGATTGGGCAGCGTCAGTCTTCAGCTGTTGAGCCAAGGAGATCTGGAAAGGAGTCGGCCAAGGAACGTTGGGTTTGAGCTCTGGGAGCTTTAGGAGTGGCAGCTATGTGAGTTGGACAGTCCGACTTCCAGTGGGGGCCCGCACAGACAGGGCACAGCTTAGGAGGAATCCCGGGCTGCAGGCATTCTGAGGCCCAGTGGCCAGGCTTTTGGCATATGAAGCAAGGTCCACAGGGAGGTTTTGAAGGAGCCCCTGGGAGATGTGGCTTGGATGTTCTGAAGTTTTTGTATGCTGGAGACAGGGTTTTGGGTTGTCTTACAGTGGAGGCAGGTAGCTGTAACTCAGAGATGCATTGTCGCTTGGCTGCTTCTTCTCTATTATTGTACACCTTGAAGGTGAGGTTAATTAAGTCCTGTTGTGGGGTTTGAGGACCAGAATCCAATTTTTGGAGTTTTTTTCTAATGTCGGGAGGGGTCGGGTAATAAAATGCATATTGAGAATAAAACGGCCTTCTGTCCTCTCTGGGTCTTGGGCAGTAGAGCATCTAAGGGTTGTTGTCAAATGGGCCATGAACTGGGCTGGGTTTTTATAGTTGATGAAAAAGAAAAAAGAGCCTAAATGCTAACTGATTTGGGAGAGGTCGGTTAAAGAAAAAGGAGCATTAACCGTGACTATGCCTTTAGCTCCAGCCACCTTTCTAAGAGGAAACTGTTGGGCAGGTGGGGGAGGGCTAGTCCCAGAACGAAGCTGTAAACCAGACCAGGTGTGAGGAGGGGAGGTGATAGAATGATTATAGGGTGGGGGAGGGGAGGCTGAGGAAGAATTGGGACCTGGCTACACCTGGCGCGGAGCAGCCTGGGGAGGAGGGGAGAGGTCAGATGAGTCCGTAGGAAAGGAGGATTCAAAGGACTCAGAGCTTGGAGTGGAGACTGAAGGAACAGACAGGAGAGAAAGAGGAAAGATTTGGGAAGAGTCGCATTGGGAGCAGAGATTAGGAAGGGACCGATGTGTAAAAGAATGCCTGGACGTCAGGCACCTCAGACCATTTGCCCATTTTTCGACAAAAATTATCTAGATCTTGTATAAGGATCTTGTATAGGATAGACAAATCGAAAGTGCCATTCTCTGGCCACTTGGAACTACTGTCGAGTTTGTATTGGGGCCAAGCAGTATTGTAGAAGAAAATAAGACATTTAAGTTTAAGTTCTTGAGAGAAGAAGGGGGAATGGAGGGCAGAAGTTTAGTGAAAAGACCGCTTACCCGATTTGAAATTGGTGAGATGTTCCTTGGGCTGGCTGGTCTGAGGACCCAAGGTCGTAGGTGGATCTCCTCATGGAGTGAGGGCGAGGACAGGGGGCTGGTCTCCCAAAGGAGTCCTCCTGTCCCAGGTTTTCAGCACCAAATGTCACGCACATCCACATGAAGATACCGCCAAACAGGCTTTGTGTGAGCAATAAAGCTTTTTAATCACCTGGGTGCAGGCGGGCTGAGCCGGAAAAGAAAGTCAGCCCAGTTTTTTCTTTTTTCCTTTTTTTTTTTTGAGGTAGAGTCTCACTCTGTCACCCAGGCTGGAGTGCAGTGGTGCAGTCGCAGCTCACTGCAACCTCTGTCTCCCGGATTCAAGCAATCCTTGTGCCTCAGCCTCTGGAGTAGCTGGGATTCCATGTGTGCACCACCACGCCTGGCTAATTTTTGTATTTTTAGTAGAGACGGGGTTTCACCATGTTGGCCAGGCTGGTCTCAAACTCCTGGCCTCAGGTGATCCGCCTACCTCGGCCTCCCAAAGTGCTGGGATTACAGGGGTGAGCCACCTTGCCCAGCCACATTGTTCAGCTTTTAAATTGAATGTCATCTCCTAGGGGAGGTAGAGCAGATGCTGCTGGGTGCCCTGCCCATACCCCCTCACCAGGCTGTGCATTCACCCTCCAGCTGCTACAGGCCTTGGCTGCTAATGGCTCAGGCCATTGTCCTTTCACAGAGGATTGTTGTTGGCTGAGAGGAGCCTCCTCCCCTAGAAGTGGGTCCTGAAGATGATGGCTGAGAGGTTATGTCCTCCTCCTGGAGGAGCCAGGGCCAAAGACTCACTGATGAAGAGATATAGCAGCCTTCTGGTCTCGGGGTGGGACAACTTCTGTGGTACAATTAACAGCTGAGAGCTTGCCGTGGGGATGAGGTGGAGGCTAAATTTCCTTTATTATTATTATTATTGTTTTTTTTTTTTTTTTGAGGCAGAGTCTCACCACTCTGTTGCCCAGGTTGGAGTGCAGTGGTATGATATTAGCTCAGTGCAACCTCCGCCTGCCTCCCGGGTTCAAGCGATTCTCCTGCCTCAGCCTCCCAAATAGCTGAGATTACAGGCACACACTACCGTGCCCGGCTAATTTTTTTATTTGTAGTACAGACGGGGTTTCACCATGCTGTCCAGGCTGGTCTTGGACTCCTAATCTCAAGTGATCCACCCGCTTCGGCCTTCCAAAGTGCTGGAATTACAGACGTGAGCCACTGCGCCCGGCCAGGAGGCTAAACTTCTGAAGTCATTTTGCCTAACTTTTTCCCTGGTGTCTTCTACTTTTCTTACTCCCAGCTTCCTTCTTAAAATCACCGAAGGAAGAATTCCTGCCTCAGTTTCTGCCCACCGGGGAACATAATCTAAAGGTAGTGACAGAAGTTGGCCTAGGAAAGTGACTAGATCTAGATTTGGACATTGGATCACTCGTCCACTAGATGGCAGTGAGAACCCCATCATCGGTGGTGGGAATTACTGTGATGATGCAATTGCTAAAATGTTCACCTGTAGTTTACTGGGGACGAAGTGTAGTTAGAAGTTGTGTTAACTTGTGGAATGGCTCTGGCATTTGAGTGTATGGAGAAAGCAGGGGAAACCTGGGCATGCAGGGCCACTGTACTATTTTTTCAACTTCTTGTGTGTCTGTAATTCTTTCAAAATAAAAACTTTAAAAACTGAAGATAGGCTGGGCGAGATGGTTCACACCTGTAATCCCAGCCTTCTGTGAGGCCAAGGCAGGAGGATTGCTTGAGCCCAGGAGTTTGAGGCTAGTCTGGGCAACATGGTAAAACCTCATCTCTACAAAGAAATACAAAAATTAGCTGGGTATGGTGGTGCATGCCTATAGTCCCAGCTACTCAGGAGGCTGAGGTGGGAGGATCGCTTGAGCCAGGGAGGTCAAAGCTGCAGTGAGCCATGATTGTGCCCCTGCACTCCTGCCTGGGTGACAGGGTGAGACCCTGTCTCAAAACAAAACAAAACAAACCACTGAAGTAAATAAATAGCAATATCATGAAAACAATATTGTATCCTAGGTGGACTAGTAAACATTAGTACCATCCTCAAGGATTAAAAGATGCAGAAACAATGATTCTCACATATCCCTATTTAATTCAATAACTTGGTTTCTGCAAAAATCAAATGAATTGTGCCAGATGACATGGACTACCAGAAACTCAACAAATAGTATCCCCATTTAAAGCTCTTGGACTGGAAGTATTATTTTTACTAGAACAGATTAACATAGATTTTGATATGTGGTGTGTAGCTATTGGACTGGCAACTATATAAATATAAATTAATGCAATTGAATATATTCATGACTTTGTGTCAGGACTATGTTAACGCTCCTATTCTCCATCACAATGCAGTCCAAAGGGACCCAGATCATGTGGCCATTCCACAGAATTTCACATTCAGCAGTTATGTTGATATGATAAGTGAACATAAGAAGTACCCTGGGTTGCTGATAAGACACATGCACTTCAGAAGGTAGAAGATAAGCCCTTAAAGGAGTCTGCCACATGCATTGGTGAAGTTTACAGGGGTCCAGTGCTCTGAGGCATGCCGGCACATGTCCTCTATGGTAAAGAACAAGCTATTGTACCTTCCAACTCCTACCACTAAGAAAAAAGCACAGAGCATGGTAGGCCACTATGCATATTGGAGTTATGTATCACACTTGGAGAACACTGCTTTGATTCATTTATTAGATGATGATGAAGGTTACCAGTTTATTTATTTATTTTTATTTTTATTTTGAGACAAAGTCTCGCTCTTGTTGCCTAGGCTGGAGTGCAATGATGTAATCTCGACTCACTGCAACCTCCACCTCCTGGGTTCAAGCAATTCTCCTGCCTCAGCCTCCCGAGTAGCTGGGATTACAGGTGCCCACCACCACACCTACCTAATTTTTGTATTTTTAGTAGAGACGGGGTTTTACCATGTTGGCCAGTTCATCTCAAACTCCTAACCTCAGGTGATCTGGTTGCCTCAGCCTCCCAAAGTGCTGGGATTACAGGAGTAAGCCACCGCCTCCAGCCTTAAAGTTACCAGTTTAAGTGAAACCCAGGGCAGAAAAAGGCTCTATAGTAGATCCAGTTTGCACTGCAAGGAACATTACCACTTGGGCCATATGACCAAGGAGATTCTAAGGTACTAGATGTATCTGTGGTAGATAAAGATGCAGTGTAAAAGCTCAAATATGAGAATCTCAGGGCAGATGAGAAGGGTTCTGGGGCAAGGCCAAGCCACTGGCAACAAAACTATATACCATTCGAAACACAGCTTCTGGGCCAGGCGCGGTGGCTCATGCCTGTAATCCCAGCACTTTGAGAGGCCAAGGCAGGCAGATCACTTGAGGTCAGGAGTTTGAGACCAGACTCGCCAGTGTGGCAAAACCCCATCTCCACTAAAGATACAAAAATTAGTTGGGCGTAGTGGTGTACACCTGTAACCCTACCTACTCTGGAGGCTGAGGTGGGAGAATCACTTGAACCTGGGAGACGGATCTTGCAGTGAGCCAAGATTGTGCCACTGCACTCCAGCCTGTATGACACAGCGAGGCTCCATCTGAAACAAACAAACAAACAACAACAAAAAAGCAACAACAACAACAAAAACCAGCTCTGGCGTGGTGGCTCACACCTGTAATCCCAACAGTTTGGGAGGCCAAGGTGAGTGGATCACTTGAGCTCAGGAGTTCAAGACCAGCCTAGCCAACATAGTAAATCCCATCTATACTAAAAATTCAAAAAATTAGCCAGGTGTGGTGGCATGGGCCTATAGTCTCAGCTACTTGGGAGGCTGAGGCATGAGAACTGCTTGAGCCTCGGGAGGCAGAGGTTGCATTGAGCCAAGATCAGGCCACTGCACTCCTGCTCAGGCAACAGAGGGAGACCCTGTCTCAAAAACAAACAAACAAAAAACCCAGCTTCTCACACACTATTGGGACCTGGAAGAGACTGATTATGAGACATCCAATGATCATGAAATTAGAGTGAGCTGCCTATTATGATCTACCAAGTCATAAACTCGCAGATGTCAGTGCATTCCATCATAAGGTGGAAACAGTACATCTGAAACTGGGATCAGGTAGGTCCGGAAGGCACAAATAATCTGTACAAACTGATGTCAGTAGTCCAGGCTGACATATCACCCACTATTCTTACACAAACATTTTTCCTTCAGCTCATACCTATAGTTTCATGAGGCTTCACTAGGACCACCCAATAGAGAAAGAAAAATCCTGGCCTTGGTATGTTGCTATAGGCAGAAAAGAGACTGTTGCTGCTCTACGGCCCATTTGGGCTGAAAGATAATGGTGGACGCTAATTATCTCAATGGCCAGAAATTCAGGGGACGGGGGACTCCTGGTTGTCTACTATGTGTGGAGAGAAACATTGCCCAGCAAAAGGTGGGGATACATGGTTCATGGGCAGTGGCAAGTGGTCTGCCGGCTTGGAAATAACAAGACTGAAAAAAATTACAAAGAATGCCTGGAGAGGCTGGACATGGTGGCTCATGCCTGTAATCCCAGCACTTTGGGAGCCCGAGGCAGGTGGATCACCTGAGGTCAGGAATTTGAGACTAGCCTGGCCAACATAGTGAAACCCTGTCTCTACTAAAAATACAAAATTAGCTGGGCATGGTGGCACACGCCTGTAATTCCAGCCCCTTGGAAGCTGAGGCAGGAGAATTGCTTGAACCCGGGAGGCAGAGGTTGCAGCAAGCCAAGATTGTGCCACTGCACTCCAGCCTGGGCAGCAGAGCGAGACTCCGTCTCAAAAACAAACAAAAAAAGAATGCTTGGAGAAGAAGCATGTGAGTAGATTGATGGGAGTGGGCAAGAAATGCCAGCTAATGTCCACTAGAGAGCATGCACTGCAGATGAGGCTCTAAACAGGCAGTCACCTAGTGGATGCCAGCTAGCTTCTATCCTCAGCCACACCAGCGTTTGCACAGTGGTTTATGAGCAGAGTAGCTGTGGTAGAAGCAATGTGGGTTATGCGTGAGTTCAGCAGCATGGGTTCCCTCTCAAAAATGCTGATCCAGTTACTGTTGCTGCTGAGTGTCCAGCCACAGGAACAAAGAGCAAAACTGAGCCCTCCAGGCAGTACAGCACCTTGAGAAAACCAACCGCTACTTGTTGGTAAAATGATTATATCAGACCCCTTTCATTCTGCAAAGAGCAACAATTCAACCTGGGCAACACTGTATTTATTATAGCCTCAGGACCAGCCGCAGCAGTCAGGGTTGTTCAGTTTGTTCCACTAGCCTTTCTCTTTTAAGGTCCCAGAAATTGCACCAGCCAGAATCCCAGAAAACCTGCAGCCAGATGGACTGACATTAACATGAGAAACATTTGGAGCTGAATGGTACAAAGGGTAGACTGTAGCAGATGCTGTTGGTGCCCTCATAAACCCCCCTAGACAGGCTGGTGTGCCAGCATTGGCTGCTAATGGTTTACACATGTGCTCCTCCCCAGAGATTTGCATTTGGCTGAAGGGAGCTGCCTAAGCCTCAGATGACTGAAAGATTAACATACTCCCCACCCCACAGATAATCTGTGGTCAATGACTGTTGGATGCAGGGGAATAGGCCCAGCCCCTTGCTTCCGGAAGGTTCACCAAACATTTGTGCTCCCCCTTCCACAGTGCCCGGAGGCAGTGTCCAGCCATAGACTGCATTTCTCAGCCTCCTTGCAACGAGCCAGGGCCATGTGGATAGTTCTCATCAGTGGAATGTGAGAGGAAATGAGATGTATTCTCTCAAGACCAAGAAGATTAAGAAGCCTTCTCTGCTTGTTCTTTCTCCATCCTTCATCCTGCACGCAGAGGACATGGAAACCCTACAGCTGGGTTAACCCTACTGGTTAACCCTACCCAGATTAAAGGAGCTTGGGTTCCTGAATCACCTCATGGAAGGCTGCCACCAGTCAGGAACACCTGCACTGTTAAGTGAATGAGAAATAAACTTTTACTGTGTTTAGCCACCAAGGTTTAGGAGTTGTTTTATTTTATTTTATTTATTTTATTTCATTTTATTTGAGACGTAATTTCGCTCTTGTTGCCCAGGCTGGAGTGCAATGGTGCAATCTCGGCTCACCGTAACTTCCGCCTCCCAAGTTCAAGCAATTCTCCTACCTCAGCTTCCCGAGTAGCTGGGATTACAGGCATGTGCCACCAAGCCCGGCTAATTTTTCGTATTTTTAGTAGAGACGGGGTTTCTCCATGTTGGTCAGGCCATTCTTGAACCCCAGCCTCAGGTGATCCGCCCACCTAGGGCTCCCAGAGTTCTGGAGTTACAGGAGTGAGCCACTGCGCCCGGCCAGGAGTTGTTTTTTTAAAGCAGCAGCAAGAGGGATATTAATCTAACTAGTATACCCTCTACCTAGGAACTCTAATGGAATTTCTGATGTACTAGAAAGTTGAACTGCATGTTTCCAAAGGTTTCTTTTCATCCAGATTCTCTGGCACATCTCTGAAAAATGACTGAATTGTTTTAGTTATTCTGCCTAAAGATTACATTGCTAACGGTGTCACTTAGCTATTCTATTGTAAACATGATAAAGCACAAAAGCCCATGGCTGAGAACTAGATTCCAGTTCTGGCTCCTCTACCAGCGTGTTATAGGGTCTGGTAAAAAAACTTTTTTTTTTTTGAGACGGAATCTTGCACTGTCATCCAGGCTGGAGTGCAGTGGTGCGGTCTCAGCTCATTGCAACCTCCGCCTCCTGGGTTCAAGCGATTCTCGTGTCTCAGCCTCCCGAGTAGCCGGGATTACAGGCACCTGCCACCATACCAGGCTAATTTTTGTATTTTTAGTAGAGACAAGGTTTCACCATATTGGCCAGGCTAGTCTCAAACTCCTGACCTCAGGTGATCTGGCCACCTCAGCCTCCCAAAGTGCTGGGATTACAGGCATGAGCCATTGCACCTGGTGGTAAAACGTAACTTTACCTCTCTGAGCCTGAGTTTTATCAACTGTAAGATGAAATGTGAGAGAGGTCAATGGGACCTCTAAGAGCCTTTCTAGCTCTGATATTTAATGATTATCTATAGTGTATTTCTTCAAGAAATACACAGCAACAGTTCTTTATAGGCTGAGAGGAGTGGGAGCACAGAACTTCAATGCATTAAATTTTGCAGTCAACTTAACTTACAATAAACTATTTAATCACTGAGTATCTTTTATTTTTGGAGTTTAACATTTGGAGATGAGTCAAAGACGCTAGATTCTTTGCTTCTGGCGCTAGATATAATCACGTAGACTCAAATATTCC
Source organism: Homo sapiens (assembly GCF_000001405.40). Classification (NCBI taxonomy): domain Eukaryota; kingdom Metazoa; phylum Chordata; class Mammalia; order Primates; family Hominidae; genus Homo; species Homo sapiens. The sequence continues at coordinate 126,682,128 of NC_000005.10, forward strand.
ATTCAATTAAGGCAGTAATTGGGGGTGATTTATCTTTCAGAGGAGTGCAGAATGGGGCCAAGGAAGTCCAGTGGGAAATGGCTGTGTTTGGCAATACCAAGAAACACTCCAGGGCACCTGGCCACCACCGCATCAGTGACGCATAGCCCAAGCCAATAATGAATTCAACGTTAAGCTAAAAGCTACTGAAATTTTAATTCCTTTAGAAACAAATAGGTATGGCTGTGTTCCAATAAAATCCTATTTTCTGGTTTCAGTAATCATTTTTTTAAAGAAAGTCATTTGGAAGGCACAAAATTATTAAAGAAAGATTTCCAAAAGCTACCGCAGATAAATCTGTTTTCCTGGTAAATGTAAAGTCTTCTGACATTCTGTTTTTCTGAATCTCACATAGTTTTTGTTTGTTTGTGTTTTGGTTTTTGGTTTTTGGGTTTTTTTTGTACAGGACAGGGCATTTAACTGATCACTTGATGCTTGTGTAAGAAATCCAGGCCAAGTGGGCCGGGGGTGGTGGCTCATGCCCGTAATCCCAGCACTTTGGGAGGCTGAGGCAAGGAGATCAAGACCATCCTGGCTAACACGGTGAAATCCCGTCTCTACTGAAAATACAAAAAATTAGCAGGGTGTGGTGGCGGGTGCCTGTAGTCCCAGCTACTCGGGAGGCTGAGGCAGGAGAATGGCGTGAACCCGGGAGGCGGAGCTTGAGGTGAGCCGAGATCTCGCCACTGCACTCCAGCCTGGGTGACAGAGCGAGACTCAGTCTCCAAAAAAAAAAAAAAAAAGAAAAAGAAAAGAAATCTAGGCCAAGTATAGACAAGGAAGGGACTGGAAAGCATCTGGGTCTCTGACTTTTTCTGGGCTGCCTATGTCTCTCACCCATTGTGTAATATGCATGTTTCCATTGGGCTGACTTTCCCACAAGTGAGGACAATGAGCAATCCTCAGAGGCTGGGCTACTAGATTCAGTTTCAACTGTTGGATGATGCCTTGCTGAATAGCCATGCAAGTTTTTGTCAAATTCTAGTGCTCAGCTGCAGTTTGAGCAAAGACATCTTGTAAGGCTTTTCAAGGGACAGAAAAGACAGATGATCTCTTCCCCCTCTTTGTCAAGCATTTTGCTCCATTCAGTTTACCACAAACCTGGCTCTTCAGTGTTTAATCTGTGTACTCCTATTACTAGTATAAAAGGAACAGTGATTTCCTTAAGAACTGAGACCTAAGGTGTTGCTGGCTTTCTCTGCTGAGGATCTGGGGAATTATTTCAAAATCTCCTTACAGAAAAATGCATCAAACACTAGAGGAGGTTAATATAGTTTGGATATTTTCCCTCTCCAAATCTCATGTTGAAATTTGATCCCCAATATCGGAGTGGGTCCTAGTGTTTGGGTCACGAGGGCAGATCCCTCATGAATGGCTTGGTGCCATCCTCGTAGTAATGAGTGAGTTCTCTCTTGCTCTACTAGGTTCCCTCAAGAATTGGTTCTTAAAAAGAGCTTGGTACCTTCCCCTCTCTCTTGCCTCCTTCCTCTTGTCATGTGATGCCTGATCCCTTCTGCCTTCTGCTGTGAGTGGAAGCTTCCTGAGGCCCTCATTAGAAGCCGATGCTGGTACCATGTGTCTTGTACTGCCTGCAGAACCGTGAGCCAAATATAACCTCTTTCTTTATAAATTACCCAGTCTCAGGTATTTCTTCATAGCACTGTAAATAGACTAAGACGAGGTGTTGGAGGATCTAAGACCCGTTCCATTAGGAACGAACAGCATCTAGCACGTGCTTCTAGTATCACCTGGACTTAAAATCTCCGTGGCCTCTGTGTTTCCTCTTTTACCTTCTAAAACCATTCATTTGCCAACTTATGTCTAGTCAATATACACAGGGTTTTTCATATCATTCCTTTCTAAAATTGCCATCACTTATTTCAGGCTCCCTCAATGACACCATAGCATTAGACTCTGAACAGCCTTTCTAGCCCCAAGGCATCTTGACATGCTAGTAGACTATTCATTTTAAACCCATTTCCTGTCCTATTTATTTCTGCTCATTTCTTCTCAGTGGTTGTCTACTGCATACGTAATTAAATATAACCTTACCCTGGCATATCTTAAAATTAAGCTTTAACTTGCTTAATTTTCCAGCATTAATTTTTCTTTTTCTTTTTTTTTTTTTTTGAGATGGAGTCTCACTCTCTTGCCCAGGCTGGAGTGCAGTGGCACAATCTCAGCTCACTGCAACCTCCACCTCCCAGGTTGAAGCTATTCTCCTGCCTCAGCCTCCCTAGTAGCTGGGATTACAGGTGGGTGCCACCAAGCTGGCTAATTTTTTTGGTATTTTTTTAGTAGAGACAGGGTTTCACCATGTTGGCCAGGCTGGTCTTGAACTCCTGATCTCAGGTGATCCACCCACCTCAGCCTCACAAAGTGTTGGGATTACGGGCGTGAGCCACCACACTGGCCTGAATTGTATTTTAAAAGGAGCTCTCGGCCAGGAGAGCTGGCTCATGGCTGTAATCCCACCACTTTGGGAGGCAGAGGCGGGCAGACCACCTGAGGTCAGGAGTTCGAGACCAGCCTGACCAACATGGTAAAACCCCGTCTCTACTAAAAACACAAAAATTAGCTAGACATGGTGGCGCATGAGTGCAATCCCAGCTACTCAGGAGGCTGGGGCAGGAGAATTGCTTGAACCTGGTGTCAGGCCTCTGAACCCAAGCTAAGCCATGGTATCCCCTGTGACCTGCACGTATAAGTCCAGATGGCCCGAAGCAAGTGAAGAATCCAAAAGAAGTGAAAATGGCTGGTTCCTGCCTTAACTGATGACATTCCACCACAAAAGAAGTGAAAATGGCCGGTCCCTGCCTTAACTGATGACATTACCTTGTGAAATTCCTTCTCCTGGCTCATCCTGGCTCAAAAGCTCCCCCACTGAGCACCTTGTGACCCCCCTCCCCTGCCTGCCAGAGAACAACCCCCTTTGACTGTAATTTTCCACTACCCACCCAAATCTTACAAAACGGCCCCACCCCTATCTCCGTTCGCTGACTCTCAGGTGATTAAAAAGCTTTATTGCTCACACAAAGCCTGTTTTGTGGTCTCTTCACACGGACGCAAGTGAAACCTGGGAGGCGGAGGTTACAGTGAGCCAAATGGTGCCACTGCACTCCAGCCTGGGTGATAGAGTGAGACTCTCAGAAAAAAAAAAGAAAAAAGGAGCTCTCTGACTTCCTGAGAGTAAACTGTGGAAAGACCAGGATAGAAACAGGAAAAATCATTTAGAAGCCTCTACAATAATCTGTGATGGTGGCTTAGACCAGGGTGGTGGGCAAGGTTATGAAAAGAAGTCAGAAAGAAGTCAGACTCTAGAGATATTTTAAAGGTAGAGCTGACAAGATCCACTGATGGGTCAAATACAGGATGTGAGAGAAAGGGAAGAGACAAGCATAATTTTAGTTATCCTTTGTCAACTAGAAGGATGAAGTCGGCATTCACCACAATGTGGTAGACTACAAGAGGAGCAAGTTTTGGAAGGTGGGGTGAAGGGAAGACAGATTTTTATTACATTATCAGTGATAACTTAAAAATAGTCCTAATCTTATTCAACATTTTCATTAAAATAGTCCTTTCTAGGCCAGGTTGTGGTGGCTCACGCCTGTAATCCCAGCACTTTGGGAGGCCAAGGCAGGAGGATCAGTTAAGGTCAGGAGTTCGAGAACAGCCTGGCCAACATGGGAAACCCTGTCTCTATTAAAAATACAAAAATTAGCTGGGTGTGGTGGTGTGCACCTGTAATCGCAGCTACTCGGGAGGCTGAGGCAGGAGAATCTCTTGAACCTGGGAACTGGAGGTTGCAGCGAGCCGAGATCATGCCACTGCACTCCAACCTGAGCAACAGAGTGAGATCCTGTCTCGAAGAAGAAAAAACAAAATAAAATAATAAAGTAAAATGAAATAAATTAAGACACATATTCTTTGACCAAGCAATTCTACTTCTAGCTGTGTATGTTAGAGATGTGATCACATACTTCTGAAAAGACACATACACAAGATTATAGTATGTAAGTAGTATGGTATGTAATAGCAAAAGATTGGAAGCAACTTAATACACAATAATAATAGAGTAATGGCCAAATAACCCGTGGAACATCTATTATAAACATCCATTAAAAATAATAAGGCAGATTTGCAAGATACATGATTAAAAGAAAAAGGCAAAGCGTAGAATGATTTGTATAGTAACTACCATTTGTGTAAAAACAATGAGAGAGACAGAATCCATGCATGTATGTTTGTAACTGCATGGAATATCTCTGCAAGTATATATGGCAAATTGATAAATATCATTGATTCTGGAAAGAAACTGGGTGGCTGGAGAATAAGAGTGGAAGGAGACTTTTTTTTTTTTAAACCAAGTATTTTAGCTTGAGTTTGTGGGAATCAAACTCTGAGATAGAAATGAGTGCAGAAGATTTGTTGGGGAGTGTTCTCTGGAGATAACACCTGCAGGAAGTGAGGAAAGCAGCACTTTTTCTTTTTTTAATGTGGGGCAAGTACAGCTGTCCCCAGGGCTCTGGGAGTTCTCTATGGTCTGTCAGGGAATCCCTGGGGGCTAAGACTGCAGTGGCCAGGTTTTGTGCTTATTTACTGGGGGGTGGATTGAGGGAAGAGCTATGTACCCTTGGAGTACCCTGGCCTGACCATCTTTCAGGACACGTCTTGGTCAAGGCTGTCCACCTGTTGCCCTTGGTCCTTGGGCACTGGGAGCCATGGTTGCTGCTGCCTGTCCAGCTGGGCTCCCTTCCTAGGCCTGCCTGAGACCAGAGGCCTTAGAAACCCACAGTGCAGTTGCAGCTGAGAACTCAGCCTGCTCTACAGTTCTGTGATGAGCTCTGGAGTTGGGATGGTCCTTCAGCATCATAACAAATTGAGGTAAGAAAAACAGGAGTTTGTGCCCCCAACCCCTGCAGCCCATCACTGGCCTAGGGCTGCCCTCTGGGAAGGCCCTGGGAAAGGTAGCTCCATGCGGTTCACCCATTGACATTCCCCACAGCAGGGTTAGGGATTTCAGAGCCCTGAAGAAGATCCGGGCAGAGCAACTTCAAGTTTGTTGAAAAATAAAATAGAGGCTGGGCGTGGTGGTTTACACCTGCAATCCTAGCATTTTGGAGGGCCGAGGTGGGTGGATCACTTGAGGTCAGGAGTTCGAGACCAGCCTGGCTAACATGGTGAAACCCTGTCTCTGCTAAAAATACAAAAATTAACGAGGCATGGCAGCACGTACCTGCAATCCCAGCTACACGGGAGGCTGAGGCAGGAGAATCACTTGAAACCAGGAGGCAGAGGTTGCAGTGAGCCAAGATCGCCCCATTACACTCCAGCCTGGGGGACAAGAGCAAAACTCTATCTCAATAAAAAAAGAAAAAGAAAATAGAATAGCTTGCGTATGGTGGGCAAGGAGCCAGTACTCTACTCTGAAATTATAGAAGGCTGGCACTGAAAGCCCTCCTTTGAAATTGTCTTTGGGGGCCGGTAGCCTTCTTTTCTTTAAACAGATTACTCTGACATTGGTTCGACCTCCTAGCCCTGTCTCATCCAAGAGGGTCTTTCTATTCCTTTGAGGCCCCCATTCTCCCTCAGGTGACAGAAGAGGAAAGAGAAATAACCAAAGTGACTTGCCTTGAGAAAGCAGTTTACCACTCTACTTTAAATGCCATATTTTATCTCCCAGTCTAATTTTAGCTAGAGATTCTTAGCTACATCTAACTATCTAACTTGAATCCATTATGGTATTTTCTGTTTTTTTGTTTTGTTTTGTTTTGTTTTTTTGAGACACAGTTTTACTCTGTTGCCCAGACTGGAGTACAGAGGCGCAATCTTGGCTCACTGCAACCTTCGCCTCCTGAGTTCAAGCGATTCTCATGCCTCAGCCTCCCAAGTAGCTGGGACTACAGGCATGCGCCACCATGCCCAGCTAATTTTTGCATTTTTAGTAGAGACAGGGTTTCACCATGTTGGCCAGGCTTGTCTTGAACTCCCGACCTCAAGTGATCCTCCTCCCTTGGCCTCCCAAAGTGCTGGGATTGCAGGTGTGAGCCACTGTGCCCGGCCTTATTATGTTTTAAAAGGAGTTTGGTATCTTTTTCTTTGTGCTCTTTTACTTCCTTATTTATAAAGTTTAATAATTCACATGTTGCCTAGATTCTTCAACAAACAAATGAGATTTTTTTTTTTTTTTTTTTTTGAGATGGAGTCTTGCTCTGTCACCCAGGCTGGAGTGCAGTAGCACGATCTCAGCTCACTGCAACCTCTGCCTCCCCAGTTCCAATGATTCTCTGCCTCAGGCTCCCAAGTAGCTGGGATTACAGGCACATGCCACCATGCCAGGCTAATTTTTTTACTTTTAGTTGAGACAGGGTTTCACCATGTTGGCCAAGCTGGTCTTGAACTCCTGACCTTCTGATCCACCTGCCTCGGCCTCCCAAAGTGCTGGGATTAGGCATGAGCCACCATGCCCAGCCACAAGTGAGATTTAAAAAGATTTAAGAGACAAAGGAAATAGTGAAACTTATTTAATCCTGGGGCAAAAAAAGAAACAAACAAACAAAAACCCACCAAAAACCCACCAAAAACCCACTGCAGGCCAGGTGACCTGGCTTATGCCTGTGATCCCAACTCTTTTGGGAGGCTAAGGCAGGAGGATCACTTGAGCCCAGGAGTTTGAGACCAGCCTGGGCAACAGAGGGAGACCCCATCTCTACAAAAAATTTAAAAATTACAGGCGTAATGGAATACACCTGTGGTCCCAGCTACTTGGGAGGCTGAGGCAGAGAATTGCTTGAACCTGGGAGGTGGAGGTTACAGTGAGCCAAGATCATGCCACTGCACTCCAGCCTGGGCAATAGAGTAAGACCCTGTCTCTCAGAAAAACAAAACAAAAATAAATAAATAAATAATAAAAATCCCCACTGCAAATGAATATTTTTAAGACAATCAGGGAAATTCAAACACGGACTAGGTATTAGATGATACCAAGAAATTATTGTCCATTGTACTACATATCATTTTGAAGTCCTTCTCTATTAGCAATCCACGTTAAAGCATTTATGAGTGAAATAATACAATGTCTGAAATTTGTTTTTAAAATTTCATCTAAAAAGAGGGGTGGTGGGAGGGATAGATGAAACAATATTGGTAACATAATAGTAATTGCTGAAGCTGATAACAAACACATTGAGTTTAATGTGCTATCCTCTCTACTTTCATACATATTTTTAAATTTCCATAATGAAAATGTAAGAAATTCATGTATCTAAGTATAGATACTTACTCTGTCATCTCCCTGAATTGTATCATTGAAGAAAAAATGAAGACCACTACATGTTCAAATCATGACTCTCTTTTGTATTGATACAATTAGTGGGAGCATCAAGCCTCAATTTGTTCACACATTAGTGTCTGTGTTGGTTCAAAATTTGCTATTTCTACCACTGCAATTTCCTGCACAAAGCATTTCATTTATGACAGTCTAGGCTAATAACTGTAGCCATGAAAAACATGACAAAAGAAAGCTTAGTGCTTCTCAGCACTTATGAGAGTGAAGACACACTCTTTCCATGGCAGAGTCTCATGTACTGGCATGTAAATTTCCCCCACTAAATTAATTTATGCATTCATGTGTGCACCTGGGGTGGGTTAGAGGTGTAGGAATATGTACCCATTCTACACTGGTCTGTTTCTTCAATGAACAAAACAAAACACTGCTTGAAGATCATTTCTAAATCATTTCTAACAATGATGTTCACATATTAAGCCCTCTGTGCTTTCTGATTTCAGAGAGATTATACTAATAAACAGTGCTTCTAAAATGTTTTGCTCCTTGGAACCATTTACATTCTTAAAAATTATTGAGGGCAGGGCATGGTGGCTCATGCCTGTAATCCCAGCACTTTGGGAGGCTGAGGTGGGCAGATCACCTGAGGTCAGAAGTTTGAGACCAGCCTGGCCAACATGGCAAAACCCTGTCTCTATTAAAAATACAAAAATTAGCTGGGTGTGGTGGTGTGCACCTGTAATCCCAGTTACTCAGGAGGCTGAGACAGGAGAATTGCTTGAACTTGGGAGGCGGAGGTTGCAGTGAGCCAGGATTGCACCACTGCACTCCAGCCTGGGTGACAGAGTAAGACTCTGTCTCAAAAAAAATGTTTATTGAGGACCTCAAAGGAGTTTATGTTCATGTGACTTGTATCTATTGATATCTACTACATAAGAAATTAGAACCAACTGGGCGTGGTGGCTCGTGCCTGTGATCCCAGCACTTTGATAGGCCAAGGCATTAGGATCACTTGAGCCTAGGAGTTCAAGACCAACCTGGGCAACATATTGAGTCCCTGTCTCTCCCATAAAAAAATTAGCCGAGTGGCCAGGTGCAGTGGCTCACACCTGTAACCCCAGCACTTTGGGAGGCCGAGCTGGGTGGATCACCTGAGGTCAGGAGTTTGAGATCAGCCTGGCCAACATGGCAAAACCCCGTCTCTACTAAAAATACAAAAATTAGCCGGGCGTGGTGGTGGGCACCTGTAATCCCAGCTACTCGGGAGGCTGAGGCAGGGAGAATCACTTGAACCCGGGAGGCAGAGGTTGCAGTGAGCCAAGATTGCGCCATTGTACTCCAACCTGAGCAACAGAGCGAGACTCTGACTCAAAAAAAAAAAAAAAAAAAAAAAAAAATTAGCTGAGCACAGTTGCTCTCGCTTGTAGTCTCAGTTACTTGGGAGGCTGAGGCAAGAGGATTGCTTGATCCCAGGAATTTGAGGTTGCAGTGAGCTGTGATTGCACCACTGCACTCCAGCCTGGGTGACAGAGTTAGACGCTTTCAAAAGAAAGAGAGAACGAGAAAGAAATTAAAACCAAAATGAAAAAATATTAAATTTATCAAAACAAAAAACAGTTTAATGAGAAAAGTGGCCAGATTTACAAGCTCTTTAATGTTTAGTTTAATTGAAGGCAGCTGGAGTCTCATACTTGCTTCTGCATTCTCTCTCTTGCAATATCCCCTACCATGCAGCCTTCAGAAAACTCCATGGTTCACTACTCTAAGAATGACAGTTAAAAAAAGGCAAATAATGCCTTAACATTATTATACAAATAATTTTGAGCTCATAGACCCTCCCCAAAAGTTCTCAGGAATGCTTAGGCATCCCAGGATCACACTTTGAGAACTGCTGCTATATAATGTATGTGTGTAGGAAAGTTCATCCATATGTAAAAATCAGAGAGTGGACCTACTGGCCCCTGAGACCCATGGAGACCTGGAGATACCTGGTTATTGTCAATCACTCACCCACAGTTTTTACGACTACCTCAAAAAGAATTCCTCAGAAACAGCTCGAAAGAGAAAAATTGTACCCTTACCTGAAAGATAATCTAACCAATGTTAAATAAGGTTTTTAAACAGAGATTTAAAATGCTTTCATGACATAAAGTCTTTTGAAAAAAAAGGAAATTAATTTTAAACTTGATTCTTTTTATTTATTTATTTATTTTTTTGAGACGGAGTCTTGCTCTGTCACCAGACTGGAGTGCAGTGGTGCGATCTTGGCTCACTGCAACCTCCGCCTCCCAGGTTCAAGTGATTCCCCTGCCTCAGCCTCCCAAGTAGCTGGGATTACAGGCACCTGCCACCACGCCCAGATAATTTTTTTTATTTTGGTAGAGACAGGGTTTCACTGTGTTGGCCAAGACGATCTCCTGACCTCATGATCTGCCTGCCTCGGCCTCCCAAAGTGCTGGGATTACAGGCATGAGCCACCGCACCCGACCTAAACTTAATTCTTAATAGCAAAATATTTGTTTAAAGACTCCAGTATGCGGCCGGCGTGGTGGCTCACGCCTGTAATCCCAGCACTTTGGGAGGTCGAGGCGGGTGGATCACGAGGTCAGGAGATCGAAACCATCCTGGCTAATACGGTGAAACCTCGTCTCTACTAAAAATACAAAAAATTAGCCAGGCATAGTGGCGGGCGCCTGTAGTCCCAGCTACTCGGGAGGCTGAGGCAGGAGAATGGCATGAAGCCGGGAGGCGGAGCTTGCAGTGAGCCGAGATTGCGCCACTGCACTCCAGCCTGGGCAACAGAGCGAGACTCCATCTCAAAAAATAAAATAAAATAAAATAATAAAGACTCCAGTATGGTTTTTATTACAAGATATTTTATTTGCCCAACATCTGAAATTTCCATTTTCCCAGGTAATGCTTGGCATAGTTGTGGTTTTAGTTTTTCCAATGCATTATTTTCTCTGTACTTCTTATTACAGATTGGTATTTATTTCCATTCAGTAAAATATGTTTAAACAACAACCTTTGGTCAACATTCTACTAGTGATGCATTACTCTTTTTTTTTTTTTTTTTCTTGAGACGGATTCTCGCTCTGTCACCTAGGCTGGAGTGCAGTAGTGCAGTCTCGGCTCACTGCAACCTCCGCCTCCCAATTCAAGCAATTCTCCTACCTCAGCCTCCTGAGTAACTGGGATTACAGGCGCCTGCCACCACGCCCAGCTAATCTTTGTATTTTTTTTGTAGAGATGGGGTTTCGCCATGTTGCCAGGCTGCATTACTTTTTAAAAAAATAACTTTTACTTAAAAAAAAAATTGTTTTGAAACGAGGTCTGGTTCTGTCACCCTGGCTGGAGCGCAGAGGCGCAATAACAGCTCACTGCGGCCTCCTGGGCTCAAGCCATCCTCCCACCTCAGCCCCAAGTAGCTGGGACTACAGGCAGGCACCACCATGCCCAGCTAATTTTTTGTATTTTTAGTAGAGATGGGGTTTTGCTATGTTGGCCACAGTGCCTGGCTAATTTTTTTTTTTTTTTTGTATATATATTTTTGGAGACAGAGTCTTGCTCTGTTGCCCAGGCTGGAGTGCAGTAGGGCAATCTCAAATCACTGCAACCTCTGCCTCCCAGGTTCAAGTAATTCTCGTGCCTCAGCCGCCCGCTGAGTAGCTGGAATTACAGGCAGGCATCACCATGCCCAGCTAATTTTTTGTATTTTTAGTAGAGACAGGTTGTGCCATGTTGGCAAGGATGATCTGGAACTCCTGACCTGAAGTAATCCACCTGCCTCGGCTTTCCAAAGTGCTGGAATTGCAGGCCTGAGCCACTGTGCCTGGCCCATTACTTTTTTTTTTTTTCTGATTATGGTTATAAAAGTAAGACATCGTCAATGAAAAAAGTTTAGAAAAAATCCAGAAAAATATAAAGAACAAAATAAAGATTATATGTAACCAGCTTCCAGAGACAATCACTGTTAATATTTTGTAGTCATTTTCCAAATTGTATTCTACATATCACAGTACACAGGTAGATGTCTTAAAATCAGATTCAGCAAACAAGTAACATTTGACCCTTTTGCCTTAATGTTTGGAATAAACTGAAGCATGATCATGACAGGCATTGCAAAAATACATGGCTTTAGCTTATATTAAAAGAGCATCTTGTGACCCTAGAAACTTAGTATCAGAATTTTTTTTCATAATTTACTAAAACTATGAAGAGTTAATTTATTGATGCTACTAATCCATCTAGATATTGGTTTCAGGGTCAAATTTATTGTCATGGACAAATAAGCCAGAGTTTATTGATTTGTTGGCAACACTGTAGTTTTGCAAATTACAAGGCCCGATACACACACATCACATAATTTTATACAGATATTATGGTAAAAGAAGCATGTGAATGAGAATTTCCAAATTAACCAAACACATTCTTGTATGTCTCATTGTTTTGATTACCACATCAATAACCCTTTTCGTGTATTTTCTCTGAAGTGTTCATCCAGTTATTCTCTGAACAGATGGTCCCCTGAAATTACCTCATTCAGGATAGGTTAATTAAGCATGAAAATTATGATACAAAATATGGTTCCACCTTCCATAAGAAATGCTACCAAATCCTGCAAACAAAGTAGATTTGAACAAAGTGTCCTCAGGTTGTGCTTAGAAAAGAGAGTAAGAGAAGCCCATGCTTGGATAAAACAAGTTACAAGAAGAGTAGAGGCTGTTGTTCCTGTATTTCCAGTTAGTAAGGGAAGAAATTACAGGGTTCATTGGTGACCCATGTACCTGAGGTTTTTAGTGATAAACCCCAAGTGAATACGTCAAATTTTTCCAGGGCCTGACCTTTCCGCATGAAAGTTTGGATTAGGAGACAGTTGTGAAGCATTTATTGCTTTGATATATTAAATGTCTGCTTTCAAGTCAGACGTTTGGAAATTGCATCAAATCTTTAAAATCTAGAGTTTAGTCTAGTGTAGTTGATGATTTATACAGTGATGGTCAGCAGGGTTCTACCCCATCCTGAAGTGTGTTTTGGAAGTTTGTAGAGATCTTTTTATCCCTCACAGTGATTAGAGGATGCAACACTAGCATTTAATGGATGGGAACTAGGAATGCTGGACCTCCCTCCGTGTGTGGAAATGTCTCACACGACAAAGAATTAGCCTCATATTGCATGCCTTTCCAGTGATCCACCATAATGAACCCACTTCAAACATAAATCAATGACAATTTGGTAGATTTAAGTAATAAAAAGCATTTTGTTGTTGTTTTTCACAAGTTACTCCCCAAACCTCTGTAATTTAGGAAAAGGTGGTTATGAATAAGGAAATGAATTGAAGACATGTCTCTAAATAATTGATTTACTAACTCTGAACTTCCTCCCTATGTGAATATGGTTACAGTTCTAAAAAATTGATAGTAAATAAACTGGAGGCTGGGCACAGTGGTTCATGCCTGTAATCCCAGCACTTTGGGAGGCCGAGGCAGGAAGATCACTTGAGGTCAGGAGTTCCAGACCAGCCTGGCCAAGATGGTGAAACCCTGTCTTTACTAAAAGTACAAAAATTAGCCAGGCATGATGGTGCATGCCTGTAATCCCAGCTACTCAGGAAACTGAGGCAGAAGAATTGCTTGAAACCCAGGAGGTGAAGGTTGCAGTGAGCAAAGATCACACCACTGCACTCCAGCCCAGGCAACAGAGCAAGACTCCATCTCAAAAAAATAAAATAAAATAAAATAATTTAAAAACTGGAAAAGGAACTATTAGTAGTGATTCATTATTTCCCTCTTAGAACACATTTGATCACTGATGACACATCATAGGCATCCCATTGTGTCACTTGTTATAATGTTGAAGTTATGTAATGGTTTGAAAGTGTTCTGCAAAGTCCTTTTGGAAATCTAACAACCCTAGTGGGCTGGATTAACACAATTCCACTGCTCATTTGTAACAATATCACACCTTCTCATTTCCTCCAGTACACAGTCTTAGCACATTATCCCTACTTTTTTTTATTTTACCGTCTACAAACATAAATCACATTTGTCCCCCTGCTATTTCATTTTTCTTGGATGGAATATCCTCTGATCTTCTTCTCTTAAATCCAATCCTATTGATTACAAGCAGCTTCAAGGATCTGACTTCTTTATATCTTTTAGTGCCTCACTGCTACTCAAAGTGTGGCCCAAGGGCCAGCAGCATCTGCTCCACCTGGAAGCTTGTTAGACCTGCAGAATCTCCACCCTCTGCAGAAATACTAGATCAGGATCTGCATTTTTGACAAGATTCCCAGGGATTCATATGCACAACTACAGTTGGAGGAGCACTGTTGTAATGTAGCCATGACCACTGATTTACATATTAAAATATTAAAAAATTGGTTGGGCATGGTGGCTCACGCCTGTAATCCTAGCATTTTGGGAGGCTGAGGTGGGTGGATCACCTGAGGTCAGGAGTTCAAGACCAGCCTGGCCAATATGGTGAAATCCCATCTCTACTAAAAATACAAAAATTAGCCAGGCATGGCTGTGGGCACCTGTAATCCCAGCTACTTGGGAGGCCAAGGCAGGAGAATTGCTTGAACCCGGGAGGCAGAGGTTGCAGTGAACCAAGATTGTGCCATTGCACTCCAGGCCTGGGTGACAGAAACGAGACTTTGTCTCAAAAACAACAACAACAACAACAACAAAACTCTATTTCTACTAAAGAAAATATCTGTATTGCACAATTATAGTTCATTGTGAGAAAGCTAGCAGTGAACAGCTATATTAATTCTAGATATTTTCAAAGACCAATGGTCAGAATCACCTGAAAGATTTCATAAACAGAGATTGCCGGGATTCACTCCCAGAGTTCCTGATCCAGTAGGTGTGGGTGAGGCCCAAGAGTCTGCATTTCTCACAAGTCCCTAGAGAGATCACATTTTGGGACCACACTGATATAAGGCATGGACACCAAAATTATAGAGTTTTTTTCATTGGAAGACAACTCCAATGCTGATATGCTAAATAAACATGGATTCCATATTTTGAATTTCAGACTATATATACAACTTGAGAGAATTAGCTGCAAAAATAATTTTTCATGGTCAGTTAGAGCATGAGAATGTGGTCTTAAAATGCAGAGAGTAATACCTCCTTGATTTCTTTCTCTGACTCGTGAAGAAAATTAAGTGTGGGGAAAGAGATAAATTTTGATGCCCAAATAATTTCCATTACAGATTTTCCTTTTTTTTTTTTTTTTTTCTGAGAAGGAGTTTCACTCTCGTTGCCCAGGCTAGAGTGCAATGGCTTGATCTCAGCTCACTGCAACCTCCACCTCCCAGGTTCAAGCGATTCTCCTGTCTCAGCCTCCCAAGTAGCTGGAATTACAGGCACATGCCACCATACCTGGCTAATTTTTGTATTTTTAGTAGAGACAGAGTTTCATCATATTGGTCAGGCTGGCCTCAAACTCCTGACCTCAGATGATCCGCCCACCTCAGCCTCCCAAAGTGCTGGGGTTATAAGCGTGAGCCACTGTGCCCAGCCCACAGATTTTCTTCTTAATGAGTTAGATATGTGATCACCTCAGCACTAGATATTCTGCCATTTTTAACTTGAAGTGATTAACTGAGGATATACATGAGTTGAATATATCATTGAGATACTCTAATTGACCAACCCATGGAAGTCATAGAAATGGTTTTATCTTGTTCCTCATTTCAGAACTGCATATGAATGCCATTTCCCTCAACAGCCAGCACGTTTCAGCATGGAAGAGCAGGATGTGCCTGTTTCTTTTTGAAGGATATTTCTAGATATATTTAGTAGTTTTTACTTTGTTATATTTACAACTTTATGAAGCATGTTTTTAGATACATTTAGTAGTTTTTACTTTGTTATATTTACAACTTTCACGTTCATTTCTGAATCAATTCCTAAAGGTGTACTGTTGACCACTGTCTTAGTCCATTTGTGCTGCTATAACAAAATATTTGGAACTGGGTAATTTATAAAGAACAGAAATTTATTGCTCACAGTTCTGTGGGCTAGAAGGTCTAAGATTAAGGTGCTAGCAGATTTGATGTCTGGTGAGGATTTGGTTTCTGCCTCCAACATGGCACCTTGTTGCTGTGTCCACATGGCAGAAGGGCAAAAGGATCTAGGGGCTGGGCATGGTGGCTCATGCCTGTAATCCCAGCACTTTGGGAGGCCGAGGCAGGCGGATCACCTGAGGTCAGGAGTTCAAGACCAGCCTGGCCAACAGGGTGAAACCCCATCTCTACTAAAAATACAAAAATTAGCTTGATGTGGTGTTGGGCACCTGTAATCCCAGCTACTCGGGAGGCTGAGGCAGGAGAATCACCTCAACCTGGGAGGTGGAGGTTGAATGGAGCTGAGATCACGCCAGTGCATTCCAGCTTGGGCAACAGACAGAGACCCCATCTCAAAAAAAAAAAAAAAAAAAGAAAAAGAAAAAATGAAGGAACTAGGGAGCTCCCTTAAACCTCTTTTATCACAGCACTAATCCCATTCATGATGGTGGAGAGCTCATGACTTAATCACTTCCCAAAAGGGTGCCACCTCATAATTCTATCACATTGGGTATTAGGTTCTAACATATGAATTTTGGAGGGACACATACATTAAAATCATAGCAACCACCCGGGCTCTGTGGATAAAGTATTGTTTGGATGGGCATCCAAAAGCAATTTCTTTTATTCATTTCATGTAGCAATTAATATGTTTTAATTATTATTATGTGCTCTTCTGCAATACCGAGACACCTCTTTTATTTTTTGGTCTGTTTGGTATAAGGAAAACAACTTTGAATTGTGACTCTAAAGTTTCTGTCTGTTCTCTGATGAAAGATAAAATGGTCACTTTCTACTAGAGAGCATAATATTGTGGTTCTTTTGGAAAAATCAGCTGATTTATGAGATAGGTCATTGGGCTTTGTTGGAAATTATGAAAATGGCTTAGTAGCTTTAAAGCACCATTTGAGAAATTGAGATTTTCCCTGTATGCAGTCTTAAAATTAAACTAGGGACATTATTTAAATTGACATTTATAGATGGGGTAGCATTCTGGGTGTTTTTGAGGTTTGTTTTGTTTGGTTGTTTTTGTAGAGATAGAGTCTCCCTATGTTGCCCAGGCTGGTCTCAAACTCCTGGGCTCAAGCCATCCTCCTGCTTCAGCCTCCCAAAGTGCTGGGATTACAGGTGTGAGCTACTACGCTTGGCTGGGAAAGCATTCTGGAAAGTCTGTTTTGTTTTGTTTTGTTTTGTTTTGTTTTGTTTTCAGATCAAGTCTTGCTCTGTCACCCAGGCTTTACAGTGGCACGATCTTGGCTCACTGCAGCTTCCGCCTCCCAGGTTCAAGCAATTCTCGTGCTTCAGCCTCCTGAGTAGCTGGGATTACAGGCCCTTGCCACCACACCTAGCTAATTTTTGTATTTTTTTAGTAGAGATGGGATTTCACTATGTTGGCCAGACTGGTCTCAAACTCCTGACCTCATGATCTGCACCTCGGCCTCCCAAAGTGCTAGGATTACAGGCGTGAGCCACCGTGCCTCACCTGCATTCTGCAAAGTTTTGTCTAGAATTTCCATGTCCCACATCTCCACCAATGCTTAGTGTTATATAACACATGCCCATCTGATTGATGTGGAATGGTATACGTGTATATGTGTGTTTTGTTGTTGTTTTAAATAAGTAGTTTTTTTGCAAAGACCATACAAACTTGCACTCTGTAGCAGTGGTTTGTCAGTAAGTTGTAGAATTCTTGTGGATTTAAAATACACTTCCCCAAACGCTAATGAGGGTGAGCATTTTTCATATCTGCACTGGCCATTCAAGTTTTGCCTCCTGACAATTCCTTGTTCTCATTATTTGTTCATCTTTTGCCTTTTTTTTATCACTGTTTATCAATATAAATATTCCGGATATTAATCCTTTATCTATAAGATGTATTGGCCAGGCATGGTGGCTCACGGCTGTAATCCCAGCACTTTGGGAGGCCAAGGAGGGCAGGTCACCTGGGGTCGGGAGTTCGAGACCAGCCTGACCAACATGGAGAAACCCTATCTCTATTAAAAATACAAAATTAGCTTGGTGTAGTGGCACATGCCTATAATCCCAGCTACTTGGGAGGCTGAGGCAGGAGAATTACTTGAACCCAGGAGGCAGAGGTTGTGGTAAGCCGAGATCTCACCTTTGCACTCCAGCCTGGGCAACAAGAGCGAAACTCAAAAAAAAAAAAAAAAAAAAAAAAAAAAGGTGTATTGCAACACTTTCTTCAAGTCCGTGGTTTGTCTTTTAAGTTTATATTTGATTCTTTCTATTGAGCTGAATTTTAAAACTAACTCAACTTTTTCATTATCTTTCTTTGTATTTTGTGCCTTCTTTAAGGTTTTAAGATCCTTTCCTGCCTACATGTCATAAAGATATGCTGTTTTGTTTTGTTTTGTTTTGTTTTGTTTTAGATGGAGTTTCACTCTTGTGGTTCAGACTGGAGTGCAATGGCAAAATCTCGGCTCACTGCAACCTTCGCCTCCTGGGTTCAAGTGATTCTTCTGCCTCAGCCTCCTGAGTAGCTGGGATTTACAGGTGCCGGCCACCATGCCTGGCTAATTTTTGTATTTTTAGTAGAGATGGGGTTTCACCATGTTGGCCAGGCTAGTCTCAAACTCTGGACTCAGGTGATCCACCTGCCTCTGCCTCCCAAAGTGCTGGGATTACAAGCATGATCCACCCCGCACAGCCCCAGATTTGCTTCTATATTTTTTCTTTCTTTCTTTTCTTTCTTTCCTTTCCTTTTCTTTCTCTTTCTTTTTCTTTCTTTCTTTCTTTCTTTCTTTCTTTCTTTCTTTCTTTCTTTCTTTCTCTCTCTCTCTCTCTCTCTCTCTCTCTCTTTCTTTCTTTCTTTCTTTCTTTCTTTCTTTCTTTCTTTCTTTCTTTCTTTCAGATGATGTCTCGCTCTGTTGTTCAGACTGGAGTGCAATGGTGCAATCTCAGCTCACTGCAACCTCCACCTCCCAGGTTCAAGTGATCCTCCTGCCTCAGCCTCCCAAGTAGGGTAGCTGGGACTACAGGCGCGTGCAAACATGCCTGGCTAATTTTTGTATTTTCAGTAGAGACGGGGTTTCACCATGTTGGCTAGGCTGGTCTCGAACTCCAGACCTCAAGAGATCCGCCCTCCTTGGCCTCCCAAAGTGCTGGGATTACAGGCATGAGCCACCATGCCCAGCCAATTTTCTTCTAAAAATTTTAACATATAAACTGCTTATTTAGCTCTAGTAACTACCTGAAATATATTTTATATAGGGTTTGAGATAGGGATCTCACATAGAGATACAGAGAGCTAATAAAGATAGTAAATATTTATTGTGTGTACTGCGTGAGTGCACTGTTTAAAATGATTTACCTGTTTTAACCCATTACATTCTCACAACTTCATGAGGAAATAATAACATTATCCTTGCTTATAGGTTAAAAAAAAAAATAGAGAAACAGGCCAGGTGCAGTGGCTCAGGCCTGTTCTCCCAGCACTTTGGGAGCCCAAGGTGGGCGACTGCTTGAGGACAGGAGTTCGAGACCAGCCTGGCCAACACGGTAAGACCCTGTCTCTATGAAAAATACAAAAATTAGCTAGACATGGTGGCACATGCCTGTAATCCCACCTACTCGGGGGGGCTGATGCATGAGAATCACTTGAACCCGGGAGGCGGAGGTTACAGTGAGCTGAGATTGCGCCACTGCCTTCTGGCCTGAGTGACAGAGAGAGACCCTGTCTGAAAAACAATAATACACATACACAAAAAAACCAGAGGCACAAATATGTTAAGTAACTTGCCTGAAGTAATGCAGCTATTAAGCAGCAGAGTCAGCTGTCAATCTTTGGTAGATTTGCTCTAAAGCCCATGATCTCAACCTCTGGAATATTTTTCTCTCATTGTCCACCACATATACTAAATAGACCAGTAGTTTGTAAGACCACTTCTATGATATATTAAGTTCCCACATATGTAAGGCCTGCATCCAGGCTGGTGGTGGTGGTGGTGGTGGTGTTGTTTTGAGATGGAGTCTCACTCTGTCGCCAGGCTGGAGTGCAGTGGCACGATCTCAGCTCACTGCAACTTCTGCCTCCCGGGTTCAAGCAATTCTCCTACCTCAGCCTCCCAAGTAACTCACGCCTATAATCCCAGCACTTTGGGAGACTGATGCGGGCAGATCATGAGGTCAAGAGATCGAGACCATCCTGGCCAACATGGTGAAACCCCATTTCTACTAAAAATACAGACTGCTTTTTTAAAGTACAATATTCGAAACTTTTTCAATCCCCTGTTTTCATTCCATGCTGTTTTAATTACTCCAAGTTTTAATAAAAGATTCTGTGTCTGTTCAGGTGAATTCCTTCTTCTAATTTTTCTTCTTTTTGGTTTTTCTTTTGTCCTTACCATATGAATATATATATATACACACACACACACCATATACTATATATACCATATGAATATATATATACCATATGAATATATATATGTATACCATATGAATATATATATATATATTTTTTTTTTTTTTTTTTGAGTCAGAGTTTCACTCTTGTTGCCTGGGCTGGAGTGCAGTGGCACAATCTTGGCTCACTGCAACCTCTACCTCCTAGGTTCAAGTGATCTTCCTCCCTCAACCTCCCAAGTAGCTGGGATTACAGGCATGCACCACCATGCCCGGCTAATTTTTGTATTTTTAGTAGAGACGAGGTTTCACCATGTTGGCCAGGCTGGTCTCCAACTCCTGACCTCAGGTGATCCGCCCTCCTCCGCCTCCCAAAGTGCGGAGATTACAGGTGTGTTCCATACGAATTTTAAGGTCAACATGCCGAATTAAGGAAAAAGTGCGGCCAGGCACGGTGGCTCACGTGTATAATCTCAGCACTTTGGGAGGCTGAGAAGGGTGGATCACCTGAAGTCAGGAGTTCAAGACCAGCCTGGCCAACGTGGCATAACTGCATCTCTACTAAAAACACACAAAAAATTAGCTAGGCATGGTGGTGCTCGCCTGTAATCCTAGCTACTAGGGAGGCTGAGGCAGGAGAATTGCTTGAACCCAGGAGGCAGAGGTTGCAGTGAGCCGAGATTGCACCACTACACTCCAGCCTGGGTGACAGAGTGATACTCAATCTCAAAAAAAAGAAAAAAATAAATAAATAAATAAAGGAAAGAGTGCTGCAGCAATTGTGGCAATAATTGCTTTAACTCAATAAATTAATTTGGGGATAATTTCCATATTTATCATATTGATTCTCCTCATCCATGAACATCGTCTACTTCTCCATTTAAGTATTTTTTTATGTCCTGCAATAAAATTTTATAATCTATAAGAAGCTTTATTTTTTTAAATGTTGTCTTAATTATCTGATACAGTTTATTGTAATCATCAATGACACTCTTATTAGTGTTATGCACGCATCTAAGTGAAGAGACACCCTGAACAGACTAAGTGTGAGCAACAAGGCTGTTTATTCACTTGGGTGTGAGCAGGCTGTGTCCAAAAAGAGAGTCAGCGAAGGGTGGTGGGAGTGGAACTGGTTTTATAGGTTTGTGGTAGGTAGTGGAAAGTTACAGTTAGGGGCAGTTTTTTGGAGGGGCAGGGGAAGAATGTCAAAAGGTGCATAGTCACGAGGTTTGGGGGAGGTCACAAGGCATGATATCACAAGGTCGATCGATTAGCTAGGGTAGGGCGGGAACATATCACAATGGGAATGTTGCAAGGTCGGTTAATCAGTTAAGGCAGTAACTAGCTGTTTCTTCTTCTTTAGTGGTTCTCCTGTTGCTCCAGGCTTTGTGACTCCAGGAGGCCTGTATGTGTGGGTCACAGAGGTCACAATGGCTCGACCATGGTGTACCCCGCTCAGAGGACCTTACAATTAGGATGTAGTATCAGTTTTTAAAATATCTTAAACTTATTACCTGGTTAGTAATTCACAGGGTTCTAAATATAAAAGTTTCCTTCCTGGCCGGGCATGGTGGCTAACACCTGTAATCTCAGCACTTTGGGAGGCCGAGGCAGGCCGATCACTTGAGGTCAGGAGTTCAAGATCAGCCTGGCCAACCCCGTCCTTACTAAAAATACAAAAATTAGCCAGGCATGGTGGCACATACCTGTAATCCCAGCTACTCAGGAGGCTGAGGCAGGAGAATTGCTTGAACCTGGGAGGTGGAGGTTGCAGTGAGCTGAGATCATGCCACTGCACTCCAGCCTAGGTGACAGAGCGAGACTCAGTCTCAAAAAATAAAAATAAAAATAATAAAATTTCCTTCCCATGGGATGTCCCTACATTCTAGTATATAAAGTCCTCCTTCTCTGCTAGATAGCAACATAATGCCCAGATTCCATAGTTTTCAGTTACTTTCAATGATCAGAATAGTTTCGTTTTCATATTTAACACTTTTTTGTTTTTTTTTGAAACGGAGTTTCGCTCTTGTTGCCAAGCTGGAGTGCAATGGTGCGATCTTGGCTCACTGCAACCTCTGCCTCCTGGGTTCAAGTGATTCTCCTGCCTCAGCCTCCCAAATAGCTGGGATTACAGGTGTGCACCACCATACACAACTAATTTTTGTGTGTGTGTATTTTTAGTACAAATGGGGTTTCACCATGTTAACTAGTCTGGTCTCGAACTCCTGACCTCAGGTGATCTGCCCGCCTTGGCCTCTCAAAGGGCTGGGACTACAGGCATGAGCCACCATGCCCGGCCAATATTTAACACTTTTTAAAGATGGTAATCTCAAACTCCATTTAATTCTATCTTCCTTTTTCTCCTGTATCGATTTGTTTGACTCTGCAGCTTAAAATCTGTGTATGTGGAGAGGCTAGCAGGAGGGCATGGAAACAGCAACATCTGTTCTTTTATACCTTTCCCTCTCGCTGCCTCAGCACATTGAATCCTTCACACAGGGCAGAAAGGAAAGGACAATGGGCAAATTTCTCTTTACTCAACTGGATGAGGCTGAAATCCTCTCCTTGGCTGATGATAACTACTCTTCTATTTCATTTTCTTTTCTTTTCTTTTTAATTGACAGGGTTTCTCTGTTTCCTAGGCTGACCTTGAACTTCTAGGCTCAAGTGATCCTCTTGCCTCAGCCTCCCAAATCACTGGAATGACAGGTATGTGCCTCTGTACCTGCCTTTCCATTCCATTTTATTTTATTTTATTTTTTAGATAGAGTTTCACTCTTGTTGCCCAGGCTGGAGTGCAATGGCGCAGTCTTGGCTCACTGCAACCTCTGCCTCCCAGGTTCAAGCATTCTCCTGCCTCAGCCTCCCAAGCAGCTAGGATTACAGGCACCCACGACCACAGCTGGCTAATCTTTGTTTTTATTAGAGATGGGGTTTCACCATGTTGGCCAGGCTGGTCTCGACCTCTTGACCTCAGGTGATCTGCCTGCCTTGGCCTCCCAAAGTGCTGGGATTACAGGCATGAGTCACCATGCCTGGCCTTTTTTTTTTTTTTTTTTTTTTGACACAGGATCTTACCTGTTGCCCAGGCTGGAGTGCAGTGGTACAATCTCAGCTCACTGTAGCCTCCGCTTCCTGGGTTCAAGCAATTCTCATGCCTCAGCCTCCCAATTAGCTGGGATTACAGGTGTGCACCACCACACGTAGCTAATGTTTGTATTTTTAGTAGGGATAGGGTTTCACCATGTTGACCAGGCTGGTCTTGAACACTCAACCTCAGGTGATCCACCCACCTCGGCCTCCCAAAGTGCTGGGATTACAAGCCTGAACCACTGTGCCCAGCTCCATTTCGTTTTCTATGTGTGCCAATAAAACAGGAAACATGCCACCTTCCTCAGTTCAGTTCACCAAGCATTGGTGACCCTTTACCTGATTCGGTGGTATCTTCAGGGTGATCCCCAGTCAGTGGCACTCATTCACATCCCTCGGAGGTTCTTGTCTCTGTGCTTCCCAATCTGTAGCAATCTGGTTCTTGATGGTCTTCTATTTTATTCAAAATTCATGACAAACTCTCAGGCTAATGGACATTTCCTGGATGTATTGACTGTCTGGAGACTTGAATGAGGTGGGGGCAGGGGCACAATCCTGGCCTTCTCTCTTTCTGGCAGTCCTCCCACATGCCATCTCTTTCATATTTTATTTCCCCTTGCTCATGAAGCAAAGAAGAGCAGGTCATCCACTGTATAAACACATCCAGCTGATTACAATGCCAGTCTGCAAATGTTTTTGCAACTAGTCTCAGTATTTAAAGATTCTTTAAAAAAATAATGATAATAATAAAAAGACAGAATCTCACTCTGTCACCTGGACTGGAGTGCAGTGGTGCCATCTCGGCTCACTGCAACCTCCACCTCCCAGGTTCAAGCGATTCTCCTGCCTCAGCCTCCTGAGTAGCTGGGATTACAGGCAGCCACCACAATGCCCAGCTAGTTTTTGTGTTTTTATTAGAGACGAGGTTTCAACATGTTGGCCGGGCTAGTCTTGAACTCCTGATCTCTGGTGATCCGCCCACCTCGGCCTCCTAAAGTGCTGGGATTACAGGCGTGAGCCACCATGCCTGGCCTCCTCTTGTCTTTGAAGAAGATAAATACGTTCTTTTTTCCCTGCATGTGGAAAGGATATAGTTTATCCGCAGGAGCCTTTACTCCCCCAAAGGCTAATGGGGTAGATTATATTATTTGTTTACTCTCATTTGTTTTCCTCTTGTCCTTTCCATTCTTCTCTAGCTGACTGGACTCTCCCTAGCTTATACTTTGGCTTGGCCATGTGATTTGCTTTGTTCATGTGAATGGATATAATGTATGCCACCCTCAAGCAGAAGTTTTTTTCTTTTTTTTGTTTTTGTTTTTGTTTTTCTCTTTATTCAAGCAGTTAAAAAAAAAAAAAAAACTTCACTAGCACAGTGGCTCACACCATAATCCCAGCACTTTGGAAGGCCAAGGTGGGAAGATCAACATGAGGCCAGGAGTTCGAGACTGGCCAGGAGTTCGAGACTGGCCAGGAGTTCGAGACCAGCCTGGCCAACATGGTGAGACAACCCCCATCTCTACTAAAAACACAAAAATTAGCTGGATGTGGTGTGCATGCCTATAATCCCAGCTACTCAGGAGGCTGAGGCAGGATAATTGCTTGAACCCGGGAGGCGAAGGTTGCAGTGAGCCGAGATAACACCACTGCACTCCAGCCTGAGCAACAGAGCGAGACTCCATCTACAGAGCGAGACTCCGTCTAAAAAAAACAAAACAAAACAAAACAAAACAAAAAAAAAAAACACTTGAGTGAGCTGGGCTGGGTGGTTCATGCCTATAATCCCAACACTTTAGGAGGCTGAGGCAGGAGGACTGCTTGAGCCCGGGAGTACAAGACCAGCCTGGGCAACATAGGGACATCTTGTTTCTACAAAAAATAATAAATTAGCCAGGGGTGGTGGCCTGCACCTGTAGTCCCAGTTACTCGGGAGGCTGAGGTGGGAGGATTGCTTGAGCCCAGGAGGTCGAGGCTACATTGAGTCATGATCACATCACTGCACTCCAGCCTGGGTGACAGAATAAGCCTCTGTCTCAAGCAAAAACACTTGAGTGGGCTGGTTTTTCTTCTCTTGAATTTTTGCTTTCCTCCATGAAAACAGCATGTTCCAGACAGTGGCTGTTTCTTCAGCCTGGGTCTTTGAAAGAGAAGATGAGCAAACACAAAAATCCAGTGAGTTCAGCAGACCTACAGCCAACTCACTGTCATTCTCTACTGCAGACAAGAAATAAATATCTGATGTTGTAAGCCACTGAGATTTAAGGAATGTTTGTTGCTGCAGCAAAAGCTGACAAATACAGTCCCTAAACTTTCTTCTAAGTGCTTACTTTTTATTGACTGATTGGAGAGTGAGTGATGGAAGATCTGGTTCTGGCTCATCTCAATAAGCCCTCTGGGACATAATTATCTCCACATGTTGCAGTCTGCCGATTTTAAAATGTGTGGAACTTAGTGCCTTTTACTTCACTTTTGGCCTTAGCTGCAGTAATTGGGGAAAAAAGGAAAAATTCTATTCAAACTATTTAAAAAGTTATGTTTGGGCTGGGCACAGTGGCTCACACCTGTAATACCAGCACTTTGGGAGGCCGAGGCGGGCAGATCACCAGAGGTCGGGAGTTCGAGACCAGCCTGACCAACATGGAGAAACCCCATCTCTACTAAAAATGCAAAATTAGCCAGGCCTGGTGGTACGTGTCTGTAATCCCAGCTACTCAGGAGGCTGAGGCGGGAGAATCGCTTGAACCTGGGAGGTAGAGGTTGCAGTGAGCCGAGATCATGCCATTGCACTCTAGCCTGGGCAGCAAGAGCAAAACTCTGTCTCAAAAAAAAAAAAAAAAAAAGTTACATTTTCGGCCAGTCGCAGCGGCTCATGTCTGTAATCTCAGCACTTTGGGAGGCCAAGGTAGGCGGATCAACTGAGGTCAGGAATTTGAGACCAGCCTGGCCAACATGGCAAAACCCCGTATCTACTAAAAAAAAATAAGTAGCTGGGCATGGTGGCGGGCACCTGTAATCCCAGCTACTTGGGAGACTAAGGCAGGAGAATCTCTAGAACCTGGGAGGCGGAGGTTGTAGGGAGCTGAGATGGTGCCATTGCACTCCAGTCTGGGCAACGGAGCAAGACTCCATCTCAAAAAAAAAAAAGTTGAATTATCTTTCCTTTTTTCTTTTTCTTTTTTTGTTTTTAGGCTAGTCAAGTGAAGCACTGGGAGTAGAGAAGGAACCAAGAAATCTGTAGCTGATAGTGATCAAAAGTTGCATTTTATTTTTGTTTACAATGATATACAGAAACTCCCCTCTGTCACCTTGTTTTGTTTTTTGCTTTAGTCTGTTACCCAGCAACCTTGTCAAATTCTCCTACTATTTTTAATAGTTTTCCCATATATATTCTTAATATTCTATGTGGAGAGTTATACTTTCTATATATAATGATGAATTTGTTTTAACCTTTTTAATCCTTACACTTTTTTTCTTGACTTCTTGCATAGTCTAGGATCTTCAGTTCAATGTTGAATAGAAGCAGTGACAGCAAACATCCTTTTCTCATTCCAGGCATTAATAAGAATATTTCTACTATTTCACTATTAAGTATGATGGTTGCTGTAGGTTTTTGGAGATTACTATTATCAGGTTAAGAAACAGATTTTTAGCTAATTGTTTTTTTTTTTTTTTGGTTAATTTTTTGTTGTTGTTAATCTTGAAGAAGTATCAAAATTTGTCAGTGCCCTTTTTATGTTGATTAAAATGAGTTTTTGTCCTTTAATTTGTTAGTGTGGTATATTATATTAATAGATTCTCTCATCTTAAACCATCTTTACATCCCTGGGATAATGTCTACTTAGTCACATATTGCTGGATTTTATTTATAGATGTTTTATTTAGGATGTTTGCTTCTATGTGTATAACCAATAATGAGCTATAATCTTCTTTTTTCATGACTTTCTTCTCAAGTTTTGATATCAAAATTACACATTAAGCATCATGAGTAAGTTTTCTGTTTCTCTAGTATTTGGAAACATTTGTAGATAATAAGAATTATCAGATCTTTGAAGCTTGACAAAACTCATCTGTAAAATTTTCTGGCCTTGATGCTTTCCCTGGGTATATTCTTAAATGTTGATCCTGCTACTTTAACAATTACAAGTTTGTTTAATCAGCTTGAGTGAGTTTATTAACTTGAATTATTCTAGAAAGTTAATCATTTGGCCAAAGTAATTGAATGTAATGGCATCAGTTGTCCATAGTTTTTATCTTTTGAATTTTTTAAACTCTCTACGTTATATCCTGTTTTTCCTTCCTAATATTATTTACTTCTGCCTCAACTCTCATTTTCCTTGAAAAATTTCACCAGATGAGGTTTTTTTTTTTTTTTTTTTTTTTTTTTTTTTTTCCTCCGGAGAGAGTCTCCTGTTGCTCAGGCTGGAGGGCAGTGGTGAAATCTCGGCTCACTATGACCCCTGCCTCCCAGATTCAAGCGATTCCCCAGCCTCAGCCTCCCAAGTAACTGGGATTACAGGTGCACACCACCAAGCCCAGCTAACTTTTGTGTTTTTAGTAGAGACCGGGTTTCACCATGTTGGGCAGGCTGGTCTCAAACTCCTGACCTCAGTTGATTTACCTGCCTTGGCCTCCCGAAGTGCTGGAATTACAGGTGTGAGCCACTGTGCCCAGCTTCACCAGATGATAGTCTACGTTACTGGTCTTTGTAGAGATTCAGCCTCGATTTTATTTATACTTCCTATTGCTTCCTTGCTTTCTTTTTTTGTTTGAGACAGAGTCTCACTCTGTTGCCTAGGCTGGAGTGCAATGGCACGATCTCGGCTCACTGCACCCTCCGCCTCCTAGGCTCAAGTGATTCTCCTGCCTCAGCCTCCCCAGTAGCTGGGATTACAGGTGCATGCTGCCATGCCCAGATAATTTTTGTATTTTTAGTAGAGATGGGGTTTCACCATGTTGGTCAGGCTGGTCTTGATCTCCTGGCCTCAAGTGATGCACCTGTCTCAGCCTACAAATGTTCTGGGATTACAGGCGTGAGCCACCGCACCCGGCCTTGCTTCTTTGCTTTCTATTTCATTAACTTCTACTGCTATCTTATTTCCAGCCTTTTACTTGGGATGACTCTGGTTTTTTTTTTTCTAACTTGCATTGGATATTTAGTTTATTTATTTGTTAATATTTTCTATTTTCTAATGTATGCATCTTAAGACTATTGGTTCTTTCCAAATCCTTTCTCAACTGCATCTGACAAATTTTAGTGAGTAGTGTTCTCATTGTTGGTAAGTTCAAAATACAGCCTGACTTAAACTTCTTTATTTATTTGTTTGTTTGTTTTTACATTTCTATTTATTCTTTCATTCCTTGTTTATTTTTTATTTTTGTAGAGATGGGGTCTTGCTATATTGCCCAAGACAGTTGCAAACTCCCAGTCTCAAGTGATCCTCCCACCTCTCACTGCTTACTTTAAAAAGTATTTTAAATATTCCAAATGTATAAGGTAATTGGCTGGCACTTAATTATTATTTTCAAATTTCATTATATTTGTTCAAACTATTTGGTTGTTTGAAATAGATTCCTCAAACTTTGTTGAGATTTGCTTCATGGCCTACTATGTCAATTTTGAAAATGTTCCATGTGCCTGAAAAGAATGTGAGTTCTCTAACTGTTGGTGCAGGGTTCTATACATGTCCATTTAATCTAGCTTGTTAATAATGTAGTTTAAACCTTAGTAACTTTTTTTTTTTTTTGAGATGGAGTCTCGTTCTGTTGCCCAGGCTGGAGTGCAGTGGTGCAATATCAGCTCACTGCAACCTCCGTCTCCTCGGTTTAAGCGATTTTCCTGCCTCAGCCTCCCTAGTAGCTGGGATTACAGGCATGCACCACCACGCCGGGCTAATTTTTGTAGTTTTTGTAGAGACAGGGTTTCATCATGTTGGCCAGGCTGGTCTCGAACTCATGACCTCAAGTGATCTGCCCGCCTTGGCCTCCCAAAGCACTGAGGATTACAGCCGTGAGCTACCATGCCTGGCCAAATGTATCATTATTCTTGATATATTTGGACTTATTTCTATAAATTCTGTTTACTTTCTTTGCTTTTCTCCCCACTCCTTTCTGCCTTCTGCTAAATTTTTCTGACTTCTGCCTTTCTGCCATACTGCTAAATTTTTCTTTAGGGCTCCATTTGCTTCTACTAGTTTAGAAATTACACATGCTATTTATTTTTCTCACTGGCAATCCCCAAATTTTTAGATACTCACATGTTATTTGACAAAGTCAAAAACTGATGATTCTGTTCACCTCCTGAACAATTCAAGAACTTCGGTGTGCTTTAATTTTTAGTGCATCATTTTCATTTACAAGTTATGGCTACCTAGTATAGAATATCCCTCTTGAACCAAGAGTTATGTAAGAGAGTATTTGTTTTCTTTACACATTTGGATAGAAGAACCTTGTTATTTTGTGATACTGTAAGTCTACTATTATCACATTGCAATTAGAAAATGTGACATATATTATTTCTACTATGTAAATTTTGTTCAGGGTTTTTGTTTTTTGTTTTGAGACAAGGTCTCACTCTGTCACCCAGGCTGGAGTACAGTAAGGCAATCTTGGCTCCCAGGCTCAAGAGATCCTCCCACATCAGCCTCCTGAGTAGCTGGGACTACAGGTGTAGACCACCATGGTTAGCTAATTTTTTTCATTTTTTTGCAGAGACAGTATCTCCCTATATTGCCCAGGCTGGTCTCAAACTCCTGGGCTCAAGCGATCTGTCCACCTGGGCCTTCCAAAGTGCTGGGATTACAGGTGTGAGCCACTGCACCTGGCCTGATTGTTTGATATAATAGACATATCTGGTCTTGGTTCTATGATTTTCTTTTATGTTTTCTGTTTTCATAATTTAATTCTTTCACAATGTAATTTGTTTTCTTTGCTTTTTTGGTAATTCCAGTATTTGCAGAAGTTTGTGTTTTTGTGACATTTTATAATTAAAAATGATTACTTTAGAAAATATGTGTTTCTCAGCCTGTAATCCCAGCACTTTGGGAGGCCGAAGTGGGTGGATCACAAAGTCAGGAGATCGAGACCATCGTGGCTAACACGGTGAAACTCCGTCTCTACTAAAAATACAAAAAATTAGCCAGGCGTGGTGGCCAGCGCCTGTAATCCCAACTGCTCGGGAGGATGAGGCAGGAGAATGGTGTGAACCCAGGAGGCGGAGGCTGCAGTGAGCTGAGATCACGCCACTGCACTCCAGCCTGGGTGACAGAGGGAGACTTTGTCTCAAAAAAAAAAAAAAAAAAATATATATATATATATATATATATTTGCAAATCATGTATCTGTTAAGGGAATTTATCCAGAATATACAAAGGACTTACTGTTCAAATAATAAAAAGACAAAAACTAAATGTAACAATAACGAAGGATTTGAATAGACATTTCTCCAAAGAAGATATATGAATGGCTCATAAACACGTGAAAAGATACACAACATCATTACTCCTAGGGGAATACAAATCAAAAACATGAGATGCCACTTTATACTTTCTATGTTATGGTCTACATATTGTGGCCCCACAAAATTCATATGTTGAAACCCTAACCCCCAATGAGATAGTATTTGGAGATAGAGCCTTTATGAAAGTAATTAGGGTTAATTAGGTCATAAGGATAGGGTCCTGCAAGAAGACAGCCCTCACCTGGAGTCAAACTGATACCTTGATCTTGGACGTCCTAACCTCCAGAACGTGAGAAATTCCTGTTTAAGCCACCCAGTTTATGGTGTGTTTTTGTTTTTGTGTTTTTGTTTTTTTGTTTTTTTGTTTTTTTTAAGATAGAGTCTTGCAGTGTCGCCCAGGCTGGAGTTCAGTGGTGGGATCTGGCTCACTGCAACCTCCATCTCGTCTCCTGGGTTCAAGCAATTCTCCTGCCTCAGTTTCCCAAGTGGCTGGTATTACAGGTGTGCGCCACCACACCTGGCTAATATTTTTTGTATTTTTAGTAGAGACAGGGTTTCACCAGTTTGGCCAGGCTGGTCTCGAACTCCTGACCTCAGGTGATCCATCCACCTCGAT
This sequence comes from Homo sapiens, assembly GCF_000001405.40. Taxonomy (NCBI): domain Eukaryota; kingdom Metazoa; phylum Chordata; class Mammalia; order Primates; family Hominidae; genus Homo; species Homo sapiens. The sequence continues at coordinate 126,713,053 of NC_000005.10, forward strand.
CTCCCAAAGTGCTGGGTTTACTGGTGTGAGTCACCATGCCCAGCCAATCTATGATATTTTGTTATGGCAGCTCAAGCTGACTAATACATCCTGGAATAGCTGTAACAAAAAAGATAGATAATAACAGATATTGTTGAAGATGTGGAGAAATTGAAATCCTCAGACATTGCTAGTGGGACTGTACAATGATGCAACCACTTTAGAAAACGGTTTTTCAGTTCCTCAAAATGCTAAACATAGACTTCCTATATGACCCAGCAACTCTACTCCCAAGCATCTATCCAAGAGAAATATGTGGAAGACATATGTACACACAAAAACTTGTACATGAATGTTCATAGAAGCACTATTAATAATAGCAAAAAAGTAAAAATAACCCAAATGTCCATCAACCGATAAACAAAATGTGATATATCCATACAATAAAATATCATTCACTGATGAAAAAGAATGAAGTACCAATACATGCTACAACATGAATTAACCTTGAAAACATGCTAACTGAAATTAGCCAGACAGAAAAGGGCAAATATTGTGTGAGGCCAATTATATGAGACACTCAGAATAGTCCAAATCATAGATGGAGAGAGCAGAATAGTGGTTATCAGGAGCTGTGAGGGAAGGGAAATAGAGTGACTGCTAATGGGTATGGTCTTTTGGAGTGACAAAAATGTTCTAAAATCACGTTGTGGTGATGATGGCACAGCTCTGTGATTATACTAAATTGAATTTGTATTATATATTTTAAACGGTTACCTTTGGACCGGGCATGGTGGCTCACACCTATAATCTCAGCACTTTGGGAGGCTGAGGTGGGTGGATCACTTAAACCTAGGAATTCAAGACCAACCTGGGCAACATGGCCAAACACCATCTCTACCAAAAAAAAAAAAAAAAGCAAAAATTAGCTGGGGTGGTGGCGCACGCCTGTAGTCCCAACTACTTGGGAGGCTGATGTGGGAGGAGCCAGAGGTTGCGGTGAGCTGAGATAGCGCCACTTCACTCTAGCCTGGGCACAGACCCAGACCCTGTCTCAAATAAATAAATAAATAAATACATGGGTACCTTTACGATGTGTAAATTATATCTCAATAAAAATGTTAAAAATGAAAAAGAAGAGATATGCTTTTTAAAAATAAAAAAACATAAACTTCTACAACCTTCAAACATGGAAGCAAGGCAGAAAATATGAAGTGCTGGTGAAGCTGTAGAGGAATTTGGATTCTCATACATTCCTGGTGGGACTATAACTTAGTCCAACAACTTAGGAAAACTTCCTGGCAATATCTACTAAATCTGAATATATATATATATATATATATATATATATATATATATCTTATACCAGAAATTTCACACCTAAGTATACACCAACAAAAAATTATTATAGGCTGGGCATGGTGGCTCACGCCTGTAATCCCAGCACTTTGGGAGGCCGAGGTGGGTGGATCACCTGAGGTCAGGAGTTCAAGACCAGCCTGACCAACATAGAGAAACCCTGTCTCTACTAAAAAGACAAAATTAGCCGGACGTGGTGGCAGGTGCCTGTAATCCCAGCTACTCAGGAGGCTGAGGCAGGAGAATTGCTTGAACCCAGGAGGTAGAGGTTGCGGTGAGCCGAGATCGCGCCATTGCACTGCAGCCTGGGCAACAAGAGTGAAACTCTGTCTCAAAAAAAAAAAAATTATTATATAATTAGATGCCAAAAGACGTGCTAAAATTTTCATGGTAGCACTACCTTTTTTTTTTCTTGAGACGGAGTCTTGCTCTGTCACCAAGCTGGAGTGCATTGGGACGATCTCGGCTCACTGCAACCTCCGCCTCCCGGGTTCAAGCGATTCCCCTGTCTCAGCCTCCCAAGTAGCTGCGACTACAGGCGCATGCCACCACACCCGGCTAATTTTTTGTATTTTAGTAGAGATGGGGTTTCACCATGTTTGCCAGGATGGTCTCGATCTCCTGACCTCAGGTGATCCACCCACCTCAGCCTCCCAAAGTGCTGGGATTACAGGCATGAGCCACCGCGCCTGGCCATGTAGCACTATTTGTAATAGCCTCAAACTGGAAACAATCCAAAAGCCCATCAACAATAAAAGAAAACCAAAATGTGATATAGTTACACAATGGAGCAACATACAGCAGTAAAAAGAAGGAACTACTGACCCACTCAGTCTCAGGAGTCTATGGGAGGATGTGGCTTTACTAAATTAAAAGAGGCTGGGCCTGGTGGCTCATGCCTGTAATCCCAGCACTTTGGGAGGATGAGATGGGCAGATCACTTGAGGTCAGGAGTTTGAGACCAGCCTGGCCAACATGGTGAAACCCCATCTCTACTAAAAATACAAAAATTATCCGGGCATGGTGGTACACATCTGTAGTCTCAGCTACTCGGGAGGCTGAGGCAGGAGAATCACTTGAACCCAGAAGGTGGAGGTTGCAGTGAGCTGAGATCGCACCATTGCACTCCAGCCTGGGTGACAGAGCGAGACTCTGTCTCAAAAAGAAAAAAAAAAAAAAGACTAAATAAAGACTGAGGAAGGTATAGGATCTGGGAAACAAGGATCCAACACAATAGGGAGGCAAAAGGATTCTCCAGAAAGATGATATTGGAAGATTCTCAGGGCAAGAGCTGCTCAGAACAGCTGAGGGTCACCTATCCTGACTAGAACCCATTGGGAAGCTGCAGGAAAGATTTCTTTACAGAGAAGGAACTGACTGAGTGCCTAATGTATTTGATCTTACTGAAACAAGAATTTCAAAACTAGGAGAAAGTTTAGGATTAAGCTGGTAAAAAGTACTATTCAGAGAAAATTATGCAAATGGAGGAAAAAGTTAAGTATGGGGTATGGGAGTGAAGGTGGGGCAGGGAGGAATGTTCCACAGAAGAGGGAGAATATTCACAGGATACCACTTGGCCTAGCAGTGGATAATGTTTACATAGTCATAACATTGAAATGCCGAATTTTTTTCTTTTTCTTTGAGACAGAGTCTTGCTCTATAACCCAGGCTGAAGTGCAATGGCACGATCTTGGCTCACTGCAACCTCTGCCTCCCAGGTCCAAGCAATTCTCTTGCCTCAGCCTCCCAAGTAATTGGGATTACAGGCACACGCCACCAAGCCCAGCTAATTTTTGCATTTTTGGTAGATATGGGGTTTTACCACGTTGGCCAGGCTGGTCTCAAACTTGTGACCTCAAGCAGTCCACCTACCTTGGCTTCCCAAAGTGCTGGGATTACAGGCGTGAGCCACTGCGGCTGGCTGCTGAATATTTTTGTAATTACTTTTACAGGTAACTTTATTTTGAGACAAAGGGAATGAAAAATAGACTTGTATACCAAGGCCAGTGTGTGTGTGTCTGTGTGTGTGTGTGTGTGTGTAAGAGCCCATATTAATTCTTCATCTCCCATACTGTGAAATCACTAGATAACACCCAAAAGGGGAAATTCAAGAAGTGGTATTATAAGCATATTATTTAGAGACATGGTAAGTATCAAAAGAATGAGCAAAAGTAGTTAAAAGCATTGATCTGGGAAATGGGAAATTGAAGTGGGATGTAGGCGGGGTGACTGGTTGGGATGGTGAGGAGCAGCTGGGATTTTTCTTTATAACAAACTATGGAATTTTTTGACTCTACACTGTGTGTGTATATAATTTTTGGAAAAAAGAAACAAAATGAGAGTGATCACTTCTAATATGAGGTTATAGGAAAAAAAAAAGAATGTATAGCCAACTAGTTAAATACTGCCAAGAAAACAGGAAAGGAGCCATTATTACATTTGCTAGCATGGGCCCATTGGTGACACTCGAACAACTTCATTCCACTAATAGGAATTAAAACAGATAGAGATAAACATTAACCACACTTAACTAACATTTTCCCCAAGTATTGCAGATATTTTGTAACATACTTAATTATAAATGTGTTACTTTCATTTTTATGGGTATTCCTTCATCGTACTGAAGTATAGAACCTAAAGGAACTACCCTTATAAATAATTTTAGTTTTTCGTTTTGGTTTTGGTTTGGTTTTTATCTCCCTTTCTTTTTTCTTTTTTTCGAGACGGAGTCTCACTCTGTCGGCAGGCTGGAGTGCAATGGTGCGATCTCTGCTCACTGCAACCTCTGCCTTCTGGGTTCAAGCGATTCTCCTGCCTCACCTGTCGAGTAGCTGGGACTACAGGCACGCGCCACCATGTCCAGCTGATTTTTGTATTTGTATTTGTATTTGTATGTATGTATGTATGTATTTACTTATTTATTTATTTATTTTTGAGACAGAGTTTCGCTCTTGTTGCCCAGACTGGAGTGCAATGGCACGATCTCGGCTCACCACAACCTCCGCTTCCCGGGTTCAAGCGATTCTCCTGCCTCAGCTTCCCGAGTAGCTGGGATTACAGGCATGTGCCAACACGCCCGGCTAATTTTGTATTTTGAGCAGAGAAGGGGTTTCTCCATGTTGGTCAGACTGGTCTTGAACTCCTCACCTCAGGTGATCCGCCCACCTCATCCTCCCAAAGTGCTGGGATTACAGGCATGAGCCACTGCACCTGGCCAATTTTTGTACTTTTAGTAGAGATGGGGTTTCACCATATTGGCCAGGATCGTCTTGATCTCCTGACCTCGTGATCTGCCTGCCTCAGCCTCCCAAAGTTCTGGGATTACAGGCGTGGGCCACTGTGCCCAGCTTATTTCCTTTTCATGGTAAATAATTTTAGTTTGTTGGGTTTTGTTTGTTTTGTTTTGTTTTTGAGACAGCTCTGTTGCCCAGGCTGGAGTGCAGTGGCGTGATCTTGGCTCACTGCAACCTTGGCTTCTTTGGGTTCAAGCGATTCTCCTGCCTCAGCCTCCCAAGTCGCAGGGATTACAGGTGCCCACCACCATGCCTGGCTAATTTTGTATTTTTAGTAGAGACAGGGTTTCACTATGATGGGCAGGCTGGTCTCGAACTCCCAACCTCAGGTGATGCGCCTGCCTCAGCCTCCCAAAGTGTTGGGATTACAGGCGTGAGCCACCGGGCCCAGCCTGGTTTTTTATTAATTACAGGTTATTCACGGCCATTCTCTCTAAAGTCAATTAATTAGTTGTAGAAAGCTTCAAAGTAAGCTAGAGATGAGTTATCCTTTGCTTAGGGGAAGGATTCCATTACTGGTATGTTGGAATTAGAAAGGCACTGGTCTAGATGAAGACAGGGATATTCAGATACACATTTACAGTATTTCCTGCTCTCCCAGACCAAATTAACATTCCACTGTCGCTAAGAAGAGAAAGAGAGGAGAGACCACACAGGAAGACATGAGCAGAGAAAGAGCATCGGTGTTGGTCAGGAACAAGGAAGCCTCCTGTCAGTGGAGGTCAGCTCCCAGAGGCTGTTCAGTCTCCATGTATGAGAGGGCGGTTCACTGCTCCGCTGAGGTGCCTTGCTAATTGTCCTTGTCTGGCGACTCTCCCCTATCCCACTCACAGAGCGGTTAGCATACCACACATTGCTTGTCTATCAGAAACGGCAACCCCCTTTCCCAGCAAAGCTTTTTCCACCTCCCTACCCGGCAGCTCTTCGTACTCACCTGGCCCTCCCTAGCCTGATAGCTCTCACCAGAACAAGACTGGGCCAGACAGAAGCTGGGTGCCATCTCCCACTGAGCAGGGCTATGGGGGAAGACACCTTCCATTGCAATCACAACTGGGTTGGGCTATCAGTAGAAAGCAGAACATAAGGGCAGGAAAGGATGGAGGAGGGCCACATTTACTTCTCAGCTCACATTTCACAAAACACTGCCAAGCTCTGCAAATTCTACGTTCAGAAATTCCACCCAGGACCCTGGCCTCCAGGTAAGGAGGATAGGAAGGGCCAGTCCTAGATACCGCCTTGTCCATCTGCACGCTGGTGAGTGAAACAGTGTCTTTACAAGGTGACTACTTTATGCCATTACTTTTATTCTTATTATTCAGTTTTTTAAAAAACTCATTTCATTACCTAAAAAAAAAACAAAGAAATATTTCAGGTATATAACCACCAAAGTTGGCTGAAAATATTTCTTATTCTTCCCTTTTTAGCATTACATGTTGGATAAGATTACAACCAGCTCGAGTCCAAATGTGATTTAGAACATTTTCAGTTCCAAAGAATGATGAAGTATGAAGTAATTTGTTTTGGGCTAACAAACTAATTTCAGCTGAATTAATGGTAAAATTTTTTTAATTACCCAAATATGTTTTTAAAAAAAAACCAAACTGCAGAAACTCACTTATTTGTAAGAACATCCAAGCACTGTTAATTCCAAGCACTGTCATCTTAGATCTAATGCTTTTTGTACATAGCATTGATTTCTGAGGTTGCAAGTGCTTACCTAAGCCAAACTTAGACAACAGGGCAACAACTTAGTGCTTTGAAACATTCTATAAATTTTTCTAAACATCACTAACACTTGCTTTAATGTTAATCTTTTTTCGAACTCTTAAAGACTAAAAAGTGAATTGTAATTTTATATTTTAAGGCTTAGTCTTTGTGATAATAAAAGTAATTTCCTGGCCAGGCATGGTGGCTCAGGCCTGTAATCCCAGCACTTTGGGAGGCTGAGGCAGGTAGATCACCTGAGGTCAGGAGTTTGAGACCAACCTGGTCAACATGGCGAAACCCCATCTCTACTAAAACTACAAAAATTAGCTGGGTGTGGTGGCGCATGCCTGTGATCCCAGCTACTTGGGAGGCTGAGGCAGGAGAATAGCTCAAACCCAGGAGACGGAGGTTGGCGTGAGCTGAGATCGTGCCATTGCACTCCAGCCTGGGCAACAAGAGTGAAACTTCGTCTCAAAAAAAAAAAAGACAGTAATTTTCCTGACAGTCTTCAAAAATTAGTCTTTAAACTCAATACTATATTTTCTTAAGAATCCATTAAGTCTTCAGAATTCAAAGATTAAAGACACTTGGAAATTGAATCTAAGTTTTAAGTGAAAATAAAAAATGCCTATAATTTTTATGCTTCTTCCACATTTGCAGAACAAAGCATATTTATTAAAACTTTAAGCCGGGCATGGTGGCTCACGCCTGTAATCCCAGAACTTTGGGAGGCCAGGGTGGGTGAATCACCTGAAGTCAGCAGTTCAAGACCAGCCTGGTCAACACGGTGAAATCCCATCTCTACTAAAAATACAAAAAATTAGCCGGGCATGGTGGCACATGCCTAAAATCCTAGCTACTCAAGAGGCTGAGTCAGGAGAATCACTGGAACCCAGGAGGCAGAGGTTGCAGTGAGCTGAGATTGCGCCATTACACTCCAGCCTGGGTGACAAGAGCAAGACTCCATCTCAAAAAAAATAAAGAAAAAAGAAAAACTTTAGAGAATCAGGCACACCCTCTGACATTTTAAGATACTTAATCATTGCTTTATGAAAAGATACAACGTGTGACTGAAAACATTAGATTGTCTTGAATCGAAACATGGATTTAATGATATTGAATGGACAAATGCCCCTTAAGGGCATTTGAGTCTCACTACAGCATAGCAGCTGCCCTGAGCAAAGCAAAAGCCAGGTTTAGCAATACCTCATGCAAAAATAATTTAGGGAATGTAGCCAGCAGTTCTATCAGTCTACGCCAAATTTGAGGTCTCCACCAAAAAAGAAAGAAAGAAAAAAAAGGCCAATATGATACTGGTCAGTATTAACAGAAAAATATATGATAGTCACTCTCTGCCGACTGAGAAGCATGATATTCAATTCTGGATGTAGATAACTATTTTTATTTTATTTATTTATTTATTTTTTGGAGACAGAGTTTCACTCTTGTTGCCCAGGCTGGAGTGCAATGGGCATGATCTTAGATCACCGCAACCTCCGCCTCCCAGGTTCAAGCGATTCTCCTGCCTCAGCCTCCCAAGTAGCTGGGATTACAGGCATGCACCACCACGCCCGGCTAATTTTTGTATTTTCAGTAGAGACAGGTTTTCTCCATGTCGGTCAGGCTGGTCTCGAACTCCCAGCCTCGGGTGATCCGCCCATCTTGGCCTCCCAAAGTGCTGGGATTACAGGTGTGAGCCATCGTGTCTGGCCCAGATAACTATTTCTAAAAAGATATAACTTCAGGCCAGACACAGTGGCTCATATCTGTAACCCCAGCACTTTGGGAGGCTGAGATGGGTAGATTGCTTTGAGCCCAAGAGTTTGAGACCAGCCTGGGCAACAATGGCGAAACCCTGTCTACAAAAATACAAAAAATTAGCTGGCATTGGTGGCTTATGCTTCTAGTCCCAGCTACTCAGGAGGCTGAGGCCAGAGAAACGCTTGAGCCCAGGAAGCGGAGGTTGCAGTGAGCTGAGATTGTGCCACTGCACTCTAGCCTGGGTGACACAGTGAGACCCTGACTCAAAAAAAAAAAAAAAAAAGAAAAAAGGAAAAAAAAACACCTCCCAGGCCTGGCGCGGTGGCTCACTCCTGTAATCCCAGCACTTTGGGAGGCCGAGGCAGGCGGATCACGAAGTCAGGATTTCGAGACCATCCTGGCTAACATGGTGAAATCCCGTGTCTACTAAAAATACAAAAAATTAGCCAGGCATGGTGGCACATGCCTGTAGTCCCAGCTACTCAGGAGGCTGAGGCTGGAGAATCATTTGAACCCAGGAGGCGGAGGTTGCAGTGAGCCGAGATCATGCCACTGCACTCCAGCCTGGGCAACAGAGTGAGACTCCGTCTCAAAAAAAAAAAACAAACAAACAAACAAAAAAAAAAAGAACAAGAACAACAACAACAAAAAACCTCCCAAAAAACACAACTTCAAAATGCATCAGGAGACTGAAGGGCCTTGACACATGTCAAGCAAGGAACAGTTGAAAAAACTAACCTGAAGAGCTTTGAAAAGAGTCATCTCAGTTATGCTGGCTGCCTTTCCATTTGTGAAGGGTATTTTGTGGGAAATAGACTAGACTTAGCCTGCATTGCCTCAGGATGTAGAACCTAGACCAAAGGGGGCACATTACAGGGACAAATTTAAGTTTAATTTTCTTTTTCTTTTTTCTTTTTTTTCTTGGAGACGGAGTCTGCTCTGTTGCTCAGGCTGGAGGGCAGTGGTGGGATCTCAACTCACTGCAACTTCTGCCTCCTGGGTTCAAGCAGTTCTCATGCCTCAGCTTCCCAAGTAGCTGGGACTACAGGCACGTGCCACCACCCCTAGCTAATTTTTGTATTTTTTAGTAGAGACAAGGTTTGGCCACGTTGGCCAGGCTGGTCTCAAACTCCTGATCTCAGGTGATCCACCCTCCTCGGCCTCCGAAAGTGCTGGGATTAAGGCATGAGCCACCGTGCCCAGCAGGTTTAATTTTCAAAATATCATTTTATTAATGTTTTCCAAACATAAAATGAGTTGCTACAGAAAATAGTGAGTCCCAGTCTCCAAGTCTGTTGAAACAGGCTGCAAGACTCTAGGCAAGGAAACTTAAACATAAGGTATGACTTTAATGAGATGATTTTTAAAGTCATCTCTAATGTCCAATGTGAAGATTTTAGGATTTCAGAGCAATAATGTGAATGTTCTAGTCTCCTCAAAATGTAATGGAGGTGGCTGGGCGTGGTGGTTTACACCTGTAATCCCAGCACTTTGGGAGGCTGAGGAGGGCAGATCACCCGAAGACGGGAGTTTGAGGCCAGCCTGGCCAACATGGTGAAACCCCATCTCTACTAAAAATACAAAAATTAACTGGGTGTGGTGGCACACATCTGTAATCCCAGCTACTCAGGAGGCTGAGACACAAGAATCACTTGAACCCTGGAGATGGGAGGTTGTAGTGAGCTGAGATCACGCCACTGCACTCTAGCCTGGGCAACAGAGTGAGACCCCATCTAAAAAATATATAATAATAATAAAATAAAATAATAATAATAATAATAATGGAGGTGTCTCATATGATACTTGGAGGTGCAAGCAATGCCTTCCACTTGAATATCCAGAGATTATCAGCAAGTTCAGTGTATATCCCTTGGGCCATCTCCCCTAATATGTTAGGAATCACCCAAAACACTTCATTTCAAGGGGAGTCCTGCTTGCTTATGTCTCACTGCCAGAGCCCAAACTCAGATGCTCAGCCTCTGTGTACCTCATTCCCATCATGCCCCTTGCTCTTGCCCTGGGGACATCCATAACCAGAGACGGTTGCTCTAAAGTAGAAGGAACCCCCATGCTGCTGTCACTGCAGCCAGAGGGAGGAGCAATGCCCACTATGGTCTGGTCAGTCACAGGGCTTGAACCTCTAATTGGAGAGTCTTTTAGATTTGTCAAAAGAAAACCAGCCTGGCACGGTGGCTCACACCTGTAATTCCAGCACTTTGGGAGGCCAAGGCGGGCGCATCACAAGGTCAGGAGTTGAAGACCAGCCTGACCAACATGGTGAAACCTCGTCTCTACTAAAAGTACAAAAAATTAGCCAAGTGTGGTGGAACATGCCTATAGTCCCAGCTACTCAGGAGGCTGAGGCAGGAGAATGGCTTGAACCCAGGAGGCAGAGGAGTTGCAGTGAGTCCAAGATTGTGCCACTACACTCCAGGCTGGGCAACAGAGCAAGACTCTGTCTCCAAAAAAAAAAAAAGAAAGAAAGAAAAAAGAAAACCTTTAGACAAATTAAATTTAATAGAGTTTACTTGATCAAAGAAAGATTTATGAATTGGGCATCACTCAAAACCAGAAGAGGTCTGTTCCAGCAGTATGAGCAGCTAACACTGAAACAAAGTGAAGAAATTGCCTGATTGATTTCAGCTAGATGTTTGCCATATTTGGGCATAGTGTGATGGAGCATTTGCCTTATTTGGTTATGCTCCCATGGGAGGTCCCAAGTTGTATGACCAATCAGCTGGTTAACTGTTTGTGACTGGCTAAGTCTCACTTTTGTTTTTATTTTGTTTTGTTAGCTACAAGAAACGTTTCCAAGTTAAGTTCATTTGCAGAGCTCCAGTTCCAGATACGCTTAGGTTAATGCCCTCCTTATTTGCTTTCACAGACCCAATCACACAGCCAGTCCCCCACACAGCAAGCTAAATTCTAGTATATACGTCCCTAAGGTATATGGGGAGGACATGTATATTTGAGTATATGTGTCCTCAAATATCCTTGTACCTTAACAAGACTTCTGAAATCACAGAGAAAACAAGGCTAAGGTTATCTTTATAAAGCTCTTTTGGATTTGATCCATTTCTTGAATGAGACTTCCTCCCAAAGTCCATGCCCCGTCCCAAAGGGGAAAGCATTTTCTTTCTGTGTGCTTGTGTGTGTGTGTGTGTGTGTGTGTGTGTGTGTGTGTGTGAGTCTCGTTCTGTAGCCCAGGCTGGAGTGCAGTGGTGCAATCTCAGCTCAATCAATGCAACCTCTGCCTCCCGGGTTCAAGCAATTCTCGTGCCTCAGCCTGCTGAGTAGCTGGGATTACAGGCATGCACCACCACACCTGGCTAATATTTTGTATATTTTTAGTAAAGATGGGGTTTCGCCATGTTGCCCAGGCTGGTTTTGAACTCCTGAGCTCAGGCAATCCGCCCACCTCAACCTTCCAAAGTGCTGGGATTACAGGCATGAGACACCACGCCCAGCTGAGCAAAGCATTTTCAAGGCCCTGGAGTCCAGTTTCCCCTTCAAGGGTGCTGTGGATACCCTGGAATTTTCTGCCAAATTGCCATAAGAAGCTCACTTTCTGGACCTTCATGGGCCCCCTCCCTGGTCCATTCTCCTGAGAATGGGCCACACCACTGGTGTGCTTGCTTCTGGGTCCAAGGGGCGGGCAAGAATTTAGGTGGAGTTTGGACACATGGATGAGAAGTTCCCACAGATGCACACTTGTCTGTCCCATGGTCAGGAAAGATCTGAGAGTTGGAGAGGAAAGTGGCTAGGCCAGAAGGGGCCTGGAGCTGGGAATGGACCAGCTCTGTCTGCCTCCCCCAGCTGGGGCAGACAGTGAGTTTGAGAATTCTGAATTGGTAATAGAGTTTCAGGTCCTTCTGAGGGTAGATATTCTGGATATAAATAATGCAGCCCTAAGCACCCTCGCACAAATGTAATTGGAATGTTCCTAAATTCCCTTGCCTTCTGGATTACCTTTTTCTTCACCTTCCTAAGAAAACACATATGTTGTGACCCCACATAAGTGCAGAAAGCCCAGCACTCATCCAGAAGTTCTCCAGGAGGGTCTCTGTCACCTAGCACCAATTCCTTCTGCTCATGTTTTCAGGTCTTCTCCAGATGGTCTTTATGTGTGCCTATTTCCCCCACCTTTCACTTCCAACATAAGCATGAGCTCCAGACATCACCATCTTTAGGCTTTTATGTGCTATAGATTTTCATGGAAATTCTGGGGAAAATAAAATTTAATTGCTTGCAAAAAAAAAAAAAAATAGGGCTGATCAATCATCGCTGGCCCTCCAGTTCATGAATCTTTCTCAGCCACAGGGAACTTGCTATTTTTTATCCTTTGCCAAAGCTCCCAGTTGCTTCCATGATACTGGGGTCCACCTTCTCATCCTGAGAGGTTTTCTCCAATCTTCTCTTGATTCGTAGTTCAAGGGCCTCTACCACTTGATGTGTCAAAGCCCAATCTGAAAATTCCCATTTGTTATTCAGAGGCACTTAACTAACTTTTTTCCAACCTATCCCAGGACTGGCCCAGGACCTTGTTTCTTACAACCAAAGGGTATATTAAGGTATGACAAAATTAAAAGCAGGGGGCCAGGTGCAATGGTTCATGCCTGTAATCCTAGCACTTTGGGAGGTCGAGGCAGGTGGATCACCTGAGGTCTGGAGTTCGAGAGCAGCCTGGCTAACATGGAGAAACCTGTCTCCACTAAAAATACAAAAATTAGCCGGGCATGGTGGTGCACACCTGTAATCCCAGCTACTTGGGAGGCTGAGGCAGGAGAATTGTTTGAACCTGGAAGGCAGAGGTTGCAGTAAGCCAAGATTGTGCCCTGTACACCAGCCTGGGTGACAGAGTGAGACTCTGTCTTAAAAAAAAAAAAAATTAAAAGCAGGTATTGGGGGGTGGGAGAGAAAGGAGGAGGAGAAAGAAAAGAAGGAAGAGGAGGAAGAAGAAAGAAGGGAATAGGAGAGAATGAGGAGGGAAGTAGGAGAAGAAGAAAAATAAAACAGCTTCCTACTTAAGAGACTGCTTGTCCTCTATTGAGGCCAGGTGCAAATTTTCTTCCCGTTACACACAAGTCTTTTTTCTTAGCCTGATTATTTTCTTAGACTGGATCCCCAGAAATAAACCACTGAGACAAGGGTACGAACATTTGTTCAACTCTTTCAGACATATTATCAAGTTCTGCTGCAGCTCCTTTGACTCAGTTTATGGTAAATTCTCCTTGACTTGATTCCGGCATTTTACTGGCCACTCAACTTACTTTGCTCATGTTTGTATTCACAAGGTTTTAGTGAAATAAAAATTGTTCCCTGCCACATTCTACCCCAACAAAAAAGAAAAAAAAATCTATAGACTCCTGTGGGAGATGATCATGGAGCTCACCCTTGTCTTGTTTGCTGGCAATAATGGGAATGTTTCTGGCATTTCCCCATTAAATATAATGTTGCCCCTTGGTTGGTTTGAGATACACACTTTTTTTTTTTCCCAGACAGTGTATTGTTCTATTACCCCAGCTGGAGTGCAGTGGCATGATCACAGCTCACTGCAGCCTTGATCTCCTGGGCTCAATCGATCCTCCTGCCTCAGCCTCCCAAACAGGTAGGATTATGGGCATGTGCCACCATGCCTGGCTAATTTTTTTTTTTTCTGGTGGAGATGGGGCTTTGCCATGTTGCCCAGGCTGCTCTCAAACTCCTCAGCTCAAGCACTCTGCCTGCCTCAACCTCCCAAAGTGCTAGGATTATAGGTGTGAGCCACCACACCTGGCTGAGACACACCTTTTGTTTTGTTTCATTTTGTTTTGTTTTTGACAGAGTTTTACTCTTGTTGTCCAGGCTGGAGTGCAATGGTGCCATCTCAGCTCACCGCAACCTCCACCTCCCAAGTTCAAGTGATTCTCCTGCCTCAGCCTCTCAAGTGGCTGGGATTACAGGTATGCACCACCACACCCTGCTAATTTTAAATTTTTAGTAGAGACCAGGTTTTGCCATGTTGGTCAGGCTGGTCTCAAACTCCTGACCTCAGGTGATCCACCCACCTTGGCCTCCCAAAGTGCTGGGATTACAGGTGTGAGCCACCATGCCTGGCTGAGACACACACTTTTAAAATCAGGTCAGGGTCGGGTGTGGTGGCTCATGCCTGTAATCCCAGCACTTTGGGAGGCCAAGGCAGGTAGATCACCTGAGGCCAGGAGTTCTAGACCAGCTTAGCCAACATGGTAAAGCCTCATCTCTTAAAAAATAATAATAATAAAATAAAATCAGGTCAAGAAGAGATTCATCTTGTTCTAATCAAAATTTTTTATTTCAAGCTGGGCACAGTGGCTCACACCTGTAATCCCAGCACTTTGGGAGGCCAAGGTGGGTGGATCACCTGAGGCCAGGAGTTTGAGACCATCCAGGCCAACATGGAGAAACCCCATCCTTACTAAAAATACAAAAATTAGCCGGGCGTGGTGGTACGCACCTGTAATCCCAGCTACTCGGGAGGCTGAGGTGGAAGAATGGCTTGAACCCGGGAGGCAGAGGTTGCAGTGAGCTGAGTTCACACCATTGCACTCCAGCCTGGGCAACAGATCAAGACTATGCTGGCATTTGGGAGTTTTGTGTGTTCCCTGAACCAGGAAGCATCCAGTAAGACATCTCAGATATTTGCAAATATCATGAATTCATCCTGTCCAAGTACCCATCTGATATGCAAGTCTGCGTTTTAACATTTCTACCAAGTGGCCACCCATCCAACCTCTGTCTGTCTAAATGCTAGTAATGGTGTTGCCAATTTTCTTTGACCTCCTATAGCATCTACACACTGTTTCTAGTTTTATCCCTTGGGTGATCACAATAAACCTAATGCATTCTATTTCCTCTGCCTAGAATGCTTTTTTCACCTTTACAAGATACATTCATGCTAATTTATTTATTTTTTTATTTATTTTTGAGACAGAGTCTCACTCTATAGCCCAGTCTGGGGTGCAGTGGTGCTATCTCAACCCACTGCAACCTCCAAACTCCATCTCCTGGGTTCAAGCAATTCTCCTGCCTCAGCCTCCTGAGTAGCTGGGTTTACAGGCCCGCGCTACCATGCCTGGCTAATTTTTGAGTTTTTAGTAGAGATGGGGTTTCGTCATGGTGGCCAGGCTGGTCTCTAACTCCTGGCCTCAAGTGATCCACCTGCCTCGGCCTCCCAAAGTGATCGGATTACAGGCGTAAGCCACCATGCCTGGCCCATATTAATCTTTTAAAATAAAATAAAATTCGATCTCTTCCAAAAGAAAAAAAGCAGACTTCAGCCAAAACTGTCCCTCAGGAGGAGTCAGGTTGAGATGCCTCTTGTTGCCCCTGCAGACCCTGAACACTGGTACTGCTGCCACCACCGGACTGGATTCTAACTCACCCTACTTCTGTGCATTACCTACTCCTGACTCAGAGTCCCAGGGAAGGGTCTCTGGTTAGCCAAGTTTGGGTCAGAACCAGCACTACGGCACCCAGGGTTAGGAAAAGTAAGTGCCTGGCTTTCCAGTGGGAGCACATTTTCTACCAAGATTCATACAAACTCTCTACCCCAGAATAGGGTGCTGATGCTAAGTAGGCAAGAATAGAAACCACAAATGTCTACTCTCCATCTATTCTATTTTTCCTTAAAAATTTCACCGGGAGTCAATGTTGATTACCTTTTCAGTATTTGAAATGATAATATTATTTTTTGCATCAGATTGATTACTAAAGTAACTACATTGATAGATTTCCTAATGTTCAGCCATCCTCCCATTCTTGCAATAAAATTCATTTGGTGGTGTTACTGTATTCTTTTAATATACAGCTGCATTCTATTTGCCAATATTTAGGATTTTTCATGGATAATTCATAAGTGAGATTGGCGTGTATAATCCTTTTCAGGAATTAGTATCTAAATTTTGATTCCATTGTAAATAGTTTGGATGATTTTCTTCCCTCTCTATTCTCTGGAGCAGTTTAAATACTTGGAGGCTGGGCGTGGTGGTTCATGCCCGTAATCCCAGCCCTTTGAGAGGCTGAGGCTGGCAGATTGCTTGGACCCAGGAGTTTAAGACTAGTCTGTGCAACACGGCAAAACCTCATCTCTTTAAAAAATACAAAAAAATTAGCTGGGCGTGGTGGTTCGTGCCTGTAGTCCCAGTTACTCAGGAGGCTGAGGTGGGAGGATGGCTTGAGCCAGGGAGGTGGAGGTTGCAATGAGCTGAGATTGCACCACTGCACTCCAGCCTGGGCGACAGAGCCAGACCCTGTCTCAAAAAAATAAATGGCCAGGCGCGGTGGCTCAAGCCTGTAATCCTAGCACTTTGGGAGGCCGAGTTGGGTGGATCACGAGGTCAGGAGTTCGAGACCATCCTAGCCAACATGGTGAAACACTGTCTCTACTAAAAAATACAAAAAAATTAGCAGGGCGTGGTGGCGGGCGCCTGTAGTCCCAGCTACTCAGGAGGCTGAGGCAGGAGAGTGGCGTGAACCCGGGAGGCGGAGCTTGCAGTGAGCTGAGATGGTGCCACTGCACTCCAGCCTGGGGGACAGAGCCAGATTCTGTCTCAAAAAAATAAATAAGATAAATAAATACTTGCAAATATTTGTAAATACTATGTACCAGGAACTCTTCTAGGTATGTTGAATACATTAATTCATCTAATCTCTGCAACAACCATATAAGTACCATTATTTCTATCTACACAAGAGAAGAAAAAAAACTGACAGAGTGGTTAAGTAACTTGCCCAAGACCACAAAGTTAATCAACATGACATGTTCCTTGAAGATTTGAAAGTATTTACCTGTGAAATTTATCCAGGACTGGTGTTCATTTGAATAAGAAGTTCTTTGATAATTTTAAAAATAAAATCCTAGAACAGTAGTTTTCAAGGTATAGTCCTCAGACCAGCAGCCTTGGCACCACCTGGAAACAGACCTACTGAATCAGAAACTCTGTGGTGGGTCCCAGCAAATGGAATTTTAGCAGCCCAGATGATTCTGCCATGTGTTTATGTTTAAGAACCACTGAGCTAGAAATATAACCGGATTACTCAAAAACTTGAGGGAATAGGCTGGGTGCGGTGGCTCATGCCTGTAATCCTAGCACTTTGGGAGGCTGAGGCGGGTGGATTGCATGAGCTCAGGAGTCCGAGACCAGCCTGGGCAACACAGTGAAACCCCATGTCTACTAAAATACAAACTATTAGCCAGGCTTGGTGGTGGGCACCTGTAATCCCAGCTATTTGGGAGGCTGAGGCAAGAGAATCACTTAAACCCAGGAGGCGGAGGTTGTAGTGAGCTGAGATTGCGCCACTGCCCTCCATCCTGGGTGACAGAGTGAGACTTCCTCTAAAAAAAAAAAAAAAAAAAAAACTCAGGGGAACGTGGCTGAACCAAAAACTAAGGGCAGACTGGGCATGGTGGCTCGCACCTGTGATCCGAGCACTTTAGGAGGCTAAGGCAGGTGGATTACCTGAGGTGAGGAGTTTGGGATCACCAGTCTGACCAATACGGTGAAACCCTGTCTCTACTAAAAATACAAAAATTGTCTGGGCATGGTGGGATGCACCTGTAGTCCCAGCTACTCGGGAGGCTGAGACAGGAGAATTGCTTGAACCCAGGCGCTGGAGGTTGCAGTGAGCTGAGATCATGCCACTGCACTCCAGCGTGGGTGACAGAGTTAGACTCTGTCTCAAAAAAAAAAAAAAAAAAAAAAAAGTAAAGGCAGTGTCTTTTGTCTTTGTTCACAAAGCTCTTCTTTTTTTGAGGAAATGCTTCTGTCTCACAGCAATACAATCATGTGGTTTTGATGGGTTTTCTAAATCAGGACCCTGCTCTGTAGTGGGCACATGATATTCCAGACATTCTAATGTCTTATTTATCTGGCTTTAGCGAGTGTTCCAGACAGGGGCATGCATCCCAAGTCAGGGCAATTAGAGTTTTGCCCAGGATTTACATTTGGATATGGAGGAGAAAGTGCTTTGCTTTTTGCATTATGGAGGTGGGACAGACGTTAACTGAGTAATATTATCTGATAATTCCCCTGCCAGGTGGAAAAAGCCCACCTACAGGAAGAGAGTAAGTCCAGAACAATGAAAAAAACTAAGTTGAAAGACCTAAGAAGCTCATTTGAGAACCTGTATCTGTCATCCTGAAACCAGTTACACCCTGAATTTACCAGTTACACAAGCCAATAAACTCTTTTATGCTCAGACTATTTTGAGTTTCTGTCACTTCTAACAGAAAGCATGCTGGCTGCTACACCACAAATAAAGAGTAAATAGAAGGTATTAAACTAATAATCATAATACTTGAATTTTCAAATCCATTACGTGTGTGTGTGTGTTTTAAGATGTAGTTTCACTCTTGTTGCCCAGGCTGGAGCACAATGGCATGATCATGGCTCACTGCAACCTCTGCCTCCTGGGTTCAAGCAATTCTCCTGCCTCAGCCTCCCATATAGCTGGGATTACAGGCATGCACCACCACGCCCAGCTAATTTTTTGTATTTTTAGTAGAGACGGGGTTTCACCATGTTGGCCAGGCTGGTCTCAAACTCCTGACCTCAAGTGATCTGCTCACCTCAGCCTCCCAAAGTGCTGAGATTACAGGCATGAGCCACTACTCCCAGCTGCATTACTATTTTGACAGCACAAAAGTGTTCTATCTAAATTATACTTTCATATTACTTTACACCTTAAAATATTGCATAACTGGCTAAATAATTTTGGCTTTTTTATGTTGTTGGTCCATAAACTTGCATTTTTTCCTGAACCCAAGCCATTACTTCCAGCTTTCGCCAGTGGGCTATAATACTTTGGTTCCCTTGCCGCTGGCAGCTGCCACAAAAAAAAAAAAAAATCAACTCTAAACTGCCAACACCTTTGGGAATTTGTTCACTTGAAAGGAAATTGAATATGGCCAGTATTGGCAGCTCTCTTTCCTGGTTGGCTTAACCATAAGGAAAACCCTGACACATAGGACGCACTAAATAAATACTCATTGAATAAATAAAATGAAAACCCATGTCAGCCAGGTGCAGTGGTTCATGCCTGTAATCCCAGCACTTTGGGAGGCTGAGGCGGGCGGATCACCTGAGGTCAACAGTTCGAGACCAGCCTGGCCAACACGTGAAAATCCGTCTCTACCAAAAATACAAAAATTAGCCAGGTGTGGTGGCGCGTGTCTGTATTTCCAGCAACTCAGGAGACAGAGACAGGAGAATTGCTTGAATCTTGGAGGCAGAGTTTGCAGTGAGCCAAGATTGCACCACTGCACTCCAGGCTGGGCGACAGAGTGAGACTCTGTCTCAAAAAAACAAAAAAACAAAAAAAAAAAAAAAAAGAAAAGAAAAGAGAAAGAAAGAAAGAAAGAAAGAAAGAAAGAAAGAAAGAAAGAAAGAAAACCCATATGTTCATGAAGATCATGGCAATAAATAAATAAATGAAAAGAGAACCCAGAAAAACTTAACATTATTTTAAAGCACTGAGGATTTTATTTCTGCCATTATGCATGAATTTAGAAAATTTATTCTTTTTGGCAAATATGAAGTGTCAGGGATAAGTGTAGTTACAGTAACAGAGTTTGGATCATGGGGTTGTTAAGCCTTCAGCCAGCTCAACAAGAACACCTGTGCCAATTGCACACCCCCGTGCTTGGGCTTGTCAGGTTGTAGGTGAGCTATGAGCATTCAGCTGGTGCTGCTTATCTCTGACCCAACTTCACCCTTTCAGCTGTCCAAGTGGATTAGTATATTGTCTTGGCTCCTGGTCAAGGCTGGCTTAAATGTGTATTTCTGAAATGTTTATGGCCAGTGAGATTCCTGCCTGAGTGATGCTAAGCACATTACTCTGCTGAGGTATCACCCCTAATAGGATATACATTCCAATGAAAAGTAACCTCTGGGAGAGCCATTCGTTCCACTTGCAGTACCTGAAAGATTCCCTCCACATTGTTGTGGTTTTCTCTGTGTTTCCAGCATTTTTGAAAATTGACCTTGTTAAGAAAAGAACAGGCCGGGCGCAGTGGCTCACCCCTGTAATCCCAGCACTTTGGGAGGCCGAGGCAGGCGGATCACAAGGTCAGGAGATCAAGACCATCCTGGCTAACATGTGAAACCTGGTCTCTACTAAAAATACAAAAAAATTTAGCCAGGTGTGGTGGCGGGCGCCTGTAGTCCCAGCTACTCGGTAGGCTGAGGCAGGAGAATGGCATGAACCTGGGAGGCGGAGCTTGCAGTGAGGTGAGATCGTGCCACTGCACTCCAGCCTGGGCGACAGAGCAAGACTCGGTCTCAAAAAAAAAAAAAAAAAGATAAGGAAAAAAAGAAAAGAAAAGAACAATAGGTTTCCTGGAAGATCTATCACTTTTTTTTCTAAAGCAAATTTATTTAACTGTCAGATACAAGTGTCTTTTGGCTACCAGAACCTAAAAAGTATATACCTTAAAACACAAATCCTTTGAAAAAATTCATAAAACTGCAACTTATATCTTTTTTTTTTCAACAAGTTCACCTGCTGTCAAAAGCAACTTTTATCTATTCCAGCTGTACTTTGCTCATCTCTTCTGGACATTCATAGAACAGAAAAGAATATGTCTTTGATGTTTTCAATCAATAATCCATTTTTGAAGAGTTTTGAGGAATTGATACTGTCACTAAGTATCACCTTAAATAGCCTCCTTTTGTTGTTGTGTTCCCTTTGGGTAATTCCCTTAAATATCCTGAGGATCTGATGCTAAGTGGATTTGCTTAAGGAACTAAAAGGATTCCAACTGTTTAGAAATGTGAAACCTATCCAATATTCTTCTAGAATTTTCACTGGATATCACAACTGTAATAGTTTATATAGTAGATCCTCACTATTTGCAGAGTTGGTCCTACTTCGTTTTGTTTCAGAACAAAAGATAATCCTGTAAATTTGTTTCTGCAGATTAGATTTTTGAGCTTTGGGAGGAGACCATTTCACCTTGCTTTAAGTGGTTGAGAAACAAACAGTTAAATTGTTTATTATGAAAATATACAAGTTCCAATTTGACAAAATAAAGTGTCAAAGCAGTCAGTGATGGAGCTGATACATACCCGGGAGGTTTTGGCATGCCCTAAAGATGCTGTTTGCTTTCTCTATGCATTTACCAAATGAGATGTGTATCTTTTGAATAGTGTAGCACATCGATTTGGATGTGAAAAGCTTTTGGAATGTAAACTAAGACACAAAAAGGACACCTCTTCCCACAGAGTATTTTACATAGATGTGTACTATTACCAAAGATAAACTAACTCTTTATTTATTTTTTTATTTATTTTGAGATAGAGTTTCGCTAGCCAGGCTAGAGTGCAATGGCGCGATCTCGGCTCACGGCAAACTCCGCCTCCCGGATTTAAGTGATTCTCCTGCCTCAGCCTTCTGAGTAGCTGGAATTACAGGGGCTTGCCACCACGAACAGCTAATTTTTGTATTTTTAGTAGAGGCAGGGTTTCACCATGTTGGCCAGGCTGGTCTCAAACTGCTGATCTCAGGTGATCCGCCCGCCTCGGCTTCTCAAAGTGCTGGGATTACAGGCGTGAGTCCCCGCGCCCAGCCGATGATGATGATGATGATGATGATGATGATGATGATGATGATGATTATTATTATTATTATTATTATTATTTTATTATTATTGAGACAGCGTTTCACTCCGTTGCCCAGGCTGGAGTGCAGGGGCACGATCTCGGCTCGCTGCAACCTCCGCCTCCCGGTTCAAGCGATTCATGTGCCTCAGCCTCAAAAGTAGCCGGGATTACAGGTAATCCCAGCACTTTGGGAGGCGATGTCCGCTCACTATAACCTCCACCTCCCGGGTTCAAGCGATTCTCCTGCCTCAGTGTCCTGAGTAGCTGGAACTACAGGTGTGCGCCACCATGCTCGGCTAAATTTATTTTTATTTATTTATTTTTTATTTTTAGTAGAGATGAGGCCTTGCTATGTTGCTCAGGCTGGTCTCCGACTCCTGAGCTCAAGCAATCCTCCAGCGTCAGCCTCCCAAAGTGCTGGGATTACAGGCCAAAAAGCATTATATTTGTTACCTTTAAATCCAGAAGATATCCAGGCTGGGCGCGGTGGCTCACGCCTGTAATCCCAGCACTTTGGGAGACTGAGGCAGGTGGATCCCCTGAGGTTAGAAATTCGAGGCCAGCCTGGCCAACATGGTGAAACCCCGTCTCTACTAAAAATACAAAAATTAGCCAGGCGTGGTGGCAGGCCTGTAGTTCCAGCTACTTGGGAGGCTGAGGCATGAGAATCACTTAAACCCAGGAGGCGGAGGTTTCAGGGAGATTGCAGGATCAGCGCCACTGTACTCCAGCCTGGGTGACAGAGCAAAACTCTGTCTCAAAAAAAAAAAAAAAAAAATTCAGATATCCAGTGTCTCCACTGCTTTGATCTTGCATATCAGCTGCCAAGCTGAGTTTAGGAGTTTTAAACTATATAACACAATTTTTTTGTTTGTTTTGTTGTTGTTGTTGTTTTGTTTTGTTTAAGACGGAATTTTGCTCTTGTTGCCCAGGCTGGAGTGCAATGGCGCGATCTTGGCTAACTGCAACCTCCGCCTCCCGGGTTCAAGCGATTCTCCTGCCTCACCTCCCCAGTAGCTGGGATTACAGGCATGTGCCACCACATCCGGCTAATTTTGTATTTTTAGTAGAGACAGGGTTTCTCCATGTTGGTCAGGCTGGTCTCAAACTGCCGACCTCAGGTGATCCGCCCACCTTGGCTTCTCAAAGTGCTGGGATTACAGGCGTGAGCCACCACGCCTGGCCATAAACGCCAATTTTTAAGACTTATTAGGTGTTACTGACTCAATCTATTCTCTCAAATCATTGAGTCTCAAATCATTTGAGGGAGTTGGGGGTTGGTCAGACACCTGTCTCTGTTCAGTTCTGTCTTGTTTTGCCACATTGACATCAATCCCCTTTAAACTTTTTATCCTCTCTGATGTGTTCCATTCTGAAACATTCCAAAGCATCTAGCCTGACCAACCAACATTCTGTAAGTAGAATGTAAAGCTCATCTTTAGGCAATGACTAAAACCTCTGAAATTGATCCAAAACCATTTTCCTCTGTCCTAATTGTATATTCCTCATTCTTATCTTCCTTGGTGTCTGACTCCTTCACCTCTACACTTTCTCCTAATACCCGCCTTGGGGCATTTACTCACTCTGACCATTTTGGTCACACGTCTCTGGCATGGTGCTGTCTTAGGTGGTGTGGATCCACAAGTAGCTGTAGTTGCTAGTGAAGGAATCTGTAGTCCCAAGCTGACACTGAGGACCATTCCCTGCTGCAACCCCAGGGGCGATCCAGAGGGTGCTTAGCTTCTGCTCTGGGTGCTGTTTAGGGTTTTAAGGTCATTACCTGCCTCCAGCTGTTTCTAATTAACCTTTTCAGGCTCTCCATGAATGACTAACTCAGACCTTACCTTTTTAAAAAGCCCCCCAAAATTACAAAACTAACACATTTAACAGCTTTTTTTTTTTTTTTTTTTTTTTTTTTAGACAGCGTCTTGCTCTGTCGCCCAGGCTGGAGTGCAGTGGCGCGATCTTGGCTCACTGCAACCTCCGCCTCCCGGGTTCAAGCGATTCTCCTACCTCAGCCTCCCTAGTAGCTGGGACTACAGGCGAGCACCATCACGCCCGGCCAATTTTCGTATTTTTAGTAGGGACAGGGTTTCACCATGTTGGCCAGGATGGTCTGGATCTCTTGATCTCGTGATCTGGCCGCCTTGGCCTCCCAAAGTGCTGGGATTACAGGCGTGAGCCACAACGCCTAGATTTCTTTAAAATACCTTTTATTGGCCGGGCACGGTCAATAAAAGGTATGGAAAGTATTTACATGATGAAAGATTTCAGAACTTCAGTGGAATGGGCAGCTTCACATTGATGCCATTTCAATAGTGACTTATTTCAGTCTACTTGCTTTCCAAGAATGTCACCATCTCGGCCGGGCGCGGTGGCTCACGCCTGCAATCCCAGCACTTTGGGAGGCTGAGGCGGGCAGATCACGAGGTCAGGAGATCAAGACCATCCTGGCTAACACGGTGAAACCCCGTCTCTAGTAAAAATACAAAAAATTAGCCTGGCGTGGTGGCGGGCGCCTGTAGTCCCAGCTACTCGGGAGGCTGAGGCAGGAGAATGGCGTGAATCCGAGGCGGAGGTTGCAGTGAGCTGAGATCACGCCACTGCACTCCAGCCCAGGAGACAGAGCGAGAGTCCGTCTCAAAAAAAAAAAAAAAAAAAAAAAAAGTCACCATCTCTAAATAAGAAATAATCCTGCTGGGCACAGTGGCTCACGCCTGTAATCCTAGCACTTTGGGAGGCTGAGGCAGGCGAATCGCCTGAGGTCAGGAGTTCAAGACCAGCCTGGCCAGCAAGCATGGTGAAGCCCCGTCTCTACCAAAAATACAAAAAAAATTAGCTGGGCGTGGTGGCGGATGCCTGTAATCCCAGCTACTCGTGAGGCTGAGGCAGGAGAATGGCTTGAACCCGGGAGACGAAGGTTGCAGTGAGTCGAGATCGCGCCACTGCGCTCCAGCCTGGGCGACAGAGTGAGACTGTCTTAAAAAAAATAAACAAATAAAAAAAATCCTTATCATCTACAACTACTTTGGTGCCTCCATATTCTTGAAGAAGAACTTTATCTTCAACTTTCATGCTAACTGGTTGAATCTCTCCCCTTTTCTTTAGAACCCGATCCAATAGCGACTACTCGCTTGCAGTACTTTTCCTTGAGATTTTTCTGGAAGCATAATGCCTCCTTTGGTTACAGTTTCGGCAGTACTCCTTTCAACCGATACTCGGTCAGAGTGGAAGAAAGTTTCTAAAGGTTTGTCCCGACATGACTCCCTCCGCCGCAGCCTCGTACTCTGCTCTCGTGCAGCGCCGCAAGGAGAGACCTCTTTCCCTTTTTTGTATAAACTCAAGGGATACAAGTGAGGTTTTGCTACATGGGTATATTGTCTTGGCTTTTAATGTAACCATCACCCGAATAGTGTAACTTGTACCCATTAAGTGACTTCTCATCGTTCCTCCCCTTCCCACCCTCCCAGTCTTCCAACCCTCCAACTCAAGGGATACAAGTGAGGTTTTGCTACATGGATATATTGTCTGGGCTTTTAATGTAACCATCACCCGAATAGTGTAACTTGTACCCATTAAGTGACTTCTCATCGTTCCTCCCCTTCCCACCCTCCCAGTCTTCCAACCCTCCAACTCAAGGGATACAAGTGAGGTTTTGCTACATGGATATATTGTCTGGGCTTTTAATGTAACCATCACCCGAATAGTGTAACTTGTACCCATTAAGTGACTTCTCATCGTTCCTCCCCCTCCCACCCTCCCAGTCTTCCAACTCTCCAAAGTATAGTATCCCACACTCTATGTCCATGTATATACATTATTTAGCTGCCACTTATTTGTTTTGTTTTTTTGTTTTTTGTTTTTGTTTTAGATGGAGTCTTGCTCTGCCGCCCAGGCTGGAGTGCAGTGGCATGATCTCGGCTCACTGCAAACTCCGCTTCCCGGGTTCAAACGATTCTCCTGCCTCAGCCTCCAGAGTAGCTGAGATTAGCTCCCACTTATAAGTGAGAACATGGTATTTGACTTTCTTTGAATCCTGGCTTCCCCTGCTCAAGTGATCCTCCTGCCTCAGCATCCCGAGTAGCTGGGACCACAGACTTGTGCCACCATTCCTGGCTAATTTTTGTATTTTTATTTTATTGTATTCTATTTTATTTATTTTGAGGCGGAGTTTCACTCTTATTGCCCAGGCTGGAGTGCAGTAGTGCGATCTCGGCTCACTGCAACCTCCACCTCCCAGGTTCAAGTAATTCTCCTGTCTCAGCCGCCCAAGTAGCTGGGATTACAGACGTGCACACCTGGCTAATTTTGTATTTTTAGTAGAGACGGGGTTCCACCATGTTGGCCAGGCTGGTCTCGAACTCCTAACCTCGTGATCCACCCATCTTGGCCTCCCAAAGTGCTGGGATTACAGGCGTGAGCCACCGCGCCTGGCCAATTTTTGTATTTTTTTATGGAGACAGAGTCCTACTATGTTGGCCAGGCTGGTCTTGAACTCCTAGGCTCAGGCTGCAATAAACGTATGAATGCAGGTATCTTCTTTTTGGTATGGTGATTTCTTTTATATTTTCTTTTCTTTCTTTCTTTCTTTTTTTTTTCTTTTTTTTTTTTTTAGACAGGGTCTCATGCTCTTGCCCAGGTTGGAGTGCAGTGGTGCCATCATAGCTCACTGCAACATCAAACTCCTGTTCCCTGGTCTCCTGCCTCAGCTTCCCAAGTAGCTGGGACTACAGGCAAATGCCAACATGCCCAGCATATATATATTATTATATATATAATATATATATTTTATATATTATTATATATATAATATATATATTTTATATATATATTATATATATTATATATAATATATATTATATATAATATATTATATATAATATATATAAAATATAATATATATTATATATAATATATATAAAATATATATATTATATATAATATATATAAAATATATATATTATATATAATATATATAAAATATATATATTATATATAATATATATAAAATATATATATTATATATAATATATATAAAATATATATATTATATATAATATATATAAAATATATATATTATATATATACATGCCCAGCATATATATATATATTATATATATAAAATATATATATATTATATATATATAAAATATATATATATATAGAGAGAGAGAGAGAGAGAGTGATAGAGTCTTGCTATGTTGCCCAGATTGTTCTTGTACTCCTGGGCCAAGGGATCCTCCCACCTCACGCTCCTAAAGTGCTGGGATTACAGGTTTGAGCCACTGTGCCCAGCCAACTATTTCTTTTCTTTTCCTTTGGGTAGATTGCCAGTAGTGGGATCACTGGGTCAAATGGTAGTTCTATTTTTAGTTCTTTGAGAAATCTCTAAACTATTTTCCATAGAGGTTGAACTAACTTACATTCCCACCTAGAATGTGTAAGTGTTCTGTTCTCTGCATTCTCACCATCAGTTATTTTTAGTCTATTTATTTATCTACTTATTTATTTTATAAACAAGGTCTTGTATGTCACCACACCTAGCTAATTTTCAATTTTTTTGTAGAAACAGGGTCTCACCATGTTGCCCAGGCTGGTCTGGAACTATTGGGATCAAGAGGTCCTCCCCACTCAGCCTCCTAATGTGCTGGATTACAGGCTTGAGCCACTGAGCCTGCCCAGTCTTTTTAATAATAGCCATTCTAATGTGTAAGATGATATATCACTGAGGTTTTAATTTTCATTTTCCTTTTTTGTTGTTGTTTTGTCTTTTTGTTTTCTGTTTTTTGAGACAGAGTCTTGCTCTGTCGCCCAGGCTGGAGTGCAGTGGTGCGATCTCAGCTCACTGCAACCTCTGCCTCCCGGAATCAAGAGATTCTCCTGTCTCAGCCTCCCGAGTAGGTGGGATTACAGGTGTGTACCACTATTCCTGGTGAATTTTTAAAAAATATTTTTAGTAGAGACGGGGTTTGCCCCTGTTGGCCAGGCTGGTCTCAAACTCCTGACCTCAGGTGATCCACCCCCCTTGGCCTCGCAAAGTGCTAAGATTACAGGCGTGAGCCACATTGCCTAGCTGAATTTTCACTTTTCTGATGATTAGTGATGTTGAGCATTTTTTCATGGGCTTGGTGGTCATTTGTATGTCTTCTTTTGAAAAATGTCTATTCATGTCCCTTGCCCACTTGCCTACTTTTTAATGGGATTATCTGTGGGATTTCTTTTTATTTTTTATTTTTAGGAGCGGAGGTTTAATAGGTAGAAGAGAAGAGAATGAGAAACAACCCGGCAGGCACGGTGGCTCACACCTGTAATCCCAGCAATTTGGGATGCCGAGGCGGGCAGATTACGAGGTCAGGAGTTTGAGACCACCCTGGCCAACGTGGTGAAACCCCGTCTCTACTAAAAATACAAAAAATTAGCGGGCGTGGCAGCGCCTGTAATCCCAGCTACTTGGGAGGCTGAGACAGGAGAATCGCTTGTACCTGGGAGGCGGAGGTTGCAGTGAGCGGAGATCGCACCATTGCACTCCAGCCTGGGCAACAAGAGCGAAACTCCATCTAAAAAAAAAAAAAAAAAAAAAGCCTTGCTGAGGACTCCCATACCTTTATTATCTGTCCAAGTAATTTCATCTTAACTCCTCCTGTATCATTCCCCTCTCCGGAGTGGTAACCCTAACTGCTGTTAGGGGTGTTGGACGATGATTATTTCTGGCTAATCCTGCCGAAAAGGGGTGTTGTATGGGGAACAGCAGCTAGGGCTCCTCCTGTGGTCGATCTAAGCATCCTCGGAAGAAAATTGTGTCCATTCGTGGTTCTGTCTACAGCACCATTGGAGTTAGATTGCTGTCAGCCATTCCAATGGGTGGTAACCCTGGTTTGCCTCCACCAGATGTTGCGTTTCAATGAATGTTGTACCTTGGTATCCCGGATGAGGGCCCCAGTATGAAGTGGCTACATTGTCTGGGGCATATACCCTGGGGTTCATCGTCTCCCATCAGGAAAATTTAGGACACAGACACACACAAGGAGTTTAGGAGCAGAGGTTTAATAGGCAGAAGAGAAGAGAAAGAGAAACAGCTCTCTATATGTAGGGAGAGGGATATCTGAGCAGAAAGGGCGCTGATACTTATTTATTTATTTAGAGATGGAGTCTTGTCTTGTTCTGTTGCCCAGGCTGGAGTGCAGTGGTGCCATCTCAGCTCAATGCAACCTCTACCTCCTGGGTTCAAGCAATTCTCCTGCTTCAGCCTCCAGAGTAGCTGGGACTACAGGCGCCCAGCTAATTTTTGTGTTTTTAGTAGAGATGGGGGTTTCCCCATATTGGCCAGGCTGGTCTCGAACTCCTGACCTTGTGATCCGCCCGCCTCGGCCTCCCAAAGTACTGGGATTACAGGTATGAGCCACCATGCCCAGCCTATTTATATCTTTTTTAAATAAATTGTTTGTCGTCTTTTGTTGAGTTGTTTGAGTCCTTTGTAAAATCTGGATATTAGTCCCCTGTTGGATTCACAGCTTGCAAATGTTTTCTCCCAATCTGCAGGTTGTCTGTTCACTCTTTTGACACCAGGTACTTACAAAATATCAATTGCATAAAGATAATGAAAAGTTTTTAAGTTTTCATAACCAAATGTGAAAGAAAGGGATTTTCTGTCCTGTGTAACACCCTCCACCCCCAAATTTTTAATATAAGGCCCCAGAACTTATGCCATCAAAGGCAAACAATTTTAGCAAGAGAAAGGTTTATTTTCTGCTTGTAGATGCTGCAGATGAACCTGAATGTTAAGGCCTGATGTCCTCCCAGGATGGAACCAGTGGCCGCAGTGTCAAGGACCCCTACTGTGTGGTGTATGTCAACAGGTTGGAGCCTGGAGTTTATCAGGGAGAACAAATGGGTAGAAACTGGGAAAATAAAAGAGACCAGGGAGAGTGTCTCTCTCATGGCATACTGTGACCACTCATGACATACCTGTGAGTACTAAAGGCAACTCAACGGCAAAAGAAATGTTTTACATAGTACAAGTGTTTTCAGGTTCAGCCAGCAAAAAGATTGGTTGCTTTCCAGTAGAGAACTGTTATTCCACTCTTTCACAGGCTGTGAAGCACCCACCCATAACAATAGTGGGCTTGGGACTGAAGGATAAATGGAGATCCCACATACCTTATGTCAAAATATTTAAAAGTTACAAGTTAAGCCAACAAACTGTTAAATAAAATATGTCTGTCAGGTCGGGTGCGGTGGCTCATGCCTGTAATCCCAGCACTTTGGGAGGCCGAGGAGGGTAGATCACCTGAGGTCAGGAGTTCGAGACCAGCCTAACCAACATGGGGAAACCCCGTCTCTACTAAAAATACAAAATTAGCCGGGCATGGTGGTGCATGCCTGTAATCCCAGCTACTAGGGAGGCTGAGGCAGGAGAGTCACTTGAACCTGGGAGACGGAGGTTGCGGTGAGCCGAGATCTCACCATTGCCCTTCAGCCTGGGCAACAAGAGTGAAACTCCATCTCAAAAAAAAAAAAAAAAAAAAAAAGGCCAGGCGCAGTGGCTCATGCCTGTAATCGCAGCACTTTGGGAGGCCAAGGCAAGCAGATCACTTGAGGTCTGGAGTTCAAGACCAGCCTGACCAACATGGTGAAACCCTGTCTCTACTAAAAATACAAAAATTAGCTAGGCATGGTGGCACACACCTGTAGTCCCAGCTACTCGGGAGGCTGAGACAGAATCGCTTGAACCCAGGAGGGGGAGGTTGCAGTGAGCTGAGATCCCGCCACTGCACTCCAGCCTGGTGACAGAGTGAGACACTGTCTCAAACAAAACAAAACAAAACAAAAAAAAAACGCCGGTTGTGGTGGTTCACGCCTGTAATCCCAACACTTTGGGAGGCCGAGGTGGGCAGATCACAAGGTCAGGAGATCGAGACCATCCTAGCTAACACGGTGAAACCCTGTCTCTACTAAAAATGCAAAAAATTAGCTGGGCGTGGTGGCGGGTGCCTGTAGTCCCAGCTACTTGGGAGGCTGAGGCAGGAGAATGGCGTGAACCTGGGAGGTGGAACTTGCAGTGAGCTGAGATCGTGCCACTGCACTCCAGCCTGGGTGACAGTGCGAGATTCCGTCTCAAAAAAAGAAAAAAGAAAAAAAATTGTTTTGTTTTCTTTTGTTTTAAGAGTCGGCGTCTTGCTATGTTGACTAAGCTAATCTTGAACTCCTGGCCTCAAGCAATCCTCCCACCTTGGCCCCCCAAAGTACTCCAATACAGGTGTGAGCCACCATGTCCAGCGTTTTAAATTTTTTTAGGCTTTACCCCTTAGTACTTCAGTGACTATTTCCTAAAGATAAAGACATTCTCAGCCGGGGGCGGTGGCTCACGCTTGTAATCCCAGCACTTTGGAAGGCCGAGGCGGGCGGATCACGAGGTCAGGAGATCGAGACCATCCTGGCTAACACGGTGAAACCCCGTCTCTACTAAAAATACAAAAAATTAGCTGGGCGAGGTAGCGGGCGCCTGTAGTCCCAGCTACGCAGGAGGCTGAGGCAGGAGAATGGCGTGAACCCCAGGGGGCGGAGCCTGCAGTGAGCCGAGATTGCACCACTGCACTCCAGCCTGGGTGAAAGAGCGAGATTCCGTCTCAAAAAAAAAAAAAAAAAAAAAGATAAGGACATTCTCTTACATAACCAGAAAGTCAGGAAATTATCATTGATACAATATTATTATTGATAATAGATCTTATTCAGATCTTTCCAGTTGTCCAAATAATGTTCTTTATGGCAAAAGAAATCCTACATCATGTATTGTGTTCAGTGAATATGTCTCTTTAGTTGTCTTTAATTGGAAACGATCAATTTCTTTTTTTTCTTTCATGACATTAATTTTTTTAATAGATATGGGGTCTTGCTATGTTGCTCAGGCTGGTCTCCAACTGCTGGCCTTAAACAGTTCTCCCACCTTAGCTTCCCAAAGTGCTGGGATTACAGGCATGAGCCACTACACCTGGCCAACATTAATATTTTTGAAAAATACTGGTCATTTATTTTCTAGAGTGTCCTTCAAGTTTGGGTTTGGCTGGAGCCTTATGATTAAATTCAGAGGAGGTATTTTTGGCAAAAACTTCACAGAATTCTCAGTGCATTATATCCAGTAAGCACATGACGTCAATTTCTTCTGATCTGGTGATTTTTAACTTTGATCTCAGGATAAGGATGTGTTTGCCAGTTTTCTCCACTGTAAGATAATTCTATTTTTCTCTTTATAAGTAAGATTGTAGGGAGCCACATGTTTCTGATGCTAGGCCTGATTTCTTCATCTTCGTGGTAGGAATAATAGTGTATATGAGGCTTTTCAGGCTATGACTCCAGCTCACATTCTCACCTGCTGAGCAGCTGGAGCTACAGGCATGCACCACCATTCCTAGTTAATTATTGTATATTTTATAGACACAGGGTTTTGCCATGTTGCCCAGGCTGGTCTTGAACTCCTGGGCTCAAGTCATCCACTCACCTCAGCCTCCCAAAATGCTGAGATTACAGCTATGAGCCACCATGCCAAAGCATTTTCCAAATATTGTCAATCCCTAGTTGGTTGAATTCACAAATGCTGAACTCACAGAGAGGGAGGGCCCACTGCAGTTATGTAATGATCAGTAGACTGCAAATTTCTTGGGGATAGAATTGGGTTTTGTGTCTTGGAATATGTTAAATTGTTACTGTTTTCATTTTGTGTTATGTTTGTTTGTTTTTTGAGACAGGTCTCACTCTGTCATCCAGGCTGGAATTCGGTGGTGCAGTCATAGCTCACTGCAGCCTCAGACTCCTGGGCTCAAGGAATTCTCACTTCTCAGCCTCCCAGTGCCTGGGGCTACAGGCATGCACCACCGCATTTGGCTAATTTTTGTTTATTTCGTAGAGACAGGGTTTCGTCATGTTGTCCAGGTTGGTCTGGAGCTCAGGCGATCCGTCCACCCACTTCCGCTTCCCAAAGGGCTGGGATTATAGGTGTGAGCCACAGTGCCTGGCCTTTTTGTTTTTTGTTTGTTTGGTTGGTTTTTCTGGATGAATGAGTACCTAGGTAAGGAGACACCAGTAAAAATGATTTGCTTGGGTTTCAAGGCTTATATCAGATCACAGTCTCTAGGCTTACAGAATAATGCAATGTAAAATGAGCCCTACTGAAAAATAACAATAGAGATATAAATCACCTCTTGATTCTAAATCAAACAATTTACAACTGGAAGAGATCCAATATTCAAATCTGCTATTTCATAATAGAAATGGAGGCATATCGAGAGTAAAGGATCCCCAAGATGAAGCAGAGCTGGGACCACACCTCAAACTTTGTGTCCAAGCCATTTCACAGGGCTAAATTCTTTTCAGTTTTGATCCAGCCCTTTACAAACACAAAAGAGGATGGATAAATTTCATGACCAGGAAAGATTTTCAGAGATACCAAATTAAGGTAGTTTCATTCATTTTTTTATTGAGGTAAAATTCACAGAAATAAAATGAACCATTAACCTTTTTTAAGTGTACAATTCAGTGGCATTTGCTGCACTAGTTTGTTGTTTCTTTTTCTCATATTAAAAAAATAAAAATTTCACACATGAAATTCCATTAGACCCTATCCCACTTAAGTTCTAGATAAAGAGTTATTTTCAGGAGGAGGATAGGTGAAAGCTTGTGTGGAGAAAGAATGTAATCAGTCCTCTCCTCTCTCCTCCCACACAGACTCCTTGGAAGGGGTAGATGCTGAGTTAACCCTTTAGTCAACACTGGCCAAAAACAGTAAGTAACTCCTTCTTCAAGCATACTATTTTATTGGAGAAGTTTATTTTTGTTTTGTTTTGTTTTGTTTTGTTTTTTGTTAGGCTGCAAGGGAGAAAAACAAAACAAAATGAAACAAAACCTTTCCTCTTAGGTTTAGTAACTGGGGCCTGCAAATTAAACTCACAAAAGACATTAACAGTAGCAAAGGCATACGTTACTTTATTCTCTTTGTTTTCTGTTGCTTAGAGCAGAACACTGGAAACTGGATAATATATAGACAAAAAATATTTATTTTTTGTTTTTGTTTTTGAGACAGAGTTTCACTCTTGTTGCCCAGGCTGGAGTGTGGTGGCGCGATCTTGGCTCACTGCAACCTCCACCTCCCGGGTTCAAGCAATTCTCCTGCCTCAGCCTCCCAAGCACCTGGGACTACAGGTGCGTGCCACCATGCCCAGCTAATTTTTGTATTTTAGTAGAGATGGAGTTTCACCATATTGGCCAGGCTGGTCTCCAACTCCTGACCTCGTGATCCACCCGCCTCAGCCTCCCAAAGTGCTGGGATTACAGCCGTAAGCCACCGTGCTCCGCCAACAAAAAATATTTCTTACAGTTATGGAAGCTGAGAAGTCCAAGGTCAGAGGGCTGCACTTGGTGAGGGCCTTCTTGCTGGTGGAGACTCTCTACAGAGTGACAAGGCAGTGTAGGGCATTGCATGGTGATGGGGCTGGGCATGCTAGCTCAGATCCTCCTCTTCTTATAAAGCTACCAGTCCCATTACCACACTATCCCACTAATTCATTATTCACCTCTTAAAGGTCCCACCTGTCAGTATTACCACGTTGAAAATTAAATTTCTTTTCTTTTTTAAATTTTTTTGAGATGGAGTCTCCCTCTGTCGTCCAGGCTGGAGTGCAGTGGCGTGGTCTTGGCTCATGCAATCTCTGCCTCCTCGGTTCAAGCTATTCTCCTGCCTCAGCCTCCAGAGTAGCTGGGATTATAGGTGTGCACCACCATGCCTGGCTAATTTTTGTATTTTTACTAGAGATGGGGTTTCACCATGTTGGCCAGGCTGGTATTGAACCCCTGACCTCAGGTGATCCACCTGCCTCAGCCTCCCAAAGTGCTGGGATTACAGGTGTGAGCCACCACACCTGGCCTGAAAATTAAATTTCAACATGAGTTTTGGAGGGGACAAATATTCAAATCATAGCATTTATTAATGTTAACATTTGTATGTGCACGGGGACTTTACAGAAATAAAGTGGAAACCCAAAGAGGTAGTTAGACCCAAGGGCTTATATACCATTTTAATGAAAAGCAATAACTGGTGGAGAAGTGACCAGACAGAGGAAAAAGAGTTTGGCCTTCTAAAAGTGGTAAATGGCAGGAAGGTGACCAGGAAATGTATAGTAGATAAGTGTCGTTTAGTAAGCCTTGTTATGCAAATAAGAGTCATTTTCCTCTCTCTGATATAGAAAAGGAAAACACCTTTAGAAGGAGGATTTTATGCCCTGCTTTTAGGCAGAAAGTGGGAGGACACGGAGTTCTTCCTTCATGTGCTGCTTCCTAATTGCCATCAGCTCAAAATCATCTTTATGCGGAAGTGGCATATTTGGGGGTGGCAGATTCTGATCTCCTTCAGTACCTTGAGGATTTCGTCTTGGGTCTAAAAACAGCAGGGGGCAAAAAGCCTGGCAGCTTTGATGAGAGTTTTAGTTGACTCATCATCCAACTGAAAAGAGTGGGGGTGGTGACTATTTAGGAACCCTGTGTAGGTGGAAGTGGTTGGTTTGTCGTTGTGTCTGACTCTTGCTCAGGCTTCACAGTCAGAGTAGGTTCTACTTCTCACTTGAGGCCCGCCCCCAGATCCCCAGCCCACCAGGATTTCCCTTCAGTGGCGCTTGCATTGAAGGCTACTTCTTTGGCTCCAAGCACAAAACCCAGGGATTTTTAGTGGGTTGTGGTTCTTTTTCTTTTCTTTCTTTCTTTCTCTCTCTTCTTTCTTTCTTTCTTTCTTTCTTTCTTTCTTTCTTTCTTTCTTTCTTTCTTTCTTTTTCTTTCTCTTTCTTTCTT
This sequence comes from Homo sapiens, assembly GCF_000001405.40. NCBI lineage: Eukaryota > Metazoa > Chordata > Mammalia > Primates > Hominidae > Homo > Homo sapiens. The sequence continues at coordinate 126,748,601 of NC_000005.10, forward strand.
TCTCTCCTTCCTTCCTTTCTTTTCTTTCTTCCCTCCCCCTCTCCCTCCCTCTTTCTTTTTTTATTTATTTCTTTCTTTCTCTCTCTTTTTCTTTCTCTTTCTTTCTTTCTCTCCTTCCTTTCTTCCTTCCCTTTCTTTCTTCCCTCCCTCCCTCCCTTCTTTCTTTCTCTTTCTTTTTCCTTCCTTCCTTCCTTTCTTCCCTCCCTCTCTCCTTCCTTCCTTTTTCTTTCTTTCTTTCTTTCTTTCTTTCTTTCTTTCTTTCTTTCTTTCTTTCTTTCTTCTTTCTTTCTTCCTTTCTTTCTTTTTTCTTTCTTTCTTTCCTTCCTTCCTTCCATCCTTCCTTCCTTCCTTTCTTTTCTTTCTTCCCTCCCTCTCTCCTTTCTTTCTTTCTCTTTCAGTCTTTCTTTACATTCGTTCTTTCTTTCTTCCTTTTTGAGACGGAGTCTCGCCCTGTGGCCCAGGCTGGAGTGCAATGGTGTAGTCTTGGCTCACTGCAACCTCTGCCTATCGGGTACAAGCAATTCTGCCTCAGTCTCCCGAGTACCTGGGATTACAGGTGCGCACCACCACGCTCCGCTAATTTTTTGTATCTTTAGTAGAGACGGGGTTTCACCATGTTGGCCAGGCTGGTCTCGAACTCCTGACCTCGTGATCTGCCCGCTTTGGCCCCCCAAAGTGTTGGGATTACAGGCCTGAGCCACCGCGCCTGGCTTTTTTCTTTTTTAAAATTTATTTTGATTTTTTATAGATACGCGGTCTTTCTATATTGCCAAAATTCTTGAGCTCAAGCAATCCACCCACCTCAGCCACCCAAAGTGTCGGAATTACAGGCATAAGCCACCAGGCCCACCCTGGTTGTTTTAAAAAATATATTCCTTGTTCAGTCTCCACAACTTCACTGTAGACTCTGTATTTGAAATATCTTTGTTTTTTCTTAACATACTACTTTTTATTTAATTTGACAAATATATGTTAAATAAAAAAAATTTTTTTTTGTTTTGAGATGGAGTCTTGCCTTGTCGCCCAGGCTGGAGTGCAGTGGGGCGATCTCGGCTCACTGCAAGCTCCGCCTCCCGGGTTCACGCCATTCTCCTGCCTCAGCCTCCCAAGTAGCTGGGACTACAGGCGCCCGCCACCATGCCCGGCTAATTTTTTGTATTTTTTTTTTTAGTGGAGACGGGGTTTCACCGTGTTGGCCAGGATAGTCTCGATCTCCTGACCTCGTGATCCACCTGCCTCGGCCTCCCAAAGTGCTGGGATTAAAGGCGTGAGCCACCGCGCCCGGCCCTAAATAAATGTTTTAAGTCCTTTCCCTGTGCATCTAATTTGTCAGACCTGTGTCCAATCTAAAGTTTAAGTCCACGTGGCTCTTAATCTCTCTGAGAAGAAAAGTCTAGTAGGGAAGATAAATGATATGCTTATTTGATAAATATTTATTGAACTTCCTAATAGCAGGAATGATGCTAGGCACTAGGGATGCAAAGGTGAATTGGTCAGGGTTCTGGTGCTGGAGGACTCACTCAGTGTGGCGGGAATTGTCAGTTTCCGCTGACAATAATGTTACCAGCGGAAGAGATCAGAGCCACCCTGAGTTACCAGCCACCTATCCAGCCTTACATCTGTATAGGTACGCAGCAACTTTGGTTCTTGCCTTCTCAGAAGAAAGAATTCTACTGAAGGGCATAAGGAGCGAGACAAGTTTCGGAGCAGGAATAGAAGTTTGTTTAAAACGGCTTTAGAATAGGAAAGAAGGAAAGCACACTTGGAAGAGACCCAAAGAACAAAAAGGGAGAGTCAAGTGCCCCATTTAACTGTGATACTAGGACTTTTTTTTTGAGACGGAGTCTCCCTCTGTCACCAGGCTGGAGTGCAGCGGTGTGATTACAGGCATGAACCACCGCGCCCGGTGATACTAGGACTTGTATAAGCTCACCTCTTTCCCATGATTCTTCCCTTAGGGTGGGCTGCCCGCCTGCACAGTGCCCTCCTTACCCTTTGGAATTGAGCACAGCGCAGTGTGTTTAGGGAGTCATAAGCATGCCTATCTGAGGCTTTCTTCCTTTTGCCGGTGGAGTTTACCTGGAAGATCATAATTCGCCATTTTTGCCTCTTAATATGCATGCCCAGGAAGTTTCTTCTCCCTGAGGCTTGCATTCAATTAACATTTCATATTAACAGGTGTGGACCCTCAGGAAATGCCTTTTCCCTGGCGCTGCCGAATTATCGCACTCGGAGAGGCAATGCCGTAATTGCTGATAGGCTTAGTGGGTGGGGGAGAGCCCTCTCCTGTCTGGCTCCTGCCTATCCAACTACCTGTAGGTAACAATAAGACTCACTCACTGAACTTAACGAAAAAACCTCTAAGAGATGTTTGAAATTTGCATTTAGACCAGGAAATGTGTGGTCTTATAAGACATCCTCACAAAAACGTAGGACTAGGAGTTCTCTTAAGATCGTCTAACAATTATTTGAGTGATAAAGAACACTAGGCCAGGCCCAGTGACTCATGCTTGTAATCCCAGCACTTTGGGAGACCGAGGCGGGCAGATAATCTGAGGCCAGGAGTTCGAGACCAACCTGGTCCAACATGGTGAAACCCTGTGGCAGGCACATGTAATCCCAGCTACTGGAGAGGTTGAGGCAAGATAATTGCTTGAACTCGGGAGTTGGAGGTTGCAGTGAGCCGAGATCAAGCCACTGCACTCCAGCCTGGGCAACAGAGCGAGACTCCATCTCAAAAAAAAAAAAAAAAAAAAAAAAGGCCGGGCGCAGTGGCTCACACCTATAATCCCAGCACTTTGAGAGGCTCAAGGCAGGCGGATCACGAGGTCAGGAGTTCAAGACAATCCTGGCCAACATAGTGAAACCCTGTCTCTGCTAAAAATACAAAAATTATCTGGGCGTGGTGGCACGTGCCTGTAATCCCAGCTACTTGGGAGGCTGAGGCAGGAGAATCACTTGAACCAGGAAGTCGGAGGTTGCAGTGAGCCAAGATCGTGCTGCATCACTCCAGCCTGCCGGCAGAGCAAGACTCCGTCTCAAAAAAAAAAAACCAAAAAAAAAAACAAAACACTAATTGAGAGAGTAGAAGTCAATGAAAGGATGTTCTAGTTAGCTACAGGTTGGAACTCTAACCCAAATCACCATTTGCATTCTTAATATGCCCCCAGTTTCAGGCGATTTCTTTTTGGGCACACCAGAGATCAGACAAATGCCATAATGCCTACTCTGCCCCAAATGGGGATTTTCAGGTATAGCAAGTGTAAATATAGCTTTTTCCAGAAGAAGCGGGGTTGGGTGGGAGGGGAAAATCACACAATTAATTTTCATGATAGAGATCCCAAGAAAGAAAGTGGAGGTGCTTACTGTGATTTCAGTTTAATTAGAAACACATCCTGAATGTTAAGACAAAACCAAAAGTGTTGGTTTCATTTGAACTTGAGAAGAATTGGAGACTATAGACTTAATTATGTTTCCCATCCCCATAGTAAACAATAAACACCTATTATGTTCTTCCAGAGTTAACCAAGTCTATGAGCCAATGTAATCAGTCCAATGAATGTGTTAGAATAGATACTACACATTTTGTGGGTGCTACTGCAGCTTGTATGTGTTGGCAGCAGTTCCGCTTTATTTCCTGCTGATTTTTTTTTTTTTTTGTACCTTCACTGCCATATAATGATTTAGGACTTTTGCTTCCTGAGGTCAGTGAGAACATTCATATCTGATACTTAACTCCAGAAGAAGATTCTTGTTTAGTTATGAGAAAGTGAATGGCTTTAGTGATGATTCGCAGAAATCTCCCAAGTGATGATGGAATTCTGAAAGGAAGTATAACGTATTTTTACTTAAAAACAAAAAAACAAAAAACAAAAAAACCCCACAAAAACTACCCAGGACAAAAAAAAAAAACATTTAAGTTAACAGACCTCATATTTCCCCCAGAGTCCTTAAGTGATTTTCTAAAACATTGTGTTAACTTACCTTCAAATAATTTAAAACACATCAGCTTTAAGAAAATGTGGCACATATACACCATGGAATACTATGCAGCCATAAAAAATGATGAGTTCATGTCCTTTGTAGGGACATGAATGAAATTGGAAATCATCATTCTCAGTAAACTATCGCAAGGACAAAAAACCAAACACCGCATGTTCTCACTCATAGGTGGGAATTGAACAGTGAGAACACATGGACACAGGAAGGGGAACATCACACTCTGGGGACTGTTGTGGGGTGGGGGGAGGGGGGAGGGATAGCATTAGGAGATACACCTAATGCTAAATGACGAGTTAATGGGTGCAGCGCACCAGCATGGCACATGTATACATATGTAACTAACGTGCACGTTGTGCACATGTACCCTAAAACTTAAAGTGTAATAATTAAAAAACAAACAAACAAAAAAAACACATCAGCTGTAGCTGTTTGGAGTTCTTGTACTTCAGAAAGGACAGTGGGAAGTGGCAGATGACCGTATGATCTTTATTTTACCATAAGCCAGAAATTCTGTGTTAGCACTGAAATAATATCATATTAAATATTTGTGCTGTATTATATTAAATTAAATATTCTCTGGTCACAAGGGACTAAAAACTAAAACAGCTTAAGCAAAAAACAAAAACACAAGGGGGTAGAGGCACTACTAGAATACCAGAGCAACCCTGAATCCGAGGAAGAGTGGGAGACCAGGCCTCAAGGGGACAGAAGCCAGGGCACATCTGGAGAACTCTGTGAGCATGCACTCATGCAGAGACCTTCTCCTTAGAGTGCTGCCTCAAGCGCTTCTTCATCAAAATGTCTACTTCCTGGAAAAGAGAAGCTAATTGCTCCTTCTTTGCTCGGGGTCACCTCTGGGCCAGTGAGCGATGATAATATGATAGGATAGAACCACACAGCAGAAACAAGGCTGAGAAGCATCCACTCCTGAGGACACATCAGGAGATTCTCAGAGAGCACTGGGGGCAGTGCATTGCCAACCACACATAGACTTTAATGTTATAATCATGTATTACAGCTAAAGGCAAGTTTTGCTTATTTTCTATATACAGTGATCATCACATTAACTGACATGCTCTTTCCTAACATTCTATTATTCAGCCTTAAAAAAAAAATTAGGCTGGACATGGTGGCTCACACCTGTAATCCCAGCACTTTGGGAGGCTGAGGCAGGGCAGATCGCAAGATCAGGAGATCGAGACCATCCTGGAGAACATGGCGAAACCCCATCTCTACTAAAAATACAAAAAAATTAGCCAGGTGTGGTGGCGGGCACCTGTAGTCCCAGCTACTCGGGAGGCTGAGGCAGGAGAATGGCGTGAACCCGGGAGGCGGAGCTTGCAGTGAGCCGAGATCGTGCCACTGCACTCCAGCCTGGGCGACAGAAAGAGACTCCGTCTCAAAAAAAAAAAAAAAAAAAATTAATTAAGGCTGGGTGCTGTGGGAGGCTGAGGTGGGCAGATCACCTGAGGTCGGGAGTTGGAGACCAGCCTGACTTACGTGGAGAAACCCCATCTCTACTAAAAATACAAAATTAGCTGGGCACAGTGGCACATCTGTAATCCCAGCTACTTGGGAGGCTGAGGCAGGAGAATCGCTTGAACCCAGGAGGCGGAAGTTGCAGTGAGCTGAGATTGCACCATTGCACTCCAGCCTGGGCAACAAGAGCAAAACTCCAACTCAAAATAAATAAATAAATAAAACACAAAAATTAGCTGGGCGTGGTGCATGCCTGTTATAGCAGCTACTTGGGAGGCTGAGGCGGGAGAATCTCTTGAACCTGGGAGGCAGAGGTTGCAGTGATCCAAGATCACTCCACTGCACTCCAGCCTGGGCAACAGAGCCAGACTCTGTCTCAAAAAAATAAAAGCGAAAACAGCTTTGTTGAGACATAACTCACATATTATAAAATTTATCTACTTAAAGTGTATAGTTCAATGGGTTTTGGTATATAAAATTATTAATTTTTAAAAATTGTGAAAAATAAAAATTATGGTAAAATATATGCAACAAAACTTGCCATCTTCACCGTTTTTAAGTGTACAATTCAGTGCCACTACTTACATTTATGATGTTGTGCAACCATTAGCACTATTTCCAAACTTTTTCATCACACCAAACAAAACACTTAAGAATATTGCTCTATTATAACTAGGCCTTTTTTTTTTTTTTTTTTTTTTTTGAGATGGGATCTCGCTGTGTCACTCAGGCTGGAGTGCAATGGTGCAATCATGGCTTCAAGGCTCACTGCAGCCTCGACCTCCCAGGGTCAAGCCATCCTCCAACTTACCTCAGCCTCAGCTGGAAGTACAGGTGAAAGTCATCACGCCTGGCTAATTTTTATATTTATTTTTATTTTTCTAGAGAGAAGGCCTTGATATATGTCCAGGCTGTATTTTCTTCCCCCTTTTTTTTTTTTTTCCGAGACGGAGTCTCGCTCTGTAGCCAGGCTGGAATGCAGTGGCACAATCTCGGCTCACTGCATCCTCCGCCTCCTGGGTTCAAACGATTCTCCTGCCTCGGCCTCCTGAGTAGCTGGGACTACAGGTGTGAGCCATCACGCCCAGCTAATTTTTGTATTTTTAGTAGAGATGGGGCTTCACAATGTTGGCCAGGATGGTCTCGATCTCTTGACCTCATGATCCGCCCACTTCGGCCTCTCAAAGTGCTGGGATTACAAGCATGAGCCACTGCGCCCGGCCTCCAGTTTTTTTTTTTTAATGGAAGCTTCACAGATTTGCATTATACTTGCACAGGGACCATGCTAATCTCTGTATCATTCCAATTTTAGTGTATGTACAGCCAAAGGGAGCACTATAATTAGGCTTAGACTAAAAGAGTTTTGTTTGTAAAAGAGGTTGTTTAATATCATCATCCTCTGCACATGGCTTTCCACCCCAGGTGTTCTTACAACCGCGTGCCTGAGCTTGGTACCTGAGCTGACAGCCACAGCCTTGCGGTGACTCCTGGCATGACCTGCAGGCTCCATTCTGCTCTGCTCCTCTCCACACCCAAAGAATGCAAGGCTGGAGCTCCTTTCTCTTCTGGAGACCTCAGGGACAGAGGAAATGGCAGCAGGCACATTGGCCAGAGGCCTTCAGATACAAGCCCTGCATTTTGCAAAAGAGTTTTGGGGCCTAGACCTCGATAAAGGGATGAGGTTTCCCTTCACTATTTCCCAACTGCCAGTGAAAGCCACCTCTCCCCCCGGGGCCCCTTCTCTCTCCTGCCGCCCCTCCCACCTGTCCTCTGCAGCCTCCCCACTCCCCCGTGTGTCCTCCTGGACACACCTCCCTGGCTTACACTAAGGAAAAATATACACATAAATTAATGATCTTATCTTCAATTAGATGTCTTTTGTGAGTAGTATACAGCTTATAAGAAACTATATTTCGTGCCCTGGTTCCTCTCTCTTTTTAATTCTTTTTTTTTTTTTTTTGAGACGGAGTCTTGCTCTGTCGCCCAGGCTGGAGTGCAGTGGCACCATCTCGGCTCACTACAAGCTCAGCCTCCCGGGTTCACGCCATTCTCCTGCCTCAGCCTCCCGAGTAGCTGGGACTACAGGCATCCGCCACCACACCCGGCTAATTTTTTGTATTTTTAGTGGAGACGGGGTTTCACCGTGTTAGCCAGGATGGTCTGGATCTGCTGACCTCGTGATCCGCCTGTCTCGGCCTCCCAAAGTGCTGGGATTACAGGCGTGAGCCACCGCACCCAGCCTCTCTTTTTTTATTCTAAGTCACTATTCCAGAGGCTCTGTGTCCCTTAGGGTTCTTTAGAATCAGTAACAGAAGTTGATTCTGGCATAAGCAGAAAAGGACAGTACTGAAAACATTTTGGGTAGCTCACAGAATCACGGGAGGGCAAGAAGTCCAAGGTCAAAGGAGGCTACATACCGGGGTCCCAGGATGTGTCTGAGCAGGTCATTGCTGCTGCCAAGAAGGAGGAGAGTCTACAGCTGCCACACTCACCAGCACGTAGGATCGTGCTGTCGTCCCCGCTGCCTTTTTTTTTTTTTTTTTTTCCAGAAATGGAGTCTTGCTCTGTCACCCAGGCTGGAGTGCAGTGGTGTGATCTCCACTCACTGCAACTTGGGCCTCACAGGTTCAAGCAATTCTCGTGATTTAGCCTCCCAAGTAGCTGGGATTACAGGCGTGCACCACCAAGTCTAGCTAATTTTTGTACTTTTAGTAGAGACATGGTTTCACCATATTGGCTGGGCTGGTCTCGAACTCCTGACCTCAAGTGACTTGCTCACCTTGGCCTCCCAAAGTTTTAGGATTACAGGCGTGAGCCACAGCATCCAGCCCTGACTGCCTTTTGAAACTGGGTGTGGCTACCAGAATGGATGCGCCTTTCTTCCATTGCTTTGACTGACTGGCTCCAAAGTCAAAATTCTGGAGCTAGGCATGGTGGCTCACACCTGTAATCCTAGCACTCTGGGAGGCCGAGGCAGCTGGATTGCTTGAACTCAGGAGTTTGAGGCCAGCCTGGGCAACATTTTTTGTCTCTACGAAAAAATAGCTGGATGTGGTGGTGCGGAGGTTGCAGTGAGCCAACATCATGCCACTGCACTTTCCTGCCTGGGCGACAGAGCGAGATCCTGTATAAAAAAAAAAATCTGGAGCTGGTACACCTGATTGGCGACACCTAGGCCTGCAAAAGAAATAGTTGGCTGACATGGGTGGATGGCTTTTTAGCATCTAGAGTGGGAGCAGGACCCTGTTTCTTACTAAGACTCAAATGGTGAGGAATTCCTCAAACGTAGGAAGACAGTTCAGAGGGTGAGCAACCAAAAAATTTGCAAATGTCTCCTGTAGGTAGGAAGCATCTGGTGTTCTGTTCAGATCTGGGTCACAGCATTATTTCATCTAACTTAGAAAACTATTCTAAACTAAAGTTGGTTTGCTTCCCTTTCCTTCTGTTATTAAAAAGATACACTTGGACAATTTATTCTACCAAGTTATTATAGCGAGGTAAAAATTCTGGCATCAAAACCCCATAGTTTTTTATAGTTTGTCTTCTTTTCCAAGTTTACATTGTTGCTTTTGAATACAACTGTGGAGCAAGTCTTTTCATAGTAAGCTTAGCTACAGCTTATCTCTAAGATTCTAATCGGATTCATATTCTAAGCCAATATTTACAGTTTTGAAATTTTCAAAGTTTATTTTCTATTTTCCTATTGCCTTTCCTTTTTTAAGCTGGCACTGTTAAGTTTTTAAAAGTGAGTGGCTTGTATTACTACAAGTTAGAAAAAGAGAAGAAAGAAGTCAGAACAAGAAAGAAGTATAGGGAAAAAACAATGTGTTTTTTTAAAAAAACTGAATCCTAGGTTAGCAAGAGATTTTTTTTTTTTTTTTTTTTTTTTTTAGTGAAACAAACATCAGTTTGTCCAGATAGCATTATTTCTCAGGCAAATAGGAGAATCATATTTCTTGTCTGGTGATAGCTAGTCTATATTTGTTTACTCATTAGAAAGTTCGCTGCTTATTCTGTGAAATCTCAAAATCTTAGTCTGCTTTGCTGATGTCCTATTTATTCTACATCTCTTTAATGAGTGAGGGATTTGAGCTGTCACTACTGTTTCAATTAAATGTCCCCTTTCACCATTTCCTGTGGCTTTATGGTGAAATACCCTACATTTACTGAATAATTTGGCATCTAATTTCTGCCCCCAAATCCTTAAATAAAATTGATGAGAGAGACTCAGTATAGGAATTAGATACCTGTTGATCATTAGACAACTGTCAATTACAAAATGGACTGGATTCCAGAGCTATTTTCCTGGATAGAGAGGAAAAGATGTTTTAGGTAAGATAACAGGGATCAGTGAAGGAGAGAGCATTGCTGATGGAGAGAGGAAGTAATTTGTGTAATCTCGTTTGAGTTTTAGAAATTCATGACTTAAGGTGCTGCTGAAGCCTGTTCTTGCCGCTTCCTAAGAAGGCAAATGTCTCTGGCCTCCTCAAGCCAGAGGGTGCAGAAAGAAACTGGCACTGGCGGCAAAGGGGTGACCAGCCAGATGGTGGGGCATGGAGGCGAGAGTGGGGGTGGGGTGAGGGTGCTAATTAGCTTTTCTTGCCTCACCAGGAGCCAGTGACAAGCAGATGGCTGCACACTTAATGCCACCCTTTTTCTGTCTAGCAGGCAGTAGTGGTTGGTCTTGTGGTCACGTAGAAAGCACGCATTTTTTTTTTTGTCTTCAGAATGTGGATGTGGTGTAGGGACATACAAAGGGAAAATGTAGATTAAAATATTATGTGTATCTAAGAAAAATAGATCTTATCTTCTTCCATTTTTTTGCAATAACTAGGTGCCTGTTTATAGTTTCTTTTTTTTTTTTTTTTGAGACAGAGTCTCACTCTGTCACCCAGGATAGAGTGCAGTGGCGTGATCTTAGCTCACTGCAAGCTCCGCCTCCCGGGTTCACACCATTCTCCTGCCTCAGCCTCCTGATCAGCTGGGACTACAGGCGCCCACCACCACGCCTGGCTAATTTTTTTGTATTTTTAGTAGAGACGGGGTTTCACCGTGTTAGCCAGGATGGTCTCGATCTCCTGACCTCGTGATCCACCCGCCTCAGCCTCCCAAAGTGCTGGGATTACAGGCATGAGCCACCATGCCTGGCCGCCTGTTTATAGTTTCACAACATCAACTGAAAGTGATTTATCCTTTCTATTACAAAAGTCAATTCAAATTAATCAAACTGTTCCAGGGTATGTAAGAAATAATCACTAAAACGATACAACTGGCTATGAAATCCAAACTCAAGCCACAGCATCTTGTGTTTGGAGAGAGGTTGGGTTACTAACAACGCAGGTCTTTCCTTGCACACCCTGTTAGTTTCTGTGTCTTGATCATTTCATAATTTCTCTGGAGCTGACTATAGTAACAGTAACTGAAAGTTTGTTAAATTGAATCAAGTTATAGTAAGTCAATCACTACATACGCTATTCAATATTTGTGTAAATATTGACTCCATGCCAATATAAACATTAGTGAGTATGGCAAGGTAAAACAGTTAACATTTTGAAAATGCAATGTGTAACTAGCACTGATTTTTAGTATAATGCCTTATGGGCTAAATTAAATAGTTGCTTTCAAAATTGAGAAGCAAGGATCCTAATATCTATTTTTGTAGGGGAAGACAAAGGAATAAATATTTACTGAGTACTACCCTTGTGTCAGATACCCTTGGCATACATTTAACATATTCAATTCTTTCAACATCCCTATAAGGTAGATCTTTCTCTGCTTTTTACAGATGAAAAAATGAAGGTTTGCAGATGTTAAGTAACTTGCTAGGGGTCACAAAGGGAGTGACTGAGCAGGATTCTCACGTGGGTATGCCTGACTGTCCTGCTGTCCTGTACTGTCTTACATTTATTTACCTGATCCTCAAAACCTCATTATTCCCTCAAATGCTCCCAGTTTTATCTGTCTAGTGATTGGTAAAATTAGCCCACTCTATCTCCAAAGCATTCTCCACACTTTTTATTGCTCCCAGTCCAAAGGCCAGAATGAGATCTGTAGCCAGATTTTCTTTTTTTTTTCTGAGACGGAGTCTCACTCTGTCCCCCAGGCTGGAGTGCAGTGGCGCGATCTCAACTCACTGCAACCTCCGCCTCCCGGGTTCCAGCAATTCTCCTGCCTCAGCCTCCTGAGTAGCTAGGATTACAGGCGTGTGCCACCACCACCAGCTAATTTTTGTATTTTTATTAGAGATGGGGTTTCACCACCTTGGTCAGGCTGGTCTCAAACTCCTGACCTCAAGTGATCCACCCCCCCTTGGCCTCTCAAAGTGCTGGGATTACAGGCGTGAGCCACTGCGCCCGGCCCGATTTTCTTTCTTTCTTTTTTTTCTGAGACGGAGTTTCGTTCTGTCCCCGAGGCTGGAGTACAGTGGCGCAATCTTGGTTCACTGCAACCTCTGCCTCCCAGGTTCAAGCAATTCTCTGCCTCAGCCTCCCGAGTAGCTGGGATTACAGGTGCCCGCCACCATGCCCCACTAAGTTTTGTACTTTTAGTACAGACAGTGTTTCACCATCTTGGCCAGGCTGGTCTTGAACTCCTGACCTCTTGATTCACCCGCCTTGGCCTCCCAACCAGATTTTCAATGGCTTAACTTTCCTACATTCAGATCATTTTTGGACTTTAAAAGACAAAGGGAAGTGAAATGGTGTATTGCCCGTGATCTATCACGGAGCAATAATTCTGTTCCTTATTATTATTATTTTTTTTTTGAGACGGGGTCTCGCTCTGTCACCCAGGCTGGAGTGCAGTGGCACGATCTTGGCTCACTGCAAGCTCCGCCTCCCAGGTTCATGCCATTCTCCTGCCTCAGCCTCCCGAGTAGCTGGGACCACAGGCGCCCACCACCATGCCCAGCTAATTTTTTGTATTTTTAGTAGAGATGAGGTTTCACCGTGTTAGTCAGGATGGTCTCGATCTCCTGACCTCATGATCCACCCGCCTTGGCCTCCCAAAGTGCTGGGATTACAGGCATAAGCCACCACGCCTGGCCCAATAATTCTGTTCCTAATGTGCAATTCTGTAACCTCCTTTTGCCAAATTCCCCAACCTTCACATTCATCTTGTGCTTATTAATATGTGATGCAGGTATCTTATTAGCTGAACATCTTTCAGCTCTAGTAACATGTCTAATGTTAACTAGATTCTATTTGATGCAGCTGCTACATCCATGGCTCTCTCTCTCTCATTGCTTAGCACACTACACAGTATTTAAAGTATGCATTTTAATTAAGTGGTTGATTTCCTCCAGTTTCTTCATCAGTTGTCATGACCAGTTGATGAAGCATTTGACATGACACAGTAAACTTGAAACTGAAATAGTCTGGTGGTATTTAGAGAGAATAAGTCTTACATTACATGTTATTTACTATATTTGGTACTATCTTAACACGAATAGATATATGTTCACTAAAATAAACATTACAAATCAGTTTCTTATTTTCAGACAAAAATAATAGGAAATAGGATACATTCCACATGTAATTATTATAAAGAATTGTTGGCCGGGTGCGGTGGCTCATGCCTGTAACCAGCACTTTGGGAGGCCAAGGCGGGTGGATCATGAGGTCAGGAGATCGAGACCATCCCGGCTAACACGGTGAAACCCCGTCTCCACTAAAAATACAAAAAAAATTCTCCGGGCGTGGTGGCAGGCGCCTGTGGTCCCAGCTACTCTGGAGGCTGAGGCAGGAGAATGGCATGAGCCCGGGAGGCGGGGCTTGCAGTGAGCGGAGATTGCGCCACTGCACTCCAGCCTGGGCGACAGACCGAGACTCTGTCTCAATAAATAAATAAATAAATAAATAAATAAATAAATATTGTTTTGAAAAGTTTCAAAAGTATGTATCTCTTGATTCACGTCCATTAGGGTGATTTACTCAAAGGAAGTATGCACAAGTATCTCTTTGATATGGTAGATTCATTATGAGGAATAAGAGACTGGTGAAAGATAAGGGTACTTAGATCTTCCATTGTCCTATATTGGTTCTACTTACATATGGGCGCTGGCAGACAGAAAGATGACATCATTGCATCATTTCATTGTCCCCCAGGGAGACATTCTGCTGCCTTAGAGTCATGATTTAGTTGAAAAGGTAGACTAAAAAGCAATATGTTGGGTTCCAAATGACTGCTATAGTAGTTCATAGGAAGAATGGCATCTTAATCCATCTGCAGTGAAGCAGATATTTTGATTCACTGTAATTTAAAAAATAAAAACGATGGACTCACCCTTCTAACTTCATGACTTCCCTTTTCCTTATGACAATAGAGAATTCATTTCTCCATCCTTCACTTTGAGATCAACCCAACTTAAATCTGTTAAAGGAAGTATATAGTAAATGAAAGTAACTAAGAAGTTACGATTGGAGAAATGAAACCAATTTCTTATAAATGACAACAGGTTCCTGAAAACCTTATGAAGAAGTTGATTCAGGTTACCACAGGGTGATTTTCCCAAATGAATGTCACAGTGACTACTGAACTTTTCTTTTTTTCTTTTCTTTTTTTTTTTTGAGACGGAGTTTCGCTCTTGTTGCCCAGGCTGGAGTGCAGTGGCGTGATCTCGGCTCACCGCAACCTCCGCTTCTGGGTTCAAGCAATTCTCTGCCTCAGCCTCTGGAGTAGCTGGGATTATAGACGCCAGCAATCACGCCAGGCTAATTTTTGTATTTTTTGTAGAGACAGGGTTTCACCGTCTTGGCCAGGCTGGTCTTGAACTCCTGACCTCGTGATCCACCCGCCTCAGCCTCCCAAAGTGCTGGGATTACAGGCGTGAGCCACTGCGCCCAGCCTTGAACTTTTCTTTCTTTCTTTCTTTCTTTTTTTTTTTTTTGAGACCAAGTCTTGCTCTGTTGGCCAGGGTGGAGTGCAGTGGTGCTGTCTCAGCTCACTGCAACCTCCACCTTCTGGGTTCAAGCGGTTCTCCTGCCTCAGCCTCCTGAGTAGCTGGGATTACAGGCACGCGCAAGCAAGCCCGGATACTTTTTGTATTTTTAGCAGAGACAGGGTTTCAGCCAGGTGCGGTGGCTCACGCCTGTAATCCCAAAACTTTGGGAGGCTGAGGCGGGTGGATAGCCTGAGGTCAGGAGTTCAAGACCAGCCTGGCCAACGTGATGAAAACTCAGCCCTACTAAAAATGCAAAAATTAGCTGGGTGTGGTGGCAGGCGCCTGTAATCCCAGCTACTCAGGAGGCTGAGGTAGGAGAATTGCTTGAACCCAGGAGACAGAGGTTGCAGTAAGCCTAGATTGCACCACTACACTCCAGCCTGGGAAACAGAGCAAGACTCTCTCTCAAAAAAAAAAAAAAAAAAAAAAAGAGACGGGGTTTTACCATATTGGCCAGCCTGATCTTGAACTCCTGACCTCAGGTCATCCACCCGCCTCAGTCTCCACAAGTGCTGGGATTACAGGCATAAACCAATGCACCCAGCCGATGTTTTTCTCTTTAAAGATCTGTTTCATAATACTTTATTCATATTCCAATCTTTCCAAGACAAAAATGACAGCAACCCTCTTTGAGTCACTTGTTTCACTCTTTTTTTTTTTTTTTTTTTTTTTTTTTGAGACAGTGTCTCTCTCTGTCGCCCAGACTGGAGTGCAGTGGGGCAATCTCGGCTCACTGCAAGCTCTGCCTCCCAGGTTCACGCCGTTCTCCTGCCTCAGCCTCCCCAGCAGCTGGGACTACAGGCGTCCGCCACCACGCCCGGAGAATTTTTTGTATTTTTAGTAGAGACGGGGTTTCATTGTGTTAGCCAGGATGGTCTCGATCTCCTGACCTCGTGATCCGCCCGCCTCGGCCTCCCAAAGTGCTGGGATTACAGGCGTGAGCCACTGCGCTCAGCTTTGTTTTGTTTTGTTTCACTCTTAACACCTGCTTTTGTTACTCAAATACATCTTTTAAACCTGATCAAATCATAGGCTTAAAAAAACCTGATTGTATGCAATTTCTGACTCCTGAAGAAATCACACAGGTTTTATAGCATGAGTGTAAAAAGGGAAGAGTCCACAGAAAATTTAGAATTAAGCATCAAATATGGTGGAGACTTTATCTACTTACAAAAAAAAGCTTCAAAATATACCTTATAAATTTTTAAATCTAATGTATAGGAGACCAGAATATATTTTATTTTTCTTTCTTGATTTTTTTTCTTTTGAGACGGAGTCTTGCTCTGTCGCCCAGGCTGGAGTGCAGTGGCGCAATCTTGGCTCACTGCAACCTCCAACCTCTGCCTCCCAGGTTCAAGCGATTGTCCTGCCTCAGCCTCCCGAGTACCTGGGACTACAGGCTCGTTCCACTATGCCCGGCTCATTTTTTTTTTAGTAGAGACGGGGTTTCAGCATATTGGTCAGGCTGGTCGTGAAGTCCTGACCTCATGATCTGCCCGCCTCAGCCTCCCAATATTTCCATTTTTTATCATGGTAAAATGTATTGTACATATAGTAAAATCCACAGATCTTAAGTGTACAATTTAATGTCTTGGTAATTGTATGTACCCATGTACCCATGACTTCACTCAAGGTATAGAACGTTCCTGTTGTTCCAGAAGGTTTCTTTTTTTCTTCATTTTCTTATTTTCTTTTTAATTTTTATTTATTTATTTTTATTTTTTTTTTTTTTGAGACGGAGTCTCACTCACTCTGTTACCCAGGCTGGAGTGGAGTGGCACGATGTCAGCTCACTGAAACCTCTGCCTCCTGGGCTCAAGTGATTCTCCTGCCTCAGCCTTCCAAGTAGCTGGGATTACAGGCATGCGCAAGCACACCCGGCTAATTTTTGTATTTTTAGTAGAGACGGAGTTTCACCATGTTGGTTAGGCTGGTCTCGAACTCCTGATTTCAAGTGATCTGCCCACTTTGGCCTCCCAAAGTGCTGAGATTACAGGCGTGAACCACTGAACCCAGCCAATTTTTTTTAGTAGGGATGGGGTTTTACCATGTTGGCCAGACTGGTCTGGAGCTCCTGATGTCAAATGATATGCCCACCTCGGCCTCCCAAAGTGCTGGGATTATAGGCATGAGCTACTGCACCAACCATTTTATTTATTTTTATTCTTTTATTTTTTATTTATTTATTTTTTTCCAAGACGGAGTCTTGCTCTTGTTGCCCAGGCTGGAGTGCAATGGTGTGATCTTGGCTCACTGCAACCTCTGCCTCCTGGGTTCAAGCGATTCTCCTGCCTCAGCCTCTCGAGTAGCTGGGACTACAGGCGCGTGCCACCACGCCCAGATAATTTTTGTATTTTTAGTAGAGACGGGGTTTCACCATGTTGGCTGCCTCGGCCTCCCAAAGTGCTGTGATTACAGGCATGAGCCACCGCACCCGGCCTTTATTTTTATTTTTATTTTTGAGACGGAGTTTCCCTCTTGTTGCCCAGGCTGGAGTGCAGTGGCATGATCTTGGCCCACTACAACCTCTGCCTCCCAGGTTCAAGCTATTCTCCTGCCTCAGCCTCCCGAGTAGCTGGGATTACAGGCATGCTCCACCATGCCTGGCTAATTTTGTACTTCTGCAGAGACCGGGCTTCTCCATGTTGGTCAGGCTGGTCTTAAACTCCCGACCTCAGGTGATCAGCCTGCCTCAGCCTCCCAAAGTGCTGAGATTATAGGCGTGAGCCACCGCGCCCAGGATTTTTTTTTTTTTTTTTTTTTTTTTTAGACGGAGTTTCGCTCTTGTCGGCAAAGCTGGAGTGCTATGGCCTGTTCTCAGCTCACTACAACCTCCACCTCCTGGGTTCAAGCGATTCTCCAGCCTCAGCCTCCCGAGTAGCTGGGGCTACAGGTGCCCACCACCAAGCCCGGCTAATTTTTGTATTTTTAGTAGAGATGGCATTTCACCATGTTGGCCAGGCTGGTCTCCAACTCCTGACCTCAGGTGATCCACCCACCTTGGCCTCCCAAAGTCCTGGGAGCCACCACTCCTGGCTTTTTTTTTTTTTTTTAATAGAGATGGGGGTCTCACCATATTGCCCAGGCTCATTTTGAACTCCTGAGCTCAAGCCATCCTCCCACCTCGGCCTCCCAAAATGCTGGGATTACAGGTGTGAGCTACCACATTGGGCCCAGAAAGTTTCTTAATGACTCTTTCCAATCAATTCTCAACCCTGTAGGAAATCACTGTTCTGATTTCTTTCACCATAAATTTGATTTACTTGTTCTTAAACTTATATAAATAAATCTTACAAGATGTACTTTTTATTACCTGGCTTCTATGGCTCAATATAATGTTTATGAGATTCAACCATGTGGTTGGTGTACCTGCCATTCCTTTTTTTAAAATTGCTAAATAGTACTTATACCACAATCCATTTTTCTATTCTCCTGTTGATGAACATTTGGATCTTTTTCAGTTTTGGCTGTGTAGGGAGTACAAACTTTCCCCTACTCTTAGCTTCTATGGCTGGGCCTGAGAATTAAACTGACCTGATACATTTCTTTGTGGCGTGATCTTGGCTCACTGCAACTTCTGCCTCCCGGGTTCAAGCACTTCTCTGCCTCAGCCTCCTCAGTAGCTGGGATTACAGGCGCCCATCACCACACCCGGCTAATTTGTGGATTTTTAGTAGAGACAGGGTTTCACCATGTTGGCCAGGCTGGTCTTGAACTCCTGACCTTGTGATCCACCCGCCTTAGCCTCCCAAATTACTGGGATTACAGGCGTGAGCCACCGCGTCCGGCCAACCTGAGACATTTCAATAGGATAAAAGTATACAAATTTTACTTAATATTTTTAATTGTACCAGAGGCTTCATAAGAAAAAACAGACCGAAGAAGTGGTTAGGACTGAGAGTTTATATAAATGTCCTTTCTTTTCTTTTTCTTTGAGATGGAGTCGCACTCCACTGCCCAGGCAGGAGTGCAGTGGTGCGATCTCACATTGCAACCTCCATCTCCCAGGTTCAAGCAGTTCTCCTGCCTCAGCCTCCCGAGTAGCTGGGATTACAGGTGCCTGCCACCATGCCAAGCGAATTTTTGTATTTTTAGTAGAGATGGGGTTTCACCATGTTGCCCAGGCTGGTCTTGAACTCCTGACCTCAGGTGATCCACACCCCCCCCCTTGGCCTCCCAAAGTGCTGGGATTACAGGCGTGAGCCACTGTGCCTGGCAGAGTCTTTTCTACATCTGCTGTAATTCCCAATTGGCTTCAGCTCAAAATAATCAATATGCCAAAAGCGACATTCTGGGGTGGCATGTTCTGAACCCCTTCAGCTACTATGAGTAAAGCTACTATAAACTTCTTGTTCAAGTCTTTTAGTGTACATATGCTTTCATTTGTCTTGGGAGTGGAATTGCTGGACTATAGGACCCATTTTTACCTTTATAAAGAACTGTTAAACAACTTTCTTTCTCTCTCTTTCTCCTTCCTTCCTTCCTTCTTCCCTCCCTCTTTCTCTCTCTTCTCTCTGTCTGTCTTTCTTTCTTTCTCTTTCTTTTTTGAGTCTGGCTGTATTGCCCAGGCTGGAGTGCAGTACCATGATCTCGGCTCACTGCAACCTCTGCCTCCTGGGTTCAAGAGATTCCTGCCGGGCGCGGTGGCTCACGCCTGTAATCCGAGCACTTTGGGAGGCCGAGGTGGGTGGATCACGAGGTCAGGAGATTGAGACCATCCTGGCTAACACGGTGAAACCCCATCTCTACTAAAAATACAAAAAAATTAGCCGGGTGTGGTGGCAGGCACCTGTCGTCCCAGCTACTTGGGAGGCTGAGGCAGGAGAACGGCGTCAACCCCGGAAGCAGAGCTTGCAGTGAGCAGAGATTGCGCCACTGCACTCCAGCCTAGGCGACAGAGCAAGACTCCGTCTCAAAAAAAAAAAAAAAAAAAAAAAAAAAAAGAGATTCTCCTACCTCAGCCACCCCAGTAGCTGAGATTACAGGCACCCGCCACCATGCCTGGCTAATTTGTTGTTGTTGTTGTTGTTAAATTTTAGTAGAGATGGGGTTTCACCACGTTGGTCAGGCTGGAGAACTGTCAAACAATTTCTGAAGTGGTTGTACTATTTTACACTCCCATCAATAGTATATAAAAGTTTCAGTTGCTCCTGTACTCTGTATGTAAATTGGAGAGGTCCCTATTTACTTTTCAGTGTCATCTCTTTTCAGAGACTTTAACAGAATGTATTTTGTAGCATTAAATTCCAAGTATGTGGGCAACCAAATCCTGGATAATTCTTGCCCAGTTACCAATATAAATTCTCAACATACACAAATACAATATTTCATACAAAAGATAGTCATCTCATTTTATGTGATAGTTTTATTCCTGAAAAACTTATAAAGCTAATTTGTGTAATTCAAATCATTAACTGAATGCATCTTCCCCTACTTCCATGTCCAGTTCAAATGGTCCTCTTGCAGGATGTTCTATCATGTTGTCCTGAACTGAAGTGATTCCTTCTTTAAATTTTAGCAGTTTCAGCCGGGCGCGGTGGCTCACGCCTGTAATCCCAGCACTTTGGGAGGCCGAGGCAGGCGGATCACAAGGTCAGGAGATCAAGACCATCCTGGCTAACACGGTGAAACACCGTCTCTACTAAAAAGCACAAAAAATTAGCCAGGTGTGGTGGCGGGCGCCTGTAGTCGCAGCTACTCGGGAGGCTGAGGCAGGAGAATGGCGTGAACCCGGGAGGCGGAGCTTGTAGTGAGCGGAGATCGCACCATTGCACTCCAGCCTGGGCAACAGAGCCAAACTCTGTCTTAAAAAAAAAAAAAAAATTTAGCAGTTTCAGTGATTTGACACTTGTCATCAATGTCAGTTCTTTGGGCCTTCATAATTTATGGCATCATTGCTTACCCTATTTAATCACATGTAAACATTTTATTTCCACACACACACACACACACACACACAAACAATACAGTGCCTTCACTGAAGGAAGGAACTATATCTTATACTTAAAAACAAACAAACAAACAAAACAAAAAACTCCTAGGCCAGGCATGGTGGCTCATGTCTGTTATCCCAGCACTTTGGGAGGCCAAGGTGGAGGATTGCCTGAGCCCAGGAGTTAGAGACCACCCTGGGCAACATGGTAAGATCTCATTTCTTTTCAAATTTGAAACAAAACAAAACAAAATTCAGTCATCCAGTGGAGTGTCTTGCACATAGGAGGTACTCTAGCATTTCTTGCTTCATTGGTTTTTCTGTTTTTGTTTTGCTTTAGGCAAGGTACAACTGTTGTTTTTTTTTTTTTTTTTTTTGAGACGGAGTCTCACTCTGTTGCCCAGGCTGGAGTGCAGTGGCACGATCTCGGCTCACTGCAAGCTCTGCCTCCCAGGTTCACGCCATTCTCCTGCCTCAGCCTCCCGAGTAGCTGGGACTACAGGCACCCGCCACCACGCCCAGCTAGTTTTTTGTAATTTTAGTAAAAATGGGGTTTCACCGTGTTGGCCAAGATGGTCTCAATCTCCTGACCTCGTGATCCACCCTCCTCGGCCTCCCAAAGTGCTGGGATTACAGGTGAGAGCCACCACGTCCGGCCTTTAGGCAAGGCATAACTGTTATGACAGCTTAAGTAAATTATATGCTTTTTAAAAATTATATGGTAATTTTCTCAATTTTCCATTTTTCTTGACTAGTGTAAGCCAGACCTAAGTTAAGATTATTGACTAAAATACACTTCTCTTACCACTTTACAAATTCCTAGTTTAAACCACCTCCTGCTTGGTGTGGTTTGAAATAAAAAGCACACCATAAGGAATTAGAGATTCTGTCTGGGGTTTCCCTCTAATTCTCCCTGGGGGCTGTGGGTTGCCATTTACAGCCCTCCACAAGGTTTTGAGTCCTTTTGCCAGTCCCTGAAGGCTGATATTCTCAGAAGCCCAGCTTAGAGATCATCTTGTCTGCTCCCTCCTCCTGCACACAGAAACTTGCTCCATCCTTAACATGCCTACACCGCTTTGTTCATGCCTGTTTAGTACTTGACATTTTGAGGCATAATTTATTATATACATGTTTGCCTGCCCATAGCTGGACCGTTGAGCTTCTCCAAGCAGGGATCATGTACCTTAGACATTCCTTGCTTGGCATGTAGTAAGTGTTCAACAAATGTTTGTTGAATAAATGCACGGATTAATGAGTGAGCAAATAAATATGACTTTTTTTTTTTTTTTTTTTGAGACAGAGTTTTGCTCTTGTTGCCCAGGTTGAGTATAGTGGCATGATCCCGGCCCCACTGCAGCCTCTGCCTCCTGGGTTCAAGTGATGCTCCTGCCTCAGCCTCCCAATTAGCTGGGATTATAGGTGCTCACCAGCATGCCCGGCTAATTTTTATATTTTTAGTAGAGACGGGGTTTCACCATGTTGGCCAGGCTGGTCTCGAGCTCCTGACCTCAGGTGATCTGCCCACCTTGGCCTCCCAAAGTGCTGGGATTACAGGTGTGAGCCACCGCATCTGGCCAGTTTTTCTAAAATATGTGAATCTCTGGGCATTTAGGCCTGAAGGAGACTAGTTTCTCTTATTCAAGCTCCATGAAGTAGATATACATATGGTATGTTGTTTTTGTTTGTTCAGCCTCTTCTTATCCCTTTTAGGATGAATTCCTCATTCTTGTGGGAATCCCATGTGGTTCGTTGTCACTTGACTCTCCTTCACCCCTATTTCTTTTTTCTTTGAGATGGAGTCTTGCTTCATTGCCCAGGCTGGAGTACAATGGCGTGATCTCGGCTTACTACCACCTCTGCCTCCCGGGTTCAAGCAATTCTCCTGCCTCAGCCTCCTAAGTGTCTGGGATTACAGGCACCTGCCACCACACTCAGCTAATTTTTGTATTTTTAGTAGAGATGGGGATTCGCCATGTTGGCCAGGCTGGTCTCGAACTCCTGACCTCAGTTGATCTGCCCGCCTTGGCCTCCCAAAGTCATGGGATTACAGGCGTCAGCCACTGCTCCCGGTCATTCACCCCTATTTTTTTTTTAATTTTAAAATTTTTGTTCTTACTCTCAGAATTTAAAACCCCTACCTATAAAGAAAAAAAAAAGGAAAACAAGTTTGAGCAGTATAAAAACTTCAGGTGGCTGTGCTACCTGAATCCTCTTAAAGATGGTAAATATACTTTAAAACTCCTAAGCTTTTTTTTTTAACATGAAAATCAAAATCAGACTTGGAAGACATTCTGGATAGTCACTCAACCTTCTAAAACATGATGTCTACACTTTTATAATAACTGGAAAAAGTATCAAGTTTGTAAAATATATTTAGTCGAACAATCTGTTCCAGGAGAAGATCATGTATTCAGTTATTTCTTCATTCATCCATTCAGCAAACATATATTGAAGAGATACCATTTAGCAATTTTTTATTTCATTTTGTGTCGCAGTCCTAGCTATCCTATTTGTTTGCAATGTATACTCAATTTATCTGCCAGCTGTCACTCCCCTCTCCCAAGACAAAAGTGGGTTACTGCTAAGCTTTCAGTCTCTCCTCCCCATTCCTTCTCACCCCATCCTAGTATGGCCCCTTCTCCCCAGATGTCTTATGTATCATATATTTTTCTGTCCCAGATCCAAATGACATACATAAAGTAGGACAAATGTCAATTAAGTTCTTTACATGTAGTGAGGTAGTTGTAGGAGGAGTATGGACAAGGGAAAATGATGGCATGGCATTTTGAGACTTGGTGGGGATATATATGGTCTAACCAATAATCAGGACATGTGCCCTGACAAGTAAATGGAGGTGTATAGTAAAAACAAAGGCAGGATATTTGAAATCACCACTATCCTAGTAAATGCAGAAGTGTTGTCACCAAATTTACAAATTTGTTACTTCTAATTCATTGGGGAAAACTTTGGAGGGATAAGATTTCAGGAATTACTTGAATAAAGGGAGCTTGACTAACTTAGTATGAGAGAACAGAAGGCCATAATCCAGGTTTAGCATTAGGTATGGGAAACACCTAGAGAATAAGGAA
Source organism: Homo sapiens (assembly GCF_000001405.40). Classification (NCBI taxonomy): domain Eukaryota; kingdom Metazoa; phylum Chordata; class Mammalia; order Primates; family Hominidae; genus Homo; species Homo sapiens. Next base: position 126,772,044 of record NC_000005.10, read on the forward strand.
AGTGTATATTTTGTAAAGTAGCTGACCAAAAATGTGCACAATTGTCTAATTCTTGTGTGTGTGTGTTTTGTTTTTGTTTTTTTTTTTGCTACGGAGTTTCACTCTTGTTGCCCAGGCTGGAATACAATGGCACTATCTCGGCCCACTGCAACCTCTGCCTCCCAGGATCAAACGATTCTCCTGCCTCAGCCTCCCGAGTAGCTGCGATTACAGGTGCCCACCACCATGCCTGGCTAATTTTTTGTATTTTTAGTAGAGATGGAGTTTCACTGTGTTGGCCAGGTTGGTCTCAAACTCCTGGCCTCAAGTGATCCACCCACCTTGTCCTCCCAAAGTGCTGGGATTACAAGGGTGAGCCACTATGCCCGGCCACAATTACCTAATTCTAAGGCTTCAAGATTTTCCATTCTTTTTCCTTGATTTTCAATGGAAACACATGATTACTATTAGTAAGCGTTACTATTTAGCCTTCACATGTTGTATGTCTAACACACTGCATATATTGTTTTATTAAATCTTTACAAATCCTGTGCAAGGTAAAAACCATTCCCATTTTCTTTTCTTTCTTTCTTTCTTTTTTTTTTTTTTTTTTTATGAGACGAGTTTCGCTCTTGTTGCCCAGCCTGGAGTGCAATGGCACGATCTTGGCTCACTGCAACCTCCACCTCCCAGGTTTAAGCGATTCTTCTGCCTCAGCCTCCTGAGTAGCTGGGATTACAGGCATGTGCCACCACGCCCGGCTAATTTTATATTTTTAGTAGAGATGGGGTTTCTCCATATTGGTCAGACTGGTCTCGAACTCCCGACCTCAGGTGATCTGCCCACCTCGGCCTCCCAAGGTGCTGGGATTACAGGCGTGAGCCACCGCGTCCGGCCCCCATTTTCTTTTTCTTTCTTCTCTTTTTTTGAGACGCAGTTTTGCTCTTGTTGCCCAGGCTAGAGTGCAATGGTGCCATCTCAGCTCACCATAACCTCTGCCTCCCAGGTTCAAGCGATTCTCCTGCCTCAGCCTCCCAAGTAGCTGGGATTACAGGCATGCGCCACCACGCCCAGCTAATTTTGTATTTTTAGTAGAGACGGGGTTTCTCCATGTTGGTCAGGCTGGTCTCGAACTCCCGACCTCAGGTGATCCACCTGCCTTAGCCTCCCAAAGTGCTGGGATTACAGGCATGAGCCACCGAGCCCGGCATGTGTTTTTTTGTTTTGTTTTGTTTTTGAGACGGAGTCTCGCTGTGTCGCCAGGCTGGAGTGCAGTGACGCGATCTCGGCTCACTGCAACCTCTGTCTCCTGGGTTCAAGAGATTCTCCTGCCTCAGCCTCCTGAGTAGCTGGGACTACAGGCGCGCACCACCATGCCCAGTTAACTTTTTTGTATGTTTAGTAGAGACGGGGTTTCGCCGTGTTGGCCAGGATGGTCTCGATCTCTTCACCTCGTCATCCGCCCGCCTCAGCCTCCCAAAGTGCTGAGATTACAGGCGTGAGCCACTGTGCCCGGCTCCATTTCCATTTTCCTTGAAGGAAATCACGGAATAATTTTCTTAAAGTTATACAGCTATCAGTAGCACATCCTCAATTGTCTGACTCCAAGAAAGTTGTTTTATATAATAGGATATGTATAATGTGAGCCTCTTCAAATAATCTGAAAATTGAGGAACTCTATCAATAGAAAGCTTCAGGCCGGGCGTGGTGGCTCACGCCTACGATCCCAGCATTTTGGGAGGCTGAGGCTGGTGGATCACGAGGTCAGGAGTTGGAGACCAGCCCGACCAACATGATGAAACCTCGTCTCTACTAAAAATACAAAATTAGCCCGGTGTGGTGGCGCAGGCCTGTAATCCCAGCTACTCGGGAGGCTGAGGTAGGAGAATCGCTTGAACCCTCCAGGAGGTAGGAGATGGAGGTTGTGGTGAGCTGACATCGCGCCACTGCACTCCAGCTTGGGCAAGAAGAACGAAACTCTGTCTCAAAAAAAAAACAAAAACAAAAACAAAAAACAAAGCTTCATGGGGTTGAGAGCAATAGAGATCATTGCTGGAATCACATATAATCTTAAAACTTAAAAAATGGACAGGAAATAATTTTAAAAGAAAACTGACAATTTTTTTTTTTTTTTTTTGAGACGGAGTCTCGCTCTGTCGCCAGGCTGGAGTGCAGTGGCGCGATCTCGGCTCACGACAACCTCCGCTTCCCGGGTTCAAGCCATTCGCCTGCCTCAGCCTCTCGAGTAGCTGGGACTACAGGCACGTGCCACCACGCCCAGCTATTTTTTTTTTTTTTTTTTTTTGTAGTTTTAGTAGAGACGGGGTTTCACTATGTTGGCCAGGATGGTCTCCATCTCTTGACCTCGTGATCCGCCCGCCTCGGCCTCCCAACCAAGTATTTTTAAAAGACAGGTAAAGGGGAGCAAGGAATGAAAACCATAAAACCATATGGATTGACTATATCACCTGTCGTAGTGGAAAGGGTCTCACAACCAAGTGAGAACAAGCAGATTTACATTCCAATCCTGGTTCCACAGCCTGGGACCCAGCACTCACCTTCTTTTGGTCTAATTTCCTCATCGGTAATTTATTTTATTTAACTTTAAAAAATTTTTTTTATTTTTTTGCAGATAGGGTCTTGCTTTGACGCCTAGGCAGTGTCGCAATCTCAGCTCACTGCAACCTCTGCCTCTGAGGTTCAAGCGATTCTCCTGCCTCCTGCCTCAGCCTCCGGAGTAGCTGGGACTACAGGCGCGCGCCACCACACCCCGCTAATTTTTGTATTTTCAGTAGAGGCGGGGTTTCACTATGTTGACAGGCTGGTCTGGAACTCCCGACCTCAAGTGATCTGCCCACCTCGGCCTCCCAAAGTGCTGGGATTACAGGCTGAGCCACCACACCCGGCCGGTTTTCTCATCAGTAATTTAGATTTTAAAGTTCCCTTTAAGATTACTTGAATACTTAAAGTCTAAGCTTTTCGATTCTTTATTTCTCAATGAGGTTAAGAAAGGAAGTATTTCATGGCCAGGCGCGGTGGCTCACGCCTGTAATTCTAGCACTTTGGGAGGCCGAGGCGGGCGGATTGCCTGAGATCAGGAGTTCGAGGCCAGCCTGGGCAACACGGTGAAGCCCAGTCTCTACTAAAATACAAAAAATTAGCCGGGTATGGTGGCGTTGGTCCCAGCTACTCAGGAGGCTGAGGCAGGAGAATCGCTTGAACCCGGGAGGTGGAAGTTGCAGTGAGCTGAGATTGTGCCATTGCACTCCAGCCTGGGCGACAGAGCAAGACTCCGTCTCCCTGCCATCCTCCCCCCCACCCCCCCACCCCCCAAAAAGCAAGGAAGTATTTTAGGAAACCGGACAGGAAATAGAACCATTAATAAGGAGAATGTCATCATTCACAGAGTGCCAAAAATTCATCTGGGATGAATATGCAGCTCCCAGTGCTCTTCACTAATTCTTATGTACATGACTTGATTAACAGTTAAAGAATATCCTGGTCTCCATTTCTGCCATTTTAAAAGTAAGTAACCATTAATTACAGAAGCGTTCCTAATAGGTGGTAAGGTGGTCATCTAGGGTATAGCTAAGGGCCAGACTCGAGTCAATTAGAATCCTGGGACCTGTCAAACGCAGTCCTGCGGAGCAGCCTTCAGACAGTGAATCTATAAAATGGATGGTTTCTTTCTTTCTTTTTTGAGACGGGGTCTCCCTGTCACCCAGGCTGGAGTGTAATGGTGCCATCTCGGCTCACTGCAACTTCCCCTTTCCGGGTTCAAGGGATTCTCCCACCTCAGCCTTCCAAGTAGCTGAGATTACAGGCACCCGCCATCATGCCCGGCTAATTTTTGTATTTTTGTAGAGACGGGGTTTCACCATGTTGGTCAGGCTGGTCTTGAACTCCTGAGCTCAGGTGATCCTCCCCCACTCGGCCTCCCAAAGTGTTGGGATTATAGGCGTGAGCCACCGCGCCCGCCCGGATGAATTTTCAAATAGAAACAATCCAGTTTCCCACATCACACGGAGATTGTGTGGATGGGTAATCCATGAAAAGCCTGGTGCTGGCACTCAGTCCCAATAAATGTTAGCTAAAAATTAGGAACTTTTCAAAGGGATGAATGTGCTTTCTAATAGAAGTAGCTGCCAGTGACATCTTGGGAGCCTCTTTTTAAAAGCAAAAAATTATTTCATCTTAAATTTTCACAAGTTCAGATTTTTATGTACCTGATTTTAACGGAGTATGAAACAGCTTGCTCTCGTAGTTACTCACCGTCATATGTTAATCGTATCATTTCTGAGCTGTTTTTTGATTTTACAAACCCTTAAATTAAGAAACGGATTAGGAACCGCCCATTAACACTGTTGGCAAATGATTTAAAATCAGGGTTGCTGGTTTTTCTGTGATAATCTATCGGCTTCAAGACGCACAGATCTCACTTTCATGGAAAGAAGTTGCCTGATACAGTTTTCCACCGGAGAGAAAAATAAAGGCTGGTACTTGGAACCTGCAAGCCGTGCATTTGGAACCTCGGACTCAAGTGCCTATTACGTAATTCCACAGCGTCCCGGCCTCCAGGCCGTTTCCCGAGCCCTCCAGCGGAGCGGGGGATAAGGTTACCACGCCCGCGGTGGCCGGGGACACTCTGAGTTTCGCGTGTGGCTTTTAGGGACGTTTATATTTGAATTTCCCTGAACCGCCGAGTGTGGGCGGTGGCGCAGATCCGTCCCGGAAACCTCCGGGCTCCTTCCCGCCTTTCTCAGGCCCGGCCCCTCCAAGGGGTCCCCGCGGGGCGGCGGGAGGGCCCTGGGCCCAGAGCCGCGCGGGTGGGCAGTCCCAGGCGTCCTTCCTTACAGCCCTGAGCCTGGTCCGGGAACCGCCCAGCCGGGAGGGCCGAGCTGACGGTTGCCCAAGGGCCAGATTTTAAATTTACAGGCCCGGCCCCCGAACCGCCGAAGCGCGCTGCCTGCTCCCCATTGGCCCATGGTAGTCACGTGGAGGCGCCGGGGCGTGCCGGCCATGTTGGGGAGTGCGGCGCCGCGGCCCGCGCCACCTCCGCCCCCCGCGGCTTGCCTCCAGCCCGCCCCTCCCGGCCCTCCTCCCCCCGCCCGCCGCTCCGTGCAGCCTGAGAGGAAACAAAGTGCTGCGAGCAGGAGACGGCGGCGGCGCGAACCCTGCTGGGCCTCCAGTCACCCTCGTCTTGCATTTTCCCGCGTGCGTGTGTGAGTGGGTGTGTGTGTTTTCTTACAAAGGGTATTTCGCGATCGATCGATTGATTCGTAGTTCCCCCCCGCGCGCCTTTGCCCTTTGTGCTGTAATCGAGCTCCCGCCATCCCAGGTGCTTCTCCGTTCCTCTAAACGCCAGCGTCTGGACGTGAGCGCAGGTCGCCGGTTTGTGCCTTCGGTCCCCGCTTCGCCCCCTGCCGTCCCCTCCTTATCACGGTCCCGCTCGCGGCCTCGCCGCCCCGCTGTCTCCGCCGCCCGCCATGGCGACTGCGACCCCCGTGCCGCCGCGGATGGGCAGCCGCGCTGGCGGCCCCACCACGCCGCTGAGCCCCACGCGCCTGTCGCGGCTCCAGGAGAAGGAGGAGCTGCGCGAGCTCAATGACCGGCTGGCGGTGTACATCGACAAGGTGCGCAGCCTGGAGACGGAGAACAGCGCGCTGCAGCTGCAGGTGACGGAGCGCGAGGAGGTGCGCGGCCGTGAGCTCACCGGCCTCAAGGCGCTCTACGAGACCGAGCTGGCCGACGCGCGACGCGCGCTCGACGACACGGCCCGCGAGCGCGCCAAGCTGCAGATCGAGCTGGGCAAGTGCAAGGCGGAACACGACCAGCTGCTCCTCAAGTGAGTGCTAGCTGGCGGCCGCGTTAGCGCCAAGGAGGGGCGGGGGCGCAACCGCGGCGACCAGCTCACCGGGTTCTGCCGTGGGGAGGGAGCAGAGGCCAGGATGCACGCGTCCTTCTGAAGGAACAGGGTCTCGGTCTCCGGAAAGGAGAAAGAATCTAGAGTTCATAGCGGAGCAGGGGTCGCGGAGGGGGCTCGAGCTGTAGCGCTGGGGGGCCGTGATGCCCATTTCTAGATTTTGGATACCCGCTGGGACGTGGTAAGTGCGCGCCTGGGACTGCCGAGAAGGAGCTCCCGCTTTCGCACTCGAATCCGGGGAGCCGGCGCGGAGAGGCGGCCCCTCAGGCCCCAGGTGCGGGGAGCTGGAGCGCGAGCGCGCGCTCGCGTGCGCGCCCCAGTTTCCGGCCGGCGCGAGACAAAGCGTCTAGCGGATTTGCAGTGCCGGGATGGGCGGCCGGGGAGGACTGGCAGCCCGCCTCTAGAATGAATGAGCTTCGCGCGGGCAGAGAGAGGAAGGGGAGGGACCTTCCCGCAGCATCCGCGTCTCCTGGGGGTGGGTCCCGCTTTGGCGCGCTCAGTCTTGGCCCTGTGACGTTTTGCGAAGATTCTACGCCTGCTTTAGGCGGGAGAGAGAGGCGGAGCTTGATCCGTGCGCCTCCAGCCAGCCCCGGGCAAGTTAGGTTTGCTAGCTGGTTAGCTTTCTCTGGGGAAATGTGTCCTGTCCCAGCGGGGATGGTGCGGTCCCTCGGGTGGTTCTGCGCAGGGAAGGAAAGCTGGGTTTGTGCATGTCACGGCTACCGTTCTTAGAATTGCGGTTCTCCTACCCCTCAGGCAGCGGCCCTCTGTCCCCAGCTTTTGCCTCCTCGTAGTATAGTCAGGCTTTCGGGTAGAGACTGTGCTTAGTACCCCTTAGTCGACCACTGTGCAGATAGTAGACCAGGGCAGGTGACAGGGTGCTGTGTAAATGCTGAGTGTTTGAGCGAAGGAGAGTTTGTAATTCACCTAAGCGAGTGCGAGTTTTCATTCCAGTGCACAAGGATACATTTGCAGACCTTTGCTGGCCTTATTTTGACTTTCTGATAAGCAAAATGGCCTGTCATCAGTAGGCAACAAGTGTTGATGTCATGCTTTAGAGATTTGCAAAATTTGGGTCTGAAATTCATGGTCGCCATTAGCACTGCCAGCTGAAATTTCTGGAGGTACCTTATTCTCACTTTGACACCCTTTGCCCCTGGATGTCTTTCTGTCTGTATCTGCGTGAATGTCCCTGTCCGAAGTCTCTGAGATTTTGTGTATTTTTACTTATCCCTCCTATCATATGTTTTCGGTTCATAAAAAAGCATGTGCACGTGGTAAGAATAAAATAGTATAGACTGGTTTGTAGCGAAAAACGATAACTGCACTACCTCTTTCCGGAGGCAATCACATTTATCCCTTTTTGTTTTTATTTCTTTGGATATTTAGTTATACAACTCGAAAATAATACTAAGCTTGTATTTCCCTTTCTTGGATTTACTAAGCCTTGGTTTCATCTTTTAAAATGAGCAGTCAGTTAACTCACACTATTATTTCTATGTTCCTCCAAATTTTTTGCCACTGAATTCCTTCAAATCTTAGATATCGTTGCTTGTAAGACTTGCCATTATTATGTGTACCACTAAGAAAATAAAAACATCAGGACCAACTGTGTAGGATCCATCCTGTTGGACCCATCATGATGGGTTTCATAGATATTAAAATGTCAAACAGGGCCGGGCGTGGTGGCTCACGCCTGTAATCCCAGCGCTTTGGGAGGCGAGGTGAGCGGATCACTTGAGGTCAGGAGTTCGAGACCAGCCTGACCAATATGGTGAAACCCCGTCTCTACTAAAAATACAAAAATTGGCCGGACGCGGGGGCTCACGCCTGTAATCCCAGCACTTTGGGAGGCCGAGGCGGGCGGATCACGAGGTCAGGAGATCGAGGCCATCCTGGCTAACAAGGTGAAACCCCGTCTCTACTAAAAATACAAAAAATTATCCAGACGTGGTGGCATGCATCTGTAGTCTCAGCTACTTGGGAGGCTGAGGCAGGAGAATCGCTTGAACCCAGGAGGCGGATATTGCAGTGAGCTGAGATTGCGCCATTGCACCCCAGCCTGGCGACAGAGTGAGACCCCATCTCAAAAAAGAAAAAAAATCCGGGCGTGGTGGCGGGCGTCTGTAATCCCAGCTACTGGGGAGGCTGAGGCAGGAGAATCGCTTGATATCCAGGAGGCAGAGGCTGCAGTGAGCCAGATGGTCCACTGCACTCCAGCCTGGGTGACAGAGTGAGACTCCGTCTAAAAAAAAAAATTAACACAGATCAAATATCTGTTGCGTACCAGTCACCGTTCTATGTTAGAGGATATGAAGATTTTTTTAAAAAAATGAATTACTGTTCTTTGTTGCTGAGAGTGTAGTGGGGGAGCTATATCCCAGCAAGTAAAGAAAGATTGTCTTTTGTCTGATGTGAAGCATTTTGATGCTGGCGCTTTTGTAATCTTTCCAGGAGTTAGCCACAGGAGGTTTTTCACACAGTAACAAGGCTGCCACCTGGCTGACAGTAGTTGTAAATGTATCGATTCTAAAATGCATGCTGGTTTCAGCGGGGTTAAAAAATGAGAATAATGTGTATTAGAATCAATGAAATAATGCATGTGATACAATTTAGGTAATAGCAGATGCTAAGGGAATAAAAATAAAGCGGAGTGAAGGGTTAGTGTGATTAAGGAAGGCCTGTCTGAGGAGTTGACAGTACCTATTCTCTGAGGGTTAGTAGTGTTCTGGGATTATATTTTTCTTAAGTCTGTGCTACTGTATGTATATTCCTATTGCCAGGATTAGATGACTCTTCTTTTCCCCCCAACATACCATCATTTGCTCAAAACATGCCACATTTTAGTTTGCTCCTTATTTGAATTAGGACTTTTTTTATATGGATTTATTCCTCAATAGCTTTTCATTTTTCTTGTTAAGAAAAATTTGCCCTCAGTGTGTTTGCAGACTTTTTGAAGATATTTAATCATAATATCTATCACATGAATCTGCTTTCTTCCCTAGAGTTCTCTTTGCTTAAGGTAGGCTGTGTACTGATGTCCTGTAACTTATTAAAGACAGCTTCCTGGCCAGGCACGGTGGCTCACACCTGTAAAGCACTTTGAGAGGCCTAGGCAGGTGGATCACCTGAAGTCAGGAGTTCAAGACTAGCCTGTCCAACATGGCGAGACCCCGTCTCTACTAAAAATACACAAATTAGCCGCGTGTGGTAGTGGACGCCTGCAATCCCAGTTACTGTGGAGGCTGAGGCAGGAGGCATTGCTTGAACCGGGGAGGCGGAGGTTGCAGTGAGCTGAGATCACACCACCGCACTCCATCCTGGGTGTATTTTCCTTTTCCTTGGTTTCTTCATATTTTGTTGAAGAACATCCTTAAGTAATTTATTCAGAAAGGATGGCAGGAGGTAAACTTTCTGAGTCCTGTATGTCTGAAAATAGCTTTGGGCTAGGTATAGAATACTAGGTTAACATTTTTCCAGAACTTGGAAAGTATTATTTTGCCCTATTGTCTTCTGGCATCTAGGGTTGTTAATGTCTTTCTTTTTTTTTTGAGACGGAGCTTGGCTCACTGCAACCTCCGCCTCCCAGGTTCAAGCGATGCTCTTGACCCAGCCTCCCAAGTAGCTGGGATTACAGGTGTGCACCACCACACCCGGCTAATTTTGTATTTTTAGTAGAGACGGGGTTTCACCGTGTTGGCCAGGCTGGTCTCCAACTCCTGACCTCAGGTGATCCACCCACCTCGGCCTCCCAAGGTGCTGGGATTATAGGCGTGAGCCACCATGCCTGGCCTATATTTAATTTTTTATTTGGAACTAGAGTGTTTGTAATTAAGTATAATCATCATTTAGGTAGATTTAGATTAAGAAAACAGCTTTGAGAGAATTATAGATTCCAGGTTACTTAGTTTCTTTTTGGTTCCTCAGCAAACAAGATACCTTAGAGGCAGAGCATGGAAATGCTTGGTCTAAAGAGAATTTGGCAACAGTTTCCATGCAGGTGGTGTCTGAATCCATAGAAAACAGACCTCATATGTAAGGTACAGTTACTTTGATTCAGTCCAAGACTGATTATATTTTGCTGAAAGCTTTTTTGAGAGAACAGTTTCCAAAAATGATGATGAATGCCATCACTCAACACTTTAAACAAAAAGTACAGAGAAATTGACTTGTTTCAGATTTTCACTGTTAACTATACGGGAAAACTAGATATAACAGAAAGTTAAGTGTTTACATCAGTCTTCAATAACTGATTTTGTGGATTCAGACATTTATTTTCCTTCAGTGATACAGGTCCCGTATCTTTTCTGTAAAACCCTGGGGGCCAGATGTGCTTTGGAAGTTAAAGCAATTCCAATTTAAGACGGTAATATGATGCACATACTGGATATGACACCCCCAGTGGGGTTTATAGATAGAGTTAGGGTAGATAGAGTTAGCACTCTATCATGAAACATTTCTGAGGGAAAGATATTGTCATGGCAAGTGGAGAAAGACAGATTGAAAATAGACCTGGTTTCAGGTCAGGTTTTGCCACTAAATGTGTTAATAAAAATTTTAGGTTTTCAAACTCTGGAAGTATAGATAAAAGATGGTGAATTTTTGTTTTTATTTATTTATTTTTTGACACAGAGTCTCGCTCTTTTGCCCAGGCTGGAGTGCAGTGACACAATCTCAGCTCACTGCAACCTCTGCCTCCTGGGTTCAAGCAATTCTTCTGCCTCAGCCTCCCAAGTAGCTGGGATTACAGGCACCCGCCACCACGCCCAGGTAATTTTTATATTTTTAGTAGAGACCAGGTTTCACCATGTTGGCCAGGATGGTCTTGATCTCTTGACCTCGTGATCTGCCCGCCTCTGCCTCCCAAAGTGCTGGGATTACAGGCGTGAGCCACTGTGCCTGGTCAAAAACATGCTAATCTTCTTTAGGAGTGTTTTCTTTGTACATAGGATGATTAATTGAAAAACAAAAACCTTTGGCTGGGCGTGGTGGCTCACGCCTGTAATCCTAGCACTTTGGGAGGCTGAGGTGGGAGGGTCATGAGGTCAGGAGTTCGAGACCAGCCTGACCAACACTGTGAAACCCCATCTCCATAAAAATACAAAAATCAGCCGGGCGTGGTGGTGCACGCCTGTAATCCCAGCTACTTTGGGAGGCTGAGGCAGGAGAATCTCTTGAACCCAGCAGGTGGAGGTTGTAGTGAGCCAAGATCGTACCACTGCACTCCAGCTTGGGCGACAGAGCGAGACTCTGTCTCAAAAACAAAAACAAACAAACAAAAAAACCACAAAAAACAAACCTTCATCATCCTGTGTATTACTATATCTTTTTTTAATGTACTGATTTTGCCCTATTTGAAGCAGATTGACAGTATACATCTTGGCCTTAATATAAGAGTTATCAAACTTTTATATTTTTATAACTTAAAATATAAGAGTTATAAAACTAGTTTTCTTTATAAGAGTTATAAAACTAGTTAAACTGCTTTTCATAGTTCTTTTATAACAGAGTTATGTTAAATGTTACTTTAATTTTCAAGGGAAGACTTGGAAGGACCAAACCCCTAAAAATGATTTAAAAGTCTAGGAAGCAGGTCCCAAGTAATTAAACTGTCATGACATTTCCTTCCCATGCTTTCAAAAGATGTTTGATAAAGCAAGATCTTTTGGAGTTGTTTATTTAACTTAGGGGATGAGACTAGGTAATATTTTGCATACCCAGATTCAAGGAAGTAAACAGGCAGAATGAAAGATAAAGCACTATTAAAATATGGTGGGTCTTTTCTTTTTTGTGTCTTTACACAGTTGCTGGTTATATTTATTCTTTCGTTTGTATAGATGGTGTCACCTCTGATATGTCTGAGTTAGAAATCTTCAGACTTTTTTTTTATGCCATTAGTGTAAGTCTCTTTCATGTACAAATGTTGAGAATGAGCCTCAGGTATCAGTTGAGTAATGGGACCCTGTATAGGTCCCATTATTTTTAGGATCAGGGAAGTTTTTAAAATCAGTTTTAAACCCTTTTTACAGTGTACCTCTTTGATAAGGAGATTGTGCTTTGGCTGTCATTTGATTTTTTTTTTTTTTTTTTTTTTTTTTTGAGACAGAGTTTTGCTCTCGTTGCCCAGGCTGGAGTACAGTGGTGCGATCTCAGCTCACTGCAACCTCCGCCTCCCGGGTTCAAGCAATTCTCCTGCCTCAGCCTCCCAAGTAGCTGGGATTACAGGCATGCGCCACTACACCCGGCTGATTTTGTATTTTTTTTTTAATAGACTTGGGGTTTTTCCATGTTGGTCAGGCTGGTCTGGAATTCCCAACCTTGGATGATCCGCCCGCCTTGGCCTCCCAAAGTGCGGGGATTACAGGCGTGAGCCACCGCACCTGGCCGGCTGTCATTTGAATTTTTATTATTTTATTTTATTTTATTTTTTTGAGGCAGGGTCTCGCTGTGTCGCCCAGGCTGGAGTGCAGTGGTGCGATCTCGGCTCACTGCAACCTCCGCCCCTCCAGGTTTAAGCAATTCTCTGCCTCAGCCTCCGGAGTAGCTGGGATTACAGGCACGTGCCACCACGCCCGGCTAATTTTTTGTATTTTTAGTAGAGATGGGGTTTCACCATCTTGCCCAGGCTGGTCTTGAGCTCCTGACCTCGTGATCCACCCGCCTCGGCCTCCCAAAGTGCTGGGATTACAGGCGTGAGCCACCGTGCCTGGCTTGAATTTTTTTTTTTTTTTGAGACGGAGTTTTGCTCTGTCGCCCAGGCTGGAGTGCAGTGGCGCCATCTCGGCTCACTGCAAGCTCCACCTCCCGGGTTCACGCCATTCTCCTGCCTCACTCAGCCTCCTGAGTAACTGGAACTACAGGCGCCCTCCACCACGCCGGGCTAATTTTTTTTTATATTTTTAGTAGAGGCTGGGTTTCACCGTGTTAGCCGGGATGGGCTCGATCTCCTGACCTCGTGATCCGCCCGCCTCAGCCTCCCAAAGTGCTGGGATTACAGGCGTAAGCCACTGCCCTCCGCCCGAATTTTTAAAAATTAATTTTATTATTATTATTTTTGAGACGGAGTCTTGCTGTGTCACCAGGCTGGAGTGCAGTGGCACAACCTTGGCTCACTGCAATCTCTGCCTCCCGGGTTCAAGTGATTCTGCCGCCTCAGCCTCCCAAATATCTGGGATTACAGGCACCCGCCACCATGCCCGGCTAATTTTTTTTTTTTTTAATTTCTAGTAGAAACGGGGTTTCACCATGTCGGCCAGGATCATCTCGATCTCCTGACCTCGTGATCCGCCCGCCTTGGCCTCCCAAAGTGCTGGGATTACAGGTGTGAGCCACGGTGCCCTGCCTAAAAATTAATTTTTTTTTTTTTTAATAACTGAGTCTTGCTCTGTCGCCAGGCTGGAGTGCAGTGGCACGATCTCAGCTCACTACAGCCTCTGCCTCCCGTGTTCAAGCAATTCTCCTGCCTCAGCCTCCTGATTAGCTGGGACTACAGGCACACGCCACCACGTCGGCTAATTTTTTTTTTCTTTTTCTTTTTCTTTTTTTTTTTTTGTATTTTAGTAGAGACGAGGTTTCACCAGGTTGCCCAGGCTTGTCTTGAACTCCTGAGCTCAGGCAATATCTGCCTGCCTCAGCCTCCCAAAGTGCTAGGATTACAGGTGTGAGCCACGGTGCCAGGCCAAAAATTAAATTTTTTAAACAGCAAATGTATATTCATTATAGAAAAGGAGAAAACACAAACACCAAGAAGAAAATTCTTGGTTGGGCCTTAGGTTGGGCCCAACCCTTAGGTTGGGACCAGCGGCTCATGCCTGCAATCCCAGCACTTTTGGAGGCCGAGGTGGGCGGATCACCTGAGGTCAGCAGTTCGAGACCAGCCTGGCCAACATGGCAAAACCCTGTATCTACTAAAAATACAAAAATTAGCCGGGCATGGTGGTGGGCACCTGTAATTCTAGCTACTTAGGAGGCTGAGGCAGGAGAACTGCTTGAACCTGGGAGGCAGAGGTTGCAGTGAGCCGAGATCGTGCCACTGCACTCCAGCCTGAGTGACAAAGCAAGACTCCCTTTGGGGGGTGGGGGAAAAGATGCAGGAAAAAAAAAAGCTGACATTTATTTTGTGCCAATTCTGTTTGCCAGGCATTACAGTAGATGCTTTACAGACATTATCTTTTTTTTTTTTTTTTTTTTGATGCAGAGTCTGGCTCTGTCGCCCAGGCTGGAGTCCTGGAGTGCAGTGGCACGATCTCGGTTCACTGCAGGCTCCATCTCTTGAGTTCACGCCATTCTCCTGCCTCAGCCTCCCAAGTAGCTGGGACTACAGGTGCCCGCCACTACGCCCGGCTAATTTTTTGTATTTTTTAGTAGAGACGGGGTTTCACTGTTAGCCAGGATGGTCTCGATCTCCTGACCTCGTGATCCTCCTGCCTTGGCCTCCCAGAGTGCTGGGATTACAGGCGTGAGCCACCGTTCCCGGCCAGACATTATCTTTTAAGCTCATGATAACTGCTGATGAGTAAGGAAACTTCAGGCTCAGAGAGTTTAAGTATTTTGCCTGGTATTACTTAGCAAGTAATGAAAGCTAGAAAGGATGGTAGCCTGACTTCTAGCATTGTGATAGGGTGTTCACATACATAACCTTATTTCATCCATACAACAGTGTTCTACAGGTATTACTCTGGTTTACCGACATGTAGCAGGCTCACAGAGCATCATTATCTGTGGTTGGTACTTGAAGTCTCAGATAGGATAGTTGATTTTCAGATCCCTTTGGGTGCTACTTTTGGAAATGCTACTAGTTGCATGTTTTTCACGTTGATAGTTTGTAGCCTTCAAGGGAGGTAATTTTGGATTTGTCAGAAGGGTAGTGGTCAGTAGTTGAAACAGCTGTTTGAAATACTGAGGGCTTCATTTGCTAAAGAAAGGTGAAGATGAATTACTGAAAGAGATCGCTTTTATCTTTTTTCTCTTCTTAAAAAGCTACTTTCCAACTTTATTCCATGCCTTAATAATTTAAAAGAAATTAAAACCTCTAAATAAATCTTTAATACTCATGACAGGGTGTTCTTTCATTCTTTATTCAAGACACATTTTTGTGGAACAGGTACTATATGCCAGGTCTTGAACCAGATGCTGGGAATAGAGAAATGGGATACTCAGTCCCCATTATCAAGTTACTTACAGTCTAGTGGGGAAGACAGAAAACCAACACTACAGGATTGTGATACTGTAAGTGCAGTATACTAATAAAATATATTAAGTGCTGTGATGCCAGTATCCAGGTGTTGCTGTGGAGAAACAAGGACCGCTACCTAAGGCAGGCTAGGAGCCGTGTGAAATTTTGAAAGACATCCCAGGGGAATCTGAGCTAAGTGCAGGGAGGTAAGTAGGGATTTGCTTCTAAATGGAAAATGGAGAGTGAGTTGTCCTGAATGTCAAATAATTTATATAACTGGAGCCATATATATGTGTATGTGTGTGTATATATACATCTTATATGTATATGTTATATATAACATATACTTTATGTATATGTTACTTATATATGAAGTATATGTTATATATAACGTGTGTGTGTGGGGGTATATATATATATATATATATATTTTTTTTTTTTTTTTTTGAGATAGAGTTTCACTCCTGTTGTTGCCCAGGCTGGAGTGCAATGGTGTGGTCTCGGCTCACTGCAAGCTCCACCTCCTGGGTTCAAATGATTCTTCTGCCTCAGCGTCCCAAGTAGCTGGGATTACAGCCGCCTGCCACCACACTCGGCTAATTTTTGAATTTTTAGTAGAGACAGGGTTTCAGTATGTTTGCCAGGCTGGTCATGAACTCCTGACCTCAGGTGATCCACCCACCTCGGCCTCCCAAAGTGCTGGGATTACAGGTGTGAGCCACTGCACCTGGCCTACTGGAGCCATATATATATTTAATACATGGGGTGGGGAAGGGGATTGTATTTTTAGTAATGAGTGGACCCAAGATTTTAAGGCAGAATTGTGACATGATCATTCTGGCTATGCTGTGGAGGGAAAAAAAGAGGAGAGGTACAAACACTAGTAAGAACACTTGGGGAGTAACAAGGCAGCCCTTGAACTGAGGCAGGTGGAAGAAAGGAGAGAAGGTGGATTTAAGAGATACTGAACATAAAGGACTAGGGAGAAGAAAGAGTCTAGGGTGACTGCTTCCATGCTTGGGTGCCTGAGTAGACAATATTGCTCTTAACCGAAATTGGTGGGGAATGAACAGGTTTGGAGGACCCTAAGTCAGTGAATTAGTGGTGTTTGCCGGACTTTAGGTAGCAATGTTAGTTGGCAATTTGAAGTACTCAAGAGACATGGAAAGCATGCGCATATGAGGACTGGGTAGAGAAAGGAGAACCCACAATGGGGATGATAAGTAATAGAGAGGTGAGGCTGGGCGTGGTGGCTCATGTCTGTAATCCCAGCACTTTGGGAGGCTGAGTGTGTGGATCACTTGAGGCCAGGAGTTTGAGACCAGCCTGGGCAACATGGCGAAACCCCGTTTCTACTAAAAATGCAAAAATTAGCCAGGCGTGGTTGCACATGCCTTTAATCTCAACTACTGTGGAGGCTGAGGCAGGAGAATCACTTGAACCTGGGAGGCGGAGGTTGTAGTGGGCGGAGGTTGCAGTGAGCTGAGATTGCGCCTCTGCACTCCAGCCTGTGTGACAGAGGGACACTTCGTCCTAAAAGGTGAGAAAAGAGAGGTGAGTCATGGAACAAGGGTTTTTTGTTTGATGAAGCCTAAAAAGTATCTGTTGTCATTGGTGTTTTTGGTGCCTTAGGTGATTGTTGACTGAGAGGAGAGCCTTTGGTTAATAGAGGAAACCACTGGCCATAATTAAGGGGAGAATGAGAGGAAAAAGATTATGAGTTTAGAATACTTGTTTAAGAATGTTGGCAGTGAAGGGAAGGAGACAAGTTTTTTTTTGTTTTTTTTGTTTTTTTTTTTTGAGACAAGGTCTTGTTCTCTTGCCGGTGCTGGATTGCAGTGGTGCATGGTTCACTATAACCTGGACCTCCCAGGCTCAAGTGATCCTCCCACCTCAGCCTCTGGAGTAGCTGGGACTACAGGCACACACCACCACGACTGGCTAATTTTTTGTGGGGAGAGGGTTTTGCCATGTTTCCCAGGCTGGTCTTGAACTTTGAGCTCAAGCAATCCGCCTGCCTCGGCCTCTCAAAGTGTTGGGATTACAGGTGTGAGCCACTGTGTCTGGCGGGAGGGAGGCATTCTTAAGGGTCAATTTAAACTAGATTCTTACTCAGTGTTTATGTAACAAAACATTGGACAGGGGACCAGAACCCTTATCTCTCTAAGGTTGTGTCCTAAAATGTGATCATTTCACCCCTTTTGGTATAAAACATTTTAGTAGCTTCTAGGGTAAAGACTAAGACCCTACTAATAGTAGGGTGACCATATAATTTGGCATCCAAATTGGGATACTTTTGTGTATGAAAGAGGGAGCTGTTAATAATTATGCAGTGACAGCTCGCATAAATGGAACTTGTCCTTGGCAATCTGGGACATATTTGCCCAGGTTATCCTACCTAAAAGTTCTTTCCCTACATGGGCTGGTCCCAGTCTGACCCTCCAGCTTCATCTCATACCACAGTTGAACTTGTTTACTCCTCTTTAGCCATGAAATCCTTTATTCAGTCCCGTTTACTGTGATCCTCTTAAAATAGGGACTTTGCATTTGGAGTTTCCTTTGAATTTTTTTTTTGAGGACGAGACTTGCTGTGTCTTCTTGGCTGGAGTGCAGTGGTGTGACCTTGGCTCACTGCAACCTCTGCCTTCCAGTTTCAAGTGATTCTCCTGCCTCAGCCTCCTGAGTAGCTGGGACTACAGGCACCTACCAACGAGCCCGACTAATTTTTTGTATTTTTAGTAGAGATGGGGTTTCACCGTGTTGGCCAGGTTGGTCTCGATCTCCTGACCTCATGATCCACCTGCCTCGGCCTCCCAAAGTGCTGGGATTACAGGCGTGAGCCACTGTGCCCGGCCTAATTTTACATTTTTAATAGAGATGAGGTTTCTTCATGTTAGGCTGGTCTTGAACTCCCGACCTCAGATGATCCGCCCACCTCAGCCTTCCAAAGTGCTGAGATTACAGACATGAGCCACTGAGCCCGGCCTTATTTTATTTTATTTTTGAGACAGTCTTGCTCTGTTGCCCAGACTGGAGAGTAGTGAGTGGTATGATCTCTGCTCAGTATAACCTCCACCTCCCACGTTCAAGTGATTCTTGTGCTTCAGCCTCTCCAGTAGCGGGGATTACAGGCGTGCACCACCAAGCCCTGTGAATTTTTGTATTTTTAGTAGAGAAGGGGTTTTGCCATGTTGGCCAGGCTGGTCTCGAACTCCTGACCTCAGGTGATCTGCCTGCCTCGGCCTCCCAAAGTGCTGGGATTACAGATGTAAGCCACCACATCTGGTCTGCTGTGTTATTTTTAATTTGTGCAGAATGCAGGAGTTGTCAGAAGCAACATATGTTATAGCAGAAATACTTACATAGTCCCCAGCAGAACTCAGTAATATACTGTGATTAGTTTTTTTTGCCTATCACACCTTTTGATCACCTATAAAAATAGTACTTTTTCCCACTTACTTTTTTGTATAATTATATAGAGTCTATGCCAGTTGTTAGAACATCAAATCATTTAGGATCATTTTTAAATTAATTTTACCTCATTAAATAAAGAATTACCTTTGGGTACCTTGTGTTTTTCTACAGTCTAGTTGTATTGTATAAGCATTGATAGTTTGGGTATAGAATTCTAGGTTGTAAATGCTATTTTCTTAGACTTTTGAAGGCATGTTTTGGCCGAGGTGGGTGGATCACCTGAGGTCAGGAGTTCGCAACCAGCCTGGCCAACATTTGTACTCTACTAAAAGTACAAAAAATTAGCCGGTGTGGTGGTGGGTGCCTGTAATCCCAGCTACTCAGGAGGCCGAGGCAAGGGAATTGCTTGAACCCGGGAGGTGGAGGTTGCAATGAGCCCAGGTCGCGCCATTGCACTCCAGCCTGAGCGACAAGAGCGAAACTCTGTCTCAATAAATAAATAAATAAACAAATAAACAAATAAATAAATAAAATGAAGACGTGTTCTTTAGTTTTCTAGCTTTCATTGGCTGCAGAAGTAATGATGAGTGAAAAATTTAAAAGCTTGTAGGATCTTCTTTTGATCCAGTTCTAAAATTTCACAGGGATGTTCCTTGTTGTAGATCTCTTTTCATCCATTGTGTTGATCATCTGATTGAATTCTTTTGGTCTTGAAATTTATGTCCTTCAGTTGTTGGAAATTTTCTTGAGATTTTCTCCTCTTTTATTACCATATGAGACTCCTAGTATTCAAATGTTGGATCTCTTACATTGATCCTTTGGTTTTCTTCCCTTTTTTAAAAAATATTTTTTCTCTACTAAGAGATGTTCTCAATTTTGTTTTCCAATTTTTGCTATTGTATTTTAAATTTCTAATAGCTTCTTTTTATTCTGTCTCTTTTTTTTAAAGATAGGGTCTTACCCTTGCCCAGGCTGGAGTGCAGTGGCATGATCTTGGCTCACTACAGCCTCAACCTCCTAGGCTCAAGTGATCCTCTCACCTTAGCCTCTGGAGTAGTTGGGACTACTACTGGAGTAGTTGGGTGTGTGCCACTACACCTAGCTAATTTCTTGATTTTTTTCATAGAGACAGGGTCTTACTATGTTGCTGGTCTCAAACTCCTGAGCTCAAGTGGTCCTTCTGCCTCAGCCTCCCAAAGTGTTGGGATTACAGGTGTGAACCATCATGCCTAGCCTTTTTTATTCCCTTGATGTCTCTTTTTTTGTTTTTGAGACAGGGTCTTGCTCTGTTGCCCAGGCTGGAGTGCAGTGGTGCGATCTTGGCTCACTGCAACCTCTGCCTCCGTGTTCAAGTGATTCTCATGCCCCAGCCTCCCAAGCAGCTGGGATTACAGGTGCCCACCATGACACCGGGCTGATTTTCGTATTTTTAGTAGAGACGGGGTTTCACCATGTTGGTCAGGCTGGTCTCGAACTCCTGACCTCAAGTGATCCACCTATCGCTGCCTTCCAAAGTGCTGGGTTTACAGGTGTGAGCCACTGTACCCAGCCTATTCTCTTCTTGATAGCTCTATAGCATTGTTTTTGTCTAAATTTGATGGATTTGGTTCCTTTTTTTTTTTTTTTTTGGAGACAGAGTCTTACTCTGTCACCCAGACTGGAGTACAGCGGCATGATCCCAGCTCACTGCAACCTCCGCCTCCTGTGTTTAAGTGATTCTCCTGCCTCAGCCTCCCGAGTAACTGGGATTACAGACACGTGCCATTACGCCTGGCTAACTTTTGTATTTTTAGTAGAGATGGGATTTTGCCATGTTGACCAGGCTCGTCTTAAACTCCTGACCTCAGGTGATTCGCCTGCCTCCCAAAGTGCTGGGATTATAGGCGTGAGCCACTGTGCCTGGTGTGTTTGGTACTTTCTCTTATCTTTGCAGAAGTCTTCATTGTCCTTCATAGTCCCTCTTTGCTAAGTTAATTTCTTTTTCTGTTTAGGTCTTTGTGTCATCACTCAGTGCAGGGAACAGAAAGCACTAGGGATTTTTTTTTTTTTTTTTTTTTTTTTTGAGATAGAGTTTCACTCTTGTTGCCCAGGCTGGAGTGCAGTGGCGCGATCGCGGCTCACCGCAACCTCCGCCTCCCAGGTTCAAGCGTTTCTCCTGCCTCAGCCTCCCTAGTAGCTGGGATTACAGGCATGTGCCACCACGCCTGGCTAATTTTGTATTTTTAGTAGAGACGGGGTTTCTCCATGCTGGTCAGGCTGGTCTCAAACTCCCGACCTCAGGTGATCCACCCGCCTCGGCCTCCCAAAGTGCTGAGATTACAGGCATGAGCCACCGCGCCCGGCAGCACTAGGGATTTTAAGCAGAAAGGGAAACAATATGAGATGTAGGTGCTTAGAAATGATTTTTAGAGAGGCTAGAGGAGCAATAATGATGCTTAGAACATTGTTGTAGAACTGACCTTCTTTGGGAGCTTTTATGTGTGAGGCCACCAATGGAACCAGTAAACTGTTTTAAAAACAGTATATAGCTACTATTCAGGACTAGGAAGCTGCCACTGCTATTGCTTTAGGAATAGCTGCCTCATAACACCCAGCAAACTGGAGAATGGACATTGGAACACTGTTTCAGAAATATTTTACACCCAGGTCAGTGCCTAGCACATTGTAGATGAGTGACAAAGGTAGTAGTTATTGGTTTTTCTTTTTCTTTTTAAATGAATCAGTCATTTAAATTAAGACTTAATCTGTACGAGTCTGCTCCATACTCCTGTGCCTGTTTATGTTACAGTGATTTTTTTTTTTGTTTCAAAGAAGTGGTTTTGTGGTCCAGTTTCAATCTCATTTAGTATTTTTCCTAATTTTACCCGAGTTTCAACTAGAGTTTGCCTGAGTCTGATTAGGTTGTTGCTAATTCTTTGACAGATTAGTTTATTCAGTGAGTAGCAGAATTTTATTGGCACCGGAAACTATCCTTTGTAACTTTGAGTTTATGCAAAAGCATCTTCTTAGTCTTTTTGCATATGCCAGAGGAGACCCTTGTTAATAGAAATTGTGATCACAAGGCCGGGCATGGTGGCTCACGCCTGTAATCCCAGCACTTTGGGAGGCCGAGGCAGGTGGATCTCCTGAGGTCAGGGGTTCGAGACCAGCCTGGCCAACATGGTGAAACCCCATCTCTACTAAAAATACCAAAAATTAGCCGAATGTAGTGTCGGGCGCCTGTAATCCTAGCTACTCAGGAGGCTGAGACAGGAGAATCACTTAAACCCGGAAGGCGGAGGTTGCAGTTAGCTGAGATTGCGCCATTGCACTCTGGCCTGGGCAACAAGAGTGAAACTCCATCTCCAAAAAGAAAGAAAGAAAGAAAGAAAGAAATTGTGATCATAAGACCTTCTAGAGTTTTTGTGTAATTTTTTTTTTTGAGATGGAATCTCGCTTTGTTGCCCAGGCTGGAGTGCAATGGAGTGATCTTGACTCACTGCTACCTCCATCTCCTGGGTTCAAGCGATTCTCCTGCCTCAGCCTCTTGAGTAGCTGGGATTACAGGCATGAGCCACCACGCCCAGCCAACTTTTGTATTTTTGTATTTCACCATGTTGACCAGTCTGGTCTCTAACTCCTGACCTCAGGTGATCTGCCTGCCTCGGCCCCCTATAGTACTGGGATTACAGGAGTGAACCACCGTGCCTGGCCGAGTTTTTGTGTATTAAGTTATATTTGTTTTAATTTCGGGGAAGTTCATTAATTTTCCTTTGGAAAAATACTGTGGATCACATCCTTTTTCCCTTTGGAAGGGAAGTTAACATGAGGACAGTGTTGAAGCTGATGAGTGGCTGTTGGAGCAAATGCATGCTTGATAAGCAGTTTGAGCCTGTTACGAAATAAAATTATCTAGTTTTAGGACAAGGTTTTTATGTGGGTATATTTTACTTTAAATTGAAAATAAGGTTTATTTTTTCTCTAAAGGTCTGGAGCATGGCTAGATATAAGAGACATGGCATGTTGATGCTGAGCTCTGGGTGTGAAGAGATCCCCAGACACGGATTTGTGTGATAGTCACTTGAGTACTGCACTAGTGTTGAGTGGTGTTCAGGGGCTACCAGACAGCTGTTCAGAAGAACCTTACAGTATATGAAAGCAGGAACAGAGCTTAGCCAGCTAGGCCTAATTGGCCTGGCTCTGTATGTACAGTGGGTCTGTTTTAAGGGATTTAAAAATCCTTGTTTTGTGGCTTTGATTAGAAATAAGAATTTTGTATAGAATGATTTCTGTTAGCTGATTACAGGTGAAAAACTAAATGGCTTTTCTCTTTCATCTCCTGTAATATATTTGTTTTTCTAAATAAGAATGGGCCTGAGGTGAAATGTTAGGGATAGGTACTGACACAAACTGACCAAGAGAATGTTAACAGGTGGGCAATAATTTGCCGTTACCAAATTAATTAAAACTATTTTGTAATGAGCTTCAGATTATGTTGTATTTGTCCCTGCAAGTTTACTTATTGATTTGTTTCACACTAATTCTTTGTTCCCTGTTTAAGTGGACAATCTTATTTTTTCAAGTGTTTATGGTTGGAATATGCTAACTAATTCCTTTTCCTTTTTTTTTTTTTTTAAATAAGGATCTTGCTCTGTTGCCCAGAGCGACAGTGGCTGGAGTGCCGTGGCATGACCACAGCTCACTGCAGCCTTAACCTCCCTGGCCCAAGCAATCCTCCCATCTCAGTCTCTCTAGTAGCTGGGACTACAGGCACAGGCCACTACTCCCAGCTAATTTTTGTATTCTTTGTAGAAATGGGGTTTCACCATGTTGCCCAGGGTGGTCTCGAACTCCTGGGCTCAAGCATTCTGCCCATTTTGGCCTCCCAAAGTGCTAGGATTACAGGCATGAACCACCGGGCCTGGCCTCCTAATTCATTTTCAAGTAGTTATTGTTATTGCAGGCCTGGAATGACTTTCTGCATGTTATGTATGTGGTATGACTTTTGGAAGAATGTACCCTAAAGTTATCACCTAGTAATGATATATTTCTCTAAGAGTTCCATTGAGGGTTCATTTTCCAGCGATTCTGTGATTGGATGTGGTTTTTTTGTTTGTTCATTTGTTTGTTTTAGATGGAGCCTTGCTCTGTCGCCCAGGCTGGAGTGCAATGGTGCAATCTTGGCTCACAGCAACCTCTGCCCCCCCGGGTTCAAGCGATTCTCCTGCCTCAGCCTCCCGAGTAGCTGGGATTACAGGCATGCACAACCACACCTGGCTAATTTTTTTGTATTTGTTAGTTAGACGGGGCTTCACCATGTTGGATCAGGCTGGTCTCAAACTCTTGACCTCATGATCCGCCTTCCTTGGCCTCCCAAAGTGCTGGGATTACAGGCGTGAGCCACTGCGCCTGGCCCAGGATGCTTTTTTTTTTTTTTTTGAGACGGAGTTTCACTCTTGTTGCCCAGGTGGGAGTGCAATGGTGCGATCTTGGCTCACTGCAACCTCCGCCTCCCAGGTTCAAGCAATTCTCCTGCCTCAGCCTCCCAAGTAGCTGAGATTACAGGCATGCACCACTACGCCCGGCCAATTTTGTATTTTTAGTAGAGACAGGGTTTCTCTGTGTTGAGGCTGGTCTCGAGCTCTTGACCTCAGGTGATCCGCCAGCCTTAGCCTCCCAAAGTGCTGGGATTATAGGTGTGAGCTACCGTGCCCGGCCCTGGATGCATTTTTTAATCTCCTTTTTTTGCCTTGCCCTGTCTTCTTATGGTGCTGACTGATCTCTACTTTCTGACTGGTAGGACTAGTCTGGAGTAGGGTACACCTAGACAAATGAAGGACACCCAGGGAGTGAGAGAGAGTCATCCTCACAGAAGGACTAGTGCAGAGGCCAAGCAAAGTTCAGACACTAAGTTCCAGAACCAAGTAGTTCAATGCAGAAGCCAGGGTTGGAAATGACCTTAAAACAAGTCAAGGTCAAACTGGCGGCATGTTGAACAACCAGCATGATTAAAGCAGCAGAGTATATGGTATTGCTGGTGGTAGAAGGTGCTTAGGAGCATTTTAGAAAGTGTTAACCAACTGGATTTAGATTAGTTCTATAGGCCTCAGGAGAGGATAGGCATGTGTCCCAGATACATGGTACTAGGTTTTATTGGGAAAGTACAACCATAGTAAAGCTGTGTATGTTAGTCTTAAGTCACTGCTGTAGAATGTTAGCAGGAATATAAATATATCCTTTCTAGCTAATTTTCTTTTTCTTTTTCTTTTTTCTTTCTTTTTTTTTTTTTTTTTTTTGAGATAGAGCTTCGCTCTTTGACCCAGTTGGAGTGCAGTGGCACGATCTCAGCTCACTGCAACCTCCACACCCCCAGATTCAAGCGATTCTCCTGCCTCAGCCTCCCGAGTAGCTGGGATTATAGGCATGGACCACCATGTCCGGCTAATTTTTGTATTTTTAGCAGAGATGGGGTTTCGCCATGTTGGCCAGGCTGGTCTTGAACTCCTGGCCTCATATGATCCACCCGCTGCAGCCTCCCAAAGTGCTGGGATTACAAGAGTGAGCCACTGCACCCAGCCTGGCTAATTTTCTTTTTAATGGCCAGATACTTGATTACACCTGGTTACTTGTTAGACCAATAAAATTCAAGCTTACTTGAAATGAAAGCTAATTTGGTTTATTAAGGGAGGAAATTCTTAATTAGCATAGAATGCCAGTTACATTTATAAAACTTTATTTTTTTCTGGTTGCAGTTAGAGTTTGGTTCTTCTGTAAAACATCTAAAGCAAATGGGTATGTTTTGTGACTTATTTTCAGGAGCGTGTATATTTCTAGTATTAGATTCACATGTTGAATTTAACATAGGAAGATCTCCTTATCTGGAATATAAATAGTTTAATCAGGCAGGTGGATAACACAACAAATCCAGTCAGGAAATGGACTCAAAGTAAATGTATACTAATATCTTAAGTGTTAGATAGCTTCTAGTAATTTAGGATTCCTATCTAAATTGCTCTGTGTTTGGAGGCATTGTCAGATGTCATTCTGTGCTTAGGTGATAGCTGCAGCAAGTCCATGTATGTATGTTTTAGGATATCAGTTCTACAGGTTTCTGCACTTTGACTATGTGCTGATAATTACACTTGGACTTTCTACATTATATTGATGAATGAAAAATAATATGGTTAGAAAATTATGACAAGAATATGTTCAGAATATTAACTCACTGCATGGCTCCCCATGTATCCTTGACAACTCATGTGACATAGAAGACTCATTGATTTGGCTGAGTGCAGTGGCTCATGCTGGTAATCGCAGCACTTCGGGAGGCTGAGGCGGACAGGTCACTTGAGCCCAGGAGTTTGAAACCAGCCGGGGCAACATAGGAAAACCCTGTCTTCCCATCTGCCCCAGCAAAATACAGAAATTAGCCGGGCGTAGTGGCACATGTGTATACTCCCAGCTTCTTGGGGGACTGAGATGGGAGGATTGTTTGAACCCAGGAGGTGTAAGTTACAGTCAGCCATGATCGTGGAGGATTGCTTGAACCCAGGAGGTAGAGGTTGCAGTGAGCCGTGATTGTGCCACTGCACTCCAGTCTGGGCAACAGAGCGAGACCGTCTCAAAACAAACAAACAAACAAACAAACAAACAAACAAGCTGGGCGCGGTGGCTCACCGAGCCTGTAATCCCAGCACTTTGGGAGGCCAAGGCGGTTGGATCACGAGGTCAGTAGTTGACCATCCTGGCCAACACGGTGAAACCCCGTCTCTACTAAAAATACAAAAAAATTAGCTGGGCATGGTGGCGGGTGCCTGTAGTCCCAGTTACTCGGGAGGCTGAGGCAGGTGAATGGCGTGAACCCAGGAGGCGGAGCTTGCAGTGAGCCGAGATCGCGCTACTGCACTCCAGCCTGGGCCACAGAGCGAGACTCTGTCTCAAAACAAACAAACAAACAAAAAAACTCCAACTCATTGATTTATTGCTATTGTCTGATGGAGACATGGGTGTAACCTTAAGAATTTTTTTTCATGATTCATTCAGCCTGGGAAATTGGTAGGAAGAAAGAGAGGATACCCATGCATGTGAGTTTTAGAGATTATAGAAGCATCAGTTATTATTTTTTTCTTCTTGGAAGAGACATGATATTTTACATAGGATGAAAAAAGAGAAGTTGTGTGTGTCTGTGTGTGTGATTTTTTTTCCTTCCTGGAAAACACATGATACATTTTACATAGGATGAAAAAAGAGAAGTGTGTGTGTGTGTGTGTGTGTGCGTGTGCTTGTAACATTTAGCAAAATAGTCATTATCTGAGTTTTCTGTGCAGAAGATGTAGGAATAATAAGTCATGGGCCTTGCCCTCAAAGGGTTTACAGTCTCTTGAGGTAGCTAAGCATATCCACAAATACAGGGATTTGTATGATCAATGCACTGTAAGTGCTGTATATGCAAGAGGAAGAGATAGTAGTCAGTTCTTCTCTCTTTATTAGCCACTTCATGATGCATTGACTTTTTTTTTTTTTTTTTGAGACGGAGTCTCGCTGTCGCCCAGGCTGGAGTGCAGTGGCGCAATCTCGGCTCACTGCAGGCTCCGCCCCCTGGGGTTCACGCCATTCTCCTGCCTCAGCCTCCCGAGTAGCTGGGACTACAGGCGCCCGCCACCTCGCCCGGCTAATTTTTTGTATTTTTAGTAGAGACGGGGTTTCACCGTGTTAGCCAGGATGGTCTCGATCTCCTGACCTCGTGATCCGCCTGCCTCCCAAACTGCTGGGATTACAGGCGTGAGCCACCGCGCCCGGCCGCGATGCATTGACTTTTTCACTGTTAATATTGTGGCCTAAGGAGGAAGAGGAAAAATATATGAACACAGAACAATTTGTTTGTGGAGTTAAAGGGCTCACAAGGTAAGGACAGCTGTAAGAACTGTCTGCCCTGAGCTCCCAGTGCAGGTAGCCCCACAAGTCCCTTTTCATCATTTTACTTCAGCATCTGCAAGATAAGTCTTTATGCTACCTAGACAGCTACACACCTAAGTGTGGTGACATGGCCTAGTGCCTGACCCTGAGCAGTAAAGGTACTGAGGGTCCAGAAGAAGGAAGGGAATACTAAAAACGCACTTAGTTGGGACCCTGTCTTATTTATTTATCTTTCTCTTCCTGGTAGTACATAGTAGATACTCAGTAATGTCTGCTGGATTAGGTAAATATGTCTCAAAACTAGGGACCTGGACTGAGCCTTTCCGCACCGTCTCGAAACTCTCCTGTGTACCTGTGCATAAGAGTGCATATAAATGCCACTGTACATTTGTGTGGGTTAGAAAAAGCAAAAGTGTGTTCATAACCTCTTATGAGAAGAGACTATAAATTACTTTGCACCAAGGGCGGTAGCTGACTCTTGAGTTCTCTTCAGTGCCTGGTACAATGCCTGCTGCCCACCTGCTTGTGAAGGCTGTGGTGGCTTGTACAGGCACTGCAGGGCAGATCTAGATTGACTATTTGGGTCTCAGAATAACCTGGGTCCTCTGTAACAGAGGCTGAGTACTTATCTTTTCATGAGTTGTTATATTAAAGTA
Organism: Homo sapiens; assembly: GCF_000001405.40. Classification (NCBI taxonomy): domain Eukaryota; kingdom Metazoa; phylum Chordata; class Mammalia; order Primates; family Hominidae; genus Homo; species Homo sapiens. The sequence goes on from NC_000005.10 coordinate 126,800,083, forward strand.
AAATTGTAAGCACTGCTTTCCTGTGGCTTGCTTCTTTCATTTTTTAACAGAAATTTTATTGAGTATCCCCACCCTATACCAGACATTGCCAGGCACTGAGGATCTGAAGGTAATCTCATTTTACCCACATTCCAGTGTAGGAGACAGACATGGAATCTTAAATTTTAAAAAGATGTATATACCATGCACCATATGAGAATGATGCACCAAGTGCTGTGGAGCCCAGAAAGGTACATGATTTTTTTCTGCTAGGAGAGGTAAAGCAGGGAAGCATTACAGAGGAAGGATGACATTTGTTCCATCCTTGGTCTTAGTTTCCAATGGCAGTTGGTTAGGAATTAGATGGAGTTAGGAATGGGAATAGATGGCATGGAGTGGGGGAGAGTGAAGTCCGAGGCTCAGAAGGTCTTTAGGACTTAGACCTGAAGGGCTTTCTAGGGGGACTGCCATGCCAAGGAGCTTGCATATTTCTTGGTGGTCAGAAGTTTTCAAACTGTTTTGCAGAAAACTAGGACTGTTGGGATGGGGCTTGATGGGACACTGGACCCTACACTGTATCTTCTTTTTTTTTTTTTTTTTTTTTTTTTGAGACGGAGTTTCACTCTTGTTGCCCAGGCTGGAGTGCAATGGCACAATCTTGGCTCACCGCAACCTCTGCCTCCCGGGTTCAAGCGATTCTCCCGCCTCAGCCTCCTGAGTAGCTGGGATTACAAGCATGTGCCATCACGCCTGGCTAATTTTGTATTTTTAGTAGAGACTGGGTTTCTCCATGTTGGTCAGGCTGGTCTTGACCTCCCAACCTCAGGTGATCCGCTTGCCTCGGCCTCCCAAAGTGCTGGGATTACAAGTGTGAGCCATTGCAGCCAGACTATATATATATATATATATATATATATATAATTTTTTTTTTTTTTTTTTGGTGGTAGGGTCTCACTCTCTCACCAAGGCTGGAGTGCAGTGGCACGATCAGGGCTCACTGCAGCCTCGACCTCCTGGGATCAAGTGATTCTCCCGCCTCAGCCCCTCTAGTAGCTGGGACTACAGGCATGTGCCACCACGCCTGGCTAATTTTTTTTATTTTTAGTAGAGATGGGGTCTCACCGTGTTGCCCAGGCTAGTCTCCCTTCCAAAGTGCTGGGATTATAGACGTGAGCCACCGCACTTGGCCAAGAAGTAATTTATAACAGAACAATTTATATTTTCATAGAACAGTGTTTTATGTGACTAAGAACTTGACATAAAATGAACAGTAGAAGCATTAGTCATGATTGAAATTAAAGCTCCTATAAAATTTCCACTGGTATCATTGGGTGGCCCTCAGGGTACCACAAGTAAATACTCTCTTCATCCCCTGTCCTCCTTATCTTCTTTGGTTTTTATTTTTATGGAAGAAATCACCATATTCTAGTCATCTGGATGTACTGCCTTGGGTTAATTTTTGGCTTCTTGTGTTTTCTACACTCCACAAGATGTTGAACACAGTATCTTTCACTTGGTAGTATGACATCTTGAGTTTTGAGCTATTTGCATGTATTACTTATTAAATCTGTGAAGTCAAATAAACAAGAACAATACTGCATAAAATATGCCGATTTTACAGGTTGTTCCATACAATAACTTGTAAAGTTGACATGCTGTTTTATGCAGTATCATTCTTGCTGGACCATTTTGGTCCCTGGAAGGCACAGGTCATTCTCCTGCCATGAGGCAGGATCACATTGAGAAGTACCACATTATGACCTGAGCTTTAAAAATTACTGTTTGTAATTGTTAAGTAATTAATTTTGAGTCAGTAGCTTTTGTAAGTATTGTGTAATACTGCATTTAAAATATGGTTTTATTTTCAGTCATATGTCTTATGACATGTATCCTAGCCCTTCTGGTAGTTTTATAGTGGGGCAAAATAGAGACTCCTTCACAAGTGTCAGTTCATTCCTGTGGAGACCCAGCACTTGTGTGAACTAGGCATTTTGGTTGTAAATTATTACAGTATGGGATTTTTTTTAACAGTTAATTTTTTCCTCTTCTGGACTAGTCTTCAGTTAAAGCCTGCCATCGTGTGGTGTTTTAAAGCATGAGATTTAAGCATGTGGCATGACTGCTGAGCTTTTATGATGAGTAAAAAGTGAATACTATTAAATCTTTTCATATGTGATCAACATTTGGCCAGTTTATTTCTTCACTTTATTTTAATATTACAATATTATTTTGAAATTTTTATTAATTAAAGATTCCTCCTTTAGCCAGTCCTCAAACATCAGTAAGTAAAAGTACTCTTTTACTTTTTTAGTTTATTTTTAAGATCCTGTTTCTCCAAGAAAAATACAATAGCAGTTTTAAGAACAGGTATTAATAATTTTGATGTTATTATTATTTTTTGAGACGGAGTCTCACTCTGTCACCCAGGCTGGAGTGCAGTGGTATGATCTCGGCTCACTGCAACCTCTACCTCCCGGGTTCAGGCAATTCTCCTGCCTCAGCCTCCCAGGTAGCTGGGATTACAGGCACACCCCACCATGCCCTGCTAATTTTTGTATTTTTTATAGAGACAGGGCTTCATTTTGGCCAGGCTTGCCTCAAACTCCTGACCTCAGGTGATCCACTTGCCTCGGCCTCCCAAAATGCTGGGATTACAGGCATGGCCCACCATGCCCGGCAATAATTTTGGTATTATTAAGGCTTCTCTGTGTAACTACTGTTAATAATTATTTGGATGAGAGAAATACTGACCTTTAAAATATAATTATTGGGCAAAATATATCCAAATGAACTATAATTTTATAATGTAGAACTCCATTTAAAAAAAAGTGGTTATTTAGAGGCCGGGTGCAGCAGCTCATGCCTGTAATCCCAGCATCTTGGGAAGCTGAGGCTGGCAGATCACTTGAGGCCAGGTGTTCGAGACCAGCCTGGCCAAAATAGGCAAACCCTATCTCTACTACAAATACAAAAAATTATCTCGGCCTAGTACCGCATGCCTGTAATCCCAGCTACTTGGGAGGCTGAGGCATGAGAACCACTTGAAACCAGGAGGCAGAGGTTGCAATGAGCCGAGATCGCCCCACTGCGCTCCAGCCTAGGTGATGGTGAGATGCCATCTCAAAAAAAAAAAAAAGTGATATTTAGAGAAAAAGAAACTTCAGTTTGAACCTCAGCTTGTTTTTTGTTTTTGTTGTTTTTGAGACGGAGTTTCACTCTTGTTGCCCAGGCTGGAGTGCAATGGCACAATCTCGGCTCACTGCAACCTCTGCCTCCTGGGTTCAAGTGATTCTCCTTCCTCAGCCCCCTGAGTAGCTGGGATTACAGGCATGCGCCTCCATGCCTGGATAATTTTTTTGTATTTTTAGTAGAGACGGGGTTTCTCCATGTTGGTCAGGCAGGTCTTGAACTCCCAACATCAGGTGATCCGCCCACCTCAGCCTCCCAGAGTGCTGGGATTACAGGCATGAGCCACCACGCCCGGCCTGTTTGTTTGTTTTTTTGATACAAGGTCTCTCTCTGTCACCCAGGCTGGAGTGCAGTGGTGCGGTCTCGGCTCACTGCAACCTCCACCTCCTGAGTTCAAGTGATTCTCCTGCCTGAGCCTCTCGAGTAGGTGGGACTACAGGCATTGCGCCACCATGCCCAGCTTAAGTTTTTGTATTTTTTGGTAAAGACGAGGTTTTACCATGTTGGCAAGGCTGGTCTCGAACTCCTGACCTCAAGTGATCCGCCAGCCTTGGCCTTCCAAAGTGCTGGGATTACAGGCATGAGCCACCGTGCCCGGCCCTGAACCTCAGTTTTTTGGTAGTTGGTTTTATAAACTGAAATAATTTTTATGCAAAATATTAGGGAGGCCGTTATTTATTGTTACCTCTATGTAACAAAATGGGAGGTACTTGCAAGCTTGGGGTCAATTAGTTCTTACTAATATCAGGGGAGTTTCAGTATCATGCATTGGGTTATAACATTACTTTTTAAAATAACCTTTTCTTCTCATTTAGTGTAATTTGATTTTCTTTTTTTTTTTGAGACTGGGTCTTGGTCTACTGCCCAGCTGCAGTACAGTTGTGCAGTCATGGCTCACTGCAGCCTCAACCTCCTGGGCTCAAGCGATGTCCCCGCCTAAGCCTCCCAAGTAGCTGGGACTACAAATGTGTGCCACTGTGCCAGGCTCTTTTTTTTTTTTTTTTTTTTGTAGATTTGGGGTCTTGCTATGTTGCCTAGGTTGGTCTTGAATTCCTGGTCTCAAGTGATCCTCCCACATCAGCCTCTCAAAGTGATGTGATTACAGACGTAAGCCACTGCGCTCAGCATGATATCCTGACTTACAGTTCCTGTATGTTTTGGCTTATAATATGCATTATATTTAAAAAATGAATTTTCATTTCTTCAAAAATATCCTGTGTTAGTGTGCCTCTTTATAGAACAAGGGGGACATGCAGTCTCACTCAAGGACAAGCAGGATTCTGGTACATTGGTCTTTAATATGGACGTCTTTGACCCATAGTTATTAGTAATCATGTGACATTGAAAGAGAATGTTAGCCAACAAAAACTCTAGATCCAGTGCTTGTGAATTGCTTCTCTAATTTTGATAGGTGATGGGAGCCTTTATTTAAACTACTTCTTTTGTTTGTCCCTTCAGCAGAGAGGGAGAAGACCTCAAGTCATCAGTATGGTTTGATGTCTTATGCTTTTTAAATCTGTTCCAGCTATGCTAAGAAGGAATCTGATCTTAATGGCGCCCAGATCAAGCTTCGAGAATATGAAGCAGCACTGAATTCGAAAGATGCAGCTCTTGCTACTGCACTTGGTGACAAAAAAAGTTTAGAGGGAGATTTGGAGGATCTGAAGGATCAGATTGCCCAGGTAAGGTCAAGCCTACTCTTGAGCCGTATGTGACAGGTTAATTGCCTCATCTGCCTTAAGCCATAGTTTGATTGATTGATTGATTTTCAAATGTATTTTATTTTTGAAATTTTATATATTTGTTTTCTGATGGTTTACTTGAAGAAAAGTCTTGAGGTAGCTAACATGCAAAACATTATCACCTCCCAGGCATTATATCTGGATTGGCCAGATCTTGTGGTTCCCTTCTTCTTCCCTATTGTGCACACACTCATTCTGTCTCTGCTCTCAAAGCCTATTTTGTTAGTTAGGAAATAAGTAAGAAAAGAGATGCCAAAATGCTGCTCTCCACACAGGAAAAAATGAAAGTGGTTAGCTAAAATAACTAGTTTGATTTTTGAAATGTGAGTGAGTCATACGTCTCTGTTCTATTCCCTGTTGCCAATTAACAATTTGACTGGTCGTTTGGTATGATACTCTGTGGGTGGGACCAGCAAATGAATACCCAGTTCTGTGATAAATGTTAAGATGAAGTAATTATACATTGATAAATATATAGGAATTTTAACACTTGATTTGATTTGATTCATAGATATCTTATGTTCATTATTAAATGATTGCCATGTAATTTTTATCACAATTCTTTTTCCTTGTAATAGTTGGAAGCCTCCTTAGCTGCAGCCAAAAAACAGTTAGCAGATGAAACTTTACTTAAAGTAGATTTGGAGAATCGTTGTCAGAGCCTTACTGAGGACTTGGAGTTTCGCAAAAGCATGTATGAAGAGGTAACTATATATAATTTTGCTTTGTAAAGGAATGGAGGGGTTCTAGAATGACTTTGTCATAGCTAAACATGTAATTATATTTTATTTATGATTTCTTTGCCACAAAAATATATCAGATAAAGAAATAATAAGGTTTGGGGATGGGGAGAAATTTTGCAGGTAGATTATTCAAGCTACTGCTGCTAAAAGACCGCATTTGAGAACTCAAGCTGTTACCGTAAACAGATATGATTTCACTTCATCTTACTTATTTTTGTTTTTTTGTTTTTGTTTTTTTGAGACGGAGTCTTGCTCTGCCGCCAGGCTGGAGTACAGTGGCACGATCTCGGCTCCTTTCAACCTCTGCCTCCTGGGTTCAAGCAGTTCTCCTGCCTCAGCCTCCCGAGTAGCTGGAACTACAGGCGTGCGCCACCACGCCCAGCTAATTTTTGTATTCTTAGTAGAGACGGGATTTCACCATATTGGCCAGGGTGGTCTCGATCTCCTGACCTCGTGATCCGCCCACCTTGGCCTCCCAAAGTGCTGGGATTACAGGTGTGAGCCACCACATCCGGCCTCACTTCATCTTAACTTATAAAGGCTTGGTCACAGCAGCTAATTACTGTCAACATGTTTAAGCATTAGTTATCTATTCCTGCCTAACAAATTACTTCCAAAGTTCATCAACCTAAAACCACAGACTTGTATTAATTTCTTAGTTCCTGAAGGTCAGAATTCAGAGCTGCTAAACTGGGTGGTTCTGTTTCTTGGTCCCATGAGGTTGCAGTACAGCTTTTAACCTGGGCTGGAGGAATGGCATCTGAGCTCTTTCACAGGGCTGTGGGCAGGACGTGTCAGTTCCTCACCTCATGGTCTTCTTCATAGGGCTGCTCATGATATGGCCCCCCTAAGGGTCAGTGATGAGAAAGAGAGAGAGAGAGAGAAAGAAACACAACGAGAACATGAATACATGCTACCAGCTACCAAGGCAGAAGCCAGATTGTCTTCTATAACCTAATCACAGAGGTTACATACCATCACTTTGGCCTTCTCCTATGGCTCACATCTGGAAATGCGGCTACTCACAGCATTTATAGGCGTGTAAATTTTTTTTTTTTTGAGACACGAGACCCGCTCTGTCGCCCAGGCTGGAATGCAGTGGCATGATCTTGGCTCACTGCAACCTCTGCCTCCTGGGTTCAAGCTATTCTCCTGCCTTAGCCCCCCTAGTAGCTGGGACTACAGGCGCATGCACCCACGCCCTGCTAATTTTTTGTATTTTTAATAGAGACGAGGTTCCACCGTGTTAGCCAGGATGGTCTCAATCTCCTGACCTTGTGATTGGCCCGCCTCAGCCTCCCAAAGTGCTGGGATTACAGGCGTGAGCCACCGTGCCCGGCTCACTCATGTGGAAATCTTAAAATATCACTTATAAGCCTTAACTGCTGTGGTCAAGGGGCAGGGGCAAAACCGTTGTCAAACAAAGGAAGTAATAAAATTGAGGAAAGGGGAATGTATATTTCATGAAAATTGTAGAGGGTTGAAATCAACTCATGGGGGAGAACATGCTGTTAATGTGCTAGGCTTAATGTTTTTAGAAGTAGTGTAATTTTGAAAACAGTGCAAATAGGAATTCATTGTAGCAGTTAGCAAACCAGTTTTTTAGTTGGAGGAAAAATAATAGAAATCTGATTATTTTTTAAAATTACAGGCTTTAAACAAAATAGATATTAGTGCAAGGTGCACCAGACAAGCAGTCAGACCTTGGACAACTCTTAGTGTCAGTTTCTTATTTAAAATGAAATACTAATACTGCTATTTTTTTCTTCAATGAGTGGTAAGGATCAAAGTGGAATACTGTGTGTGAAAACTCTTTGGATACTGTAGCAAGTGCTGTCATATAATTGTTACTAAGTGTTGCTTTGTTAAAGCAGATATTTTGATATGAGGTTGACTTACATTTTTGTTTTGTTTTGTAAAAATTGTGATTTATCATTACTTATTTCTGATGTTGTGTGTAGACAACCAGGAGTAGGGTTTTTTTTCTTTGTAAGGTCACTGGTTCTATATAAAAAATAGCATCAGTAAAAAGTAATTTAATATTTTTAGAGTGCATAGCATCTTTGAATTTTTGGCCTTTGCCTTTTTGAGAATGGATGTTAAGATAGTCCTCTTCAGTTTTGTTTTTGTTTTTGTTTTTTTTAACTCTTTTTGGAGACAGAGTCCTGCTCTCTCGCCCAGGCTGGAGTGCAGTAGTACGATCTTGGCTCACTGCAACCTCCACCTCCTGGGTTCAAGCGATTCTTCTGCTTCAGCCTCTGGAGTAACTGGGTCTACAGGCATGTGCCACCATGCCCGGCTAAGTTTTGTATTTTTAGTAGAGACAGGGTTTCACCACATTGGCCAGGCTGGTCTCGAACTCCTGAACTCAAGTGCTCCATCTGCCTCGGCCTCCCAAAGTGCTGGGATTATAGTTGTGAGCCACCGCACCTGGCCTTTTTTACTTTAAAAAAAATTTTTTTGTGTGAGACAGAGTCTCACTCTGTTGCCCAGGCTGGTGTGCAGTGGTACGGTCTTGGCTCACTGCAACCTGTGCCTCCTGGATTCAAATGATTCTTGTGCCTCAGCCTCACGAGTAGCTGGGATTACAGGTTCACACCCTCACAACTGGCTAACTTTTTTTTTTTTTCCTTACTTTTTACTAAGTAATACCATGTTGGCCAGGCTGGTCTAAAACTCCTGGCCTCAGGTGAGCCACTCGCCTCAGCCTCCCAAAGTGCTGGGATTACAGGTGTGAGCCACTACGCTGGCCTTAACTTTTTTTTTTTACATTCATGATATATATTCAGTAATAATATCTAACTTCCTTATTATGAACAGTTGGGGGAAAAAAGGAAGGAGAAAGACGAAAGAGGAAGGAGGAGGTAGACAAAGAACAAACCATTAGCAGTCACTCTTCAGTATTTTTGTGATTTAGGTATTATTTGCTTCATGAAATAGATGTGATCTCTGGGAAGGTGATAGCAGAATCCTCCTGATTTTTCTGATTTTTCAGATTTTGTCAAGTGCATGCTCCTGTGTAGTAGTTAAGAGAAAGATGAAGAAATGCAAAGGAAAATACATGCGCTAATATACACAAACAGCAACTTTGGTGGGTTATACTTCCCTCTTGTGGCTTCTTCAGATATTACCATTCTAATTATTATTTTTTTTTTTTTGAGACGGAGTCCAGCTCAGCTGCCCAGGCTGGAATGCAGTGGTGCGATCTTGGCTCACTGCAACCACCGTCTCCCAGGTTCAAGTGATTCTCCCATCTCAGCCTCCTGAGTAGCTGGGATTACAGGCACCCTCCATCATGGCTGACTAATTTTTGTATTTTAGTAGAGACAGGGTTTTACCATATTGGCCAGGCTGGTCTTGAACTCCTCACCTCAGGTGATCTGATTGCCTTGGCCTCCCAAAGTGCTAGGATTACAGGCGTGAGCCACCGCGCCCAGCCTTCCATTCTAATTTTATTTAGACACTTCCTTAAAACAGAGTAAAGGAAAGGATCATGACAACTACTTCTATTCTTCAATGGTAAATTTTTCATAAATATTTGAGTTAGTCAACTAATATTGTTAATAAGATCCTGTGTCACTTGATAATGATAGCTTAATACCGGCTTTTAAAGAAGTCATGTAAATTAGCTTGTGCTGCCTATTATTATGTCTAAGAAAATGGTTTTATGGCTGGGCAAGGTGGTTCACACCTGTAATCCCAGCAACTTGAGTGGCTGAGGCAGATGGATCACCTGAGGTCAGGAGTTTGAGACCAGTCTGGCCAACATGGGGAAATCTCATCTCTACTAAAAATACAAAAATTAGCTGGGCATGGTGGTATGTGCCTGTAATCCCAGTTACTAGGGAGGCTGATGCAGGAGAATTGCTTGAACCCGGGAGGCGGAGGTTGTAGTGAGCTGAGATCATACCATTGCACAACAGCCTGGGCGACAGAGTGATACTCTATCTCAGAAAAGAAAAGAAAAGAAAAGAAAATAGTTTCATTTCACATAAATCTTTACATGAATTTATCACAACTGTTAAGTTTAACTTTCCATGTGCTGTTTTTTCAGAGATGTTCTTAAGATTATCAATGAAACAATTCAGAAAAATAATTTTTGCTTAGTGTTTAGTATAGTATACTGTGTATAAATCCTTGATTGCAGATAGTTTTAGTAGGCCATCCAGGCCTTTCCTTGGCTTCAGAAAAATAAATAGCTATGCTCCTGAAAAGGAATAGAAAGTTCCTAAGGCTTGAGATGCTACCACTTCTGTCATTAGTTCCATTTCAAAAACCTCAACTGAAAACTAAGAGGCAAAAAAGTGTTTATTCACATGACCGCCTGAGGACAAACAGGAGGAAGTTCGTGTGTAAAACTTCAGATGGCTGTGATGTCACTCAGATGTGTACCAATGCAGCCATGGTAAGTAGCTTGGCTTTATGCTTTTTGTTTTTTCCCCAGGAGATTAACGAGACCAGAAGGAAGCATGAAACGCGCTTGGTAGAGGTGGATTCTGGGCGTCAAATTGAGTATGAGTACAAGCTGGCGCAAGCCCTTCATGAGATGAGAGAGCAACATGATGCCCAAGTGAGGCTGTATAAGGAGGAGCTGGAGCAGACTTACCATGCCAAAGTGAGCTCTCTTCAGAAGATTCTTTTGAACACTTAAAATCATTACTTCACAATTCCCATGATGAACATGGCTTTATGTTTATTTTGTTCTAGTTTTTAAAAATGATTCCCCTAGTCTCCATGAAATATATAGAAAATTGATTTTTTCAAAAAAGTGCAGTTTTCTATAAACTAAATGTTATTAAAAATTACTAGAAGAATGTAGGGTTGTTGCAATTTTATTAGAGGTTAGGTTTTGTCTTTTTGTCCCATTGATCATTCGTACTATGCCATAGTAGTTGAACCCAAACCATGTGAAATAACTTTCTTCCAATAACAAGTACTGATCATGCTGTCCTACATAAACATCCATTTAGTAATGAATGAATGTCAGACTGCATTAGATCTCACTTTCATGTCATCATTGTGCATAGATTGTGACTACCACACTTCCGGCTTTTTTGCATAAGGGCCAAATGGAAAGTCTCTGCTATTTCTTCTTCTGTCACTATTATTCACTTAAAAAAATATTGTAGAAACTTCCCACTTATATTAGCTGACCTTACAAGAATTCATAAAAATCACCAACTAGTACAGGCTTTCCCTGGTAAATGATTTTGCCTTGTGTTTTAAATGTTACATGATTTGATTAAAAAGACTTTTTTGTGGTTGACTTAGAATATTAGAGTCACAGAGTTATTGAAAATTTTCATTGCATGGCTTTAAACTGTTCATGTTGCTTTTTATCTATTGTATGAAGTAGCAGTTAGTGAAAGTGAAAGATCTTATTATAAGCAGTAACTTCAGTTGTATAACATTTATCTAATATCACACATTGAGCTATACAGTGAAGGAGCTAAAGTAAGGATCCGTCACAGACTGTGGCCTCACAGGGAGCCAGGGAGGAGACACAGGAGCATGTCCCTGAGACACACATACACAATAGTGTTATGGGATTTGTATTTTACTCAAGGAGTTTTTTTTGCTTCTGAAAGGAAGTGTTTCTATCTGGTTTGAACGAATCTATAAACTAGTATTTTCTGCTTGTTGGTTTACATTCTGTATTGGATTTGGTGGGTTAGGGATATGTGATGTTTCTTTTCTTACAGACACCACCACAGTCAAGTTGCTATTGCCCAGTCTTCTTATTATCAGTGTTATCTTAGACATTAAAGGTTTAATAGATGAAATATTGAAGTAATAAGCTTTGGGTAAAGGCCTAGGTATATTAGCATTCTTAAAGCTCATTATTTAGGAAGTGACTCTAAAAGTCACACAGAATTACCATCATTCACACCATATCAGCAAACTTCATGATGCTTTTCCTGTGTTTCATCTACCAGTTACCAGCAGGACTTAGGTTTGAAATGCCTTGAGGTGAATCATGCTTCCTTTTTTGTTTCAGTTCTAGATAAGACTGACTATGCTTTGCTTCTTCTTTTAGCTTGAGAATGCCAGACTGTCATCAGAGATGAATACTTCTACTGTCAACAGTGCCAGGGAAGAACTGATGGAAAGCCGCATGAGAATTGAGAGCCTTTCATCCCAGCTTTCTAATCTACAGAAAGAGGTAAATAATCATCTTTCTGTAAGAAGTTAGACTTGAAGGCTACCTTCACCACGGGCACCTACCTGCTTTGCTTGGGCTGATGTCACTCCTCCCTCTGTTTGTTACAGAGGATGGTGTCATCCTGTGCTTTCGTCTTCACAGTACTTTTCTAGATTCGTTCATTTTGCATTGCATAAACATCCTGTGAGCAGATACTATTGTTCCTAATTAGTAGATTACACAGAGCTAAGGGACTTGCCCTTGAGGAAGGAGCCTGCTAGTTTATTCACTGTACTTACCCTAGGACCCGGATCTTCCGACCTGTCTAACAGCTTCATCTCTACAGAGTTATTCTCAACACCTTCCTTTTTTATATCATTTGAAAACCAAAATGAAGAAAAACATGCAAAAATTCTTTGTGGGTGGTGAATGCTTTGTGTTTCTAGACAAATTCTTTAGTGCTTAAAGTATATAACAATTAGGATCCAGGAAAGTAGCTTTAATTTGCATATTCCGATAAGAATTTAGTGACTCATTCATTCGTTGGTACGCCTAAGTGACAAATGGCATTATTGCCGGCTGTGTTGACTGGCTGCCTATCAGGGTGTGATGGTGTGCTTCAGGTGCTGCTTAAGCAGGCATGGACACTACTTCAGATCAGTTTTAGCCTAGGGTGATGTCAGTGTGGACACAAAGTACATATACTCCATATACTGCATTCAGAATGATTCAGCAATTAACTCGTCACCTTAATTATTTTGGAAATAACTTCCGCTTCTATTTTCCTCAAGGGAGGAAATCTTGTTTTGAATTTTCCACATGAGAATAAACTTTATTTTACTTTTTTTTTTTTTTTTTTTTTTTTCTTTTTGAGATGGAGTCTCACTCTGTCGCCCAGGCTGGAGTGCAGTGGTACGATCTCGGCTCACTGTGAGCTCCGCCTCCCGGGTTCACGCCATTCTCCTGCCTCAGCCTCCCAAGTAGCTGGGACTACAAGTGCGTGCCACCACGCCCGGCTAATTTTTGTATTTTTAGTAGAGACGGGGTTTCACCGTGTTAGCCAGGATGGTCTCGATCTCCTGACCTCATGATCCACCCGCCTCGGCTTCCCAGAGTGCTGGGATTACAGGCGTGAGCCACCGTGCCCAGCCTATTTTACTCTTGATTGGGCTTTTCTTCCTTCCTTTTTCTTTTTACCATTTTTAGTAAAATATTTTTCTAATTATAAAACTGATGACCTCTGTTGCAGGAACTTAGAAATAAAGCAGAAAATGAGTCCCATAAAATGGGGTGATATAAAATAATTTAGTTAACACAGGGGCTTTTACACTGTCTATCATGTGCTTTGTTACTTACGGCACAAATTTTTAAATTATTTTAAACCTATTTTGTGCTGATAGTGTTTTGAAGATTTTCATTTAATAGCAGAGCTGGAAGCACCTCTGAGTTCATTCCATGTAACCACAGATCTAGGTGAGTTTAATGATTTGCCCGTTGCCCAGAGGCTGCAGACTGATAAATGGGTTTCTCTACTCCTTCCCAGTTTTTCCTTTTATAACTCATTTTCTTCAAAGAAGATTTACTTTTAGAAATTTAACAGATAATCTTTTTTTCCATTGCACCATCTGTCTTAGTCCTTTTGGGCTGCTATAACAAACTACTATTGACTTGGTAGCTTATAAACAACAGATATGTCAGAAATTATTTCTCACAGTTTTGGAGGCTGGGAAGTCCAAGATCAAGGCACTGGCAGATTGGATATCTGCCTGGTGAGGGCTGTTCCCCGATTTATAGATGGTGCCTTCTTGCTGTGTCCTCACATGGTTAAAGGGTGAATGAGCACCCTTGGCCCTATATTATAAGGGCATGAATCCCATTCACTAGGGCTTTCCTCTCATGATCTAATTACCACTCAAAGGCCCTACCTCTTAATATCATCACCTTGAGGGTTAGGATTTAAACATGAAATTTGTGGGAACACAAACACACAGACTGTATCACTGTCTTTGTTTTTCTTGTTGTTTTTTTTTCTTCTGAGACAGAATTTCGTTCTTGTTGCCCAGGCTGTAGTGCAATGGCGCAATCTCGGCTCACTGCAACCTCCGCCTCCCAGGTTTAAGCAATTCCCCTGCCTTAGCTTCCCTAGTAGCTGGGATTACCGGCATGCACCACCACACCCTGCTAATTTTGTATTTTTGGTAGAGACAGGGTTTCTCCATGTTGGTCAGGCCGGTCTTGAACTCCTGACCTTAGGTGATCCGCCCGCCTCAGCCTCCCAAAGTGTTGGGATTATAGGCGTGAGCCACTGCACCTGGCCTATATCAACTGTCTTAACAGGTACTTTTCCAAAAATGGGCCTCTCTGTTCTTGTACTGAGTTGGCATTTACTACTCTTTTCCATTTACTAATAGTAAGTTGTCTACTAGTTACTGTCTATCCCTCAATTTTATTTTTTCCTACTGTATTATTATTTTTTTGGCTGCTGCCTAATCCATTTGATTTACTTAGTACAGATCTTCTCTTGAGGTTGATCTTCACTGTGCTTTGGATGAGGAGACTGTTATTAATAAGTAGTAGTGGGCTCTGAAACTTAGTAGCTATGTGTTCTAACCTAGGTTCAAGGCTGTTTCCCTGTTAATTGAATTCCCATTTTTGCAAGTTGGTTTTTTTTTTTTTTTGAGACAGAATTTTGCTTTTGTTGCCCAAGCTGGAGTGCAATGGCACTATCTCAGCTCACTGCAACTTCTGCTTCCCAGGTTCAAGTGATTCTCCTGCCTCAGCCTCCTGAGTAGCTGGGATTACAGGCACGCGCTACCACGCCCAGCTAATTCTTTGTATTTTTAGTAGAAATGGGGTGCACCATGTTAGCCAGGTTGGTTTCAAACTCCTGACTTCAGGTACTCTGCCTACCTTGGCCTCCCAAAATGGAAGGGATTACAGGCGTGAGCTGCTGCCTTAAATGCTGGGATTACAGGTGTAAGCCACTGTGCCTGGCTGCAAGTTTTTTTTGTTAACCTTATCTTAGTGGTTTTTAAGTAATGTTAGGCAGTGCACTGGGGGTTTCCAGGAGCTAACTCCTTAGCAGATAGGAGACGAGCAATCCCTTTAGCCAAAATAGTTTTTAATTTCTCTGGGGTGAATCTTTCCTCTGTTCATTATTGGTAACAGACTTTATGGTAAACAGTATATTTTGAGGAATATTTTTATTAGTTGATAAATTTTAGCCTTAGAAAAATCATCAAAAATAAAAATGTTATCTTTTTGAATATTTTCCTATTGTTTGTCTTAATAGTGTTTGTTGCTGAGTCATATCAGTTTCATCATGCTGCCTATTAGGCCATAAGAATTTCCTTTTGGTTAAATAACTCAGGTTAGTGAAGTACTTCTTAAATTTTACTTAAAATTGACATGGCTTTAAAATACTGGTTTTACAAGATATATTTAAATAATATATAGATGGTAGCAGTGTTATGTTTTGGAATTAGAAATTTTACATTGCTTATAGCATCTCTAGATTTTTGACTTGGGACCAAATGAATTGGTTGGTTAGAGTCTGCTTGCCTTAGAGAAGAGTACAGTATGGTACTTAAAAACACCTCTAACTTTTGTTTTTCTAACACCCAGATTCTGGAGACTTTGGTTGCAGCTAGACCTTAATAAACCAGTACAATTACATTACATACTATAAAATATTTAAAAACCCCAAGATCATCAGAAGTCATAAAATTTAGGGTTAGTGGCAAGATCTGAGAGATCATCTAGATAGTTAGAGCTCTTCATTTTCCTTATGTGGAAACTGGTTTAGTGAGATTAGTTACAGCTTGCTTATAGCCTCATAGGTAGTTTCAATGGCAGAATTAGAAAGGAGAATCTAGGTCTAACTTCTCATACTGTGTTCCTTATATTTCACTACACAGGTGTAAGTGCAGCTACTGAAAATAGAATTTAAATATTTCTATTTAAAATACAGAATGATTCAGAGTAACTTTAAAATTTTTATACCTAGATTTTGATTTTTCCCTCTTAAAGAGCTCTACAACATCAAAGGCAGTCAAACAGAGACATCATTGGGTTTATAAATCTCGGCTCAGGTTATCTGTGAATCTTGGGTAGTTTATATCTCTCATCAACTCTCCTTTAGATTCTACCTTTTTGCCCATTCAAATATATCTTCTACCTCTGATATATGAAATAAAGGGAGGCATTTTGAACTTACATGACTTTTTTTTTTTCTTTTGGAGAAAAAGAAAATACAAGGAACATGGTAGCGGGGAAATGGATTTCTCCATTTATAGCATGATTTTTGCAAACGCAGTTAAATGCAAGTTCTCTGAGGTTCAGGGACTACCTTTGTAATATCCATCTTAAGAGGAGTGCCTGTCTAAATAGCATGTCAAGTCATATACTACTCTGGAATTTAATTAATTGATTGGTCAATTTTTTTTCTTTAAAAATATATTTTTGTGTGTGCGTGTGAACCAGGCACCCCCTCTGCCCCCAAATAGGTTTACAGTGACTCTTGATTATTTTTTAAATAACCTTGTTATTTTGGCATAATTTTAGATTTACAGAAAAGTTGGCAAAGTACTATAGACAGTTCTTGTTTTCCTCTCACCCATTTTCCCCTGTTGTTAGCATCTTATGTTACCATAGTATATTTGTCAAAACTAAGAAACTGACATTGGTATATTACTGTGAACTCGTCTCCAGACTATTTGGATTTCACCAGTTCTTCTGTTATCTTCTTTCTGTTCCAGGTGCCACATGCCTCCCCTGGTCTGTGACAGTTTCTTGGGCTTTCCTTGTTTTTTATGAGCTTGAGTCTTGAGTAAGATTGTCCAGGTATCCTGTAGACTGTCCCCCAATTTGGATTTGTCCGGTGCTTTTCACGTGATTAGACTGGGGTTTTGGGTTTTAAGTGCCCGTTTTGTCACATCGTATCAGGGATTGCACGTATGTGATAACCACATGACATCACTGGTGGTGTTTGGTTTAAGATAGTGTTTGTCAGGTTTCTCCACTGTCAACAGCGCTACTATTTTTCCGTTCCCATACACTGTTCATGGAAAACAGCTCACTAAGTCCAGCCTACCCTCAAGGGTGAAGGACAGGGCAGGACTTAAGCGCCACATTCTGGAGGGAAATCTACATTTATTAAATGGCATTCTTCTGTAACGATTTATCCATTCCCCGTTTGTTTGGTTTGTTTGTTTGTTTGTTTGTGTCCGTATGGACCATGGGCATTTACTTTATACTTTGGGTTGTAAGCTAATACTGCAGTATTTACTTTTTTGGCTTAAATTGTTTCATATTTGGCCACTGGGAGTTCTGTCAGCTTGGCCACTATGTCCCATTGTTTTTTGAGCACTTTGTTGCTTTCTGGTACTATAACATGCTCTAGGCTCATCTTGCATTTTCCCTGCCCCAGTCCTAGAATTATCCAGTCTCCAAGGAGCCCTGGTTCTTGTTATTGGAGAATGGTATATAGAAATTAAGATCTGGGCACTGAGTGTGCTCACTGGTACTGGGTATCACTGCTTCTTGGCCCTCTCACCGATAAAAGTGGGTAACATTTTATGTATGCTAACCCATGTGTATGCACATATTTATAACTTTTTCTGTCTAATCATTTGTGTTAAGATAAACATGAATTCATACAGATGTCTCTGACTTGAATCTAGTAGGACAGCATTCAATTTTGGCTTCCTTTCTGACATACCTGTATCTTTTCTCTCTCAGAGTGAGAAACCTGGTTTTTATCATCCATTTACTTATCTGTTCAGCCCCAGTATATGTTAAAGCAGTTTCAAAATTTTGAACCTGTACTGCTGTGAAAAGTAAATTTACCAGCAAGAGTACAGTTTTTATGTATTTGGTAGCTCCTTTTTATCTCTAGCCTTCTAGATTTAGTTTTTGCACATTAGATGCCCTTTCTCTCCTGCTCTGTTGCAGGTACTTGTGATTCTGAGGGCCTAAGCTATCCATCAGTCTTTTTGAGTTGTCACTTTCTGAGGCTACTGAGATGAATTCTGTCATGGAGAAACACAGAAGAATAATTACCCAGCGAGCCACAAGGTTTCTAAGATGAACTTTCTGGTGTAGGATGTGTGATTTTTAATTTTTTTATGCCAAATATACAGCTTCTATATTCACAGTAATACTTTACAAATCACCCTATATTGTGTGTCCTTTGTGTGCTAACTGAACATGAGATAGCCCAGCAATCCTAAAGGGACACTAGGTAGTGCCTTCCACATAGTAACCAGAGTCCCTTTGCCTTGGTTTCTGAATATTCCTCAGCAGTCTGCTAAAACGTACTTTTACCCACTCTTAGGTTTATTTTGTCAGTCAGTGTTTATATCTTTTTTTTTTTTTTTTTGAGACAGAGTCTCGCTCTGTTGCCCAGGTTGGAGTGCAATGGCGTGATCTTGGCTCACTGCAACCTCTGCCTCCGGGGTTCAAGCGATTGTCCTGCCTCAGCCTCCCAAGTAGCTGGGATTACAGGCGCCCACCACTACAACCTGCTAATTTTTTTTGTATTTTTAGTAGAGACGGGGTTTCGCCATGTTAGTCAGGCTGGTCTCAAACTCCTGACCTCAGGTGATCCACCTGCCCCGGCCTCCCAAAGTGTTGGGATTACAGGCGTAAGCCACCACACCCACCCAGTGTTCTTATCTTTTTAAGTTCTTTATTTAATTTATACTTTTGGAAGTAAAGGCTTTGTAAGGGAGCCAGACTTGACTTTTACCAAAACCACATCTTAACATTTTTTTGGCTAAGTACAGAAAAATTATATGTATATTTACAGAACTTACATTTGTGGAATATGTCTTTTATTCTTTTATCAGCCAAAACTATCCTGAGGTCTGTGTTTTGTATTTGAGGAATTTTGGGTTTTAATTTCTTAAAATCTCTTGAATTCTAGTGAGTTAGAGATTCCATAGGGTTGTACTGTTTTCCAGTCTAGGAAATGATTTAAAATAGCTGCCTGGTGCTAATGTTGGAATGTTCCTAGAAAGTAAATATGTTTCCTTGCATCTTAAGTCTAGAGCATGTTTGGAAAGGATTCAAGAATTAGAGGACTTGCTTGCTAAAGAAAAAGACAACTCTCGTCGCATGCTGACAGACAAAGAGAGAGAGATGGCGGAAATAAGGGATCAAATGCAGCAACAGCTGAATGACTATGAACAGCTTCTTGATGTAAAGTTAGCCCTGGACATGGAAATCAGTGCTTACAGGAAACTCTTAGAAGGCGAAGAAGAGAGGTAAGGAACTTAAGGGTCACCCTACCTTATGGTCCACTTTTTGCCTCTCACCCTTTTTATTGAAATAAAAATAAATAGCATTTTAAAAAGAACTTTATTTTCTTGGTCATTTCTTTGAACACCTAGGTATAGAAGTAGTAATAGATCATATTTCTACCTCATCGCAGAAAATGTTGCTCAAGTACTCTTAGTTTATTTATTATTATTACTTTAAATGCTGAACTGCATCAGGATGGATTAGTTCCTTTGAGATTTTAAGTGTTTTGGTGATTTAATATATTGTAAAATGCCAAACTGGCTGAAAGAGACTTTACATATTATTTATTTATTTATTTATTTATTTATTTATTTATTTATTTATTTTTGAGACAGAGTCTCAGCCTGTTGCCCAGGCTAGAGTGCAGTGGTGTGATTCTCGGCTCACTGCAACCTTCACCTCCTGGTTTCAAGCGATTTGCCTACCTCAGCCTCCTGAGTAACTGGGATTACAGGCGTGTGTCACCACACCCGGCTAATTTTGTTTTTAGTAGAGAAGAGGTTTCACCATGTTGGCCAGGCTGGTCTCAAACTCCTGACTGCAAGTGACCCACCCGCCTCAGCCTCCCAAAGTGCTAGGATTACAGGTGTGAGCCACCACGCCCGGCTGGCTTTATATATATTTTAAATCTGGTCAATGTATAAATATTTTTGACACCTGTTCTCAGAAAAGAGTTCCAAAAGGGCCAGGTGCATTGCCTCATGCCTGTAATCCCGGCACTTTGGGAGGCCAAGGCAGGCGGATCACATGAGGTCAGGAGTTCAAGACCAGCCTGGTCAACATGGTGAAACTCCGTCTCTAATGAAAATACAAAAATTAGCTGGGCATGGTGGCAGGCACCTGTAATCCCAGCTACTTGGGAGGCTGAGACAGAATTGCTTGAACCTGGGAGGTGGAGTTTGCAGTGAGCCAAGATTGTGCCATTGCACTCCAGCCTGGGTGACAAGAGTGAAACTCTGTCTCACAAAAAAAAGAAAAAGAAAAAAAAAGTTCCAAAAGGAAAGTGGCTGATTTAGGATAAAAAGCCAGATAATTTTAATATTATATCCGTTGTGATCATAAGAAAGTACAGGTACGAAAAGAGAAAAAAGTACACCAACTATAACAGTGGCTGTGGTGGGTGGTGGTAGATCAGATGACTTTCTACCCATTTACCAGACTTCTTGCATTATGGTTATATTACTTCCATCCCTAGAGAAAACATTCAGATTGTTATTTTTTAAAAAAGAAAATTGACGATGGGCACCTTATGAAGAAGTTTACATTAGTTAAGGTAAACTTTGGCTTTGGCTAACAGATTGTAAGTAATATTTTGCTTTAGAAATGCATGGGTGGGATATTCTTCTTCTTATTATTATTATTTTGAGACAGGTTTTCACTCTGTCACCCAGGCTAGAGTGCAGTGGTGTGATCTCAGCTCACTGCAGCCTCTGCCTCCCGGGTTCAAGCCATTCTCCTGCCTCAGCCTCCTGAGTAGCTAGTATTACAGGCGCCCACCACCACGCCTGGCTAATTTTTGTATTTTTAGTAGAGACGGGGTTTCACCATGTTGGTCAGGCTGATCTTGAACTCCTGACCTCAAGCAATCCACCTGCCTTGGCCTCCCAAAGTGCTGTTGGGTTACAGACATGAGCCTCTGTGCCCAGCCCTTGTTTTTTTGTTTTTTTTTTTTTTAAGGCGAGAAGGGCATATGTGTTTTAAAAATGAATTGTTTTATTTTTCCCATATAGGTTGAAGCTGTCTCCAAGCCCTTCTTCCCGTGTGACAGTATCCCGAGCATCCTCAAGTCGTAGTGTACGTACAACTAGAGGAAAGCGGAAGAGGGTTGATGTGGAAGAATCAGAGGCGAGTAGTAGTGTTAGCATCTCTCATTCCGCCTCAGCCACTGGAAATGTTTGCATCGAAGAAATTGATGTTGATGGGAAATTTATCCGCTTGAAGAACACTTCTGAACAGGTAATAAAATAGACCCTTTTTTTTCTAGCAAGGCTTTGTGGATTGCTAGATTCTCTTGCAATTGTCATAGCTCCTTAGTTTTTGTTTGGATTCATTACGTCTTCATGGAATAAGGGTTTATGTCCTTTTTACTTAAATTCATAAAATAAAATAAAAATTAAAATAGGAGGAGGAAGAGTTAGGTACCCTTAGTAGTTTAAAGATTTGCTTCATTAACCCTTCTTTAGAGGGCCAGGGCTTTTTTGAAAAGCATGTTCCTTTTATCACAGTGGTTCTGAGGATGAGTTATTATTATTCTCTGCCCTAGCCAAATTTGTGAAGAAGTTGGAGCAATTGGATGAAAATGGTGGATATTCTTTCGGTCATTAACTTAATAAAAAGCTTACTGAAAGAAGGAGATAAGAGCCTGGACTCAGATATTAAGGGAATATTTTTCCCTGCAAATAAATGAATGAACAAATGCTAATACTTTACATGAAAAATAGCATGAAGCCTTATTTTGAAATATGTTTAAAAGTAAACATGAAGTATTCATAGCAGAGATTTCTGAAATTTAGGGCTGGGGCTTTCGGGAGCTCTGTAGTGTGGGCCTTCCCTAGCTCTGCATCAAGGAGCTGGAGGCCATGATGGGTTGTGAGATGATACTAGAGGAAGGCATGGTCTGGGAGCGTGCAGGCGGCAGTGGGATGGATGTCACATCTTGAAACATATGTTCAGGGCCTGCTAAAAGTAGTTTTGAAAATTAGTCTTTTCTCACCACAGTTATTAAAACTATCTTGCATGTGGATGAATATGTAATTTGGATGAGTGAAGGAGCACTAATGAGCACCAACAGTTTTAATGCTAAAGAGAATAGGCTCTAAGGTCTCTTTGTAGCCTTTTTTTTTTTTTTGAGTCTTGCTCTGTTGCCCAGGTCGGAGTGCAGTGGCATGATCTTGGCTCCTCCACCTCTTGGGTTCAAGAGATTCTCCTGCCTCAGCCTCCTGAGTAGCTGGGATTACAGGTGCACGCAAGCACGCCTGCTGATTTTTGTATTTTTACACAGGGCTTCACCATGTTGGCCAGGCTGGTCTCCAACTCCTGACCTCAGGTGATCCACCCGCCTTGGCCTCCTAAAGTGCTGGGATTACAGGCATGGGCCACCATGCCCAGCCCCACTGACCCTTTTTTTGAGCCCCTTATGCTTTCATGTATGAGAGCTGAATGTGGGCAGAAGTGGGACAGATGCAGAAGGAAAATGACAGATTTTCTTCTGTTTCTAAGCTTATGTGTCTATTTTAAAAGCTTGAAGTAATCCAATACTTGATGTTTAAAAATTGTGATTATGACAGCTAGATAGTGCTGTAAATTTGAAAGACCCACCTTATCTAGCAGTGAATTTGACCATTTAATTTGGTTCATACCCTGTTCTTCCAGTTCTGTCCTCTTTAAAGTCAAGTACCTTACTAATTAACTCATTGTTGAAGTTACTGTTTGACAAAATGACAGAATCGTGTTTTCTTTTTATAGTAGGAAAACCTGAAATGTGGGAAGATGACCATAAAGCGGTCTTAGTTTAACTGCCTGTATGGATTAATTTATTTGATTATTCCACAACTTTCTTTATCTTTGAAGTAACACCCCTCACCCTCCTTTCTGTGTGTAGGATCAACCAATGGGAGGCTGGGAGATGATCAGAAAAATTGGAGACACATCAGTCAGTTATAAATATACCTCAAGATATGTGCTGAAGGCAGGCCAGACTGTTACAGTAAGTGAATCTAGTCATCATTTAATTTAACTTCATTGTGTTAACTAACAAAGTAACTCAAAAAGTTTTTTGGCTAAAAGAGAAGCATTTTAGAAATGGCCGTTAAAGTACTTTTTATATTATTAGGGCATTACAAGTGCTATAAAAGATTTTTAAAATTCTGTCTTATTGAGAGTAGTGAAGAATGGACCTTTGAATTATTTTTATCTTGTCTATTCCAGTAGATATAAAAGCTATCTCTAGGCTGATACTTATAGCCCAGTGTCATTCAGGAGACACTGCTTGGCATAAAGAACTGTTAAGAATTTAGCATTAACATATGCCTAAAACAGCAATCTCTAGCCTTGGGTGAGCTTCAGAATCATTTGGGTAGTATTTTGGTGTTCAGGCCCTACTTCACCCTTTGCTATCTTTAGGGTTGGGGTAGGAGCCTAGGTTTTGAATAAAAGTCCTTAGATTATAGGCACCCTTGTAAATTTTCACTAATTGGCATTCTGTGTCTTGATTTCTAAATGGCTCTCTATTGGTATGTTCTGAAATACTACATCTTTAATAGTTACTGAATTATTATTAGCTTACTTTTTAGAGAAGTATGTTTCATTGAGTAATCAAAGATTCTTTTGCTTTTACTTAGTAGGTAGATTTAGCTAACAATAAAATATGTTAACTTTGATACAGATTTCAAAGAAGTCACTCTTTTCATCCTAAAAGAATGTAGAGGTGACTGTCTCTTTCCTTTTATATATTCTTTAAAAAATATTAAACGCATGTTTTAAATGTGTTTATAATTTTATGTTGATACAAACCTTACTGTTGAAGATCAAAGGCTCAGACTTCTCTTTAAAAAGGTGTATTCAGAGAGCATGATGCCACTTTGTGAAAATATCAAATGCTAATTTGGTAATAATGGGTAAAAATGGGATCAACTATCCTAACTACAATATCCTTTCTTCTCGTTAGTAATTACTATAGTGAGAAAAAATTGCTCACTATAGCAATTGCTATTATATGTCTTATGGAAGCTGTATAATGTGGTAAAAAGAATCTGACATTTTAGTTCAGAGGATTCAGAATTGAGTGTGCTCTCTATCTCAGAAGTAATATGGAAGCCTTATGCCAATCATGTGCTTTTTCTACTGGGTATACTACCTCAGGGACTAAATACATGGATTCTAGAGATCTAGTGGATAACTCAATTATCATATAAAATAATGTGATACTTTTTTCCCTTCAGTTACTGGCATTAAATGTGATAAGCAGCTCTTTGGAACATGGTAGTAATAAGTGATCTTTCTGTAAAATTGCAGAGGCAAAAGCAAAGATCAGTTTAAAACTCTAGAATAGAAATATGAGAACCACATGTGTAATTTTAAATTTTCTTATAGCCGCATTAAAGTAAAAAAGAAAGACATGAATTTTAGAACTATATTTTATGAAACCCAATATATCCAAAATATTGCTTTAACATGTAATCAGTCTAAAAAGTCAGATATTTTTACATTCTTTTTTTTTTATGTTTAGCTAAGTCTTCAAAATCTAGTGTGTATTTTACCCTTACAGCACATTCATTTCAGACTAGCCATATTTTAAGTGCTAACAAGCCACATTTTGCTGCGGTATTGAATGACATGGCTATAGGACATATTAGTTTTAGGTTAAGTTAGCCAGCAAGGATACTGACATTTTATGATGATGATTACTAACATAAATCAACTATGTGATTACATATAGGCTAGTGAGAAATATTGCTTACAATTAGGGAAACACTAACATTCCACATAGTCTGAATGTTGGACCAGATTCAGTTCTTTTTTTCAGTTTAATCCCAGTTAATATCTTGTGCCCTTTTCCATTTGTAATGCTGATGAAAGATCTGGATGCTTCAGGGGAACATCTCAAAAGTAAGGGCTCTCTCCTAATCAGTAATTCATAGATTTTTTTTTTCCTGTTTCCACCCCACCCCCCCACCCTTTCTTTTTTTTGATAGAGACAGGATTTCACCATTTTGCCCAGGCTGGTTTTAAACTCCTTAGCTCAAGTGATCTGCCCGCCTCGGCCTCCCAAAGTGCTGTGATTACAGGCTGGAGCCACTACACCTGGCCCCCATTTTGAAATAATACTTGGCTTTGCCATCTTCAGCTTTCCTTTTGCAGTCATAAAGTCTTTTATATTCTATAACAATGTATGGATTACAAACTTTTCTGTTTCTATTTGTTTTTAAATGATCTTTCTAAGAGATCAGGGCTAGTAGTATCCCTGTAGCTAAAGGCATTGAGTTTCCTAGAGGTGTAGTGATTTGTCCAGAATTCAAACCTAGGCTTTCTGACTGCCAGGTGTTCTTCACTCTATCCATTCTCTTTTGCCAGTAGATATATAAAAAGAATTTCATGCTCATGAGAAGGGAAATATAATTATTTCTTTGACCTATTTCAATAGCAATTATATTTTCCCTTGAACAGCGAGTGATTTATACATTTCCAGCATTCTTTTTGGAGCGCAGTCTCAGATACTCTAGGGTATTGTGACATTGTCTGTTTGGAGACGTACCAGTTTCCATAAGATTATTCTAGATAGGCTCTCTGCTGCAGAAGGTCTCTTTAGTTCTTGCTGTAGGCAGCCAGAGAACATTATTAGAGGGAGTCACAGAAGGCTCTAACATGGAAGGATGGCCTATAAAACCCACAGAGTAATAGAACGCTGAGGCTACCATTCACTGAGTTAGCCAGCCACTGAATGTGGGTTATCACTTGCTCTTTTCAATAATCGCACCTGTTACAGGTGCCATTTCTACCCTGTTTTATGGATGACTAAAGTAAGGTAACTTGCTCAGGGTCAGCTGGTGTGTAAAGGAACTAGGATGTGAGTGTAGGCAGTTTTACTTCAGGGTCTTATATATTATCATCTTCACTTATCAGATGGGGAAGCTGAGGCCTTGAGAAGCTCTGTGAGTTCTCCTGGCCACATAGCTGTGTATAGCACTCTGTAGCTGGGGCATAGTTCTCAGACTTTTAGAATCAAGTGTTTGAGTCTCATCGCATTGCTGTCGTTGGCGTGTGGGAGAACTGGGTTCTGGGTGTACTGACATGCTTTGGTTTTTTACAGATTTGGGCTGCAAACGCTGGTGTCACAGCCAGCCCCCCAACTGACCTCATCTGGAAGAACCAGAACTCGTGGGGCACTGGCGAAGATGTGAAGGTTATATTGAAAAATTCTCAGGGAGAGGTATGGCCAGTTTATCAGGACCACCACAATGTTAATTTCACTTAAAGTTCACTGTGCAAGTATAATCAAGATCAGATTGAAACGTGCAATAACCGATTGCATAAACAGACCAAAGCTGCTAAGTTAATTGAACTGAAGCTGTCTTTAAGTTTTAGGAATAAATAGGAGTGTATTATAGAGTACTGATTATTAGCACAGGCTCCAGAACAGATTTTCTGTGTCCTGTTTCTGTTTTCACTGCACATTAGCTTTGTGACTTTGGGCAAGTTACTTCACCTCTCTTAGATTTGTCATTTAAAAATGGATATTAATGACACAATATCCATGAGCTAATAATAAGAATGAGACAGTACTTGGGAAATGCTTGGAATAGTATCTGGCATAGTACCTTTATCTAGTAAATGCTTAAATTATTAACCTTGTTACTAGCTCTCAGAATGTTCATGAAACTGTGAGTTTGAAGATTGTGGAGTGTACATCTTCTTGGAGTGTGTGTTTTCAGTGTGTCAGTCTTAGAATCCTTGTCAAAGTACCTTACCTTCCCCATTGCCACATAAAGACACTGCATATACCCCTACCAATACTAGTCTTAGAAATACTACTTCCTAATAAAGCGGCTAAAGTGTGCTTTGAAGCTAGTAAAACATGGCTTCCTCCTTGTCTTTCCCTAGCGAATCACCTTATCCAGGTGCTGTACCACGCATCACTGAGCCTCTGTTTAGAATTTGAGTCCCTCCTTTGTTGCTATTGCCATAAGCATGTTAATGGAGCTTTTGTTGTGAGTTCAGCATGGTTTGTTCTTCTCATTTTCCTTTTAGTTGTAATACTGCTTTTTCATCCTTTGCCTACCAGGAGAGCTGTAAGTTGGCTTGCAAGGAAGCCATTGGTCATAACCTTGTTCTGACATGCTTACTGATTCTGACCTTTTCACCCAGTTTCCAGGCTGGCAGGCTCTGCTGTTTGTACCTTACAACCTGACTGGGTATGCATTTCAGTCTGAGTGGTGCTGAAAGGAGATATATAGGGGGAATGTTAGGCTGGCAAACCTGGTAGGGAAGCTAACCATATTTACAAGTGCAGGGCTATTCATTTATTTGGAAAATCCTGAGTATCTGCTGTATGCCAGCCACTTTGTGTTAGGAATAAGCAGGAAAAAAGCCATACGTGGTTTCTGGCATCATGGAGCCCACATTGTAAAGAGAGTAAGGGAGCCAGGGAATAAGATAAAGTGATTTTCTGATAAAGGTAATAAAGATAAACTGTGGTATCAGGCCCAGCGCAGTGGCTCATGCCTGTAATCCCAGCACTTTGGGAGGCCGAAGGTGGGTGGATCACCTGAGGTCAGGAGTTAGAGACCAGCGTGGCCAACATGGTGAAACCCCGTCTCTACTAAAAACACAAGAATTAGCCGGGCATGGTGGCACGTGCCTGTAGTCCAGGCTACTCAGGAAGCTGAGGCAGGAGAATTGCTTGAACTCGGGATGAGCTGAGATTGCGCCATTGCACTCCAGCCTGGGCGACAGAGCAAGACTGTGTCTCAAATAAATAAATAAAGTTACAGGACTCGCTGAGTAAAGTTTGTCAGGAGAGGGTCCAGAATTGAGCCCTAGAAAATATTGACATTAGGAATAAGAGCAAAGGAAGTAGAAGATGCAGCCAGTGAAGTCAGAGGAAAATGGTGTGTGATGTCAGGAAAGCCAAGGGAGGAAAGTATCTGTGAAAGGAGTGGTCAGCGGGTCAAATCACACCGTCCCCTTAGGGGTTTTTTGTCTGCTCCCATAGTGCCACGGGCAGGCCTCTAACCTGCGTGGTGCTCATCACATTGTTCTCACTCACTAGAGGAAGCACACTGAGGGCAAGGGCCTGTTCTGGTAGATCCTGGTATCATGCTTGGCACATAACAGGAATTCAGGAAGCATTTACTGGATGCATTTTTTAAAAAAAAATCAGACATGGACCTTGACTTACGTTCAGAGAAATAAAGCAATAGCAGCATTCATTATAAGAGTCTGAGGTGCCTGGATAAAAAGTTCTGTTCATGGCCATCTTCCTGTCTATCCCTCACTGTAACCATGTCTCTTGTGAAACATTGTTAAGAGTGGTGATTGGCTCAGATAAGACTGAAAAGCACTGTTATAAGGGGTACAAGGCAGATTAAATGGACTTTCGTGAGCCATGGAATCTAGTCATTATTTATGTCATTTTTTTTTTCTCTGTGAAAGTGTGTTCCAAGTTAGAAACAATGTTATAGGAGGATATTTGGAATGGAGCAGTAGGTTTAAATGCCCCAAAAAATAGATACAGTGACATGAACAAAGTAGTAGATATTATGACATGGGATGCATCTTCAGACAGTATTACTAGTATTACTGATGACATATTAGTAAAGCTAACTGAAGCTTAGCTCCATTTCATAACTCAAACATTGAATAGTAGATTATTTGATTGATTGATTGGTTGGTTGGTCCATTCTTTTTTTTTTTTTTGGTGAAGGAGTTTCACTCTGTTGCCCAGGCTGGAGTGGAGTGGCATAGCACGATCTCGGCTCACTGCAACCTCCGCCTCCTGCCTCAGCCTCCTGAGTAGCTGGAACTACAGGTGCGTGCCAACACACCTGGCTAATTTTTATATTTTTAGTAGAGATGGGGTTTTACCATATTGGCCAGGATGGTCTCAATCTCTTGACCTTGTGATCCGTCACCTCGGCCTCCCAAAGTGCTGGGATTACAGGTGTGAGCCACCATGCCCGGCCAAGGTTGGTCCATTCTTTTAACAAACTTCTAATACCTTCAGCTTGCGAGGCTCTGTTTTAAGTGAGTTCTGTCAGAAATGAGGAGAGAAAGTATTATGAATACAGGTCTTATTTCACTAGACAGTTACTTTTGGCATTTATTCATTTAATTCGATAAGACCATATTTGTCAGTAGGGACCAGACCACATTAGGAACAATCTATAAACAATCCCCGCCATAAAGACCAGTTTGCAGTAAGATTGTTGGTAACTGGCTTAGTCAGTTTTGTTTCTTATGTTTTTTTTTTTCTTCTTGCTGGGGCATTGGAAATGTCAGAAAACCCAATTAAACTGGCTTAGAAATAATGGAAATTTTTTGGGCTCACATAATAAAAAATTTAAATAGTGGACCTAATCCAGTGGCTCACAGCATGTCCCCGGGGATCTGTCTGTTGTTTCTCTTCTGGTTGCCTCCCTTGGGGACGCAGGATAGCTGCTGGCTGCTCCCAGAGGTACGTCTTTTCTATTTGCTTTTTGTGGGAAGGTGATCTTTCAAAAAAGTGCTCTTTATGGTGGAGTTTATAGATTGTTGCTAACGTGGTCCGGTACTACTGACAGATAAACATGGTCTTACCCAATTAAATGAATACATACCAAAAGTAACTGTCTAATGAAATAAGACCTGTATTCATACCACTTTCTCTCCTCGTTCCTGACAGAACTCTCTCAGAACAGCCTAGCAAGCAGAAGGCAGTAGAAGTTTGTTAAAAGAATGGACAATCCAGCCCACCAAATAATCTGATATTGAGTGTTTGAATTATGGAGGGAAGCTAAACTTCATCCCCTGTGAGGCACCCATCCTGGGCTTCACTCACACTGGACTAGGGTGGGTCACGTGCCCACCTCTAAACCAGTTCCTGGAGTTGGGAGGGCGGAATTAGAGCTCAAGACTTCTTCCTCCCCTCTACAGCCACATTGCACTGGGCTCCTTGTGACACACGTGTGCTCCATGGGGGGTGTGTACCCAGGTAAACCTAGGGGCTCTTATTCAGGAGGGAGGGGGCACTGGGTGGTTAAAAACAGCGATTGTCACCATGGCAAAAACAAGATGTTTTTTATGAGGGAAATAAAAAATAAAGCAGTCCTTCCAAACTTTCCAGAATATAGATATAATGGAAACTTTTGTATATGCAAATGATTACTTATATATGTAGAGATGCAATATATAAAATATAAACAATCATCTTTCGTCCACATAAGATCGCCCTGATTTGTAGCATTTGCTAATTTCTGTGGTATAAATACTCCTACTGTGGCTGATGCCAGGCTTCCAGCATTATGTGACTGAGCACAGAGCTGTGCAGTGATGAGCAGCATCAGCAGGTGCAGCCAGCTCCGGGCACCACTGCACAGATCAGTGCACCTTCATATGCCCAAGGCTCGCAGCAGGGGCGGACCAATGCTGCATTTTATAGACAGAGTAAAGCCTGTCATGTAAGACTATTTATGTGAACCTTTCAGGACACTTGGGGTAAACACATTTATTTAGTAGCATCTTGACTAATAACAATTTCCTTGATCTAAACCTCCCAACAGCTTTTTGGTTCTAAATTATTATTTATTATTTTTCTACCTAGATTTTTAGACATTAGCTCACCCATTTTTTATACGGCTTTCTGTATTAGATTAATTGGTTTTTGCATGTTTTCAAATGAAGAGTGCTTAACAGCAGGGTTACACTTAAAGTAGTTATGTTAAGGTAATTCATAATAATGAAGACAGGCAAGTTGCTGTTTTCTGAGGTTCTCATTGAGGCTAATAGTCTTAAGCTACATCATGAGCCTTAAGAGCCAATGTTTGCATATGGGATGTATACCACGAGCTTCTAGAAGCTGGAATGTGGTAATTTTGTTATAGAAGATTTTATTTGACTCGTTCCTCATTTTAAGATGAGTTGAGAAAAGCTGGGTACTCTCAAAGTTTTTTAAGAATTTATTTTTCTGCTTTATATGCTGCTATCTCCTAGTTGATAGCTTGAACGGTGGTTGATCTAAAGAATCACATTTTTTTTATTACTAATTTGGTTAAAACACTGATATTTGTGAAATGGCTATTTCTGTTTGTAAAGATAGACCAATTTCACAGAATTGAAGTTACTGGCTAATTGAGAGGCTCAAAATGGTCCATCTTCCTTGGTCCTGCAAGAGTAATAAAAAATCCCCACAAAATACTGTTCTGCCACCTTACTTTATTTACAAAACACATTATTGGGCATATTTCAAATCGAAGTCTCATTTCTGTGACACTGGGTTTTGATTTTCTTTCTCTGCCATTGTAAACTAGCTGGTCTGTGTTAGATAAGCTTTTACTGAAGTAATATTGTGTCTTCCCCTGTAGCATTCTCTTTCTTGAGTGACCTTAGGACAGGGTACAGAATAAAATTATATGCTCTGCAGCACTCTTGAGGACACACTCATTTACTTGCTGCCAGATCATCAGGTTAGCCTTGTGCTTAAGCAAAAACACTGCTGCATTTGTGCCAAGTCAGCATTTTCCACAGGAAAGTAATCTGTATTTGACCTTTTTAGTAGAAAATGGAAATAGTTGCTTTCTGTCATACCTTTAGTGAATGATAGGAGACCTATTTCTGTACAGAATACATTGGAACCTCACTAGTACGTTATTGGTAAATAGTGTACAGTGTTCATCTGTCTTGATTTTGTTTCATTCAAGAGGTATCAGTTGCTGAAAGGAATGAAAGGAGCTTGTCCTTTCTTCTCACTTATCAGGTGGTCCTGTTGCTGGTAGTCCCTGAGATCACAGTTGGCTTCCAGCTTCATTTTATTCAGCATTTATTTAGCACCTTATCTTTGCCAGGAGCTAAGATCTTTAAGCTGAATTCATGTTGAGTTTTATAAAGAATTTAGTATGTCAAATAATTTGTAGAATTCTTAGTAACAGAATAGGATAAAAAGCAGTGGAAACTTCTCAGCAGATATTTCGAATTGGATAGTACTTCCTCCCCTGCAGGAAATATGGAAGGTATAAGAACTGCTACTAATTATGCGGAAATTTCAGTTTAGTAACCAGAAAGTTACTGATATACAGCTCCCCCCGCCCCACCCCTTTAAAAATAATAAACAGGGGCCAAGTGTGGAGGCTCATGCCTGTAATCCCAGCACTTTGGGAGGCTGAGGTGGGTGGATCACTTGAAACCAGGAGTTCAAGACCAGCCTGGCCAACGTGGCAAAACCCCATCTCTACTAAAAATGTATAAAAATTAGCCGCACGTGGTGGTGCATGCCTGTAATCCCAGCTACTGGGGTGGCTGAGGCATGAGAATCGCTTGAACCTGGGAAGTGAAGGTTTCAGTGAACCGAGGTCATGCCACTGCACACCAGCCTGGGCGACAGAGTGAGACTCTGTCTCCAAAAAAAGGGATGAATAATAGTAATAATAATAAACAGAAATGCTGTCTCTTTTTTTTTTCTTTTTTGAGACAGTCTTGCTGTGACACTGGAGTGCAG
Organism: Homo sapiens; assembly: GCF_000001405.40. Classification (NCBI taxonomy): domain Eukaryota; kingdom Metazoa; phylum Chordata; class Mammalia; order Primates; family Hominidae; genus Homo; species Homo sapiens. The sequence goes on from NC_000005.10 coordinate 126,832,366, forward strand.
TGGCGTGATCTCGGCTCACTGCAACCTCAATGCAAGCCATTCTTCTGCCTCAGCCTCCTGAGTAGCTGGGATTACAGGCACGTGCCATCATGGCCAGCTAATTTTTGTATTTTTAGTAGAGACGGGGTTTCACCATGTTGGTCAGGCTGGTCTCTAACTCCTGACCTCGGGTGATCTGCCTGCCTTGGCCTCCCAAAGTGCTGGGATTACAGGTGTGAGCCACTGCGCCTGGCAAGAAATGCTGTCTCTTAAGCAAAGAAAAGGTCCCTCTCCCCCGCATTTGGTGATTTTAAGTGTGTTTTTTAACTTAAACTACTATTGTTTTTAGGAGGTTGCTCAAAGAAGTACAGTCTTTAAAACAACCATACCTGAAGAAGAGGAGGAGGAGGAAGAAGCAGCTGGAGTGGTTGTTGAGGAAGAACTTTTCCACCAGCAGGTATTACTTTATTTATTTAATATATTTATTTCAAATTTTATTCACAGAATTACATGAAGACCAAGAGTGTGGTTGGGTTTTTCCCCTATCAGTTGATGAACCAGCGCAGTTATCTACCAAGTGGGGTTTGTACTCCCCAAAGGGATATTCAAGGTGATACTTTAGGGTACTGGAAGAATATGTTGGCACTTTTATTTTTATTTTTTCTCATTGTACCAAGTTTCAGTTTTGTCCTTTGTTTTCTAATGTGCATTATGTGTTACAGTAAAACATGTCTATGGATTGGATGTTTACTCCAAACTTGTTTACTCTGTAGGGTCCTATGATTAAAAGGTTTAGATCACTAATTTAGAGCAAGAATCTGCATATAAACTTTAAAAAAACAAAGTAATATTCAACTTCAGTGTGAAACAAAATTCTTGCTGTATTAAGTTCCTAATCATTATCTAATTGAAGATAGATTTTGGCTGATGGTTGGGCTTTTGAGAGCCCTTGAAATAAAGAAACTCCAAATTTGGTTTTAATTATAATTAAATTGGAATTATTAATAACTAATGAGCCTTCAGTTTATATTCTCAAGCTGTTTGAGTCCGATCATTAATCAAAGTGTCTACCCTTATCCTGATAAGACTTTGTTTCCATGGCTCCAGATTTTTAGTCTTAAGTCTGCTTTGCTTCATTAGCCCTAGTCCTGGTCTAAATAAACACTGTCTCATATATTTAACCCCCAGGGTTGAGAACCACTTGAGGTGGGTTGCATGAAGTAGCATGAATTTTTTACCTGGATGCCTTCTCATACATTTTGGAGGAATATTTTAAAACACATATGTTACACTTAACTTACAAGAAACAAGCACAAGTTCCATTTTCTGTGCTTCAATGGGAACCATCGTAATTACTAGAAGTAAAATAATTATGTAAGAGATAACTCAAGGCACCAGACAAGAGGGTCAGCATGAGTTATATAGCATGTCAGATGCTAGAGGAGGTACTCCAGGCCAGCAGAGTAGTTGAGAAGAACTCTGTGAGGTGATGCTTGTCCACTAATTTGAAGGATGGGTGATTATTTGGTTATTGGAGAGAAGGCAGATGATGGTGCTCTGAGGATGTTGGAATTCACCATTGCTTCACTAACAGACCACCCCAAAGCTTAGTGGCTTAAAACAGTGATTTCTTACTTCCCATAATTCTGTGGTTTGACTGGGCTCAGCTGGGCAGTGTTTCTGTTCCACATGCTGCAGACTGAACTCAATCGAGCAGGCTGTGTTCAGCTCAGAGGTTGGCCTCGGCTGGAATATCTTTTAGGTCTCTTTCTGTGTGGATTTCTATGATTTAAGAGTTTAGTCAAAGCTTTATAGCATGGCAATTGTCTAACAGAGTAAGTGGAGGGTACAGGTTTCTTTCTTTTTTCTTTTTTTTTTTTGAGATAGAGTCTTGCTGTGTCGCCAGGCTGGAGCGCAGTGGCGCAATCTCAGCTCACCGCAACCTCCACCTCCCAGGTTCAAGAGATACCCCTGCCTCAGTCTCCCAAGTAGCTGGGATTACAGGCATGCGCCACCACGCCTGGCTAATTTTTTATATTGTAGTAGAGATGGAGTTTCACCATGTTGGCCACGACAATCTCAATCTCAAGAGAGTACCAGGTTTCTTAAAGGGCCCTTTGTAACATTCTCTTAGTCAAAGTCATGAGGCCAGTCCAGATTCAAAGTGGGGGTAAATAGTCTCCACCTGTTGGTGGGAGGAATGGCAAAGAATTCATGGTGATCTTTAACTCACTACAGAGGATGTGTAAAGAATGTGGCCGGGCACGGTGGCTTACGCCTGTAATCCCAGCAGTTTGGGAGGCAGGCAGATCACAAGGTCAGGAGATCGAGACCATCCTGGCTAACACGGTGAAACCCCGTCTCTACTAAAAATACAAAAAATTAGCCGGGCGTGGTGGCGGGAGCCTGTAGTCCCAGCTACTCGGGAGGCTGAGGCAGGAGAATGGCGTGAACCCGGGAGGCGGAGCTTGCAGTGAGCTGAGATGGCGCCACTGCACTCCAGCTTGGGTGACAGAGTGAGACTCTGCCTCATAAAAAAAGACTTAATGCACCAACTATATCCGCTCATCCAGTTATTTTGTAGGGTTCATGTGAGAGTTAAATGAAGTTGAAAGATTGGAATTAAACTGACATAGTCTGGAATGCTTAGGGATGTAGCTTCTGTACAATTTGGAACAAAGGAGAAGTTAAGACTGCATTTTAAAATATCACTGGCCAAGCTGAATCAGAGGGACTAACTCTAGAGAGGAGATTCCAGAGGCAGTGAGGGAATATATAATGGAAATTTATTAAGGCTTAGTGACTAAACTTGAGGGTGAGAGAAGAAAAAAAATAAAGATGTATGAGGTTTTTAGCTTTTGTGATCACAGAAACTAATGATACCAAGGTTCATAAGAGGGAAGATGGAAGGGCAGAACAGGCGTTTGAACTTCATATTTGAGGATGAATCCAATCGCCTTTTGAATTGATTAGAAATATTTTGGTGACCTTCAAAAAACCAGTTTTAGTTCAATCAGTGGTGAGTCACAAGTCATATTGTGAGGTTATATGAAATTAATGAGTGATAAAGAAATGGGTAGAGGAGCCATGTTGACTTCACCTTGGAGGACAAATCCACTGCAGATGGCTTGGGATGTGTAAGTTCAGGATCTAGCAAGCTGTAGTCTCCGATGTGGTTGTTAAAAGCTGATCCACTGATCTCCTATTTCCTAAGTTATCAAAAGAGGTTATTGAACAATGGTTTTCAAATTGAGCTGCACATTAGAATTACTTTAAAATTATATATAGATAGCTACCCTTTCCCAGTAAAATGAGAAATTCTTATTTGATTGATCAAGGGACCTAGATCAGAATTTGTTTTAAACTCCTCAGGATCTGAATGTGTAGCCAGAGTTGACAATTACTGTTCTGGAATTTGTTGGGGGGTATTCTAGAAAGAAGTCCATAAAAGAAGGTTAGAGGCCAGATACGGTGGCTCACGCCTGTAATCCCAGCACTTTGGGAGGCCAAGGGCAGGTGGATCACTTGAGGCCAGGAGTTCAAGACCAGCCTGGCTAACGTGGTGGTGATGCACACCTGTAGTCGCAGCTGCTCGGGAGGCTGAGGCATGAGAATCGCTTGAACCCAGGAGGTAGAGGTTGCAGTGAGCCAAGATTGCACCACTGCACTCCAGCCTGGGCAACAGAGTGAGACTCTATCTCAAACAAACAAAGAAAAAGAAAAAAAGAAAAGGTTAGAAAAGATGAGAGATGATAAAGGGTCCATTTGAGGTTAGGTAATATGGTTTGGTATCCCTGTAGTTAAAAGTTTTTGTCTTATTTTAGAATACTGTGATCTATTTCTTTAGTATTAATTTTTCCTTCTGTTTTCCTCATCAGGGAACCCCAAGAGCATCCAATAGAAGCTGTGCAATTATGTAAAATTTTCAACTGTCTTCCTCAAAATAAAGAAGTATGGTAATCTTTACCTGTATACAGTGCAGAGCCTTCTCAGAAGCACAGAATATTTTTATATTTCCTTTATGTGAATTTTTAAGCTGCAAATCTGATGGCCTTAATTTCCTTTTTGACACTGAAAGTTTTGTAAAAGAAATCATGTCCATACACTTTGTTGCAAGATGTGAATTATTGACACTGAACTTAATAACTGTGTACTGTTCGGAAGGGGTTCCTCAAATTTTTTGACTTTTTTTGTATGTGTGTTTTTTCTTTTTTTTTAAGTTCTTATGAGGAGGGGAGGGTAAATAAACCACTGTGCGTCTTGGTGTAATTTGAAGATTGCCCCATCTAGACTAGCAATCTCTTCATTATTCTCTGCTATATATAAAACGGTGCTGTGAGGGAGGGGAAAAGCATTTTTCAATATATTGAACTTTTGTACTGAATTTTTTTGTAATAAGCAATCAAGGTTATAATTTTTTTTAAAATAGAAATTTTGTAAGAAGGCAATATTAACCTAATCACCATGTAAGCACTCTGGATGATGGATTCCACAAAACTTGGTTTTATGGTTACTTCTTCTCTTAGATTCTTAATTCATGAGGAGGGTGGGGGAGGGAGGTGGAGGGAGGGAAGGGTTTCTCTATTAAAATGCATTCGTTGTGTTTTTTAAGATAGTGTAACTTGCTTAAATTTCTTATGTGACATTAACAAATAAAAAAGCTCTTTTAATATTGATATACTGTCCTTTTTAACGCTTTAAAAACAGATTTTGAGGGGAGAAAAGTATTGTTTCAGTTTTGCTTTTGATAAAAATATAATTTGACTTCTTTGAACTGGATTTTTCTTTAAGGCTTTGCCAGTTGTGGAAGATAAGCTATTTTGGGGGTCTTTCAGTATTTAATTGTCATTAATAACAACAATAATAAAAGCAATAATAATAACTAATGTTTTTGAGCCAGATATCATGCTCAATGCTTCATTACATTTTTTAGCTTATTAACAATAAGGCCTTTTAAAATTTCTTCAGGAAAACCAAATAGGAACAGTAGAAAACATTGAGGAAGACATTCCTTTTTTTTTTTTTTTTTTTTTAAAGACAGAATCTCACTCTGTTGCCCAGGCTGTAGTGCAATGGCACGGTCTTAGCTCACTGCAGCCTTGACCTCTCCTGGGCTCTGCCTCCCAAGTAGCTGGGACTACAGGCACACACCACCATGTCCGGCTAATGTTTTTGTATTCGTAGAGAGCATTTTGTCATGTTTCCCATGCTGGACATTCCTAGTAAAAGAAAAAATGGGAAGAATATTTTAGAATGTAATTCTACTGTCTTTTAAAATAGGAAGGGCCGAGAAATTGATTAAAAGCCACCTTTTAGAAAAATAACATGAATGCTATGAAATACGAATGTGCTGTGTGTGGGGTAGCTTTATTATGTATGGTGCTAATTATGGTGTCAATTCGTGTGGATTTGGGGAGGTTTTGTCTTGATTGCTTTAGTTAAGTGAGTTCATCTTATAGGAAGTGCAATATCTGAACTCTTCCTAGAATGGACAGATAATATTTCAGAAGCTAACCCTAGTCAGTGTTTGTTTTTCTCTTAAAATATTCCTGCAGTAAGCTGCACAAAGACTACCAGCTTTCACTTGAAAATAACTCACAAAGCCCCAGAATTACTGTGTTCCGCAGATTTACTGCATACTTTGGTGCCGTCGCAGACACAAGATAAATGCTGGGTTAGAAATTCTGTCTGGTAAAGCAGATAAAATGATAACTTCTCAACGCAGATTTATCTTCAGAGTGGGAATGGCATTACAGTACACAGCCAAACTCAGCTGTGAAACATTTTGCCACAAGATGGGGTTCTTGTCATCAAAATACATTCTAGGTGCTTTTATTGCTGGATAAATTAGGTTATAAAAGCCAACACTTGAATTAATTTGGGCATTAAGAAAAATTGGCAGTTGTAACATAGTAGAATAGTGTGTATGCTGGGGAAATTGAGAGTACAAATGCAGGGCTCAACATAAACAGTTTGTTGCCCCTGGATGTGTGGCAGTAGTAGATTCCTGAGTCTGTTTAGACTGACAAACTTTGGACTAAATTGAGGTTTTCTGAAATTGAGCTGCACCTAAACCCATTCCCGCAGAATGTGAGTGAGCTAGAGGGCACGCTGCCATCCTGTGTATTAAAATCAGCATCTCCGCATGAAATTGATGTTAGGCATACAGCATATATATACATTTTTGGATTATTTATTTGATAACAAGCATGATTCACATTTTCCCCTTGTTTTGTCTTCAGTGTTTGTTTTCACCTCTGTTTAGGTATGGATTTATTTTATTATTTTATTTTATTTTATTTATTTTTTTGAGACAGAGTCTCGCTGTTGTTGCCCAGGCTGGAGTGCAATGGTGCAATCTCCGCTCACTGCAACCTCTGTCTCCCAGGTTCAAGCGATTCTCCTGCCTCAGCCTCCTGAGTAGTTGGGATTACAGGTGCACACCACCACGCCTAGATATGGATTTATTTTTATTCCTCTTGTTCAGGTCTTATCTCTGTGTTCTTCATTAAGAAAATTTTGGATGTTCTTATTTTGTTGAGTATTATCTCATCCCCACTGTCTGTTCTTTCCTTCTGGGGTTTCTTTTATACCTGTGTTGAACCTGTCCTGTTTCATGTATTTTAGGTTTCTCCACACTATATTCTCAGTTAACTCCTTCGTATTTATCTCACTGATTCTGTTCTCAGCCCTGTCTTATCTGTTTATTCCAGCCATTGAACTTTTTAGGCTTCATTTTTTTGTTTCTGAAGTTGTCTTTGATTCTTTCTCAAATTTATCTTTTTCATAATTTTTTATTATAGTTTTTATTCTTTTTATGAATCATTTTAACCATATTTTATAGTCTCAATTCTATTTTTTTGAGTTTTGGAGAATGCTAATTTTTCTGTTAGCTGTGTCTGTTGACTTTCCTAATGGTAGTTGGCTTTCTCATGGAGTTTTTAGGATTGTGAACACATCTCCAGCAAGGGCTATGTTGTGAGTGATCCGTTTCATGCGTGTCTGTGTGAAGAGACCACCAAACAGGATTTGTGTGAGCAACACGGCTGTTTATTTCACCTGGGTGCAGGCGGGCTGAGTCCGAAAAGAGAGTCAGCGAAGGGAGATAAGGGAGGGGCCGTTTTATAGGATTTGGGTAGGTAAAGGAAAATTACAGTCAAAGGGGGTTTGTTCTCTGGCGGGCAGGAGTGGGGGGTCACAAGGTGCTCAGTGGGGGTGCTTTTTGAGCTAGGAAAAGGACTTTCACAAGGTAATCTCATCACTTAAGGCAAGGGCCGGCCATTTACACTTCTTTTGTGGTGGAATGTCATCAGTTAAGGTGGGGCAGGGCATATTCACTTCTTTTGTGATTCTTTAGTTACTTCAGGCCATCTGGGTGTATAGGTGCAGATCACAGGGGATGCGATGGCTTGGCTTGGGCTCAGAGGCCTGACATTCCTGCCTTCTTATATTAATAAGAAAAATAAAACAAAATAGTGTTGAAGTGTTGGGGCGGCAAAAATTTTTGGGGGTGGTATGGAGAGAGAGAATGGGCGATGTTTCTCAGGGCTGCTTCAAGCGGGATTAGGGGTGGCGTGGGAACCTAGAGTGGGAGAGATTAAGCTGAAGGGAGGTCTTGTGGTAAGGGGTGATATTGTGGGGGTGTTAGAAGAAACACTTGTCGTATAGAATGATTGGTGATGGCCTGGATACGGTTTTGGGTGAATTGAGAAACGAAATGGAATAACAGAAGGAGAAAAACAGGTATAAAAGGTCTAAGAATTGGGATGACTCAGGATATCTGATTAGAGAGTGCCTAAGGAGATTCAGCATAGTCCTGCCAGCAAAGATTATTTATTTACTTCAAGAGTTAAGAGTGGCAGTTTGGGGATAGCACCAGGAGATATCAGCTGTGATGGCTTGGAGAAACAGTGTAAACCGGCAGTGTAAACAAGAGCAGGGCATGTATGAGTAGTTGAGAACGGTGAATAGGAGTATGACTAGACAGAAGATAGTAGGGATGACAAGTTTTTTGGGGGCACAGTCTAAGTTGGTCTGGTGTCTGGAATGATACTGGGGCCTAATAAAAAGGAGCGTCTATATAGGAGCTTAAATGGGCTGTACCCTGTAGCAGTCCGAGGACAGGCCTGAATTCTGAGAAGGGAAAGTGGTAAAAGTATTGTCCAGTCCTTTTTAAGTTGGTGGCTGAGCTTGGTGAGGTGTGTTTTTTTAAAAGACCTTTAGTCCTACTTTTCTTGAAGACGGAGGACCGTAAGGGATATAAAGGTTTCACTGAATACTAAGAGCCTGAAAAACTGCTTGGCTGATTTGACTAATAAAGGCTCGTCTGTTATCAGACTGTATTGAGGTGGGAGGCTAAACTGAGGAATTAAGTCTGACAGAAGGGAAGAAATGCCTGCAGTGGCCTTCTCAGACCCTGTAGGAAAGGCCTCTACCTATCCACTGAAAGTATCTACCTAGACTAAGAGGTGTTTTAGTTATCTGACTCGGGGCATGTTGAGTAAAGCTAATTTGCCAGTCCTGGGTGGGGCAAATCCTCGAGCCTGATGTGTAGGGAAGGGAGGGGTCCTGAATAATCCCTGAGGAGTAGTAGAATAGCAGATGGAACACTGAGAAGTTATTTCCTTGAGGATAGATTTCCACAATGGAAAGGAAATGAGAGGTTCTAAGAGGCGGGCTAGTGGCTTATACTATAGCATAACCTGCCTTTGCTGGTGTGTGGCGATTAGGCCTGGTGGACCCACCATCAATAAATCAAGCGTGATCAGGGTGAGGAACAGAAAAGAAGGAAATTTGGGGAACTGGGGTGAATGTCAGGTGGATCAGAGAGATACAGTCATGGGGGTCAGGTGTGGTATCAGGAATAATGTGGGAGGCCAGATTGAAGTCTGGGTCAGGAACAACGGTAATTGTGGGAGACTCAACAAAGAGTGAGTACAGCTGAAGGAGCCGGGAAGCAGAAAGTATATGCGTCAGGTATGAGGAAGAAAATAGATTTTGGAAGTTATGAGAACTGTAGAGAGTGAGTTGAGCATAGTTTGTGATTTTGAGGGCCTCAAAGTATTAGGGCAGCAGCAGCGGCTGCACGGAGACATGATGGCCAGCCTAAAACAGTAAGGTCAAGTTGTTTGGACAAAAAGCCTACAGGACGCAATCCTGGTCCTTATGTAAGAATTCCGACCACACAGCCCTGCACTTCGGCTGTGTGTAATGAAAAGGGTTGGGATGAGTCAGGGAGAGCTAGAGTGGGGGCAGTTTCTAAAGCTGTCTTCAAGGAATGGAAAGAGGAGTGGGGAAAGGATTTAGGATCTATGGGGTCAGCTAGGTTTCCTTTTGTGAGTTTATATAATGGTTTTGTTAGGATGGCAAAACCAGGTATCCAAAGGCGAAAGTATCCAACCATGCCCAGGAAGGAAAGGAGTTGTTGTTTTGTAGAAGCGGTTGGGGTTTGAGAGATCAGTCGGACACGATTGGCAGGGAGAGCACGTGTGTTTTTATGAGAATTATGCCGAGATAGGTAACAGATGAGGAAGAAACTTGGGCTTGATGGAAGTAATGGGGGCTGTCTGTGAAGCTTTGCAGCAGTACAGCCTAGGTAATTTGCTGAGCTTGATGGGTGTCAGGGTCAGTCCAAGTGAAAGCGAAGAGAGGCTGGGATTAAGGGTGCAAAGGAATAGTAAAGAAAGCATGTTTGAGATCCAGAACAGAATAATGGGTTGTAGAGGCAGGTATTGAGGATAGGAGAGTTATATGGGTTTGGCACCACGGGGTGGATAGGCAAAACAATTTGGTTGATAAGGCGCAGATCCTGAACTAACTTGTAAGGCTTGTCTGGTTTTAGGACAGGTAAAATGGGGGAATTGTAAGGAGAGTTTATAAGCTTTAAAAGGCCATGCTGTAGCAGGCAAGTGATAACAGGCTTTAATCTTTTTAAAGCATGCTGCGGGATGGGATATTGGTGTTGAGTGGGGTAAGGGTGATTAGGTTTTAATGAGATGGTAAGGGGTGCATGATCGGTCGCCAAGGAGGGAGTAGAGGTGTCTTATACTTGTGGGTTAAGGTGGGGGGGGATACAAGATGAGGACGCAAAGGAGGCTTTGGATTGGGAAGAAGGGCGGCAATGAGATATAGCTGTAGTCCAGGAATAGTCAGGGAAGCAGATAATTTAGTTAAAGTGTCTCAGCCTAATAAGGGAACTGGGCAGGTGGGGATAACTAAAAAGGAGTGCTTAAAAGAGTATTGTCCAAGTTGGCACCAGAGTTGGGGAGTTTTAAGAGGTTTAGAAGCCTGGCCGTCAATACCCACAACAGTTATGGAGGCAAGGGAAACAGGCCCTTGGAAAGAAGGTAATGTGGAGTGGGTAGCCCCCGTATTGATTAAGAAGGGGACGGGCTTACCTTCCACTGTGAGAGTTACCCGAAGCTCGGCATCCGTGATGGTCTAGGGGGCTTCCGAGGCAATCAGGCAGTGTGAGTCTTCAGCCGCTAAGCCGAGAAGATCTGGGAAGGAGTCAGTCAGAGAGCCTTGGGCCAGAGTTCCAGGGGCTCTGGGAGTGGCTGCCAGGTGAGTTGAACAGTCCGATTTTCAGTGGGGTCCCACACAGACGGGACGCGGCTTAGGAGGAATCCCGGGCTGCGGGCATTCCTTGGCCCAGTGGCCAGATTTCCAGCAAGTGTAGCAAGCTCCTGTGGGAGGAGGTTCTGGAGGAACGCCTGGCCGCTGCAGTTCAGGCATTTGGAAGTTCTTATGTGCTGGAGATGTGGCTGGGGTTTGTCTCACAGTGGAGGCAAGGAATTGCAACTTTTTTCTATTATGGTACACCTTGAAGGCGAGGTTAATTAAATCCTGTTGTGGGGTTTGAGAGCCGGAATTTAATTTTTGGAGTTTTATTTAATGTCGGGAGCAGATTGGGCAATAAAATGTATTTTGAGAATAAGACGGCCTTTTGACCTTTTAGGGTCTAGGGCTGTAAAGTGTCTCAGGGTTGCTGCCAAACAAGTCATGAACTGGGCTGGATTTTTATATTCGATGAAAAAGAGCCTAAACGCTATCCGATTTGGGATAAAGAAAAAGGAGCATTAACCTTGACTGTGCTTTTAGCTCCAGCCACCTTTTTAAGAGTAAATTGCTGGGCAGGAGGGGGAGGGCTAGTCACGGAACGAAACTGAAAGCCGGACCAGGTGTGAGGAGGGGAGGTGATAAAAAGATTATAGGGTGGAGGAGCGGAGGCTGAGGAAGAATTGGCACCTAGCTCGGCCTGGCGAGGAGCAAGCAGGCTGGGGAGGAAGGGAGAGGTCAGATGGGTCTGTAGAAAAGGAAGATTAGAAAGACTCAGCGACACTTGGGGTTGGTACTGAGGGGACAGGCGGGAGGGAAAGAAGGAAGATTTGGCACGAGTTGCACTGGGCACAGAGACTAGGAAGGGACTGATGTGTAAAAGAATGCCTGGACGTCAGGCACCTCAGACCGTTTGCCTATTTTACGACAAGAATTATTTAGATTTTGCAGGATGGAAAAATTCAAAGTGCCATTTTCTGGCTATTTGGAATTACTGTCGAGTTTGTACTGGGGTCAAGCGGCATTGCAGAAAATAAGGCATTTAGGTTTTAGGTCAGGTGTGAGTTGAAGAGGTTTTAAGTTTTTGAGAACACAGGCCAAGGGAGTAGAAGGAGGAATGGAGGGTGGAAAGTTGCCCATAGTGAAGGAAGCAAGCCTAGAGAAAAGAGAGTAGAGAAACAGAGGGAAGGGGTTCGGGGGTTCTTACCTTCCAGAAAAGTGGGAAAAGGGGTTGGGGCGCAGAGATAAGAGGTCGGGGTGCGGAAATAAGGGATTGGGGCGCAGAGATATTAAGAGGTTGGGGCGCGGAAATAAGGGATTGGGGTGCAGAGATACGAGGTCGGGGCACGAAAATAAGGGATTGGGACACAGAGATAAGAGGTCGGGGTGCGGAAATAAGGGATTGGGTGCAGAGATAAGAGGTCGGGGTGCGGAAATAAGGGATTGGGACACAGAGATAAGAGGTCAGGGTGCGGAAATAAGGGATTGGGGCGCAGAGATATTAAGAGGTTGGGGCACGGAAATAAGGGATTGGGGCGCAGAGATACGAGGTCGGGGCACGGAAATAAGGGATTGGGACACAGAGATAAGAGGTCGGGGTGCGGAAATAAGGGATTGGGGCGCAGAGATATTAAGAGGTTGGGGCGCGGAAATAAGGGATTGGGGTGCAGAGATACGAGGTCGGGGCACGGAAATAAGGGATTGGGACACAGAGATAAGAGGTCGGGGTGTGGAAATAAGGGATTGGGGGTTCTTGCCCCGTAGAAAAGCGGGACTTGCCACTAAGGGTGAAGGAGAAGGGGTTGAGTGGTACTTGCCCCTCTCCCAGAAAAGCAGAGAAGGGGTAGAGACAAGGAGAGAAGGGGTTGGGGTACTTGCCCCTTCCCCAGAAAAGCGGGACTTGCCGCTAAGGGTGAAGGACAAAGGCAGGCGTCCCTGCGTGGTCTGACACCCTTGAAACGTGGGTGTATAATCAGAGAGGTGTCCCTGCAATGATTAAACACCAAGGGAAGGCTAAGGCTGCCTTCCCAGTCCGTGACTGGCGCCGGAGTTCTGGGTCCACCGATAAAACGTGTCTGCTTTGTCTCTCCCAGAAAATGAAAGGAATTGAAATTAAGAGAAGGGAGAGATTGAAGAGTGGAAAGGAGAAAGTGGTTGAGGGACAGTGAGAGAGGTTGGAGAAGAGAGTAAGAAGAGGCCGCTTACCTGATTTAAAATTGGTGAGATGTTCCTTGGGCTGGTCGGTCTGAGGACCTGAGGTCGTAGGTGGATCTTTCTCACGGAGCAAAGAACAGGAGTACAGGGGATTGATCTCCCAAGGGAGGTCCCCCAATCCGAGTCACGGCACCAAATTTCATGCACGTCTGTGTGAAGAGACCACCAAACAGGATTTGTGTGAGCAACACGGCTGTTTATTTCACCTGGGTGCAGGCGGGCTGAGTCCGAAAAGAGAGTCAGCGAAGGGAGATAAGGGTGGGGCCGTTTTATAGGATTTGGGTAGGTAAAGGAAAATTACAGTCAAAGGGGGTTTGTTCTCTGGCGGGCAGGAGTGGGGGTCACAAGGTGCTCAGTGGGGGTGCTTTCTGAGCCAGGATGAGCCAGGAAAAGGACTTTCACAAGGTAATGTCATCACTTAAGGCAAGGACCGGCCATTTACACTTCTTTTTTGGTGGAATGTCATCAGTTAAGGTGGGGCAGGGCATATTCACTTCTTTTGTGATTCTTCAGTTAGTTAAGGCCATCTGGGCTTATACGTGCAAGTCACAGGGGATGCGATGGCTTGGCTTGGGCTCAGAGGCCTGACAATCCGTGTCCCAGGGTTTTGATGGTATTGCTACAGAGGAATTTGGAAGTTTCCTGTGCCAGAGTCCCAGGACCGTTTTTGGGTCACTTTCTCACCTCGTGGTAATACAAATCTACTGTGACACTTTTACATGCATGGTTGTTCTGTTTTTCTCAAGTAGCTTCCTCATCCTGCCGAAAAGCACCGCCTCTCCCGCCGCCCCGCCCCGCCCCGCCGGTAGTTTGTTTTTGCTCTGGGCTGACAGGCAGTATTCTGGTAGTGTGAGGCTGCAGGGAGCAATGGAAGGTTCTGTGCTTTGTTCAACAATCTTCTAGGTTTCTAGGTTCACTCCCTTGCAAAGAGCTAAAGCTGTTTCCTGTCCTCAACTACCAGCCCTTAAGGCTTATATTCCAGATTTTGAATTCTTTGTGGCACCTGGACATTTCTTGTTCTTTCTTTAAAGCTTGGCTCTATTAAAACAAATTTTGTTCTATTTTCTCAATCTTGTAGTGGAAGGAGGGGTTGTCCATGTCATTTTAATCTGCTATCATACATGAGTGCATCTGTGTATATTTTTAAGAGATATGATTCTAAGTCACGTTCCTCTTGGGTTTCAATATCTTACCCATCATCCTTTTCATCATATCTTAAATTACAAAGAAATTTATTTGGATGCCCCTTCTTTTCTTGCCAAAACACATGATAAAATGAGAAAAATTGAAAAGAATCTTTAAATAATCCATACCCTCTGGATCATTGGCTTCTAAACAAAATGCAGATTTTTTCTTTTTAATTCCATTGCTTGAAGTAACAACATGGAATTTTAGGAGGTGCCACCAGAGGGGAATGTTTCTTAGGGTTCAAGCCTTTGAGTCCCTGAAGCAAGGCTCTAGTATCTGTGGTGTTTACACAGGAAAACCCAGAATTCTGAAGTTGGGACTGACTGTCCTTCCTTGTCTACCAAATTAGGGGGGGGAAATTCCATGAAAAAAAGGTATTGAAGGAAGTAGTTTTTAGAATTTTGTGTTTCTTCTATTTGGCTGCCTTACTGAAGGGGACATTCAGAGCCAGATTGATGAAAATGAGGCAAATACGTGGCAAAATACATGCAAAACTCACAGAAGTCATATTTCAAGTTCTCAGGGAGAGGCGTCACATTAGCAGTATTGAGTGGGAAGAGGAATTAACAGGGAACAGTACTGTAAATGGATGCTGCTTTGCTGTCCTGGAGGGTCAGAGTGAGGACAGAGAACAATCTTAGAGGCAGATCAGTAACCAGTTTGCCCTGGAGCCATGCATGGGACCCAGAGTGTAAAATCCCTCACTGCCTACGTCCTCCTACCCCTCACTTCCACAATAATGCATTTTCTTTCACTTTTAACAGCATGGTAAATCCTGTCCTCTCCTGACATTTCTCCAGAGACAAAATACACCTCTCAATTTAGGGACACAGCCTGCCTCAGTAGCTTAATTACTTTATAACAATAAAACACATATTCACCCAGATTTATGATGTGAGTGCTTCCTCCACCAATCTGAATTGGAATTCTCAGTTTAAATGCCAGCCAAGTTTGCTTTTAGAGAAATGCCGCTTCTGTTCCATTTTGGGTTTTTAAATACTTACTTTGGCTGTGTATTACTCCAAATGAGCTGCAGTCTGTGAAACCGGAAGATTTCTCTGCATTTATATGTCATTTTCTTAAATACTAGTGTTGTTTTTTTTTTGATGAAAAATAAATTCCTACTTGCCTTTTAAGACTTATCTTGTGACCCACTTGGCTTACAGCTGGTGGCCCTAATCCTCCCACTGTAGCATCTGCTGCTTTTCTGCATGGATCTGTCTTTGGGGGCAGACCTCACTGTGTAATTGTGATAGGGTGGAGGTCCCTTTGGTAGTGCGAGGTTTTCTTCAGTGTTTCCTGACTCAGTCTGGATAATGATTCTCAAATTGTCTGGTTTCGTCTGTTGAATACACGCGGATGTTTCCACAGCCCCTTCTAGTCCTGAGTCCCATGACTTAAGTTTAGCCACAAGTACTAGTTAAAAGTGTCCACTGTGACCAGAGGGACACAAATGTCTGACTGTGCTGAATGTGTTTCTCTGGCTTCCTAATGCAGTGGTTGAGAGTGATCTTCAGATGACCTGTTTTTTTATCTAGTTTCACAAACAGTCCCAGATCACTTGTTTTTCTCTTCTGATTTTCTCTCCATTGTCCACATTTAGGCCAAGGAGCCTCCCTCTCACACTGCCCTTTAGCGAGCAGTGTGACTGTGACCCTGGCAGTTAGTTCATTCTCTTCCTAGGACTGGGGTCATGACCCAGCCTTCCTCTTCACTGCCAGCTTTCACTCCCTTGTTACGCTGCCTCTTCCAACCAGCAGATGCCAGGAAGGGACTCAACCCAAGCTCTTTCTGGGATCATAGGGTTTTCACAGAATTTTCCTATGAACTGTTTTCCCAGCTACTGAATCAGATCATTTCTCTTTAAAAAATTTTTGTCTTGCTAAGAGGAAAATTGTTATGAAATTTGAACTCGGAAAAAAAAAATCAAGATCTGCAAACATTCATATTATGTCATAAAAGAAATAGTGAGCCTGGGTTCTATCCCGAGACATGTTGCATTTCATTACCAGGAAAAGTAATGCGTATTATTACAATCCTTCTGGGAGGGGTCCTTCCCTGGAGAAAGAAGGGCGTGGGTGCTAGAGGTGAATGCTTTGGGTCACTCAGGCAGACCTTATACCAGAAATCCCAGAGGGGACCTGAAGCTGGGCCCTTACCGGACCTTACAGCTGGGGAACACTGGGGACCCCACTGGGAGAAACCGACAGGGGCAGGGTCTGGAAACGCAGTGCTGCTCTGACATGTGGGGAGTACACACCAGCACGTGTTGGTCTCTGACACACGGGACACTTTCACTCTCACATAGGAAGGCAGAAAAGCAGCATAAGACCCATCAAGAGGAAGCAGGGTGAAAGGAAAGGGGGCAAACATTTATTGAATGTTCACTCATGCTTGAGTTGTCACATCAAACATTACCTTACAGCTCACAATACTGCATTATTAGTATTGTCCTTGTTTTGTAGATGGGATAACAGGCCCACAGGTTGTCATTTATTCACTTGTTCATTCCTTCACCAACCATTCACTGGGAGATTTAGTTTTGCCAGGCGCTACTGAGCAAGGCATCAAGAATACCAAGATGAGACAGCCAGTTCTTTTCTTGAGGAACTCAGTGTGATCACAGTTCTATTATCCTTGATGACTATGCCTATTCTGCTATCCCAGGGAGCTGTCAAAAAAAAAAATAACATAGCCAGTTTACTAATGAAAACGGTGCTATTAATTGTTGAAATGAATGGGAACAATTCCAACTGTCGGATAATCCCCAAATCCCTATTTAAAATCTCTGTTGTTTCTAATGTTCTTCAAATTAATGGCAAATGTAATAAACATTGTTTTCATGGTGAGGTTTAGAAAATGCTTTCTTGTATATTAGCTGATTTGCACCTCTCAGCGTATGAAGATGGACTTAGGAGCAGGAACAGCTCCAGCTCTTGCTCAATCTGCCTTCCTCCCACTATCGCATCGTAAGCTCTCAGATAAGGCAGAAAGCCACAGCCCTGGTAGAATGACCTTTCCTAAACTGGCTGTTTCAGGATGCACTTTCCCTGACATCAGGGAGGTAGTTAAGTGTTCTGATTTAAAACTCTCCTTTGGGGGGATAGTCACCTTTAGGTAAGCTAACACACCACCCAGCAAGTAGGTGAAAGCAGTTTGGACCCCAGTGATGCAATGTGTTACTGTATCTAGGAAGTGTTGAAAATGACCCAGAGGGTATGCAAGTACATCCAAGTTATCCTGATGGGGGTAGGGTGGGGATGCTGTGAATAACAGGAATTATTGGAACTGGTGATTCAGCTTTGATTGGAAAGGAAATAAAATAAATGATTTTTTAATGATAGAGAATTCAATTATAGTCATGGGTTATGTCCCAAATTTATACTTTCCCACATAGATGGGTCTTCTCCATAGATAGACTTCACGTAGAAAGAATAAACAGCACATTGTTTTTGCCTTTGAACTAGGTCTGTGAATGGAAAACCCTTGATAAGAGAAGTAGTTAATGACACTAAGTTGCTGTCACTTAGTGATGTAAGTCTAAAAAAGCTAACATTCCTGCATCTCAGTTTCCTTATCTGTAAATTGGAACTAAAGATCCTGTTACAAAGAGTTGATAGTGGAATAAATGAGGCCATGTAAGATGGTCATACCAATATAGTAGGTTGTAAAGAAATAGGAATTTAAAACTAATTAACTTAAAATTTTTTGATCACGGGAATTAAGATGGGAAGTAAGGTGAGGCTGTCCTGTTATAAAATGGCAGGGCTGTTAATTATTGTTGGCTTAAGTAAGTCTATTAGCAAAAATAGTGCCAGTCAGAATTAACATTTCTCCTGGGTTAAGTCAACTGAGTGGTTAAACAAGGAAGGCCATTGAGAACACTGGAAACACCACATTTTACTCATTTTATTAATAAATATTAATATTAATTAAACAAACTTTTTTTTTTTTTTTGAGAGACGGAGTCTCACTGTTGCCCAGGCTAGAGTGCAATACAGCCTCTGCCTTCCAAGTTCAAGCAATTCTCCTGTCTCAGCCTCCCAAGTAGCTGGGATTACAGGTGTGCGCCACCATTCCCAGCTAATTTTTGTATTTCTAGTAGAGATGGGGTTTCACCATATTGGCCAGGCTGGTCTCTAACTCCTGACTTCAAGTGATCTGCCCACCTTGGCCTCCCAAAGTGCTGGGACTACAGGCATGAGCCACTGTGCCTGGCCCACAACAAACATTGATTAATCACTTACTAAGTTGCATGCTGTGCACTGGCAATACAATGGTGAGCGAAAAGAAATTTCTGCCTGACCCTGGTTGGGGTGGGGGTGGGGGGCATCAATCAAATATTCACACCGATGTGTAGAACAACAACTGTGGTCAACTGCTGTTATAAAAGGCAGGCACCACACGGCACGCTTCAGGAGCACTGGTCTTTTATGGGAAATGGTCATTAGGAAAGAATTGTCTGGTAGGAGGCTGAGTTTCAAAGGTGAAGTTCTCGCCTCCGCAGTCATGACAACAGCTCCAAGGTTGGGGACGTTAAGGGGGAGGTTCAAATTCTTTGACTTCTCGTTAAGACGATTTGAGCTTATTAAAAACTGGCCATGATCTCTCAGAGCATTAGCTAAGGGATACAGCTGGTGATCCTGATAGGGCATTTTGCTCTAACCTTGGAAGAATCCGTCTAGACTCCAGCCAGAACTTGATTGCAGACAGAACAGTGGAGAAAGAGGGGCCACAGTCCTGCAGCCTCAGTCTGTTTCCCTGGTGTTCCTGAGTGGTCCTGGGTACTCACAGGCACCCGAACTCAAGGGTCCAGGTCAGTCCAGAGTGCTTTCATGGAAACGGCAGGCTATGTGTGCCGAGAATGTCGCTCAGCCAATTGCATGGAATTCAGAGTTCCCCTGAGGTTCCCTGAGACTTGGTTCTCCCTGCTCTGATGGGATTTGGGATAGAAAGTGGGAGTGCCTGGTTAATTTGGAGTTTGAGGGCCTAGTGCTTTCAAAGAGAGATCCCCACCTGGGAGAATCATAACTCACATCCTCTTCCACCCTATACCTACCCGGTTTGGACAAGTAAAAGCAACACTTAAATAAGTGGCAAAATCTGCTTTTTTCCTGTTGCAAATTGAATATTATATGAGGGACAATGACTATTCCCAGCTTGATGCTTTGGAAAGTGCGTTTGGATTTTTCCATTTTAGACAAATGTCAGCTTTCCCCCGAAGTGGCCTCCATCGTGCTTGTTTGTTCCAAATCATTTTTCAATGCTGTGATTTCCCTTCTCTTTGCTTTAAACACTCAGTCACGTGGCTTGTCTCCACCGTGTGGAGGTGCCGGGTGCCTGGTTGGGTCTCTCTGCATTTCTGGCAGGAAGAAGGCATTTGTGAATACTGTCAGTACTTGTGACAGGTTGGTCACATTGGAACCTTTGCCCCTGTTGTTTAAAACCGAAGAAGACTGTGACTGTGGAGGTGCCCCGTGTGCTCAGCGCTCAAATGGGAAATGGAGAAGATTCCCGGAACGTGTTTGGCAGTCACTTCTGAGTTTTCCATTGAGACCCGAACATGAAGAAAATCTTCTGGCTCCTGCCAGTTGGCCAACCTCTGTCTGCCTTCCCCAGCTCACAGGGCTGCACACTGCATTGGGGCTGTCCTCCGCTGCTGGAAAATCACGCCGGTGCTCTTCACAAACACTGAACACTGGCCCTCTGCTTGATCCATGGAACCAAGATGACAGGATCTCCTGCCTGTTCTTGATAACAGCTGTAGTTTTATTTCAGATTTTCATTTAAACAAATAGTTTAAGGCCTCAGCTGGGAAAGAGGATTGAAGTATCCCCAATGGACAAAGCCTCTGGCACGCCAGAAAGACATGTGACTAAGCCTGAGTGACTTTCCTTCCTTCCCCTCCCAGGTTGCTGGGAGAAATAACTATGGGTTTTTGACAACTCTTTCCCAAAATGAATAGTGGAAGGCTGGGAAACACTGAATTATGAAATAAAGCAAGGCAGTTCATTTTGTCATCCTTGGCACCTGAATCCTAAACTACGGTAATGAGATCAGCCCCTTAACGGAGTACTCCAGGGTACCTTGCTCTTAGGCAATTTGTTTTTCTGTGTGTGCTCTTCAACAGACTCTGCAGGAAGTGGCTGACTTGATGCAAATGACTTTTTTGTTTTGTTTTGTTTGAGACAGAGTCTCACTCTTGCCCAGGCTGTAGTGCTGTGGCACGATCTCAGCTCACTGCAATCTTCACCTCCTAGGCTCAAGAGATTCTCCTGCCTCAGCCTCCTGTAATCCCGGGATTACAGGTGTGTGCCACCACACCTGGCTAGTTTTTGTATTTTCAGTAGAGACGGGGTTTCACCATGTTGGCCAGGCTGGTCTTGAACTTCTGACCTGAAGTGATCCACCTGCTTCCGCCTCCCAAAGTGCTGGGATGACAGGCGTGAGCCACCGCGCCCAGCCTGATTTTGGAGGGTTATAGTTGGGAAACTATTTAGTGCGCAGATATTGTCTCTGTGGTAAACGAGGAAACTGACAGGATTCCAAAAGCCTGCTGTTTGAAGGGGCTCATTCAGTTCCAAAAAGAGATGGGAGAGGCAGGAAACGTGAACATATGTGCTGCCTGCCCTCCATTGGTTTGTTTAATAACAAATTCACCCTGTCTGGGCTTGTGACCCCCCTCTCATGTTTGGAAGCGCTACTGCGGGGTTGTAGAGACAAATGAGTCATTTTCTGAGCTCTAATCCTGACCCCAGAGGGGCATGTGGCCACTTCTCCCTGACTTTTCCCGGGGGTGACTTGCTTCCGACACCTGCCGCCTTACTGTTTTTCCTCCTCAAGCAAGCTTGTTGCAGGCACTTCTTCCTTACTTGGTGCTGAACTTAGCCACAAGGAGCTGTCATCACGAGTGTGGGAGAGGGAGGAGAGGGGATCACAGGGGTTTCAGAGGGCTCACTTTGAGACTTGCTGATACTGACAACAGAGTTGACCTGGCCCAGGATTCTTCTAATGCTGCGTGTGACTGTGTGTCTGTGCCATAGTTTTTCAGTGTGTATTCATGCATGATGTATGTGTGTGGGGTGTTGGGGGTGGGGGGAGGGCAAGAGCGTTATTTTCTGGGTCAGAATAACCTTTTAAAATGGTAAGTTTTCCGCTAGGAGAGGAAACCCATTTTGCTCATCTGTCTAGATGTTTTTCTTCACCTGGGCCATGGAGGGCTTTGTTTCACAAGCTTTTCTCCTGTTTCGTCGTTCAGGTGGCAGAGATCGTTGCTCCGCCCTGTGACACACAGCCCACCCTCCATGTCCCACGTTGGGATGGATTACAGAGGATGTGCCCTCCTAGTGGCCCCCGCCAGCCACCAGAGTGAAGTTGATGCTTGGGTGCTATTGTGTCGGAAATTGGTGGGTTCTTGGTCTCACTGCCTTCAAGAATGAAGCCACGGACCCTCGCGGTGAGTGTTACAGTTCTTAAAGATGGTGTGTCTGGAGTTTGTTCCTTCTGATGTTCGGACGTGTTCAGAGTTTCTTCTTTCTGGTGGGTTCGTGGTCTCGCTGGCTTCCGGACTGAAGCTGCAGACTTTCGCGGCAAATGGTTATAGCTCTTAAGGCTGCGCTCTTGGAGTTGTTCATTCCTCCCGGTGGGTTCGTGGTCTGGCTGGCCTCAGAAGTGAAGCTGCAGATCTTCGTGTTGGGTGTTACAGCTCATAAAGGCAGTACAGACCCAAAAAGCGAGCAGCAGCGAGATTTATTACAAAGAGCAAAAGAAAAAAAACCTCCGCGGCAGGAAAGAGGACCTCACCTGATTGCCACTACTGGTTCGGGCAGCCTGCTTTTATTCCCTTATATGGCCCCACCCACATCCTGCTGATTGGTCCATTTTACAGAGAGCTGTTTGGTCTGTTTTACAGAGAGCTGATTGGTCTGTTTTGACGGGGTGCTGATTGGTGTGCTTACAATCCCTGAGCCAGACACAAAAGTTCTCCAAGTCCCCACTAGATTAGCTAGACACAGAGCACTGATTGGTGCATTTACAAACCTTTAGCGAGACACAGAGTGCTGATTGGTGCATTTACAATCCTCTAGCTAGACATAAAAGATCTCCAAGTCCCCACCTGACTCAGGAGCCCAGCTGGCTTTGCCTAGTGGTTGCGGTGCCAGGGCTGCTGGGGGAGCTGCCCGCCAGTACCACACCGTGCGCCTGCACTCCTCAGGCCTTGGGTGGTTGATGGGACCTGGTGCCTCCTACCAGGGGGCGGCACCCGTCCGGGAGGCTCAGGCTGAGCGGGAGCCTAGTGCAGGGGCCGGGGGGGGGGGGGGGGGCGGGGGGTAGGGCATGGCTGCTTACAGGTCCCCAGCCCTGCCCGG
This sequence comes from Homo sapiens, assembly GCF_000001405.40. Lineage (NCBI taxonomy): Eukaryota > Metazoa > Chordata > Mammalia > Primates > Hominidae > Homo > Homo sapiens. Next base: position 126,854,673 of record NC_000005.10, read on the forward strand.
CTGGGTGGCAGTGGAGGCCCGTCGAGAATTTGAGCATGGCACGGGCAGGCCGGCTGTGCTGGGGGACCTGGCGCCCCCCTCTGCAGCTGCTGGCCCAGGTGCTAAGCCCCTCACTGCCCCCGGGCTGGGGGCGCAGGCCGGCTGCTCGGAGTGCGGGGGCCTGCCGAGCCCACGCCCACCCGGAACTCACGCTGGCCTGCAAGTGTGCGCCCAACCCTGGTTCCCACCGGCGCCTCTCCCTCCACACCTCCCCACAAGCAGAGGGAGCCAGCTCCAGCCTCGGCCAGCCCAGAGTGGAGCTCCCACAGTGCAGCGGCAGGCTGAAGGGCTCCTCAAGCGCGGCCAGAGTGGGCGCGGAGGTCGAGGAGGCGCCAAGAGCGAGCGAGGGCTGCCAGCACGCTGTCACCTCTCACTATGAACAATTGGCAGGACAGTCATGGTCTGGACCTAAGGAAGGTTTGCTCAGGGCTGACCTACCCACGAGCAGCTGCTCCTGGCAGTCTGAGCGCCTTTCATATTTCCTGTATTAACCTTGTGGCGCACAAAGACAGCATCGAGAACAAGCTAATGAGAATCATCCCTCTCATCATGGAACCCGCATCCCCTGCCTCAAACCAAGCCATGTGCACACGCACACTTGATGATAGCAGAATCGAGGCATCTGTTGACATTTGTCTTCTTTTTGTTTCTAGAGTGTGGTGGGATGCCTCCATCACTGTAGCACTGTCAGATGGGCGACAGCCTTATCGGCCGCCTCCAATCTCAGCAGGATGTGGGTTTTCTTTTTTAACGGGATGCTCTGAAGCCCTTTTGTCCGTGACCAAAAGCATCATTCTTGGCACTGAGCCTGAGGCCTCTTCTCTGACCTCTGCTTCCCTTCCCCTATCTACAATTACTGCACAGTCAGCCCATTGCCTTACTGTACTACTCTGATCATGTTTGATTTCATATACTTAACATCTCTATGTAAAATGACCAACCTTGAGCCTACAGCCTATGAGCTATAGGCTCCCTTCTGCTCAGCAACCAGTCCCTGCAGAGCAGTGAATTCTTTTAGAGAGAGCGTATATCAGGCAGCAGTGCCCAACTCTTTTTTTTTAAATACAAGTGATTTCACAAATGGAAAACTTAAACCTATATAAAACTGGAGAGTAGTATAATGAATACCATATACACATCACCTGAAGTCAACAATTACCTACATGTGGCCAATCTTATTTCATCCATACTTGCACCTTCTACTCTGTCATCTTTTGGATTATTTTAAAGTGAATCCCAGATATAGCATTAATAGCATGACTTTTTTTTTTTTAGTTTGTAATACAATTTTACTCTTCAGAATATACTAAAGATAATATTTACATATGCGCTGTATGTCACATAATATTCTATTTTCTCCTGTTCACTTTATTGAGGTATAACTGACAAAAATTTTATGTATTTATGATGTTAAATGTGATGTTTTGACATATGTATACATTGTGAAATGATTACATCAAGCTATCTTTCTTGTGGTGAAAACATTTAAGATCTACTTTTTTTTTTTTAGCAACTTTCAAGTACACAGTACATATTTTATTTTATTTTTTATTTTTGAGACAGAGTCTCACTCTTTCGCCCAGGCCAGACTGCAGTAGCGCTATCTCGGCTCACTGCAAGCTCCGCCTCCCGGGTTCACACCATTCTCCTGCCTCAGCCCCCGGAGTAGCTGGGACTACAGGCGCCCGCCACCACGCCTGGCTAATTTTTTGTATTTTTAGTGGAGACCGGGTTTCACTGTGTTAGCCAAGATGGTCTTGATCTCCTGACCTCGTGATCCGCCCACCTCGGCCTCGCAAAGTGCTGGGATTACAGGCGTGAGCCACCGCGCCCAGCCTATTTTATTTTATTTTATATTTTATTTTATGTTTGAGACAGAGTCTTGCTCTATTGCTGGTGTGCAGTGGTGAGATCTCCACTTTGAGACCAACCTGGGCAACATGGCAAAACCCAGTCTCTACACACATACACACACAAAATTAGTCAGGCTTGGTGTTGCACACCTGTAGTCCTAGCTACTTGGGAGGCTGAGGTAGGCAGATCACCTGAGCCCAGGAGATTGAGGCTACAGTGAGCTGTGATCTCACCACTGCACTCCAGCCTGGGCAACAAAGCAAGACCCTGTCTTAAAAAAAGAAAACAAAACAAAAAAAACAAAAACCACCCCAAAACAAGAAAACTGAAGTCCCTTGACTTTTGCAGACCATGGCCGAGACTGATTCTTAGTCCTTCTCATCTGGGATGAAGCAGATTTACTAACAAATGTTAGATTTTTTCCTCTTCCTCCTAAGAGCTCCCACAATGCAAAGATTCTGTGGAGCTGCAAAGGTTGACCCGGCCAGAGCTGCCCACGACCCTGGCGTACTGTCCAGAATGGTGCATGCTTCTGGGGAATCTCTCCTCACATAGCAGACCTCCTAACTCAGGACTGCTAATTTTGCTGTAAGATGTTGCCCACGAGGACTGAGTCCTGGGCCCTCACACAGACTCTAGAATAGAGCCACCAATACCCAGATGATAGAGTCTTAGATGGCTTCCCTAGACTCTCCTTATCTCACCTCCATGTCTGGGCCAGCTCAGCCTGGTCTCCCTGGGCTCCTAGTGGCTGAGAGGCCCTTATAGAGGCAAGCCTTGAGTGAGCAGGGCACCTATCATGTGGTGTCTTATGGACATGGCTGAGCCGTGGGCACCCTCAGCTGCCAAACCAGAGGCATCTAACAAAGTTTCAGCCCTGCAGTTACGAGGCAGGGGGAGTGACAAGGAAGGTCAATGATGGAGAAAACCCAGTGACATTTTATACATTAGCAAAGTTAATTGCCAAGTGCCCAAAAGCCTGTCTGAGTGTACTGTTTAAAGGCCAGGAAAACACGGTTCCAGTTCTTACATTGTAAAAGTAATGCAGCTGACCCTTTGCTGGTGATATCCCCACCGCAGGCCTTCTTGCCGCCTGCCTGGCCTCCCTGGCATTGGCTGCACTGGGACCGGTGTTCTGCAGATCTGCCCTCTTGGTGGCTTCCAGACATTCTCTCTCACAAATCTCAAGACTGACTTAAAAAAAATTCCTAACGTCAGCAGTCTTTAAGCCCCCTGAGAGTAAAACACAGTTCATATGTCTACTGAGCATTACTTATTTGCAGCTGGGTGAAAGTTACGGCTGCCTCCTTTCTGGCACTGGGGAAGGGATGAGAGCCAGGAATGCTGTGTGGGTGTCATTTTTATGTAAGACAGACCCGTGCGGTGCAGGCTTTTTCCTACCAAGCACTTCACTGCTTTTGGTAAACACAGAGTCCCCATGAACCAGGGAACCAGATGAGGCTACCTAGAATTTTAGAATAAAACAGGATTTAACAAATTTCAACATTATCATTTTTAAGAGCGCAATCCTTTTCTTTCCAGTGAAATCTAGCCCAGATCCCCACTCTATAAAGCAGAGAGAAACTGGCTGAATGGGGCCAAGGCACCAGAGCCAAGGTGATTGGTCTCTTTCCCATGGCCTGTCCCCATGGCAACTGCAGGATTCCAAGAAGGACTTTTGGAGAAGTGCTGATGGCATATAGTATGGCAAATTTACCCTGACTTTTGGCCCCCTTCCCCAATCACCCGTGCAAGCGCCAAATAAGTGAGATAATGGTTGGTGAGTCTGAGAAAAAAACCAAACCAAACAAAACAGGGAACACGGGGGCTACAGAAGGTGCGGGGGGAGAACAGGACACTACACCTAGGGGACAGGTATGGGCGGAGAGTAGCATCCTTGTCTCCCTCCTGTGAAATGCTTCTCCATGGAAGCATCACACCCCAGAAAACAACCAATAGCAATAGGTGGCTCCGGGGCAGCAGGGTAAGATTAGGGCTGCATTCTACCCACACGGGGGCAGGTGCATACAAAATACGTGCAGGCAGATCTGCCAACCGCATGGAATTTCCTCTTCCCCAGCCTTCTCCTCTTCAAAGGCGAGCTGACTGCAATTCAGGGAGATGGAACTTCCGCCAGGATGGAGGTATGTGGCGGTTCCCTGAGGGCACAGTCACATGCTAACTGTGGCAAATGGGGAGTGGCCGAGTCCAAACGGCAACCCCAGAGGATCTCCCACCCTCAGTGTGTGCCCCGCCCTCCCTGCTGACCCACCAGGGATTCAGCTCTTCTCACCCTGAATACTCACCACTAGCCAAGGTAGTCAAGATCCGCAGGAGAATATGAGATCACAGGGAAAATATAATGAGACATGAAAAAAGGTGGTAGTGGGCTGGGCACGGTGGCTCATGCTTGTAATCCCAGCACTTTGGGAGGCCGAGGCGGGAGGATCACTTGAAGTCAGGAGTTCGAGACCAGCCTGGCTACTGTGGTGAAACCCTGTCTCTACTAAAAATACAAAAATTAGCAGGGTGTGGTGGTGGCTGCCTGTAATCCCAGCTACTCTGGAGGCTGAGGCAGGAGAATTGCTGGAACCCAGGAGGCGGAGGTTGCGGTGAGCTGATTGTACCATTGCACTCCAGCCTGGGAAACAGAGTGAGACTCCATCTCATAAAAAAGAAAGAAAGAAAGAAAAAAGGTGGTAGAATTAACACCAACATGATAGTAAAATAAAAGTAAGTAGATTAAACTCATCAATCCCAAGACAAATATTTGCCAATTAAATTTTAAAAATAATATTTAACAGTATGTTGTCTATAGATGTAAGAGGTTATAGAAATGTTTATTAATTTTTTTCCATGGCCAGGCATGGTGGCTCATGCCTGTAATCCCAGCACTTTGGGAGGCCGAGGCAGGTGGATCGTGAGGTCAGGAGATCAAGACCATCCTGGCTAACATGGTGAAACCCCTTCTCTACTAAAAATACAAAAAATTAGCGGGGCGTGGTGGTGGGTGCCTGTACTCCCAGCTACTGGGGAGGCTAAGGCAGAAGAATGGCGTGAACCCGGGAGGCGGAGCTTGCAGTGAGCCGAGATCGCGCCACTGCACTCCAGCCTGGGCGACAGAGCGAGACTCCGTCTCAAAAAAAAAAATTTTTTTCCTAGTATTCCTTTATCTTTTTTTATTTTTTATTTTTCCATGGGTTCTTAGGGTACAGGTGGTATTTAGTTACATGAGTAAGTATTTTAGTGGTGATTTGTGCGATTTTGGTGCACCCATCACCCGAGCAGTGTCCACTGCCCCATATTTGCAGTCTTTTATTCCTCATCCCCCACACTTCCACCCAAATCCCCAAGTCTGTTGTATCATTCTTACACCTTTGAGTCTTCATAGCTTAGCTCTCACATATCAGTGAGAACATACGATGTTTGGTTTTCTATTCCTGAGTTAGAAAGGTTATAGAAATATTTAGTATTAATATCAGACAAAAGAGAAGTTTAAAACATCAAAGTGGACAAGCAGAATATTGGGATATTATATTTTTGTAAGAGGAACAATATGTCAAGAAGATATAATAATAAACATATCAACATAGCTTCAAATACATAAAGTAGCTACTAACAGGACTGAAGGGAGAAATAAATACATCAGCAGTTGTAATCAGAAAATGCTATATGCTCCTCTCAGAGTTTGATAAAGCATGAAAAAAGTGAAGATGTAAACTACCCAATAAACTGTAGTTTATTTATAGACACATATATATAGCATGTATAGAATATATGCATATATATGTAGCATATATACATATATATATTTGCAACAATCCTGTATTAAGCCACAAAAATGCCATACTTTCAAAGAATCTACATCATAGAGATCATAGTTCTTTGATCATAATGTAATAATTAAAATAATTAAAGCACAAAAGAATAACATCCTCCCTTCTGTTCATTTGCTGGAAGCTAAAAAAAACTCACTACTAAAGCATTCTTGGGTTAAAGAAGGAAGCAAGAGAAACTTAAAAAACATACTTAGAACTAAAATTTAAACAATGAAAACTTTAAAAGATTGTGTGAGATAAAGTAGTACTTAGAAGAAAATTTATAGCTTTAAATCACTCATCCAAAGGTTAAAAAAAAAAAGACTGAAACAAGAGTAAATTAAAAGAAGAAAGGAGGAAGAAATAAACATAAAGCTAAAATCAGTGAGATAGAGGACAAAAGAGGGTGAGAGAAAGAGAAGATTAAGAAAGTTCTACATTTACTCTTCACAAAGATTAGTGAATACACCATTAATCCACTCCTCCTAGACAAAAAGTAAAAGAGAGGATGGAAATAAAACATCAAATGAAGAAGAGGATAACTGCAGGCTGAATGAAGGTGAGGAACACCCATTGGGTGCACCAGAGTTGTACTGGGATGAGGAGGGTGTCCTTATAGTGGGTTGGGTGTAGCCTGGTCTGGGTGTCAGAGCTCGAGAGCAGTGAGGAGGCCTTCCGTGCTGGGGAGGGGATGGCTATGAAGCCGGGAGATGGCTTCCATGCAGAGGAATTGATTAAATAGGCAAGTAAATCAAAGACAATGAAAGTCAAGTTTTCTCACTGTTAGGAAAGGGGGATAGAAATATGGAAATAGAAACAAAATTCACCTCTGTGGTATTGAATTGCAATTGATGGTGTCACTGTGAACTCTTGGTTTTCCATATATGAATATAGATAGATGTAGAAAATTTTATTAAGTAAGATTTATCCAGGAATGAAAGGATGGTGCAACATTAATGTATCATACTACACTGGCAAATGAAAAGTAGAGAGTCACACAACTTTCTCAATGTTTTGTGAATTATACATAATTAATTATAATTATACAGTTTTATTAGCAGCTATCGATTATACATAATTATTATTGAATGTTCTTGAAAAGAATTTTTAAAACACAGAGTATTAGAATAGAAAGGAAATAGAATATAGGAAAAATGTAAAAAAAAATCACACTGGCAGAGAAACAGAACACACCCTTGAAGACTGGAAAACCAGCAAATATAACTGCTAACTAGACAGCAGTGGGAGAGTTGCGGAGCGCCTGGCCACTACATTAACACAGGAGAGAGCAGACCTAGCCAGGTATAAACAAACTGTCATGATCAACAAACTATGAGACTCCTACAGAGTTCAACAAAGATACAGCATAACTAGTGTACATCTACACTGGCACTAACCAACTAGAAAATGTAATAGAAGATAGATATTATTTATTTATTTATTTAGAGACGGAGTCTCACTCTGTTGCCAGGCTGGAGTGCAGTGGTGCGATCTCGGCTCACTGCAACCTCCACCTCCCGGTTCAAGCAATTCTTCTGCCTCAGCCTCCCGAGTAGCTGGGACTACAGGTGTGTGCCAAAACACCCGGCTAATTTTTGTATTTTTAGAGACGAGTTTTCATCATATTGGCCATGCTGGTCTGGAACTCCTGACCTCGTGGTCCACCCGCCTCAGCCTCACGAAGTGCTGGGATTACAGGCGTGAGCCACGGTGCCCAGCCAGTATCATTTATAATGGCAGTACCAACTATAAAATTTGGGAATAAAGTTAACAGAGAACACAGAAGAATTTTATTGGAAAAGATTAAAACGCTATTACAGGACACAGAAAGCAGCTGAATATGTCGTGATATGCTATGATCATTATATGGGGTTACTAAAAATTGTAAAGATGTCAATTTTAATGAAATGAATTATAAATTCACTACAATGCCAGTAAAAATTCCATTAAGACCTTTTCAACTACTTAACAATTCTAAAATTTATACACAAGAATAAAAAGCTTGATCACAAATAACTAAGCCAATTCTGAAAAGAAGAGTAAAGTTGTTAAGGGGTTGGGGAGGAGTTGGTCATTCCACTAGGTACTGAGGCATGCTGTAAAGCCACAGTAAAGACCAGGTGCGGTGGCTCATGCCTGTAATCCCAGCACCTTGGGAGGCCGAGGCAGGTGGATCACCTGAGGTTGGGAGTTCGAGACCAGTCTGGCCAACATAGGGAAACCCCTCCTCTACTAAAAATACAAAAATTAGCTGGGTGTGGTGGCGGATGCTTGTAGTACCAGCTACTCAGGAGGCTGAGGCAGGAGAATCGCTTGAATGCGGGAGGCAGAGGCTGCAGTGAGCCAAGATCACACCACTGCACTCCAGCCTGGGCAAGACAGAGCAAGACTCTGTCTTAGGAAAAAAAAAAAAAAAAAAAGCCACAGTAAGATAGATGGTGAGATAATGTGGGAACAGACAAAAAGACTGAAACCATAAATTCAGTGCTCAGAAACAGACCCATGTTTATATGGAACTAGATATATGATACAGGTGACACTATAAATGAATGAGCAAAGGGTAGATTGTTTAGTGGATGATGATGAAAAAACTGCCTGCTTTAGAAGATAACAATGGATCCCTATCTTATACCATATACAAAGGTGAGCTCCAGACAGATTAGAGGCCTAAGGGTGAAAGATAAGACTAAAGCTAATGAGAGAATAACTTTGTGCTTCAGGAATGAGAAAGAACTTCTTAAATTTAAGTAAGACTACCCATAGTACAAACTACATAGCAAAACTCACAATTGACTATGTCAAAATTAAGGATTTCTGTTCAATGAAGAATACCATAAACAAAATTAAGAGAGGGGTGAACAAATGAGAGATGACTTTGTCTGACATCAAACTGACTAAGGAGACTAAAAAGGAAAAGATAGGGAACCCAACAGGAAAAAAACCAGAAATGTAAATTTGGACAAATAAGCAATATAACAATAAAACACAGATTTATACTATCACATTGGCGACAATGAACAAATAAATAATAGCTTGTGTTGGAAAGAATATGGAGAAATGGGAAAACTCAACTATTACTACAGGGAGGGGTGTCTAAAGTGAAATACTCCTGGAGAACAAGACCAAAATAGTGAAGTTAAATATGTCTTCGTCCAATAACCCAGCACTCCCACTGGTGGACACTGATGCACTGAAACTTTCTGACAGGCTCATATGTGGATGAGCACGAGGATGTCCATCACAGCACTGTTGGCTGGGTCAGGGAGCTGGAGGTAACATTAAGGGAATGGAAAAGTAAAATGGAATCCCAAACAGCCATTAGCAATGAGGTAGCACACGCAGCAACATGGAGGCATCTTAGAAACAGTGTTCAGTGAAAAAGGACAGTTGTAATATCGTTGATGTAAATTAAGACATACTTACAAAACAATATGTTTTGCAAAGAAGCATACATATTCAATTTATAATATCAAACATATTAGAGAGTGGGTGCCTAATGGAGGAAGGAAGGAGATAGGAGTGGAGATTAGAAGTGAAAGGGAAAATATTTAAAACTAGTGGCTGAGTCCATGCTCTGATTGCATGGTTCTGAATCCCAGCTGTGCCTCTAACTAGCTCTGTTACCTTGGGCAATTAACAACCTCTTTAGTTAAGTGTCCTCATCCCTAAAATGGGCTGGGGACGATAGGCGAAGACGGGCTCCAAAAAATTCTGTCCTGCCCTGTCTGCGTGTAGCTCCTCCCACAAGAGGCGGGCCTGTGACTGCTTTGACCAATAGGATACAGAGTAAGCACTGCCCTGGGACTGCCTAGCCCCGTGTTTAAGCAGGAGCCTTGGGCCGCTGCCACTGCCATTTCACGGAGTCCTACAAACAGCTGCCACGTGGAGAGGCGGGCCACATGGAGCAGCACTGTGCCATCGGACTGTGTAAGACACCTGGCAGAGGTACTGCCCAGCTGTGGCCAGATCAACCCGTGGAATAATGAGATACAATAACGTAGTTGTTTTGGACCACTAAGTTCTGTTACGTGGCACTAGATAAGGTTATGAGGATTAAATAAAGTAATTTTATTTTTTTCTCTTTTGACACAGGGTGTCGCTCTGTCCACCAGGCAGGAAGTGCAGTGGCGCCATCTCGGCTTACTGCAGCCTCGACCTCCGGGGCTGAAGTGATCCTCCCACATCAGCCTGTTGAGTAGCTGGGTCCACAGGTGCATACCGACACACCTGTCTAATATTTTGTATTTTGTGGAGAGCTGGGGGTCTCACCGTGTTGCCCAGGCTGGTCTCGAACTCCTGGGCTCAAGCCATCTGCCGGACTCAAGCCATCTGCCTGCCTCAGGCTTCCAAAGTGCTGGGATTGCAGGCGTGAGCCACCGCGCCTGGCCAGGAGGTAAGTTTTAAAGTGTTGGATAGGGCCGGGCTCATTGGCTCACGCCTGTAATCCCAGCACTTTGGGAGGCCAAGGCGGGCGGATCACGAGGTCAGAAGTTCGAGACCAGCCTGCCCAACATGGTGAAACCCCACCTCTACTAAAAAAAAAAAAATAATAAAATAAAATAAATTAGCTGGGTATGGTGGTCGCGCGCCTGTAATCCCAGCTACTCGGGAGGCTAAGGAAGGAGACTTGGGCCTCCATAGCCGTTTCAAGACGCCCTAGAAACAGATGCCACGGACTGAACCCCGGAGGTGGAGGTTGCAGCGAGCCGAAATTCCCCCACTGCACTCCAGCTCTGTACGACAGAGTAGGATTTTGTCTTAAAAAAAAAAAATCAAAGTGCTGGATAGTGCATGGCTCATGAGAAGGGCCTGGCACTATATACATATTTGTGGAATAAAAAACAAGGACCTAATGGTCACAGAAATAGTGTCATGACCAAAAATGTAAGATTAACTTAATTCTTTGCACATGATGTTCACAGATAAGCTAAAACCTCTGCTAAAGACTCATATATTCATTTCCTTGATGGGAAAACTATGGCCCTGATTGATAGATGAAAAGTGTATTCCAAAAAAGAGAGTGTCTCATAACGAAGCAGGGCTCCCTGAGCCAACTCTCCTTCTGTTGTCTTTGTGCACAGAATTTAGAGCCTCAAGAAAGCATTGGATGTATGAGCTCAGTGACTCACGAATGTCTCATTTCTGGGAACACAGACAACTGATGGGCTATATTCGTTTTCCTCTGTAGCACTAGACCCAGAACTAGCAAATTTTTATCTGTAATGAATTCTCAATTAACCCTAGGTCTTGGTATCAGGAAATACAGGGAAAATAAAAATCTACCCATAATTCAAAGATCTCAATCAAATCAGTAATTTCAACCTCCAGAAAGTTATCTTAATAGTTCTTTTTATTCCCAAGCACAGTGCACAATAAATATCTGTTGATTATTTAAAATTAATCCCTCTTCCATTTGAATAAGAGTTAAAACAATTTGTTTATGGTCTTTCAAATTGATTATTAAAATTGTTCTTTGAAACCCTGGCTAGGGCAAAATAACCTAGATGGTAGCAACAGTGAGTGAAAGGATAGAAAGGGAGTGGCACCACTGTTCATCTGTGAAGCGGGAGCTAAGCCTTGTGAATCTTACAAGAACTATATGAGGTAGATACTGTCTCCATTTTACAGGAGCAAAAACTGAGGCTTAGGTAGATGGGGTCACTTTTCTGCAATCTGCAGCTGGGGCATTATGGAGCCAGGATTCAAACTCACGTCTTGGCTGTGCATGGTGGCTCATGCCTGTAATCCCAGCACTTTGGGAAGCTGAGGAAGATGGATTGCTTGAGGTCAGGAGTTTGAGACCAGCTTGGCCAACATGGTGATACCCTGTCTCTACTAAAAATACAAAAATTAGCCAGGTGTGTTGGTGGGCACTTGTAATCCCAGCTACTTGGGAGGCGGAGGTGGGAGAATCTCTTGAACCTGGGAGGCGGAGGTTGCAGTGAGCCGAGATTGTGCCACTGCACTTCAGCCTGGGTGACAGAGGGAGACCCTGTCTCGAAAAAAGCCGCACAAAAAGCTTTCATGTAGCCTTACTCCCTAGCTGGTTCTCTTTTACTCTATCACGTTGGGAAGAGGAGACAGTATCACCCCAGAATGACTTAAATAGCAAGGGGAAGGCAAAATGTCTTAAAGCCAATTCCTAGACACTGAGACTTTTGTGAAGCCAAAAAAAAGGAGCGTATCATCTGAAGGCATCAATAAAAAAAGAAAAGAGGCCAGGTGCGGTGGCTCACGCCTGTAATCACAGCCCTTTGGGAGGCCAAGGCAGGTGGATCACAAGGTCAAGAGTTCAAGATCAGCCTGACCAACATGGTGAAACCCCGTCTCTACTAAAAAATACAAAAATTAGCTGGGCGTGGTGGTGCGCACCTATAATTCCAGCTACTTGGGAGGCTGGGGCAGGAGAATCGCTTGAACCCAGGAGCCAGAGGTTGCAGTGAGCCAAGATCGTGCCATTGCACTCCAGCCTGGGCGACAGAGCAAGACTTCATCTCAAAAAAAAAAAAAAAAAAAGAGAAAATTGGTGGATCATAGCCCATGTATTTCTGCAGAACTGACACATTTTGAGAGAGTTGGCAGTTGCCCAGATATCACAAGCCATAGTGCCAACTTCTCATGACTCCAGCCTCAGCAGCACCAGGCTTCATGTGGTCCGTCTGCCAGAAAGCAGGTCCTCATATGCTTGGCTGGGAAGAATGATGTCAAGCCAGGTCCATCATGGTCCCTAACTTCTTGTCCTAAAATAAGCCTGAACCTTGTCCCCATGCACTGGCTCAACTCCCATTCTACTTCAGGCATCAGAATCACAACTCTACATTTCTCATCTAGCACTAGGGACTACAAGTTGTGTGGCAGATCTTCAGGCAGCTTCTAGGAACACTCTGGATTGAAGTGGAAAGGAAGCATTTCCTGATTTCATTTTCTAGCTGTCTTTCCTACTCAGGTTCTTTGGGCCATGGGTCATTTCCTAGTGTGGACAGCTCCATAAGCTGTGTGGAGTGTCAGGCAAGGCTGAGCGGATTCCAATATGGGAGAAAGATGCACGGTGCAGGCGCAGACCCAGAGCCCAGCCAGGGTCAGTGTCCCAATGGGAACAATAAGGATCTAGGAGGAAGTGGAACCGGAAGCTGGCTGCTTGCCCAACTGTGGGGTCACTTGGGCTGCGATTTCACCTCCATTTTCTCCTTTGGCTCCTCCATGCCGCAGATGAATTATTTTCACTGAAAATGAAATGCCTATGGCTACAGCCCCACTGAAAGTGACAATCCACGGCAGGGCCCAGGCACTAGGGGCAGGGGAGACTAGGACAATGAAAGACAAATCAAAGTAACTTCCAAATCATGCCATTTATTTTTCCTTAATGGATTTTACAGCTCATCTGAGTCTCTGCTGTGTTCTCTGAGGAGCTGTAGAATTTGTGTCGATGCTCTGTGTCCTCCGTCCTTCCCCAAATGAGCACATATGCAGGGCAGGCAAGAGCATGCTGGATTTGTCTTAGTTGTTAATTCACCTTCTGGCTTCACTGTGACACACATTTATCTCTACATGACATTCTCAAGAAAAATGATTAGGACAGAATCACAGCAAGGAGTGTGGAAGAGGGAGTTTTTTTAAAAAGTCAGTTAAAGAGAAGCAATGAACCACGAGGGTCCTTTAGGTAAAGGACCCCCACTCCTCATCTCTTCCTCTTCATTCTTGATCTTTCAAAAAGAAGCACAGGAAGAGGACTAGGCTAGCAAGGGTGCTGGTAGGCTGCATGGTGCCTCTGTACCCATTAATACCTGTTAACAAAAGGCACCCCTTCCTGCAGGAGGTGTAGCCCTTTCCATGGGGCAAGGCTTGGAGGGGATGAAATATCCTCCAAGAGTTCAGAATCCCCTATGGGCCCTGATGCTGATGGAGATCAGAGCCTCTCACAAGGAGGTCCCAAGCTGGTGACCTGGGAAGGGAGGCACTGATGCTCTGCCTGGCTGCCAGGGGTGTCCTTTCACCACCCCACACACAATCTACTCCTTGCATCTTGGACTCTGTTTTACTTCACAGGGCAGGGATGCAAACACGAAGGAAAGAGGTGTGGCACAGGCACAGTTTTAATGTGCAAACCCTTCCTAATGCAGGATCCCCATTGAACGGCCTGGGACCTGGCTGCCTTTGATGATGTCATATCTCATCTCATGAACCAAGATGGCAGGAATTCTCTGCAGCCAACCTTGACAGGAAATCATCCTGGAAATCCGCTGCTTCCTTAATTCATGCAAGAAACAGGGAGAAGGGGTATGGTCCTCTCATGAATGTTGTGCCATTCAGTTGAGACGTGTCACGGGTTCACCTGACAGCTCAGGGACTAAGGCTGGGTGGACGTCATTTATTAAGTATATTACAGGGCTGCAATTCACCAGCTACCAAGTTGGACTCTTTGCTCTGGAAATTTAATGTGTGGCAGCTGCGTGCAGCCGGTGATGTCCAGCATTTTAAAAAGGTCAATTAAGAAACGGTTGATGGTGGTGCAGCTAATGACAGCCCAGGGGGGTGAGCAGGGCGCAGTAAACAGAAGGGCTGAGACATATATTACTGGAATTGAAGTGTCCCAGTGAAGCGTGGTGGGGAGGAAATCTATTGTCACAAGCCATAAAGCACATCTGAGTTTTGCAGCGGAGAGCAGTACAGCTGTTTCCCTCCCCAGGCAGCGCTGGGAGCAGCCAGTGAATGGAGGGCTCGCCTACAAAGGGGACACCTGCATCAGCTCCATCAATTTGCAGACAAAAATCGCTACCCTCCTCGCTGCCTGTTCCTTTGCACTTCTCGTTTTCCCACTTGGAACACAAGGCAGATGCTGGAGTGATACTCAGAATGTGGGTCATGTTCTAGAATTCCATATTTTAAGCATTCCGGAAGCAGGGCTCCGCCCCTCCTCGCTGCGTGTGGGCGGGCGGACAGCCGGGAGCCTGAGAGTCAACCCCAGCCAGCGCTCTCCTCAGAAGACATCCGCTCCTGCCTCGGTGCGCGCACAATGCAGGCTGCGGATCAGACCCTTTACACTGCGACGGATAAAAGAGGGACACGAAACCCTTAGAAAAAGTCTATTTCGGACTGTGACAGAATTGGCTCATGGTTGGGGGAAGGCACTGTGTGGGGCTCCTTTTTAAAGAATCAGACAAAGGGGTCTTAGAATAAGTGCAGGGCTGCTAGGACAGGCTTTTTTTTTTTTTTTTTTTTTTGCCACATCTACCTGTCAAGCTAGAAATTCAATAGAGCAATGGGAATGCTAATTGACATGCAAAACAGGTCTAGGGTTCCTAGAAATGTCTAATGATCCTCCAATTCATTACGAATCCCGAATTAAGACATGCACTAAATGAGATGGGAGTGAGAACAGCAACCTTTTTGCTTTTCCTTTTTTTCCTTTTAAAACCTGCTTTGGGAAACTTCACAGGTTTTATCATTAAAAAAAGAGTATTGCAATCAGTGGGTTTTGTCTTTCACACACTGGATGTTTATTATTAGAAAATAGCTTCTATCAGCTGTCAGTACCAAACAAGTTGAAAGGAGCGAGCTTCTCACCATATTTTTTTTTCTCCTTAATGATATTTAAATAAACAGCTCACTGTGTGAGCTCACGCCCTTTTTCCCTTTAAAAACTGAATAATTAAATGAAGTTTAGTACAAAACATTCTTCAAATATGACTTGTTCTGCATCTGTTATGCTGTCTCCTTGAGTAATGGACGCGAAAGAGATGAAAAAGACCACTCAGGCTACCAAAGTACCCCAAAGAATCCATACGAGAAACTGAGAAACAAACTAACTCAAATAAGACCCAACCAAACCAAGAAACCAGTTTTTACGTTGACTTTTTGATTTTGATTATCATCTAAGTTTAATATATATATATATGTGTGTGTGTTTGAAATAGTAATAAAAAAGGAAGAATTGAATTGCATCCGTAGCAGGACAACCTTCCTCATACGTTAAAGAGGTGTTCAGAAAATTCCATACAGTATCTGCTAAATAAACATGTTTGGCAGCTTAGCAAATATCATATGATTGCAGCATCCATCATTTGAAGTAAAACAGCATTTGCTTTCTTCTGGCGGAGGTTGTTGCTTGGAGTGATGTGCTAATATGCTCTGGATGTTCTTAGACCCACAGGCTTAAGGAAGGGCTTGGGGGTCGCTCAGTGCATGACCCCAGTGCAGACACTTCCAAACCCCAAACAATGAATCAAACAACCAACCAACCATACAAACATCAAACAACTGTCTCCTTTGAGTTCCTCTTGACCGAATGGAGGCCCAGCAAGGACGGCTGGTTAGAAGGTACATTGACAGACTTTGGAATGAGGAGAATCACCCTCTGATTGGTCCGACGCCACTCGTTGTACAATCGACAGTGGTACCTAAATGACACCTGGGGATGGGAGAGGAAAAGTAAGAGAAAAGAATTCAGGTCAGCAGAAGTGGATAATCAATACAAGAAACAAATATGTCATTTGAAAGAGCTTCAAAGAGCTGGAAGCACTATGGCAGGGCAAGAACCCTGGGAAAATGGCTCTGGCACGCAGTGAGTGTTGAGAGATTGGGCACCAGCCAAAGAGCACCCTATGTGTGGACACATGGGCAGGGCTTGCATGGTGGCTTCCTTTGTTCCTCCTCATACCGGGTAAATTCAGGATATAAATGGGAAAATGAGGTTATTTCTGAGTTTGGATTTATTTTCGGACTAGTGGTGGATACAATGCCAGCCCTCGCCCAGCTGTGTGACCTCAGCAATGCGCCTATCAGGTGCCTAGGTTCTTCTCTGTTAGATGAGTGGGATGCTAGGGCTTCATGAACCTTCCTGCAAGTTAGACCCTGCACAACTCAAAGGATCCCATTCATACTATGATATGAAGGACACCCTTTGTACTGTCCTGTGGACAACCTGCCCAACAGCCTGGTGGCCCCAGTGGGTGATTCCTAATTGCATCCAGCTCCAGCATTCTATAGCTTCCAATAAGGAAATCACAGTGTGGCCACTAACTCCCCTGATAAATCTTCTCGAGCCTCAGGCTAGGTGGGGCACGACTCCCTTGGGTGCCCACTGTGCCTCAAGCTTACCCACATGGCACTGAGTGTCCTGAACAGCACTGTGCATGTTTTTCTCTCCCCCTGCACTAGAAGCATCTTGAGAGCAGGCGTTGTGTTGTGTTCATCTTTGCATGCCCAGCACCTGTTACAATGTCTTGCACTTAGGAAATTGCTCAAGAGAGTTTGCTGAGTAAATGAATGAGTGAATAAGCATCCTATATTTTCTGATTGCAACACTGCTTCAAACTTAAGCCTCTCTCTCTTTTTTTTTTTTTTGGATGGAGTCTTGCTCTGTCACCCAGCTCAAGTGCGGTGACATGATCTCAGCTCACTGTGACCTCTGCCTCACGGGTTCAAGCGATTCTTGTGCCTCAGCCTCCTGAGAAGCCGGGATTACAGGCATACGCCACCATGCCTGGCAAATTTTTGTGTTTTTAGTGGAGACAGGGTTTCACCATGTTGGCCAGGCAGGCTGGTCTCGAACTCCTGATCTCAAGTGTTCTGCCTGCCTCAGCCTCCCAAAGGGCTGGGATTACAGGCGTGAGCCACTGTGTCCTGCCAAACCTCTCATATAATACATGATGGTAGAAGCAGTGACATAATGGTGCCTGAGAGATCCTTGTCTTTTTTTTTTTTTTTTTTTTTTGAGACAGAGTTTTGCTCTTGTTGCCCAGGCGGAAGTGCAATGGCGCGATCTCGGCTCACCGCAACCTCTGTCTCCCAGGTTCAAGCGATTCACCTGCCTCAGCCTCCCGAGTAGCCACCATGCCTGGCTGATTTTGTATTTTTAGTAGAGACAGGGTTTCTCCATGTTGGTCAGGCTGGTCTCGAACTCCCGACCTTAGGTGATCCACCCACCTCTGCCTCCCAAAGTGCTGGGATTACAGGCGTGAACCATGGTGCCCGGCCAAGGTGCTTGCTTTTTATGTACATATATTGGAATGAGATGCTTAAACCTGTAGTCTGTTTTGGAGAAGGCTGGCATAAAACATTGATGGACCGTCCAAGAAATTCAGAGTCTGATGTGTAGGTAAGTGCTGGAAAGGAAGGAGACCATGAGCTTGGAGTGACAAATCAGGTCTGGGCTGTTTAATTATCTGGGAGTAGGTGTGTTGTGTTGATCCCACTAAAGGTCTATGGTGGTCAGAAAGTAGGCTGGCCTGATGACTTGGTCTCGAGTTTCTGGAAGTAGATGAAAGGCAGGCCCTTGATCAGAATGGGCTTTTTAGTCTTCATGGCAGGATCATGAAATTCAAGGCCACTTATTCAAATTTCTGAGGCTAGAAAGCAGATGCCACGGGCCGAGTGCCAGAGAGGGTTGAGTATGAAAATATACGCTTTTAAACTCACACAGAAGTGCTTTTCTCCAAAAGTCCCTGAACATGCTAAAGTGGATCAGTTTGGTTTTTTTTTCAAGTGTGATTCTCTTGTATCTATTCTGTCCTGCTGCTGCTTGGTGCCACTCACGAATGTAGGAGAGGCAGGCTGGGAAGCCAGCTGTTCAGGGCCAACAGCGGGAAAGAGGTGGAATGCAGACAATTATTATACTAATAAGGAACTTTGGCAATATAAGAAGTCTGGAATCTGGGAACATTACGGGAAAGCTGGATTTCAAATCAAGAGTCCCCTTTTCCATGATGCTGAGAGCTGTGCACACTGGCATTAGTAATTGGAGAAGTAGTTATGAGTGCAGGCCGCAGGCTCCGGAGCCAGGCACACGGGCCTGCAATCTGCATCCTCTACTTAGTGGTTACGTGACTTGGGGAGGTTATTTGCTGTCAACAAGCTTCAGTTTCCTTGTTTGTAAGATGTGAATAATGATATTTGATGTAATGCATATAAAACACCTAGCACAGGGCACAGAGCATACATTTTAGTGTTCTTGGGCTGGTATTTTGTGTGTCTTAAATATAAGAAAGAATTTTGTGACACCCTTTAGATACAGGGTAACAGAAAAAGAAAAAAAAAAAAAAAGAGAGACAGAGACAGATTGGGCTATTTCCTTTAAGGCTCTGCTCTCGGCGTGGTCCTGGACCAGCAGCAGGCTGCATCACCTGGGAGCTTGTTAGAATATCAGAATTTTGGGCCCCACCCAGACCTAAGGAATGAGAGAGTGCATTTTAACAAGACCCCCAGGTGATCCGCATGTGCATTCAAGCCTGAGACGCACTGCTTCAAGGAACACAGGGAGTCAGCGACTTAGCAGGTCTCCTGGTTCCATGGCCAGGAAATTAAAAAATTCAGCCCACTTGTGTAGACAAACAGATGAGATCTTATTATACATTAATCTATTTTAATTGTGGTTAATCACTACAGTCTGCAGGCAAATTCAATTAATAAGAAGAAAGCAACATAAGAAGATGCTTCTTTGTCAGGGAAAATAAAGGCAAGTTGAGCACAACGCCAAGGAGACCACAGGTTTGCATTGCCCTGGGTTAATGCTACTTCTCTAGATGCTCCAAGACACTGCATCCCTGCAATGCAATATAATTGGAAAGAAAGGAGGTCTAATTTAGAAGAAGAATAAGGCAGCGAGGAAAAAGAAAACATAAAAAGATGCTCCAACAATAATGTTAGGAATTTCACTTAGATATTTCTTAAATTTTTGAGTTTAGGAGAGAGGAGGAAGAGAGTATAGGGCCACTATTATAAAAATACTGCTCCTTATGGGATGCGCTTCCTGAAGTTTCTAGTTTATTCATCTAACTAACCTCCTATCATGGGCAAGTCTGCTGTACAAAGAGTTGTGATCGCATGAATATTATGAGAAGGGTTAGAAAATGTTAGCATCCACTCTTCCCATTAGGGAGGTGACTGCGGCTGGGGCAAAGGTGTGCTATAAAGTCACAGCAGGCGGCCTGGTGCAGTGGCTCATGCCTGTAATCCCAGCACTTTGGGAGGCCGAGGCAGGCAGATCACCTGAGGTTGGGAGTTTGAGACTGCCTGACCAACATGGAGAAACCCCGTCTCTACTAAAAATACAAAATTAGCTGGGCGTGGTGGCACATGCCTGTAATCCCAGCTACTTGGGAGGCTGAAGCAGGAGAATCGCTTGAACCTGGGAGGCGGAGGTTGCGGTGATCTCGGCTCACACCACTGCACTGCAGCCTGGGCAACAAGAGCGAAACTCCCTCTCAAAAAAAAAAAAAAAAAAGTCACAGAAGGCTTTGGGATATCTGATTACATATTTTGATTTTGCCCTTTCTCTCTGGAAGTGGTGTGACTTAGGGATATCGATGGGACTAGGCCTTGGCAAACGGCCTCCTCAGCAATGTGCCCAGCTCACCTATCTATCTCTGACTGCACTGGGGAAAAGGAGTATAGGAGTGAATTGGTCATGGGGAAATACCGCTGAATACCCTCAGGATGCTTGTAGGCCGTGTGGGGGATGTGTCTAAAGCAGCCCCACAGTGAGCCTTGTTGGGACAGCGTTCCATTGGCAGTTCCCCCTTTATAAGAAGAATTTAAACAATCAAACCTTGGGACTGGGAGTCACACTTTGAGGAACCGGGTCGCTCATTCATTCCCTTCTGTGCTGGACACTGGTTGCATCAGTGATGCAGTGAGTGGAAAGACTTCCTGTACATGGTGCCTCAATTCTCCTCCAAACTCCAAACTGGGGCTGATACCAAGTCCATTACCGACAATTTCTTCATGTTTAATGTGGACTCAGTTCTCAGCCAGCTCTCTTTGTGTCTGTCTACGGGTTTCAAATCACTTGTGACATGGACAGTGATGTTTCTAGGACACCTCTCCCTGAGCTCTTAGGGTGGAGCTGACCAAGGCCCTGGCCTCCTGGGGCCCAGGTGTGCTTCTGGAACACAGCAGGTTCCAGAAGGTGGGACTCCATGAGGGTGTGTCAAGGCTGGACCTGCATGGCCACGTGTGCCTGCGAGAAACTCCAAGGCACTCTGAGGCGTGCAGCGTGAGCGCTTGTCCTTCTTCACAGTACCAGGGAGGCCCTTCCAGGAACGGCTCCTCTGAGGAGCCAGGCTTGGACTGACACCGTGTTTGTTTATCTAAGACATTTTCACAGCATATTCTCCTTAAGCTTGACAGCTTGTTTACAATGGGTTTCTGCCGCAGGGCAGTTTCCAAGTGCTGTCAGCTTCTGAATTACGGCTCTTGCCAGGGCCGCTCAGCACAGCATTTATCTGGGACGGAGTTATTCTATATTCAGTAACCTATTGCTGAGCTGACTCCACAGCACGTTTTTCACACCAGTCAAAGGGGGAGAGATGCCTTCTTTCCCTCCTGCTACTTTGCATTCTATAAAGGGCAGGGGGAGGGTGGAAGCTGGGGGAGCAGGGAAGCCGCAGGAAGGAGCCTGGGGCCAACACTCTGCTAGGTGCTTGCATGTATGTTCTCAGACGTTATCTCACTTACTCTTTGCAATAACCGATTGACCTAGCGGTTATCAATTATTTCCTGTATTTTTTTGTACAAGAGGAAGGATGAACAGAGAGGTTAAGTATCCTATTTGAATTTACACTGTTATTAGGGTGATAAATCTTGGGTTTAAACACAGGGCCCTTGGATTCTAAACGCATGCATAGCACTGCCCGTGAGAAACATTTCTGGAATGAAGTATGTTACCATTTTCCTGAAAGAGCCTAGTCTAGGTACCTTTTCTACCCAAACCTTCCTTTCACCTGAGATGGGAGATGAAACGAGGTCACATCCATTTTTTCTTGAGATAACCTTTCTTTTCTTCCTTTCTTCCTTCTTTTCCAGCCACCTATCACCCTGTTTCTTTCTTGTTAGATAAGTGTATGCTTTACAAAGCAGGATTTCAGAAAGGCCTTACATTGGTTTTGAAAGCCCAGCATTTAAGCTCACTTCATCCATCCTTCATCATAGGCACTCTTCTAAAAAAAATTATAGACTAGAAAACCTCTAAACATGGCAAGAACTTATATTATTCTCCAAAGTACTTTCCCATAAACACTTTGACTTAAATCTCATAACACCAGGGGAATTTGGCAGGATGGGCATTACCACTATTTCCACTTGACAGATGAGGACACTGAGCCTCACAGAAGCCAAATGACTTTCCCAGGGTGGTGCTGTTGACCAGGAGTTAGATAGTGCTGCTTAGACTCCTTCATTTCTTATTTCTAACCCTCCTCCCATCACAATGGAAGCTACTGGAACAGCTTCGTTGCCTGATTCAAAATGAACCAGGATGAACTTTGGAAGCGTAGACTTTTTTTTTTTTGAGATGGAGTCTCACTCTGTCACCAAGGCTGGAGTACAGTGGCACGATCTTGGCTCAGTGCAACTCTGCCTTCTAGGTTCAAGCAATTCTCCTGCCTTGGCCTCCCAAATAGCTAGTATTACAGACATGCACCACGATGCCCAGCTAATTTTTGTATTTTTAGTAGAGACAGGGTTTCGCCATGTTGGCCAGGCTGGTCTCGAACTTCTGACCTCAAGTGATCCGCCCGCCTCAGCCTCCCAAAGTGCTGGGATTACAGGCATGAGCCACCGCGCCCAGCTGGAAGCGTAGACTTCTAAAGGAAGCAATAATAGTTTTGCTTGGGGCTTCACTAGCCTGGGAACAGAATGTCTAAATTAACCATAAGACTCAGATAAGTTCTTAGCATTAGAACACTCCCTCTTTACTGAAACTGAAATGTATCTCCTTACTGTTTGAACACTCTCACTGGAGGGGAGGCACAGAGCTGGAAGAGCCATATGATGAAGAAGAGGGAAATGAACAGGGTTGTGGGAGTGGCAGCTGGAGGAACAGGGTCTGGGAGACACAGAAAGGGAGGAAGTATGTGCTAGAAGCAGCTTCCACATGCTGACACTGTGCTATGGGATATGGGAATGGTACACTTTAGACAGGAAATACATATTGAATAACAGTGGAACGTGCTCAGATTAGAAACGAGCAGGCACAGGAGAGTAATGCCAGGAAGCAGGGGGCCCAGCTTCTGAAAATATTCTAGAAGACAGTGATGTCCTTCCCTGCAGCTCCCAGAGGAAAGCATAAGGAGAGAGATCAAATGTTGCATTTTGTGGGTGCTGTCAACTGGTACTCAAGCGATCAACTTACTGCATGAAGTTAAAAGTTAAAAGAATGAAAAAAGTGATATGTAAAAATTCTTCCTCACACACAGCGAGAACACTTATTGGGAAATGGCCTTTCTTTGGTGGCAGCTTCTCAGCTAGATAAATTAGTGCTTTTATGGGCAGCAGAGTCAATATCCCAACACACAGAATAATCACCAGGCAAAGTGCGGCTCCACGTCCAACAAAGACTTTAGGCTGTGTCAGGACGTAAGAAGGAAATAACCAGCAGGGAGGATTCACGATCTGTGCAGGCAGTGACAGCAACAGCAGCCAAATGCATCATTCATAATATACTACAATCCCGGCAAAAATGAGAAACATAAACAAGGGAAAGAAAATGCCAAGACTCATAACAGATGGAGTCCTAGACTACTAGAGGAGAGAAACGTCCATGGTGTGTCTGTGTCTTTGACTGATGGACACCCAGAAGCCAAACTTTTTCTTTATGTGATCCGCCTTAGCAGCACAGACACACACACAGACAAACACACACACACACACATAGTCATAAACCAAATCTCATGCTCCCGCCAGCAATCGAAGGTCTGTTTTCTACCGGGCAGGTGAGATGTGTTACAGACAAGAGGAAAGGCTTGTGCCAGCTGTGAGGCTGCCAGCTCCAAATGGCCTGAACCCCAGCCACGGCCCATACTTACTAGTGTCCAAAAGAGGTAAATAGTGAAGAGTGCGACAGTGAGTGCAATCAGTCCGACGGCTTCCAGCCGACTACTAAAGTGCAGGTGGTCCACGGCGCCCCGCAGGCACAGCCAGCCCGAGATGGTGGCCAGGGGAGTTATAAACAAGAAGCACACCATGTCGCCAAACAGAGTCCGCTTCTCATGCTGGGGGCCAGGGTTTCTCAGCCACTGCCAGGTAAAGGGAGACAGAGAAGAGCAAGGGAGAGGGTTAAATGCCAGTGTGGAGTGGAGACACGCTGTTCTGAAGTTATCTTTGCCTTCAGAACCTTGGGAAAAGGCATTTCTGACTTGTTATGAGATAACAAGGAAGTGTTCAGGGCTCATTCCCATGCTCCACCCCCTGAATAATAATGATATGATACAAATAACAATAATAATTTATAGTGTCCTTGCTGTAGATGACCTACTTTTTGTGAAAATAGTCGTTACTATTCAGAATCACAATGATCCCATGTGGAAGGAAGAGAGAATGTTACGCTTGGAAGGTGACAGCTGAGGTAGGAGAAGTTCAGTCATGTGTCCAAAGCCTTCCAGTGTCTTCACCCTGGGAATATGTGCTGGAAACGGTTGAGTTGCTCAAGCCCCGCACATTCCCAAGACAGGCCTGTTTTTAGGACTGGCTCTTGACCAGCTTCTGAGAGATGAGCTCTGAGTCCTAGTAACATTTTACCTGATAAGAGTATTTTGCATGCCAGAGGCCTTGGGCCCACAATACTAGTATGATGAGACACTTTATGCCAACAATGTGATTTATGGTGAACACCTATTTTTGCCCTGGGAGCCTGGAGTTTGAGTAGCTGAGGTCAGTCATGCAGATATTGCATGTCTGTGTGACTGATCCCAGTCAAATCCTGAATACTAAAGCTCAGGTGAGCTTCCCAGATTGGCAAATACTTCGCCCATGTTGTCACAAATCATTGCTGGAAGAATTAAGCATATTTGTTTGACTCCACTAGAAAAGGACACATGGAAGCCTGTGTCTTGTTTCTCCTGGACTTCACCCCATGCACCTTCACCCTTTTCTGCTTTTAATCTGTATCCCTTTGCTGTAATAAACCATAACCATAAGTATAACAGTTTTTTCTGAGTCCCGTGAGTACTTTTAGTGAATAATTGAGCCTGAGGATGGTCTTGGGGATACCAAACACGGAATAATACTCACCTGACCCCATGAACTCATTAATGCCCACTCTTGGCTTTTGGATCCTGAACCTCCTCACTTAGGACCACCTCTGACATCTTGATTATGCTGCCATCTTGACTGAACTAATCCCCAAAAGGATGGGGAAAACCTCATGCTTGTTGAAAGACTAAATAGAATTTCTACAGTTAGGAAAATAGGATGGCTGTCCTCCCATTTGGGTACCTGCTTAATGCTTGCTATAATGCTTTCCAAAATCCATTCGACAATAGATTTAATTCAGTGCTTACATACTGGTGTCAATTCACATGAGTAATGAGGCCTGATAGCTCTTCTTCAGATTAGCATTGAAACACTCTACAGATAATTTGACATTCCCATCTCACTGTTCCATGTAGTAAACAGAGGCCAAGGAGTCCAGAGAAGGAGTGGGGTCAAACACAGACGATGGGGTTGGGGTGAGGAGAGACACTGGTACTCTTTGCCTTCCATCTTGTTCCTACCAACAAACAGGGACCTAGCATTGACTGTCTGCTGATGCGTGCCCAGCAGTGCCACACAGCTGGCTTGCCAAACAGGAGCACTGGCCACTTGCAGCCCAAGTGGCCAGGGCAGCGAATCCTACAAAACCACTGGGAGGAAGAGAAGGGCCATGATGGGTGAGACAAGAGTGGGTGGGGCTGACAGGAGAGGGAGGGGAAGGCCATGCTCAAGCATGGAACGACAAAATAGAAAAGCGGCAAAGAGGGAAAGAAGTTGAGGAAAGAGCAGTGTAAGGCCTGGCAAAACCCCAATGAGTGAGTAAAAGAAGCAGGAGGTAAAAGGCACCAAAGAAAGTTTTCTGGGAGGTGCCCTTCCTCAAATGTTTGCATGAATCCCCAACACTCCACCTTTCAGGGACAAGCCACCTTAAACACGGGCTGAAATGCTGAATACAGTCAGTTTCACCTCGAAAGTGGACACAAATAAATATTAAAACATAGATAATGGGGAGCTGACTTGTCTGCGAATTTAAATACTGCATTATATTTAATATAAATACCAAAATAAGTGCAAATGATATTAATCCTGCCATGTGTTGTCATGCCACCTCAGACATCTCAGCAGCTTCAAAGAAATTCAAAGAGCTCTTATTAATTAACATGTTCTTGCCTGAGTACTGGGAATATCACTATCAAGTGGAGAGTAGAAATAGGGCATTATTGTATCTTAATTTTATAGAGGCTCAGTAAAGTTAAATGATGGTGCCAGGTGATTCAGAAGCTGAACTGAGAAGAGGATCGAGATCTCTACTCTTATTTAGATGTTAGTGAATGTTCAAAAATTAAAATCGCAAGACATTTAGACATCCAGATTATTAAACAATGGTGACCAAATTATAGCAAACCAACCCAATTCTCCTCATGGTTCAGGTTTTCCCTGGAAGCAGATAGACATCTGGTGTACTCTTCTCTGTACTTCCATTTTGGAACAGTAGGCCCTGAACACATATGCTACCGATGTCCACAGAAACACTGACCTCATTAGCTAAGACTTCCCTTCCTTTCTTTTGCTTGGGAATTCTGGATGCATTTTATTAAAACTAACTTAGTACTTTACTTATTTATGTGGCCCTTGACATTACCCTATGAAATGACTTAGATATGGAAGGAGGGGAGGAGGTAATTACGAATCAGTGTTTATCTCTGCCAGATGCAAAATAAATGTGCAAAGACAAACTAGAGATTATGATTGCTTGTTTCCAGTTTCCTGTTTTCTAACTGTTCTTTGATCTTCCATATTTATGTGCCCATGATCACCCAATAAGATGAATTCTGCATCTTGTTAACTCTAGTTTTGGGGGGTTCGGCTTACTCTTTGTGTTGTTTGCTGCTGGTTGTACTTAGGTATGGAGTACTTTACATGGTACTATTATGTTAAATTGTGTATCTTCTGCAGAGCTCCAAATGTTACTTATCAATTATACAAACGCAGGTTTGTGAGCAAGATCAGTAGCAATCATCCATCCTCATTGAGGAAAAGAAAAAAGTACCCTTGGCCATGGTAAGAGCTACTAAGTATCCAGATATATCCATATATCGACACAGAATATTAATACAAGCAAAGTTTATAACAGAGAAAATTTGATTACAGCTTATATTCCTAGCAATATGGAATTGTCTAAATAAATTATGGAATTTACTTAACATAGAATACCATACATTAATAGCAATTTCAAATGCTAATGTACATTTTATATTTACTGGCATGACATACTGCTGAGCAGAAAAAAATTCTAGTGGACAGAATGTATAGTATGATCCTATATATGTAAGACATATTTACACAAAGACAGGGGGCCACCTAGCAAAATAATAGCTATTCTTGGTGGTGGCATTGTGAGTGGTTTAAAACTTTTTTTGTACATTATTTTCTTTATAAAATGAACATGGATTCCTTGTATAAATATATGTATATATATCACTTGTGTACAAAACAGATAGAAAGGGAGAGAGACAGACACACAGAGTGAGAGAGAGGGACAGACAAGGCTGTCAGGGGAGGCAGATATCTAGCTAGCACACAGCAAACTAAAACAGCAAAACAGCTATTACTGAGAGATGGCTGGGGCAGGCTCAGTGCTACAGCTTGGAGTTTATTATGCAATATCTCACTAAGTCCTCACAACAGTCCTATGTAGTAGGTGATAACAGTATCCCCATTCCATAGATATAAACACCAGGTAGCAGAAAGTTTCATAACTCACCTAAGGAGAGATAGCAAGTGGGTATCAGAGGTGAGATTTAAACCAGCCTCACATGTTCTCTTCCTTGTTTTCCTGCTAACATTTTCTTTTTGTACCAAATGGCATTTGTGTGTGTATGCTTGCGTGTGCAAGGTTTTTTAACTTTTCAGCTAGGTGGGACACATTTAAGTCCTGCCGTTTTATTGGGTACATCTGGTAACTGAATGTTTAGTTGGCTGGCCAGGATTTGATCACGCTAGTTTCAGAAAATTTTCTTAGGCTCTTGTTCTGGTCTGTGTCAATTCTTTTGCCAAACCACGATGAGGTCTAATTTCTGGGTGTTTAATCTCAGCTACATTATCATGCATTGTGACCTAATTCATAATAGACAAGGGGTTGACCTCCTCGATTACTGTTCTATTACATTTTTGGCTCTTATGTCTTCTACCTTTCTTATCAGTTATGGGGTATATACATTGACTATTATACCTGTTCTGTAGTAGTATCCTCATCTCCTAAGCATTAATAAAGAACAGGAAGAGGCAGAAGGCAGGCTTGTTTGTGTGTCTGTCTTCCCATTCAAACTTACCTTTACATCACTGGTGTCTAGCACGTGGCCTGCCTCATATCAGGCACCTCATGCTAAATGAATGAGAATAGCTTATGTCTCTTCAGCCCCTACTATATGCCAAGCACTATCTTATACGCTACATCTAATAATTCATTTACTCCTCAATAATCTTAGAATCATTATTATCACTGCCATTTTATAGATAGGGAAAATGAGACACAGAGAATTTAAATAACTTACACAAGATTGGTTGTGGCTTTAGTTCATGAAGTCTAGCTCCAAAGACTGTGCCCCTAACCATTCTACTATATCATAATTCTTAGTAAAGCATGGGGTCAGGAAGTAGCTGGATGGAAGGGGAGGAAAATGGTTACATCTTAATTGTACTTATCAGTACAAGAAGGAATATTTACTTATTGAAGTTCCTCTGGTGTGAGATACCAATTAATTTATCCTGCCCACTTGTGGACAGCTTTTGCAGCTCAAATGCCATTCTTGAAGGGTCTTAAGTTTGACCTTAGTCTTCAGCGTATACTTGGTGGTTAGCTATATTTTAAAAGCCAAGGTCAATGATTGAGACTAGTAAATTTTGTGGCATTTTTCTCCTGGTGGATCCACTCATATGGCTGCCAGGGATTCCGTGGGCAACCAAGGGCACCCTTCTGGCATCTTGTTCTCTGGTTCCATCAAAACATGCAGTACAGAGATCATGCTGTTGAAAGCCCCAGCAGTGAGCTGCCTATTTTTCTGTAGAAATCTCATTCTAATCACTTATTTCTGAACCATGAGGTTGATCAATTCTTGGAAATAAGTACAATAAATAAACAAACTAGAAACCCCACCGTAATCAGCACTGAAGGGCCTGAGACAGAAGAGGGGATTAAAGCAGCACTCTACTACCTTGCCACAGCATCATTCACTGGCTGTGAATGTACATCTAAGGTAAGCCAGGTACCAGTGGCTACTTTCAAGGTGGGTTAAGTGTGGATTTGGATTTAATTACAGTGTCAATATGTTAAATCCCCTACTGGTTGGTGGGGAAGAGGGGGTGCCAGAGGTGCTGTGTTACAGAACTTTAGACTCTGCCTCCCAGGCTCTGAGTTAATCAGCTTAAATCCCCAAGGTAGACAGGACACTGTGCAGGTCAGTTTGTACTAAAACCAGATTACACTCTGGTGGCTAATAGCTCTGATCGATAACAACCTTCCCCATGAATCTCCTTAATGAGAAACCATCACAAGAATGAAAGAAACTGATAGAAAACCATAATAAATTTATGGAGCTAGAAGGAAAAAAAGAGAAGGCATAGTCTCACAGTGTTTACTCACTTGGGCTTATCTGCCTGAGTCTCCTGTTAGGCTGACACTTGGCAGAGTTATTAACCTTGCCTTTCTTGAGATGGGTCTTATTCTGTAAGCCCAACACATTCTACACTAAATTCTCGCTTATCTGGGGAGCTGGAATGTGAGGGGGGCAGTGTAATGATCAGAAGGTAAGTGATAGGTTTCTTGCATGATTTAAAATTGAAGATGAAAGTTGAAAATCATGCTTTTCAGTTAACTTGAAACAAAGCAGAGAACAAAAACAAACTCCTACTAGTGTTTTAAATCCCTGAACTCCACAGTCTGTCAATGAGTTTCCAGGACAGCTGAAGATGCACAGAAGGAAATTCTGACCCAGGGGACCTTAGGAGATGCATGCTTCAGATATCCATCAAACCAGACTTGTAACAAAGTATCTCAAAGGAGAACTTTACAGAGTATTTGCTCATGCTTTGGCCTCTCTCCAAACCTCTAGACGTGCACATTCAACGACCCAGTCAACATCTCTGCTTAGATGACTAACAGACAACTCAAACTTAATCTGTCCAAAACAGAACTCCTGATTAGCACGTACCTCATAACTCCTTTCCGCTGAGTGTCCTCCATATCAGTAAATGACCATCCACCCCTGTCACTTAGTCATCCTGTTCCATTCTGTGTCTTTCCTCCTGGGCTAAGGGACTTGCCCAGGACATGGTAAGTCCTATTGGCACTGCCTGCAACATACACCTGGAATCTGGCTGCTTCTCTCTGCCCCACTACTGACATCCCAGGCTAGGTCGCCATCATCTCCTACTTGGGAGGCAATAGCCTCCCTGCTTCCACTCTGGCCACCCTGCTGTCCAGTCCCAAAACAATAGTCAGGGTGAGCGTCTAGAAATATAAATCAAATTGGGTTGCTTCTTTGCTCAAAACTCTCCAGTGGTCATAATAAAGTCCAAACTGTCTACCTGGTACTATAAGCCCTGACTTCATCCCTTCCTACCAGTTCCCATGTCTCCTGCTACCTCTCGCTTCATTTTCAGCCTTTGCGCATATTCTTTTTCAGCTTCTCATTATTTAGGTCTCAGCTCAAACGGCACCTTCTCATGGAAAACACTCCCAGCACCTGTGAATGTTACTCAGCTGTATTTTCAAGAGCACACAACACTCTCTGAAACGATGCTATTTCTTTAGTTGTCTGTTTAGTTGCCCATGTATTGCTACCCACTTCAACTTTGTTTATTTTTGTTTATTTCATATACCTTGATCTAAGAACAGCACTGGAACATAGTAGATGTTTAACAAAAATGAATGAATAGGCTGGGTGTGGTGGTTTACGCCTGTAATCTCAGCACTTTGGGAGGCTGAGGCAGGTGGATCGTCTGAGGGCAGGAGTTTGAGACCAGCCTAACCAACATGGTAAAACCCCATCTCTACTAAAAATACAAAATGATCCAGGCGTGGTGGTGCATGCCTGTAATCCCAGCTACTTGGGAGGCTGAGGCAGGAGAATCGCTTGAACCCAGGAGGCGGAGGTTGCAGTGAGCTGAGATTGTGCCATTGCATTCCAGCCTGGGCAACAAGAGTGTTGATTTAAAAAAAATCTTGATTTAAAAAATATATCTTGATTAAAAAAAGAAAAAAGGAAAATGAATGAATAAACATCTGAGATGCCACTAGGTCTGACCAGAAATGATCTTACAGTATTAGTTAGACTAGTTAAACTGATTGGAAAGGAGAAACTTTGTTGGCATATAAACATCAAATTGTCAAGTTAATTGCTTTTAGCCTTCTAGACTAGAGATAGCATTTCTTACATATTGCTCTTCTTAGGTTTCCAAGATAAATATCTACACATTGTTTTGTTGTTACAAGATGAAAAACCTGTAGTTTCGATTCAAACTTTTTTTCCTAAGATGTAAGTAACCATGGAACATCTATTTTTCCATAGGTCATGAAGTCGTATGAGAAACCTAGTAAATTATTCAAGATCCCTTGTGCTGTTTTAGTCACAATTACTATGTATATATATATATATATAATTTTTTTTTTCTAGAAGAAACCTACCTTGAAATAATTGAGAAGGGTACATACCACATATCCTCTTAAAAGTTATACAACTCCAATTCAACCAAAAATATGTACTGAGTGCCTACGATCTACCAGATATTTGTACTGAATTTGGAACACCAGGTGTTGTTATTATTCCCATTTTGGATTAGGATATGAAGACTCAGTGAGGTTAAGTTCCTTGTTTAAGGTTACATGGTGAGGTGCCAGTATTTGAAACCTCCAGCCTGATGCTCTTTCAATTCTTTCTTTTCACTTACTTTCACACTACATAAAATCTTGATCCCAGTTTTTGTTCCCTCCTGCAACAGATAAAGTTGGAGAAGCAGCACCTTGCTGGGGATAAGATATGGGCTCGGAGGCAGGGGACAGGACACCACTTCCAGTTGCCCCGCATTGTGGTTCCCCCAAATGCTGTGTGACTTTATGAAGTTCTTTAACTCTGTTGTGGAGTCAAAAATGGGAGTCTACCTCAACAGAATAAGGATGCTGTGGCTTTGATGGAGTGGTGAAGCAGCCTCTCTTACTGTCAGAGCAATGCTATAGAACTCATAAGTTCTCATTTTAGTTCAAAACATCAGGCTTGACTAAAGGATTTCAGGACAACCCTTTTCTGGGCTTCAGGCTTGTGTGCCCAGCTGCTTACTTGATATGTCTCCATTTGTGCAGCAAACATGACAAGCTTTACAAGATCCACTGCAGAACACGAGATTCACCATCCACCATTCCAACTCCCCCACAAATAGATTCCTCTCTCAGGGTGGCCCATACCAGCATGTGGGAACACCAACACCTGGTGGCTCTCATAAACAACCTCAGTCTCATCCTTATTTCTCCCTTTCTTCATTCCCCTTCCCCCTATATCCAGTCTATCAGCAAATGCTCTCAATTCTTCCAGAATACATCTTGAGTATGTTTGCACTGCTCTCCCTGGTCACCACTATTCCCATCCAAACCCTCTTCATTTTTTACCTAAAAGATGGTACCATGTAATAGTCTCCTTACTTTCTCACCCTTCCACTCCTGTTATCCTAGAATCCAGTTTCTATAAAGCAGCAAATCATGACACTTGTCTAGTTTAAAATTTCCCAATGGCTCCCCATCACCCTTAGCCTAACACCTTACCATGGCCTACAAAGCCCTGCATAGTTTAGCCCAGGTGTTTGTACCCTGGAGTCCACAGATAGGATTCACAGGATCTATGATTTTGAATGGGAAAAAAAAAATCACATCTTTATTTTCATAAACTCTAATTGAAATAGAACATTCCATTGAGCGATGCAGAAAATCTAGGTGGCATCAGCAGTACCTGCGACTTTGTCACCAGTACAAACAGAAATACAGATATTTCGTATCCCATTACAATTGTTGCAGATATCTTGAAATATCATTATTTTAATGTTAGTTATTAGATCTGCTACAAAAGTGCTAAAGAATCATTTACATTTTATATTACAAGTGTGTCTTTTAAATATTTTGATACCTGTATTTTAGTGTAAATGGCTTCCTTTGCATTCCTGTGTATTTTATGCAATTAAGAACATGATTCTGAGAAGGGATCCATGCGCTTCAACACATTGCCAAAGGGTCCAGAAAAGTTTAAGCACCTGGTACCCAGCTCCTTTGAGCTCTCACGCAATGCTCTCCTGCAGTGTTTCTTCCTGCCTCAGAAATACCAGACTAGCTCCTACCTCAGAGCCTTACAGTGGCCGTTCCTCTGCCTGGAACTCCTCTACCCATGGCAGGTTCCTTCTCATCAGCTGTACCTTTGCTTGAATGACACTTCTTCAGATGGGCCTTCACAAACCAGCACACACAAACCCTCACCCCAGTTCTTCTTTGCCACAAAGCCTCCATTATTCCTTCATAGCTTTTGCCACCATTACCAGAGACAATCTTGTTTATTTATTTACTTGTTCATTCTGTTCCTTTCTCCCCAGCAGGGAAGCTCTGTTAGTACATGAGATTCTTCTGGCCTGTCCACAGCTACGTTCCTGTTTCTTAAATATCTAATTTGTGCTTGATAAATATTAGCTGAAGAAATAAATCCTTCTAAGCCAGAGAGGATCACTTTGGGTAGACATCAAATGAATATAACTGAAATGCATATATAAGACCATTTGCTTGGACTCTTCCCATTAAATACAGTAATTTTTGCCACACACATGTGCACAGCAGTTACTCTGGCACTCACAGCTGTGATCTGGCTGAAGCATAAAGTCATATTCAAGGACACCCTGGAGATTTGTGATGCTCCCTGGAGGACTTAGGCCAATAAGCCAATTAACGGGCTATAATGCTCCATAAATACTATGCTTATGCCTGGGACATTGTAATTTGGCTCTGACATTATTTAAACAAATGCTACACACACTCACACCAATGGTTTATTTTTCCAAGGATTAGATCAGTGGCACAACAGGATTAGATGGCAAATCATTTTATATATTCACTTGTAACTTCAGACATACACAAAATAAAAATAATCTCTAATTATTTTAGATCATTACAGCATAGGAGTGATCACAGCCAAATGGAGATTGCTTATCTGAAATATGAGAAGATACTTCAGAATTATGTGGCATATCTGATCAATGTAAAGCAAGAAACATGAGATAACCAAGACAGAATGGAGAGCAAGGAAACAGAAGTTTTTAGAATAAATTGATAAAATGCATAGTGCCAAAAGTAGATATTATTTATTTTGGGAACAATAAATTCATACTGTGTGGTTTTTCTTTTTTTGAGATGGAGTCTCGCTCTGTCACCCAGGCTGGAGTGCAGTGGCACAATCTTGGCTCACTGCAACCTCCACCTCCCAGGTTCAAGCTATTCTCGTGCCTCAGCCTCCTGAGTATCTGAGATTACACACATGCACCACCACGCCCGGGTAATTTTTGTACTTTTAGTAGAGATGGGGTTTTGCCATGTTGGCCAGGCTGTTCTTGAACTCCTGACTTCAAGTGATCCACCCGCCTTGGCCTCCCAAAGTGCTGGGATTACAGGTGTGAGCCACTGTGGCTGGCCCTGTATGGTCTTTTTAAACACAAATAGCAGCTCTCATTCCCCTGATCTTGCTTCATTTTAATTCTTACTGGCCCCCAGACTGGAAGGTTACTGGTGTCTAATGACCACTCCGTTGGACTGCTGTTGGAGTCTGGGTTTCTGAACATTTGAATAATTACTTCCAGCAGAAGTACATGATCATGGGATACACTGTACCAGGACAGTGTACCAAATAAGAGCCCCCACTGGAGCACCAGACAAAAGATGAGAATACGATAAATAACATGAATATGAACAATAAATTCCTATTTTGATAATAGGGATGTTTGAAGGAATAGAGAGGAAAAAATAACATTCAAAACCAGGTTTTCAAAATGGTACTACACTTACATATCTGTGTCCCTCAGGTGTAGTGAGAATGTGAGTAAGAAAACTATCCAAGCAGAGTATGGTGGAGGGATTTCAAGGAAATACAATGCACACGGAAAACAGACGACAGAGCAGACAATGTCACCACATGCTCCCAAAGTAAGCAAGAATGGGAACACTTTGAAAAAGGGGAAATTTCTTCCAAATAGAAGGACCATGAAAACAGAGGAACTCTTGGATTTGCAGTCCCTATAGTCCAATGTTTTGCTGCCTAAAAGGGCCCCACATATTTACGAGGGCCTGGCTGACTTGGCTGACATTAGATACATCCTAGCACCTAATGGATTAGGAATCATTCAAGGCTCCACTTGAGGCAGCGGCTTAAGTTCATGCACCACGATGGAGGTGGTATCTCCTTATTTTTGTTCTAAACTCTGTCTTTGAATTTCAAAGGGATCCCACCACCATTTAAGTAATTTGGAATGTGTGAGGCACTCCCTGTTCACATTGTCTAAGCTGTTCATGATTTTCAAGATTTCAGACATGTCCCTCAGTAGCATCCTCACATCTAGATTAGTAGCATCCTCACATCTAGATTAGTAGCATCCTCATATCTCTCACTTTCTGTGCAGGCATCTGTGTTAACCACTCCCCTGGACTTTTTGGATATCTTTCACTGGGTATGGGGCCCAGAATATCAGATTACCAGGTGAAGACACCTCGCTGTGTTATCTGAGCAGAGGGCAATGTTCTCTATTTTGCTGGTCTTACTTCCTTTGATTATGTTTAATGTTTGTAGATCACTTTGCTATAAAACTCACAGACTTGTCTTCAGAAAAGACATACTTTTTTTTTTTTTGAGGTAATGGTATGTTTTCTTTTTTATTATTATACTTTAAGTTTTAGGGTACATGTGCACATTGTGCAGGTTAGTTACATATGTATACATGTGCCATGCTGGTGCACTGCACCCACTAACTCGTCATCTAGCATTAGGTATATCTCCCAATGCTATCCCTCCCCCCTCCCCCCACCCCACAACAGTCCCCAGACTGTGATATTCCCCTTCCTGTGTCCATGTGATCTCATTGTTCAATCCCCACCTATGAGTGAGAATATGCAGTGTTTGGTTTTTTGTTCTTGCGATAGTTTACTGAGAATGAAGTTTTCCAGTTTCATCCATGTCCCTACAAAGGGCATGAACTCATCATTTTTTATGGCTGCATAGTATTCCATGGTGTATATGTGCCACATTTTCTTAATCCAGTCTATCATTGTTGGACATTTGGGTGGGTTCCAAGTCTTTGCTATTGTGAATAATGCCGCAATAAACATACATGTGCATGTGTCTTTATAGCAGCATGATTTATAGTCCTTTGGGTATATACCCAGTAATGGGATGGCTGGGTCAAATGGTATTTCTAGTTCTAGATCTCTGAGGAATCGCCACACTGACTTCCACAATGGTTGAACTAGTTTACAGTCCCACCAACAGTGTAAAAGTGTTCCTATTTCTCCACATCCTCTCCAGCACCTGTTGTTTCCTGACTTTTTAATGATCGCCATTCTAACTGGTGTGAGATGGTATCTCATTGTGGTTTTGATTTGCATTTCTCTGATGGCCAGTGATGGTGAGCATTTTTTCATGTGTTTTTTGACTGCATAAATGTCTTCTTTTGAGAAGTGTCTGTTCATGTCCTTCGCCCACTTTTTGATGGGGTTGTTTGTTTTTTTCTTGTAAATTTGTTTGAGTTCATTGTAGATTCTGGATATTAGCCCTTTGTCAGATGAGTAGGTTGGGAAAATTTTCTCCCATTCTGTAGGTTACCTGTTCACTCTGATGGTAGTTTCTTTTGCTGTGCAGAAGCTCTTTAGTTTAATTAGATCCCATTTGTCAATTTTGGCTTTTGTTGCCATTGCTTTTGGTGTTTTAGACATGAAGTCCTTGCCCATGCCTATGTCCTGAATGGTAATGCCTAGGTTTTCTTCTAGCGTTTTTATGGTTTTAGGTCTAACGTTTAAGTCTTTAATCCATCTTGAATTGATTTTTGTATAAGGTGTAAGGAAGGGATCCAGTTTCAGCTTTCTACATATGGCTAGCCAGTTTTCCCAGCACCATTTATTAAATAGGGAATCCTTTCCCCATTGCTTGTTTTTCTCAGGTTTGTCAAAGATCAGATAGTTGTAGATATGCGGCGTTATTTCTGAGGGCTCTGTTCTGTTCCACTGATCTATATCTCTGTTTTGGTACCAGTACCATGCTGTTTTGGTTACTGTAGCCTTGTAGTATAGTTTGAAGTCAGGTAGTGTGATGCCTCCAGCTTTGTTCTTTTGGCTTAGGATTGACTTGGCGACGCGGGCTCTTTTTTGGTTCCATATGAACTTTAAAGTAGTTTTTTCCAATTCTGTGAAGAAAGGCATTGGTAGCTTGATGGGGATGGCATTGAATCTGTAAATTACCTTGGGCAGTATGGCCATTTTCACGATATTGATTCTTCCTACCCATGAGCATGGAATGTTCTTCCATTTGTTTGTATCCTCTTTTATTTCCTTGAGCAGTGGTTTGTAGTTCTCCTTGAAGAGGTCCTTCACATCCCTTGTAGTTGGATTCCTAGGTATTTTATTCTCTTTGAAGCAATTGTGAATGGGAGTTCACTCATGATTTGGCTCTCTGTTTGTCTGTTGCTGGTGTGTAAGAATGCTTGTGATTTTTGTACATTGATTTTGTATCCTGAGACTTTGCTGAAGTTGCTTATCAGCTTAAGGAGATTTTGGGCTGAGGCAATGGGGTTTTCTAGATATACAATCATGTCGTCTGCAAACAGGGACAATTTGACTTCCTCTTTTCCTAATTGAATACCCTTTATTTCCTTCTCCTGCCTAATTGCCCTGGCCAGCACTTCCAACACTATGTTGAATAGGAGTGGTGAGAGAGGGCATCCCTGTCTTGTGCCAGTTTTCAAAGGGAATGCTTCCAGTTTTTGCCCATTCAGTATGATATTGGCTGTGGGTTTGTCATAGATAGCTCTTATTATTTTGAGATACGTCCCATCAATACCTAATTTATTGAGAGTTTTTAGCATGAAGGGTTGTTGAATTTTGTCAAAGGCTTTTTCTGCATCTATTGAGATACTCATGTGGTTTTTGTCTTTGGCTCTGTTTATATGCTGGATTACATTTATTGATTTGCGTATATTGAACCAACCTTGCATCCCAGGGATGAAGCCCACTTGATCATGGTGGATAAGCTTTTTGATGTGCTGCTGGATTCGTTTTGCCAGTATTTTATTGAGAATTTTTGCATCAATGTTCATCAAGGATATTGGTCTAAAATTCTCTTTTTTTGTTATGTCTCTGCCTGGCTTTCGTATCAGAATGATGCTGGCCTCATAAAATGAGTTAGGGAGGATTCCCTCTTTGTCTATTGATTGGAATAGTTTCAGAAGGAATGGTACCAGTTCCTCCTTGTACCTCTGGTAGAATTCAGCTGTGAATCCATCTGGTCCTGGACTCTTTTTCGTTGGTAAGCTATTGATTATTGCCACAATTTCAGATCCTGTTATTGGTCTATTCAGAGATTCAACTTCTTCCTGGTTGAGTCTTGGGAGGGTGTATGTGTCGAGGAATTTATCCATTTCTTCTAGATTTTCTAGTTTATTTGCGTAGAGGTGTTTGTAGTATTCTCTGATGGTAGTTTGTATTTCTGTGGGATCGGTGGTGATATCCCCTTTATCATTTTTTATTGCATCTATTCGATTCTTCTCTCTTTTTTTCTTTATTAGTCTTGCTAGTGGTCTATCAATCTTGTTGATCCTTTCAAAAAACCAGCTCCTGGATTCGTTAATTTTTTGAAGGGTTTTTTGTGTCTCTATTTCCTTCAGTTCTGCTCTGATTTTAGTTATTTCTTGCCTACTGCTAGCTTTTTAATGTGTTTGCTCTTGCATTTCTAGTTCTTTTAATTGTGATGTTAGGGTGTCAATTTTGGATCTTTCCTGCTTTCTCTTGTGGGCATTTAGTGCTATAAATTTCCCTCTACACACTGCTTTGAATGCGTCCCAGAGATGCTGGTATGTTGTGTCTTTGTTGTTGTTGGTTTCAAAGAACATCTTTATTTCTGCCTTCATTTCGTTATGTATCCAGTAGTCATTCAGGAGCAGGTTGTTCAGTTTCCATGTAGTTGAGCGGTTTTGAGTGAGATTCTTAACCCTGAGTTCTAGTTTGATTGCACTGTGGTCTGAGAGACAGTTTGTTATAATTTCTGTTCTTTTACATTTGCTGAGGAGAGCTTTACTTCCAAGTATGTGGTCAATTTTGGAATAGGTGTGGTGTGGTGCTGAAAAAAATGTATATTCTGTTGATTTGGGGTGGAGAGTTCTGTAGATGTCTATTAGGTCTGCTTGGTGCAGAGCTGAGTTCAATTCCTGGGTATCCTTGTTGACTTTCTGTCTCGTTGATCTGTCTAATGTTGACAGTGGGGTGTTAAAGTCTCCCATTATTAATGTGTGGGAGTCTAAGTCTCTTTGTAGGTCACTCAGGACTTGCTTTATGAATCTGGGTGCTCCTGTATTGGGTGCATATATATTTAGGATAGTTAGCTCTTCTTGTTGAATTGATCCCTTTACCATTAAGTAATGGCCTTCTTTGTCTCTTTTGATCTTTGTTGGTTTAAAGTCCGTTTTATCAGAGACTAGGATTGCAACCCCTGCCTTTTTTTGTTTTCCATTTGCTTGGTAGATCTTCCTCCATCCTTTTATTTTGAGCCTATGTGTGTCTCTGCATGTGAGATGGGTTTCCTGAATACAGCACACTGATGGGTCTTGACTCTTTATCCAATTTGCCAGTCTGTGTCTTTTAATTGGAGCATTTAGTCCATTTACATTTAAAGTTAATATTGTTATGTGTGAATTTGATCCTGTCATTATGATGTTAGCTGGTTATTTTGCTCGTTAGTTGCAGTTTCTTCCTAGTCTCGATGGTCTTTACATTTTGGCATGATTTTGCAGCGGCTGGTACCGGTTGTTCCTTTCCATGTTTAGCGCTTCCTTCAGGAGCTCTTTTAGGGCAGGCCTGGTGGTGACAAAATCTCTCAGCATTTGCTTGTCTGTAAAGTATTTTATTTCTCCTTTGCTTATGAAGGTTAGTTTGGCTGGATATGAAATTCTGGGTTGAAAATTCTTTTCTTTAAGAATGTTGAATATTGGCCCCCACTCTCTTCTGGCTTGTAGGGTTTCTGCCGAGAGATCCGCTGTTAGTCTGATGGGCTTCCCTTTGAGGGTAACCCGCCCTTTCTCTCTGGCTGCCCTTAAGATTTTTTCCTTCATTTCAACTTTGGTGAATCTGACAATTATGTGTGGTGAATCTGACAATTATGTGTCTTGGAGTTGCTCTTCTCGAGGAGTATCTTTGTGGCGTTCTCTGTATTTCCTGAATCTGAACGTTGGCCTGCCTTGCTAGATTGGGGAAGTTCTCCTGGATAATATCCTGCAGAGTGTTTTCCAACTTGGTTCCATTCTCCCCATCACTTTCAGGTACACCAATCAGATGTAGATTTGGTCTTTTCACACAGTCCCATATTTCTTGGAGGCTTTGCTTCTTTCTTTTTATTCTTTTTTCTCTAAACTTCCCTTCTCGCTTCATTTCATTCATTTCATCTTCCATTGCTGATGCCCTTTCTTCCAGTTGATCGCATCAGCTCCTGAGGCTTCTGCATTCTTCACGTAGTTCTCGAGCCTTGGTTTTCAGCTCCATCAGCTCCTTTAAGCACTTCTCTGTATTGGTTATTCCTGTTATACATTCTTCTAAAGTTTTTTCAAAGTTTTCAACTTCTTTGCCTTTGGTTTGAATGTCCTCCTGTAGCTCAGAGTAATTTGATCGTCTGAAGCCTTCTTCTCTCAGCTCCTCAAAGTCATTCTCCATCTAGCTTTGTTCCGTTGCTGGTGAGGAACTGCGTTCCTTTGGAGGAGGAGAGGCGCTCTGCTTTTTTAGAGTTTCCAGTTTTTCTGTTCTGTTTTTTTCCCCATCTTTGTGGTTTTATCTACTTTTGGTCTTTGATGATGGTGATGTACAGATGGGTTTTTGGTGTGGATGTCCTTTCTGTTTGTTAGTTTTCCTTCTGACAGACAGGACCCTCAGCTGCAGGTCTGTTGGAATACCCTGCAGTGTGAGGTGTCAGTGTGCCCCTGCTGGGGGGTGCCTCCCAGTTATGCTGCTCGGGGGTCAGGGGTCAGGGACCCACTTGAGGAGGCAGTCTGCCCGTTCTCAGATCTCCAGCTGCATGCTGGGAGAACCACTGCTCTCTTCAAAGCTGTCAGACAGGGACATTTAAGTCTGCAGAGGTTACTGCTGTCTTTTTGTTTGTCTGTGCACTGCCCCCAGAGGTGGAGCCTACAGAGGCAGGCAGGCCTCCCTGAGCTGTGGTGGGCTCCACCCAGTTGGAGCTTCCGGGCTGCTTTGTTTACCTAATCAAGCCTGGGCAGTGGCGGGCGCCCCTCCCCCAGCCTTGCTGTGGCCTTGCAGTTTGATCTCAGACTGCTGTGCTAGCAATCAGCGAGAATCCGTGGGTGTAGGACCCTCCAAGCCAGGTGCGGGATATAATCTGGTGCGCCGTTTTTTAAGCCTGTCGGAAAAGCGCAGTATTCCGGTGGGAGTGACCCGATTTTCCAGGTGCCGTCCGTCACCCCTTTCTTTGACTCAGAAAGGGAACTCCCTGACCCCTTGCGCTTCCCAAGTGAGGCAATGCCTCGCCCTACTTCGGCTGGCGCACGGTGCGTGCACCCACTGACCTGCGCCCACTGTCTGGCACTCCCTAGTGAGATGAACCCGGTACCTCAGATGGAAATGCAGAAATCACCGTCTTCTGTGTCACTCAGGCTGGGAGCTGTAGACTGGAGCTGTTCCTATTCGGCCATCTTGGCTCCTCCCAGAAAAGACATTCTTAAGGGGTAAGGGGTAACAGCTCAAATGAAATGATTCATGACATCAGGGACTGGCATTTATAGAAGGGCAGGCAGGAAACCAGCTGGATGAATAGAGTTGGGGTCTGCGGGAAAGCTCTGCTCCAACTGGGAAACACATATACATTTTTAGCTTGAGTGATCCTGAGACATGCAACCCCTAGGTGTCCCTGTGGCAGAACCAAGCCAACCATTAAAGAACCCAAGTTAATAACTAGCCCAGTCTCTGTCTATATGTATAACTGAAGCACCAGCTCTCCCTTTAAGACTAACAAATCATATCTACTGTCGTGGAACCCACAGAAGTATACTATGGCCTTCTCATGGAAGAGGGAATATGCAGTGAAGTGTTGAGACCTTCTCTCACTTTTCATACTTAAGGCATTTTAAGGGTTCAAGAGACACTTTTAGAAAAATCTCTGTTTTATAGTTTACATAATTACCTTTCTAGGTTAGGGGTATTTGACTTAGGTTATAGGGCTTCAGAAAATCTGTGACCCCTTTGAACCTGTATTTGGACAATGGATGTGTGTCTATTTTGGGGGAGACAGTTCAAGCTTTTATCAGATTCTCACACATATCTGAGATACAGGAAAGGGTAAGAGGCACTGTTCTGGACCATTTCCCTAAACTGCCTTGAGACAATCCTTGGTTCAATCCAACTTTCTGAAGTTTGAGAATTTTTTTTTTTGAGATGGAGTTTCACTTTTGTTGCCTGGACTGGAGTGCAATGGCACAATCTCGGCTCACTGCAACCTCTGCCTCCCGGGTTCAAGCGATTCTCCTGTCTCAGCCTCCCGAGTAGCTGGGATTACAGGCATGTGCCACCACGCCCGGCTAATTTTATATTTTTAGTAGAGACGGAGTTTCTCCTTGTTGGTCAGGCTGGTCTTGAACTCCCGACCTCAGGTGATCCGCCTGCCTCAGCCTCCCAAAGTGCTGAGATTACAGGCA
This sequence comes from Homo sapiens, assembly GCF_000001405.40. Classification (NCBI taxonomy): domain Eukaryota; kingdom Metazoa; phylum Chordata; class Mammalia; order Primates; family Hominidae; genus Homo; species Homo sapiens. Next base: position 126,897,320 of record NC_000005.10, read on the forward strand.
TGAGCCACCGCCCCTGGCCAAGAAATTTAAGGATGCGGATTTGGATGCCTTCTGAGAATTGTCATTTATCCTTAGACCCTGACCCTCTCCTTACTCCTCAAATAAAAATTAAAAAATCAACCTAGGTTGCAAAATATGAGATTAAAAAAATTAACTGTATAGTTTTAGATAACATAGGACAACAGAATCAAGAAAGCATCCAAATTAAATTAATGGGCTTAAAGGAAGGAGAGGGCTCTTATTGAGCAAGAATGGCAAAAATTCAGATAATATAAAAAGTTCAATATGCAAATGATATCCATAAAAGAAGAAAGTAAAAGATGAACAGTGACAGGGAGAAAGCCAAAGTTTAAGAGGGGAAGAAACCATTGACGCCTCTGGGCCAGTTTCCTCATTTATATCCACAAATAGGAGACCATTAGAGCACCCAGAACAGTGCACAGGGTAAGGCCTCAGGAAATAATTACTAGTAGTAGTAGCAGGAGGAGTATATTAAGGTAACCAGGATGTTGAGGAAAAAAAATCAGAAATAAAAAATTTAGCAAGGAAGGTTAAGATACATTTTCTATAAAATCTGAGACTAGAGCTTGCAAACATTATGCTAAGTGAAGGAAGCCAATCACAAAGGTCCACATACTGTAGGATTCCATTCATAGGAAATGTCCAGAACAGGCAAATCCATAGAGGCTGAAGATAGATTAGTGGCTGCCTAGGCTGGGGGTGGGGGACAGAGAAGGGACAGCTGGAGAGTGAAGGCTGCAGTGTATGAGGTTTCTTTTTGGGTGATGAAAATGTTCTAAAATCAACTGTGGTGATGACTATACAACCGTGAAAATACAAAATACCATGAAATTGTACACTTTAAATGGTGAATTGTATGGTATGGTATGTGAATTTTTATATCTTGATAAAGCTGTTCAAAAAATCTGAGACTGGAAGACCCTTTAGTTAAGAAAAATCTGAAGTATCCTATAGATTTCTCTAAGGAAACCCTCCATCTTGCATAAATTCTATTATGTAGGTATTTCCTTTGCCTTGCCACATCTTCGTCTAACGGAGTGATTTTTCAGATACATATAAGGCATGTCTTAAAAACAGCTGACATAGGTATATTTTGATAAATGAATTCAACATTGAAGTCACAGATTTTTAGCAGATAAACCAGTGTTTAGAAAAATATTGGAGCCATTTATTACCTCCATCTCTCATGCCTATTCTCCCATCACCTACCAGCTACATAATGCAAAGAGCAAGCCTTTGGAAGCGGTGAATTGTAAGGAAGGGGCCGCCTTATTTTCTAGGATGGTGCATATTTTCCCTTCATCTCCCAATTTCTGCTTTACTGACTCTTCCCAGATGTAAGTCCTTAAATGCCTATAAATTCTATTTTACAACTTTTCTGCTGCTCCTACGTGCCAGCATTTCATATAAGTTATATTAGCCATTTTCCCTCGGAGCCCTAAAAGACTTTGAACCTCACTACTTATTCCAACTTTCTATTTATAATAGCATCGCTAGAGGTGAAGCAATGATGAAATAATGAGTAGAAAACATTTCATTTTCTTCTTGTAATCTGACTTCAATCTTCACAAACAGATTATACATTTTCATAAGTGGCACATCTAAGAATTAAACTTTTTTTTTTAGTATCCAAACTAAAAGCTTCAAAAGCATATTATTTCTCTTTCGTGTTTTACAAGCACCAACATAACCTTCTTCTCACATATCCATCACAGTGTAAATCTATCCCTCTAACTCTGTAATGATGGATTGCAAAGAAACCGCTTTATCCCAAACAATCTCACAGCGTTCCTATCTCTTCAAGAAAGGAGGCGGGCAGTGGTGAGGCACGCCACAGAAACATACATTCCATGAAGAATGAGGAGGACGGCAAAGCCTGAAGACCTGACAGGGGTGTTTTCTTATCTTCCCCCAAATCTGCTGCACCTGTCAAAAAAAGTGAGGCAAAGAATTGAGGGAGAGCCACAAATAATTGAAGAGAAAAATCAGTGTTTTCCTTTCTGGGTTGCAAAATAAGGTTTACCAATCTGAATTATCTTGATGGTAGTTTTAAAGAAATTTGTCTCACAAGTGTGTACAGCCACATGAGGACTGATTAACCTTCACAACCATTCGTGAAAGGAGGGAAAGGTTTCTGACAATTTTGGATTAAAAGATTCCTCCTAAGGAATTGGTAACATAATGACTCAGTAAACTGAAGACTCAAATGCAGAGGAAGAGTAACTAAATGAGAAGAAAAAAAGAAAGGCTATGTAAAGTCACTTGAAAATGAAGAATGATTTTTCTGGCTTCTGATAGGGTGCTGTAGCCAAAAGCTTTGCTTTCCAACTAGAGTACAAAGAGACACAGGAAAGAAGTGCCACTCTACTCTTCCAGCACTTGATCTGGCACAGCTCAGGGTGTTTTTTAAAACAGACTTTATTTTTTAGAGCAGTTTTTGGTTCACAGCAAAATTGAATGGAAAGCACAGAGGGTTCTCATATATCCCTGTCTCCCCCTGTCCCCTACAGTCCCCTCTACTGTCAACAGCCCACACCACAGTGGTACATGTGTCACTAGTGATGAACCTACCTTGACACATCATCACCAAAGCTCATGCCTTACATTAGAGTTAACTCTTGTGTTGAACGTTCTATGGGTTTTGATATAATGACATGAATCCACCATTATAGTGCAGACTAGTTTCACTGCCCTAAAAATCCTCTGTGCTCCACCTTTTCATCCTTCCCTCCTTGCTAACTCTCTGATTTAATAGACGAATCTGGTGTCAAGAGGAAATAAGGGCTTTACTCATAATTTTTTTTTCCATCTTCCCCCTTCTGAAGCACATGTAGTTTCTTGGAAAGGCTTATCGGCAAAGAAACCCTCAGCTCTATGTGTGCATAGGTTCATGCCAATGAGCAAATGCAAGAAAGTACTTTAGAGCCAGGAAGGAAGCCAGGTGCAATGGTCTGAATGTTTGTGTCCTCCAAAATTCATATTTTGAAATCCTAACCCTCAAGGTGATGGTATTAGGAAGTGGGGCCTTTGGGAGGTGATTAGGTCAGGAGGATGGAGCACCCATGACTGAGATTTGTGCCCTTACAAAAGAGACTCCAGAGAACTAGCTCTTCCCGTCTACCATGTGAGGACATAGACAGAAGTTGGCAGTCTGCAACCAGGAGGAGGACCCTCACTAGAACCCAACTATGTCGGCACCCTGACCTTGGACTTCCCAGCCTCCAGGACTGTGAGAAATACATTTCTGTTGTTTATAAGCCATTCAGTTTACAGTATTTCATTTATAGTAGCCAGAATGGACTGGGCCACTAGGTGTGGTGGAAAGAACGTGGGCTTTGGAGATAGACCTGGATTCTTCTTTAATTTTTTTTTTTTTTTTGAGATGGAGTCTCACTCTGTTGCCCAGGCTGGACTGCAGTGGCATGATCTCAACTCACTGCAACCTCTGCTTCCTGTGTTCAAGTGATTCTCCTGGCTTAGCCTCTCAAATAGCTGGGATTACAGGAGCCTGCCACCACGCCCAGCTAATTTTTGTGTTTTCAGTAGAGACAGGGTTTCACCATGTTGGTCAGGCTGGTCTCGAACTTCTGATCTTAGTCACGTGATCCACCCGCCTCAGGCTTCCAAAGTGCTGGGATAACAGGCATGAGCCACCGTGCCTGGACCACCTGCATTATTCTTTTGCCTTCTCCACTTACTAGCCCTGAGGCTGAAAGTATTTAAGATCAATGAAGAGTGACTTAGGTCTGAGTTGCAGCTTCCTTATCTACAGAATACGATAATATCTGCTATGAGAAGGATACCTGAGACATTGAAATAAGATGATTATATAAAGTGTATACAAGCACAACATAACTTTCTTCTCACATATCCATCACAGTGCAAATCTAACCCCTTAACTCTGTAAAACTAGATTGCAAAGAATATTGCATGTAATATTTTTCCTTTGCCTCAGAAATGGGTAAACAAAATTTAAGAAGAAAAAACTCTGGGGTGTGAACATCTTGATAAACATAGATGGACTCACGTTAATTAATGCCACTGGACTGGAATCAAGATCTGTGCCTATTCTGGAAAGTAAAATTCTTTGCACAAACAGGCATAGCAGGTCTCATTCAGTGAATAAACAACCACCGATCTCCCTGTGCCTAACTGAAGATACTTCTCTCTGCTCACTCGTTTACAACTGATTGTTAGGCAGTGTGAGGGATTAGCTATAATCATGTATTGTTCTCAATATTTCACACATTAGTCATTTAAAACTATGTATTCTTTCTTTGGAGTTAAAAGTCAGTTGTTGACACTTAAAACTGAAGATGCTTGTGGAGGGCTGGCAGGAGCCCTCAGCAGGGAGCGTTATGCATATTCTATAACTCTGCTTCTGAAATCTGCACCAGGGCTTCTGCAATTTATGTCTCCCTTCAGCTCAACCAGGTGCCTTGTACCCAACACAGGGCAATTCCTGAGAGTTAATTGTGCCTTGTTATTTCAGCAGGACTTAGGATGAAGGTGATTACCAGCTGTAGTTATTCAGTGACATTTCAATTCTCCTCTCTCAGACTCCCCCTTACAAAGCTTTTCTGCCAGCAGCCCAAGACACCTTGACTTCCACCACCCCAACACCCATGGAATAACTTCTAATTGTCTGCCTTTCAAAGAAGTGAACTCCATAGCTGTCAACATTTGCTGTACTAATTGTTTGTACATTTGGAGTTAGCTGAAAGGGTCCGGAATCTTTCAAGATGATCTGTCTCTTCTGTTAACTTCCTCTTATTCTTGGTCCACATGTGCTTAAGGAAAACCTGGCTGGATTTCCTCCCTATTTGAGAACACCTAGGGATGAATCAGTGAAGACCACGGTTTTCTCCCTGGCCCCAACAGGCTATTCCTTTGAAGGCGTTTGTTAATTCTGGGTAGTGAATACACACCTGTTTGTTATAGTATTCTTTGTCCTCTTCTGTATTTTTAAAAACATAGATTAAAATGAACATGTTATATGAAGCAATTATTGGTGTTTTGCATCTTTGTGTTTCTGCTCACAGAAGTCCTTGGAAAGATGAAGAGGGCTGCTATCAAGGTGGACAGAGGTCCTCTTGAGAATGTGGGTTCTCATTTGTATCCAACCCAAGTTCACAGCAAGGATCAGAACAATTGAAAATAACAGAATCTGGTTATGGAATTCTTTTTATACACAGAACTGGATTTTCCCTCCAAATTAATCCTTTACCAGCAGTGGATGGGCTAAAAACACAGACACTGAGCAGTTAGCTCACTTCCATCTGGCACGGTCATGTGAACACTTCGGTTGGTGGTTTGCTTTTTTAATGAAGTGATTTTTAATGAAGCAAGCTGTGAATTTAATAGATACCTTCAAACAGCTTCTTTGTATTTAAGCTTTAAGTAACAAAGCAGCTGTCAAATTTGCCACCAAAACAAGAGACAAATTCAAGACTGGACGACTGCAGGATCAAGGATTGTTGGGGTGTGGTCATCAGACAATGTCATCTCCACTGCTGGCACAAAGTATGGTTCCACGAGTCCACGTGGAGGCAGGTGGCCTGAGGGATGGTCTGCTCAGCGACCTTGTCAGAGGTCAAGAAAGTGCTTGGCTGACACTACAGCATACTCAGGCACAAGATGTTATAATTGTATTCTCACCACTGTCCATGCTGGTACACTGTCTTTTAGAGGTTCATTTACCTTGTGATTTTGAATCAGTCATTTCAGCTCACTTATAATGTGGGCACAATAGGAAGGAGATCAGTAGGTTCGGTCTATAATACTCTGAAAGGAAGATGAGGTGTTGGTAGAAAGAAATGCACAGTGTATTAGAGAACTCTTTTAAAGGTGAGAGAAGTCACCCAGTCCTGGAACCTCAACTGTAAATGCAGGAAGGAATGCAAGATGGTGGAGGGCTAGGTGTGTACAAGCAAAAGGCAAGGCCTGGGGAAATAGAGAGAGCATGTCCCACCCAAAGGCATTCAAATTCCTCAATAAAAGTATTGATCCAACACAATGCACTTATGACATGCTATGATACTAGTCCAACTACCTTACTCACTAGGCTGCGTTCATGGGTTAGAATGAACAAAGGGGCTTGTCTGCCTTCATATAAAGAATGGAGTGGTGGTCCTCATGCCTATAAATCTTCTTGAATCACTTTATATTGCTGATCAAAGTGAATGCTCTGAAACCAAAACTCATAGTTTTACTTCAATGAATATTAAAAATCAAAACCAAACCAAATCCATTATAATAACAGTCCAGCAATGTCTCCACCTAAGTCTCGTGTGTGTATATATATATAAAATCTCTATATAATCTATCTGTATATATTAGCAGCTAAGTGAATTCTTGAATCTATTAAATAGCAAGTGCCAAGGTACAAAGTGGTTTCTTCATAGCAGTTCAACTCTGCTCCCTATGGTACACCTGGAGATTACACTGAATCCTGGGCACACTTTATTTTATTTATTTATTTATTATTATACTTTTAAGTTTCAGGGTACATGTGCACAATGGGCAGGTTAGTTACATATGTATACATGTGCCATGCTGGTGCGCCGCACCTACTAACTCGTCATCTAGCATTAGGTATATCTCCCAATGCTATCCCTCCCCCCTCCCCCCACCCCACAACAGTCCCCAGACTGTGATGTTCCCCTCCCTGTGTCCATGTGTTCACATTGTTCAATTCCCACCTATGAGTGAGAATATGCAGTGTTTGGTTTTTTGTTCTTGCGATAGTTTACTGAGAATGATGATTTCCAATTTCATCCACGTCCCTACAAAGGACATGAACTCATCATTTTTTATGGCTGCATAGTATTCCATGGTGTATATGTGCCACATTTTCTTAATCCAGTCTATCATTGTTGGACATTTGGGTTGGTTCCAAGTCTTTGCTATTGTGAATAATGCCGCAATAAACATACGTGGGCATGTGTCTTTATAGCAGCATGATTTATAGTCCTTTGGGTATATACCCAGTAATGGGATGGCTGGGTCAAATGGTATTTCTAGTTCTAGATCTCTGAGGAATCGCCACACTGACTTCCACAATGGTTGAACTAGTTTACAGTCCCACCAACAGTGTAAAAGTGTTCCTATTTCTCCACATCCTCTCCAGCACCTGTTGTTTCCTGACTTTTTAATGATTGCCATTCTAACTGGTGTGAGATGGTATCTCATTGTGGCTTTGATTTGTGTTTCTCTGATGGCCAGTGATGGTGAGCATTTTTTCATGTGTTTTTTGGCTGCATGAATGTCTTCTTTTGAGAAGTGTCTGTTCATGTCCTTCGCCCACTTTTTGATGGGGTTGTTTGTTTTTTTCTTGTAAATTTGTTTGAGTTCATTGTAGATTCTGGATATTAGCCCTTTGTCAGATGAGTAGGTTGGGAAAATTTTCTCCCATTCTGTAGGTTGCCTGTTCACTCTGATGGTAGTTTCTTTTGCTGTGCAGAAGCTCTTTAGTTCAATTAGATCCCATTTGTCAATTTTGGCTTTTGTTGCCATTGCTTTTGGTGTTTTAGACATGAAGTCCTTGCCCATGCCTATGTCCTGAATGGTAATGCCTAGGTTTTCTTCTAGGGTTTTTATGGTTTTAGGTCTAACGTTTAAGTCTTTAATCCATCTTGAATTGATTTTTGTATAAGGTGTAAGGAAGGGATCCAGTTTCAGCTTTCTACATATGGCTAGCCAGTTTTCCCAGCACCATTTATTAAATAGGGAATCCTTTCCCCATTGCTTGTTTTTCTCAGGTTTGTCAAAGATCAGATAGTTGTAGATATGCGGCGTTATTTCTGAGGGCTCTGTTCTGTTCCATTGATCTATATCTCTGTTTTGGTACCAGTACCATGCTGTTTTGGTTACTGTAGCCTTGTAGTATAGTTTGAAGTCAGGTAGTGTGATGCCTCCAGCTTTGTTCTTTTGGCTTAGGATTGACTTGGTGATGTGGGCTCTTTTTTGGTTCCATATGAACTTTAAAGTAGTTTTTTCCAATTCTGTGAAGAAAGGCATTGGTAGCTTGATGGGGATGGCATTGAATCTGTAAATTACCTTGGGCAGTATGGCCATTTTCACGATATTGATTCTTCCTACCCATGAGCATGGAATGTTCTTCCATTTGTTTGTATCCTCTTTTATTTCCTTGAGCAGTGGTTTGTAGTTCTCCTAGAAGAGGTCCTTCACATCCCTTATAAGTTGGATTCCTAGGTATTTTATTCTCTTTGAAGCAATTGTGAATGGGAGTTCACTCATGATTTGGCTCTCTGTTTGTCTGTTGTTAGTGTATAATAATGCTTGTGATTTTTGTACATTGATTTTGTATCCTGAGACTTTGCTGAAGTTGCTTATCAGCTTAAGGAGATTTTGGGCTGAGGCAATGGGGTTTTCTAGATATACAATCATGTCGTCTGCAAACAGGGACAATTTGACTTCCTCTTTTCCTAATTGAATACCCTTTATTTCCTTCTCCTGCCTAATTGCCCTGGCCAGAACTTTCAACACTATGTTGAATAGAAGTGGTGAGAGAGGGCATCCCTGTCTTGTGCCAGTTTTCAAAAGGAATGCTTCCAGTTTCTGCCCATTCAGTATGATATTGGCTGTGGGTTTGTCATAGATAGCGCTTATTATTTTGAGATACGTCCCATCAATACCTAATTTATTGAGAGTTTTTAGCATGAAGGGTTGTTGAATTTTGTCAAAGGCCTTTTCTGCATCTATTGAGATAATCATGTGGTTTTTGTCTTTGGTTCTGTTTATATGCTGGATTACATTTATTGATTTGCATATATTGAACCAGCCTTGCATCCCAGGGATGAAGCCCACTTGATCATGGTGGATAAGCTTTTTGATGTGCTGCTGGATTCGGTTTGCCAGTATTTTATTGAGGATTTTTGCATCAATGTTCATCAAGGATATTGGTCTAAAATTCTCTTTTTTGGTTGTGTCTCTGTCAGGCTTTGGTATCAGGATGATGCTGACCTCATAAAATGAGTTAGGGAGGATTCCCTCTTTGTCTATTGATTGGAATAGTTTCAGAAGGAATGGTACCCAGTTCCTCCTTGTACCTCTGGTAGAATTCGGCTGTGAATCCATCTGGTCCTGGACTCTTTTTCGTTGGTAAGCTATTGATTATTGCCACAATTTCAGCTCCTGTCATTTGTCTATGCAGAGATTCAACTTCTTCCTGGTTCAGTCTTGGGAGAGTGTATGTGTCCAGGAATTTATCAATTTCTTCTAGATTTTCTAGTTTATTTGCGTAGAGGTGTTTGTAGTATTCTCTCATGGTAGTTTGTATTTCTGTGGGATCAGTGGTGATATCCCCTTTATCATTTTTTATTGTGTCTATTTGATTCTTCTCTCTTTTTTTCTTTATTAGTCTTGCTAGTGGTCTATCAATCTTGTTGATCCTTTCAAAAAACCAGCTCCTGGATTCGTTAATTTTTTGAAAGGTTTTTTGTGTCTCTATTTCCTTCAGTTCTGCTCTGATTTTAGTTATTTCTTGCCTTCTGCTAGCTTTTGAATGTGTTTGCTCTTGCATTTCTAGTTCTTTTAATTGTGATGTTAGGGTGTCAATTTTGGATCTTTCCTGCTTTCTCTTGTGGGCATTTAGTGCTATAAATTTCCCTCTACACACTGCTTTGAATGCGTCCCAGAGATGCTGGTATGTTGTGTCTTTGTTGTCGTTGGTTTCAAAGAACATCTTTATTTCTGCCTTCATTTCGTTACGTACCCAGTAGTCATTCAGGAGCAGGTTGTTCAGTTTCCATGTAGTTGAGCGGTTTTGAGTGAGATTCTTAACCCTGAGTTCTAGTTTGATTGCACTGTGGTCTGAGAGACAGTTTGTTATAATTTCTGTTCTTTTACATTTGCTGAGGAGAGCTTTACTTCCAAGTATGTGGTCAATTTTGGAATAGGTGTGGTGTGGTGCTGAAAAAAATGTATATTCTGTTGATTTGGGGTGGAGAGTTCTGTAGATGTCTATTAGGTCTGCTTGGTGCAGAGCTGAGTTCAATTCCTGGGTATCCTTGTTGACTTTCTGTCTCGTTGATCTGTCTAATGTTGACAGTGGGGTGTTAAAGTCTCCCATTATTAATGTGTGGGAGTCTAAGTCTCTTTGTAGGTCACTCAGGACTTGCTTTATGAATCTGGGTGCTCCTGTATTGGGTGCATATATATATTTAGGATAGTTAGCTCTTCTTGTTGAATTGATCCCTTTACCATTAAGTAATGGCCTTCTTTGTCTCTTTTGATCTTTGTTGGTTTAAAGTCCGTTTTATCAGAGACTAGGATTGCAACCCCTGCCTTTTTTTGTTTTCCATTTGCTTGGTAGATCTTCCTCCATCCTTTTATTTTGAGCCTATGTGTGTCTCTGCACGTGAGATGGGTTTCCTGAATACAGCACACTGATGGGTCTTGACTCTTTATCCAATTTGCCAGTCTGTGTCTTTTAATTGGAGCATTTAGTCCATTTACATTTAAAGTTAATATTGTTATGTGTGAATTTGATCCTGTCATTATGATGTTAGCTGATTATTTTGCTCGTTAGTTGATGCAGTTTCTTCCTAGTCTCGATGGTCTTTACATTTTGGCATGATTTTGCAGCGGCTGGTACCGGTTGTTCCTTTCCATATTTAGCACTTCCTTCAGGAGCTCTTTTAGGGCAGGCCTGGTGGTGACAAAATCTCTCAGCATTTGCTTGTCTGTAAAGTATTCTATTTCTCCTTCACTTATGAAGGTTAGTTTGGCTGGATATGAAATTCTGGGTTGAAAATTCTTTTCTTTAAGAATGTTGAATATTGGCCCCCACCCTCTTCTGGCTTGTAGAGTTCCTGCCGACAGATCTGCTGTTAGTCTAATGGGCTTCTCTTTGAGGGTAACCCGCCCTTTCTCTCTGGCTGCCCTTAAGATTTTTTCCTTCATTGCAACTTTGGTGAATCTGACAATTATGTGTCTTGGAGTTGCTCTTCTCGAGGAGTATCTTTGTGGTGTTCTCTGTATTTCCTGAATCTGAATGTTGGCCTGCCTTGCTAGATTGGGGAGGTTCTCCTGGATAATATCCTGCAGAATGTTTTCCAACTTGGTTCCATTCTCCCTGTCACTTTCAGGTACACCAATCAGACATAGATTTGGTCTTTTCACATAGTCCCATATTTCTTGGAGGCTTTGCTCGTTTCTTTTTATTCTTTTTTCTCTAAACTTCCCTTCTTGCTTCATTTCATTCATTTCATCTTCCATCAATGGTATCCTTTCTTCCAGTTGATCGCATCGGCTCCTGAGGCTTCTGCATTCTTCATGTTGCTCTCGAGCCTTGGTTTTCAGCTCCATCAGCTCCTTTAAGCACTTCTCTGTATTGGTTATTCCTGTTATACATTCTTCTAAAGTTTTTTCAAAGTTTTCAACTTCTTTGCCTTTGGTTTGAATGTCCTCCTGTAGCTCAGAGTAATTCCATCGTCTGAAGCCTTCTTCTCTCAGCTCCTCAAAGTCATTCTCCATCCAGCTTTGTTCTGTTGCTGGTGAGGACCTGCGTTCCTTTGGAGGAGGAGAGGTGCTCTGCTTTTTAGAGTTTCCAGTTTTTCTGCTGTGTTTCTTCCCCAAGTTTGTGGTTTTATCTACTTTTGGTCTTTGATGATGGTGATGTACAGATGGGTTTTTGGTGTGGATGTCCTTTCTGTTTGTTAGTTTTCCTTCTGACAGACAGGACCCTCAGCTGCAGGTCTGTTGGAGTACCCGGCCGTGTGAGGTGTCAGTCTGCCCCTGCTGGGGGTGCCTCCCAGTTAGGCTGCTCGGGGGTCAGGGGTCAGGGACCCACTTGAGGAGGCAGTCTGCCCGTTCTCAGATCTCCAGCTGCATGCTGGGAGAACCACTGCTCTTTTCAAAGCTGTCAGACAGGGACATTTAAGTCTGCAGAGGTTACTGCTGTCTTTTTGTTTGTCTGTGCCCTGCACGCAGAAGTGGAGCCTATAGAGGCAGGCAGGCCTCCTTGAGCTGTGGTGGGCTCCACCCAGTTCAAGCTTCCCGGCTGCTTTGTTTACCTAATCAAGCCTGGGCAATGGCGGGCGCCCCTCCCCCAGCCTCGCTGTCGCCTTGCAGTTTGATCTCAGACTGCTGTGCTAGCAATCAGCGACACTCCGTGGGCGTAGGACCCTCCGAGCCACGCACAGGATATAATCTCCTGGTGCGCTGTTTTTTAAGCCCATCGGAAAATCGCAGTATTCGGGTGGGAGTGACTCGATTTTCCAGGTGTCGTCTGTCACCACTTTCTTTGACTAGGAAAGGGAACTCCCTGACCCCTTGCACTTCCCAATGCCTCACCCTGCTTTGGCTCGCACACGGTGCCCGCACCCACTGACCTGGGCCCACTGTCTGGCACTCCCTAGTGAGATGAACCTGGTACCTCAGATGGAAATGCAGAAATCACCCGTCTTCTGCGTTGCTCACGCTGGGAGCTGTAGACCGGAGCTGTTCCTATTCTCTGGGCACACTTTAAAACCATTGTCCTCCAGTGACTTCATAAAAAAGGTTAATAAATAAAAAAGTTTGAAAAAAAAATCCTTAATCCTCATCTCCCTAGCTTTATATCCTATTATTCTGGGTAAGTGCTATGTGTGAAAACATGCTCAGTTTCAATTTAGCTAAACCTCTGACTCACAGGGAACAGCTTTTAAATTGTTCATACAGTTCTTATCAATCAGCTGGTTGTGTGTAGAGGAAATAGGAATACGGAAACTTAATCACTTCTACTGTGAAAAATCACTGTGGCTCCCTGATTAGAGGAAAAAATCAGATCCTAGAAGGCCTTTCCTCCAGATTCCCACTATTTCCTGGCTGTTTCATTTAAATCACAACATTGTTGAGCTGACCTATAACTTCACGAGTTTTCCAGGCAAGGGTGGATGTTATGAATACATGTCTTAGGAGAGTCTCAAAGCCTAGTGGCAAATATTCCATCACTAGAAACTGATGTTACAAGCATGCTATTTGCTTGTCGTAAGATGGGCTTCCTTGGCAAACTGGTCAACCAGAAATGCATTAATGGCAAAAGGCTGGAGTCAAGGCACAAATTTTAGGGGAACAAGTCATGGTATTTTTATGTGTTACCTCTGCTCCTCCTTTTTGCTATCTACTATTGTGAGAAGTCAGGGACCCTGAACGGAGGGACCGGCTGAAGCCATGGCAGAAGAACTTGGATTGTGAAGATTTCATGGACATTTATTAGTTCCCCAAATTAACACTTTTATAATTTCTTACGCCTGTCTTTACTGCAGTTTCCTATGCCTGTCTTTACTTTAATCTCTTAATCCCATCATCTTTGTAAGCTGAGGAGGATGTATGTCACCTCAGGACCCTGTGATGATTGCATTAACTGCAAAATTGTTTGTAGAGCATGTGTTTTTGAACAATATGATATCTGGGCACCTTGAAAAAAGAACAGGATAACAGCAATGTTCAGGAAACAAGAGAGATAACCTTAAACTCTGACTGCTGGTGAGCTGGGCAGAACAGAGCCATATTTCTCTTCTTTCAAAAGCAAATGGGAGAAATATCGCTGAATTCTTTTTCTCAGCAAGGAACATCCCTGAGAAATAGAATGCGTCCCTGAGGGTAGGCCTCTAAAATGGCTGCTTCGGGGGCAGCCGTCTTTTATGGTCGAAGCTGTAGGGATGAAATAAGCCCCAGTCTCCTGTAGCACTCCCAGGCTTATTAGGACGAGGAAATTCCTGCCTAATAAATTTTGGTCAGACCAGTTGTCTAATCTCAAACCCTGTCTCCTGATAAGATGTTATCAATGACAATGCATGCCTGAAACTTCATTAGCAATTTTAATTTTGCCCGGGTCCTGTGGTCCTGTGATCTCGCCCTGCCTCCATTTGCCTTGTGATATTCTATTACCTTGTGAAGCATGTGATCTCTGTGACCCACACCCTTTTCGTAGACTCCCTCCCCTTTTGAAAATCACTAACAAAAACTTGCTGGTTTTACGGCTCAGGGGGCATCACAGAACCTGCCGACATGTGATGTCTCCCCCAGACACCCAGCTTTAAAATTTCTCTCTTTTGTACTCTGTCCCTTTATTTCTCAGACTGGCCGACACTTAGGGAAAATAGAAAAGAACCTACATGACTATCAGGGGCAGGTTCCCCCGATAATCTACATTTTGAATGCTTTTCTTTCAAGCTTTGTGTGATTGGACATAGACCTTATGAGATTTGCATTAGTTGGACTTCATCAGAAATTCATTCACATCTGACTAACATAGATGATTGCAATGTAGTGCTCTTGGGTTGAAACTAGCTCTTGTTATACTGGCTTACCTTGCACCAAGAAAATATGAATAATGATCCAGTAGAATGTAGTAAATAGATATCTACTAACCATAAAAGGATTCACCAATATTTAGGGTAAAAGAGACTAAAAGATTTAGACTGGCCATGTAGGTAGGTAGGCAAGGTAGGTAAAGTAGGTAGAGAGGTAAGTAGACACACATAATCAACTCACTGAGGTCTAATTGTACGCCATACAGTATATCCATTTTAAGTGTAGAATACACATTTTTTGAACAATAACTTTTAGCTTTATAGAGACCAAAAGATGTCATGGAGAGCTCTTTGCTCACCCTCTTCCACAGGGAAGCTCAGAGAAGTTGAACCAACCCACACAGATGGCCAGTGGCTAAGTGAGGAGGGCATGCCCAGTTTGGAGGTTCTAATGAAAATCAGCCCATTGATTTGCCATTATGAGTAGAAACTCACCCTTATGGGCAGAAAAAAAGACTTCACATAGCAGCCAGTGTACATACAACAGCCCTGGGTTCCTGCCCAGTTAAAAATGAACATCCAACTGTGGGCTGCAGAGATAAGAAAAGGAAGTGAAGAAGTGTCTTAGGAACGGTGGCATGAAGGGGGATGAACAGTTATGCAGAACGAAGGACTGAGAGGGTTTATTGACAACTGGAAGTCTGAGGTGTTAAAAGTAATTCCAACCAATGTTAGCGTTTAGATGCTGACAAATAAAATTTATAAATGACTTTTTAAACTGCTTCCTCGAGCAACAAGAGCTGTTATTGTCACATCGATTTTGAAATTAAATGTTATGGAATTTCCTTGCTTTAATGAGAAGGCAGATCCAACTGGTAAACAAAGTAATGATTAAGCAATTAAAAGAGTAAAACTGAGAAATAAAGTAACACTAATCTTAATCCTTAACCCAAATAGGCAGGTTTTGCTGATTTGCTTAAAAAAAAGATGCATGTTTATCTTGAGGTGAAAGTATTGAGAAGAGATGCTCACTAGGAATAAACTGCCCTCTGATAAGAGGGGAAAAGTCAATTAGTAATGTCATTTGTTTAAAACTCTGCCCGCACCTGGTTCTCATTTGTCCTCCAGCTGAGAAACCAAAGACAACTTCTTTTTATTGCTTGTGGTCAAACAGCAAGTTCATTTCGCCATGGGATGATCAAACGGCCAGCCTCCCCCAGCTTGGGAAGGTTTGCCTTTCACTTTCAACTTGTTCAATCATCATTAACTCTGAAAATTGTCACATTCCATTTGTGCAATGAAAATTTCATCACTGGTGACCGTTTGGGTGAAGTTTTTGTAGGCGAGGCCCTAAATCTTGTAGAGCACCTCACACATTCTCAAGGTCATTTGCCTTGTTTCCTTGTTTAATGACAGTTGCCTAAGATCCAGGAATGAGTCTGTGACCTGACCTCAGCAACTCTGAAGACCCCTGTGTATGTGGGTACATGTTACCCTCTCTGAGACTGAGAGAGATCACTGGGTGATTTGCCACATGGATTTCGTCTGAGAAAAATTAGGGTATGTACATGCATGTGTGCACACACAGATGCACACACACCCTCCTTTGTTATATATTACGTGCACATACACTGGGATTTTTACTGGGGAAACGCTAGTTAAAAAGATCGCTGGATAGAGTCTATTTCAAAGCAGGACTTCCTCACTGTGGGAAGCCAGCTTCCCTGGAGAGGCTGCAATATCAAATTGGGGAGGTTCCACAAAGTTTCTGGAAAGGAGAAATAAGCTCCTTTTTACTTTGCCATTAGGCTTGAGAAATTTTCAACTCCTTTGTTTATTATTTAATTATATTTGCCCCTCTACAGTTAAGTTCTAAAATGTTAAATCCCAATGAATCTGGCACAAGGCCAAATTCCCCACAGGCCCTTTCTGAATATGAATTTCTGAAAGTGGATGTCAAGTGGCAAGATGGCTAAATTAAGAGGTCACTAGATCTCGACTCTTAAGCAAAGCATGGAGTGTATTGGGGCAAGTCAAGTAAGTTTTGTGCCATTTGGCAAGTAAGTCATAACAGCTAAAACAGGCCCCGGTTATAGGTCTTGATTTAATTTTCAAGGTCAAACCCAAGAGAATGTATACACAGAGCTACAAAGCTCTCTAGCATCTTAAGCCTGGGTGCTAACACACTTATTAAATAGTCTACAAGAAGCGCTTCTTGATTTCCAGCACTAGTTTTCATTCCAGGGCTTCACTGAGTTAGCTGCTGAAATAAGGAGGTTAGGAGCAGGTCTGAATCATAGATACAATGTTTTGGCTCCCTTCAGCTAGCTCTGGCTTATAATATATTAAAATATTTACTGTTGCCAATATCCAACTTTTTTTTTTTTTTTTTTTTTTTTTGAGACGGAGTCTTGCTCTGTCACCCAGGCTGGAGTGCAGTGGTGCGATCTGGGCTCACTGCAAGCTCCGCCATCCAGGTTCTTGCCATTCTCCTGCCTCAGCCTCCTGAGTAGCTGGGACTACAGGCACCCGCCACCATGCCCGGCTAATTTTTTGTATTTTTAGTAGAGACGGGGTTTCACAGTGTTAGCCAGGATGGTCTTGATCTCCTGACCTTGTGATCCGCCCACCTCGGCCTCCCAAAGTGCTGGGATTACAGACATGAGCCACCGCGCCCAGCCAAGAGTTCAATAACATTAGGTTATTGGCTGAAAAAAGTTTGTGTGTAATTTCCCAAGTGAGATATTTTCATTCAAACCGTTGCATATGTGCCCTGTATTCTTTTAAGTGTTTTATAATATTAATTTCCTTAATCCTTATAGTAATTCCAAAAGGTAAAGTAACAAACCCGAGGTCACAGAACCCAGGACATCTGGGTCTATATCCATTAAACTATGGAGCTATACTTTTTCATGAAGACTTCTCAGGATATGCAACCCAAATGCCCATTTATCTCCTGCTTCAAGTTGGGCAGATGGTGCGCAAGGAGAAAGATGTTTGATCTGTTGGTTCCATTTCACAGGGATTGAAAAATGGAGATCAAGTCTCTAAACTGGCCCTTTCTCCTTATACTAATTTATTCTGCTTTCCTTCTACTGCTGGATCCCAAGTGAGCTAGCAAGCTCTCCCTTCTCTGTGTCTGTCTGTCTACATCTCTCTTTCTCAAACACACACACACACACACACACACACACACACACACACACACACAGTCACATAGCTATTACCGTGCTTCAGTAAAGCTGTACAGGGCTTGTGATCCAGGCATAAAAACAGACATCATTTGCTCATTAGAGCTAAGTTTTCAGGACGTGCCCCACTTACTGACCTCCACTAACGGCCTGGGTTTGCGCTCGACTGCAAACCTGAAGTGGCAGAGTTCACAGTAGCTGGTGTTTGAGGATGACAGCCAGTGCTCCAGGCAGCTCCGATGAATTGTCCCCAAGGTCCCTGTACATTCACATGGAGAGAGCAAGTCCTCTTGGCTGCTGCCCTCGTGGCAGATCCTGCACATCGGCCGGTCATTGAAGGGGCTGCAAGAGAAGGAGGGGCACCTGCTGGTCACTGGGCTGGAAACCTCCACCAAGTGGATGGCCCTCTAGCTCTTGTCCTTTGGGCCCTCCCCAGAGGCAGCTGCTTTAAGACCTCTTAGATCTACACTTGACCTTGGCAATGGGGCAAATGATTCTGGGCACTCTAGAGCACTTGGGTCACCTACTTGTGACAACACAAAGAAATAGGGGATTGCCAATATCAAAGTAGCTGGGTGTGGCCCAGGATCAAAAGTGAGTGAAAACAAGCAGTGGATATTTTTGCCTTGAATATAAATGTAGTTCATGTCAACTACTAATCCAAAAATCATAACCATCCTTCATCATCAAGAAGAGAAATTGTTTGAAATGACAAATTGAATCTTTCGGACCAAACCAAGACATGTTTGCATATCCAGAGGTTCTTCTCATTTCTCTTTTCAATAGGGTGGGAGAATGAGAGGAGGGAAGTTAGCCAGCAACCAACCCTGCAGCCACTACACAGAACTGCAGTCTGAGCCACAGCACAAAGCTGAGTGGTGGATTGTCCTTTGAGCTTTCACAGGATGCTCTATGGGATGCCAAAGATACCAAACTGAAAGCGAGTAATGAGTATGTCCCACTGAGGTAGCCTCAGTCTAGAGTTCTGCCTTTAATTTGGAAAAACCACTCCTACACATTTCATAAAGGCAGCTTAGTGTAGTTAGGGGTTCATAGTGCAGGCTCCAGAATCTGGCTGGCTGGGCTCAGACCTTAACTCTGCTGTCTATTACCTGGATAACTCTGGGCAAGTAACTTCATCTCCCCATACTTTAGTGTCCTTATCTCTAAAATGGGCACAAAAATGGTGCCTTCTTCATATGATGACAGTGAGCATGTGAAAAGATAGCCCAGATTAGAAGCTTAGAATAGGGACCAGCATACAGCAAATGCCTAGTTAATGCTAGCTACTATCTCTCAAGGAAAATCTCAGGCCAGAGAAAATCAAATAACTTGGCCCTCATCAGGTAAGTCAGTGGCCAATGGAAAGAGGATGGCCTCACTGCTTGGGAGGTACCCTGCCCTGGGAGAGGACCATGCCTCTCTGATGGATGTCTTATGTTGCTTGTGCTATTCTTCACTGGGCAACAGATTTTAAAATGTGTCCTCATGATATGTGACAATCCTAGGACCAGCCTCTTTACCTGCCCTCCCTTGCCTCTCTGTATGCCTCCCAAAGATGACAGTGACCCAGGCACATGCCCATTCATCCTCCTGAACACTATCTTTGGTCCAAATGGAAATAGCCATGGAAGACTGCTGTTTCCCAAAGGCCTTTCTGAGAATGATCCTGGGAATGAGTGAAGGCCAAAAGGAGATCAAAAAAGGAAAGGATCTCCCTCCCACTAGCCTGAAAGGCCTACTTGTGCCCACGAGTGGGAAAAGAAAGCTGACAAGTTTTTTTTTAACTCATGATTCTGGGCCTCCTTCATTTACACTGAGCCTGTAAAACTCTGAAACCTGGTTTACAGTACCGCATGGTGGGAAAGCAGGTAAAAATACCTGACAGACAGACAGACAGACACACACACACACACACACACACACACACACACACACACAGAGGCTCACAGGTCTCAACCACATCAACCATAGCCTGCTCTTCCTGGTCAAGTGAGCTGTTTGATGCCTGCAAGGGTGAGTGGGGCACATCAGTCACCCAGTCTCAGTTCGCAGAGGACCGAAGATAGTCACTGCCTCATCCTGTTCTGAGTCCTAACCAATTGTTAAAAGTTCTCCAAGAGTCAGAAATTACATATTAAAGGTTTTTCTATTTTTTCCTTTGCACTAGCAGCACAGATTTTAAATGGAGGGCATATGAGCAGTGTTTACAACAGCATGGGAGTGTGATTCAGTGTCTGAGGGCCACCATGCCCAGGGTGGGATGCCACTGCACCAGAGGGGTTGACTGATCACTCAGACAGAGGTAAGAGAATAAGGTGTGAATGACTGGTCCTATGTTAGAGGTCAGAAGTGTCAGCACTGACACTAGGGGGCAAATCCAATGTTGATCCACCTTTTAAATGCATAGGTTAGAAGTCCCACTTAACCATTCTGAGAAAAAGCTGGAGAAGCCAAGGAGTTCCTATTAGCCTGGCAGCCCATAGCTCCCTATCCAACAAGAGCACAAGAGGAGACAAAGTGCTGGTCAGGATAAGTGGTCTCCAAGCTGCTCAGAGCCTGCACTCGGGCTTTAGTTCACCACTTGGGAAGGCTCAGGAGGTTTTCACAATAGCACTTCATAGGGTAGAGTGTGCGTGAAGGGTCAGGGATGGGGGACCATTGAGGCTGAAGGAGAGGACAGCAGAAGAGACCTCCAAGTGATAAGAAGACACCCACCCAGAAAGTAGCCCTGGACAGCGCTTCCATCAGGCAATGCCAGTCCACATGCACACCAAGAATGTCACTTCAAAAGTTTTGCCCACAAATCCAATCACTTTGACTCAGTCGCCTGAAATCAGATACCTTCTTAATCCTGTTCCAATAGGACCACCTTTGTTACCTACTGGAGACAACAAGAGAGCATAACAATGTCAAAATAACAACCCCGTATCTTGTGGGTTCCTTCCCCTCCTGGCTCTTTGTAAATATGATTTGAGGGGAAATCTTGATAAGGTGAATTTTAGCTTTATATCCTATTGCTATAGAAACGGCAATAACAGAACTCGTGTAGTCTTTTTTTTTTTTTTCCAGCACCTCCTCTCACCTGACACAAAGACCTGAGCACTAATTACATTCCCATTAGCATTTTCCATCTGACAAAGAGTTCTCTGGATCAATTACAGATTCATTTATTTTAATTGTGGTACTACCTCTGGGTGGCAAGAGTCCGCACTACTGTTGACAGCAGCTGCCCGTCCTTGGCTGAAACTTGCATGACATACTGCGGCTGCCCATTCACTAGGCTGCCACAATCCTCCACCGTCTTCACCACGGGTGCAGCTGAGCTGGTGCAGTCTGGCAGGACTTCGGGCAGGTGACTGCAGCGGCTGGTTGTCATGGTAACAGACAGCAATTACTCTGCTAATGGCTTCCACATTCATACAGGATTTCCATCTAAGAGAGATCAGAAAACAGTTTACTTGGGCAGGGTGGCTAATAGAAAATGGAGAATTATGGGCCACCAACATCATCATCATGTCATTATTTAATACAAATAACAGGGGTAGCCTAGATGTGGCACATTATCTTGTTACTGTTTAATACAAGTGCACACACACACACACACACAGAGCCCACAAGAAACAGCAGATATGGTATGAATAAGACAGCAAGCATGTCCGTGTATATAAACATTTAGCAGCCCTGCTTTCCACGAGGGGACAGAATGATGACTCTGAGGCCCAGATCTGAAGAGAAGATAAGCAGTTCCCTGCTCTGTGCTAGAGAAGCAATAAGTTTTTGTTGACACTCTCTAAAAGTTACTAAAATCATTATTAAAAACATTCAGAACTATTTTTTCTGGTAAGCAATTTATTCTACATGCAGCTTCATTCTGAGATACTAAGATTAAAAGGAGAGAGAAAGAAGGAAGGAAAATAAAAATGAATTTGGCCAAGTATTAATAGTATGTTCTAGGACAATATTTGCCAAACATGAATCACTCAATGACTGTACCACCTTTCGACTTTTGCCATATCTGTTGCATAATAAAATTTTCTACTCAATACATCTTGAAATTAACTTCCTTTAAAAATGGAACCTATTTTAGCTTTGTCTTCAAGTTATTCATGAAATGAGTTTAATGAGCTTTTATTTTCTAATGAACGTGACAATAAATACGTTAGCATGATGTCTTGTTTGTGTACTACCTAAAATGCAGATGTATATGCATCATCATAGGGAAACACATAGGAGAACGTGAGAAAATAATGAATGAGATCTCTATCACCAATTAAACATAATCCATTACAAATAAGGGCCTTACCTCCTAGGCACATGGTTTATCATATAAACCGTGAGGAATTCTGCTCCCAATCTGTGTGGTGCAGGCTTGGGTCATGACCTCAAGTTCAAAGCACTCAGACCCACTGGAGTGAGGAACTCCACTGGATTCAATAATAGGTCAGCATGTGACACATAAGAAATAGAGGTTTTTACAGAAACTTGAAGGAAGAATTCTGTCCAAAGGTGAGATGACACAGTTTCATGGCTAGGAGTGCTAGCCTGCTCACCTCAAGCTCCCGAGCTCGACATGGCCTGGGCTCAGTAGACAGCAGCAGGATTAGTTGACAGACTGAGCTCACATCAAGAACCCATTTAGGTGGTCAAGGCTCAGACTTAAATAAATGAAATATCTTGTTATTTGCACAACCCAAAACCCCAAGAGGATTCCTGGAATTCTGCAAGGGGTTGTTTTCTCCCAGATATTTGTCTCTACTTCTTACATTTTCCTTGATCCCCATGGTTCTGGAAAACAGGATCTTCCCAACTTCCAGAACAATGTGCATCAACTGGATGTTCTCAGGCAAGAATGCAGTGTTTCCTGATGAAACTGACAGTTTCCCTCCCGACACGCACATGTCAAGCAGGCTTGACTGTCCAAAACAATCATCGGACGTGATTGTCATCCCTTCCTTGCTGCTGAGGTGTCTGGCTGGCTTTGCACCAGCAGCCTCCCTTTCCCACCCTCATTGGCTGCCTGGCGTCCTCTCAGGGTCTGCGTCTGCCTTTGCCCAGCAGCCCTTCTGAACCCACAGTGGGGAGACGGCTGTGGACTCCAGTCCTTGTCTGAGACCTGATGTGGGGGCACAGGCAGAGGCTGCCCCACTCATGCCATTTTCAAGACCAGCAATACTGAACATTCAGCACAGTCAGTTAGTTGGTATAGGTCAACTAACTGACTAGGTTAAATAGGATTTTTTGCTTTTTTTAAAAAATTACAAAGCAATTAGTATACGGTATGTTATAAAAACTATGGAAGAGCACAAAGAACACAATAAAACTCACTCATAATCCCACCATTCAGAAAACCCCAGTAAATTTTTTGGGTAGATATCTTCTTTTTATTTTTTTGAAAGGGTTGGCAGGGTGCAGTTGATTTGTGACTGGGGCCAGACAGTTGTTTTGTTTTGTTTTTAAAAACTGAGTTATGGTAGCTTTCAGACCGAAAAACAAAGAGATGTTAAAAGACCGTCCTCTTCTAAAACTGTGCATAACTACTCTCCTCTGGCCTGCCCTTACAAAACTCCATTGACATGATTTTAAATTCTCATAATGCTTCACAGTCACAAAGTGTAACTTCCTGGCACAGCTCTCTTGCTTCACAAGGCAGCCATAGATTAAGAGCCAGGGGTGTATTGGCAGGAAAAGCAGACACAGTGACCTTCTTGCCGCATGGAATCATTATGTCTAGATGCACTCTGAGAGTCTATTTTCGGGTTTTGCATAACTCCAGCTCAGAGGGCCAAACACTCCCTCCCTCTACTTGATGGAACTGGAAGACGGTAAGGAGGGGGTGCGCAGAGTAAATAATGGGACCCAGGGCTGCCAGTAGTTAGGCTACCCTCAGTGAATTGCCTGTCGCCCAGGCATATAATAGCCCCAAGTTCACACACTTGTAACCTAGATTAAGTCCTCATCAAAGGAAGTAGTTCTAAATGTGTGACCTAAATCCGCAATAAAATGTCCTTAAAAATATTCTAGAAGCAGAGCTTCCCTTAAATTCATTTTATATATGTAATTTCACTTCTGCATAATTTCATTTCTTCTTTCACAGGTAAAAGGGATATTATTTGCCACCTGATCAGTTTATTCCATTCGTAGTGGGTGCTGGGCACTGAGTTTAGCATAAAAGAACAAAAGAAACCACACCTTGCCTTCTCCTACAAGCAAGCCCTGGCTCTTTCTCTTGGGCCATATCTGCAGAACCCTGCATCCAAGATCCTCTAAGCCCTAGCTCAATTTAGGACCTAACTAAAATGATAGTCCGGTCCAGCATTCCCTGAAAAACATACCAGCATGTCTTACGTATACCACACATCAGAATAACCTTAAGATTCTAAGACTGGCATGCCAGCAATGAGTCCCAACAGCCCTGAAAGACCGTGGACTTGAATTAATGGGCTAAGAGGGATTACACAAAGCATTAGCACTCTTGAACATGGTGGGGATGGCTGAGTTGGTTCTAATCTCAGAAGAGTGGATCTAACCACCTACTCAGGTGGCGGAGGAGGAAAGGAAGCACACTCTGCCCTGATCTCAGTGAAAGGGAAGCCCAGAGGCCTAGATGCAGGCATGGGGCAGGCAGGAGCGGACCTCACAAGCTGCATGCACCAACTGGCATGCATATGTTGCACCTGGGGCAGTGACAAATGGCCCACTGCATTTTCCTTGTCTAGTTCAAAGCCACCTGGGAAAACAGCAGGCTGTTGCCGAGGATGCTAGAAAGAGCTGAGCTGTTGGTTTGCAGTCGAGCATGGGTCTTCTATTGAGCTTTCTGCAAAATTTCAAGCACTATCTGACTGCTTTCTTATCAATGCCAGTGCACTGCTCTTGTGGTAAAGTACTTCCCAGTCTACCCAAGAATTCTCTCAGGGAGGGAGCGGTGTATGTGCAAACTTAAAACATCAAACGGCACTGGTGGGATGGGTCCTTTGCTGGCCAGGCTTGACACCTTGCATAATTTCTTTCTCAGGCTGAGAATAAAACATGATTTGGCACTGGCCAAACTCAGCTGCACACAGTGGGAGGAGCGGGAGTAGGTGGATAAGAGGGAGACAGTGAAAACAGAGGGGGTGGGCAAATAAATGAAAGCCTGATTAGGGAATTGTTAAAATAAAAAGGCTTGTCTGTTAAACTGTGACCCCTGAAAAGGACAGGGTACAGGTTTCACAAAAGCAGGACACCTAACCAGGCAGCAGCGATTCATTGCTGCGTTTCTGAATAGGTTGCCACTGGTAAGTGATTTCCATGGGAACATGGCTGGCATAACGAGGATGCGGCCACAGGTCGTGGGGGAAGGGAAGGGAAGCAGGCTCTGCTCACCTCTGCAGCCCCTCTGCCTCAGCAGCCCCCAAACCTCCAGGAGAATCATGAGTTAGGGAAAAAGCTCTGTTGTTGGAGGCACAACACCAAAGCCTACACTCTGGCTTTCTACTCACCAAGGTAAATCACTCAGCCTCTCAGACTTTTCCTGAGATTTCCTGAATATTTGAAATTAGGATACTAACACATCCTGAGCCACCTCACCTGGTTGTTTGTGAGGTCTAAAACAAGATAATACATATGAATTCACTTTGTAAGCAGGAACATGCCATGTACAGAGAAGTTTGAACTTTATTATTATGTTAACCTTCATTTCTGCTCTTTTTCTAGCCTGGGCTACATCTCATTTCTGTCTTTTATTTATTTATTTATTTATTTATTTATTTATTTATTTATTATTTATTTTTGAGTCGGAGTCTCACTCTGTCGCCCAGGCTGGAGTGCAGTGGCGTGATCTCCGCTCACTGCAAGCTCCGCCTCCTGGGTTCATGCCATTCTCCTGCCTCAGCCTCCCGAATAGCTGGGACTACAGGTGCATGCCACCATGCCTGGCTAATTTTTTATATTTTTAGTAGAGACGGAGTTTCGCCATGTTAGCCAGGATGGTCTCGATCTCCTGATCTCGTGATCCGCCCACCTCGGCCTCCCAAAGTGCTGGGATTACAGGCGTGAGCCACTGCGCCCAGCCTCATTTCTGTCTTTTAAAACTGTCTTTCCTCATGTCTGGTCAACCTCTACCACGATGTACCTTTTGCATCACACTTGAACTCTGACATTGCCCATGCCATCTCTCTTGGCTAGGGAGAACAGAGGGAGCCTCATCCTTGCATGTCCACTTCTCATTTTCCCTGACCCCACGGCCTTCAGATCTGGAAGATAGGTGTCATTCTTCCATGAAAATGCTTAATAAAGATATATGTGCAGCAAACCACCATGGCACACATTTACCTATGTAACAAACATGTACATCCTGCACATGTACCCCCGAACTTAAAATAAAAGTTGAAAAAAGAAAAACAAAGATATATGAGGAAAAGCTGCTATGATGTTGGAGATACGTGGGTCTATTTGTCAGAGCAGCAGTTATTATCTTAACTAATCCAGCATGTGATAAATACACTAGAAAATAAAACACAGGCCAATCCCAAGGCCCTTTTCAGGCCTACTTGTATCAGAACGACATTTTCAGTGCCAAGTCAACATTAGTCTCTTAGATGGAGGTCAAGAAGTGGGAGAAATTTGTTATACTGGCACCTCTATTTGGGTAGAAAAATGACTCAAAAGGTTTAAAGGTGAAAATGAGAGCAGGAGAATGTGAGTGCTGGCTGGCACTGACATGGTCATGTGAGCTGCCTGGACAGCGGTCTAAGCAGGCCCTAACTTGGAGGCAGTCTGGAGCAAGTCTGGACCTCCATATTCAACCTTCATACCCAATTCCAGAGATTTCAAGAAGTGATAACAAACTATAGAAATGATCCCCCAAAGTAATGAGTTTAGTAACAGGAATAAAGTTTCAGTCCAGCAAGATGAATAATCTCTAGAGATCTGCTATACCTATAGTCAGAAATGATGTACTGGACACTTACTTAAAATTTTGTTAAGAGGGTACATCTCATGTTAAGTGTTCTTACTGCAATAAAATACAATTTTTAAAAAGAAGAAGAAGAGGTAGGCTCCGCAGGTCTCAATATGTCCTAGAAGGATCCTGTGTTACCTCTACAACCAGAGTTGGTTGACAAAGCAAATCAAAGAAGCAAATTCATTTATTCATCCTTCCATCCATTCACTATTTTTTTTTTTGAGTACTTATTAGGTATTCCTAGGAAGTTTCTGGTGGTGCAGGGTCCAGCCATCTCAAATCCTACTTTACATTTCCCAAGGAAATGTGGAGGCCACCAAATAGTCTGGAGAATTCCCCAGACCCTCACTGGGGTGGCAGAGCCATGAGGACCTAGCACTTTTCCACAATCAATCATGCGCTTGCTCATTCAGGGGAAACCACCCGAGGCCCTAAGTTTGGGGACCCACACCGAAGAACTGAGAATGGCTAGACGTCTTTCTGCTCCCACAGAGTTCTGCGTCATTAATGCTGGTCCAGGATCCATAAGTCTGACCTTAGTTTTACATGAGTGAATCTGCTTCAGAAAGGATTTTTAAATGTCCTCTGTGAGAGGCTTAATACGTGGGGAGCACAGCCTTCTCTAATGAGACCAATGAATGGACAATACAAGGCGGTCAGTGACTGAAACGGGAAAAAAAATGGCAATAATGGTCTGTCCAGGAACTTTCCTCTCTGAGTTAGATCTTTACACTTTGAATTCTAAGAACAGTCTCTGAGAATAGGGATGCCGCTCTTTGATAGAACATTCCTCTGGCTTTTCAGGCATGTTATAACCAGACAGTGCACTGCATGGCTGATGAACTGACTTAAGAGTATCCTGAATGTTCAGAGAAAATGAGGGAAGGTAGGAAATCACAAAGTGACCTTCCTTTCCAATGAAAATAGAGCAAATCACTAATTTCAAAACCATTAACATGGAAAAACGGCATATTTCTTCTGAGAACAGGACACAAAGGCTCTCCAAGGAGATTGCTGTGACATGATTACCAGCAACATTTAAGTTTTCAAAAACATGCCAAGGAGGCTATTCACTAAGAATGTGTAGCGGCAAAGTAGTTGCTTCATTAAACTTAAATAGCCGTGGCAGGGCTGTGCTTACAGACTGCACTACCAAATTATACATTTCTTTTCTGGATGCTTCACTGACCTCATTATGTGGAGCGCAGAATTTGTCATTCCAAATAAAGTGACCATCCAAGTCTTTACAAACATGTCCATCAGGCGCTTGATGAGTCTGCAGAGTGAAACACTGGCCAGCCCAATGAATTTTAAAAAATACTTCTCTTTTTGTTGTCTCATTATTTTCTGCTAGGTGCTCATTGTCACGCTTACAGGGCACAGTTAAGCAGTAAGCAGGTGAAATGCCTGTTTCTGAGCATGAGGGAGGTTTTGATTTGGGGGTAATGGCATATTCTTGAGAAATGTATAAGCCCCAGTGATGAGTTAGAGGGAGAAAAAAAACCTGACCAGCATAAAGCAAGTTGGATCCGGGGAGAGTTACCATAATATGTTCCTAGTGTACTACCTTAAAGTTATATTCAGAGTTACTTATCATTTCTCATCCACATGATTAATTCTGATTCTCAGCCACAAGAAGTATCCAAAATATCAGACAGATCTTTTTTTTTTATTTAAAATTACTGTATTTTCTCTTCAGCCAGGTAAAATCCTCTAGTTCTGCTGAAGGCAAATCAAGTAACAATTATCATATTTAGACATATTTTTCCCTCAAGAAGTACTTATGAAATTAATTCAGATTTTGGAGGCTATCCATTTTTCATTTAATTTTAATTATATAGATGAAAATGGCAATTAAAAATCCCACAACAATGCTATGTGTTCAAAGACACAGCGACAGCTGAATTGCACTTGTAAATAACAACTGGCTCCTACACACGGAGCCCCACTGAGCTGAGGGAGGGGGGTTGCACAGATGAGTTCTGGGCACTCGGGAACAATGAGGGCACATCAGAAAAGTTTAAACATCAAGTTCAAAAATTGAGAGGAGCAGGCAAAACATAATGAGACATTCATGGGACATTACTCAGGGATGAAAAATTAAAATGTACTCTTCAAATGATATTCAGTGTGACCAGCAGCAAATAGCTACCTGTCCAGCATGCATAAGGAAAGGCCTGAAGGGTACAGCATGCTGGTCAGGATGTCTGATAATACAAGAGAAAAACATCTCAGTCACAATGAAAGCTAAATGTGTTCTAAGGACTGAAGGCTCCCAATTTGTTTTTGGGCTCACACACATTTTTTTTAAAAATCAGCATCCAAGTGAAAGCCTATCATGAAGGACGTTGATTTGGGATTCATTTCCAAGTTGTACCTCACTTTCCTCTGCATAAGCAAACCAGTATTAGCTAGACAGATGTGCTAATTCTTAACCCAAGCCTCCAGAAGCCTAGAATAAAGCCAGTTGTGAGCTTATTTTAAATCAGGGTTCCTTGGAACTTTCCTCTTCCTCGTTTCACCCAGACTACAGGGAGGCTGCAGTCTTGTCCACTGGCAGGGCAGTCTAAACTCTGCATTCCATCAGGCTCAGGTAGGCTGGGCCTCCCTGTGCATTCCCTGGAGCACTTTCAGGCCCACAAGGACCCACAACACATTTGGCTGCATTACTTTGCATTTACACACAAGATAAGCAAGGTCACTCAGCTTGCCAAGGAATATGAAGGCTAAACCTCCTTGGACTTTGCATTTCATCCCCCTCCTAGGCATGACAGATGAACTCTCTATCATATGCTACATAATACCAAACGTCCTCAAAACACCAATTGTTCTTTCATGTATACTCTACAGAAACAAACCTGTCTTGAGTGTTCCTTCATGGCCTTTTCACACATTTAGCTTTTGAGTAAGGAGCTGTCTGGGAACCTTGGGGTTGAGGAGACTGAGCTCTGGTTTTGGGTCAGGGAGTCCTGGCTTTGAACCACCACCCAGCTGCTTATCAACAGGAGAGTTACTTGACACTGAACCTCAGTTTCCCCCCGAGACTGAGGACCTGAGGTAGGTGTGGGCCTGGCAGGTAGAGGACTTTTGATAATGGGAAGTAGTTAAGTCTGTAGAGCAACAGGATGAGCTCAGAACAACGGGGCCAGGGTAGGGGTACAAGGGGCACCTTCCAGATCCCACCTCTAGGCTCCTCACTCAGCCCACCCTCTTCTACAGTTCTCATTACCCCTGCCCCCATCTTCCCAAGCCAATAGCTCATGAAGACACAACTACTGACATCTGCTTTGATAGTCTTGTATAAACAGGTAAAAAAAATCACAGGAACTCCCCCTGGAATTACTTTCCTTGGCCTTAGACATGGCTTCCCTCCTCTAAACCCCAACACACATACTCACATATACACACAAAAAATACAGATTCTTTTTGATTGGCTCCCTAAAATGGGTCCAGTCTTTTAAACAGTCAAGATACCAAACAAGCACAAGAACAAAGTAACACATAGCCAAGGACCGAGTTACCCGAGATCACTTTATCACTTGCTGTCTGCATAGCCTGTATCCTGGATTCTTGTGGACCATGAAATGGATGGAGAATAGGGTCTCTCTCTTGGTGATGATACTTATTTTCTATGTACCTCAATGCAAAGCACTTATGAACCTCTTTAGGGAACCTCTTTAGGGAACCTCTTTAGGGAACCTCTGAGGTGCTATTTTTTTCTAACTGGAACACATGCCCACTCCCTGCACTTGCTCCCTGGCTGGGACCTGCCTGCCTGTATGGGCACAGCATGCATCATGGCCTGGGTGGCTGCATCAGTCCCCTGCATCTTGGTACAGAGTGGCCTCTCTTCCACACCCCCACCTGTTGGAGTGCTGGCTCCATCTGGACTTTTTCAGTGGGAGGACCGGCATGCTGTCTCCACAATCCTCCTGGGAAGCCAAGTGTGTAAGGCCTGTTAGAAATGCCCACAGTGTGTCAGCTTACACAGAACATCCCCTTAAGTCACTTAGCCACTCAGAAGGAAGGTCCTGAATCAAATATCTGTGTTGTTCTGTTTGTTTGTTTTTTTTTGTAGGCCCAGCCCTGCCAAAAATAATGGGTGAGGTTTCTTACCCGGATTCAGCCTGTTTGATAGAAACAAAAACAACTTTATATTGAGACTGAATTAAATTATTATCCAGGCAAAATAACTAAATAATATACAGAGGTCTACCCTTACACGTTTTCATCTGATGGTACTTTTCCTTCAGGACAGACAAAAAAATTACACTATTGATAGCAACAGTGTGAGTGTATTTTTCTATTTTCATAGCACTATTCATTTTCCATCTTCTAAGTACTTAATAAATACAGTAGGCCTTTACTGCCTTCTAGGGTGAAAATAACACTTATGCCCCCACGGAGCTCATTCATTTGTTTTATGGGCTAAAAAAATCTCTAGCGTGTCACAAATTAACACAATGTTCCTGAGGACGGTGTTTTATTCTTGAATCTCCAATTTCACTAATAAATGTGAAAAATACATGTAGCCAGATAAGTCCCAGGAGACCAGCCACTGCAGATGCTGAAGAAAGCAAGTTATTCCAGCTAAGATCAGCATTAACTTCAACACCAGAGACTGTTTGTTTCCCAAATTCTCCTTCAATTGCCTGTTATAAGGCAAGGAACTTGGTTTCTAGTGACCAACCAAAAATCCAAAAGAAATAGGTTTTTTTAAATTTAAGTAAAGGAGATTGTCAAAAAAATTTTTTTTAAAATGTTCAATTCTCAGATAATGACCTTTTTCTAGTCAGAGGTCCTATCTTGCTTCTAGGCCATGGACCCCCCACTATTATCTCTGAGAGAGATTTGTTATTTTTTTCTTAATATTTTTATTATGAAAAGTGTCAAATAGAACATGATAGTAAATCCACATATATCTTATCCCAATCTAAAATTTTTTATGCCAATATTTTTATTTTACTTTTTGCATTTCCTTCCCTTTGTTCATAAAAATTATTTACACTATTACAGGAGAATGTATATATGCCAATCTAAAAATTAATCAAGATTTTATCACATTTGTTTCACCTATCCTTTCTTCCTTCCTTTTTATTATGATTTTAAAGTAAATCCCAGAAATCAGTCATTTCACCCCTATATACTTCAGTATGAATTTCTAAAAATATGAACATTTCTCATATAACCACACAGCCATTATTTTATCTAACAAACTTAATATTCCCTTGATATCATCTACTACCCAGACTATATTTAAATTTCCCCAATTGTCTCAAAAAATCTTTTGGTTGGTTTGTTTAAATGGCCCAAACAAGTTGTACACATCATATTTGGATGTTATTCATCGTATGTCCCTCTCAGTCACATCGGCCTCTCCCTTTCTTCCCAAGCCATTGTCTGTTGAAGAAATTCACGTAGAGGTCCTCTAGAGCCCTGTCCTAATCTCCATTTTTTAAATTTGTCTGTCTTCTTGTGTTACCATTTCACTTGTTCCTCTCTTTCCTGTATTTTCTGGAACCCCAGGATTGGCTTGATTCATTTCAGGTTCAACTCTCAGGCAATACTAGCTCATAGATGGTACTGTCTACTCTTGGTGCATCACATCAGATGGCAAGTAATGTATGGCGGTCCCACTTTTAGTGGGCTCAGGGAAGTCCCCAGGTACACAATTCTAAGGGTCTAATGATTGCATCCACTGATGACAGTTGCCTGAATCAATTATTTCATTTGGGAGCTATCCAATTATGCTTTTCCAATTCTAACTTCCCTTCTATATTTAGTAGCTGGAATTCTTTTGGAACAAAGAATCAGTGCAATCTGGTTAAATATGATTTACACAAAAAAGTCATGAGCACTGCTTAATTCTTTCCTATGATAGCCAGTCTTCAGAGTATGGAATTGGTACCTTAGTTATGTTCTATAATAACTGAGTTGTATTTGTTGTTGTTTATACTATTTGATATGGTTTGGCTGTGTCCTCACCCAAATCTCATCTTGAATTGTAGTTCCCATAATTCCCACGTATTGTGGGAGGGACCTGGTGGGAGATAATTGAATCATGGGGGCAGGTCTTTCCCATGCTGTTCTTGTGATAGTGAATAAGTCTCACAAGATCTGATGGTTTTATAAAGGAGAGTTCCCCTGCACATGCTCTTTTTTGTTTGCTGCCTTGCAAGACGTGACTGTGCTCCTCCTTTGCCTTCTGCCATGATTGTGAGGCCTCCCCAGCCATGTGGAACTATGAGTCCATTAAAGCTCTTTCCTTTATAAATTACCCAGCCTCAGGTATGTCTTTATTAGCAGCATGAGAATAGACTAATACACTATTCTTAAAGATCCACCTGTCTTTATTGAAATTAAAAAAAAAAGTCAGACCACTACTACATAAGAAACTCTTCTTAAGTATACAGAAGATCTGGATTTGTGATTTAAAGGGACACAAAGCAAGTCAAGGGCATCATCCCTGCCATTTTGCAGTGCTCTTGGAAGGAAGGCCAGATGCTGTTTTCCTTGCCTGTGTTGGTACCTAAGACTTTTGTCCTTATGGTAGATACAATCTTTCCTTAGGTCCAACACTCCTCAACAACTTTCTATATTTACCCGTCCCTCAGGAAAAATGAGAACAATTCTAAACCATTATCTTCTTTTGCTTATTGCTGCACAGATCACTTGGTGCCACTTGCCCCTGCAGACCTCCACTGTATCTTATTTATGGAATACATCTGAAGGTGGCCCAAGGCTGTGGAAGGGGGTCAGGAGAACTAATGCCTCTGTAGACTGACTACTCAAGGTCATCATGCCTGTATAGCTCAGGCTTTCTGATCCAACAGGAAGCCATTCCCACCCAGAAAAGCCTGCAGGTGCCATGTGGCAGAACCATACCCTGCTCCAGCACCATGCTGGTGACACATTAACACTCGGGGCAAGCTTCCACTGTGGGAAGGATCTGTGTATGCACGAGAAACATTTCCCCTTCCTTCTTCTCACTAATAAGGGTGAAAACATTTAGGCAGTTCATAGGTATTCCCCACAGAGGCATTTATAAGCCTTCTTTAACAGTGGCTGACAAGTGTCTCTGAGACTGACAGCAATCCAGGGTCTTTCTTTTTTGTTCTCTAAGAGCAGGGGCATTTTCTGCCCATGATTGCCTTGTTTTAGTGACATGCATCTGTCAGTTAGATATTAAAACAGAGTAATAATGGGAAGATAATATGCTGGCTCTGTCCACATACTTTGAGAGGGAAGCATTCATGAAAAATGTGTATTTTGGGAAATCGAGATGCTCATGTGCCCATCTGCATTTCTATTTAGTTTGAAATTGAGTGTAGAATAGCAAAGCAGTGAAAGAACAAATAATGTAGGGGTGGACTCTGAGGAGATTCTGAAATGGTTCTGCAGACACCAGTGTGGGGCTTGTTGCTCTAAGAAGGAGGGGAATGGGTTAGGAAATGCATGCCAAGGAGGCTGGCCAGGATGAAAGTGGTTTTTGTTGTAGTTGTTGTTGTTTTTTGGTTTTTGGTTTCCCTAGAATGCATTGAGAGCTGCTGAACCAATGAACCAGCAGGAAACAGCTTCCATGACTCTGTAAGTGGAGGACTTTCACGCATTTTGAAAAAGAGCAAATACTTTCTTATAAAGCCAAGGTGAAAGGGAAGTGCACACTATAAATAAACGAATACAAGCAATTTGGTTCCCAAAGATCTTTCTAGTAAATGGTTCTGTGCTAGAAAGTAATATTATTACTCAGATACTTAGATCTCTAGTCATATGTTTAGGTCCTGACTTCTTGGCTAGTGTAAATAAAAGCATATCCTCTAATACATACATGAATACACACACACACACACACACACACACACACACACACACACAGGCTCTATAGAAGGCCATCTTTATGCTAGCAATTCGTTGTAAAATCTCATCATCCTAGACTTGACCACAGAGCCCAGTGACTACTAAAGTATAATCTCTACCGCAAAGTTGTAACATGAGGATAACAGAAGGAAAATAGCTGCCATTATATTGGGTGGGAATAGTCAACTGGACTAGAGTAGAAGCCAGAAATCACTAGCCTCACCAGTAAAAACTGTTAACAATTTTCTTTTTAAAAAGCAAAGCGGGGGAAGGCTATTTGGTGATAATAATAATAATAATAATTCAGCATGTGAGCGTTGGAGTTAGATACCTTGGGTTTGAATCCCTTCGATTTTCCATCTACCAGTTATGCCTCCTTAAGCCAGGGATAAAATAGTGCCCATCTCAGAACATTTGAGGATTAAATGAAATAACATATATAAAGTGCCTAGCACAAAGCTTAGCACACAGCAAACACCACTGGCTGCAAGGATTGTGTTAGGGCCACAGCAGCCTCAAATGTTTCCAGGGTGCCCTGTTGCTTTTGCTATTTCTGTTCAAGCCAACAAACATTTATCACTATACTGACATTAACATGAGAGGCAGAGTGGAGAAGCAGAAACAAAGCTCAGGAATCAGACACATGGCTGTGAGTACTGGCTTTTGCCACCAGTTACTAAAGGTACAACCTTGGATAAGTTATTTAACTTTTCTGTATGTCAATTTGCCCACCTGTGAAAAAGGAGAAGGTGACTTCCTCGCAGTCATTATAAGACTTTAAATTGTGGTTTTAAAGCCCACAGAGTCTTTAAAGTGTCTTACCCAGTGGGTGCTCGCTGAGTGGTAGCTCTCATCATTATTAGAGTATTATAGAAGGCTCAGGAAAGGGACAGAGGTGGGCCTCTTGAATCTTGCCACTGGATGGCATGATCCTGGGCTGGGGAGGATGGGCCAGAGCTTGTCATTGGAACAATGGGGTAAGTAAGACTGAGGACACATACGAAGGCACAGTGGGAACCTAAGGAAAGTAGGTGTTACTGGAAGGTGAAGTATGCAGAGAATATTATCTTAAAATACAGCATCAGTACAATATGGAGTACAAAATTGTCTCCCTTTGTTTTTGGCTTCAAGGGGTAAAATACGGGGCTCTGGGGAGCTAGGTGGGCCACTATAGCTCTAGGAGCTTTCCATTTATCCTCCCCAGGTTTTCCCAAGAGCCAGGTACCATTTTGGCTCCAGAATGAGGTAGCTACTCTGAAGCATTTTGTACAGATACAGAGGAATGAATGGTCCTATTTTTTTCTGGGGAAGAGATATCTTTTCTCCCCTTTCCTAACAACAAAGGGAAGAATCAAACTAAATTTGTACTTCCATTTTCATCTGCTGATCCCAACACTTCTAGAAACCAGGGACTCTCTTCATCTTGTTTACGCAGAGCTCAGCACAGGACCCACTTAGATGTTTACTGGGCACATAGTGGGAAATGTATGGTTTCTAAAAAAATAAAATAAAACAAAACAGGGACATACTAAAGTGGAAATTTACTACTTTTGGGTATCTGGGTCATAAGGATCTGGACATTTGAAAGAGGCCAGAATACACTGTATCATGATTTTTATTAAGTTCTACTTTCAAGGTTACATAAAATATGCATCCTGTTCAGTAGCGGAGAAAATACAACCAAAGCTAATCCATGATGATAGTGCATATATACACAAACAAAGCATGCTGATGTCTCTAGCCTGGTCTGTTCATAAACTGGACTCATTTCTTAGATTTACAACGATAATCACTATGGCAAATTCAATAACAGAATTTTCCGCTGTATGCCTGTCATTCTCTTTGGTATCTCTTTTTTTTTTTTTTTTTGAGACAGAGTCTCGCTGTGTCGCCCAGGCTGGAATGCAGTGGTGCGATCTCGGCTCACTGCAAGCTCCGCCTCCTGGGTTCACGCCATTCTCCTGCATAAGCCTCCCGAGTAGCTGGGACTACAGGCGCCCACCACCACGCTCGGCTAATTTTTTGTATTTTTAGTAGAGACGGGGTTTCACCGTGTTAGCCAGGATGGTCTTGATTTCCTGACCTCGTGATTCACATGCCTTGGCCTCCCAAAGTGCTGGGATTACAGGCATGAGCCACTGCACCCAGCCTCTCTTTGGTATCTTTTTAAAGCCCTTAAATGCTTTTGATTTACATAAAACTAAAAGCTGGGAGAATTAAAAATTACACAGATAATGAAGATGAG
The DNA here is from genome assembly GCF_000001405.40 of Homo sapiens. NCBI lineage: Eukaryota > Metazoa > Chordata > Mammalia > Primates > Hominidae > Homo > Homo sapiens. Next base: position 126,933,839 of record NC_000005.10, read on the forward strand.
TTCCTAGGTGAATTACCCATTACTGTGGAGGTTTTTGGATATTTTCATTAAAAAGAGTAAAAAGGCCATCTAAAGATACTTGTGTATCTACAAATGATTGTAAAGTCATTCTCTTTATTTCTTTCCAACTCCCATAAGCCTCTTTTATTAGCTTCAAGGAATGAAGCTCCAATCTGCTTCAGTAAACTGCATTATTTTTTAAACTACAAAAACATACGCGATTTCTTTACATGAGCAATCTTCTTTAATGGCAATGCAGTCATTGGGAAGACTGCATTCACAGGAATAGTTTATAGAACTTCCCTCCACCTGACAGAACCTCTCTACTTTCTTCTTATTTATTTATTTATTTTTTTTACAATATTATTAGGACCCATTGCTTTTTCACAAGTGCTTGGCATATAATGGGCACTTAAGCATATTTGCTGACTCACTAAATGAATAAATACACTAGCTGGATATCAAAATTTATATCCAGGTTAGGTGACACAATCACAGGGCTAACACAGACCTCCTATTTAGAAATACAATATCTTCTATCTGACTTAACTTCTAAGCAGTCCAGTATTAACTGCTATTTGATGGTAGCCTCTATTTTTTTTTTTTTGCATGAATTTTGGATAATCCTTATGTTCATTACCAGACTTGAAATCAGGCACTCTGATCTAGGGGTTATTTAGGAAAATTAAGAGGCAGGCCATGAATCTGAACTCTTAACTTAGTAATGGCTTGCAAGCATCTCTAAAACAAAGCATCCCTAATTCCCTTCCCTACTTGCACATAAATCTCTTTAAGTTGGTATGGAGAATATTGTTGAAAAAGAAGATTGAAAGGAAGAAAGAATGAAGGAAGAAAGGAAGGAAGAAAGGAAGGAAGAGGGGGAAGAAAGAAAAAGAAAAAATAAATGACGAAACGAGTGGATACAGAGCCAAAATAGTCCCATTTTTCTATCAATTCAGGACATGTTGAAAGTGTAGAAAAGGAGGATCTCAGGCTCAAAAATCTTCTCATCCTGTCTACCAGGCCCAGGTCCCGATTTGCTGTGTGAGGCAGTGTGTGAGCATGGTGGGAGCTGTGTTTCTGCCCCCACCGATTTGAAACTCATGTACACATTTTCCCACTGGGAATAAAATGTCTGGTTATAGTTGGAATGGTATCATTACTTCCATATTCAGAAATATTATTAGGTGATTGAGCTTTTATGAGCTGGTTCAAATAGTCACATGTAGCTGTTGGTTGGGATAGATAGGCAGGCAAAAGTGGCACAGTGGTATAGGTGTGATGGCTAATTTTATGTGTCATCTTGACTGGGCCATAAGATGTCCAGATATTTAGTCAAATATTATTCTAGGAGTTTCTGTGAGGGTGTTTCTGGATGAGTTTAACATTTAACATTCAAATTGATAGGCTGAGCAAACAGTTTGCCCTCCCTCATGTGGGTAGGCCTCCTTCAATCATGTGAAGGTCCGAACAGAACAAAAATGCTGACCCTCCCCCAAATAAGAAGGAATTCCTCCTGCCTGACTGCCTTTCAGCTGGGACATCAGTTTTTCCTACCTTTGAACTCAAACTGAAACATGGGCTCTTCTTGGGTCTTGAGCCTGCCAGCATTTGAGCTAGAACCACATCAGTGGCTCTCTTGGGTCTCTAGCTTGCTAGAGAAATAGATATATATGTTCCTATTGGTTCTGTTTCTGTGCAGAACACTAACAGAGCAGAAAACACCAAAGAGCCAATCTAAAAAGTACGAATGTATATATGGCTTTTTTTTTTTTTTTTTTTTTTTTTTGAGACGGAGTTTTGCTCTTGTTGCCCAGGCTGGAGTGCAATGGCGTGATCTTGGCTCACTGCAATCTCCTTCTCCTGGGTTCAAGCGATTCTCCTGCCTCAGTCTCCCAAGTTGGTGGGATTACAGGCGCCTGCCACCATGCCTGGCTAATTTTTGTATTCTTAGTAGAGACAGGGTTTCACCATGTTGGGCAGGCTAGTCTCGAATTCCTGACCTCAGGTGATCCACCCACCTCGGCCTCCCAAAGTGCTGGGATTACAGGCATGAGCCACCACACCTGGCCTATATGGCTTTAATATATGTATATACAGGTGTGTATATATATTTACACATGCACATATGTCTTTAAGAGTCATAAAGTAAAATTTAAGCAGATTCTCAGTTACCTTCTTGGTGATGCTCAGGCTACACAGAAAGTAATCTATAATCCCTGCTACACACCGAAAGAGTGTTTGCTGGGGTGTGCTGGGCAGAGATGACATGGGCTTTTTTGAGAGTGGGTGATGAGCCTTCACACCTCCGGAAGAACAGTTTGGCAGTATGTATCAATAACCTTAAGATGGCTGTGCTTTTCCTTTTAGAAACTGATTTTTAGGACATAATGTTTGAGCCTTTTTAAAAAAGGAATTTATCTTAGGGACATAATCAGAAATGCAAACAAGGACTTATGCACGATCTGCAGTACTTTTTAATACTCTTCTACACTCCTTTCTAGTAGCACAACATGAGATAATCATCCAACAGCCAGGGAAAGGTTAAATAAATACATAGTGTATCCATATCCTAGACTACCAGTGAGGGCACTAACATGAGTTTATAACATGTTTAATAGCACTGGAAAACACAATATAAGGCTTGGTGAAAAAAATTGGATAAATATTTATGTTTGTAATTTCAAGTATAATTCAGAGAGAGAAAGATGGTATATCAATATGTTAATAGTGGTTCTGGGTAGCAAGTGATTCTTAATTTACTTTCATTGTTTCTGCTTTTTGTATTTTTGAAATTTTCTAAAATAAATTTTTATTATATTTAGAAAAAACAGTTGAACAAATAGCATTTTATAACCCTCAGGAGGGAATGCATATTAAACTGCCTCCTGAGAAAACAAACAATAAACACAAGCCAAACTAGAGCAAGCAACCAAAACTCAAAAAAGCACATGCCCTCGCCATAAATAATCCAAAGGCAACCACAGAATTTCCTTTATTCCGTAGGTGCAGAAAGGACATTACAGATCTCCAGGTAAAGAAATTCAACAATGTTTCTCCCCAGCAGCCTGCTCCTAGAAACAGCTGGTTCAGTAGGAAGACTCCTGGGTCAGGCCCCAGAGGCTCCAGGCTCTTTGCCACGCTGCAGACTGGCATTGAGGCCACTAGTGTGTCATTTGCTTTCCCTCAGCTTTGGGTCTCTCAACAGTAATATATAAAAACTAAATCAGCTTCTGTGAGCTATACCAGGCTTTGTCAGAATAAAATGAAGTGACAAATTCACAAATGTCCCCAGCTACAGAGCACTGCAGCAATGTAACAAACGGTCATCAGTGGTCACCACCACCAAGTTCATGCCTGAACCCTTCAGTGGTCCTTTGCCCCACTTGGGGGCAGTCACAGATGTCAACAGTAGACAGACAATGACCCAGACAGGATATACTCTTTTTTCCTCATACATCTACAATGTGTCTAAATTAACATCTGGTTACCTTTTTTTTTCTTTTTAACAAGAAAGATGCCAATTTAAATTAAAAATCCATATACTTTACAGAAGTCATATTCTTGCTAGAGAAGACAAATTATAAACAGGAGCCAGCAGCAATAATCTGCCAAATTTTATAAAGCATCATTTATCATTCCTCTTTGGAATTTATATATCCAAATTGTCCAGACAGCAATTGTATATTTAGACCATGGGGCCTTATGAGAATTGGTGGGTGTAGTCACCTGTTTTATAAATGAGGAAACTAAAACAAAGGGATTTTATGATTTTCTTAGCACCATAAGTTAGTGGAAGAACCTGATTAACTCGATTTCTGACCCAAATTTCTATGAATTGCTACCACTATTATTATTTAATACTGACTAAATGGATATACTATGCAAGGTGACCTTGGTTGTTGTTTTTGGGGTGAGAGTGGGGTGAGAAGAAAGAGTAGGGAAATTCTTTTTAATTCTTTTACAGAATCGAAAAGCTTTCTTCCCCCAAGATTAGAGTTAACAAAGAAGGTGATTTCTGCAGTTATGACAAGCATATTCCACAAAAAAACTCCTGAGTTTCCTAATAACACTGAGTAGGAGTGAAGGCATAAAGGAAAGTATCTGCTCTTTTGATAAGACTCAAATTTTGAAACAAGGAGAATCCTGGTATTTAATGCTTGGGCAAGACCATGTGTAGTAGCTGCAGAATTTCATGACTAAATTTTACAATACATAGTTGCAGCAGCTATCACTGACATTGATGAGCACCTCGGATTTTTGCAATCCACATTTTATTAACTTAGGGGAGAATAGAACATAATTCTCAGCTCTGTTGATCTGATTCTTTTTTTTTTTTTTTTTTTTTTGAGACAGTCTTGCTCTGCCGCCCAGGCTGGGGTACAGAGGCTCAATCTTGGCTCATTGCAATCTCTGCCTCCCAGGTTCAAGCGATTCTGATGCCTCAGCCTCCCGAGTAGCTGGGATTACAGATGTGTGCCACCACACCTGGCTAATTTTTGTAATTTCAGTAGAGACAGAGTTTCACCATGTTGGCCAAGCTGGTCTCAAATTCCTGGCCTCATGTGATCTGCCCACCTCGGCCTCCCAGAGTGCTGGGATTACAAGTGTGAGCCACTGTGCCTGGCCTGTTGATCTGATTCTAGAGAACTTTGTTGTTGTTGTTTTTAAAAGCTAGGAGTTAACATGTAGGGCAAAAAAAGCAAAAAAAGCAAAAAAAAAAAAAATTTTACAAAAAAACCCTTAGAGCCAAATCCTTAGTATTTCCCAAGTCTCACACTGTGGATACAATTTCTCTTCATATTTGTGAGTCATCATGCATTTTTCTAGGCATCACAACTCATTCACTTCCTAACTTGTGCAATGATTTAATTTTTCCCCCATAGCATTTGTAGGCAGGAAACTTCTGGGAGCTGTGCTGCTGAATTACAGAAAATTAGAATCTGGTTTGAGGAAAATCACTTCACATGTGCATTACAATGAAGAAAATGTAATGTTTCCTCAGTTTCACAGAAGCCAAAATAAATAATTTTCCTTATTTCTTATATACATAACAAGAAAAACCATATAGTGATTTCCTTTTGCTATTAAAATCAGGTATTTGGGGAGTGGAGGAAGAGGTCTAAGCTTGTCCCGTCACTAAATGAAAATGAATTCTGTGGATACATTGGTCACTAAAGTTGCAAATGGCTCTTTTCCTTAGAAAATCTTAGAAAGATTGCCAGAGGTTTCTCCCTTCTTGGATATTGTATAATAACAGCACATGTACAGATTCCTGTTAGCATTGATTCTGCAACAAACATAATCTTATGCTAGGGTTGATTATAACAGGTGAACTCAACTTAAATGCTAGTATTATTTATTCATTGACAACCCCACCCCCTTGAGTATGCCTTCCCTAGATATGAAAAGGTTAGGCTCAACATCTCACCTACATAATCCCCCTCTTCATGCCCTTTCATTTGAAAGGAAAGGTTCCCTAAAGTGTTATAAGTTGTTTGGCGAGGGTTGACAAAAGGTCCAGGAGCGGCTGGGCTGGGAGAACACTTACTAACACCGTGGCTACTACCTGTTCTTCATTTCTTTCTTATCCCTTACACCTTCTTATGTGGGCTGTTCTGGGTGATCAGCCTTCACTATGATTCCTTTTGGAACACAGTATTAGTACATAAAACACAGAACCATAGTATCTGAGAAGGACTGGAAGAAATTATTACCAGAACTTTGTAAATGTTTAGTTGTAATCTTAACACCAGAGATTCATCAGGAATAAAAGTACTTAAACCCTGAATCTAAGACTTGAATAGAAAGGAAATTTAAACAGAGTCAGTTCTTGTTATTTACAGTAGTTATGTTCTATACATTGCTGATTACTGAATTAGTGAATACTGAACCATTGCTCTTAGAGAAAATGCAGGATTAGGTTCCTGTGGACCACTGGCCACATTTTCATCTACCAATCAATACATAACCTTGTTTATGCGGGTCTCTGCTTGAAGACACCTTATTTAATATATATTGTTGATTCATTAACATTGAACTCATGACCAACAGCACTGCAACTCGTGCATGAACGAAGCTTACCTAACACACGTATTTTCTCTACAAGGTATCACAAGTTTCTTGTGCTTAGGAACACTAGCCAGCACTTCAGCACTGCCCTTAGGGTCTAAACAGTGAGATCACCAACAAAATGCAAAAAAATGTGGAAAATGTGGCACTAAGTGGACTACAGAAAGGGCACTTTTTAATGTGTGAGAGTTAAAACAAGAAAGCAGATCATTGCCTTGTTTGACCTCAGCTGCATGTAGGGTGACTCGAATTTTTCACCACAGGGCTGTGTGTCCGTGAATGACTGTGAAACTGCTTCAAGTATTGATTTTGGGGTTACAAATAAACTTTAGTGAGTGGGTGAACTCACAAATATGGAATCCATGAACAATGAGGATTGATTATAAATTCTACCTCTTATCCAAGAGCAGATCATGCTTATTTATCTCCTTTACTCCTAATAGCCTCAATTAATCTTTCATGCTAAACAATGAGAAATATTTTTATGCTAGATGGCCATTACAGTTGCAGTGCAACTGTATATATGTTTTTAATTTTTTTTTCTGTTTGTTTTTTGAGACAGAGTTTTGCTCTGTTGCCCGGGCTGGGGTGTAGTGGTGTGATCCCAGCTCACTGCAACCTCCGTCTCACAGATTCAAGCAATTCTCCTGCCTCAGCCTCCCAAGTTGCTGGGATTACAGGCACCCGCCACCACACCCAGCTAATTTTTGTATTTTAGTAGAGATGGGGTTTCTCCATGTTGGCCAGGTTGGTCTTAAACTCCTGACCTCAAGCGATCCACCCACCTCGGCCTCCCAAAGTGCTGGGATTACAGGTGTGAGCCACTGTGCCCGGCCTAACTTTTTTTTTTTAATTTTAAATTTTTGTTAAAATTACTGTACTCCATAAATATATACAGCTATATATAAATATACAGCTATGTATATATTTGTGGAGTATATGAGATGTTTTGAAACAAGCATGCAATGTGAAATAACCACATCATGGACAATGGGGTATCCATCCCCTCAAGCATTTATCTTTTGTGTTATAAACAACCCACTTATACTTTTGCAACTGTATATTATTTAATGCTTTTTGTTTTTTAAGTAAATGGAAGTCGGAAACTTTAATTTTCAAAAATTAATGAATGTGACATGGATGGTAGAAAATATAAAACCACAAGTTTACAAAATTTTCTCCATTTACCTGTTTTAGAAAGAAATAGGGCAAGTGTTGAGCCTGAGTTATCATTTGAACAGGTAAAAGAGTTATTTTTTATAATGCATTACAATTTATTCTGGTTCAAAGAAGGTATGTTTAGAATTTGGTAGAAGAATGACAATTATACATATTCTAGAAAAGGAGAGCTGCTGAACTGAACACATAAAAAGCGAGGTCTCTGTCCTCTTAAACACTTTTGTGCTGAGCTGCATTTTAGGGGCTTTCTAACCCTGCAGGTAGGATTAGAAGTTCAAGCCTATTTTTTAAAAGTTATTGTATTCTCTAAAACTGTGGAGGAAAATCTTGACACCATCCATCCAACAATGAGGTGTGATAAATAGAAAAAAAAAAAACAGGTGGAAAAATTTACACTTGTTAAAAACAGTTTTCAGAATTATGCTTGGGTTTTCAAAACTGAAGTCAAAGTATGTGTCATATGCGTTAATAGTGCCTTGTGGAGTAGAATCTGAATAAAGCAGAACTGACTTGCATCTAGGTCTAGGACTGCATTAAAGTAAGATTCTAGCAGAGGAAGCAGTTACATTTGGGTCTGACCCCAGGAAAGCATATTCATTCATTTCTTGGTTCACTGGTGAGAGCACCATGAAAGCATCTGGAGGCCTTCTGCTGGTGGAGCTGCCAGCAGGTACCCTGACCCCATTGCCACTGTTGTTTCCATCCAAACACTTGGCATGTGGAAGAGGCCTTGGAAGGAAACGAGAGTCAGGTCCTGTAAGGTGTAAGCATACAATGAGGGTATCTCATATCTAAGAGGAATGAATGGTTCCTCTCAGTTAATCTAAGCAGCGCTGGGCAGTATGCTCATTCCTGGTTTACAGAATCATGGTGCTGAGACTCAAGGTTGCAATCTTCCTGCTCAGTGCATCTTACCTAAAATTAACTTCACAACCCCATCACAGCTATCTTAAGAGACTGAAAAGAAGCCTTCTTGAGCACTTTGAGCTATTTAATCACATTGTAACTTTTTTAAAAAATGGCATCACAACACTGTTTCTCATGTGGCTTAAGAAGCAATAAAAACATTGAAAGCTCCACTATGGCCATCATAGCATTTACTGATTAAATCTTAACTTTTTAGAGAATCTATTAGTTATTCTAGGTCAGGAGTCAGCAAACCTTTTCTGTAAAGGGCCAGATAGTAAATATTTTAGGCTTGGCAGACCAAACAGTCTGTCACAACTACTCAACTCTGCCATGGTAGCATGAAAATAGCTGCAAACATTAAACAAGTATGGCTATATTTTAATAAAACTTAAATTTTGGATATTAAAATTCAAATTTCATGTAATTCTTTGTTTTAGTTTTGTAAAAAAAAAATAAGAATGCAAAAACCACTCTTCTAGTTTGAAAAAGCAGATATAATCCCTGCCCTACAGGAGTTGACCATCTAAAACAATAAATATTGATAAAGACATATAAATAAAATACAGAGAAATAACTATACACCAGACACAATAAGATAACAGTTTAGGATAAGCCATTCATATTAGATGTTTGACATCTCTATAAGTTTTACTGATGACTATCTTAGGTCATTTAAAGCCACTAGTTAATTTACATGAAGAAGGGAAATCATCAGAGCTTTCCAGCAGAAAAATCCAAGTGGTTATTGGCTTTTATTCTAACTCTATGACTATCTTGGGACAGTTCTCTGACATGTGTTTTGAAACTTTCTCAGAAATGCCACTTACTAAAACATTCCCCAACTCAAATAGCTAGATAGCCCTGTATCACTACTGTATTAACAGCACTACACTGTTGGCAAGGTTTTCTTTTTCTATGATTTACACCAATAAAGGATGCTAAAATTCCTCAGTGTCAAACACTGAAAAAAAGAGAAAGTAATAAAGGATATAAAAATAATATTAAGGCCAGGTGCAGTGGCTCATGCCTGTAATCCTGGCACTCTGGGAGGCCAAGGCGGGTGGATCAGTTGAGGTCAGGAGTTCAAGACAATTCTGGCCAACACAGTGAAACCCTGCCTCACTGTGTTGAGTAAAAATACAAAAATTAGCCTGGCCTGGTGGCAGGCGCCTGTAATCCCAGCTATTCGGAAGGCTGAGTCAGAAGAATCACTTGAACCCAGGAGGTAGAGGTTGCAGTGAGCCGAGATTGTGCCACTGCACTCCAGCCTGGGCAACAGAGCTCAATAATAATATTGAGCTGTGCATGATGGCTCACACTTGTAATCCCAGCACCTTGGGAGGCCAAAGTGGGAGGATTGTTTGAGCCCAGGAGATTGAGACCAGCTTGGGAAACATACGGAGATCCCGTCTATACAAAATAATTAAAACAAATGTTAGCTGAGTGTGGTGGCACAGGCCTGTGGTCCCAGCTACTTGGGAGGCTGAGGTGGGAGGATCACTTGAGCCCAGGAGGTCGAGGCTGCAGTGTGCTGTGATTGCGCCACTGCACTCCATCCTGGGTGACAGAAAAAGATCTCATCTCCAAAAAAAAAAAAACCCCTCAAAATATTAAATATTCACTATATGACAAGCACTTCTCTAAGCACTTAGCCTGTATTATCTTATTGAATCCTTATAATGATCCTCTCAAGTAAGGACTATTTTTAAAAATTGTTATTGGTAGAAAACTATGTCACTTGGGCAAGTAAAGGAGCAAAGCAAAATGGCAGAACCAGAATTATTTGAACCCTGGCATCAGATTCATGAACCCTTACTCTTTTTTTTTTTGGATACGGAGTCTCGCTCTGTCGCTCAGGCTGGAGTGCCAGTGGTGCGATCTTGGCTCACTGCAACCTCTGCTTCCCGGGTTCAAGCAATTCTCTGCCTCAGCCTCCCAAGTAGCTGGGATTATAGGCGGCCGCCATCACGCCCAGCTAATTTTTTTGTATTTTTAATAGAGACAGGGTTTCACCATCTTGGCCAGGCTGTCTTGAACTCCTGACCTCATGATCCACCCACCCTGGCCTCCCAAAGTGCTGGGATTACAAGCGTGAGCCACCGCGCCCAGCCATGAACCCCTAATCTTAGCCACTCATAATCCCACCTCTCAACACTAAGGGATCTCACTAATGTAACAGCTCTGTCACTCACTAGGCATTCCTTTCCCAAGATACTGTCAGGGGTGCATATAACATCATGTCTGTACAGTATTCACACTTCTCTGAACCACTGCACTCCTTCCTCTAATCTCTGCATGTGTCTCAATGCTGGCTTTCATCTGGGCACGGTGGCTCACGCCTGTAATTCCAGTACTTTGGGAGGGTGAAGTGGGTGGATGGCTTGAGCTCAGGAGTTCAAGATCAGCCTGAGCAACATGGCAAAAAACCATCTCTACCAAAAAATACAAAAATTATCCAGGCATGGTTGTACATGCCCAGGGGGCTGAGGCAGGGGAACTGCTTGAGCCCAGGAAGTTGAGGCTGCAGTAAGCCCTGATATGCCATTGCATTCCAGCCTGGGCAAAAGAGCGACACCCTGTCTCAAATAATAGTAATAATAATAATAATCATGATCATCATCATCACCCGCTTTCACACCCTGAAGAGGTATGTTGACATGGGAAGCCACCTTGAAGAGTAAAGGAATGTGGGACTAGAACTCAGAAGACCTTGGTTCTAGGTCAGGTATAAATTGTATGACTCTGTAAATCACTTCACCTCTAGGACATCCAGTTTCTTAATCTACAAAATAACACCTGTCCTTGTAATCTTTCTGCTGACATGATCAAATGCACAATGTATGAGGAGGTATTTTATATCTTGTGAGGAATAAGTAATTGTTGGTATTATTTTTATTACATATAGCCCTTATCCTTGCCTCTCCCATTCCTTCCTTAGTCATTCTTAAAAAGCAATACATTTACAATCTTAGTATTTTGCAGAATACCAGTCACTTTTTTTGCCTGCCCCTTCCTCCCTCATCCATCCCTTCTTTTTATTTGCTGAGGAGATACACAATGGTCAATAAGACAAAGATGATCCCCTCTAACCCCTGTCATCAGAGATGACAAGAGAGGCATACAGTGGTGTGCCACAGCCAGCTCGTACTGTCTCACTGATCTCTTCTCAGCTTCACATTCAATGAAGCCATATTGATGGCTTGAAATTGGCAATAGTGGGAGTATTTACACCGTGGGATTGGCAAATGCTACAAATCACCCTCCTCCTTTCCCCCAGAGAGCTGGCTGTTGAACATTTACCAGAACTCCTCTGGATAGAGAAGCAAAATACAATTTGTCACAGGTGCTAGGAATGATAGCACAGAGGAACCTGGGCGCATATAGGGAGGCACTTGCCACAGTTATGGAGGGTGGGCAGAGGCATTCAGAGGTGTCCTGGAGGAAATGAGGTTAAGCTGAGACTAAATAATGGCAGGAGCCAGCCAGGCAAATGGGAGAGAGAAGAGAGTTCCAAGTAGAGGGAAAAACATTTGCAAACTCCCCAGTGTTACAGCAACTGAAGGCAATTCCTTAATTCTGTGGGCCAGGTGGGAGGGAGAAGAGGAGAATGAAGCTAGAGAGGTAAGAGATTCAACTTGACCCTGAGCACAATGGGTGCTACCAGGGGGCTTTGTGCAGGCATGGTAAAGGTTGTAAGTATGGGGTCTGAGTTCAGAGTCAGAGAGATGGTGTTTGAATTCTGGCTCTTTCAGCTGGGTGACAGCAGGTGCACTTCTTACCTCAGCTGAACCTCATCTGTAAAATGGGAACAATTATGGTATTCACATCTCCTGGGATGGTTGTGAAGCTATAACTGAAGTGCTTAGCACAATGTTTGGCTCATCAGAGTTGCTTCAGAGATGTCCAAGCACAGACCAGCTAACCACAGAGCAGATGTACACATTCTGTAGTGGAGGGGTGGTGTTTGCAGCCCTTTCCTGCCTTAAACATTAGTCTTCTGGTAGTCTAGGTCACTCTGGGTAGTGACCCATTCGTGAGTGGTGAAATCAATTTAGTGAGTCTTGAGTGGCACTTAAAAAAATAGAACAGGGGCCGAGCGTGGTAGCTCACACCTGCAATCCCAGCACTTTGGGAGGCTGAGGTGGGTGGATCACTTGAGGCCAGGAGTTTGAGACCAGCCTGATCAACACAGTGAAACCCCCATCTCTACTGAAAATACAAAAATTAGCCAGGTGTGGTGGCAAATGCTTGTCACCACAGCTACTCAGGAGGCTGAGGCAGGAGAATTGCTTGAACCTGGGAGGCAGAGACTGCAGTGAGCCGTGATCGTGTCACTGTACTCCAGCCTGGGCCATAGAGCGAGATTCTGTCAAAAAAAAAAAAAAAAAAAAAGGAATAGAATTAAATTAAAAAAAAATGCCAGAGTCCATCACATGTTGCAAAGTTAAGTTTTGTGTTTGTATGAACACAACGGGGTTTTATGAAGTCACCATGTAAAACTTATTCCCGCATTTAAGAAGCATGAAAGCCCTTGCTTTAACATGACATTGTGGGCGAGTCCTGGGGGCTGGGAGAAGGGGTCCTACCCCACCAGGAACTGGGAATGTCTCAGGCAGTTAGTCCTTTGGGTTTCCAGTAAAAATGGATGCTCCTTGGGCCAGGTAGGACTATAGGCTTATCTGCCCTCCCAAAACCAGGAAAGAGAACAACCCACAGAAGTGGTCCCAGAGGTCAGAGAGGGAGAGGGACTCGTGTAAGTAGGGGTGTGTGTGTGTGTGTGTGTGTGTGTGTGTGTGTGTCTGTGTGTGTGTGGTGGAGGGGAGGGGGCACTGAGGACCTCTAACACCGCTGTTTTTATTAACTCAGTAATTGGAACCATCTAAGACAAGTTGCTGCCCAACCAATTGGCACATGAAGGAACTGAGTATGTGAAACTGACTTTTAGTTTGGTGTATCCCAGAAAGATAATTCTGTATGTGAATAGATTTTAGAATAATTTCTTTTCAACATATGTCAAAACATATCCAATTTGCCCTTTGGAGTTGCAAACACCATTTGGCATTTCTTTTTCCTTTTCAATTTAAAAAATGGAAAGTAATGACAGAGTCCTGGTCAGTGTTTGGCAGAAAAAACAAGCACCCCATGTTGATTTAGTTTCCTAGAGTTTCCAAAGGGCTCATTCCCCCGCATATGCAACTGGCACTAGATTAGCTGCCGACATTTATTGACAAAGGAATTAATCTTCACCAATGATGTTTTTTAAAGCCCATTCTTTACAGCAAGCTGTGACAGACATCAGGGCTCCTTCACTTTCCCCCTTTCCTCCTGATAAAAGTGGCTAAAAATAACCTCTTAAACCCTTGATTCCACTGAGGAAGGTGCAAGAGCAAAAGAACAAAAGAACATCTTGAAGGGAGGAGAATGAACAAGAGGAGCACAGAGGGTTTTTAGGGCAGTGAAAATGCTCTGGATGATACTATGTAGTGGATATGTGTCATTATACATTTGTCCAAAACCTTAGATTATAGAACACCAAGAGTGAACCCTTATGTGAACTTAGAGGTTCATGAATTGCAACAGATGTACCCTCTGGTGGGGGATGGTGATAATGGCAAAGGCCGTACGTGTGCACAGGGGCATGGGGAAGAGGGGAAGTCTGTTTACCTTCCTCTCAATTTTGCTGTGAACCTAAAACTGCTCTAAAAAACAAGTCTTTAAAAAAATGAACTCAAACAAATTGAATACATATTCATAGAAAAATATCTCCTCCCCTTCCTACCTCACCCTGGCCAATCTTTTTCTTGGTGCAGGATGTCATATGATCAGTCCAGGCAGTCACTGAAACTGCAACTATTATGAGACTGCCTCCCACGTGGGTTTGGGAGGGGTGGGGGGGCAGCAGTGTGAGAACTGTTGTCCTAACCATGACAACTGTACTTGGTCAAAGAGGACATTCTCATTAATGATCTGCAGGTACTCAACTCCTGTGCCTTTTCCTACCATGCCTCTCAACTTATCAAAATCATCTTTTGTTGGAAGGAAAAGGCAATATACACTTCCTACATTAATCAAGCAGGAGCCAGGAAATGCCTACTTCCATTTCCCAGACATTACTGGGAGCCTCTACCATGACAACCCTGGGTGGGCCAGTGCCAGCCTCTGTTGAGTATCTTCAATGTGCCTGCCCAGTTTTCTTAATCAGTCTGCTAAGAATGTCATCCATCAGTACCCACGGAGATTGGTTCCAGAAACCCCGAGTGTACCAAAATCTGCATACTCAAGTCCTGCAGTTGGTCCTCCTTGTATAGGTTTTGCATCCTGCCAATACTTTATCTTCAATTCGCAGTTGGTTGAAAAACTCTGCAAATACGTAGCCCTCCCAGTTCAAACTCGTGTTATTCAAGGGTCAACTGTAATTTCTACTGAACATCTACTGTGTGCCCCACACTAGGATTTGTTCAGAAACACACAAAGGTACAGGGAAAACTTTAGTGCTGATAACTTCCATACTCCACGGAGAAGCAATATGCTGAATAAAAGAATGAACGGGAGAACCAAAAGCTGAAAGCAGCGTGAAGTCAGAGCACTGGGGTCTGTGACATGGAGTTCTGTATAGTGATCCTTGGGCTATGTCTTAGGGGCGTATTTCTTAAGTGCTTGGGGATTTCATCACATCTGCGTCACCTGTGACACAGATCAGAGACAGGGAACTTGGTGACAGTTACAGAAAGATTCTGGTGTACAAAGAGGATACAAGAACAACAGGGAACTAATAACTGTGGATGAAACCCCCATATGATGGTGCTACCGTGATGCTGGAAAGGATGACTTCAATATCCACATCTGGCAGGTGCGAGCTGAGGAAGGTGAAAGCAGGCTCCTTGGATAGGTAGCATTTGTCCCCTGTGTCTTTGTGAGTGTGCCTTTGTCGGCCTACAGTGGTGGAGGTGGGAGGGTGAACAATTTGGGCATGTGGAGAGGAGGGAGGATATTTACCATCAAGAAAAAAAACTTCCTTAGTAATCAACAAAGCTTATGATATATGCATAAACATTCTTTTGAGTAGAATTTTAACTTCATTAAAAGGAAATCCCAATGGAGGAAATACCTTAAAAGACATTGTTTAGGAGGCAAACACAGTTATAAATGCATTCAAGTCTAAATGCCAACTCCTACATGAACATATGCTAAAGAAAACAAGGTACTAGCAGGCTAATAAATGATATGAAATCTCAAATTAATCCTCCTTAATGGATTTAATTATCCTGTTAAACTGATATCCCATTAAAGATCATAACACACAGATCATTTAAACCAAGAAAAATATGAGGACACCAAATGGCTGGTATATCTACAAATAACATTTCTAGCGGTTCTGATGAAACAGAAAATGTGGAATATCTTCTAGGGCAAAGTGACAGATCACATTCCATACAGCAAGAGGCCTCAAAATGTCGAGCTATTAATACATCCTGAAAAACCTAAACCTTTTATCTTTGCATTCCTGGACCAGGGAGCTAGAACCCTCGCTGTAAAAGGAAAATACTCCATCTCTCTCCCTTCCAGCAACCCTTCATCTGAGACCCAGCCCTTGACAAAGTGGAATACATCCTAGGAGGCCCTGGAGAGACAGACATGTGGCCAGTGAACTGGTTTCCCCTTACTTCCTTCCTGGTTGTCAAAGGAATTGCAGAATTCCCAGCATAATTCAAAAGCAGATGTTGCTAGGGAGTTGGGATCAGAGAGGCAAATGTTCTCACAAAGGTAGGCTGGGATTAGGCGATCTGAGAAGGAAGGAATTGAACCCTGCAGGAATTCCTGGGAACTCAGGGAAAAACATCAATGACCAAAAAATAAGGAGTGGCAGAAGTAAAAGAGATAGCTTCTGTGATCCTATCAGCTTATCTTCCAAAGGGGTCCTAGCTGTTAGACAAAATCTGTATAACCATATAATGGTATACTACATCATGTGTCCCACTTTCTGTCTACTACTTACCTTTCCAGCTCACTCCCTCCAGTACCCCAACTCCAATAATCTTTTGACTCCCCCAGGACCTCCAATATTGATCCTACCCATTTTTTGCTTTTCCTCAGCCCCTTGATGTCCTCCTGACCCAGTTTAAACAAGTGGCCCATCATTATAATCAACCTCTTGTGTGCACCCACAGCTTCTTGTCTAGTTTCCTGGCAAAACCAGGATCCAACTCTGTCAACTCGATGCCTGCACTCCTGCTACTGATCATGGCTGAAGAAACACATATGACTCTACTGAATGGTCTTACCTTAAATTCATGACCACAGACTCAGTGAGCCCTTAATGCTGCCCAGCAATCATTCTTCACTTCATTCATATTTCACTCTTCTCGACAACAATTTCATGTTGACATTTCTCCCCTCAAATCTCCAATACTTTCTTCCCTATCCTCACACTCTCAGATGATAAGCTTGCTTTCACTTCATGGAGAAAAGTGGAAGAATCCACAGAGAACTTCCACAGACTCTCGCCACCCCACCTCCTCATCTACTGGTGTCTGTCTCTATTGACTCTGCCTCTCCAGCTGCTATCACAAAGGAACCACTGGGTTCTTCTTTTCCCATTTGTGCACTAGATCCCTTCCCTCTACACACTTATCCACTCTAAGGATTAACTCTGGTAACTCTGCCTCTCTTCAACATCATCAATTTCTCCTTATTAGACCATTCTCAACAGCAAACAAATATCTGGTTATTTCTTCCACCTCAAAAAAGCCCCTCTTTTACTCCAGATTTTCTATAACTATCACCTCATTTTTCTTCTCCCCTTACAGCAAATCTCCCTGAAATAGAAGGCTTTTCCATTTTTGTCTCCTATTACCTTTTTCAGCTTTATTGAGGTATAACTAAAATATCCTAAATTGCACAAATATAAAGTGTAAAATTTGATCAGTTTTGACATATGTAAACACCATCAGACCACACCACAATCAAGACAATGAACTTATCCATCTCCCTCCAGTTTCCTTCTATACCTTTCCCTTCTTTCTTACTCCCATTCCAATGAGGCTTCTGCCACCACCACTTCAACAAAACTGTTTTTGTTAAGTTCGCTAGTTATTCCATGTTGCTAAATCCAACAGTCCTCATCTTACTTGACCTCGCCACAGCATATGATCTCATTGTTTTCTCTTTCTATTGCGATACACTTTCTTCACTTGGCTTCCAGAACATCACACTTGATTAATTTTCCTTCTACCTCACTGATGCTCTTTACTAGTTCCTCCCATTCTCACTATCATCTTATGCTACAGGGCCCCAGGGTTCAGTCCATAGTCTTCTTTTCCTCTCAATCTAGACTCACTCCCTTCATGATCCATAATTAGTGACATGGCTAGTCCCAAATTTATATCTCCATCCCAGACTTCTCTGCTCAATACTTGTATGTCCAACTGTCTATTTAACATCTCCATGTAGCCGAGTGGAGACTTCTCAAATTTAACATGTTAAAAGCTGAACTCCTGAATCCACCACCCCCAACAAAACTGTTCTATCTGCAGTCATCTTCATCTCAGTCAGCGGCATCTCCATCCTTCCAATGAACTTGAGCGTGAGCAATGAACTTGAGTGTACAGTCTCATCTTTGTTATTATACCTCTGTACCCACGCTCAAATCATTTTGAGCCCATTTATTTCTCTGCTGGCTAAGTTCATGGGACCCATCTTTTCCCTGTTGCTTTTGGGTGATGTTTCATGCATCCAGCCAAGAGTAGATTAGATGTACACAACAGCTCTGTCTGTAAGGCACTGACCTTTAATGTTTCCATTTGAGTTCTTTGGACATTTTTCTCCATTGTTCAGTGTTTCCTCTGTAGGTGTTTATTTTTTTTTTGAGACAGAGTTTCACTTTTGTTGCCCAGGCTGGAGTGCAATGGCACTATCTCGGCTCACTGCAACCTCTGCCTCCCGGGTTCAAGCGATTAATCTGCCTCAGCCTCCCAAGTACCTGGGATTACAGGCGCCCACCACCACGCCCAGCTAATTTTTGTATTTTTAGTAGAGACAGGGTTTCACCATGTTGATCAGGCTGGTCTCGAACTCCTGACCACAGGTGATCTGATCACCTTGGCCTCCCAAAGTGCTGGGACTACAGATGTGAGCCATCATGCCCAGCCCTCAGTAGGGTTTTGAGTTTTGGTACAACTGTAATCTAGGCCCACTACCCTGTAAGAAGGATACACAAGTTACAAAACAACCAGCTTCGACAGCAAACTTGCATTTTTTCTAGCTAGACTCTTTTTATTAGGGGGAGGGGAGGGAGAATGAGCAAGAGACAGAGGAAACCTTACATTTTAAAAATCTCTCTTTCAAAATTTATAAAGGTAGTATATTCTCATAATAATGCAAATTCACTCATTAAAGGGTGGTATAAATGGAGGCTTAACATTTCCATTTTATACACTATACCTAGTCCTGGTAACCTCTTGTAACAATTCTTGATTTTAGTTCTTCTGGTGGTGCTTTTATCTCCTCTTGATTTATCAATTTTAAGTAGTATCTATTAACTTCCTGTCCTTTACGAAATTTAAAATTAATAGAAACTTAGCTTTTTACCATTGTTCCCTCCTTTCCCCACGTTTTGTTATTTTTATTTTTATTTTTTTACTTTTAAGGCCTTTGCTATCTTTATAACTTTAAATAATATGCCTAAACGTTTATTTCTTAATCCATCAACTTGGGACAGTATCTTAACCACCCCCAATTACTTCAGTTGGGGAAACTGGCCCTATTTCACTTCCCTCCATTGTTCCTCCTTCTTCTATTACCCAAATCCTCTTAGCCATATAATTAATTTTGCATTCTTAAGGTTTATAACGCGAATTGCCTATAATCTTAATTGTCTTCCACAGATTCTCTAGAAATAAATTCCAGAAAATGAAAACAAAGAACATTTCAATATTATGATTCTATAGATATTATTTGCTTCAGAACCAAGTAGTGTAATTGTACCCTGAGAGAAGGAGATGCAAAGTCTCTTAATGGTGTTGCTTGAGGGAAAATGTTCCAAACCTCAAGGTCAAGTCTGTTTTTATTTTAGTATATTCCACAAGCTGCTCAAAATCAAAACATTTTCATTTGTTTTATAGTTGCACTACAGATTTCTTATGAAGGTTTTTGTTTTTTCCAGGCAGTTCTAATTGCCTTTTTTTCTTGTTGACAAAAACAGCATATTATTTCACTTTAATTTCATTGAACTGTTTAATCAAATCATGGCAGAAAATCCATGTTCTTCTTGAAGACATGCTTCCTATTGCTTTCAAACTTCATGTTGTAATTCACACATACTGTTTTCTAAACCTGCCACTACCCTAGGATTTTTAAAAATTGTATTCTGTGAGATTAGGATGAATATTTGCTTGAATAACATTCTTTCTCTCTTTTGGGTTCCCTGTTTTCTTTGTTAGAGAACATTCTCCAAAAAAAAAATCACAATCTTTGATTCCAAAGGATTTCCAAAAATCTTTATTCTGCTTTTATATTGATGAATGGCTCAATGGTACGTAAGTTCTAGGTTCAAAAAATTTCCCTCAGAAATTTGAAGTAATTCTTTTAATGTCATATTGCTATACAATATGGAAGTAAAATGCCACTCTGATTCTTACTTCTTTGTAAGTAACTTTTTCTCCCTCTGAATACTATTAGCATCACATCTTTATCTTTTGTGTTCAAAATTTCATAAGGAGTTGCCTTTTAATCTGAAGGCTCTTGCCTTTCCTCCACTCTGGGAAATGTTCTATTATCTCTTTAATTGCTTGTTCCTCCCCCTTTGTCTGCTCTTTCTGACGCTCTCATTAATCAGATGTTGGACTTCTAGGATTGGATGTCTATGCCCATTAAATCTTCTCTTGTATATTCTACCTTTTTATCTTTTCGTTCAATGGTCTAGGAGATTTACTTGACTTTATTTTAAACCTAGTAAATGAATTTTTAATATAATCCATCATATTTTTAATTTCCACTCTTTTATTACTTACTCCCATTTATGTAGTAACCTCTTCTAATTTTTATTTTTATTTCTATTTTTATTTTTTTGAGACGGAGTCTCACCCTGTCGCCCAGGCGCAATCTCCGCTCACTGCAAGCTCCGCCTCCTGGCTTCACGCCATTCTCCTGCCTCACCCTCCCGAGTAGCTGGGACTACAGGCGCCTGCCAACACGCCCGGCTAATTTTTTTTTTTTTTTTTTTTTTTGTATTTTCAGTAGAGACGAGGTTTCACCGTGTTAGCCAGGATGGTCTTGATCTCCTGACCTCGTGATCCGCCCGCCTCGGCCTCCCAAAGTGCTGAGATTACAGGCGTGAGCCACCGTGCCCGGCCTAACCTCTTCTAATTTTATGGATACAATTTTTTTTTTTTTGAGACAGGGTCTCGTTCTGTCTTTGAGACTGGAGTGCAGCGGCATGGCCATGGGTCACTGCAGCCTCCAACTCCTGCATTCAAGCAATCCCTCTGCCTCAGCTTCCTGGATAGGTAGGACTGCAGGTATGTGCCACCATGCCCAGCTAATTTTTAAATTTTTTTGTAGAGAGGGGTCTCCCTATGTTGCCCAGGCTGGTCTCAAACTTCTGCACTCAAGTGATTCTCCCACTTCAGCCTCCTGAATTGCTGGGATTACAGGCGTGACCCACCATGCCTGGCCCCAGTTTCTTTTTTTTTTTTTTTTTAAGTTTAATAAATAGAGCGCACTCATGCATTTACAACTCAGAATTTTAAAAAAAGTTTACATTTTGTCATTTGTACTTCAGATGAATTTTCTTATTAAAAGAAATAAGGCCACAGAGGTAAACTTAAGTCTCCTGTTTCCCAATGCCTACCCTCCTTCTTCTCCTTTCCTCTTTCTCTTTCCTAGAGAAATCCTGCCTTCCTTTCCCTTCCCAGAGGCAACTGGCATTATAATTTTTGTGTTTTTCAGTACATTTTAATATTTTTACTACACATAGGCATCTATAAACAGCATATAGTATCATTTTATGCATATTAAAATTGTACCATAACATCCATACTCTAAAGTCACTTTGTTCGCCCAACGCTGTTTCTGAAATCTATCCATGTTGATACATATGGATCTAATTTATTCATTTTCAACTGTTATGTGGGTTCCACCATATTCATTCATTCAACAAATATTTATGTGCATCAGCAATGTTCCAAGAAATGTTCCGGTGGCTGGGAGCACAGCAATGAAGGAAACAAAATATGAACATACTCTAATTTATTTTCATCTCTCCATTAAGAGACATTAGGTCTCATCATGACAAAAAAAATGCTTCAGTGAACATCCTTGTACAGGGCTTCTGTTGCAAGTGCTTCTTTGGGAAATATTTGTTGTGGTAAAACTGCTTGGTTATGGACCACATTTCAAATTTTAGCAGGTATTGCCAACTTGCTTTCCAAAGTGGTGTACCACACTACATGCCCAGTTTCGTTCATCCGGCCCAATATTTGGACAGTCATGTTTCTTTATTTTTGCCATTATGAAGGGCGAGAAAGGGTAGTTTTTGTTTCAGCCAGCATTTCTCCTAATTGTTAGTAAGGTCAGCATCTCTTATGTTTATTGGTTCTTTAAATCCGCTCCTCTGTGTATTGCCTGAGGGTATCCTTTGCAACCCATTTCTGTAGTAAGTTGTCCGTCTTTTTTATACTGATTTGTAAGGATTCTCTGACTATATAGTCTGAAACGTTTTTTTCTGCTTTATGTGTTGAAAAAATATTTTTCCAGTTCAGAGTTTGTCTTTTAGCTTTACTCATAGAGGCTTTTGCATAAAATAGTTTTACTTCTTAGTGTAATCTTTCCTTTATGAATTGTCCTTTTTTGTGTACCGACTGAGAAATAATCTCTTCCCCACAGTCATAAAGATATTTGCCTGCATTTCTTTCTAATAATTTTAAAGTTTTATTTTTCACTCAGGCCCTTAATACATTTAAAATTATCCATTTGTATGGGATGAGACATTAATCTACCTTTCTTTTTCATGAAGAGAACTAAATCACTTATTAAATAATCCTTTCTTTTCCCACTTATTTTTAATGCCTTGTCTACTCTATGCCAAATTCCCACATACATTTTGGAGATTGTTTTCGGAGTTTCTACACTGTTAAAATGAATAGGTCTCAGATTTTTGTCAGAACCTGTTTTTAAACAGTTTTCTTCTAGTCCTCAAATTGTCCATCTGTACCGCAACCTAACGATTTCTTTTGTCTTCAGTTACCCTGAAGATATTTTTAAACCAAGCCTCTTTGTTTATAAATGAAGAAACAAAGATGCAGAGATCTTATATTTCCCATTCAGGTTTACACAGCAAGACAATTAGAAAGCTTGAACTAGGTCCAGGCATGGTGGCTCACGCCTGTAATCTCAGCACTTTGGGAGGCCAAGGAATGCAAATAGCTTGAGCCCAGGAGTTCGAGACCAGCCTGAAAATACAGTGAAACTCTGTCTCTACTAAAAATACAAAAAAACAAAATTAGCCAGGTGTGGTGGCGGGCACCTGTAATCCCAGCTACTTGGGAGGCTGAGGCAGGGGAATCACTTGAACCTGGGAGGTGGAAGTTGCAGTGAGCCAAGATTGCGCCACTGTACTCCAGCCTGGGCAACAGAGTGAGGCTCTGTCTCCAAAAAAAAAAAAAAAAAAAAAAAAAACCAAAAAAACAACAACAAAAACAAAAAAACAAACAATAACAAAAAAAAACCCAGAAAGCTTGAACTCAGATCTTAACCTGCATCCCAATCCACTTTCCACTAATGCCTTCCTCACTAAAAGTTTCCATTTTCTGTGAACATTTTACTTTCATCAGTAGTTGAACGAAACTGCCCATTTCACCAAATCTTTGTCATGACTAGGTTTTATCATTTAAAACATCTCTTTGAATTGGCAGGTTAAGAACGGTGTTTCTTTCTTTTTAAAATATGGGGTCTCACTATGTTGCCCAGGTTGGCCTGGACCTGCTGGCTTCAGGTGATCCTCCCACCTCAGCCTCCTGAGTAGCTGGGACTATGGGCACATGCCATGGTGCCACTGTGCCCGGCTAAGAATGGTATTCTTTTATTAGAGTTTTTTTTGACATAAACATTTTAGTAAATATACATTAAGTAATAAATATTCCTTTAAAACTTTATCACGTTTCTTGGCCATAGTATTTAGTCTTTTTTATTTGTCTATTCATGTCTTTTCCTTACTTTCCTATTGAGTTATATTTTTTGCCTTTTTATTAGTGGTGCTTAAGAATTCCATGTATATATTAAAGATAGTAACCTTTTGTCACATATGTTTAACTTTAAAAACATTCAGTTATTTGTCTTCTAATTTTGTTTACAGGCTATTTGACACATAAGCTTTAGAAGTTAAACCTATCAATCATTTTTTCTGCAGTCTCTTCCATCATTCCTGTACTTCC
Source organism: Homo sapiens (assembly GCF_000001405.40). NCBI lineage: Eukaryota > Metazoa > Chordata > Mammalia > Primates > Hominidae > Homo > Homo sapiens. The sequence continues at coordinate 126,957,427 of NC_000005.10, forward strand.
AAGTGCAGATAAATACTCATCCTAGATTTTTCTATAGCTTTATGATTTCATAAAACCTTCAATCCATTTGTAATTTATTTTGGTGTATTGCATGATGTTAAAAAGTAACTTTCATTTTCTCCCAATGGTTTCTCAATTGGATCAATCTTATTTTTGATAACTTCTTTATTTATATGTCATCTTTATCTGTAGTAAATTCTTATACATACTTGAATCTGTTCCTAGATTCTGCTTCATTAATCTATTTTTGTAAAACATCACATTTAAAAATTATTATAGACTTATAATTCATTTTTAATAACTGGTAGAGGAAGATTCCCAACATTACTGTGCTCAGATTTTACTCATCATTTCTGTTGTTTATCCTTCCTGATATTTTTAAAATCATCATCTAAAATTGTTACCTTGTTAAAAATGTATTTAAGCTGAACAATAATATAGAAAGAATTGTGTCTTGCAAATATTTAGTTTTCTCATCTAGGAACATAGTATTTATTCAAATTTTCTTTTATTTTGCTCAGTATTTTAGTTTTCCAAATATAGATTTATTACTGAATATTTTATACTCTTGTAAATGGGACATTTCCCATTACATGTTATAACTACTTATTGCCCATACACGGGAAAGCTATTGATTTTAGTTTTATTTTGTATACAGATTTTTATTATCAAATTTTTATTTATTACTTTGTGTTGATTCTTTTAAGTTTCTAGGTAAACAGAAATATAACATACAAATCATGGCTATCTTTCTCCTCCTTTTCTCTGCTTTCTGTTTCTTAGATGGGCAGTAGCTTCCAGAATAATACTGAATGATCATGATGACAGGGAATATCTTTGTCTTGTTTTACATTTTAATAAGGTTACTTGATTTTAATAAGGTGCTTCCAGTTTACCATTAACCGTCCTCTATATTGTTTCTCTGGCCAAGACAAGTGATTATATTAAGATGTATATTAGTTTAATAAATGGTCTAGCTTGCTTACTTTTTCTTGAATTAAAGCTTTTTCTTTACAGAGTTCAATTTTCTTAAACTTCTAAAAGCCCACTGCTTTTGTATTCTGTATTTTTTCTTTTTCATGATCTAATTCTTCATATTCCATTCTAGGTCCCTAGTTACTTCTGATCTAATCTGCTCATCACTGCCTTTAAATTAATTAATCTTTGAATCCAAAAAGGGTGTCAGGACTGGGAAGTATATAGAAGACAGATCAAGGGTACTGAATATTCTTCTAGTTAATAATCAAATGTGACTTTTTTTTTAAAAATGCCACTTGTTTACTTGAATAGAAATTGATTGATTCCTGGCACACAGAGGAGACAAGTTGACAACGGCCATTTGACTGATTTTTAAGTGTAATGTGCAATTAAAACAAACCTAACTCCACAATGATGGGGCTATTTTAAAGCAACATAGGATCCAAGTGAATGAGCTACCACTAATGACCAACAGTGGAACAATCTAAGTAACGAAATAAGTGAAGTATTATATTATTGCCAAAGTATAAAATGAATACCCATTAGTCCACACTGCTTTAAATAAATGATTGAATAAATAAAGGGGAAGGGGGAGAAAAGACAAATCTCTTGTGCAGATGAAATCCAAATAATTTATGTGGACACTGACCAACACTGACCATAAGGAAGTGGAGCGTAACTCCCTATTCCTTGAGTATAGGCCATCTCTTCCAAAGGCTATAGTATGGAAAGGGGGAAGGAATAATTTTACTATGAAGAAACCTGACAAACGCTACCTCAGCCAGGTGATCAAGGTCAACATCAACAGTGATAGGGCATGTTGGTAGTATGTTTCCTTGATATGATGTGATGAAAAATAGCCCTTTACTTCTATGGGCTTCCTCCCTTAAATCCATAATCCCAGTCTATTTATGTGAAAAACAGCAAACAAATCCCAAACAGTCCCAAAAAAGGGACTTTTTACAAAATAGCTGACCAGCATTTCTCAAAACTATCTAGGTCATCAAAAACAAAGAAAGTCTGAGAAACTATCCCAGCCAAGAGGAGTCCAAGGAGGCAATGAAAACTAAATGTATCATAGGCTCCTGGATGGGATCCTGAAACACAAAAAGAATGTTAGGTAAAATCTAAGTAAATATGAATGATGTATGGACTTTAGCTAATATCATAATAATGCATCAATCTTGGTCCTTTGTTCTGACAAATATACCACACTAATGTAAGACATTAATAATAGGGGAAAGAAGGTGCAAGGAATAGGGAAAATCCCTGTAATATCTTAGCAATTTTTTCCTGTCACTACAAAACTGTTCTAAAAAAGAGTTTATTTAGAAAATAATCACACCTTAAATGATCACGGCCAATAATTTTTGAATGTTCTTAAAGCCGTAATTACTATACCTCCATGGAAAACAACTCAGTAACTAATAGACAGTAAGCATTGCTTGGTATTCCGACCAGCAGCACTTCCTCTACTAATTACCAATGTACCTTTGTCTCCTAGGTTATTAGTTAGTTATAGTTCCACCGAAGGCACTCAGTTATGCTCTAAGAGCTCCTCTGAGAAAACCGCAAGAAGAAATGGGCATAAATTGCAGCAGGAGGGGTTTGAGTTAGAGTTTTAGAATGCTATGAAGTCAAGCTGTGTGATATTCCCTGCTAATTATCTTTCCAACGGTCCATACAACGGTTTGATCCAGCCTGGTTTCAACCCATCTTGGAGTAAATCCAGCAAGAACGTGACTTTCTACTGTTTCCAGGAGGTCCTAAGAGTTTTTATATCTTACATAGAAAATTTCCATAAACTAAAAGTTGGCATAAGTGGTGCCATTCACCTAGAAATTGTTCATCAAATTGTTTACGGTTTCTGCTATTCTCTCAGTTGACACATGATTTACTAATTTCGTTCCAGAGATTTGAGTTCAGGCTGTATAAATCATGAATAAAGATTAGTTTAATAGTCATAATGCCCCTTGGGACAATGTTTCAAGTGAAGAAAACTCAAAATTGTCGCAATTTGAAAATAATGACAGTTGTATCAATATTTGCAAATTGAAATGATATTCAATACCCTTACAGAAGCAGAGTATAAATCTTATTCCTGTTTAATGCAAACCCTAAAACTTTTCTTTTTAATTTTTTAACACTTATTAATATTTTCCCATGTGAACATTTTTTGTAAAATGAATCTAAGATCTTCCTGATCTGCCTGCCTCCAGCTGTAAAGTAACATTAGACAATGACCTCCTGCTACTGTTTTGATGACTTAAATACTTTAGAAAAACAGTATATAGCCAGACACCAGACTCTCAAGACATTCACAGCAATGATATTTTGCCATTTTTATGCATTAAAAAAGAGAGAACTGTCTAGCAGTGTGGCAAATACCATACTTTTAATATTAAAAATTATATATCATCTTGTTTCCACTGGCTTATTTCACCTGACTCCTTAACCCTTATGAAACTCTGATTGTTCATATACACAAATATGTAATTGTGATTTAGAAAAATGATCAGACAATAAATATTCTGATTAGAAGCTAAGTACTCACTAGAATGAATTAAAAGTAGTTAGAATTAAGGAGAAATTGCTCATTATTCAGGTAACTCCATGCTTCTATTATTTATATTATACAAATGCAGCTGATGGTGTACTTAGTACAGATAATAAGATGAGGTGTTAGAGGCAATTCCAGCTATGACTTCATGTATTCAATGGCATCTTTTATTGTAAACATTTATTTCATATGTCTGAATCCCAGAAGTACTGAAGAAAAGGGAGAAATATAGCAAGCACAAACACAGGTCCTTCCTACAATTCCCTCCCCTCTTCACAAAAGATATTTTGTTGAAAAGGTTTCAACACATTCTCTTTGTCAAAAATGAGGAACATTGATCTACATGAAGGATTTGCATAGAGGTTATCAAAATAAAATTTCAGAGAATCGTGAGAGGGCAGAATTTGGGGTGTTCAATCCCCAATCAGAGATGTCCAAACTCAGACATCTGTCTTTCAGAAGCAACCACCATAAGGCTGATGAAAAGGGCAGGAATAAATGCCAACAGTTATGCTTATGTTTATAAAAAATATTAATGATAAGCAATACAATTTGTTCCTTTTTTGTCCTATGCTGTCCCCTATTCATTTGTGTAACTACAGTACTGAATTTATTTCATTAGTCAGAATTTGGAAAAGAACAAAATGATTAAAATTCAAATTATAATTCCATCGCAATGTAGTCTGCCCTGGTATTCTTTGGATCTAATAAGAAATTATGCCTCATCAAACATATGTAATTTGGCTTGAAGTAGTAATAGTATGAAGTCAAATTTATAGTCATAATAAACTTGTCTACGCTGGATATTTTCATTTCTGAATGCAATATGCATGGGGCAACCGGCCCCCAGGCAGTCACTGAGTCATTTGAGCTCACTCTAGGTGGAGCTTGTTTACATCCTATAATCACACCATTAACAGTCACTACTAAATATAAACACAAAGAAGAATATTACTGGTTGTTTCACAACCCCAGTGATACCACTACACAATTATATGGACAAGCTTGAGAGTGATAATGCTGAAGCAACCATGGTTACCCATTCACAGTGTAAACAAACAGGCACCTGCAAAACTTAACATAAATATGCAGTGTATTTCTTTGTCCTACAGAGTTAGGGAGGAAGCATCATGTGAAGAAACAAATATATGGGTCTATGACATTAACATGATAGTTTTACAATGTGAGAACCTAGGAAAGAAATTTTTTGGTAAACATTCATGGAACTCAGGAGGCACACACACACCCTATATATCTATATCTATATATCTCTCTCTCTATATATATATATCTCTGCAGATTGATTTTGAAATTCAATTAACTGGCTGTGTCCCTGTGGGCTAGTCATTTCATTTCTGTGGCCCTAAATTTCTTCATTTGGAAAATGAGGGGATTAATGTGCTATGGTCATTCCCTTCCAGTCTAATGTTCTATTAACAATAATCATATATGTGTGTGTGTGTATGTGTGTGTGTTTACATATATTTATTTATATATGGGTTGAGCATCCCAATCTGAAAATACAAAATACAAAATGTTCCAAAATAGGAAACTTTTTCATTGCTGACATGATGCCACAAGTGGAAAATTTCATACCTGACACTCTGCATTCTGATAGTTCAATATACACAACTTTGTTTCATGTGCAAAATTATTTAAAATATTATATGAAGTTAATGTCAGGCTATGTGTATAAAGTGTATATGAAACATGAATGAATTTCATGTTTAGACTTAGGTCTCATCCCCAAGATATCTCATTATGTATATGCAAATATCCCAGAAACTGAAAAAAATCTGAAATCCAAAACACTTCTGGTCCCAGCATTTTGAATATGGAATACTCAACCTGTGTGTGTGTGTGTGTGTGCGTGTGTGTGTGTGTGTGTGTGTGTATAACTATATGTTTTCAATAGTAGCAACAATAATAAAACAAATATGCACTTGTGATGCTGTAACCTGTTATCGACTCCATTTTATAATGATTTTTTCATGAGAAAGTGTTTTCTTTCTGCCTGTGTAACTGTGGGCAACTTGACGTTCTCTAAGCTTTATTTTCCTTATATACAAAATTAAGATGATAACAACACCTATCACTGCTTATAGCATGTTGTAAGCCTTACCAGATAATGTATGTAATGTTTAGCCTAGTATGCAGCACTGAGTAGCCACTCAATAGAGTTTTTCTATTATTTTCTAACCCTCTTTATTTAGCTTATGAAACAAGTGAGCAAAGAATGACCAGTCTTATAGTTTGTCTCCTTGGAAGATAAGCCATTTTTATGAATTGTTACAAAAATATTTTTGATGAATTATAAGAACAGACCCTAAAATAATACAATTCTTCTTTAAAAGATAAACTAGAGTAATTATACATCATGTTTGTTATTTTTGTAGGAAAAATTCAGACAATATTAATGGTAATACCCATTTAAACCAAAATAGAAGATTTGACCAATCTTAAACAGTCAACATTTTCAAGGAGAAAAAAATCATTAAAACGTTAGTGTTATTAAAAAATGCTACATTTAAGAAGAAAATTTAAAAAACAAAAAACCAAGCACTCACATCTTCTGCATGACGTAAGAGATATTTGCTACAGAGATTTATTTATACTTTGAGCTAAGACAAGATTAATTGGATCTAAGATACTAAGCATTTTTTAGAAATAGAAGCTGACAAAAATTTAAATTTAGCTTTATAATTGGTAAATTAAGAAAAAATCTGGTGGGTTTTTAAGCAGCTGAAAAAGAGCAAGTAGAGGATTTTGACTCTTCTTTAATTGGTATACACTCTTCTGTCAGGAAAACAAACAAAAAGATTAGGATGTCACAATATCAAGAGTACTGACGTTAAACTCTTAAAGTCTATTCACATAATTCACTGAAATCTCTGTCATTCTTTCTTAGTCTCCATGTAACAGAGAACCCACCTAAGGGGAAGCATCAGGGGCTGAGAGAGTCATAAACGCTCCTACCATGGGCCGTATTTGTCTCATACATTCACTAGTTCTGGTTAAGGGGACTGAGTGAGCTAGCTGCTTGCTTGGATCATGTGGTCAGAGGTGACAGCCTATCTTCAGTTGATACTTTGTAGGGTATTTGACAAAGTCAGAAAGATCTTGAGCTAAGGTTAGCTTTACTTCACCCTAACACTGCCAGACCATAACCTCTGCATTCTTTTTCTCTTCCCCCTCCTGGCTATGCCTCATCTATCCTTGGCCTGAAGGTGGAACTAAATCCACAGATCAAAAAACACAGCACACACAAAGGTGAGGATAACAAAATTTGCCTCAATAGGATGTTCAAATGAGTAGTCTGATGTCACAAGGCTGGTTCATCCTGAGTTTCCCTGGTTGCTCTACTTGCTGGATATACATAAACACATTACATTTCTTAATTAGCTTATTTATTGGTATGATTCTTTCACCTCCTGACAGACTTCAATTTCTCCAGATTCAGTACTTGGGAAGATATAATACTAGCAACTCCATAAAGGCCCTAAGAGCAAGTGCAAATTTACAAAATGGTCTTTAAATGGAAGGCCTAAGCCTCGGCAATTTCCCTTTCTTATGGTACATGCCTTTGGTAAATTAAAAATGATATTCTGAAATTTTAAGATATGAGTCCAGTGAGTTTTTTTCTTGTTGTCCTACTATGGTTGTTTTTCAAGAGAAAAGAGGTCAGGGAAATTTCACAGCCTAGGCTGGGGTCCACATTGCAGATACATCTTAATCTCTCAACCCAGAGGTCTGGTAAGTCTTCTGAGCATATGGGAGGTCAACGCCAAGTTCTGAAAAGAAGTAGGATGTTTCAGTGTGAGACCAGCTGAACCAGCTGAAGCAGACAACAACATGGTGAGCCAGTTTTGGGAACAGGCATCTGGGCAAGTGAGCAAGACTAGACCCTGGTGAGAGAAGAATCACATTCCTCCCTCCTAATAGCCAGCCCTGTAGGTAGGGAGGAGGGAATAACTTTGAGAAAGATAGGGCTTATTAGAAGCTAATGAAATGGGAGCCTTCTTGACTTCTGAAAGGAGAGAAGAAACATGTTCTTAGTAAAAAAAAAAAAAAAAAAAGAGGGAATTTACATCCTAGAACACTTGTGTTCTAGAATGTGTTTCTAATGATGACTCCTCTCTTAAGGCTTCCATTTCTTGAGCAATAAATATGGACCAGGAACATTGCCAAAGGCTTTACATAAATGAGATCATCGTCTTCATAACAATCATATGAGACATGGATAATAATGACCCCTACTCCCCAGATTACAGATGAAGAAACCAATGCTCTATTAAAGTAAAGAATGGGCCCATGGAAAGAAGCCAAGGTTCTCACACTGGTCTGACCACTTCTTTAAGCTAGAGCTCTTCATCACTGAACTGTATTGTTCCTCTTTCATGAACGGTGGCACTGACTTCCACAGAAAGTTGACATTCAAAAGAGTAAACCACAAAAACTGCCAAGATGTTGAATGGTCAAGGACTCAATCACATTCATTGCCTACTCATTAGAAACATAAATAAATGCTGCTTTAGAGACAGTTTTTAGCTATTAGTATTTGGGGGAAAATTTTTTAGGCTTAAAACTTTAGTTGCTCTATTAATAGCATATTAATATTAATGCTGATTGAACCTTAAAATGAGTTTGGAAACATATGGGAGAAGGTTTACCTAAGTACAAGGTGAAGTGCCTAAAGCAGCACACAAAATAGTGAGTCAGTGAGAGATAGAAACCACTGAGAGAGAGAAAGAGAGGATTTTCTCTCTACCAATTTGTAAGTCAAGGTCATGGATTTTAAGTGGTACTGTTGTGCTAGTGGAAGTATAAAATGGTGCAACTGTCTGGGAAAGGAGTTTGGCAGTCTCTTAAAAAGTTAAACATATATTTAACATATGACCCAATACTGGTATTTGCTGAAGGGAAATAAAAGCTTATGTGCATAAGAAAGACTTTCGCATTTTTATTCATGCAAACAGAAACAACAGGTGAATGGATAAATAATTTGTGGTATATTGATGTAATGAATTACTACTCAGTAATAAAATGGAATGAACTACTAACAACATGCACCAACATGGATGCATCTCATAGATATCATGCTGACATAAAGAAGCTGGACACAAGAATGTTTACAGCATGAGTCTGCTTATATGAAAGTCTAGAGGCAAAATTAATCAATAGTGACAGAAATCACATCAGTGGTTTCCTGGAGGCAAAGTGGGTGTTGGGTGGGGGACTGACTGCAAAGGGGCACAGAATTCTGGGGAGGTGGAAATGTTTTATATATTTATTGGGATGATGGTTACGCAGGTGTATACATTTGTCAAAAGCATTCAACTTATAGCCTTAAAAATTTTTATTATATGTAAATTATATCTCAATAAAGTTGATTTTTTAAAAAATATAAGATTAGAAGGCAGTATACATTAAGAAACAAAAACAATCTCATCCATCTCAGTTCCCTCCATCCCCCAAGAGTTTTCTGTATCCAATGCTTGTTTCAGAAAGGATGTTTATATCCTGTTATTTTTCCTTAGTTGCAAGGTAGAATTTTGTTTATAAATGTCAAGTGGAAAAATTAGAAGACTTTAAAATAAAGCTATTAAGGATTTTTAAACCATCTTTTGGGTGAATCAGATTTCCTAGATATTTGAGGTTTTAAGAAAGGAGCATTCTTAAAATGCTATCTTCTAAAATAAATATTTACTTCCATATACCTTAAATACCATTTACTGAACATATTTAATCCTCTCTGAATGCCTCCAGGTCATCATTAGGAATATCAAAAGTTGTGCTATTCTGTAATACAGTGATGATTTCAAAGTTTATTACGGCACAGAGGCTGTTTGCTTTTATGCTAACAGTGGCCTTAGAATACTGAGCTCTTTAAATTCTTGTATTTGCTTCTTTTCTGTTTCTCTCTTGTTGGGCTGTGAGAGCCTTTTTTTTTTTTTTTTTTTTTTTTTTTTTTTTTTTTTTTTGCTATTACCTATTTTCCTTTTTTTAAAGAATTTTTTATTTTCATATGTTTTTGGGGAACAGGTGATTTGGTTACATGACTAAGTTCTTCAGTGGTGATTTGTGAGATTTTGGCGCACCCATCACCCTAGGAGTATACACTCCTATTTGTTTTTCTATTGGAGTTGTTTTCCTCTCTTTTAATCTGCTAAGATAATCAAGTTAACAGAACTATATGTAGAACAGTGATCCCCAGCTATTGATTTTCAATCCAGCAATTGATTGGTTTCAAAAGAATCAACTGGAAAATTGTTAAAACTTACAGATGCCCAGACCCCATCCTTGGTGATTCTATTATCTAATTTGGCATACACGATATGCGATTCTTGTAAAAATATGTGCGTGTCTGAACAAATGTAAAAGTAGAGAAAACAGTGTAATGAACCACTACATATTCATCACCCTGCTTCAAAAATACTCAACATTTAGGCCTGGTGCGGTGGCTCAAGCCTGTAATCCCAGCACTTTGAGAGGCCGAGGCAGGCGGATCACCTGAGGTCAAGAGTTTGAGACAAGCCTGGCCAACATGGTGAAACCCCATCTCTACTAAAAATACAAAAACTAGCCAGGCGTGGTGGCCGGCACCTGTAATCCCAGCTACTTGGGAGGCTGAGGCAGGAGAATTGCTTGAACCCAGGAGGCGGAGGTTGCAGCGAGCCGAGATCCTGCCATTGCACTCCAGCCTGGGTGACAAGAGCAAGACTCTGTCTCAAACATTTTGTCAGCCTTTTTCATCTATCTGCCCCCTCCTCTTTTTTTGCACTAGAGCTGGGATTGGCAAACTGTAACCCCATAGACCACATCCAACCTGCTGCCTGTGTTTTAAAAATTGAGATATAATTAATATAACACATCATAAAACTCACTCTCTTAAAATATACAATTCAGTGGTTTTTAGCATTTTACAACATTGTGCAACCATCACCATTATCTAATTCCAGGGCATTATCATCACCCCAGAAGAAACCCCACACCCATTAGCAGTCACTCATTCTCCCCTTCCACCAGCCCCGGGCAACCACTAATCAACTTTGTCTCTCTGGCTTTATCTACTCTGGATATTTCATGTAAATGGAATTATACAATATGTGGCTTTTGGTGTCTGGCTTCTTTCACTTAGCTTAATGTTTTCAAGGTTCATCTATGTTGTAGAATGCACCAGTACTTTGTTCCTTTTCATGGTTGACCATTTCACATTTTGTTTGTTCATTCATCAGTTGGACAGTTGGGTTGTTTCCACATACATTTTCAATTCTACTGGGTATGCACCTAGGAGTGGAATTGCTAGGTCATATGGTGACTATTGTTTAGCTTTTTGAGGAACTGCCAAACTATTTCCCAAAGTGGCCACACCACTTTACATTTCCATCAGCAATGTATAAGGGTTCCGGTTTCTCCAAATTCTTGTCAATATTTGTTATTGTTTATCTTTTTGATTCTATCCATCTTAGTGGATGTGAAATGGCATCTCATTGTGTTTATTTGCATTTCCCTAATGACTAAAGAGGCTGAGCATCTTTTCATGTGCTTATTGGTCATATGTATACCTTCTTTGGAGAAATGCCTATTCAAATCTTTTGTCCAGTTTTCAATTGGGTTATTATTATTTTTGAGGCAGAGTCTCGCTCTGTTGCCCATGCTGGAGTGCAGTGGTGGGTTCTTGGCTCACTGCAACCTCCACCTCCTGGGTTCAAGTGATTCTCGTGTGTAGTCTCCAGAGTAGCTGGGATTACAGGTGTACCCCAGCAAGCCCAGCTAATTTTTGTATTTTAAGTAGATACAGGGTTTCGCCATGTTGGCCTGGCTGGTCTTGAACTCTACCCAGGCCTCCCAAAGTGCTGGGATTACCGGTGTGAGCTACCGTGCCTAGCCTATTTTTTTCAACTATTAAGTTGTAAGAATTCTTTATATGTTCTGGATACTAGACTCTTTTCAGATAAGTGATATGCAAATATTTCCTTCCATCCTATGGGCTGTGTTTTCACTTTCTATCTTGAAATAGTCCTTTAAAGCACAAAGTTTCAAATTTTAATTATTTTTTCTTTCATTGCTTGTGCTTTAGGTGGCATATCTAAGAAACCATTGCCTAATCCAAGATCATGAAGATTTACATGTGTTTTCTTATGAGTTTTATATTTTAGCTCTTACAATTAGTTCTTATGCATCTGAATTTTTAAAAAACTTATGTACTTCTAAGGTACAACTAATTTTAGAAAGTAAGAGTGAGTAGATTTTGATGGCCTCCAAGAGTTTAGAAAAAGGTATGAGCTTTGATGCACAATTTTACCCAACATATATATGTTGGATGATTGGAACTTTTTTTGGTCTACTTTAGGGTTTTTTGCTCTTTTGCAGCAGACAGCTGGGTTGTCCAGAGAGCTGATTCTGGAAAGGTGTATATTACTATTTAGGTAAATGGTCAGCTTCTAGTATCAGCAAAATAAAATACTCCAAACATGTTTAGGAGGAGCCCCTTACAGTCCCAAGTTTAAAAACACAGACTGTTATTTTAAGACATTTTCTATGTATAGAGCCCCACAGTTCTAACACAGGTATTTGGAAATGTAGAGAAAAGGAAGCAAAAATCAGCAGCTGGGACTTAGTTTCCAACCAAGGGAGGATGGCATGGATGGCTGCACTTCTTTCATTTGCAGACATAACCACAAACCATCAGTTGCTGGTTGACAGTTTGTTCTGGAGATGTGAGGCCAGTGGTTCTTAAACTTGAGCGAGCATTAGAATCACCTGGAGAGTTTATAAAAACCCAGATTCCTGACCCCCATCTGCAGAGATTCTGCTACAGGAGGCTGGGGTGGGGCCATTAATTTGCATTTCTAATAGGCTTCCAGATGCTGCTGGCCCTAAGACCACACTCTGAGTAGCACTACTTTAGATACATGGGCCAACCATCTCGCCCTGGTGCTTACCAAACATTGACCAAGCAAACATGAAGCTAGGTGACTCTCCTTGGGGATGAATATGATAATAATCTACTGAGAAATTCAAGAGGCTGTAAGTATCCCAATTTCATTAAAATTTCTAACCATTGGTGATGTCATTTCAGGTTCCAGGCTTATGCTCTTTTTCTTCTTCTTTTTTCTTTTTTTTTTAATTTTTTTATTTTTGAGACAGTTTTGCTCTGTCACCTAGGCTGGAGTGCAGTGGGGCAATATGAGCTCACTGCTTCCTCTGCCTCCCGGGTTCAAATGATTATCCTGCCTCAGCCTCCCAGATAGCTGGGATTACGGGCACATGCCACCACACCTGGCTAACTTTTGTATTTTTAGTAGAGACAGAGTTTCGCCATGTTAGCCAGGCTGGTCTCGAACTCCTGACCTCAGATGATACACCCACCTCAGCCTCCCAACGTGCTGGGATTACAGGTGTGAGCCACTGCGCCCAGCTGGCTTATGCTCTTTTTCTAAAAATTTGTCCACTTAGGAAAGTGTCTTGATTTCAATAAAATTAGCATGGATTAAATTACTTTTTTTCTTTTTTTTTTTTCTTTTGGTATTTGATCTTGCTCGATGAATGTGGACATCAGCTATGGGTTAGGAATGCTATTCAGGAACATCTAATGTGTTTGTGATAATGTATTTGACTTGTGGCCAAATGGTACTCTTGAGAGATGTGGTTGTGACTTTGACAGATTAAGCCAAAGTTAAATTCTGATGAAGTGCAAAGGAATTTTATCGGTCCCAGGATGGTTGCCAACTGTGTTGGGCAAAAGAGTGATTTTCCAAAAAGGTCCAGAGCAATCCGCATGTATTCTGTCACCTCTACTTCCAGTTTCTTCAAAGGCCAGCCAAAAGCTTCATTTTCCTACTTCCTGTCATTTCCAAAACCACAGCTTAAACCTGAAAAACAAATGGGAAGCTGTGTTCCTGCCTCTTATGATTGCTGCCACTTACAAACCAGCAAGAACAGAGCACAGCAAGCAGAGGAGAGTTCAGTCTTGCTGATGTCACATGAAGCAGAATGAGGACTCTGCTTGTTTGGCTCCTGAGTTTAAAAGATAAGTAGACAATTTATTGTTGGTAGGTTGAGAAAATTCAAGAACAGAGAGAAATCTGACAGTCTGGCCATAAGAAGAAATTTTTGCATTTATGTTCTTATAGCCATACCTGAAGTCAACTAATTACGTTTGGAGAGAAGTAGAATGCTTGCTTTAAGAAGAAAAAACAGGCTAGGGCGCGGTGGCACACACCTGTAATCCCAGCACTTTGGGAGGCCGAGGCGGGCAGATCATGAGGTCAGGAGATCAAGACCATCCTGGCTAGCATGGTGAAACCCTGTCTCTACTAAAAATACAAAAAATTAGCCGGGCGTGGTGGTGGGCACCTGTGGTCCCAGCTGCTCGGGTGGCTGAGGCAGGAAAATGGCATGAACCCGGGAGGCAGAGGTTGCAGTGAGCCGAGGTCGCGCCACTGCACTCCAGCCTGGGTGACAGAGCGAGACTCTGTCTCAAAAAAAAAAAAAAAAAAAGAAAAGAAAAAACAAATGTTCTATGTTGACCCTATCCCCAACATCCTTGCAGCAGGTCTATTGTACCTTAAGCTGTGCTCTAACTTCATTAGCAGGCTCTAGGCCTCTCTCCCAGAGATCACCCATGGGAGGGATCCAGCTTCCTTCACTCAGCAGCTCTTACACTGCTCCCAGGAGGAAGGAAGCATTTTGTTTTAAAGAGACTGCAACACAACCCAAAGGAAAGACAGTTATCTTAGTGTCCATATGTCCACAAGAGGAAAATGTGGGTGTAGCATTTTAATCCCAGTAAGTGACAATTAGTCACTAGGCTTCTAAGAAGTTTGACACTGTTATTCCTCTCCCCCTTTTCTAAATTGCAAGGGTAATACTGCATTTGCACAGAAACCATGCTAACTGGCTAGCTACTTCATTAAATTACCATATGATTCTTATTTTATGGGTACAAAACAGTTGATCTCAGTGAACCGGCAACTTAGAAACTTAGGAGGCAAATTAGAGCAATTACTAATAAATTATACATGTGGTAACTAACAATTTGTCTATCACCTAGAAATATGAGAAAAAACTGCCAGACTCCCTGGCTCTGCAATTCTGAACAAGTCTTTTCATTTTTTTCTTTTCCAAGACCAAAAGCTGTCATTATCCACACCAGTTATACCATTACTCTTGCTGCTTTCACAGAGTCCAACATTTATAATACAAAGTTAGGAGTACAACGAGTGGGATTTGCATTCTGTTTGGAACAGAGTGTTTGACTGCTTAAAATTAAAGAACTAAAAAAAAAAAAAAAAAAAAATTCCCAGAACCTCAAATCACCCCCTAAAAACCAGGAAGTGAGATTCATGTTAGCTTTCCCTAAGTAAGTTTATGGAAGAGATAATGGCAAGAGGTAGGGGCAAAGTATCTGTTCATTCATAATCACTACTGTGCTTCGTTTCTGGGCAAGGTAGTCTGATGAAATTAAAGGAAGTTCTGTGTTACAAGTCATGTGCTTTTATGGGGGAGGAGGTGAGATGAGGTCAATTAACAAGATATGATCTTTCTCTTCTCTCCCTGCTTGTCTCACCCAGGCCTCGGGTGTGCCATTCAACATGAAAGGTGTTGATGCCATTCATTAATTGAGGGTCAGATTCCTCTATCAGCATATTCCTCCCATCTGAGACTGCCTTACCTCCATCCACTTCCACCCCCAACAGGTTTCATTTTCTGCAGCTGCTGTCAAGAGCTACGTGGAGGAAGAGAGTGGTTTTAACAACTGCATGCTCAAATTTATTCTCACTGGCCTCTTGTTTGAAGGAAGTCCAATGTCTAGACCCTGGATGTTGAAACAGGATGTAAAAAAAACACCAAAAAAACCCTGTATATTTGAGAGAGTTTTGAAACCCATCCCAAATACACTCCAGCAATGGAGAAAAATTTGATTTTGGCATAATTTATATACCACATTTCTCCCCGTACCCAACAAAAGTGTATGCTAATGTCTCTATATCACATGATATATCAGTTTAAAATATTCTTTCTCTTTGCCTTTGTTCGTAGTCTCATTTCCACTTTTACTTAAAATTTTAATATCTTCTCCCCAGGTTCTTTATTTATTTTTGCTATATGCCTGAATATAAGACCTAATTCCATGTCACCAATATCTCCCTTGAGAAGCACTGATGTTAAGTAGAATAAAATGTAATCAACACTCATTGTTTCCTACCAGGACAACAGTAGGGTTTAAAACAAAACCAACCTCGTTATGAATTCCAAACGCCCTTCTAAATAACTCTGGGTGCCATTTCACAACCTGACCTGCATAGTTCCTTTAGGCTGCTGTGGGAGTTGTGACTATCCTGTGTCCACGTTTGCATGCTAGGTTGCACTAACCCAGTAAACACATTCTGTATCAGCCTGCAGTTTGTGGAGGTCCGAGCACAACGCATGGAATTCCACCTCTCTGGGGTTCCTGCCAGGTGGAGCAATCCAGAAGTATAGCTTCCACCTGTAGGGGAGGCGCCTGCAAACCTGGCAGCTCTGAGGTCACACTGCTCTTAATTCAGACCACATCTGAGCTCACCTAGCTAGATGCTAAAGCAGACAATTGCAGAAGTGCAGAGGGTGGCAGAGAGAATTTGGGGGCAATGATCCTCAACTCTCACATTCCTTTTGACTAAAATGCATTGTAATGACTCTACCTACTTCAGTAGTGCTAGGAAAGAGATGTGGATTACTGCCTCTGTGCAATGATAAAGCAGTAAGTTATCCGTATTAGTAAGAACATATATACGTTTTTGTAGTTCATCACCATCCAAATTGCCTAAGGTGATGGCCATAAAGAACATTATTTTCAGGCATAAATATAAGTTGGAGACTGAAGGATCTGTAAGAGGAATACTTTCTATCCAGAATATTAAGCAAAATCTATTTTTTTTTTTTTTTTTTTTTTTTTTTTTGAGACGGAGTCTCGCTCTGTCGCCCAGGCCGGACTGCGGACTGCAGTGGCACAATCTCGGCTCACTGCAAGCTCCACTTCCCGGGTTCACGCCATTCTCCTGCCTCAGCCTCCCGAGTAGCTGGGACTACAGGCGCCCGCCACCGCGCCCGGCTAATTTTTTGTATTTTTTAGTAGAGACGGGGTTTCACCTTGTTAGCCAGATGGTCTCGATCTCCTGACCTCATGATCCACCCGCCTCAGCCTCCCAAAGTGCTGGGATTACAGGCGTGAGCCACCGCGCCCGGCCGCAAAATCTATTTTTTAAAGTGAGGTGCCCAGAATGAAGAAAAGATGGATGGGGACCCTTCCCTCCCTCAAGCAGGTCAGATTGCTGGGAATGATGGTCCAGGCTCCTGGCCCCCATCCTTTCCTGTCAAGGCTACACCTAAGTGAGGGTAAAAAATCCTGGAGAAAACCACTGCAGGAGGCAGAAGCCTCCCCAGTGTGTCCTACTTCTGAATTCTGTTATTGGACCAAAAGAGCCCTCTGCTCTTCTCCTCCATATTTTTCACTGTTGCTCTCTGGGTAATCAGAGGCAGAGGGAAAAAAAAGTAACCTTTCCTGATACTCTTGCCCTTGTATTTTGTTCAAAACTCTCTGTTACCAAAGGAATGATTAGGAACCTCAGTTGGAGGTTCTGAAATCAAAATCATTGCGTTGATCAAAGGTAGGGCCTTTCTAGCACTGTTTGTCAGATGAACTCATTTAAAAGTGGATTTCAGGGAATCTTGACCAAGATTTCAGATCACCACACACAAGTTACGGAGACTGTGTTTACTCAGACAATAAGAAAGTACATCTCTTTCTGTAACCTAAACTCTGCTTCTTATTAAGTTTTTACATGTTCAGTCATGCTTTGAGCATTACTTTATTCCAATAAATTAATTTTATCTGTGACTTAAAAGTCTTAATGAGAAGCTATGTAAGTTACATGTGACAGCTGAAGTAATCTGGCTACCATTCATTCTGAAATCTATATTTAAAGTGGGATATAACATTCTTTTTTTCAAAATTTATTTATTTATTGAGATGGAGTCTCGCTCTGTCACCACACTGGAGTGCAGTGGTGCAATCTCAGCTCACTGCAACCTCCGCCTCCCAGGTTCAAGTGATTCTCCTGCCTCAGCCTCCCGAGTAGCTGGGACTATAGGCGCATGCCACCACACCCAGCTAATTTTTGTATTTTTAGTAGAGACAGGGTTTCACCATGTTGGCCAGGATGGTCTCAATCTCTTGACCTTGTGATCTGCCTGCCTTGGCCTCCCAAAGTGCTGGGATTACAGGTGTGAGCCACTGGGCCTGGCTGAAGTGGGATATAATATTGTAACAATGAAATTTTACTATTACATTTTCATGTGTTCACATATATAGTTGAAAAAAATTTTTTTATTAAGTTTTCTTCTCTTTTTAATTGACACAAAATTATACATATTTCTGGTGTACAATGAGATGTTTGATATACATTGTACAAGGATCAAATCAGGGTAATTAACAAATCCACCACCTCAAACATTAATCATTTCTTTGTAGTAAAAACATTCAAAATCCTCTCTTCTAGCTATCAAGTTATTTTGTAATTTGTGTAATATTCTGGTAAAACGGCCTAAACTGGGGTCATATTTCCTCATCAGCCGCATTCTGCTAATGCCAGATGCCCTGGGAAGATCTTCACTGCCATCTTGGAAGGATGCAGAATGTGGTGATGAGGAAGCCATTCTCCCAGGTACAGCAAAGGCAGAGTCTGTTGGCAACCCACCTGAAGGGCAGTAGACTTCTAAATAGCGAGTTGAGGTCCATGTGGGTGAAGCTAAAACCCAGAACACTTTTACTGGCTAAAAATCATGATGATTCAAAACTCAAACCTTCACATGGATGCACCCAAAGTGAATCAACAAAATTTAAAGTCCTTTGAATAGATCAATCTTCTCTAACTAGAAAACAGACCTCATTTTCTCTCTTTGCCATATCATATTCCCAGTAGGCCTGTGCCAATGCCTCTTTGGGTTTCTTTCACTCCCTTTGCAGCTGTTCTTTTGTTCCTGTCTCTCTTTTGTGGCTCCCCAGGGTGATGTGCAAAAAAGCTCCTTCAACCAGGTTTCCACTGTCTTTTTTTCCTACTTAGGATAATGTTCTCCTGCTATCACCCAGGGAATGACATAGAGGGATCTTTCTCCTTCTATATTCATGCAGCTGAGGCACATCTTCATTCTTTTTGTTAATCTTTTTTTCCCAGTTAAGATACATTTTTGTTATGTCCTCTATGGGACACACCTGGGTGTCCATACTACAGTGTGGAGGACCTTGAGGGTAAAATTATCCACAGCCCAGTGGAGTTTGGACACAAAATCTTACATGACTCGATCAATTTCACTTTGCATTTTGCCAGCCCTGAACCTAGGAATCATTCTGTCTTCTTGTTAGCTTACTCTGGTTTCAAATCTAGGTACAAGTCAAACTCTCTTTCAGCTCCTCTGCTACTTGGTCTCCAGGTTCATTGCCTCTGCTTTGGGCTACCCTGGCTTCCTTGCAGAACTATCTGACCCTCTACTGGGGCACTCAGCCCCTGTGTGGTTTCCAAAAGCTGAGCCTCTGTATTTCCTTTCTATCTATCTAGACCTCTTCACATCCTTGACCTGCCTTGGGGCCACCTCAGACCTGGGGTGGCTGATTAGTTGTCTCCCCACCCAGCTGAGGTCACCATGGCTTTCTCCTATCTCCTGTTTCTGAGGTCAGGAGCTGAAATGACACAATTTCCTTCAGGAGCCCACTCTGGCATCTGCAGTTGCACACATGGCACCTGGCTCTCTCTCCCTCTGGGAATCCTCGCCCCGATCCTGGCAGCAGGGAGAGCCCCATTGGGCCCTCCACCTGCTCACGTGGCAGGCAGCCCACACATCCTGCCTGGAAATGCCCCCACAGTGATGCTTTCCTGATCTGGTTTACATCCACCGATCCTGGGTTTGCTTCTTGGTCCCATCCTCCAAGACAATTCCTAGGAGCTTTGAAGAGAAAGGAAGGTCTATGTATATGAGAGGTGATGCCTGCTCTTAATGCCCTGCTATCAGGCCACATTTGGAGGCACAGGTTTTATCAGTTTTGGCCAGACTGCTGTCCACCCAACATAATCAGCACGTACATGACTGAAGGCAGAGCTCTGCTCTAGGGCAACATGTTTTGGGTCCGAGGTAAATAGCAGATACAGAGGTGCTGAGGGGATCACATGAAGTCATGCTGCTGAAGTTACTGTTGCCCTGTACAAAGTCCTTTTTCATTTTTATAAGGACCCCAAGGCACAGCTTTGTTTTAGTAGTGGCTTATATAATTGACTCCCCTCTTTGCCTTGGCTGCTGGAAAGCTTAGCACCAAACCTGAAGGTCACCTAGGGCATAGAATAAACCTGAATGAATTTTTATAATAATCTTAATCACTGGTCCATTTTATATTCTTACCTTTCATTTTTCACTTCTACCCCCAACCCATCTACCTCTAATGTATATTTCCTTGCCAGCCACCTTAAGCCCTTCCTAAATCAAGGAATCGGCAAACATAAAATAAGGTAAACAAACATAAAAATGGGGTTTTATGGAAAACTGAAACAGATCTCTTTCACACCGTTGCTTGGAAGATAAATTTCTAGAGAGCAATAACTACTAAATATTACAATGCATATATTCATGACACAGAAATATCAATTCCAGAAATTTATCCTACAGTCATACTCATATAAGTGTGCAATATATGTTTGATTGCAGCTTGTTTATAATAGAAAAAAGAAAAAGAAATAAGGTAAGTGTACAGGAATGGCTAAACACAGCATGTTGCATGTATACAAGGCAACACTATTCGGCCATTCCGAAATGCAAGATTAATATACATGTCCTAACATCAAGGATGCCTTCAATGTATTAAGTAAAACACAAAGACATTTGTGATTAGGGGTACAAACAAAAATTGTCATCCTTAGCATAGAGGCTTTCTCATAATTCAAGGCAGTATTAAGTAACTAACAGATATGAGAAAGCAAAATTGGAGAAGCTGAGGGAGCTATATTCTCTGAATTAGCACAAGTACAGAGCAAGAGTGTGGGGAAGGCAGGTAGAGCCGAGGAAAGATGAGGGGCTGGCCCCCAAGAGAAAGGCTTTGGCAGTTGAGTATTGTATGTTGGGAATCTTGTGATGTTTTGTCTTCACGTGGTGAGTTTTCTTTTCACTCTACCCCCAAAACCCTCAGTAAAACCTACCTTATTTTCCAATACTTTTGCAGCTGGATTTATTTTGGAGGGAACTGATAAAGTACTACATGTGACCTAAAGGCCAGAAAGGGCCAAGGAGAGAGAGACTGCCCAGAGTGACCAGCCCCATTCGGGTCACCAACCGATAATTAGGTCCCATGCAGAATTAGTTCTGGACATATTGGGAATGGAATGTTGAAGAATAGGGAAAGAGTGGGGGAAAAAGAACAAAAAGCCAGATCAACCCTATGTGAAAGGATGTTTTGGCTTAGTAGATACTAAGGTTTCTTTTCATACCTAGATAACAGAGATTTATGAAAAAGGTGAAAGGATCACAGGAGAGAAGATAAGATGTCAGAGTGTCCACAATTAAACATGTGACAGATATATGAAGTACTCGTTCTGACTACATTAGTTGTTACAGGCATATCAGCATTATCTAAGAAAAGAAAAAAGACGTTTTCTTCATTCAACATTCCCCTCACTGCCCACTGGACCTCTATGCAACTCGGCTTTTTGCTCTCACACAGAACTGCCCTGACTGTTTCTATGAGCGGCTCTCTCTCTTCTGTAACTGAGCACCTCTTTTGGAGCCACTGCTTTTATGTACTGTGTGACCAGCCCAGTGAGGAACTACATGGAGCAGGCCTCATGGATGGGCTTCTGGGGCTCTCAGATCCCTGGAATGTTATGCAAACTATTGTGTACATACATTTTCTGGAGCAAGGGCTCTGGCTGAACTATCAATGGGAAGACTCCACTCCAGATGTCAAGAACCTTGGATTTAGAAGTCTGATGTGGAACTCCCCTAAGAAAAATCCTATTATTGAAAACTTTTGTTACCTCTATCATATTTAGATATGTATATACATGTTTATTTCTCAAGGTAGGTGTTGCACACGGACTTTCCTTAATTTAATATGATGTTGTAATAACCTGGGGCTTTATCAGTCCTATTTATGTTTCAACAGTACAGTCATTCTGAGGGGCTTTTGTTTAGGTTGCTGACTCTACTTGTTAGCCCAGAATTTACTTCCTCAACCAGACTGCGGCTCTTTAGGACATGGACCACATGTTTCTGTGTTTTTGTATTTCTAAGGTCTAGCACAAAGCTTGGCAAACATCTGGTACTTAACAAATAATAAGAGCTCACAATAACTGGGTATTCAGAGTATGTCACACACTGAGGTGTTTGTGATTTCATTCCTTATTTGATAGGTGAGGAAAACGAAGTCTTAAATGCAGATCCATTTTGGGAAGACTGTAAACCCTCGATGTCAACCACTCTATATAAATCTTGTTAAGGGAATGAATGCTGAATGATGGTTAACACTTTCCATTATGTAGGTAAAGACACTAGGTATCAGCATGGGGGCAGGGCAGCTGCATCAGGAACTCAGGTTACCTGTCCTCCATTTAAGTGTGTTTTTCCTTAGAGTTTTCTAATTTTGAAATGGTCTTTATTCCTTATTAGAAATGAAAGTGAGGCCAGGCGCAGTGGCTCACGCCTGTAATCCCAGCACTCTGAGAGGCTGAGGCGGGCAGATCACCTGAGATCAGGAGTTTGAGACCAGCCTGACCAACATGGAGAAACCCTGTCTCTACTAAAAATACAAAATTAGTCAGGTTTGGTGGTGCATGCCTGTAATCCCAGCTACTCGGGAGGCTGAGGCAGGAGAACCGCTTGAACCCGGGAGGTGGAGGTTGAGGTGAGCCGAGATTGCACCATTGCACTCCAGCCTGGGCAACAAGAGCCAAACTCCATCTCAAAAAAAAAAAAAAAAAAAAAAAGAAATGAAAGTGAAATCCTGTATACTAATTGAGCCTATTTCACCTGTCTCTGATTCCAGAACTCTTGTGTATAACAATCTTGCTCATTAGTGGATCAAACTTCTTACTGACACAGAGATGTCACCACGAACATCTATAAGGAAAGCAAAATCTTTCCTCTTCTGCGCACCTTCTCTGTTGGGGATGCCAAACTCAAATGCCTGCAGAGACTAGTAGATCCTGGAAGTGACAAGTGGGCTGGGTGTGAATGTGAACTGGGGCAGCCATGTGGGAGCCCTAATCCATTATGAAGGGAATAGCCACTCCTTGGCCCAGGGTGACTAGATCTTTAGAATTTTAAGAGAAGCCAGAAACACAGATTTTATGTAGAATCTCTTGAGTTTGAGATGTTGATGATTCATTCCTTTTTTTTTTTTTTGAGATGGAGTCTCACTCTGTTGCCAGGCTGGAGTGCAGTGGCGCAATCTTGGCTCACTGCAATCTCTGCCTCCCGGGTTCAAGTGATTCCCCTGCCTCAGCCTCCTGAATAGCTGGGACTACAGGTGCGCACCACCAGGCTCGGCTAATTTTTTGTATTTTAGTAGAGACAGGGTTTCACCATATTGGCCAGGATCGTCTCAATCTCCTGACCTCATGATCTGCCCGCCCCAGCCTCCCAAAGTGCTGGGATTACAGGTGTGAGCCACCACGCCTGGCCTCAAATATTTTTTAAAACCCCAGCACAGGCCAAATAAAACACATCTATGGTTAGGTGGGCCTGTGGGCCACCAGTTTGCAAACTTAGTTTCATCTGGGGAACATCCAGAACCATCTTCTGCCCAGTGTGGCATACTATAGGCATGAAGGAGAGGTAAGATTAGTATTTTAAGTTTTTGTTTGTTAGCATCTCTATAACAAGGTTTAGTGAGGGAAGTGGTGGACAGAGATGTTAAAATTGTTTTTAGACTATCTGTGGATTTCCAATATTCCATCCATGGCCCCAGACTGAAAGTCAAGAGCAGTTGTATGTGTATACCTTCCTTAAGCCACCATTCAATCTTTGTGCTGCACAAAGAATCAGCCTGGTGAGCACTGACACACGACTTCAGCTTTCTTCAAACTGATTGTTAGTGTGCAGCACTCTGTTGAACTTGCAGAAAAATCTACAGCCTGCCTTTTCCCTCTTACATTACATATACTTCTGATGGGCAGCAAGTTGGCCTCCAGCAATAAACAATGAATGACTGCTTCCTAGGCATCTCTGGATAGTCACTGTCCAGTGAGGAAGAAAAGCTTCTCAGAATAATGGAACCTCTCCTAGTAGGGGGACTCTACCTCCCCTTTTACTCAAGCAAGGCTGTGCAAAACATCGAGTAAACTTTCATCCATTCAGGGATCAACTAATCCAATCCATGAGCATCTTGGGCTCTTGGCCTGCTTTTTGGACCACACAACCTCAGAGGCTTTGATGGAGGAAGCCATGAAAAGCCTAACTTAGTAAGACGAGTCTTCTGAGACCTTTAAGAATTTGTTCCTACTCCAGATGTAAGTGTGTTTGGAGATAACTTCCTTGAGTCTTACTTTCTTTAAATACATTAGAGAAATGGTTGTAGGATATTAATGTACTTTGCAAGGCTTTGGGAAATACTAAACACAGTGTTCTCTTCAAAGTGAAGGTGTTACATACATGTTTAGTTTGAAGAGAGATTTATGCTTGTGCATGCACAAAATTTCCCTCTCACTATACCAGCAAATTGAGAATTGTCCAACCTTTTTTCTTAAACAACAAAGGAAAATATTACATCAAATACCTAAGCCAACAGTAACAGAGTACCGAAGTAGGATAATATCAAATATTATGTTCAGGGTGAAATTTAGTTCTTCATATGCTGCCAGGCATGCTCTTTTTAATTTTACCAGAAGAACACATTACTTGACTACTATGGTATTTAGAATTCCTATACTGGAATATTCCCAAGGCTTTTTTGGAAAATATCTAGGGCTGTTTCTAAAACAGCACTTTCTAATTTTGTTAACACCTTCCTTTCCTTTAAGTTAACTTGATAGATTGTGCCTTTCTAAGCTTCAGATTACCTCAGACTTTTCAATACCTAGTTCCAACATGTTATGAGGACAACTCAAAGATCATGAAACCTGGTTCCGCTGTCCAAACATTTACTTCTGTGCTTCATTCAAACTGAATTCATTCACTGCTGTGCTAGAATAACTCTCTATCTCCCGCCTCCCCAGCTTCTCTCACCTGCCTGCCTGCTTCCTGTTGCATCCTCAGTGACACCCCTGGCCTTGTCACACAGCACAGCAGTTCATGTCTTTCCCTGCTCCCATCTTCCCTATACCATGTCTGAACCCTTGAGCCATAACATGGATGGACAGCAGCAAATGGCTCTGTCTTGATGGCAGGGATGGGGAAGGAACAGCAAGGGAGCTGGTGATTCTGCTTAGACCCACAGTGGGCCCCGGGATGACTGACAGTGAGGGAGGCTGTCCCAACACTACTGGAGGGGAAGCTGACCTGCTTTGCAGCTCTTCCCAAGGCAGTCTGGGCCCCATCTGCAGAGAGTCTGACTTAATTATTTTCAGAGTCCCAGATGACCTAATGCACAGTCCTAGGATCTACTAGATGGCCACAGTAGCAAGGGGTAGTAGGACAAGCAAGGGCTTTCACATCAGAAGACCTGGGTTTGAACCTTGGTCTACTAATGGCTAGCTGTAACATCTGGGGCACATCAACTCTCTACTCTAGATTTTCACATTTGTAAAATGGGATAAATGCACCTTCACAGAAATACTCTGAGCACTAATTAGATCAAATGTGAAGTACAAAGTAGAGTACAAAGCTCAGAGATGGGAGTTGAATTGGGGTATATATGCCTTGTTCTGAATTGTTTTTGTTATACCACTAATGTGGTTGTCTCCCACAAGGTCCAGGTTAGGGTGACTCCTTTGATAAAAGGCAAAATAGCTGAGCTGACTGAGCATACTGGGGACCTTACAGCTAATCCTGACATAGGTGCACAGCTGGGCCCCAGCATTTTATGTTGTTTTCATTTCTTAAAAGATAGGAGAAGCAGTGGCGCATGGAGGGAGTAGGGAGTATGGGGTCAGCTGTGCACTCCTCTGTTGTGCTTCTATCTTCCCTCTGCAAGAGAAGAGCTGGCTTAACCATGCAGAGGAATCACATCGCTGGATGCCACCGGACACTGCTCCAGCAGTCCCCACAGGTCCCAGAAGGGAGTTGGCTTTGGCTTCACAAGAATGCTGCCTGTTTTTCAGTAAATGAAGGGACAGATGATCCTTCTTAAAAATCGGCTCCAGGAGGGCAGGGAAGGGGTGGGCAGGCGATCTGGTGGGCCTTGGTGCCTCCGTCCCTATCAGGGGACAGGAACTAGCCCTCTGCCCATGACCAGGCTTTCCTGAGTCTTTGAGGCCACAGACTGGTCACTTCCTCAGCACAAGATCATGTATCAGAAACAGGGACAGAGCAGCTCAGAACTTTGACTTAGGGCAGGGATCTAAATATGGCAGGACTCAAATTCTCTCTTTTGGATATCAGCAAAGGCTCTCGGAACTGTCAGCAGGCTCAGAATGCAGACCTCATGAAGAGCTAACTTTGGACTAGAACAGCAATTTACTCGGGGCCTCAAATCCAACCTTGCTACCAATTTATGATTTATGATGCTGAGGTCAGTCCACTGGGGCTCAGACGGCTGAGGAGCCAGGTCCCTCGCTTTCCAACTTGTCCCTTCCCTCATCCCTGACACTTAACGGGAGGCAAATCAGAAGGAGCGCAGGATGCAAAGGGTTCTCTCAGAAGAGGCCTATACCAAAGCAAAGAGGCAACCAAAGGAGAACATGGGAAGTCTGTGTTCCTCTATCTTTTTCTTATCTCCAGCTTCCTTCATCTTTTTCATGTTTAGTGTTGGCTATTTTTTCCCAACTCCAACATTGAGAAATTAACTGGAAAATACAGAAGCCACTATCATACAACTAAGAGAGAGAAGTTATTAAGCCAGGTTGTAGCAAAAGATTAAAACCTGCTTGTGATCTACAGCTAACTGGATAGGACTGGGGTGGGGGGATATTATGCAATGCTAATGTGGGATCTCGCAATTTTAGGGGGTTGTGGGAAAAGACAATGCCTGGATTTCCAAGGGCATGGGGGTGCTACTGTCTTTTGAGCCATGCCATTCCCTGAGAAGGCAATGTGCCATCCTTTAAGAGGACAGTGGTTCTAGGACAGGCCACGTGGACTGATGAGGAGGAAGGGGGTTGAGGAAAACTTCTGGAGATACTCTATATTCAGAGAAACTCTAGAATAAACCAAACCAGCATAAAGGTACTTAGGAAATAAGCAGGACAGGCACCCCTTCTACAGCAGGACAGGGGGATGTGGAAGGGAGTAAGGAAAGCCAAGCAGGTTAGGTCCAGCCAAGGGGGTAGTATACTGGAGAAAAAGTACAGGAGGTCACGTCCCACAGGTTGAGGTCCATAGGGGAACCAGTAGGAAACAGGATCAGCACAGAATCCAACCTAGGCCTCAAGTTAAAACAGAAGGAGGTGGCGAGAGCTGGGCTTCCAGGGCGGGCCCCTGAGAGCCAGCCACTCTCTTTAAACATTCTTGGGTCATGGGTCTCTTCTAGGATACAAGAAAAACTATAGAGTCACCCCGCCAAGAAAATGCACTGATGCTCACATAATTCTGCTTTTCACTTCTGGGGATTCACAGGTCCCTGAAAGCCAAGCCACAGACTGGAGATTATGAACCCCAGGTCCAGAGGATACTCCTATGCACTGAAGAAAGAGGAGTGATAACAGGAAATACTTGGAGGATTATTTAATCCTTTAAACCTCTGGAAAACTAAGTGGAATAATATGAGGTCTGGCCTGAAACTGGTCTGAATAATACATAATTTGCAGCAAAGATTAGTTAGGCACTTAAGCTGTCAGTGAGTGCATGACTCTAGTGGAAAGGTGGGAGCTGGGAGGCTGGGTGGGAGGCCTCAGAGGCAGCCCTGGAAAAAAGAGGAATAACGAAAAATTGAGAAGTCAAAGGTGGGTGTGAGTGGTGAGGAAACTCTCCCTACTCTCCCCCAGGTGGTGGTGGGAGAAATTTAATTCAGAACAATGGTGAATGGACCTGGAGGATGGGGATTTCCTTTGGGGGGACTACTCTTGGCTTTTGTAACATGCATTTCATACTAAATTAAGGCATATGGTATGCCTACAAAAAAAGGAAAAAATATTTATTTGTGACAGTGAGCCAGGATTTACATTGAAATGCTGCTCTTTTTCTTTTTCTAAAACAGAGGCATTATTACTTTTCATCTGGTCATTTAATTAAACCACAATCTGACTTTTGAAAAGATGCATTTTGGGAAGAATGGGAGGGACAGGGTTACAGTTCTGTGTGCTCTTAGTGAATCATATGATGGGTTTAATTTGATGTGTTTGTGTAAATACTAGATAAAAAAATACTTTTTTTAATCTGGATGAACTTTTATTTTTTTTTTTTTTTTGAGACGGAGTCTCACTCTGTCGCCCAGGCTGGAGTGCAGTGGCACGATCTTGGCTCACTGCAACCTCCCCCTCTTGGGTTCAAGCAATTCCCCTGCCTCACCTCCCGAATAGCTGGGACTACAGGCGCCCGCCACCACGCCTGGCTAATTTTTTTATTTTTTATTTTTTAGTAGAGACAGGGTTTCACCATGTTGGCCAGGATGGTCTCGATCTCCTGACCTCGTGATCCACCTGCATCGGCCTCCCAAAGTGCTGGGATTACAGGCGTGAGCCACTGCGCCCGGCCTACCTGGATGAATTTTTAGAGGTGGTGGGGATACTTGGGTTCTGAAAACACACAGTTGTTTTTGATTCTTAAATACACGTTTGCAGGGAGAGAACCTGACCTTGAGAGTATTTTTCATGCATGACTCTATTTGGTCCCTGGATATAGAACATACAAGGAACACAGTGGGGTGGTTGATCATCCAAGGAAACTCACCTTCTTACAAAAGAGTTTAAATCATTAGCAGAACATGCTCTGCATGTGAATCCATTGCAAGCATATCTAACAGTACTGGGATTTATGGAAATATGTTCATTGTCAAATATTCCCCAAGGATATGTACAGCATAGTGTAACATATGCAAAATAAAGAGCGCAGAAGTAGGAGTCAAAAGACCTGGAGTTTGTAGCAGTCTTGAAACCGTAAGGAAAATGACCTCAGGCAAATTATTAAACATTTCAGACAGGGCCCAAGTGTGCTACCCAAGAAACTAAAAATGCCTGCCACCTCCCTACCTTATAAGTAGCATCAAAAGTGGGCAGGGAGTTAAATACCCACAATTAAAGCATTCAAAATCTCTAAGTATCATATTAACTTATGCCTTTATTATACAAAGCTAAATAATTTTTTGAAAATGTAAGCAATTTTTTGAGCATCTAATTTAGACAAAGTATTGCTCAAGGTAATGTGAATAAACCCTTTAAAAATCGTAGTTTATTATTTTAAAATTAAACTCACAGTATGAAGATTTTAAAAAATATTTCACATTGGATGAACTTACTTCCAAATAAATAGGAAAACAGTTTCATTTAAATAGGTCAGAGTAAATAACATGAATATATAAAAAACTCTAAATAAGTACAATGAGATAGATACCCAAAAATGAACACTGATGAAACTGTCTAGAGTAATATGTAAGGCAAATAAATTTGAGCTAAATCATATGCCTTTTCTCTTTTTTAACCTTAAGAAGACTGCTGACCTTCGTTGACATGCCAGTGTTTGGGAGAGGCACCTGTATGAAAAACTGGGTTCTCTTTAACAAATAAACTTTGATTCTCTGGACTCTAAGAGAATAATACTAAAAGGAAAAAGACATGAGAGTGATGCAATTGGGAGATGAACATCATGAAAAGAAAATTTCAACAAATTTCTGGAGGCCAGGAAGAAGATGGCAAATAGAATAGAATGTATGACAGTTTTATGTGTCAACTTGGCTAGGCTATGGTGGCCAGTTGTTTGGTCAAACACTAGTCTATATGTTGCTGTGAGGGTATTTGTGGATGTGATGAACAGTTACAATCATCTGAATTTAAGTCAATCAGATTACCCTCCATCATATGGGTAGGCCTCATCTAATCAGCTGAAGGCCATAAGGGCAAAAACTGAGCTTTCTTGGAGAAGAAGGAATTCTGCCTCAAGATTGTAACATAGAAAATGAGGAGTTATTCATTAGTGGGTATAAAGTTTCAGTCAAACAAGATGAATATGCCCTAGAAATCCACTGTCATTCTTGTCTTGACATTATCAAGAATAATACAGGGTGTACTTAAACATTTGATACGAGGGTAAATCTCAAGTTTTGTTCTTACCACAGAAAAAAAGAAAGAAAATAAAAAAGACTGTAACATAGAATTCCTGCCTGAGTTTCCAGTCTGCTGGCCTGTGCTATGAATTTGGGACTCAAGACTGCAACATCAACTCTTAACTGAATTTCTGGCATGTCTGCCTGCCCCATGGGTTTTGGACTTCCCAGCCCCCACGACTGCGTGAGCCAATTCCTTAAAACAAATATTTCTCTGTCTTTCTTTCACCCCTCTGCCACTTCCCCATCCCCCAACCCCCACTATGGAGAACCCTACCTGATACAAAGCAAGAATGAAAGAGTCTAGAATATATTGGAGAAAACTTCAGGAAAGTCAGAGGGTGGGAGTGAGCTGTCCAGCAACATGCCAACAAAACCCCAGGCCCACTGGGAAGCTGCAACAGAGACTGGGATTTCAAGTCCGGGTGGAGAAGAGAGAAGTGAACTGAAGTCTGCCTAAGGGACACTGTGGGTACCCCTCACTCTCCTCCCCTACTCCCTGCCTTAGGTCCATGCACTGCACTAGAAACCCATGATTTTACTTGGGGGCCAAATATCAGAGGACTCTTGATCTATAAAGAAATTGAAAAACTGCCTGGATATAGTAGATAACATTAACATTACGGGAAGCCGCATGAGGGACATACAGAAACTCTGTATTATTTTAGTAACTTGTCTCTACGTCTAAAATTAGTTCAAAATAAAAAGTTAAAAAAAACTGTCTAGAAAGAACTAGGAGGGCCAGATTATATGCAAACACTCTAGAGTAAAGCACACCCCGCCCCCGTCAAATCCCCAGGTATTTAAATCCTTTGAATCCCCTTACCACACACACATAAACTCCTGACTAAAATCCAGCCCATTCTCAGTCTTGATCTGAAAGTGAAACTTCCAGGAGACAAGCCCCCCACCCAACATCAAGGTTCCATGCAGATTTCCTATTCATAGGCAGCAATAACAGGAAACCGGATCTACATATATAAGAGCAGGGGAAACCCACACCATCTGTGAAGAAAAATAAAACTCAGCCCCTTGCTCTTAAATACAGATGGATAACCAAAGTTCACCACTCATATCTAAAAACAAAACAGAAACACCAAAGAGAAAAGCCAAGTAATTAAACATGGCCCCTGACTCCTGAAGACACAGACAATTCAGACCACATAAGAGAAGTTTAAAAGAGAACTCATGCTCTGTTTTCACAGGGATTATTAACATCTTGATCTAACAGACAGGAGAGTCAAGATTTAACTACATAAATTGGGACAAGAAATTGAGGTTTAAAACTATTATTTTAAGGTACAAAGATTATCACTAGAAAAGTTAAAATAATAACTATCAGTTGAGGAAGGGAGAAGGATTATGAACAAATAGCAAAAAGGCAAGAGTATAAGCTTATTATTATTATTACTACTATTACATCAGGCAAGTAAACTACTATTACATCAGTGAGCATCTATTACCACAGAGACATGTTGTCCTTGGAAGGGAACCATGGCTTTTCATTATAAGCATTTCTGTGCTATTTTATTTCTTAACCTATATATATACTATTTTCACAAAAACTTTAAAAGGGAATAAAGAAAAGATGTTTCTTCAAAAATATCCTCTCATGGATGAAAGAGGAGATTTTTAAATGTAGTTAACTCCCACTGGCATCAACAACACACTTCATTGAAGAAAAAATGTCTACAATAGGACTAGGCTGAGGTGGGAGGATCACTTGAAGCCAGGAGTTTGAGACCAGCCTGAGCAACATAGTGAGACCCCATCTCTACAAAAATTAAAAAATTAGCAGAGTATCCTCGTGCACACCTGTACTCCCAGCTACTCAGGAAGCTGAGGTGGGAGGATTGCTTGAGCCTAGGTGTTTAAGCCTGCAGTCGGCTATGATCGCACCACTGCACTTCAGCCTGGGTGACAGAGAGAGACCCTGTCTCTAGAATACTACTACTACTACTACTACTAGTACTACTACTACTACTACTACTACTACTACTAATAATAATAATAATATTAGGACTAAAGAGAACCATTTCAAATGTAGGTTTAGAGGCTAAAGCAGTAAGACAATTTGGAAATTTCTACACTAACCACTTTGTTAGAAAGCAAAGGAAGTTTTTTTAAAGAAGAAAATTAAGCAACAATTTAGTTTCCCCTCCCCCTCCCCAGATGCCATGAATCTTGTTCGTGTCTAAGTGCTGGTGCAATGTAAATCTAAGTGGAAAAATGGATAATAGCTCCACAGGCAGGGGCACAGATTCATCTTAACACCTTCCCTCAGCTGGGGAGTGAGATTTGTAGAGTGTTCAGCACTACTGTGATCTGATGAACCATAAATTGTAACACATGTAGAAGAAAGGAGTAGTATCAACATGTATACATTAATCACAATACTTACAGCACATCAATTATAATTATGAACAGTTTCCTATTATATTACACTCTGATCTTCAGTGTCTCTTGCAGCAATATCAAGCTGCTTTTATTGAAAATGAAATCTGGCTGGGTGCAGTGGCTCACGCCTGTAATCCCAGCACTTTGGGAGGCCAAGGTGGGCAGATCACCTGAAGTCAGGAGTTTGAGACCAGCCTGGCCAATATGGCAAAACCTCATCTCTACTAAAAATACAAAAATTAATTTATAAATTCAATGCCATCCCCATCAAGCTACCAAAGACTTTCTTCACAGAATTAGAAAAAACTACTTTAAAGTTCATATGGAACCAAAAAAGAGCCCCCATTTAACAAGACAATCCTAAGCAAAAAGAACAAAGCTGGAGGCATCACACTACCTGACTTCAAACTATACTACAAGGCTACAGTAACCAAAACAGCATGGTACTGGTACCAAAACAGAGATATAGACCAATGGAACAGAACAGAGGCCTCAGAAATAACACCACACATCTACAACCATTTGATCTTTGACAAACCTGACAAAAACAAGAAATGGGGAAAGGATTCCCTATGTAATAAATCGTGCTGGGAAAACTGGCTAGCCATATGTAGAAAGCTGAAACTGGATCCCCTCCTTATGCCTTGTACAAAAAATAATTCAAGATGGATTAAAGACTAAAATGTTAGACCTAAAACCATAAAAGCCCTAGAAGAAAACCTAGGCAATACCATTCAGGATATAGGCATGGGCAAGGACTTCATGACTAAAACATCAAAAGCAATGGCAACAAAAGCCAAAATAGGCAAACTGGATCTAATTAAACTAAAGACCTTCTGCATGGCAAAAGAAACTACCATCAGAGTGAACAGGCAACCTAGAGAATGGGAGAAAATTTTTGCAATCTATCCATCTGACAAAGGGCTAATATCCAGAATCTACAAAGAACTTAGACAAATTTACAAGAAAAAAACAAACAACCCCATCAAAAAGTGGGCAAAGGATATGAACAGACACTTTTCAAAAGAAGACATCTATGCAGCCAACAGACACATGAAAAAGTGCTCATCATCACTGGTCATCAGAGAACTGCAAATCAAAACAACAATGAGATACCATCTCACACCAATTAGAATGGTGATCATTAAAAAGGCAGAAAACAACAGATGCTGGAGAGGATGTGGAGAAATAGGAACACTTTTACACTGTTAGTGGGAGTGTAGATTAGTTCAACCACTGTGGAAGACAGTGTGGCGATTTCTCAAGGATCTAGAACTAGAAATAGCATTCGACCCAGCCATCCCATTACCGGGTATATACCCAAAGGATTATAAATCATGCTACTATAAAGACACATGTACATGTATGTTTATTGCGGCACTATTCACAATAGCAAAGACTTGGAACCAACCCAAATGTCCATCAATGATAGACTGGATTAAGAAAATGTGGCACATATACACCATGGAATACTATGCAGCCATAACAAAAGATGAGTTCATGTCCTTTGCAGGGACATGGATGAAGCTGGAAACCATCATTCTCAGCAAACTATCACAAGGACAGAAAACCAAATACCGCATGTTCTCACTCTTAGGTGGGAACTGAACAATGAGATCACTTGGACACAGGGAGGGGAACATCACACACCGGGGCCTGTTAGGGGGTGGGAGTCTAGGGGAGGGATAGCATTAGGAGAAATACCTAATGTAAATGATGAGTTGATGGGTACAGCAAACCAACATGGCACATGTATACCTATGTAACAAACCTGCACGTTGTGCACATGTACCCTAGAACTTAAAGTATAATAATAAAATAAAATAATACAAAAATTAGCTGGGCATGGTGGTACATGCCTGTAGTCCCAGCTACTCAGGGAGGCTGAGGCAGGAGAATCGCTTGAACCCAGGAGGCAGAGGTTGCAGTGAGCTGAGAACGCACCACTGTACTCCAGCCTGGACGACAGAGCAAGATTCTATTTCAAAAAAAAAAAAAGAAACCTAGTGGCATGACAGCTTCTTCCATTACTGCATTTTCTTCCCCCCACTTCCATTCTCACTGTATTCTTTTCCTTGGCAAATGTACGCCTCGACCTGATAAAACATCTCGTTTTGTCAACTCTCCATATGCCTAGCAGGTTAGAGTCTCAAAGATATTTCCATTGACTTTCTGCCTTTCCTAATTGATCAACAGGGTTTGTCAACTGGGTCTTCTTCAGGCCATGTGAAATATACAAAGCTGAACAATTCACTTGGACCACAAACACTAGCAGCTCTGGGAAAACAATTTACCTGATGATAAAAGAGAACGGCATCCTGTGGGCTTAGTTAATGCTGAGTGAACAGTCGCCCCAGGATATTCAGTACAATCAAAACCTGTGATTGTTCCCCCACCCCAGCTTCTCTTTGCGCTCACATTCTGTTAGCTTAGCTCTAAAAAGTTACCTGCAGACAAATCTGTAGCTCGAAACAAAACAAACTTCTTCTCCATACCACAGGATACCATATTTATTAGTCTTTATCATTCTGTCCAAACTGACATTCATAAGAATAATGTCAAATCAGCCTGAAACACAAGCACCTCCCTAATGATGCTGCAAGCTCCTTCCATGGCACCTCAGAGGAGACAGGCTCAGGGCAAGATAATTTGTAGCCCTGTGACTTATAGGCAGGCATCTGAATGGACATTACCCTGAAGCAAAATCAGACAGAAAATAATCATTTTCCGTTTGCTTTCTCATCTCCTTTCTATTTTGTTAAAGTGAGTAAAATACAAAAACTCCGTTGAGTTTTGTGCCCGTGGCTGAATGTCTCCCTTAGCCAGGATCTTCTAGTTAATTTCTACTACGTAGAAATTACGTAGTACGTAGAGGTTACGTACTACACATTACGGGTTCCTGGAGGTTACTGGCTTGAGTTTTAGGTCAGGGTGCTGATACGATTACCATAGAACTCTGACGATTACAAAGGGACATCAGAAGTCTACAAGTCACTGATTTTTTTTCTTCCTCTTTTTGACATCCACGTGATTTTTTTTTTTTTTTTTTTTTTTGAGACGGAGTCTGGCTCTATTGCCCAGGCTGGAGTGCAGTGGCGCGATCTCTGTTCACTGCAACCTCCGCCTTCCGGGTTCACGCCATTCTCCTGCCTCAGCCTCCCGAGTAGCTGGGACTACAGGCGCCAGCCACCATGCCTGGCTAATTTTTTTGTATTTTTAGTAGAGACGGGGTTTCCCCGTGTTAGCCAGGATGGTCTCGATCTCCTGACCTCGTGATCCGTCCGCCTCGGCCTCCCAAATTGCTGGGATTACAGGCGTGAGCCACTGCGCCTGGCCGACATCCCCGTTATTTTAAAGCAGACCATCATGATCCACAATAGGCTACAGAAAGACGAGCCCTCCAACTCAAATAGTCCTTGCACTGATTTTTCCGTTGAGTATAAAAGGTGCTGACTACAGCAACAGGCAGACAGCACATAGATACATCCCTCCTGAGTTAGGGCTAAAGTTCCAAGGCGAGGTGTAGAGGCCAACTCCATCGTCTCCTATTTCAACCATATGAAATGTAGATGATAACAAGCCTTACAAGCAAAGTATCTCCAGAGGTCAGAATCTGAAAACATTCAGATGAGGAGCTAAAAGTAATCAGTTATTAGGCAATTGAGAATATATATACATGTTGATACTACTCCTTTCTTCCACATGTGTTACAATTTATGGAAATATCATCCTCTAAAAGATGTACCCATCTTCAGGTTCCAGATAGGCAACATTATCAGATGCCATCAATACCCCAACACTGGTGACTTCCTGGAGGACCTCGGAAATAACTATGTGGCTCAGTAGATTTTCTGAGCTTATCTACAAAGCTGCTCTAATCTCCCCTGAATATCAGGGCAGACTCTTGCCAAGCAGCCAAACATTCACTTTAATCATTTTCAGGCAGGGAAAAAAAAGTGTTCTGTATATAAATAAAAAATTTAACCCTTTGGGATGGCGTCTACATCTCCATTCCACTTCTCTCCTTTCTTCTCAATACACCTGCAGCTGAGCCAGAACAACCCAATCAACACCTTTAAGTGACTTTCACTCTACTTGAAACAAGTAATCCTATTGAAATAATATACAATGGTATAGATTTAACCTTAGTCTTAGACCTTTAAGTTCTTGTGAATACTATAGGAATGCAAAACAGTTCAACTACTTTGGAAAATGGTTCAGCAGCATCTTAGAGAGTTGAACATACACCTGTCATTCTACCTAGTAACCTCACACCTAGATATTTAGGTAAGAGAAATGAAAACATATATACATACAAAAAATGGTATACGCATGCTTATAGTGACTTTATTTATAATGACCAATATCTGGAAACAACCCAAATGTCCTTCAGCTGGTGAATGGGTAAACTGCACAGCCACACAGTAGAAGACTACTCAGCAGTAAAAAGGAACTAACTACTGATACAACAATGTGGACAGACCTCAAATTCATTATGCTTTGTCATAGGAGCTAGACTCAAAAGGCTACATATGATTCCATTTATATGACATCTTGGAAAAGGCAAAACTATAGAGTGAGAAAACAGGTAAGTAGTGGCCAGAGGCTGGAGGTGGTGAAAGGGTTGACCTTAAAAG
This sequence comes from Homo sapiens, assembly GCF_000001405.40. Taxonomy (NCBI): domain Eukaryota; kingdom Metazoa; phylum Chordata; class Mammalia; order Primates; family Hominidae; genus Homo; species Homo sapiens. The sequence goes on from NC_000005.10 coordinate 126,994,373, forward strand.
GGGATGAGAGCACCTAGGGGGTAGGGGGATGATGGCACTGTTCTATATCTTGATTGTGGTAGTAGTTAACATAACTGTATGCATTTGTCAAAATGTATAGTAGTGTATGCTAAAAAAGAATGAATTTTACGGCATGTCAGTTCTACCTCAATAAATGCAATGAAAAACATAATCTCAGTGTAAAATGTTCAATGTAAGAAAGGCAGACTTCAAAACAACTGATTAACCTCCCACTTACATCAACAAGATCTGCAGGCTTTCTCCCAAGCTTGAGGTGTATTTAATCAGGGTTCTCTAGAGGTACAGAACTAACAGGATATATGTATATATGAAAGGGAGTTTATTAAGGAGAATTGACTCACACGACCACAAGGTGAAGTCCCATGATAGGCTGTCTGCAAGGTGAGGAGCAAGGAAGCCAGTGGTGGCCCAGTCTGAGTCCCAAAACCTCAAAAGTAGGGAAGCCAACAGTGCAGCCTTCAGCCGGTGGCCGAAGGCCCAAGAGCTGCTGGTTTGACTCCAAGAGTCCAAAAGCTGAAGAACTTGGAGTCTGATGTTCGAGGGCAGAAAGCATCCAGCACGGGAGAAAGATGAAGACTGGAAGACTCAGCAAGTCAAGTCCTTCCACCTTCTTCTGCCTGCTTTATTCTTGCTGCACTGGCAGCTGATTAGATGGTGCCCACCCAGATTGAAGGTGGGTCGGCCTCTCCCAGTCCACTGACTCAAATGTGAATCTCCTTTGGTAACACCCTCACAGACACACCCAGGAACAATACTTTGCATCCTTCAATCTAATCAAGTTGACACTCAATATTAACCACTACTCTTGGTCTGGTAGCACTCTCGAGATAGCACCCTGTTATTCTTGGACACACAGTTTAAAAAAGCACTAATACGTAAATCAATTGAGCCAATGTACCAGTGTGCAACTGGATGTTTTCAAGCCTGTTCATGAGAGCTTCTGGCATTCTGACATTAAGGTGCTGTTTATTTTGCAGGTTGTTGCACATGTTCCTATCTTGCTTTTCCTAGAGTTCTAACTGCCTGGGTGCCACTGCTTTCATAATCCTTGGAGTCAAGAAATTATTTCAGACTGATTATTAAAGCCTGCCATGTGTGTTTTCTATGATGAAGCAAAGTAATCTATTATTCTGACTGAACATAATACAGAAAAAAGAGACTTCCCTAATTCTGTGATATTCTCATAGATTCCTTTTACAGACTTATTTTTGGCTGAACAATATTCACATCCTGGGTATTCAAAGATTTTTGTTTAACTTTCCATTTGATGTCATGACCATTATGTACTGTCTCCACTTTGAATGTCTGTGACTTGCAACTAAGTTTTATTTTTCCCTGTTTTTCTCCCAATAAACAAATCAGCCAAACATTTATTAAGAATTCACTAAATGGAAATGAATGCTAAGGGCAGGAAGAATGAGAAACTCAAACCCAGCCTTTTGGCATTCTACTAGACCTACTCAGATAACTCGAATGGAAGGCAATGTGTGATGTGTTATAAACACAGGCATAAATACACTGCTAAGGCAGTAAGAGGGAGAGGAAATTGGAACAATCTGGGAAGGTGGAATTTAAGCTGGGTCCTTGAAAGATGAATAAGAGGTGAGACTCCAGACATTCCAGGCTTAGGGACAATTTTGCACACTTTTGAGTGCAGATTTGTTAAAATCAGTGAACATCAGCTGGCATCCTGGAGCCTGAAAGCCACGAGTATTTGAAAATATTTTTGAATTTCAATGTCTTCAGGCCTCAGGTCTCTCCTTTTCTCCATGAGTCCCACTGTACCTCTAAAGTTATAGAGGAAAGAGCAGGAGAGGAAAGAGCAGGAAAGTTATAGAGGAAAGAGCAGGAGAGAAAGTGCTCCAAATGTTGCAGCACAGTCAGGATGCATGGAGAACAGAACCAGTTATCTGATTTGGCAATTAAGGAATCATTAAGCAGCTTTGATAGGAAAAATGTTAGTAGATAGTGGGCAAGAGATCCAGATGCAAATAGGTTGGTGAGTCACTTGTACTTGCTATAGCTTCACATATTTAGTCTCCCACTTTGTGTTGTCCATTAAAGCATTTCAGCTGGGTCCCTGGTTTAAATGTATTGCTTGTGGGCAATCATAGGGTTAGCAAGAGTTGACTGCAAGGAAGGAAAAAAAAAAAAAGAAAGGGAGAAGAGGGCACACTGGTGGCAGGCTTTAAGAGGGGTTGCAGCTCTTCTTCAGTGGGGATATGGATCTAGGATCTTTAATCCCTTTGAGGAGTGGTATTAGCAAAAAGCACTAATAAGGAATGCAGGAGAACCATCAGTGTAATATTATCGTTACCGAGAAAACTGGAAATCACCTAAATGTTCATCAACAGGGAACTGATTAAATCAATAATTGATTATTTATACAATGGGGTACAACAACGCAAGTAAGAAAAAAAATAAGCGTGAAGAGATAGAAAGATCTCTAGGATAAATTATTTAAAAATCAGAGCGCAGAAGAGTATATGTAATAGGCTCCCATTTATGTTCGCATATATATACAAACTTCTAGGAGGGTGCATACAAACTGTTAACATTTGTTATATCTGGGGAGTGAAAAATGAGGATAAGAGAAAGCAAAAATTTTACTTTTGAATTTATACCCTTAACAAATAGTTAAAAGCAACTCATATGATGACAATGAGTAAGTATTAAAGAATACTTACAGTACTTCCCAGGGCTGACCTGAAATTTAGTATGAGGACAAGCAACTACTGTTATAAAAGGACCAATAGATACCAGATGTTAAATTTAACAACTATTAAATCATTTAATTTAGTAAGTGGTTACTGAGTAGGTTACTGTCCAATCCTTAAGCAGCTGTCAATAGAGTACACGGACAAGTTAATACAAAGAGAAAGGTAACAGATATGATGTGAATGCATGGGAAAGCCAGGTAGTCAGAGAAGACTTCTTGGTGGAGGTGGGGATTAGGGTTTGGATGGGTGAAGCAGAAGAAACACAGAAAGAGCAACAGAATGAGAAGACAAGAAAAAACATGGTGGGCTTTTCAACGGACATGGAAGGGAAGTCAATTTGGTGAGGACTTGTCTCAAAAGGGATGGCAGAATGCTGCCTGAGGGAGGCTGGACCCCCTTACCAGGTAGAACTTCCTCTCTAATCCATAGGCTTTCGATCTCTCCCTATCACTGATACCCCAAGGTCGAAAGGACTGGGTCCTCAGGCCAGTCTGTCCTGTAGATTCACATCTTGTTTCTAATAGAAACAGTAGAATCATCTATTCAGTTATTTTTCTAAATTCCAGTTTACTCAAAATGACTGCATACTTAATTTTTTTGATAAGGCTATGCTTTTCTGCAAATCTCTTCCCCCCTTAAAATTACATTAGATAAATAATAATTCTCATTGCCCATTTGGTACACCTGGTCAACCTAGGCTTGCCTGCTACCACTATTGGGGAATTAACCATTTGTGCTATAGTATTAATATAGCAAAGAAACATAGCCGGTTGTTTTGGAGAATGACTATATTAAGCCTATTGACTGTTTATCACTAGAAAGAAAATATTGAAGCACTTTTATTACAGAAGTCCATTGGAGGCTATAGGCAGTCTAAGAACAACTGAGGAAATATTAAGAGAAAAAAGAGAATATTACCCTATCACTAAAAACTCTCCTGGCTGGAATCATAAAACAATCTGTTCAATGGCAGGAAATAATATATCTCACAACATGGGAAATCTTGGGTCTTGGAGAACTTTTATCTTTTATTTTGTCACAAGTAAATTAGAAAACTCCATGTACAAGGGGAAGAGAGGATTATGAAAATACAAAGGCAGTGTCCAAGTGGCCCATGTGGCAGTGGGTGAGCTGTACAACCAGGAATCAGCCAGGACCATCTGCTGATCAGTAAACAGAAAGTGCTGACTTATGGTGGACCAGAATTCTGCTCTAGTAGCTAAGAATAAAACACCAAGTTCCTGGTCCCTTTTCAAAGCACTCATTGGCTTTCTTCAAGTTGGAGAATATGCTCCAGCTTGGATCAAGAGTGAAACTGGAGAAGCTACACAAGATGGGCATTTGGCCTTTCACCAACATGCTTGTTCCTTGACTTGGCTCTCAGCAAACCCCATGCAAACATTCAGCATTTCACGGCTGAGGCCACACACAGAAGCCATCAGGTGGAGACAGCTGCAAATGTACTTTCTCACACTCACGCTGGGGAGAACAGGCAGGGAGGTGGGGTAAGGGAAGGTCAGGAGCAGGGTAAGAAGGAGGCCACCTCATGAATGTTTTAAAATCCTTCCCAGGTAGCCCACAGATGTTTCTGTGGCTACCAACCTGAGAAAAGCCATCTTTTAAACAGCAGAAATCTCACTCGTTCCCCTGTCCCACTCTCTCCCTGTCAATCCCCAGGACATGCCACAATAAGTTGAGAAGCTGTAAAGATCTGTGGTAAAAAGAAAAAGCTCCAATATGTCTGTGGATGTTACCTAAAGAAGCCCCGAAGTCAAGGAACAAAGTAAAAAACTGTGACTAAGAGTTGGAAAAAATATTACTACATGCCACAAGACATTAGGAGGAAAGTATGTGTGCCAAAAATCCAGAGAGGCTCCCAGAAAGTTCCCTCTCAGCAACCCCTCTCAAGGAGAACCAACTTATTGTACTTTACACATAATTGCTTTTCAGGTCTGCCTCACAAATAATTCCTTGGTGAATACCTAAGTCAGCAAAACAACAGGAATTTTTATACTGATCCTATAATACTGGCAGGGTGGTGAGCTGCAGGGCTCAGTTGGGGCAAACACATAAAAAATTGCCAACTTGCATAAGAAGTTTTTATCTAATGTAGATGATGCAGAAAATGTGTCCATTTTCTTCCTTTTTCCAGATGGCAGACTTTTTTTTCTTACACAATACCCATTTGTATGGCAATTATGCCCAGACCAGCTTTCAATGAGTCCATTAGAGCCGGCCAGTCCAACACAACTTCCTGCACAGCCTGTCCCTTGGGGACATGGATTCTGTTCACAGGGCAAAGACCTGGATGGCTTGACCCAGCTCCCGTTCCTCCAAGCTCTAGACTTCATCATTGTTCTCTCAGGCTACTCTCTCCCTGACCTTCAGATTTGACCCTCGTTGTTCTATTTCTAGGCCTAAATTTACCTTCCCTCCATTACAGCTTCACCAGCCAATCCAGTTGCATTGCAGTAATGTCTCTCAGCTGACTTGGTCGCTGGTATTCTGGCACCTGGCCACTTTAGGGGGGCAGAGAGATATATTTTCAAAACATGCTATTTGTTACCAGATGGTCAACTCCTCTACCAATCAAATACACATCATTTATTTGTTCAACAAACAATGAACACCGATTATTATAAGACTGTTAGTGCTGAAGGTACATCAAATAAGATACTGTCATCCTCAGAGCACTCAGCCATTACTAATGTACCACACTGGATAGAAATCAGCTACCCCATTGAATCCATATTATGGAAACAAAGCAAAATCATACTAATACTTCAGAGTCATTCTAAACTTTATAGCTTTCCAGTAGCTTTTCTACTAGTGAGACTCTGACTTAAGGTTATTAATATTAGAATATATATTACATAGAATATATATTATTCTATAAAGTACATTAGAATATATAAGATCATTAATATTAGAATATATAATATAGAATATATATTATTCTGTAAAGTATATTAATGATCTTAAGTCAGAGTCTCAAGAGCAGATTGAAAGAGATCCTTCATATCATTTAACCAACCTTCGTTTGCTATCTCTAGCCCCCTCCCTTTTAGCATGGCTCCCTGCTAATCAACCTCCCTCTCCCTGTAGCCTCAATAAAAATCTTTTGGAAACATGTTTCTCAGATCTTTTTGAAAAAAAAATGCCTGTTCTCACACTCTGCCTCTTGATGCTAGAAGAAATAGAAGTTTAGGGCACAAAGTGATGTGACAGATCAGATCTATGTTGGACAGTTCAGTGGGCCTAGCGTGGCTAAGTTATTCGGTCACTGAGTTAGATGGCAGCAGAGCCAAGGGGGTTCGAGGTCCCTCTATGATCCCTTACACCCCCAGATAAACCCAACAGTACCAAGTCACCCCAAAGGAAGGAGTAACAAGTGGGACCAGGGAGAACCAGATGCTGCTGAAACAATCTTCACTCCACAGACTCACTAAAGCTAGCAAAGAACACCTGATAACCCATCCAGCTTTACATTACCAACAGGGCAGAATGAAAGGAACTGCAACTGCCTTTGAGCAAAGGTGGTGATCATTCATGACTCTTGAGTTTGCCCTTTTATTTTTATTTTTATTTATTTATTTATTTTTTGAGACAGAGTCTTGCACTGTTGCCCAGGCTGGAGTGCAGTGGCGCTATCTCGGCTCACTGCAAGCTCCACCTCCCGAGTAGCTGGGACTACAGGCGCCCGCCACCACGCCCGGCTAATTTTTTGTAGTTTTAGTAGAGACGGGGTTTCACCGTGTTAGCCAGGATGGTCTCGATCTCCTGACCTCGTGATCCATCCGCCTCGGCCTCCCAAAGTGGAGTTTGACCTTTTAAAAAATTCTAGGGCCAGGTGTGGTGGCTCACGCCTGTAACCCCAGCACTTTGGGAGGCCGAGGTGGGCAGATCATGAGGTCAGAAGTTTGAGACCAGCCTGATCAACATGGTGAAACTCCATCTCTATTAAAAATACAAAAATTAGCCGGGCATGCTGACGCACGCCTGTAGTCCCAGCTACTCGGGAGGCTGAGGCAGGAGGATTGCTTGAACCTGGGAGATGGAGGTTGCAGTGAGCTGAGATTGTGCCACTGCACTCCAGCCTGGGTGACAGAGCGAGACTTCGTCTAAAAAAAAAAAAAGGTTCTACTGGTAGAACTACACAGGATTTCCAATGCCATTTGACAAAGAAGGTAGGAATTTTGTAATTCAGTCTTACTCTTGCCATCTTACAATAATGGGTCAGAAAGGTTCTTATTTTGTTCAAATATCTTAGTCTAAAGCTTCTGATCTAAATTCTATATGGAACTGAACTTTACTGTCATCTGTAAAACAACAGAACATAATATGGTCAATACATAATTCTTGACTCAAACTACAAAACCTGCCTCTCCCCCATGGTACCAGTGTGCACTTAGTTGCTCAAGCCAAAAACTCAGGAGTCATATTTGCTTCCCTCCCATTCCTCACCCCACACATGCAATTTATTATAAAGTCCTGTTTTACTGCCACCTTGAAATCATATACTTCTTTCCCTCTCCACTGTCACCCTACCCAAGTCATCATCAGATCTTCCCTGAATTACTGTGGTAACCTCCTAATGGGTTGCCTTGCTTCCACTTTTGTCCCTGTACAATCTATTCTCCACATAGCAGACAGTCATCAGGGTGCCCACATGATGCAAGTAAGTCACAGTGAATTTGGTCCCGCCAGTAAGTCCTTGAGTGCTGGCCACTGATATAACATGCAGGAGGATGAGGAATAATTTGGATTTGTAATGTCAGTGATCTCATGGCATCACTACACTCTGAAAAGTCAAGCATGAATTACTTTATAGGAGACTCAAGGAAGACAGCTGTAATCATTTGGATGCATGCCACTAGAACACTACAGAATGGACACTACACATAGTGACACATTCTGGAGGATATGGAATGAGAAACAGAGTAAGACCAAGGATGAACTGAGTAGACTTAGTGAAGAATGACATGGCGCAAAAGGATTTAAAGAATGAAGCTGGGAAACCAACAATATCCAGCCACCAGGAAGACGTTAACCCTATCACGAGTGATGAAACCAGTTAAGAATTCCAGCCAAACAGCAAGGCCTTGAAGGGAAAAGATCTCATATTATCTCAGCCCTGATAACATTTGTCTGGTGATTATCAGAACACTAAGCAGTAGAGATGAGGGTTTTTTACAAAATATTTGTTAGTTTTCAAGTTCCTTTCCTACCACTTAAGTCTGGCTTATATATAACCAGCATAGTTTTGTGACTGTTAAAGATGTACCAGCCTGTCACTATTCTTGGTGACTCTTTCATTGAAAAAAACTGATGTCTGTTGTATTTGGATGGGCAGAGAAACTTACACATATAAAAGATCTACAGGGAAGGGATGGGCACAGAGATGGAAAGCAATTTCACCAGCCCCAAACTGGAGTAAACAGTTACCATGGTTACTTAGGGTTGGTATGTTTTCTGCATTGATTTAAAAATGCTTAGTTACGTTAGCATTCCAGTGCTGTATTGGCACTAAGTTCACCACATCAGAGGAAAAACTGTCAACAAGCCATTTTCCAGAGCCTGGACAACTTTGTCCTCTGGTGAAACAATATCACTGCAGAACGTTCAGAAAGTGGATGGCCATTAGCATCCCTTTGACATGTTTAACGTACCCAGATTCCAACCCCTTCTTGGAACATTTTTCAGGGCGGGTGAGCCCCCTTTCTACAAACACAGCTCCTTTCATAAATCAGACAATATTGAGGAGTTAAGACGAAATGAATTTCTACCGGGCCAAAACTTAGCTGTTACTACAATAGTGTACGCTGGCAGGAAACTGCCTGGAGGGAGCAATCGATAACCAGAGTGGAGAGGACAGGAAAGCAACAATCACAAGTCCCAGTGGACTAAGCAACTGGGGGACAGAGATTCTGTCATTTATCTCATTAGCCCCAGATCCTAGCAGGTGCCCAGCATTCACAAAACACTTGTTGAACTGACAGTTGAAAGAAAGAAAAAAGAAAAAAAAAAAAGCTCAGAGGTGGAAGCTTGGTAAGTGCGGTGTGAAACTAGAAAAATAAGGCTTTTGGCCGGGCGCGGTGGCTCACGCTTGTAATCCCAGCACTTTGGGAGGCCGAGGCGGGCGGAACACGAGGTCAGGAGATCAAGACCACAGTGAAAACCCGTCTCTACTAAAAATACAAAAAATTAGCCGGGCGTGGTGGTGGGCGCCTGTAGTCCCAGCTACTCGGAGAGGCTGAGGCAGGAGAAAGGCGTGAACCCGGGAGGCGGAGCTTGCAGTGAGCCGAGATCGCGCCACTGCACTCCAGCCTGGGCGACAGAGCGAGACTCCGTCTCAAAGGCCGGCGCGGTGGCTCACGCCTGTAATCCCAGCACTTTGGGAGGCCGAAGCGGGCGGATCACGAGGTCAGGAGATGGAGACCATCCTGTCTAACACGGTGAAACCCCGTCTCTACTAAAAATACAAAAATTAGCCGGGCACGGTTGCAGGCGCCTGTAATCCCAGCTACTCGGGAGGCTGAGGCAAGAGAATGGCGCGAACCCGGGAGGCGGAGCTTGCAGTGAGCCGAGATCGTGCCAGAGGAGTATACAACCTTGGTAGATGAGGAGTGAAGAGAAAAACTTACAAAAAGTGGATAGTGAATTATGTGTCATGAGAGGATCCCACAAAAACGTTACATTTGTCGTACACAGTTGTGCACAAATGTAATGTGGACACATTTGCACACACATGTGCACACAAACATGGTATGTACTAATGGGGAACTGGAACTTGACAGAACAATGAAGGGTGCAGGGTTCTGGGAGGGGCCCTGTTTGTTTTGGCCCCTGCTTGCAGCATGGGGAGTGGCTGAGGGAGGCTGGGGGCAGCCAGTGAGGGCAGACACCAGCTGCAGGTGGCACACAGGGTGTGGACATGTCCTGGGCAAGGCAGCTCCAGACACCCATCTGTATGGCTCTTTCTTTGTTCCACAGGAACAAATGAGCCCTTTCACAAATTCCAAAGGAGAGCCCGTCTAGTCCTATTTCCTAATAGAAACCAAAATTTACCTGACAATCCACCTTGTTTTTATTATCTATATATAGCAATGAATGATCTGCTCCCTATAAATAGGCTGCAAAACGGGGCTGTGCCTTTAGCAAACATTAAAGTGGAAATGGCCCTGACACAGATCAATAATGCTTGCCCATTTCCGTGTGCTGCTCTGTTTATTTTTAGCCCTTACACAGAGCCTGATACTTGTAGAAAAAAACTCCGTATCACCTTCAGGAATATTACCAATTAATGACGAAGGCAGAAATAGAATTTAAATTTACTTTATTCCTATCATTTCTTTTTTATAGGAATAAATTCAGACTTGGCATGAATTTGTTCTACTACCTCATTACATAGGTTCAGCCTTTGGGGAAGGAGATCATGAAGCTTATGAAATTCCATACCTCCTTTATTATTCCCTGTTTTCTTCTATTTGCCAATTTAGCTAAGAGTTCAGGTCTTTATCCCATGGGCAAAGAAGTACATGTAAATGCACATAAACTCAAAGAGAGAACTTTGCTCAGACATAGGAAGGAGTATGACCCCTCTCTCAACTTCCTTTACATGCACATCATCACTTAGTACATGAAGGAAACAGAGCTGCAAAACCCCAGTGAAGAGTGCCTTCATTGGTGCTCTTTGGCAATATAAAAGGCATATTAGAAAAAGCAGAGGGCACGAAAGCAAGTAACTGAGACCCAATTCACTACACGAGTTGCCTTACCATCTCTGTTTTTCCCATGGAGTCCAGCACAATGCCCTCACACAGCTGGTGTCAGCTGATGCTGGAGTTAAAAAAAAAAAAAGTTTTTCCTAAACACAAATCATATTGTGATTATTTGTTGAATACTAAAGTTCCCAGTGGACTTGTAAACTCCTTGAAAGTCCAGAAAAGAGTTCCGTCCTCATGTTTGCATCCTCAGTAACTAGACCAAAGCCTGGAATGACATACATGCTCAGAAAGTCTTTTTTTTTTTTTTTTTTTTTGAGATGGAGTCTTGCTCTGTCACTCAGGCTGGAATACAGTGGCACGATCTCAGCTCACTGCAACCTCCATCACCCGGGTTCAAGCAATTCTCCTGTCTCAGCCTCCGAGTAGGTGGGATTACAGGCACCCACCACCACGCCTAGCTAATTTTTATATTTTTAGTAGAGATGGGGTTTCACCATGTTGGCCAGGCTGGTCTTGAACTCCTGGTGTCAAGTGATCCACCCGCCTTGAACTCCCAAAGTGCTGGGATTACAGGTGTGAGCCAACACACCCAGCCAGGAAGTTTTGATTGAAAGATCAGATTATGTTACCACGTGATCCTGGGTAAGTCCCACAACTCCTTAGGGCATTCACATCCTCATCCAGGGGGTTTTATCAGAGTCCATAACAACAGCCATCAATAGGCATGTGACTGCCCTCAAATTCTGGGCAAAATTTTATTTAGCAGAATGTGTGCATCATTTTTTCTGAGAAGTGAGTATATATCTTTTATTGTCTCAAAGGGGTCTGTGACTGTTCCCTGCCCCAAAAAGTTTAAAAATCTTTAGCCTAGAGTAGAAATCTTCAAAATTATTAGATCATGAATCCCAACACTAAAAAGCTTTTAAGTATGCATGTCATGTTCATGCATACTTAACATACATTTATGTACATACATGTAGATATGTACATATGTACTATATTAGGTACATTATAAAACAAACATCAACATTACAAAAGCATGAAATAAATATAAAATAAACCATACTTTAAAAGATTTTTGGCCAGGGTGGTGGCTCATGCCTGTAATCCCACCACTTTGGGAGGCCGAGGCGGGCGGATCACTTGAGGTCAGGAGTTCAAGACCAGCCTGGCCAACATGGTGAAACCCCATCTCTACTAAGAAATACAAAAATTAGCAGGGCATGGTGGCATGCACTTGTAATCCCAGCTACTCGGGATGTTGAGGTATGAGAATCACTTGAACCTGCAAGGCGGAGGTTGCAGTGAGCCGAGATCGCACCACTGGACTCCAGCCTGGGAGACACAGTGAGGCTCTGTCAAAAAAAAAAAAAAAAAAAAATTTCTTTAAATACATCTAATAGTACAAATCCTTTTTGTCTTACCAAATAATCACTATTTTTATCCAGAACAGTGTGACCGAATGTGCTTCATTATGTTTAAAAATCTCGCTTTAATTATTTGTGATATGTTAATTTTGAAGTCTAGTTCTAAGTTCAATTTATTTTACATAGCTGAGTTTTAAGGGCTGTCATTGTTTTAGGCCATAAATTCACACAGACTGTAAACATTTACAAACATTTTTTCACAATGTTCTCTTTAAAATAGTTGTTATTTTCTTTCTTATTCTTAAGATGACACCTTTATCTTGAAAGAACAAATTCATTACGTTTAGTATTTTAAAAAATGACTGCTAGGTAGCATACTACTGAAGTTGCTTATTATCACAGAAATAGTTAATGAAATATGAAACACTTTCCTTTTCATAAAGAGAAAGATGAATATAACTATCTGTAAGCTTGACAGTTCTTCATTAAGTATTTTTCAACAAGATACCAAACAAACTTCTGTGAGGTACAAAAGATTTTCATGGTCCTTTCACAATTTACTACATAGTATTATATGGCTTCTACTGTACAAGATATTAAAGGTTTGTTTTTATAAAATTAACATTAGTAACGTCCCGCAGCCTTTTGTGTACCTCTGGTTTTAACATCCGGGTTGCACTAGCTTGCTTATGAATGATGCAGTGAATGAATTTATGTCTTGTAACATTACCCTGGAATCCGTCTCAAGGAAACAGCTGCTTCTTAAGAGAAAACTACTTCTTTTTTTTTTTAAATTTTTCATAAAACATTTTCATAAAGTCTGTGAAGAGATCTCTGGTGGTGGCTCACCAAAAAGTTCTTAGTATATTTCATCAGCGAAACAAAGTAACAAGCAAGATAGATCTAACATCTTCCAAATATAAAACAAGCCTTTTGTCTCCATGATTTGATCTAATACAATACTTGTTTCTTCAACAAGATTTTGGCAACAGTTTCTATAATTCCTTCCACAGCATTTTTCTGACAAAGAAATTCATTTTACATAGATGTTATTTTCAACATATTATCTTGTCTTGCTTTAGGAGGAAGAACAAATGTTTCCTAAAGATACATGGATTTTTTTTAACTTGCATACAAGTAAAAAAAAAAAAACCTTAAAAGAGGTTTCAAAACACATATTTAATTTAGTAAAGTTTTATAAAGATTCTTATGTAAATTTAAACATTGATGAAAAATTATAGAAGTTATTCTTCATGTTTTTCTAATGGTGGTATCTTCATATTATCATTAGGAAATTTCTCAAGGCCAAGTATACACTTCATTCCAATATATTCATTCTTAATGATAGTAGGTATAAATCTATATTTCAATTAGTTATCTCTACAATTTTGAGATTTGGGGGCTAACTTATAAGATCTGATTGGATTGTTATTGTTTTTAATTCCTAATTTGGCTAACAAAGAGCTTATTTTATGATAAAGTAGCAACTCCATTTTCATATTGTTCATTTGTGCTAGCTTGCACAAATAGTGATGACATCTTCAATCACATTTTGTTTTTGTTTTTATTCTACTTTTGTCAGAATTCTTTTTAAGCTACTTGACCTTTTTGTTGCTGAGGGCTAGTATATTTAAAACTAATTAATATTCTGCAAATCAACGTTAATACATATAAATATATGGGCAATATATTATACAAATACATATATGGACACACATAAATACATGCAACATGCTACAGACATGAGGGAACCACAGCTGAGCTCGGTATGCTGAGGAAAACCTAGTCCTCCTTCAGAACACATCATGTATCTTACTTAACACATGGCCTTCTAGTCTAAAGAACAGAGGAGGTGCAAATGTCAATCCATGTATTTAATATTAGTAAAAATTTTTCTTATTCTTTGGGTATAAAAAAAATGCATTGAAGTTGTAGTATTTTCTTCCCATACCCCAGTGGTTTATCTTGCAAACTCCACTCTGGAAACCTTGGTCTAGATAATCTCTAGTGACGTTTCCAACTGAAAATGAAAAATTAATGAATGTTATGCTGGAAGGACACTGGCCCTCATTGTTTGATTGCTCGAAGAACTCCTGGATAATCCCCAAATTCATGTTTCTTTCCTAGTGGCTCCAGAGAAACCCTCCAACCAAAAGTTCACTGAGAGACGAATCAAGTGAGGTTACTGGGGTGAGTTTTCTTCTGCAGTCACTTAGAAGAGAGTCTGGGTGAATCCACTCAGAATTGGGAGAACTGGGTAACGTCAATAAGTCTGTCTCACAGCAAAATTATTCAGCACACACAAATTGCATTTGGAAGCCTTAACAGCTGCAAATGGGAGGGATACGATGGGGTCATGTGTTTTCATAGTTGTTGTTCTGGACAGCTCTGTTTTGTGTGGGAAGAAGAAATAAACTGTGTTCTATTATGTGGAAGGTAGAAGTTTTCTAAATTTAGAGTCTTTATCACCTGTTATTTGCTCTGAACATGGTTTTCCATATTTCCACCCTGAGGTGCAGGAGCTGAGGAAGTCCAGTGTATACCACTGCAATCAGTGGTAACCAAGTCATATGGCAGGCAACGGGCCAGACAACCTGGTCCAGTGACCGAACCCTATTTTAAGAGTCTGAAAGGACAGTTATAAACATTCAGGAGACGTTATCTCTTTAAAAAATTTATTTATTTATTTATTTATTTATTTATTTATTTATTTATTTATTTATTTTTAACCTTGCAGCTTCAGCTCAAAGGATGAGAGAGGAGGTGTTATTTTTATAGCAGCAGGATCTGGTTACCTATAAGCAAAATCTTTTTAAGGTACTAAGTTACAATAACATAGGTAGGTTTTCAAATAAAGGAAGACAGGACCAAAAGATGATCTCCAGAATCTGTCCAAATTTCCTCCACAAAAACTGCTTCTCTCCTGTTCTTATAAGGAATTCCCTGAGATTCCAAAGCCCAATTCCTTTCAGGGGTTAAGCATTCTCGTAACCAGAATCCTTCCCAAAACCAAGGATAATTAGCTCTTGGGAAATTAAATTGATTGCTTATGTCTATGTTTGAGAAAATGTAGGTGTACAGAATATTGATGTCATTCAGTATTTATTTCTTCAGAAAAAAGATTTGTTGACAAAAACAAGAAAAAATATCCAATCTAGGTTGTTTTTCTGTATGTTAGAGATTCCACCCATATTCTCTATTATCAGAGAGAACTTAAAATAATAAAGGATTATTTGTGTCTCATTTATAGTACCCTTTCCACTTGGCCTTTTCAAAAATGAGAAACGGCTCTTATAAATGACATTTTTATTTGTGCTACTTCTTTACATACAGGTTTATAAGCACCTGTATTGTATTTCTTATATAAAGGGACAGAGTTAACTGTGTGAATCCCAACTGGATTCCTGTTACATGTTTGCATATGGGATTTCCCCTCTTTATTTTACCATGAAACTAGATTCTCCACATTCTACCAACCCCAACCAGCCAACACTCTGCCCCCACAAAATCTTGTTTCTTCTTGTATTAAAGTATGAAACCTATTGGTGACTTTTGCTTAGAGTGTGTGATCAGACACATTTAGTTGGGCTCTTCCATGCAACACAGGTAAAGGAAACAGCCAAAATTGCAACTTAGGCAGCCAACTAGTAACCTGGTGAGTATTATCCTTACAATGAAAAGTTACCAACTGGATGCCAACTTTACATTTCCCTGCCTACAAGAAGGAATAATAAACAGACTGGAAAGATGAATAGAATTATATTGTGTTAACATTGGAACAAGTCCATACAAATGATCCAGTTTTCTGTTCCTTTCTCAGAAGAGGAACCTGGTGACTCCTGGTGACTTTCTACATCCATCTCCAGTCAGAGACAGTGCCTAGACCACTCAGGGTTCTGAGTGGGGTTGAAGCAGAATGGAAGACTTGGCCATTCGGTCATTTACACTGACTTCATAGAGAAATCTTTGAAGGTCAAAGAACTTTTCAGTAACTACAATTAGGTAACCAATTTCATAAGGTGGTAAGGGGTTACACAAGGCACATAAAGGTTTAGATATTTATTAGTTATTCAAACATTTAGGAAATTATAAAGGACAACCAAAATCAACCTGTTTCATTTCAAAGCAAAAAAGTATTTTGTACACTCCTGGATATTTTCCAGCAAGTTTCCACCAACCTCTGTCAACTCACATTCCCTGACAGAAGCCTAGAAAATGAGCTAACCCTACATGGCCCACAAACCAGCTCACTTTTGTGAGGGTCGAGAACCAGGCCACAGTGGCACATCCAGGCCCAACTGTCACATCTCTTGCATTTTCTCCAATTGGAAGCCAACAGGCCTCTTACTGCCAGAATGTTCATTCTGAAGGAATGTCTGTGAGAGCCGAGCTTCCAATCCCTTTCCCAACACACTATCCCTGGATCAAGCATGAAAATCTATGCTCTGTATTTAAGCTGGAGATGGAATAAAGACTAAAAATACTGTCAAAATACTTTTTCCACTGAGGAATATTATTCAGCCTTAAAAAGGTAGGAAATTCTGACATATACTAAAACATGAGTAAACCTTCAGGACATTATACCAACTGTAATGTTGGCTACAAAAGACAAATACTGTATGATTCCACCAAAATGAGGTAGAGTAGTCAAAATCACAGAGACAACAAGGAGAATGGCGGTTGCTAGGAGCTTGGGAGTTTTGTAAGATGAAAAGAGTTCTGTAGATGGATGGTGGTGATGGTTGCACAATATTATGAATGTATTTACTACCACTGAACTGTACATTTAAAAATGATTTAAGATGTTAAATTTTATGTTATGCACATTTTACTGCACAAAAATAATATAAATAATAAAAAATACTTTTTCCATGGAGCCTTCATACTACTAACTTCCTCTCTTAAAAGTGATACCCTGCATGAAATAATCCTAGTTCAAAATAGAATGTTTTAATCTGCATTAAAGACTTTTGAAAATGTAAGCCTAGGAAGATCTCTGAGATTTAAGCAATAAAACTATCCACTCGGTACACTGAATCCATCAGCCAGGATACTTCTGTGAAGGACTAATGCTGGAAGTGAATGAATAAGGCTCCGATGACTGATCCAAATGCAGTCATCGCGGCATGCCTCCACCTACTCATCCAAATAACCTCAAGCTCTTTGGGCATGTGTTCAACTGCTCAATCTAGCATGAGGGGATGGCTATGCTCACAATCCAAGGCTCTATCTTGGTCTGAGCCCAAAAAATGAGGTATTGTCTCTCATTTGGGTATGCAGCAGAGCACTGCTTTTTTTCCTAGTCTTTTGCTTAAAGATTAGACTATGCAAGTATGTTTGCAAAAATTAGGTATCTTCTGTGGTAAAAATTCCTACATATAAATAACAAATCTTCCTCATGTTGCCTGGAAAGAAAAGGAAAAGGAAACTGATTCCCTAAAAGTGTAGTTTTCCCCCACATCCCTATATTATCACACCTTCAAATATGAAGATAAATAAGATTTTAAGAGAATTCATTTTTAACTGGTTGGTTATTCCTTGTTAACAATTTCAAACACCAGGTGAATCTACAGCTATGACTGTATATAGTTGATTATTGCTTCCCATGGATACTTTTAGAATGTAAAAGCTGCCATTTTAATTGGCATTCAGAGGTCTGCCAATGTGCAAACCCAAGCAGCTCAATTCTTTTGCCTAACTGGGAGAGTGAGTTATCTAGAAACAAATGGAATGGCCGATTAAAAGGTTGTCTTGGCTAATATTTTCCAGTTGGTCTACAGTTAGTTCAGCCCTGTTGAGTCCTTCCACTTCTTTGGACGACCAATGCAGCAAGCGTGGTGAGACATAGTGCTTGGGCCTCTAATCTTAGCTGTGACATTTCCTGTCTCATGTTCTACCATCAATAGTGACCTACTTGCTATACCATGTGATTTTCCAACTGGGGCTTTTGATGCTCACACATGGGAAACACAGTTATTTTTATATTTAGCACAAAATGTAGCCATGAAATGTTTCAAATGATTTCCAGTTCAGGATATCCACACTAATCTTATTTTGTGGTAATTCTTTTTTTGCTCTGTCATTTAGAAACATTATAATAGTTATGAACCATTAAAACAAAGCTTTCACTTTTTTAAAAAAGCAACCTGTGAAAATGCCACATTATGTCAGTACCTAGTAAATTGAAAACTAACTAGCAAAAAGTGAAAGACTCATGTCCTAGTTACTTATTTTGTTTGAAGAACTGGCTACAAATGACCTTTGTTGAAAGTGATAGGAAACAATACTTCTAGTATCATTGAGGTTTGAAATCATTAGAGAAGTGAAAATAACTTATTAATAATGATAAAAAGAGTAGACAAAAACTAATACTCAGAGATGGAACAGAAGTGCACAAAAAGACAGAGACACAGGATATGTTAGGTAAAACTATGGGCAAAAACTAAAAGCTCACTGAAAAACAGTACACAATAAGATTGCAAATACCTAGCAAGAAAGCCTTACAATACAACAAAATATGCCTGAGGGTACCTCAGTAAAGTTGATTTACTAGGCAAAGTAAAATTGTCATTCATAGTTTTTGAAATTAAGAAGAATGCAATCAGTGCAAATTTATGTGTGTGTGTAACACAGCAAATGACTGTTCAAAATTTTAAGTCTTTTCTTGTTAGACTTAATCCACAACCTTAAAGAAATGAATAGAGTTCAACACTCTCATAAGAATAACTCATTCCATGTCACTTGTGAACAAGCAAATTCCCAACACTCAACTGAATCTCCAAAACAGATGTCAGGAGTCTGCAATACACCTATTTAAGTGAATTTTCAAAACTCTGTGGCTACACCAGCTAGAAAGCAGTTGCTTTCTAGTGGAAGTGAATCATAATGGACCTTTCAAATCACAGTGTTCACACATGGAAAAGCACATGTTCCACTTTTCCTCTGCCAAAGAAGCCTCACAGCCACTCCCCAAAATACTTGAGAAATATTCCAGCAATGTGTGTGTATCCATCATGGACTCTTTCTCATTGTTACTGCTTTTGCTATACATTTTGTTATAACTTCATGCTGTTTTTCACCCACATAGCTTAGAAAGCAACAACAAGAACAACAATAAAATTAAAAGGAAAGGAAAAGAAAAGCTTCCGTTAAGACAGGGCTAAATCTACTGTATATGAAAACTGCTGTCAAAGGCAGTTGACAAGAGCTTACATAGACCATGTACCCATTTAACTTAAATAATAATGATACATTGACCCAGCCCTTTAATTACTGGTCTCATTTTCACCTGGATCCTGATGAGTTCTCACAATTATACACCCAAATCTACCCAAGTTATTAAGTGAGGAGGAAAGGGATCCCTGCCAGGATCCGTAAGAGGGAAGTACGATGCAGACAACATCATAACATCCTCTTCCTTTCTTTTTCTGACTTGTCTCTGATGCATAACATAAACACAATCTGGATGAATTAGATTAAAAATTACTCTCACATAGAGACCAATGTAACAAAACAGAAAACCCAGAAATTAATGAATCCATCTATATAAGGCCAACTGATTTTTGACAAAGGTGCCAAGAACATCCATTGGGGAAAAAACAGTTTCTTCAATAAATGGTGCTAAAAGCAATGGATATCCATATGCAGAAGAATGAAACTAGATCCTACCTCTGCCCCTATATAAAAATCTACTCAAAATGGATTAAAGGCCTAATTGTAAGACCTGAAGCTATAAAACAACTGGAAGAAAACATAGAGGAAATGCTTCAGGACATTGGTCTGAGAAAAGATTTTATGATTAAGAACTCAAAAATACAGGCAACTAATGCAAAAATAAGTAAATGGGATTACATAAAACTAAAATTCTTCTGCACAGCAAAGAAAAAAATTAACCAAGTGAACCAATAACCTGAAGAATAGAATATTTGCAAAGCATTCATCTGATAAGGGATTAATATCCAGAATATACAGAGAACTCAAACAACTCAATAGCAAAAAATCAAATAATCCAATTTAAAAATGAGCCAACAGGTATATGGAAAAATGCTCAGCATCGCTGATAGAGAAATGCAAATAAAAACCACAATGAGATAACTCACCCCAGATACGATGGCTACTATCAAAAAGACAATCTTATACACTGCTGGTGGTAATGTAAACTAGTACAGCCATTATCAACAGCAGTATAGAGATTCCTCAAAAAACTAAAAACAGAACTACTGTACGATCCAGCAATCCCACAATTGGGAATTTATCCAAAGGAAAGCAAGTTAATATACTGAAGAGATATCTGCAGCCCCATGTTTATTACAGCACTATTCACAATAGCCAAAATATGGAATCAACCTAAGTGTCCATCAATGGATGAATGGATTAAAAAATGTGGTATATATACACAATGGAATACTATCCAGCCTTAAAAAAGAATGAAATTCTGTAATTTTACAGCAACATGGATGGAAATGGAGGACATTATGTTAAGTAAAATAAGCCAGGAACAGAAAGCTAAACACCATATGTTCTCACTCATAACAGAAGCTAAAACACTTGATCTCACAGAAGTAAAAAGCAGAACAGCGATTGCTAGAGGTTAGAAAGGGTAGGAGGAAGTTGGGGATAGGCAGAAATTGGTTAAAGGATATAAAATTCCAGCTATGTAGGTGGAACAAGTTCTAGTTTTATAGCACTGTAGTGTTTTATAGCACTGCAGAATGACTATAGTTAACAATGATATATTATATAGTTTCAGATAGCTACAAAAGATATATTAAATGTTCCCAACACAAAGAAATGATAAATGTTTGAGATGATAGATATGATAATTACCCTGATCTGATCACTACACATTGTATGTACTGAAACATCACTATGTACCCCATAAATATGTACAATTATTATATGTCAGTTAAAAATAAATAAATTTGAGAAATTACTTTCAAATACGGATGTATTTTACTCACCATAAAATTCAGATATGCTTTTGAAAATATGACATGGGAAGTTTAGCTCAGAAGTATATTTCATAGTAAGTTACTCTAACAAGTTTTTCTGTAGAGGGAACACCAGAGGACTAGAAAACAATGTCAAGTAGGTTTAGGCTGACACCATGTGAAGAGACAACAGAGCTTTTGAGATCACCTGGGGAAAGGTCGAGGGAAGATGAGCAGGGAGGAGGGGAAAGTGAAGTTCTTGCCAACGTTAAATGATTATTTATTCAGTTGAATGGGAAAGTCACACTGCAAGCCCCAGAAAATAATGCCTCACAATTTAGTTGGCAAATGACACCACCCACAGAATGACAGGGAAAGAAAAAAACACAAAAGCACACACTTTAGTGGAGAAGGTCCCAAGCTGAAAGCCATAGAAAAGGACTTTGGAGGAAAGCATTCTGCTTCATTTCTGTCAACCCCTTCCAAACTAAAATCTGAGGTAAAGCTATTTTTCAACTTGTACCTTCATGATTACCTAGAATCACTAAGAACATAGTTCTAAGAATAAATCATTTTAGTGGATACAGCAGTACATCCCCCCACTTATTTGTGGGTTCAC
Organism: Homo sapiens; assembly: GCF_000001405.40. Taxonomy (NCBI): domain Eukaryota; kingdom Metazoa; phylum Chordata; class Mammalia; order Primates; family Hominidae; genus Homo; species Homo sapiens. Next base: position 127,015,757 of record NC_000005.10, read on the forward strand.
TTTCTGCAGTTACAGTTACCCTTGGTCAACCATGGCCCGAAAATATAAAATGGAAAATTCCAGAAACAAAGAATTCATAAGTTTTAAACTGTGCACCGTTCTGATGATGAAATCTCATGCTGTCCCACTCCATCCTACTTGGACATGCATCCTCTGCTTGTGCAGCACGTCTATGCTGTCTACATTCCCTGCCTGTCAGTCACTTAGTAGCCCTCTGCATTATCAGATCAACTGTTGCCAGAATCGAAGGAACCCTTACTTTACTTAATAATGGCCCTAAGAGTAGTGATGCTGGCATATTGTTATAATTGTTCTACTTTTATTATTAGTTATTGTTGTTAATCTCTACTGTGCCTAATTTATAAATTAAACTTTACCATAAGTATATACATGTAGGAAAAAAACATAGTACATATAGCTTTTATTACTAACCATAGTTTCAGGTATCCACTGTGGGACTTAGAACACATTCCCTGCAGACAAGGGTGAACTACTGTTATGAGTTCAAATGAAAAATTATGTGTATTGTACACAAAAAAATTTATTTTTTAAATGAATTTGTACTGCACAATCTACAGAATGGGAGAAAATTTTTGCAATCTACCCATCTGACAAAGGACTAATATCCAGAATCTACAAAGAACTTAAACAAATTTACAAGAAAAAAACAACCTCATCAAAAAGTGGGCAAAGGATATGAACAGATACTTCTCAAAAGAAGACATTTATGTAGCCAACAGACACATGAAAAAATGTTCATCATCACTGGTCATCAGAGAAATGCAATCAAAACCACAATGAGATACCATCTCATGCCAGTTAGAATGGAGATCATTAAAAAGGCAGGAAACAACAGATGCTGGAGAGGATGTGGAGAAATAGGAATGCTTTTACACTGTTGGTGGGAGTGTAAATTAATTCAACCACTGTGGAAGACAGTGTGGCGATTTCTCAAGGATCTAGAACTAGAAATACCATTTGACCCAGTGATCCCATTATTGGGTATATACCCAAAGGATTATAAATCATGCTACTAAGACACATGAACACCTATATGTATTGCGGCACTATTCACAATAGCAAATAGAAAGGCACTATTCACCAACCCAAATGTCCATCAATGATAGACTGGATTAAGAAAATGTGGCACATATACACCATGGAATACTATGCAGCCATAAAAAAGGATGAGTTCATGTCCTTTGCAGGGACATGGGTGAAGCTGGAAACCACCATTCTCAGCAAACTATCACAAGGATAGAAAACCAAACACCGCATGTTCTCACTCTTAGGTGTGAATTGAACAATGAGAACACTTGGACGCAGGGAGGGGAACATCACGCACTGGGGCCTGTCAGGTGGTGGGGGGCTGGGGAGGGATAGCATTAGGAGAAATACCTAATGTAAATGATGAGTTGATGGGTGCAGCAAACCAACATGGCACTTGTATACCTATGTAACAAACCTGCACGTTGTGCACATGTACCCTAGAACTTAAAGTATGATAAAAAAAAATGAATTATCCCAGTTTGCAATTTAGTCTTATAAGTATCTTCATTTTTAGAAGATATGTCAAATTAAAAATGGTGTCCTTAAAACTGCAATCAATTAAAAAAACTAAAGTTGAGTATTACTCAAACTTCCCTCTTGTACAGATGCTTCTCAACTTACAAGGGGTTTATATGTCTTTATGAACAGAACATAAGTTGAAAATATCGTATACCAAAATGCTTTAATACACCTAGAACATCATAGTTTAGCTTAGCCTATCTCAAACATGCTCAGAACACTTATATTAGCTTACCATGGGGCAATCTCATCTAATACAAAGCCTATTTTACAATAAAGTGTTGAATATCTCATGTAACTTATTGCATACTATGCTGAAAGTGAAAATCAGAATGGTTGTATGGGTACCATCATAAAGTTGAAAAAAGTCAAACCATCATTAAGTCGAGGACTATCTACACTAAGCTCTCTTGAAACTTGACATAATAAGCTTATATCAAAGAACTTTGATATCTGTATCTTTTTTCATCCTCAAACAAAATGAATAACTTTTTTTTAGTTTTTAAATTTTATAGGAAAAAAATCTGAGAGGGATATATTCAGCTCAAATGACAACCAGCATCCTACTTTATTCCTAGTGTAGAAGATAAAGACTGGATTATTAGAGGCCAAAACTTCTAAATATTCATTCCTTCATTAACTTATTCACTCATTTGTTCATTTGCTTTACAAAACAGGGTCTCTACCTTCATGGAGTTTATATTCTAGTAGGGGAGGCAGATAAAAACAAGTAGACAAATGAGCAAATTACATAAGATTGTGAAGCCACGTGCGGCAGCTCATGCCTGCAATCCCAGCACTTTGGGAGACCAAGGCGGGCAGATCACCTGAGGTCAGGAGTATAAGACCAGCCTGGCCAACATGGTGAAACCCCATCTCTACTAAAAATACAAAAATTAGCCAGGTATGGTGGTGGGCGCCTGTAATCCTAGCTGCTAGAGAGGCTGAGGCAGGAGAATCGCTTGAACCCAGGAGGTGGAGGTTGCAGTGAGCCAAGATCATGACAGTGCACTCCAGCCTGGGTGACAGAGCGAGACTTCATCTCAAAAAATAAATAAACAAATAAATAAAATAAAAATAAAAAAAAGATTATGGCAAGTACCATGAAGGAAACAAAAATGGGGCAGAAACAGAAAATTGGTGGTAGTGCAGGGGATCCTAACAGATGAGATGGGGTAGTCCTGGGAGGCACCTATGAAGAGGAGACATTCAAAGGCCTGAATGGAAAGGATGTCACCATACAAACTGAAGATGTGTGATCCAAGTGGAGGGAACAGCAAATGCAAAGGACCAGAGGTGGGAATGGGACTGGCTCATTAGACTAACAACATGGAAGCCAGTATGGCTGGAAAATTGAGTGAGGGCCAGAGGGTAAGTAATGAGGTCACAAAGATAAGCAGGCCCAATCACCCAATGCCCTGTAAGCCATGGTAGTCTTGGGATTGTCTTCCAAGCAAAGGGAAACCATGGAGAGCAAGATGAACCTGAGTCTAATCCTAGCTTAGCCACTTTGTAGCTATGTGACCTAAGCAAATTACTAGCTCCTCTTGGATGCTAAAATCCTAATTTACAAAAGGGTACTCAATAAATAATGGCCATTTACATTCATCAGTAATTATCAGTATTGTTAATGCTATGAAATATAAAGTTAATAAAAAATTTTATATTCAAATAGCCTATACTGCAAAATAATATGCCAGAAATATAGAATTATTAAGAAATAAGCAAATTATTTTAATCTTTTTCATTCAGAAAAGATCATACACTTATTTAGTACAAATAGATATAAATTAGTACATTCAAGTTCATTAGGGTTTATTGTGGTTCTACTCAGAATAATTATTGATTTTGGCACATTCCTCTGTCCTTAATTAGTCTGCATTGTGCCTTTTCTCTTGCCTAGGCCTTGCCATTTTGTATCCAGATAGTAATGAGGAGAATTTCATAGTTATTTTCCAAGTCACGACAAGTAGTAGACACACTGCCTGCCAACATCTACCCCCCTACCCCATCCCCCAACATACCTATACATACTTCTTTGTTGCTAACAGAATCCTAACTTTGTTCAAGTACATCTCCTCCCTCCCTCAGGCAATGATGGTGGTCCTTTGTTAGTGACACTGACAGACGGACATGCAAAGCAGTTCTGATCAGTGAGTTGAGAAGTCCTCTGGGATTCTTCTTAGCAATAATTTCATATTCTTCAAAAGGAGATCTTGGAACGGGGGCAGCTATGTGCTGTAGATATTGTCTTGTCTCCAAGTAACATCTAAACTGCTGAAGCCATCTTGCAAATAAGAAAATAACCAGTCTTAGATTGGAATGGTCCCTGAGGACAACAGAGGCAGAGAGATGAAAGGACCCTGTTTCCTTGATGACATCACTGTGCCACTGAATCAACCAATCCTGCCACCTGCCTTACTTTTCGCATGAGATAATACACGTCCTTACTGTTTATGTCAATTTGAGTTGGAGTCTTTTGTTTTGTATGCAGGAGATATACTATCAAGTGTACCACATTACTTCCATGTGGACATTTCCATTTGGAAGTATCACTAATTTCTTTGTCTCTTAGAAGGTCTAGGACAGGAACTAGGACTCTGATTCTAGCCCAGTGATCTCAAGAATCCTGGGATAGGAGATGAGACAGCTTTTTAATTTACAACACTGGCATAGTCACCCAGAAAAGCCCAAGGGGAAACACCCTAGAAATCACAATAGAAAGATGGTACTTTAGCATGAGTAGCCAGTACCAAATAATCTCTGTCTGTGGCTTTCCCTACGTGCTTAATAACTTTGACTTTCACCTCCCACCTGTCTGAGACATCTGTTCTTCTCCCTAAACAAAGCATACTTTTCATTGGTCTTCTGTTGCTATAAAGCAGCCAACTCAGCTCTTATCCAATTACAGGAGTTTCAATAGAGATCACATAGGAGTATCACAGATCCCAGGCACAGGCCAGATGTTAAGGAAGCAAAAACAGCTTCACACTGTTTAGGGACAAGAGGATTAAAGTGGAGAAGCACTCCAGAGAAGAGGTGCAATGTTGTAAGGAGGTAGACTTACCTGAACAGAAAAGAGGAAAAAAATCTTGACCATCTGTTATGGTCTAAATATTTATATCTCCCCAAAAAGACATTGAATCCTAATCCCCAATGTGATAGTATTAGAAGGTGGGACCTTTGAGAATTGATTATGAGCCCTCCTGAATGGGATTAGTGCCCTTATAAAAAGAGACCCTAGGCTGGTTGTGGTGGCTCATGCCTGTAATCCCAGCACTTTGGGAGGCCAAGTTGGGCAGATCCCTTGAGCTCAGGAGTTCATGATCAGACTGAGCAACATGGTGAAACCATGTCTCTACAAAAAATGGAGAAATTAGCTGGGCATGGTAGCGCGCATTTGTGATCACAGCTACTCGGGAAGCTATGGTGGGAGAACTGCTTGAGCTCGGGAGGTTAAGACTGCAGAGCCGAGACTGTGCCACTCTACTCCAGCCTGGGCAACACGGCGAGACCTTGTCTCAAATAAATAAATAAATAAATAAAAATAATAAAATAAAATAAAAATAAAAAGAGACCCTGGAGAGCTAGCTAGCCCTTTCTGCCACGTGAAGTTATGGTGAAAAGGCACCATCTGTGGGGAAGAAGGCCCTCCCCAGACACCAAATCTGCTGGCACCTTGATCTTGAACTTCCCAGCATCCAAAACTGTGAGTAACAAATTTCTGCTATTTATAAGTTACTTGATCTATTTGTTACAGCAACCCAAACAGACTAAGATATCATCAACTGACACTGGCTTTTTTTTTCAGCCATGTAGAGTTTTAAAAAGTGAAAATATTAGGGACCAGAAAAAATATCCATTTAATACCCACCCCCCACCAACACACACACTATGGAGGAAAGGGATGGAGTAGGATTATTGCTTGGGGAACTGAGGTGGGGGTTAGAAATGAAGTCAAATAAAAGATTACATCAATGTCTAGTGGTTCACAACATGCAAAAAGCAGGATGGCAAGAAACCAAATTAACCATTCCAGTCTAATAAGAATTTTTCCTACAAGAAATTTTTAGAATTATAAATTTTGCATGTAACAGAGAGCAGAAAATATAATACACACAGATTTCATAATTTCATACAGTATTTGAGAAGCATTACTTGGAAAATGGGGTGAACATTATAACTGGTGAAAATTTGCTAAGAGACCATAATTAAAACAGAATAGTAAATGGTGCCTTAGCTCTTGAAACGGTCACTATCGGGATTCCATTTAATGTCTTCATTGCTAATTTGCAGTGCAAGTGGAAATTCATTCAATGTAAGGATGGTATCTAACTGTGAGATGTTGCCAGGGGCAGGAAAGTGGTAGAAAAATAAATGAAGAGGTTAGAAACAACACAACTTAATTAGGTAGATCACCCAAAACACAAAAAATAGAGTAAAATAAATGAAGAAAAACCCGAAACTCACTGGCAATAATTCTGAAGGGAATGAAAAAAGTGACAAATGTTGACATTAGCTATAAAAGTAATAACTTAGCCTCAAAAGACAAACAGACCATAGCTAGTGAAAACAACAAATTAAGAATCTATCAACAAAAGACACACCAGTCCACATGTCCTGTTTTTAAAGAAATCAGGGTAGGCCTGCCCTTCTCCATATTCTGTGTATACTTGTTTTTGTTTTATAGAAAACCTCATCTTGTTGTAATAAATATGTGTGTTGCTATTTGAGCCATATGATCTTGTTTCTCAATGATAGATAAGTGAGCGGGAGGTGGTAAGAGTAATTAGACAAATAAGGGGGAGGTATCACTGGCAAGGATGGGCAATGTTGGTGAGAACTAAGGTTTTGTGAGGCTAATCACTTTTTTACTGTGTAGGCTGTCAGAGCATGTAATATCCCATCGGAAAATCACATTGGAATGCTCTAAGCAAGTCCTTTGAGAATGGTCAAAAATGCATTACTCTCGAAGGGAAAAGATTAATGGTGACACTGATGGTAACAGAGCTTTTATAAAGTGGAGTTCTTACCTGAAAAGATGGGGAAAGAGAATATCAAAGGAAGGACAACAGTATTGGAAGTTGGAGGCTGAATTAAGGAGTAAGTTGAAATTAGGGAAACAAAAGGTAAGAACTTTCTGACTGAGAACCTCAGTATGTGCAAAGTGTAAGAGGAACAAGATTTAATAGTTAGGACACTGAAAAGAAGATATGGGAAAATGCCAAAGCAAATTTCCACAGGGAGAACATCTACTAGTTGCAAGAAAGGGTCCGCACATAATTGGTTCTACACTCTCATCTGGAACGTCCCTTGAGTCCTCCCAACCCCCGGATCCAAAGGCAAAAGCAGAAGCCCCAGGATATGCAGAAACAGGTACTCCTGATTTGCAAGACCCAAGAGAAACCAGCATTTGAGTTCATGACCTAATCTGGGGTTGCTCATCTTCTATGTGGGCTTAAACATTTAAGTACCTCCTAGGCTTAACCATTCAATTCTCTATTTTCTTCTTGGCAGGCAGATATGAGAAGAAAGCACCTGCATTAAGTGAGGCTCAATCTCCCAGATGAGACAGAAAATAGGGGACCTTGATCTCTTGCAATCATTTAAAGCCCCATAAGATCCAATAGAAAAAGGCTATCCTAATGGCCTCTTCAGGTAGTTAGGCTTAATTCAGCTGATCCTTGGTCTGTACACATGGACGCATGGTCTGTACACGACCTCAGTAACCCATTGTCCAGGACTAGTGTTTACCTAAGCCATCAGACCATGTGTTAAACATGACTATGTAGAGGGTGCTTTCTAAACAAAAGGAGATTTATAAATGAAAACTACAGTCTTCCCTCAGTATACACGAGGGACTGGTTGCAGGACATCCATATATAATGAAATCCACCAATATAAGTCCCCTATTTGGTCCTGAGGAATCCATGTACATATAAAAACTCTGTCCTCCCTATATGTGGCTTTCAAACCCTGCCAATACTGTATTTTTGATCTGCTTATATAAGTGGACCTGTACAGTTCAAACCTGTACAGTTGTTCAAGGGTCAACTGTATTATAAAAATTAGTTTATAAAATAAAAAATTGCTGGAATTATTTTTTTTAAAAAGTTTCCCTCAGGCTGGGCATGGTGGCTCACACCTGTAACCCCAGCACTTTGGGAAGCTGAGGTGGGCAGATCACTTGAGGTCAGGAGTTCAAGACTAGCCTGGCCAACATGGCGAAACCCGATTTCTACTAAAAAATACAAAAATTAGCCAGGTGTGGTGGTGCATGCGTGTAATCCCAGCTACTCGGAAGGCTGAGGCAGGAGAATCACTTGAACCAGGAGGTGGAGGTTGCAGTGAGCTGAGATTGCGCCGCTGCACTCTAGCCTGGGTGACATAGCGAGATTCTGTCTCAAAAAATAAATAAATAAATAAATAAATAAATAAATAAATAAATAAATAAAAATAAAAAATAAAAAAAGGTTCCCTCAACAAATGTCAAGCTTCCCCTTCGTGCTGAACTTCAGACATTAGCAGCCTCCAGGTCAAGCACCATTTTGCTCTTCAAAGGCCCCTAAACCTCCCACAGCCAAAGCTTAGTCACCTGCATTGGATGACAAAAGGAACCAAGCCATTTTCAACTTCAAATGACATTACAGTGAAGCTGTCCCAAGTTTCAAAGTAGGACTCATGAGTCAGCTGCCTTTTCAAGATATGACAAGGGGTATGGGAACAAAAGAGAAATCAGGGGAGATGACCTAGCCTAGGGTGGGAGTTGAAGACATCCTTAGAGAAGACACATAGGAAGGTAGTGAGAGGAGGAGGCAAGGTAGAAATGAAACAGAGGGACTTTGGAGATGGATGGAGTAGGAATGGATGATATAATAATTCTATGAAGTGCTGAGATCACTGCTAAAGTTGACAGTTGAACACTAGGATTCACTTACTGCTACCATTCAAACTTTTGGTGAACTATCTTTATGCATATCCTTTTAAGGCCTTGTAAATGTTCACTTGTAATTCTTTGTAGCCTCTAGCACACCCAGCAACTCTTTCTTGAGTAACCTTGCTTGAGAAGCTACAAGATGAAAAGTGTGGTCCCTTGCCTCAAGGGGCTCCAAGAGGGAGAATACAGCAGATAAGGGTTCTGCCTGAAGAAGACATCAGGTCAAACGGGGACAGGGAAAAGCTTCCCAAAGGCATTAATATTTGAACTGAATCCTGAATTGGCTAAGTAGAGAAGTACTACCCATGATAGGTACTCAATTAGTATTTGTTAATTAATTTCAGCTCACTTTCATTCGTAAAGATTACCTGAAATATCACTGAAGGACTGGGAGCTAGTTCTTATCACCACTGTTTTCATTATTGTCAATTAAAAAGATAAGTCTATCTATTTTAGTGTTCAAGGGTATAATCTGAAAAAGTACCACATCTTACCTTTGGCAGGGGTGGGGGAGTGTACTCATAATTTTCCCAATTATGAGTTCTCTTGTTGTTCTATGATTTCACAGCAAAAAGTTTTAAAAGCCTTCAAAACCAGCACATTTTGCTCACTTGAAATATGTTTATATTTTAGCATAAAATATACTCGGCAGCTCCTAACATAGTTGGATGGCTACGCATTGCAAAAACTTGATTTCTTTTTAATCAAATTTTTAGAACCGCACTAGGTTTCTTGCCAGTACTGCAACAGTGAGCAATAAATACATCATTAGATCAATGGTGGTCCAATGACGGATTACTCAAAAGATAGTTCCAGCCAAAAGGAATAAGCCAAGAAGTAACATTGTGCAGAGATTAATAAAATATTGTTTAAAACACAGATACTGAGTTAATATAACAGGGAAGAAAACATTGCAAAATAGAACAAAACAGCCATAGGTTTATAATATAGTGATATTGATCACAGATTTTCCTAAGTACTCCAGGGCAGCCACACTATTATATATGCCTCTGATTAGACCCAGAGATGAGAAGGAAAAAGTTATTAAAAAAAAAAAAAAAAAGAAAGAAACTAACCAGGGGAAGGCCTGCTGCTATAATAAATTATTTAAAGCAAGCAGGGTGAGCAGGTTGTGAGGACAATATAAAACAGAATCAATGCCCCCAAGAAACCCCAAACCGTCTGCACCTCTATAAATTTCTTACCACCCTGTCTGGCATTTTACTGGAGGTATTTCTTTTCCACCATCCTACCCACCCCACCCCTGACCCTTCACTTTTTGCCCAGTTCTTTTCTCAGAGCTTAACATTTGTTTTCCTTCTGTAACCCAGGATGCTGTCTTCAGTTATATTTTTCAGCTTGTATCAGGAGAGTGTCTGTGAGGCCACAGATGAGTGCATCTGTCACTTCATTCATCTGAATCTTAAATTTCCCCACTGACACTGTAAGCTGGGAATATCTAATATGACACACATATCAACATGACTTCAGTATTATCCTTCATCTTTTTCTTTCTTCTTACTACTGCTATCATTAAATCCACAAGCTTAAGCTGTTGTGAAACTTCTGTAGCTCAATGACTGTCGTATATTAGAGGATATTACTAGACCCAAAAAGCTAAAGTGAAGGTTGGGAACTTAAGGGGGCATTTCGGAGGAGAAATGGTAAAATGGCTAAAATGGAAGAACTGGGAGATGTTAAGAGGGCAGACTGATTTAAAAAGTGAATTTTTTACAAGGAGATTTTGCTATGGGGATAAGGGTAAGAAAAGAAGCATAAAAAACTTGAAAAGAACTTGTCAAAGGAAAGTTAGATGCCAGAAGAATGCCATAGCTAAAAAAAAAAAAAAGTTATAATAGAATTGTTGCTTAGAAGCTTGCAATGACCTATGGCCCAGTTTCAAGAAAAGCAGCATTCTACTATAGTTTTTGTAACTGGGCAGAAATCAGTCCCATTGTATGATCAGGGGCTGTGGATAGTATATTTTAGGCTTTTCCATTTTTCTAAGTCTATCCAATCACACAGAAGCTAGGCAAATAAAAGCAACCCTATTTTGCCAGAGTGAAAACATTAGCAGCTTAACATGACAACAGACAAAACAGCACAGGGCTAAAACACATGTCTAAAGGATTCTATACGTAGGCTTTGCCGCTTTTGTAATCTGGGACTTTTAGCAAATTATTTGCCTCTCTGGGTCAAGACTGTCTGGTTAAGGTCAGGGTCATTGAACTAATTATTATATATGGTAGTTAACTTTATAAAGAAAACTACTACAAGGTCACATTCAATATAAGAAACAATTTGAAGAAAAAGGTTAAAAAATTGTAGATGATATGAACGACTAAGCATAACCCTATCATATCACCACAATCCTAAATCAAAACAATTTAAGTTGCAAGGCCAACTTCTCAGTTATTGGTGTCATCTTTGAATGTGAAAGACAAGATCTAAATATTATCCTTTTGTAGCTGCAGTTTGCTCATCTGTAACAAAGTGGAAAAAAATCATTGTCCTCAAAGGATTGTTAAGGTAAGTGACCTATCAACATGCCTGCCAAGTGCTTCTTTAAACAGAAATTACTCTGTAAAAGTTCCAGTGACGATCCAGTGGTCTGGAACAATCCAAGTTTAATACCCTGGCCTATACACATCCTTTTGTTATCAGGATACTTCTCACCTCTGAAAGAAGTCATTTGTTTTTTTAGCTACTTGGATGGTAGAAAGAGGGAAGGGTAACTTCTGATAGATCCTTTCTCTTTCAAACCTTATTTAGTAGTCTTAAATGGAGAATTATGCCAGTCTGAAATGGGAGAACAGAATCCAAATGTCAGTATCAAATGATAAATAAAAAACTAATTGGCAATAACTAATAAAAATTCACAGTGCTCTCAGTGAAAGGGGAGGTAGCAAACAATTCTCAACCCACATCTCTGTGACAATGAGAAAATCTATTTACCCAATTAATTGGGCAGCTCAAAATACTCCTAAGGTGACTTTCAGAAAGTAAGAATCTCTGGGCCTCTGGGTGGGTGGCCTGGGACACTCTTCCTGGCCACAAGCAAAATAGTCACAGCTTCCCAAGGCGATCATTGACCTCATATAGTCTGTAGTAGCCCAGCTGAGGTGCTGGGCTTTGTTCTAGAACAGCTTTTAAAGAGAAAAAGGGTGCCTCATGAAGATAAGGATTCTACCTTGCAGGAGGAAATGCTCAACCATGTGAATTAGGACTGGCAAAGTCACCCCAGAGCATCCCAGGACCCCACCGAACTCAGAGTGGGGGGTGAAGGAACTAAGACTGGGGTTTGTGGGGTGGGTCTTAAATTCATCAGGTCTTGTTTCATCAGGCAGACTTCCTTAGAATCAGGGCCAACCTGGAATAGGGATAGCTGAGGATTCCAAAACACTTTCAGATGTAAGACAAAAGGGGTCCATTGTTGAAGACAGAGAGTTAATGCATTACCTATAAATTTCACAAGGCCAGTAAATGCCACCTGGACATTTCTCAACAATTATTTGTTAAATCAACTCACAGACTATAACTGTTCTTTTATGTCATTAACACAATTCCAGTGTTTCTCAAAGTACAGTGAAGGGATCCCTGGCATCAGAATCACTTGCGGGTGCCTGTGAAAATGCAGATTCCTAAGGTCCATCCCAGACTCCTAAATTGAAACCCTGGGACTGAAGTCCTGCCCAAGAACTGAATTTCTAAGAAACAGCCTAGTTAATTTGGATGATTCATATCAAGGTGGGAAAATTATTATGTCTACATTGTCCATTAGAAATTTAAAGACACTCACAGATTAGTGTTTTGCATGTTTTCCCCAAAATGTTTATATACCATAAAATTGAAAACAATACTTCTTGTGATAAGCCCTTAAAAACCATTCAGTTTATTCCGCCCATATATAATGAACACCATTATTGAAATGTAATTATGAGCATAAAATTATTGGGAAAAATATGAACTATGCTTCTCAAAAATACTGCCTTTATTTTGTCACTAAAGTAATTGTGCTATTAAAGGAATTTATTGTTTTTTAAAGTATCAGTCACTTGGCTGCAAGAACTTATTAAGCTATTATACTCCTCCCATACCCTTTTAGTCATCAGAATTTTTGTGATAAAGCCTTTTTATTATTTTAAAACTATAAATTGTGAATCATTGCAACTAGTGATTAGACTGACTATGAATATATGTCCAGGTTATAAATTCCTAAAAGTATGTTTCATTAGAAATACCAAGGCAGTCTTAATTATAGCCTCTGCAATAAAGCTCTGTTTACTTCTATTAAGGTAGGTTTTTTTTTTTTTTTGGTGCAAAATGATTCAGTTTTAATGCATTATTTTAACAAGCAAAAGCAAACAGTTTCTGATATACATGCCATACTGCAAAGCTGTAAACCCGTGTTGCATGGTGATGTGACAAGCACCACATTTCTGGAGGGATTTTTTTTTCTCTCCTACAAGCTCCCCCTCCCCAAGCCGTGGCTATAATTATTTCACAAAATGCAGTTTGCCATTTCTAGAGACAAACACTTCCTTCTCCCTCACCAAAACTTCAAGTTCAGGCCAAATATTGAATGAAAATAGAACTTGAGAGGCAGGCTTTGTTTGTAGCATGTTGTTTCTGCTAAGAGTTGCCCCCTACCCAGGCTCCACCCCAGTGGTCGGACTGAAGTGTACATGTTATGTTTTAACAGATGGGCCGGCTGGCGGCTGCTGGGCTGTAAAACAGGAACGCGGATTCTGCACTGAGTGGTATTGAACTGAACGCTCGTAAAGTTCATGGACATACTCTGACCCAGACAGACCAGGCAGATGCAGACATGCTTACGCATACACACTCACTAACACCCCACAGCTCAGAGGATCCATCTCTGTGACCCAAGGGAAGTTCAAGGCTGAATTTCCCCTTCATATATTTACCTCATTCACCTTTTAATTTTATATATACACACACTCACACATATACACGTATGTATGTGTGTATATGCGCATCTACATCTTCATATACACATACAGAACTATATATCTCAACATTTTCATGTATTTTCAAAGGTCTAAACATCCCCAAATTCTGGACCTGTTTCTGTCTAGTATTTTCAAAAGCTCTTATTCATGTCAAATAAGAATTGTAAGAAAATATCGTATTGAATTCTGTTTATTCCGCACATAATATAAACTACATGCATGTAGTTGGTCTCAGAAAAACAAGCTGCTTTTACCCCCTTACCATTAAGGGGGGAAAACAATCTAACCCAGACCGAGTCACAAACGGAGTGTCAGGTTTAACCTTGAGTTCTCTGCTGTCAATTCCTGACTCAACTTCATCACTTAAACACGCAGGTGCTCAAACAAACACCAACCGACCAGGCTGGCAATCCCTTTCGCAGCCTCTAGGATTCTCCAAGGCACTGGGCACCAGAACCGACAGCAGCTCCCGCCTGGTCCTAACGAAGTCCTTCGGACACCCCTTGCGGGTGGATGTGGAGGTCCGAGCACCTCAGGAGGGTCATGGATTCAAGTGCTAATAGAAAGCAATTACTTTAGAAAGTTCAAAGCCCAGCAGTGCTCTCAATTCCTCTCAGTAGCTGCAGAGCACTGAAGCCCCCGCTACAGAACCCGGCTGGTACTCCAGTTCTCTGGCGCTGAGACCCACCTTGAGCCCGATGAGCGCTCGCTCAGCCTTGAGATCCAGACGCGGACGCCGGGTCTTACCGTACCGCACAGCGCGGGTAATTTTTCAGGAACCGCGGTCCGCACGCCGCGGGCGCGGAGGCCGCCCCAGCGCTCCATGTCGTTGCCGCAGAGGGGCAGGGGACGCGTCCCGGCCCCACCTACCCATGTCAATTACGCCAAGTTGGTGCGGACTGGAACCGCGTCCCGGGCGGAGTTGGGATGCTTTGACAAGAAGAAGTTCGGGAGTGGGGATATTGGCACGGAGTAAATCCCGCCCAGCCCTGACCTCCCCACAGCGGTCACGCTCGGACGAACGGACCGCCGAGCGCCAGGACGCGTCCCGTCCCCTCTCGCCGCCGCCGAACCGCGCCGAGAGGAGCCGCTAGCCCGGCGCGCGGCCACTCACCGTCCTCGCCGAGTCCCGATAGCAAACCGACGTCCCTGCTGCGGTTCTAAGTGCCAAGTTGCCCCCAGTCGGTGGCTGCTCACGGCCCAGTGGACCAGGGCACATTGGTTCCGGCGGGCACCTCAGGGGGAGTGCGGCAAGCCTGGCGGCCGCCGCGGCCACACAGTCGCCCACAGCGCGCTGACAATTCACGGACCTGCTCAACGAGTGAGGCGGAAAGCAGGGCTAAGCCGACCAGGCTCTGGAGGGGAGGCGGGGCTGCCGCTAGGGGCGGAGCCAGCCCCGGGGCGTCATCAGCCCATGACTGGCGGAGCCGACAGCCAGTCGTGGTGGCGCTGGGACCGCCCCGTAACCGCCGTCCAGTCGCCTGCGGCCGAGGGCAGGCTGGCGGGACGCGCCGGCGGCGGGGAAGTTGGTTATTGCGAAGTGCCGTGGCTGCCGGCGGGCGCTGCGGGACTCTCTGCAATGGGACCCGAGCAGCTCTAGAGGGAGGCGGCGGCCCCAGAAGGCCGTTGGCTGAGAGAGACCAGGAGCCCTCGGAGCCGCCGCGCGCATAGCGCTGTGGAGCAAGAAGCCAACCGCAGCGCGGGTCGACACGCCAGTATCTGGCACCGGCAGGAGGCGCGGAACTTAGCTGCCCCATCGGAACCCCGCCCGGAGGAAGCTGAGGGCCGAGAAAGGATGAATTCCGGACCGGGTCGCCCAGCCACAAGTGGAAACCTGGGCTCTCTGGAAAACGTTCTGATCTCGATCTGGCTATCTCTGAAACAAAACTCCAGCCCCGCAAACCTCCCAAAGTTCAGTACACGTCCCCGTCCTCACCCCTGCCCTCCGGGCCACCTGCAGCGGGGGACTTACCGGCGCCTCGGGTCTCCTCCTCCCGACCCAGCGCGTCGCGGACACAGCTGGCGGCCAACAGGAGGCTTGGGCGCTCGACGGCGCCGGAACCTGTGAGACCGTCGCTCTGGGCGGGCTGCCGTGCGGGGTGGCATCCTCTGCGGTGACTTCTGCTGTCTTTTGGGTCCGCCAGGATTCCAAAATCCCAGGCGGGTCGCTAGAATTATCCATCTTCGTGGACAGGAAGCCCCAGAACGAACCACATCTGTCCCACTCTGCTTCCGCCCTCCTTCCCCTTCGCAAGCTCCTGGCTGGGATGGAGACATCGGACGAGCTCGGAGATCCCGACCTCTCAGGGGTCACTCGCAGCCGAACAGCCTGGAATATGGCCTTGTGGGCCCTTCCCGCCCAACCCCCTAGGACCCCACTGCTCATCTTGTCAACCAGTTTCTGAGCCCCTACCCTGGCTGCAGCACGTGCTCGCACAGGCGCGCTGAGCTACTAACATAGAATCAAAAGCAGGGAGTTGGGTGTTCTTGCTTTCCCGCTGAAACCTAGAATGTAAACAAGCCCTAGACCGTCAGCTGTGGGTGGGTAGGGGCCTCTCCCTGCCTAGAACTGCTCTTGCCATGGGTAGGCACCTAACCCGTATTAGTAAGAATGAAGGAATGCATGCTCATAACAAGAAAGGGGTCAACCTGCTGCCCTGATACTCACCTTCACCACTTACGTCTTGCTTCCAGCGCAAGCCCACTTCAGACCATTGCCTCATTCAGGTCCCAGAAGTCCTAAGGGTTTTAGTCTCTCAGTATGGGCAATTATTCACATGTAAGGGAGCTGCAAGGTGTTATTTCAATGCCATCTGGCCTCTATAAGGTCTTGCATCATAGCTGACCTCTCATGAGAAGGTTCTGATGAGGTCACCAGGGAGAAGGAATGTAAAGGGCTGGTGGCTGAAAAGGAGTGAAATGGCCCCTCTTAGGTGAGCTCTGGCCTGGTTTGAGTTTCAATTCTGTCTCCTCAGCTCCATTTCTCAATGGGAAAAGGTCCATAGGAAGGTTGTCAGAAGGGCAGGAGACTAGGGCAGGGATAGCCCTTTGCAGACCCTGAAAAATTGCTCAGTAATGCAAACATTGTCCATATTTAAGTTCTTTCTTTTCTTTTCTTTTTTTTTTGAGGCAGAGTCTCACTCTGTCGCCCAGGCTGGAGTGCTATGGCTTGGCTCACTGCAAGCTCCGCCTCCTGGGTTCACGCCATTCTCCTGCCTCAGCCTCCCAAGTAGCTGGGACTACAGGCGCCCGCCACTACGCCCGGCTAATTTTTCGTATTTTCAGTAGAGACGGGGTTTCACCGTGTTAATCAGGATGGTCTCGATCTCCTGACCTTGTGATCCGCCCGCCTCGGCCTCCCAAAGTGCTGGGATTAGAGGCGTGAGCCACTGCGCCCAGCCTTAAGTTCTTTATTTTCTATCTTGTGGACCAAAGGACTGCTACAGGCAAGGAAGACCATCTGACTCAATTCCAGAGGTTCCTTAGCATGCTGCTGACTGGCCTAGGAGAATGGCCTTTGCCCATAAAGTATTAGATGTAGACCACATGAATGGAATATTCACCAGGTTTCTGCCCAGGTCTGGATTGGGCAAGGACATGGCTGGAGGTGCCTTACAGGAGAGAAGGCCAAAGAGAGAGAAGACTTGACTCCCAACCTGATTCCAGCAGAACTCCACTTTGATGTGTTTTTAAAATTGTGCTCTTCTGTTTGCTTTCACGGAGGCTGCCATGAAACGTCATCTTTGACTAGAATTATCAGGAAATGCTCATGGAAGAAATATACTTCCTTGGATTTTTTTTCCTACCACACTTCAGGATATAACTAGAGAAAACATTTGCCAACAGTGCTTATCATATTAGTACCCTGTGAAGGTTTTCATAGATGCTGATTATTATTTTTAAAATCATTTCGGGAATAGGAGCCAAACACTAGGTCATGACTGTACTTACTTTAGTATTTACATTAAGTGATGAAAAATGGAAATAAAGGAAATGTCCTGTCATGAAACAAGTTAGAATTAGGTGACTTTCATGTCCTGATTTCCAAGGTTTTCTGTTTGTTTCAGACAGACAAGATCATCCATGGGTTCTTGGACAAGTAATAGGTCTCATTTTCCCTTGTAGACCAGAAGACATGGAAAAGACAGCATATTCGGACTATATTCATATTTCCATACCATCTTTTGTTGTAATTGATTTTCAACAAGAGCCCCTAACAATCTCTTGAGTTTGGGCCATCCCCATATTCTACAAGGGAAAATGAGATCTCTTACTACTCCAATAACCCATGCTTACACTATCTGTATGGAACAAACAGAGAACCATCAAAATCTGAACGCAGAAGTCACTTATTTAGTCCCAATCTATTTTGTGAAAGAAAATTTCTTTTACTCAAAGAGATGAAGAAATTTACGGAATGGCTTGGGAATGAGAAGATTCAGGTGGGACCATGGAAGCAAAGCTTGTTCTTTTGTGGATGGTAAGATTGTCTTCAGGCACTGTCACTCCTTTATGACACTAAAACAGTATTTTAGAATCCCCTAAATTTCAATAGGATGTGATTGGTAGGAGCCATGGGTTCTAATCTTAACAGCTGCTGTGGTGGGTGCTCCTGGCAGTCACTCATCCTTTGTTATCTCTTCCTTCTTTGGCCATAAAACAGTAGTGGCAGAATTGGCCCACTATGTGTAGCTGCATAAAGGGGACATCATGACAATGGTTATGAAGCACTGCAAATGCATTGCATTTACAGTAGTACTGCCTGCTAAAAAGGAGATGAAAATGATGTTGAGATGGGAAAATAGTGTGGTATGAACAATTCCTATTTACATGTGCAATTTACATTTTTCTTTCCATTTACATGTGCAATTTCCTCCTTCCTTCCCTTTCCTCCCTCCCTTCCTGTCTCTCTCTCTCTCTCTTTCCCTCTTTCTCTCTTTCGTTCTCAGACTCACACTCTGTCACCCAGGCTGGAGTGCAGTGGTGCAATCTTGGCTCACTACAACCTCCACCTCCCAAGTTCAGGTGATTCCTTTGCCTCAGCCACCCGAGTACCTGGGAGTACAGGCGTGGGCCACCACGCCTGGCTCATTTTTGTATTTATAGTAGAGACGGGGTTTTGCCATGTTGGTCAGGCTGGTTTCCAACTCCTGGCCTCAAGTCATCTGCCCACCTCAACCTCCCAAAGTGCTGGGATTATAGGTGTGAGCCATCACGCCCAGCCCATTTATTTTAATGTCATTAGATTATTGTCCTTTCAGTATTTAAGTGGAAATGAGAGGAAACCATCTTTATTCTTTAAGGAGGAATACAGCTTCTAAAAGTTTTGGTTACCTAAAGTTTTTGAAGGTGTAATAGGAATGAGTTACCAGAACAGGAAGAATTGTAGAAGCAGACCTAGAGTTGAGGAAAATTTTACTTACATGGATAGTATTTTTTTCCTCTCCCTGGCTCCTACCACCTCTCTCAACATATATTTACTGAGAAAGTTGTTCACAATTTAAAGAGGTTGAGCTAAAGATCTTAGCAAAGAAATGCAATCAATGCAATCAAAGCTGGAGATTCGTTTTTTTTTTTTTTTTTTTTTTGAGACAGAGTCTTGCTCTGTCACTAACGCTGGAGTGCAGTGGTGCGATCTTAGCTCACTACAACCTCTGTCTCCCTGGTTCAAGCGATTCTCCTGTCTCAGCCTCCTAAGTAGCTGGGACAACAGGCACATGCCGCCAGGCCCAGCTAATTTTTGTATTTTCAGTAGAGACAGGGTTTCGCCATGTTGGTCAGGCTGGTCTTGAGCTCCTGACCTCAAGTGATCCACCTACCTTGGCCTCCCAAAATGCTGGGATTACAAGTGTGAGCCACCGTGCCTGGCCCAGAAGCTGCAGATTCTAATACTAGCTTTGCAATGTATTCATTCTGATACCTTGGGCACGTCATCAACCTTCCATATCTTAGTTTCCTATCTGGGAAACTGCAGTGGTACTTATGACCAATTTCACAGAGATGACAGCAATAACTAATGATAGGCACTTAGATTTTAGACTTAATGGGAGTTAGTTCCCTTGACACAGCAGTATGGGAACAATAACTGGCCAGCCAATGAGTGAAAAAGCTGGATTATCCCTTAGAAATGAATTGTATCATTACTGATTATGAATACACCAAATTATGACAGATTCACATGTAAGAATGCCAGGGAAAAGTAGCCGTGAGCTATAATATACAAAATTGTTTATTACCCAAGAGAATCTAGGTGCTAATACGGATGGTACTACACCTGTGAAATTCTGAAACCCTTGAAGGATTTGAAGATATAAAGCCAAATAAAACATAATACAGAGGGAAATGATTTTGATTATGTAACATTTATATATAGCATTTGTTTTTACATTTTCAAATTGCTTTTCAGTCATTGGTTTATTCTTCACAGCACACCTGGGGAGTACATCTGTGCATTTATCCTCTGTTCACAGCTGAGGCAACTGAGACTGAAACAGGCAAAGTGGTTTGTCCAAGAGCAAAGCCAGGGGCAGGGTGAGAAATTGTTCATTCATTCAATCATGCATCTATTCTTGGCAAGGCACCAAAGTCTGTGTGGTGGTGGTGCACAGAGATGGATATTGTCTATGTGGCCTCTACCTTGCAAGAGCCTGCAGTCTCTGAGACAATAAGCGGTTCATGAATTATGCCTCCTAGAGTGCTCAGACAGCAAGGACCAGGGTTCAGAGGAGGAGAGGGTGAGAGTTCCCTAGGATTCCTGGAGAGAGTTGGATTCAGGGCCCATGAGGGATGGGTAGAATTTTGGCAAATGGAAGTGTGGCTAGTGGGAATGACAGACATGAAGGTGGGCAAATTTAAGATGTTTTGGAGAATATCTGACTACAGCAGGGCCGTTGTGGGGAAAGGGCAGGAGAGTAGAAAGGAGCGGGTTTCCCAGGATGCTGAATGCCCAGCCAAAATACATGGATGAATCCATGAATACATGGATTTCAGCCCAAGGGCAATGGGGGTTGGACTTATCTCTGACTTCTCGTATTCACTCATTATTCTAACATGTGCTGTACCTAGTGCTAATATGTGCTTAGTCTACAGGTATTTTTCCACACATCAGCTTTTCTAACCTTCGCGTCACTCTAATGAGATACATATTATTCCTCCTTTAATGGATTAAAAAATTGATGCACTTAGAGGTTGAGACTTGCCTACGATCATGTAGCTAATAACTGACATATGTGAGATTTGAAAGTAGGATTCCTGACTTCTACATGGCGACAAATGGAAAGAACGAGTGTAGATTCTGGAGAGTGTACTCAGGATGCCCATCAATAACATGCCCCTCACCTTAGCTCAGTGTTGTTCCAGAAAAAATAACTACATAGGAGTGAAATCTTTTTTTTTTTCTTTTGAGACAGGGTCTCACTCTGTTGCCCAGGCTGGAGTGCAGTGGCATGATCTTGGCTCACTGGTTCAAGCAATTCTCCTGCCTCAGCCGCCCAAGTAGCTGGGATTACAGGCGTATGCCACCACACCTAATTTTTGTATTTTTATTTATATTTATTTATTTATTTATTTGAGATGGAGTTTTGCTCTTGTTGCCCAGGTTGGAGTGCAGTGGTGCGATCTCGGCTCACTGCAACCTCTGCTTCCCTGGTTCAAGAAATTCTCTTGCCTCAGCCTCCCAAGTAGTTGGGATTACAGGCGCCCACCACCACGCATGGCTAGTTGTTTTGTATTTTTTGTAGAGACAGGGTTTCACCATGTTGGCCGGGCTGGTCTCAAACTCCTGACCTCAAGTGATCCACCTGCCTCAGCCTCCCAAAGTGCTGGGATTGCAGGCGTGAGCCACCGTGCCTGGCCAAAATGGAACATTTTAAAATCCCAAATTTACTACACAACAGACTGTCCTTTACGACTGAAGTCATGGAGATTTGTGAATAAAATGTTGAATGTTTCTCCATGTTTGTTTATTTGCTTGTTTTTTTCTTTTGTTTTTTAGGAAGTTTGAAAGAAAGAAAAATATGCCAAGATGATTAAGTTTCACCTAAGATTTTAAAGCTCCCACCTAAAAGATGTGGAAAACAAGCACTATACCAGGATATTGTACCTTATTTCTGCCCTGTCTTAAAAACACCATGACATTTTCCTTGATTTCAAGAATACAGAAAATGAACATGGTCCTTTAAATTATGTGACTCTTTCGAAGCAAAATGACAACAAGGAAAAACCACATTTGTTTTCTGCCTCCCTTTTTCAAGAAGCTGAAAATATAGTGTAAATGAACTCTTGGTCGTGGGTCAACATCCTTACAATACCTGCCCCTCGTTCTCAGGTTAGAGATTTCTCCTCTGCCTTTTCATTCTCACCCACACCCAACTTGAAATAGGTCTCCAGGTCCCATTTTGATCACATATTCTTTCAGTCACATGCGGAACATGAGAAGGGGTTAAATGTAGCTCTGCAAGACCAGCAAAACTCATCACTAAACTGGAAAACAACTTCAGGCTTACTATCAACAGGGGGTAGTTAGCATCAGTTTAAAGACTGTGAATGTGCACAAATGTTTTCTAAGAATATTTTTCAGAAGAGTGTAATTATAGGTATAATCTCTAATTGCATTATAAATGATAAATAAGAGACGGTTAGCAAACTATATTTCAGGGCTGTTTGCTGTACTTATCTGCTGCCATCACTGGCCCTGTCTTCCTTTGTGACTGCAGACTGTGTTGTTTATTAGTCTTGGTGGTAAGGGGGAATTGCTGTACAGTACTTTTGTGTTAGGACAGGATCTTACAGATGATAATGAAGGTTGCAGGAAGGACTGTTGAAACGTTTTATTTTGGTATTTGTTTCATTTTTAAAGGCTGTGACTAGGACTTCATACCTGTCTAATAAGCATGCATGTAACATTTTTATATTTGCTGAGTGCTTCATAGTCCTCCATTAGTCCCCACAATACCCCTTGAGGGTAGGTCAGTATTACAGTTTACAATATGAGGAAATTTAAGATACAAAGGGATTATGTGATTTGTACAAGGTCACCCAGCATGCAAGCCTAGCTAATAAAATATGACTACAAAGCTCTTTCCAAATAAAAAGTACCTTATAAATGTTAGGTAGTATTAATGGGTATGATCCCAGAATGAGTAAAATACTCTTCAGGAGTAAAGTGCTCATACATGGTATATAATATTAATTCTCTCTCTTTTTTTTTTTTTTTTTTTAACCTGTGGGTGACTTTTGAAATAGTTATTCTTGAACCTGGCTATGCATCAGAAATGTCTCTAGAGTTTTTAGAACATGTGAGCACATAGACCCCTACTCAGCCGACAGAATCATAATCTGGGCAGTGGGATTTAGATAATTATGCCTTGAAAAATCTCCATGGGGGATTTGGATGCTCAGTCAGAGCTGAGAACCACTACTCTAGGCTAGAAGAGTAACATCGGTCAGGCCAAGAGCAACAACAAAACACTGTGGAGTTAATTCAGAAGAGAAAGTCTGGTGTCTTCCAGGCCTCTGTCCAGCCAGTTCACAACTATTATTAGCAGAGGAACTGCCTCCCTGAAATAATCAACTGTAATAACCATGTGTGAAATTCCCGGAAATAGTGCAGAGATTAAAGTTTATTTAAGAACCGTCAGTTTTTGAAAGTTATAATTTACTGGGTAAATTTACTGGCACACCCTTGGTTTATTACTGTGCTTAGTGTTTTTATTCTGAATACTTTGTACTTCTTCATAATCAACATGGTAAGAACCTATAATATCTGCCCATTCATCCATCTGCCAAACACTTATTGAATACTTGCTGTATGGAAATTTCAGAGTGAAAATAATGATCTTTTTCCAGAAGTTTATAATCAAGTGATAAAAACAGACACAGGCAAAACCAACCAACCAAACAAAAACCTGAAGCCACACATATGATAATAAAAAGTATAATCAAAGTGTTAGATGAGGCATTATTCATAATTGCTAAAAAGTGGAAACAGCTCAAATATCCATCAACTGATAAATGGATAAATGTGGTATACCCACACAATGAAGTATTATTATTATTCAAACAATGAAGTGGAATGTATACTGATAATGCTACAATATGGATGGATCTTAAAAACACTATGCTAAGTGAGAGAAGCCAGTCACAAACGTGGTATTCCCATACAATGAACTATTATTATTATTATTATTAAACAATGAAGTGGAATGTAGTACTGATACATGCTACAACATGGATGGATCTTAAAAACGCTATGTTAAGTGAGAGACACCAGTCACAAAGGACCACATATCGTATGATTCCATTTATATGAAATGTCTTGAATAGGCAAATCTGTAGAGACAGAAAACAGATGGTTGCCTAGGGCTGGGGATGGGGAAGGATGGAGGAAATGGGTGACTGCTAGTGGGTACAGGGTTTCTTTTTGGAGTGACGAAATGTCCTAAAATTGATTGTGGTGACAGCTGCACAACTTCGTTGACTATACTAAAAACCGTTCAATTGTACGCTTTAAATGGGTGAATTGTATGATATGCAAATTGTATCTCTAATAAAGACAATGGAAGATAGATAGATAGATAGATAGATAGATAGATAGATAGATAGAGCTGTATGAACTTGGAGGAAAGAGAGATTAATTAATTTGGATTGGAAGAAAGTCGTGGGAAATTTCCTGGAGGAAATGATATTTGAGCTGACTCAAAAAGGATGATTTTTGTAAGATGGTGTGGATGAAAGGAGGGAAGGTATGCTCAAAGAGACACTCAAAGTGAGGGTGCTTTCATGCAAGGGCAAGTTATCTGGAATAGACAAGAGTTTAAGATGCATGAAGGATACAGTAGATGGAGGCTAGATGCAGGGCTTTTACTGTCATGCTAAGTTCTGTGGTTTGGTTTTCATTTTTGTAGGCAATGGAAAGCCACGATAGGTCTGTGAGTGGATGATCAGACCTGTGATTTGGAAGGATAATTAGAAGTGGTGATGAGGTAGATAGAAGATGGCATAGGAGAGCAGTGAGTAAGGGAGGCCATTTAGGAGGCAAAGGCATTGCAATGTGTAGGTGAGAGATGAAGAAGCCTTCGACTACTGCAAAAGCCGTGAGGACTGAAACAAGGAGACAGATTTTTTTTTTTTAGTAGAGTCAGGGCACTATGTTGCCCAGGGTGGTCTTGAACTCCTGGGCTCAAGCAATCCTCCCACCTCAATCCTCCCACCTCAAAGCAATCCTCCCGCCTCCCAAAGTGTTAGGATTACAGGTGTGAGCCACTGCGCCCGACCAAGGAGGCAGATTTAAGAAATGGTTAAGAAGTAGAATCATTAAACTCACGTACCCCCTGATGGCCCTGGGGGAGTAGGTGGAAAAGCATACAAATTGGACAGCACACTATCTGAAACCACGTAAGGGCATGGGTCCTTTTTTGACAAATTATTTTGAATGAAAAAACTTTTGTTGAAATAATGTCCAGCAAGCAAATTGTAGCTCTTTACATCTGTTAACAAGGGTTTGATTACAGACATTCTTCAATTTTTTAACAAAGGAATGTATATTGTGAATCAAAGGTGGATTGAAGACAGAAATGCAATCCAATCATTCTGTGAGCACTTTCCAATCAGACCTCCCCTTGTTGAAGATGAAGCAGTCGTCATTTATGGACTATTCCGAATGACTAAGTATTTACCTCTTGCTCAGATAGCTTCCCTAGAAACACTTCCTTTGGTGTGAGCAACTTGGATTTACTGCCAGGGCAACACCTCCCATCCAACGCCCACACTGCCTCTTGGCTGGGTCCTCACCAGCAGGTGTTCATAAGCAGTATTTTGTTTTGCTTCTATTAAGAGTGTAGGCTTTGAAAAGCATCGTCTGAACGTATCACCCATTATACTTTCACTTACAAGTGTTCTTATGGGGAGATCTGAAACCTTGGCGTCTCAAGGATCAGGAAGACAAAGACTGCCTTTTCTCATGCAAGGCCACACCTATGTTTTCCATTAGAAGGAGGGGCAGGCAAATCCTGGGCAAGGTCAAAATATAAAGTCTCTCCCAGTGCATGGCGGTGCACTCCCTGGGGATCTGTTAAAACCTCTTTTGTGTGTTTTGGAAGGTGTTACGGTGAAACTGCCTGCTGCTAGCTGAGTTTGAGAACAGTGACCCTGACAAGTGCCTTACAGGAGTTTATCAAGTGGAGAACACCATTTAGAACACCACTCACTGAGATGCAGCTCTTATCTGTGCCTGTCAGTGAACAATGTTCAATCGCAGATCACAGTTGTTAGCAGAGCTAATTACAGCAGTCTCAGGTGAGAAGAATCCCAGCAACTGCCTCTAAGGGACTTCCATCACAGGGGCTTCGCAGGTAAGCAACGAAAATAGCCCCTTGGGGGATCTATAAACAACAGTTCTCTGCAACTCTGAACATGGACTCATCCACAGTTGGTGAGAGATCATGTTCAAAAGAGAACCACCAAAGGGAGAAGGAGGAAAGGGATGCTTAAAGCCAGGAAGGGAAATGTTCTGGATTAAATAAGAGCAGAACTGGGTATTTATTATTCCTTGGGCTGTCTGACTCACTGCATAACCTTATAAAGTCATTTCCTCTTTCTGGGACTCACTGTTCTCATCTCAAAAATAAGGATAGTAATACCTGCCCTATTTATATCACGGGATTGCTGACAGAATAAAATAAAATAAAATATGTATTTTTAAAAATAAAAGCTGGGGAAAACTAGAAAATACAGCTTTAGGTAGAGTAACTGATTCCCTTTGTCTTATTTCACATTTTACTTATAAATGATGGAAGGGAACAACAACAAATATTGGTGCTATTACAGAATCCTAGATTTCAGTTTCTCATGCCTCCAGTTTTTTGTGGTTTGCACATCTTCAGATTTGCCTCTCCCTCCCCAATTTGTTCTCAGCATCAGTTCTGGGGTAAACTCAGGCTCCAGTTTGAGGAGGAGAGGAAGATCCCAAGAATCTGAAGAGGCCAAGCCCCTGTATTTTTTTAGTCTCTTGTCTTTGTGTCTCCTGCTGCAGCCCACGTCTTGAGGGCCTCCTCCCAAGTCCTGAAGGTGAATCCTGCCTGTGGGATACCTGGTTTGCTGGGGACGTTGGCCCTGAATGAGAATTTCTAATGTCAAATTGGGACTTAAGAAGATATCTCTAGAACAGAACCAAAAAGAATCTGTAACAACGTGCCCTAAACATGTCTTAGGCTGGGTCTGTAACTACATTCTTGTTCCTGCTGAAAATCGCAGCATCCTTCTAACCAAGCAAGGCACGTCCACTTATCTGATGGTGCTGTCAGTGACAGAAAGGGATCATATTATGGATTTGGCAGGGAGGAAAAATATTTATTTCCAAATTTTGAAGATTTATCTTTTCCAGATATGCAAAACCAGTCAGAATATTAAAAAAAAAAATCAATGAAAAGTGATCATGTTTTGTGAGCAGAAGGAATCATTCTTGAATTCAAAATAATAATGAAGACTTATAAGGATCTCAAATCCATGATAAAACAAATGATTTGACAATAGCAAGTGAGTAGGACTACCAAACCCTTAACTGCCCCCTTATGGTGAAGCGATGTCTCCATTTAATGAATGTGTTCCATTAAATGTTTAAATTTCCCCTTTTCTTTTCTCCTCTCCGCTGTTTAGTTTTTTTTCAATGTTCAGCATAACTAAAAAGTCTTAAGTAGGGAATTGCACATAATTATAGGCTCCACACCAATGACAAAGTCATGCCTCTTCTTAAGTATTCATAATCATTTTTGTACTCTTCTTTCCTCCTCTGGACAATTTAGTTAGAATGACAGCAGTGTCCTTTATTTCTCTTGAAGGCATCTGCTGGTCTCACTTTGTGTACAGGTCATAAAACATCAAGAAACACAGTAATGTATTTTTCATGTAGTCACATATACATAAATTTTTAAAAAACACTGCTTTAAATGAATAGAACAAAAGTGGGAGGGAGTAACTAAATTTTATCTATTAAAGTTATTTGGTGAGGTAAGAATGTTTAAAAGACTATCTTTCCAACTCAAAGGCTGTGACCACCCTGAACATGCTGGCTTGTCCTGCCAGCTGACAAGTTGTTTTGTGCTGTTAGGTGTCAACTCAGTGACATCCTTTGCTCTCTCAACCTTTCCTTTATTACTGGCTTAGTGAAATCTGACATTGATAAGAACCCTAACTTGAGAATGCTTCACAGAGCAGGATCATTGCCAAATTCAGGAGTCTTGCTAGTTTGCAAGATGAGAGAATCCATGCAGAACAAAAGGCTGATACTAAAAGTCAGCAATCACAATGGGAATCAATCCCACAATCTGATTTCTAAATATCTTAATCTCCTCTGACCTTAAAAGAGTGAAATTGGCCTAATTTTGAGAATATCTTTACAAGAAAACACAGGGTAAGGTGGAGTGAAATCCTAAAACATAGCTCTTCTGGCAGTTCTTTCCCAACTTCTGACATCTCTTTTTTACCCAGATTATGCATCAATGCCCATTTTCTCTTTGTAGCATTAAATTCATAACAAAGAACATACAGCAAATGCCTCATTTACCTGGTCCAGGATTAAGTCTTTCTGAATATAGGACTTTCTCAGGTGACAGTTAACCTAGTCTCATGATGCAAATGTACATTTTAACTCATTTTTAAGGGAAGCGTTTTCTAAAATTTATTTCCCTCTCTGTTGCCTTAGTGGCCAGGCCACGGGTTGACCTTGTTGTGAGGACTCAGGACCACCACTGAGGTCTTCTGTGCAATGCAATGCTGCAACAAAGCCATCAGGGTTTCTGAGGAGAGCTGGGTCACAGGGTATTCTAAGTAGCACAATGAGGCCATGGGCTCAATTTGCCTTTAACTTGTATCATCTAAACTTTTTGGTGTTCTCAAATCATTAACAAAAGTTCCAATTAATATTTGGCCTACAGTATTTCTAAGGATAGAAAGTTTTCCATCAGGAATTCCGTTCAAATATACCATTTCAGCATAAAGAAGGGATGCCCATGACTCTCAATATAGGCCTATGGTTGGATTCTTCTTATTACTACTAGTCTATTAGCTGGCACTCCTATGTGCTGCTTCTCCTCTTTTGTATGACATTAATATTAATATTAATATTTCCCCTTTCCCTGAAGCTTTATGTCCTTGTAGACTTTAGAATTCAGAGGTTTAGCTTTGGTAGTCATCTTTGAACCTGAGAGAGGAGGTAAAATGCAAAATGTCAGTGCCTAAGCTGAAGACCGATCGAATGAGGCCATTCTCTCTTGATTATGTCTCCATGCTCAACATGAATTTCTGTGTCAATAGAGAGGTACCAAATCTGTTCCAGGTGCAGGATTTTGGGTCACAGCATCAAAGTATCCTGTCTCTATGGTGAACAAGAGTCATGGGTCTGGTGCGCATATCTGTGGACTATAATGGGTTACTATGGTTTACTCTCCAGTGTCAGGGTCACTTTTGAGGCCTCTGAACTCTCCTCCCCACAATTCAGCCAAAAGCCAGGTAGAATGTTATGGCTACCTCATTCTATGCTTTTTTTTTTTTTTTTTTCCTTTTTCTGGAGAACGGGGTCTTGCTATATTGCCCAGGCAGGTCTCGAACTCCTGGGCTCAAGCTATACTCCCACCTCTTGCCTCCCTGAGAGCTGGCATTACAGGCATGAGCCACCGTGCCCGGCCGGCTACCTCATTCTAGTACTGCCCCAACACTGCCTGCCATTTTTGGGTGCTGAGCTAATCAATTACCTCTGGTCTTTAGCTCCTTTCTGGATGTCGTTTCTTAGTGGGTCAAATGAGATATATAAAAACTTCCTAAAAAATGGATACTTTGCTGTCTTTTCTGTATCTTTCAGTTATCATCCCACCACAATTTTCTTTTAGTTTACCTCTTCCCTCTCCACAAAAGTTGTTCTCAATAAGGTCAAGGAAACATTTGTATTCATTTTCTATTGCTGCTGTACCAAATTATCACAAACTTGGCTTAAAACAACACAAATTTATTCTCTCATAGTTCTATAGGCCAGAAGTCAGAAATCAGTTTCACAGAACTAAAGTAAACGTGTCAGCAGGGCTTGCTCCTTCGGGAGGCTATAGGGGATAATCTGTTTTCTTTTTCTTTTCTTAGCTTCTGGAGGCCATTCACATTCCTTGGCTCATGGCTGCTTTCTTGTATCACTCCAACCTTTTGCTTCCATTGTCGAATTTCCTACTCTCTTTACCCTAGTCAAATCTCCTTCTGACTCCCTCTTATAGAGACACCTGTGATTACATTAGGACCTGCTTAGATAATGCAATATAATTTTCCCATCTCAAGATCCTTAACTTAAATCTGCAAAGTCCTTTATGCATATAAGTGACAGGTTCCAGGAATTAGGACCTGGGTATCTTTGGGGACTATTCTTCCTATAGCAGCACTGATTTTCTAATTTTCAAATCTGATGTCTTCTGTTCAGTCCTCATCCTAACTCTCTTGCTATTTGATACTGTCAGTTACTCTGGGAAAAGCTCCTCCCTGACTTTCATGATTATTTTCCTCTGATACGATATCTTTATTGTCTGTCTCTCCCTTAAAATGCAAGACTCTGAGAGTAGGAATCCTGGCTATCTTGTTTGTTGTTTTATCCCCAGTGCTTGGAATAATACCTGCCACTATCAAATCACAAAAGGCATCACGTAATGTAAATTGGATGAGCTTCTCCCATTCCTAGTTCCACCACCACTCTCTCATTTTCCTTCACTAGCAACTTCCTCTATTCTCATGGGTCAAGATTAGTATTCTCCATGGTTTGGGAATAGCTTGCTTTTCTCCTTATATGCCAGGTGGCCACATTTCCAACCATACTCAGTGGGCTCTCAAATGTATACCTTAACCCCAGACCTTTGTTTTGCACTTCTAACTTTTATCTTTACCTTGATATCCCACAAGCATGGAGAATTCACCATGTCTTACCTTTCCCATCCACCAAGCACAGCCCAAAACTAACTTTTCCTTCCTCTTACATTCTCTGCCTCAGGGAATAAAAAGTATCAGAATTCACCCAGTAGTGTAAGCAAGAAAACTGGGAGTTATCCCAGAATCCATGCTTTCTCTCTACTCCCCTCTCCACATCACTACCGACCCATCCAGTCAGTCATGAAGTTTTGTCAACCTCACTCCTAAATATCTCCTGATATCTCTTTCTGTCTGACTCCCATTGCTTTGGTTCATGTCCTTATTACTCCTATGGAGTAGGATATAAGTGAACTTACCAATGTGTCCCTCCTGACTTCTCTTGAGTATGGTAGAATGTCACATTCTTAAGCTTTTTGGAGGCGTGCCAGAGTTGCTGGTCATTGCCTGTCCTGCTTCTGGCCTCTGCCAGTGGGCAGTGACTGTGATTTGCATACCGCTTCCATAGCCAGTTGGCCCAGGGATAGGCTTCTGTCCTAAAGGTGGCTCCTTCTATAGATTTGGTCAGCCAACTTAGGTCATGGGTGCCTGGTTGTAAAATATAAGCTGAGTAAAATTCCTTTTAGGATTTCAGAATAGAGAAGCCTGAGAGGCTCAGGGTGCTGTATTGCTGAACAGAAAGGTTAGCAGTAATGATGGGCATAAGCAGGCTGCAGCTATGAGGAAGCAGATAGTGTGTGTAAGCAGGGGAGCTGTGAGCCAGGAGAGAACAAGGAAGAAAATAAGCCAAGGCACTGTGAGAAGGGTGATGTTTCAGTTTTGGGTGGTTCTTTAATTGTACTTCTGAAGCCTGGCTGTATTGTGATTCCTACTGTCAGATGTCCATGAGATTGCTGCATTATTTAAAAAACCCCAGTCTGAGTATACCCTTGTTTCGTGCAATAAACTGGCCAAAGAGCTATGTGTTCCAGTAAGCTCATAATGTTATGAAGAGACATGTGGAAGAAAGAGGCACTATTCTAGAGCAGCAATATGAAGTCCCAAACTATTCCACTCCTTCATAAGGCATTAGCTTGAAGGGGGAAAAAAAGGAAGCTTGTATCACCTTTTCCTTTGGAGGTGAATGATGAGCTTCTTATATCAAAGTTAATCTTTATATAAAAACAAATTGATCTTTGCAAACATAATTTCAGAAAGGAAAAGTAATTGCTGCTACAAACATCACATGAAAATCACAGTAATAGGTGACATAACACTGATACTTGACAGTGGGATAATCAAACCACCTTTTAGATGCCATGTTTGTAGGTATCTACCTTTCATTTTGCCAGCTGTTGGGACCCATGGGTTTGCTGAAGATCTGCAGGATTCCTAGTCACATGACCATATTCCTCTCTGAAATAAGAATTGATGAGTAAGTTTATTGAAGAGCTATAGGTTAAAACCAACATTAGGTATATGTAACCAATACTCTAAATATGGGATACCTTCAGAAAGCATCTTTCTGTCTCCCTCTATTCCTATATATTTGGTGGATGAATTTTTCACTGTTTAGGATAAAAACAACAGGTCATATCAGGACTCTTGAACATTCTCAGGCAATAGAATGCCCCACAGTCACTTGAAATTGTTTTTGGTGCATCTAATCCCATGTCATAATCAAAACTTAAGACTTGGTTTAAAGTTAAGTTGTATCTTTTCCCCGACTGAGAAGCCATGTGGGGGTGGGAAGGTGAGGAAGGGGAGCGTCTTCTCCTTGTTCCTGGCAGCTTCTGATCCTTGTAGGGTTGCTATGGGAGAAAGAAAAAGTGGAGAGGGGTGAGAATGTTCTTATTTCAGTGGTGGAGTTGTATACTGGCCTACTTTCTGGACCCAATAAACAGTTAAAGCAGACCACACTTGGTACAGGCTGTGCAGGTTATTGGGAGACTGTACCAATTACTGGCGATGTCTTGCCTGCAGTTCCCTGATTTGGGCAAATGGGCTCTCCATTCGAGCAGACCCCTCAGCCCCTCGGAACCCAGTGTTTCCCTCTGGGTATCCCCTTCTGAGGCCTGCCTGCAACGAAGGTGCCCTCATACCAGTCCCCTCTCACATTTGGTTCATATTTGGTCCATGAGGACACACACACACACACACACACACACACACACACACACACACACAAACTTACTTTACTTCCCTGGGACAAACTCAGAGAAACAGCATCAGCTGCCTTCACTGTACAGCCAAATCTGCTTGCTAAACTATCTCTTGCCTGATTTCCCAGGAGAGTTAGACCGCTATGTTCTTCTTACCCAAGGACATACATTCGCTTTCCAGTGAGTCCAACTTATGCCCCTCCCTCTTGATATGAAGTGACTCCCAACCTTTCTACTTTGGTAGAAAATTAGTGAGAGGACATCTTATTTTTAAAAAACTCCTCCAAAGATCCTCTCTCCCAGGTCTATAATAATCCTCCACATGATCTAGTATTTCCTTGAAATGTAGCATCTATTGTTTCTTAGTGCCTTAGCCAGTACTTTAGTTTGAGCATCCTATATCATGGGATTCTTGTTTGAAATTCTAGTGTCAGAAATTTGTTGCTGAAATACTGTTTCACCTTTAGTCTCTGCACTTCCTGCACACTATAACCACATGGTTATACTCAGGTAAGAAGTGCTCCAAGAGAACAAACGTCTCTAGGCTTTCTGGCCAGCCATGCTTTTTG
Organism: Homo sapiens; assembly: GCF_000001405.40. NCBI lineage: Eukaryota > Metazoa > Chordata > Mammalia > Primates > Hominidae > Homo > Homo sapiens. The sequence goes on from NC_000005.10 coordinate 127,048,836, forward strand.
AAGGGAACCAATGGATTTTCTCCATCTTAGTTGAGCAGACACTGAAAGAAACTCTTGGAACCTTTCCAACTGGTGGTCTAGGAGAAGAATCAGCAACCTGGGTCCTAGGGGCTACACAATTCTCACCCTGCCTGGAGAAGGCAGGAATGAACACAGGACACCCAGACACACAAGTGGAGGACTTTGTCTGTGGCATCCCTGGTTGTATTGAGAGTGGGATTGTCCTACAGGACTACTAGAAGGGACTGTTGAGCTCAGCATGCTTAAGGACAGGAAGAAGGACTGCAACAGGCTGGGGTAGGGAGGCCAGACACCCCTGAGTAGTCAGGAGTCAGAAGGACTGACTATGGATAAAGGCAGGAAGCATGGGAGGCTACTGATGCTGGGCCAAAAGCACATTAGCTAAGGCCTTCACAATATGGATCCCAATCTACCTTGCCAGTCTCATCTCCTTCACTCTCCTCCCCTTTACTCCAGCCACACAAAGCCACCTAGCATTTCCTGAATATGCTGTGTCCTTCCACACCCTCATATTTTACATATACTGTTCCCTTGTAGAATACCCTCCTTACTCCCAATCCCCATCCATTGCTTCTATTCAGCCATCAAGACCTAGCTTAAGTCTAATTTTCTGTGAATCATTCCTGCTACTTTTCCCACCTGGTACCATTTGACATGTGTCAGTTCCAGCCCTCATTGCACTATGCTGTGCTTTATTCACTTGTCTCTCCTTGCTCCTTAATAGATAGTGAGTATCTCAAAGACAAGGACTATGATTTATTCATTTCTGTACTCCCATCACCTACTACGGTGCTTCAATGCTGTAAGGACTTGTATTCATTCTCTACTGCTATGTAACAAATTATCATACATTTAGCAGTTTAAAACAAGACATATTTATTGTCTTTCAGTTTCTGTAAACCAGAAGTCTATGCTTGGTGTGGCTGGATTCTTGGATTAGAGTCTCACTGAGCTGAAATCAAGATGTTGGTCAAGGCTGCAGTTCTCATCTGTCGTTGGGGATCCTCTTCTAAGCTTACTGATTATTGGCAGAATTCATTTCCTTGAAGCTATAGGACTGATGTCCCTATCTTCCTGCTAGTTTTTGGCCGAGAATTACTCAGTTCCCAGAGGCTACCCAGTTTCTTGCCATGTGGTTCCACTAGGCAATTCACATGATGCTTGCTTTCTTCCAGGCTTGCTAGAGCACATCTCTCTACTTTCCTCTTTATAACTAACCAGAGAGAATTCTCTGCTTTTAAAGGGCTCACCCAGTTACGTCAGGCCCAGCCAGGATAATTTCCCTTTTGCCATATAATGTAACATAATCACAGCAGTGATATTTCCACCCACACTCAAAGGGACAGGGAATTATCCAAGAGTGGGGATCACTGGGGTTATCCTAGAATTCTGCCCACCCCAGGGCTCAATATTTATGTCAAATAAATGTTCCAGAAATTTGTAAATGATAAACACTGCTATTCAATTGCTAAGATTTTGTTCTTTTCTCTTTTATTTTTTTTTTTTAAGAGACACAGTCTCACTATGTTGCTCAGGCTGGACTCAAACTTCTGGGCTCTTCTGCCTCAGCCTCTCAAGTAGCTGGGACTATAGGCATGTACCACTGTACTCAGCTTAAAAGGCTTTTTAAGTTGATTCCAGATTTGTGTTGGATCCAAAATGGTTGGGGATGCTGTATGTGAGATAACAGGAGCCCCCTGCAATGAGTCCAGAGAGTACTGGAAATCTGGGGCTGTGGGGCAAGACCTGGCCTGCCAACTGACTGGCTGTGTGACCTTGGGTTACGTCCCTGATATTCTCTGAATTTCAGATTTCTCCTCATATATAAAATGGGAGTGGGACTAGACAATGTCTAAGGTCAGCTAGCTCTAATATTCTACACTAAGACTGAATCATCCTGATCAAATTAAAATCTAGTGACTCACAATATCCAAATTCATTCAAATAGTTTAAAAAATAATTTCATTATACATGGAATTGCAGTGGTAAGATTTTAAGAGGAAAGACAGTTTTGTTTTCAAGTGAATCCATTTCTACACTGGCTTAATCTGACTAAATATAAATAAGGGTACGCAAATACATTTCTAACACTTTACATAGAATGGCAAAGAGTATTTTATCTTTAGATGACATATTTAGGAGTGACTTTTTCCAAGATATTAAAATTTGACTTAAAAAAACCTACTGTCTTAAAATAAGTTGAATTAACTCAATTGATGGTAACTGAATAACTATGAAAGGCAGTCCTCAAATACTACAAATGAATTCAATGACTGTGTAGAGAATGTTGAGATTTTTATATACATTTAAGGAGTTTAAGTTTTTCTTTTGTTTTTCTCAAATGATGCCTCTTTGGCTAGGATAATAATTCTCTTCTACTCAACAAAAATGAACTCTAATTTTAAACAGGTATTATTAAATCCCACTGAATAGGCTTCATGCAGATGTATTCCTTAAAACATCGCTTTATTGACCGTGCACAGTTATTAACAATTCACATTTCACTTTATCTACTGAGTGGAAGAGCATTTATTCTTTCATTAAAAAGTTAAGCCCTCCGGGGCAGCAGCAGGAATGCAGAACCTTCTTCCTATAAATGGCATTGCCCAGTGACTGTGAAGTGCTTCTCTATTAATACAAAAAGGATAAATAAGACAAATGGACTTCTCCCTCCCTCCATCATCTCCCTCCCTGCTAATATGCTCTTCTTATTTTATAAAATGCCATTAAGCAAACAGTTCCCACACTGATACTTCCATCAACCAAAAGGGGAATGTCAACATTTATTTGGCACCACTGAATTCAGAACATCCTTAGGGCTCTGTACAAGTGACAAAATGAGTATCAGGCCATGGTCATTTCCTTAGGAAGATGCTTTATGGGAAGAGAGGGTGGAAAATCATGAGGGCATCAGTCAGCCTCCAGTACTTTGCTGCTCAAGTTTCAGGAGCTGTTTTTCAAGTTTTGAGGTGTTTACTCGATGCATCATCAGAAACTGGCCATTCAAGTGAAAGACAGGAATATCAAATTTATACCTTTCATACCAGACAGAGTTTTCTGGAAGTGTGATGTTCACCTCCTGTAAAATGAACTGAAACAGAGACAGACTAAAGCTCTGTATTTTAGACCATGGGGTGATGTAACAACTGCAGTGATAAACTGATCCCCAGACCATTTCTAATGCCATTTTCCTTATAGTTGTTTGTTTGTTTTAGGTCCACAGTGATCTAATGTCCCTGATTTCCAAAACTTGACTGGTTTCATTATATTCTCTACTTCCTGATCTTGCTGCTTTTCTGTTACCCCTGTTACATTCAGCATCAGGACAGTACTCAGTTCCAATGAAATAAAACATGTCCCAGTTGGGAAGCTGACTGAGAATCAGGACAGAAATGTTTTGGTTACAGGAACTGGAAAGGTGTGATGGTGTGTTACGTGAAAACACATCAGTGCAAACTGCAAAACAAGATAAAAGGAATGGGGCAAAAGTTTAAAGAAAACATGAATGCTGCACCTGCTAGTTAACTTTGACTCAGTAAGAGCCAGAGTAAGAAAACCAGTACTGCTCAGAGGAAAACACTTAGGTGTAATGAGTTTTATGGTAATAAGCACTAAACTCTCTCTCTGAAGAACAGAAAGAAAATTTAAAAGAAAAATCATTTAATCTCTTTTCCTAAAGGAAGGATCCAGGCAGATACTTTATACCACATCTAATATGCAATCCATATACATAAAAGCCACACTGTATTATATTACCCTGTTTTCATAAGGCTTGAGTACTTCCTTGGCTTCATCACAAAGGGGGCATGGGTCCTACAGGAAGAAAAAAAACCCAAGCGATTAAACCCAAAGAATGGCATTTGCCCTTACAAAAACAAAACAAAACAAAAAACCCATAAGAGGCAGATTATACTTATTTTAAAGAATAGTTTTCTACCATGTTAGTTACACTGCTTTTCCAAAGTAAAACACTACCATAGAATCTTATAAATAACTAATATTTCATAGGCTCTGTGCATTTTTTTGGTTGTTTTGTTCTGATTTTTCTCCATAAATCAAGCCATCTATCTATGTGTATATATAATACATACATATAGATGTTTCTCTTTTTCACTGATCTAAGGGCTTTGTCCTTCCTAGGTCAGGTGCACCCTTGTGGCCTCATACAGTTGGCCTGGCTGACACCACGAGGATGGCTTAAAGTCTGCTCTGACTGAAAAGCACTGAGCCTTGCCAGCCTGTTTTTCCTAATCAGTCCACAGGAAGAAACCCATTAGGATGGAGTCAGATAGTAATTGCCTCATCTTTAAAAAGTAAAACAAATCTCTATTCACTTCAGATGATTATTGCACCGCCTGTTTTCTCATTACAAGTGTCAACAATAGGTTTCCTGGACAAATTCTCCACCTGAAGAGCAAACAACTTTTAGTGTCCATTGTTTGCACTCATAAACCATCTAGCAGAGAAGTCTGTTGAGAATACTATGGATCGTCGGCAGATTTTATTTATTTTATTTTATTTTTTTCCCACTTTCTCCTATATTTTGTTATTATACTTTTATTATATATGTTATATATATTATACCTTTTTATTATACTTTAAGTTCTAGGGTACATGTGCACAACGTGCCGTTTTGTTACACATGTATACATGTGCCATGTTGGTTTGCTGCACCCATCAACTAGTCATTTACATTAGGTATTTCTCCTAATGCTATCCCTCCCTGCTCCCCGCACCCCACGACAGGCCCCGGTGTGTGATGTTCCACACCCTGTGTCCAAGTGTTCTCATTGTTCAATTCCCACCTATGAGTGAGAACACGCTGTGTTTGGTTTTCTGTCCATGCGACAGTTTGCTCCAAATGATGGTTTCCAGCTTCATCCATGTACCTACAAAGGACATGAACTCATCCTTTTTTATGGCTGCATAGTATTCCATGGTGTATATGTGCCATATTTTCTTAATCCAGTCTATCACTGATGGACATTGGGGTTGGTTCCAAGTCTTTGCTATTGTGAACAGTGTCGCAATAAACATACCTGTGCATGTGTCTTTAGAGTAGCATGATTTATAATCCTTTGATTTATAATTGGCTTATCATGTTATTATTAGCATTAGCAATACATAGATTATGGGTAGTTTGTAATGTTTTAAGATAATCATCCTAAAATTTTCAGAGAAGGTTTCAAAAAGTCAACACAGGATCTTAAAAGCAAAAAAACCCAAGAACATGCTAAATTACAGAAGTACCAAATGTGCTAAAATTTTGCTTTTATATTAAGAATTTTAGAAGAATCTAGATTGGGTTTTTTGTTTTGTTTTTTAGACCTGGGGTCCACAGAAGTCTATGCAAATTATACCTGAAAATATGTGTATATATTTTTATATATACACAGTAATAGGATCACTGGGTCAAATGGTATTTCTAGTTCTAGATCCTTGAGGAATCGCCACACTGTTTTCCACAATGGTTGAACTAGTTTGCAGTCCCACCAACAGCATAAAAGCGTTCCTGTTTCTCCACATCCTCTCCAGCACCTGTTGTTTCCTGCCTTTTTAATGATCGCCATTCTAACTGGTGTGAGATGGTATCTCATTGTGGTTTTGATTTGCATTTCTCTGATGGCCAGTGATGATGAGCATTTTTTCATGTGTCTGTTGGCTGCATAAATGTCTTCTTTTGAAAAGTGTCTGTCCATATCCTTTGCCCACTTTTTGATGGGATTGTTTGATTTTTTCTTGTAAATTTGTTTAAGTTCTTTGTAGATTCTGGATATTAGCCCTTTGTCAGCTGGGTAGATTGCAAAAATTTTCTCCAATTCAGTAGGTTGTCTGTTCACTCTGATGGTAGTTTCTTTTGCTGTGCAGAAGCTCTTTAGTTTAATTAGATCCAGTTAGCCTATTTTGGCTTTTGTTGCCATTGCTTTTGGTGTTTTAGTCATGAAGTCCTTGCCCATGCCTATGTCCTGAATGGTATTGCTTAGGTTTTCTTCTAGGGTTTTTATGGTTTTAAGTCTAACATTTAAGTCTTTAATCCATCTTGAATTAATTTTTGTATAAGGTGTAAGGAAGGGATCCAGTTTCAGCTTTCTACATATGGCTAGCCAGTTTTCCCAGCACCATTTATTAAATAGGAAATCCTTTCCCCATTGCTTGTTTTTGTCAGGTTTGTCAAAGATCAGATGGTTGTAGATGTGTAGTATTATTTCTGAGGGCTCTGTTCTGTTCCATTTGTCTATATCTCTGTTTTGGTACCAGTACCATGCTGTTTTGGTTACTGTAGGCTTGGAAGAAGAATCAATATCATGAAAATGGCCATACTGCCCAAGGTAATTTATAGATTCAGTGCCATCCCCATCAAGCTACCAATGACTTTCTTCACAGAATTGGAAAAAACTACGTTAAAGTTCATATGGAACCAAAAAAGAGCCCGCATTGCCAAGACAATCCTAAGCAAAAAGAACAAAGCTGGAGACATCACACTACCTGACTTCAAACTATATTACAAGGCTACATCGGCAGATTTTAAAGGTCTGACTGAACAGGGACCTGCTATAGGTTCTCTTGGATGAGCTCAAAACAGACCCCAAATTACTTATGCTTATATAAAACCTTCTTTTTAACATGACAGGAAGAGATAAGCTATTATGTAAAAGAGAGGGCTTTCCTCCAGCTTAACTCACAGCTTGTTTTGAAATAAGAATCACACCATTAAAGGGTCTTTCTGGCCCTAATTTCCTAGAACAGAGAATTGGCTTATCATGTTATTATTAGCATTAGCAATACATAGATTATGGATAGTTTGTAATGTTTTAAGATAAACATCCTAAAATTTTCAGAGAAAGTTTCAAAAACTCAACACAGGATCTTAAAAGCAAAAAAAACCAAGAGCATGCTAAATTACAGAAGTACCAATTGTGCTAAAATTTTGCTTTTATATTAAGAACTTTAGAAGAATCTAGATTGGGTTTTCTGTTTTGTTTTGTTTTTTAGACCTGGGGTCCACAGAAGTCTATGCAAATTATACCTGAAAATATGTGTATATATTTTTATGAGGAAAGGCTCATCAAATTTTAAAACAATAAAGAACCAAAAAAAGATACCAGTGGAATGGACCATTCAAATATCCTTCTCTAGGATTTTCCATGGCACTTGTTATTTACTCTGTCCCTAACCATAGTGGGCATTTGTTGGGTTGGCTGTCCACCACCCACTTCCCTTTCTTGTAGCAAGCGTGTTATAATATTGCTTCACAGGAACTACTCTCAGCATGTGGCTGACTCCATCCCAGAAAAACAAAGGTGAGAAACCTGACTTAGGCTCAGGCAATCAGTGCATCCTATCCCTCAAGAATGGGCCAATCAGAGCCAGTGGGTAGCTATAAGGCTTTTGCTGGAGTTTCTGTAGATGACTGAGATGTGAGATCTGAGGCTTGGGATGGCTGCAGTCATCCATGATGAATTAGTCCGTTTTCATGCTGCTGATAAATATATACCCAAGACTGGGCAATTTATGAAAGAAAGAGGTTTATTGGACTTACAGTTCCACATGGCTGGGGAGGCCTCATAATGATGGCGGAAGGCAAGGAGGAGCAAGTCACATCTTACATGGATGGCAGCAGGCAAAGAGAGACCTTGTGCTGAGAAACTCCTGTTTTCAAAACCATCAGATCTTGTGAGACCCATTCACTATCACAAGAACAGCACAGGAAAGACTCACCCCCATAATTCAATCATCTCCCACCAGGTGTCTCCCACAACATGTGGGAATTATGGGAGCTATAAGATGAGATTTGGGTGGGGACACAGAGCCAAACCATATCACATGAGAAGAACTAGAGGGGGATTTAACCCTGAGGATGCAAAGCTGAAGAGATTGTTAACATGTTTAGTTCCTAAATCAAGCTGTTCCTGAAACCAGAGCAACTCCAAAATCTTTTTGTTTAACTCACTCTGGGAAGTACTTTCTATTTTTCATAACTGATAGCAATCTGATACTGTACTTTTAAGCATTTACTTCACTGGATTATAAGCTGCCAAAGGTGGGAGTACCATCTTCTTGTGTGCCTAATGGTACAGAATAAGCATTAAGTATAAATATTAAGCTGAATGGAAAATTGGTGTGGTTTTTTCGTTTTGTTTTTAACAAATGTTTCTGGCTATATAAACTGCTGCCCAAACCGAAGAACAGTGCAGAACTGTTAGGCTGAGTGAGCAACACCAGCCTTAAGGGATTATTTAACTTCTGTGGTTTGCACATGGGTTTCCCATCATAGACTCTCAGATGATGAAATATTTTTGGTTCCATAATTTCCAACAGTGCAATATATACTTACAGATATAAAAAGTAGTTTAGATTAAATATTTTCATCAATAAATTCATTTTTAAAACTCATTAAACTTTGTTATTAAATAACTGTCATATATATCCAAATTGCTAAAATGCCTGAAATCTCAAAAACCTATTGAAAAGAGATCTTTTTTGTTTGAATTGCAGTATTATTCACCAAAGTTACTTCTATTAACCTGCACTTTATTTCTTTTTTGTTAAATCACACAAAGTGATGTTAATTAGCAAAAAAAGAAATCAGTAATGTCTGTATTATAATTTCAGGGAGATAAAGCTGTTAAATATTTTAAAACTAGCTTTATGGCTTAAAACTAGTGTTAGGGATAAGAAAACAACTATAATCAGTCCTCATTATTTATGGATTCCATATTTATGAATTTGCCTAATTGCTAAAACTTCCTTGCAACCCCCAAGTCAATACTTGAAGCGCTTTTGCAGGTATTCACAGACATGCACATGCATAGACTGGTGAGAGATTTCAGTTACCCAAAGCATTCATTCTAAGCTGAGGTCAAACAAGGTGATGCTCTGCCTTCTTGTTTTAGCTCTCATACTGTAAATGTAAGCTAGTGTCCTTTTCATGGTGTGCATAGTGCCAGGATTTTTGCATTTTTGTGCTTTTTATTGGTGATTTCACTGTTTAAATAAGCCCCCAGACACAGTGCTGAAGTGCTGGCTAGTGTTCCTAAGCACAAGAAGACTGTGATGTGCCTTATGGAGAAAATACATGTGTTCGATAAGCTTCATTTAGGCATGAGTTATACACAAGTGCTATTGGCTGTGAGTTTAGTGTTAATGAATCAACAATATATACTAAATAAGGTATCTTTATTAAAAAAATTTTTTTTTCAACTTTTATTTTAGGTTCGGGGGTACATGTGCAGCTTTGTCACATGGGTAAATTGCATGCCACTGGGGTTTGGTGTACAAATGATTTCATCACCCAGGTAGTAAGCATACACCTGATAGGTAGTTTTTCGATTCTCACCCTCCACCCTCAATTAGGCCCTGGTGTCTATCATTCCCCTCTTTGTGTGCATGTGTACTCAATGTTTAGCTCCCACTTATAAGTGAGAACATGCAGTATTTGATTTTCTGTTCCTGTGTTAATTTGCTCAGGATAATGGCCTCTAACTGCATCCATGTTGCTGCAAAGACATTATTTCATCTATTTTATGGCTGCATAGTATTCCATGGTGCAAATGTAAAAATAAAGTATCTTTAAATAGAATCACACATAAAATAAGGTTCTGTATTTGGTAGGCTGATGAAAATATTATGACCAGAGACTCATAGGAACCTAACTGTGTATTTCCCCTAGGAGCAATATTCATTAATTCAGCGTTCAAGGTGACTTTATAGAACATAATTACCACAAATAAAAATAATTGATTGTATTTCTAAATGATACATTTTTAAACACCATATTATAACCTATACTTCATTTTTTTCAATGTAGGGGCCAGATGACCATTAAATACATCAATTTACTCTTTGCTAATTGGGAGATAATAAGGTATCTGGGTAGAAAACTGAGTTGCTGCTGTTGTGCTGATAGAAAAATTGAAGAGCAGGTCTGAAGAAAGCTTATTCCATTGCCTTTCCTTTCAACTTTGTCCCTTTTTCTTAAATGTACAACTTTCTTCACCCAACAATTTTACTTTTTCACTTTGTACCTTTGTGAATAAGGTCAACACAGGCAGAGTTGTCTTAGAGGCAGAGCAATTTCTCAAGAAGAGTCCAAAGGAGGATCTGGCAAGTTGCATGCTATTTCCTTGAAACCAGAGCATCTTAATTCTGCCAAAAGAAAAATAAAGCAGTAAACTTATGTGCCCTAGACTTTGTTCCTTACAATATGGACAGTAATTTCCAAGCTTATGATGGAATTTGCGGGCTTCAGAATTGTTTCTTCAAGTCCAGGAGTGTTGGAAAGACCTATAAATTTGGCAAGTCTCTCTGATGCCTCAACATTCATTGTATTCCGAACGAAACAGAATTTAGAATAGAAAAAAATCCCTTGTTATGAATTAGCTGTATGCCTAATCACTTGGTTTCTGAAAGTAAACTGCATGGGTTTGTTAATTTGAATATAAAATTTCATCTGCAGATTTTGCCGGCATCTTGATGATCCCCTAAAATATGGAGGTTTCCTGAGATGGCTTTTATTCTCATGGATAGCTTATTATACTGGCAAGCATTCAACAATACCTAGCCACTGCCATGGTAAAGAAAACAATGAGGGCCAGATGCCATGGCTCACACCTGTAATCCTGGCACTTTGGGAGGCCAAAATGGGCAGATGACTTGAGCCCAGGAGTTCAAGACCAGCCTGGGCAACATGGCAAAACCTATCTCTACTAAAAATACAAAAAATTAGCTGGGTGTGGTGGTGTACACCTGTAGTCCCAGCTACTCAGGAGGCTGAGGTTGGACAATCACCTGAGCCTGGGAAGTTGGGGCTGCAGTGAGCCATGATTGCACCACTGCACTCCAGTCTGGGGGATGGACATGAGATCTTATCTCAAAAAAAAAAAAAAAGAAAAAGAAAAAGAAACAATGGGTAAGCAGCTAAGCAGCATAAGTCCCCAGGTAAAGGTTCAGACTATCCCTTATGAGACCTATGCTTCTCCACTGTGAGACATAAGAAAACACAAAGCTGGCCAGGCGTGGTGGCTCACGCCTGTAATCCCAGCACTTTGGGAGGCCAAGGCATCACCTGGGGTCGGGAGTTTGAGACCAGCTTGACCAACATGGAGAAACCCTGTCTCTACTAAAAATACAAATTAGCTGGGCATGGTGGCAGGAGCCTGTAATCCCAGCTACTCGGGAGGCTGAGGCAGGAGAATTGCTTGAATCTGGGAGGTGGAGGTTGCAGTGAGCCGAGATCGCACCACTGTACTCCAACCTGGGCAACAAGAGCAAAACTACATCTCAAAAAAAACAAAAACAAGAACAAAAACCACAAAGCTTACTTACAGGAACTATAGGAGAGAATCAGGCTGAATTACCTTGTCAGAAAAAAAAATCTACTCAACTCCTTAAGAAGTGTTTCAAAAGGAGATCATCATAACTTTTGGAAACCTCATACACAAATGTACTTGTGTTTCTACTGGACATATTCCAGTAAGAACAGCTTGGTGATCGCAGCATCTCAAACACTAGGCTTTGAAGCTTCCTCATCCTGCTACTTTGCTCAACATAAGACATAAGTCCTCTGTGATGCTACAGTCATTCTGTTTAATCCTAGTTATTCTACTGAGTCTCCAGTTTTGTCCTGAAAACTGTAAATATTATAATTTCACTTTAAAAACACATGTGCACTATTGGCTTCATCATTTATCAGTATTTCTAGGATGAATTAATTCCTGAGATCATCATTTTTAAACTTTGCTTTACTGTATCTCTGCAACTTCATCTATCACTTTCCCCTCCCTTGCCTTGGCAAGTTGCAACTGCAAAGTTTCTCTTTCTGTTCTTTGTATACCCAATATCATTTCTTCCTCGTTTTGTACTTGCTTTACTTCTGCATGAAAAGCTCTGAAGTAGCTTCTCCTCACTTGGCCTGGGCCTCATGTAATCTCCTTGGAGGTTTAGTGACTAACTTACCAATGTTAGTCAGCCCAACACTCCCCACCCTCACATCTTGCTGTAGTTTTCTTTTGCCCTTTACTATCAAAAATTATTTATGTCCCCTCCACTACAATGCAAGTTCTATAAGAACAGGTACTTGTTCAACCCTGTATCTCCAAGTACCCACAATTAACCTGGCACATAATAGGCACTCAAATATTTATTTGTATGTTAAAAGTATTGAAGTGAGCTTTTCTCACCTTCTTTAATCTCACCTCTACCCCTGATTAGATACTCAGTATGTACAGCAGTCACTATTTGGGCCTATTCTATATAATAACTAAAGATCAGTGCTCCTCAGGGTACCCACAAAATTTTGGGTTGGGGTACTGCAACTGGTTCTAACTCCTTCACCACCACCTCAAATCTTGCCCTCCTCTGCTTCACAGAGCATTACTATATTAATTAAATGCTAATCTTCACTAGAGACAAGGCTCCTCAGTGTGAGATTAGCCTTAAACTCATTTCAAACAGAATGATACGACTTTAGAGAAAACCACCAACCCATATCATGCTAGAATAAAGACCACAGAACAAAAAGACTGGATACTGATCCATGAAAACAATGATTATTCCCTTATTCTTCAGCCCTTACTCTTCCACTTCTACTTGGATCTCTCTGCCAACTAAATGATCCTGATAAATGCATAAAAAAGGAATATGATGAGAATTTTACAAGGATCTGCTATCCAGTTGTTCCAAGGTAAAAAGTAGATCTAAACAATTTCATAACATTCTGTGCTACTCTCAACGAAGTGTTAATCACTGGTACATACATATTTTTATAGATTCAGCAGAATGAACAATTTTCCAATAGGTAAATGTAGTTAGAGACATACCTTCTAAACACAGCTTTGTCTACACAGGCTATAAAAATGGGGAGGAGGTACAGAATTGTTAGCCATGTTTACTCTAGGTAGAAACTTATACATCATGGGATGTGGAAAGTCTCTATGCTAATGGTGACACACCCTTCTAAGAGAAAGAAAATTAAAAATTAGCTTTATTAAAGGCAGAAGAATTAACTTCATTAAAGAAAAATTAGTTTTATTAAAGGTCCCTGGAAATGAGGAGGATTAGGCCATCTGTGGTGGTGATCTGACTACGACCAGGGCAGTGAACTGCAGCTACATGCTTCTGGTGAAGGGATTTAAGATTTATTGACGTCTGGTTGATAAGAAAAGGAAAACATTGCTTTTACCTGGCTGAGTTGAGACTGAAGTATTAAGGCTTTTTTAAAAACTTCAAATTCACAAAGGAAATCTGCTTCAGTTTTTCCAACATGACAAAACACAGCATGTGGTCTTGGTTGCACCCAAGACAAATAAAACCTGTCATAGTAAGCAGAGTTGCTATTCATTCCAGATTTGCTGGAGGATTTGTTCAACCAATCTACAGAGCTAAGTAAAGTCTTCAGTGATGCTACAACCATTCTGTTTGTAACTAGTTCTCTTTTCCACTGTTATTCTCCATTTCTAGTTTTTTACACATTTTAAATTGCTTAAACATGGCACATCTATTTACTGAGAAATGCATCCATATTATGCAATTTTACTACCTGCATATTCTTCAAATACTCTAAGGTATATGCATTTTGTTAAATTAACTTATTTCTTTGGAAGCACTGTATTATAAAATTATATTAGAGCCTGATAGAAAAAGCTCCCTATACCTCTTCTAGGCAGATAGTATGCTAAAATTCCTTAATTTCTAACATTTACTTAATCCTAGAAAGAAAAAAATAAAATGAAAAATGATACACTTCAATGGGAACTCTATAATATTCTTCTTAGAACATTTTACTAACTCTGTAAACCCTAACACCATTGCTGTCAATGTCACATTCACTGAATCATGCCTTCTTGAAGTAAAATTTTAATATGGGCTACTCTGTCAATGTGACATTTTCATTAGTTCTATTATTTTTGAACAGTATCTCAGCACTATAAAAAATATCCTGAAACATGGTCTCTGCCTGTTAGCTCATGACTGTGAGAGGACAACACTTTTTTGATTATGTCATTGAATTTAGTCATGAAATATGTGTCCTTACTACACACACAGACATGATTTTATCCTTCATATTTTGTTATATGCCTCTATGATATGAGCAAAAAGAGCTGTGTTCACAATACCAAAGAAGAACAATTGGGTCACCTTTGTCACAGACTTAAAAAAAAAAAAGCAAAAAACATAAGATTGGATTTAGAATGTGCTTAAAACAAATTCCACAGCCTAACAATAAAGATGGTGACTCCTGCCGTTTCAAGTCCAGTGCCCCTCGGAGGCATGGATCACCCTGAAAGAGAAAGGGAATGCTGGCCTTTCAATAAAACTGAGGCTGATTTCAGTGGTCTTTATGGCAGAGTCAAATACAACATGGGAGCAGGACTGACTGGACCAATTCAGCCCTCCTTGAAGCAACATAAGAAAAATAACTTTATAGTATTTTCCCTGCAAGGGACTAAAGGGCACACCATTAAGGCAACTGATTATAGTACAGAAAGAAGCCAGGGTCGTTTGAGTCTTTATTAAAGATTATTCATTTCTTGCATGAGGAGCTGCCCAGGCTATGGCTGCACATCACTTGTATGGAGCTCCTGGATTCTTCAAACACTGTGTGTGTCTGATTAGAAGGGACACAACATTATTCTCACTTGAGTAGAGAAACTGCCCTTCACCGACCAGAATTTTTATTCATACAAAGAATCCTTTGGCACACCAAATTTTCAAGCTCATGTGATCCCTCATCAGCAAGCTGCAGTGTTAGTTCATGTGCAAAATCAAAAAGTCTACATCAGCCCAGGTACTGCCTTGGTTATTTAACAGATAATGTTGGAGCTTGTTCACAAGAATATAATGTAAATTTAATGCTGAGCTGACATTAACTAAATACTATTACTGTAGCTCTCACTGAACCTATATTCCCTAAAGAAGACTCAGGGCTTCTGTTCAGTCATTTGTGCCATGTGAGAAGTTAAGTGCTCTATTTCCCATTTATTACTATCTAAGTGTAACATTCCTATTTTTACCCAAATGACTGGAAACATGTACACACAAACACACACACACACCTCTTCTGGGAACAAAACCATTATTTTAGATTACTGGAAGTTTATGTAATGAGGTGAGGTTGCTCTTAGGGGACACATCTGGGTCACTGGGCTCTACCAATCCAGCGAAACAGGGACAATTGATGCCTCCCCAGTGTGCCTCTGTGCTTTTGGTCAGTCATTGGTGTCCAAACCTCTCACTCTCCCAAACAAGTGGGAACCTAGCCTGGGATCTTGGGTTCAAGGGCAAGAGAGAAAATGACTCTCGTGGAGCCAAGAGTGACAAGAAGAGGTGCCATATAGGGACAAAACCAAAACTGAAAATTGAGTAAATACTTTGATATGTCAATTCCAAGGGGCTACACAGAGGGAAAATGAAGCTTTGGAACAGAAACAGGGAGTGAGGAGTAGAAGGCCCAACCTGGAGTGCAGCTCTAACTCACTGGCATAGGTGAGATCAGAGGTGCTTTTCTAGTGTCTCAGCCTTAGCATCCAGGTGGAAGTGTTAAGGAGGTAGAGCCAACTCAAACAAAATGTTGCAACAAAGATCCTGAGCTAACCACCCACCTATGGGCCCGGCTATACATGGTGTCACGCTCAGCTTCATTCTGACTACACAGTTTGGACTGCAGATTTGCTTCCACACAACACATTAAACTATGAATAGGCCTATATTATGGCCCAGCCCTGGGGACTGAGACGCAGCTCCTCATACCACTCCCTCTATGCAGCTTCTACTTCCAGATTTCAGTGTCAACAGGTTTACCACACAGGGGATGAGAGAAGCCAGCAAAGAATCAGTCTCCAGAAAGGATTGGTCACATGAGTGCCTGGGACAAAAACTCTTTATTTCCCTTCAAGTTATTACCATGACAATTTCTAAGTAGCTGGATGTCTCTATTCCACTGTTTGGACTCGATGGGTGCTACATTAATTTGTATTCAACACACTGCTCAGTTGAAAACATTCTTTAGCTATTTGAAGTGTGGGCCTTGCCTAAGATGACAATTTCACTGAAGGTATACAGCATTTACATATCCTTCACTTAGTAGATGCACATCCCCTTACCCTTCTAGTTCTCAGTAACATTAAGCCATTAATTTTTTTTTTGTATCCTGCCTGCTGTTTAGCTCATTTTTTCACCTCTAAATAAAGCTCTCAGATGGACTAATCAACTCCACATGTTTGATACAAGTAACAAGAATAACAAGATGTATTTCAGTTATACAGATTCAGGAGAAAGGTGTTGAATTCTTAACTAAAACAATAAAGTTTTATGTCAGGCTTCACAGTGATTAGTGAATCAATGATATCATTCACTCATTAGTTCCACAATGGGGATGGAAAGATGGGTTAAAAATGAATAAGGGTTGATCCCAACCCATGAAAAATCTGGTCAGAAGTTAAGACATGTATATGAGCAGGTAAATTAGAAATACAGGAAATACTGTAACAGGGCCATATAATTCAAATGTTATAAGAGAATGGGAAAGAAGAGTACTATAGGCTAAAATTGGAGGTGGCTTCACAAGAGAAATATCTTAAATCATTTCATTGAGAATTTGGATATGTAGAAAAAAGGGAAAGCTTTCCAAATTCAGGGTTAGACACAAAGGTAATGGAGGTAGGAATGACATGGCTATCTGATGGGGGAAACCTTGAACGGGGTAAAGAGACTTCTGCTGAATAATAGTGGAAAATAAGCTTTGGAAGGTGGACTAGGATAAGCCTGTGGAGGATTTTAATGGTGGTTAAGCAATGTGTGATGTGTTGTATATGTCTTGGGAACCACTGAAGGGTTCTGAATGAGTGATGTGATAAAATCAGTGTTTTGAAAGATTAATCTGGCAGCAGCAGGCAGAAAAGACTGTTGAGAAAAGGAGAATGGAGGTGGGAAAGAGAAGTCAGTTATGAAAATCTAGGTGTGGGATGCATTATTTATTCAACAATTATCTAATATTTTGCATGTATCAGATACTATTATAGGTGTTGGGGTATGGTGATGAACAAGAAAGTAAGGTACGTTGCCTTCATGGGGTCCATGTGCTAGTGAAGAGACTCTTTAATGTCAGGCCACTTGAGATGGTGATACATACAGGGGAGAGATAATAGCAGAGTGATGTGATGCTGACTGAGGCAGGTTCTTTAATTAAGGTATTCTCTGAGCAGGTGTTGTTTGCACTGGAGAGGAAACAGTAAATGCAAAAGCCTGTAAGTGAGGACAAATGATTTATTGAAAGAAACAGAAAAGATTGTATGGCTTAAGCAGAGTACACCAAGGAAAAGGGGATACAATCAGGAGACGAGATTAACCCACAGTAAGCAGGCATCAGATCACGTAGGCCTTGTGGGTTATGTTAAAGAATTGAGATTTTATTCTAAGTACAGTTAGATTTAGAGGAGGGAAATGACATGATCTCATATACATTTTTAAAAGGAAACTTCAGCTGCTGTGCGAAGAACAGATTGTTGGGGGGCAAGAGTGGAGCAGGGACGCAGGTAGAAGGCTACTGCATTAGTTTGGATGAGACGGGATGGTATGGACTAGAACAGAAACAGAGCCAACAGGACTTGCCAATGAATTGGACATGAGGAATTAAAGAAAAGAAAAGAGGGCAGTAAGGTCAATCTCAGTTTTGGTCCTGAGCCTCTAGGTGGGTGGCAGTGCCTGTTACTAAAATAAGGAAAACTGAGGCAAGAACAGATTGAAGAATATGTCGGACCAAGAGCTCGGTTAGGGACATGTCAGAACTCACATAGAGAATGACATACACAGGTTTGATACTCAGGAAAAAAATCCGGGTCTAAAGATAAAGACTTGAGTCTCCATCGGTTTAAGGATTATATTTACAGCTATGAAACTAGGTGAAATCATCTAAAATTGTACAGAAAAAAAAAGAGGGCCCAGGATAGATCTCTGAAGCAATCCAACATTTAGAGGTTGGATCAAGAGGAACCAGCAAATGAGGCAGACAGAACAGCTGGTGAGGTAGGAGGAAAACCTGAAAAGTGTGTCATCACAGAAGTCAATGAGAAAGTGTTTCCAGAATGACAGAATTGTCCATTGTCAAGGAGACTGATGAGGGCTTGTCTAGAACAGGGACAGTGAAACAATCTACCACAAATCAGAAGAGATGCATCTAATGTTGCTTCAAAGGAATGAAATCTTTCAACCAATGCCTACTCCTAAAATGAACTACCTTAAGTGGTTCTTACCCAATTTAACATCTTAACTAAAAGGAGATCTTTCTGGTGAAGATGGAGTGGGAAGGGTGGGAAGAGTGAAGGCAAAAGTTGATTGGGTATCTTAAAAAGAGATGATGAAGGTAAAAATCTCTGTGTAAGTTATAAAGCAGAATAGAAAAGTAAAGCTTAAGTACTGATTACTAAAAATACTAAAAGTAAGAGATCACTATTAATAATAATGATTCTATTGACTGAAATGTGCTTTTACTGGCATCAAATGAAACATTTAAATCTCTATTAACAGCAGTCTCAGAAATGCGGAATTGCAAAACTGAAAAAAATTTCAAATAGAAATAACTGAAAGTTTTCTCACAAATATTATTTAAACAGGAATTTCTAAGATATGACTGTTTAAATATTCAACATATTTATCTGCACCTAAGGATGTCACTAAGCCTAGGTAAGACTGACTAGCAAATACCTTGGCACCAGGTATTGGCTTAAACTTACTCAGCCTTCACAAAATTATGAAGGTACTGAAATTTAGATTTTGAGAAATCAAGGTTTCCCCTTGATGGGTTTTAAGCAAAGGCCAGTTCCCTTCCAATTGGTTTTTCCCAATATTTGTTTTTATTTCTCAAACAGGGAAAAATTCAGTACCATTATTATTTTACCAAGGATATCCTCAATTCATGCACGTCAAAAAAGAAGCCGCCTAGGTAATTGTAAAGGTGGATTTTATTGATAATCTTTAAAGACAAAACTTGTTCCAAGTGGTTCTGAGTAAATTGTCTAGAGAGGTCAAAATAAATTTAAACCAACACAGCTCCTACTAACTAATCAGTCAGAGGAATTAAGCATAAATGGTATAGTTCTTCATTTTGAGCTTTGAAGTTATTCTTCACATAGAGTTTCCGTTGAAATTCAGCATGTTTGACTTCCCTGAGTGCATTTTTAGGTGAGGATTTCATAAACATAAAACCCAAAGAGGGAGGCAAATCCTCATCTCCTAAAGCCTCAGTTTCAGCCACAATTAAATGGAAATGCTACCACTTGTCCCATTCTCTCATTTTAGAAACCCAAAGGAACTGTGCCTGGGGCTTTGGGCCTCAAGCATTCTCCTGATCAGAGAAGGGGAAATCACATGCTAAACAAATGCCATGGGAATAGTCTATGACTAAATAAGGCCTTGAATAAAAAATCCAAAGTAGTTTTTATCTGTAGGAGCCTAAAATAGCCCCTTAAAGAGGACTCAAATTCACTTATAGATCCAGGCAGAAGTGTAAAGATACTTGTTCACTGCATACTCTCTTTTCTCACTCTCAATCATAACTGGGAAGTGTTGGTGTCAAAAGGAACCAAGCTGGAAAATGGGGAAGGTGACACTAAGGCACTCATCTTGCAACTGTCTAAGCATCCAAGATGGAACTCTCCCTACAAAGAAAAAATAATGAATTTCTCTTTCTTACTATTAAACACATTTTAAAGATGATTTTAAATGAAAGATCCTCTTCATCCTGGCATTCTCTTTCCCATCCAGAAACACTGCTGTCTTTGCCTCAGCTGTGGCAAGCTGACAAATGTAAAGTGGAAGGGGAGAGGAGTCTTCAGTATAAGCAAGATTTTGTTTTAGAATATGTAGATCTTAGCATTCACACTTTCCAGATCATTGCTTTGGAGGAGTCTACTCAGTAATGGGGTTGGTGCACATGACAATGTCAGGGAAGAGTTTCCAAACACTCAGCTAAGAAAATAAAATAATGATGCCAATCAAGAACAGTAATGTACGCTCACCATATACCCCCTCTAGTTCCCAAGAGTCCAAAGGGAATTCTGGACTAATTCCTGTTAACACAATGGGGTTTGCACACACTACACCCCTCCCCTCCATCCTCAACTCCAAAGATACTGACTCAGCAACTGGCCTGGAGCCAGAGCAGCATATTCCAAATTCAGAGTGTGCAACAATGCTCGGTTCAATTATGACATAATGGCTGCAAAGCTGTTCCTGAAAGCCAAGAAAACCTGAATAATGTGGTTGGGTTATATCATACATGAGGCCTTAATAGAGTTTAAAAACCAATTTGAAAATTCCTTCATTCCATAAAGATAGCATTAAGATGAGGGCAAAATCATTCTAGTTCAAGGGATGGGAAAAAAGTATATAAGGAATTAGGCAGGCTCCTTTCCACATTATCCTTCTTAACCAACATGACCCATTCCCTTTGACGATATCTCTTATACTTAATACTGACCTAGAAAGAAGGCAATTTCATTAAACATCTTAGTCTTATTGTACCCAGCTAGTAATGCAAGTTTCCCTGCTATTTAAAAAGCACATAATCCCATTTCCAAAAACAACTGTTTGCAATTCAAAAACCATCCACCCAGGCAATGTCTTCTCTTTGTCCCTAAAATTCCACCCACTTTCAATTTATCTTGTCAAAGAGATAAAGTTATCTTTGTGCCCCCACAAAACCTAAAAGATGTTTCATTCATTGCTTGCCATTTTGTAGCAAGTGACTTTGGACATTGAGTTGCTAAATCCAGCATTTCCCTGGACTTGTGATAACAGTAAGACCCAGGCCTGTAGAAATACAGTCTTCAATCTGAATGTTGGGAGCCATCCACTCTTGCTTGACATTAGGCTGTGGCATCCCTCAGTTATGTGGGATTCTACAATCTTTTGAGTCCTATTCTGTTTTTTAATAGCTATCATTGATAGAATTTTTTTAATGTTTTGGAACTGGAAGTGACTTTGGAGATTCCCCTTGCTTTATGTATAAGGAAACTAATGCTTAAAGTCTTTCATACTATATTTTTTAGTTCATTTCTCTGTATTTTCTCCTGGAACAATGGCATATTTTTATATATAATGAGATCAACACAGAATTTCAGAACTAGAAGGCATCTCCAAGTTCAATCCTCTTTCTTCCCAAAAAATCGCAAAACACTTTTCATATTAATCCTCAGAGTATACCAATTAACAGACACTTCATTTTGTATAAGGCTTAATTTAAGGATGGAGAGAATGAGGAAAGTCTCAGTTTCAGACAGTAGAATTCTTTTACCATAAGAATTAGGCTCTGTTCTCTAAATCTAAAAAGATTCACATCCATTTCATTTTTGAACCTGGAGAAATGGCTGAATTTACTGAGTTTTCTATTAAATAATAGAATCATTTTTCTTCACTGGATGGAAGGACTATGTGTTTTAAGAAACAAAGAGTTTTAAAAAAATCAAATAATTCAACGTCATGTCCTTCCCTCCTGACTAAAAATCATTTCCCCATTATTTCATGATTAACATGAAAAAGCACTGGAACAATGAGAGGAAATTCATTTGTTTCCAGTTGTAACAATGCGATTTCTGCTGCAATCCCATTGGCAACAGAAGGCAGCAGCATATACCACCACTGTCCTATTACAACACAAAAAGCTGTCAACTTTGAACTCCTTTGAAATGTTGTTAGTAAAGTAGAAAAGACAAGTGTGGATTTCCTTCAATATTATTTGGGCAACCTAGACTTAAAATAGTGACCAGACTTAAGATAGTGACTCTACAGAGGTCCTCTATCCTTAAGGCAAGACCAAACCAAGATACTGGTGCCCTACATAAGCTAATAATTTGGCACACTTTCAAACAGATACTCTTCAAATATTTGCTAAACAGGTGTTTGGGTGAGGCGTTGCATGGCAGGCCTGGAGAAAGTGTGGAGACAGGACTGGTGGAAGCTTTTAGCTTGCATATTCTAAACAACAAAGGACCCACAACTGACCAGGCCAGATCTCCTTGGAAGGCAGTTTGAGGAGCATCTAATGTATTCCCAAATACACTCTTCCCTGCTCCAAGCTGTTTATTAAAGCATTACTTCTGTCTCTAGTAACAACCTGAAAGGAGGTGACTGCTTTATATTCTTTTCAGTATCTTGTTACATTCTCAATGTTTTATACTTTTTATAGATCCAACCTCCCTTCAGGGACACTATCTTTTCATTTCTATAGCTTGTACTGAGCATTTGCAATGTGCCAGGTGCTGTGCCATGTATTAGAAATATAAAAGTGATTAAGATATTGTCACTGCCCTTAAGAAACTCACACCTTGAGCAGGAGAAAGACTCACAAACAAATAACACAATACCACAGTGATGAAGGCTACAACAGTAAAAAGGCTGTTACTAGATATTACTGGTGAAATGGTCTGAAATCCTTGGAGATGGATACTTTCTAAAAATAGTAGGTAGGTTCTTTCAGTTTGCCTCCATATCTAGGAACTTTAACTTTGGTAAGGATTGGAATAAAAAGAGAGTAACATTTTCATGTTTCCTGTTCTCCGTGGCTGTACTGGGATGGGAAGTTAGGGATGTGGAATCATGTCTAAGATAAACTTAGCCAAAACTTTTCATTTGCATATTCTTCCCCAAATGATTTTGTCCCTAGAATTTGTTATGCAATACTAGGGGAAGGATAGAGGAAGCTCACCTAGTCCCTGCTGTGTAGCTACACATACCTGATCCAGATGATTTCTCCCCTTCGAAATAATTGCAAACAAGATTAAAACTGTATTCAGGAAGTATTCCAGCTGGCTTTTGGCTTCCTCTGATGTACAGTCCTTGAATAAAGCAGTAGCAAAAATTAGATTTAAATAAGGAACATAAAAACACCTCGCTACTTGTACCAGATCACCTCAAGGTCCTGCTATGTTTGAAACCCCAAGGCCTAGCATTAGAGTAACTGAATACATCAGCCAGCTAGAGTATATACAAGTTATGAAATAAAAAAACTTTAATAATAAAAAATAACCTATTTTAAAGGGATTTCTCATAGTGCCTCTGAGTACTTTAGAGCCAGGCATCTGGAACAAAATAGAAACACAGTCCAATCAACTCCCAAGTTGGAAAAATCCTCATTTCTATTACTTACCTGCCAACAGTCCATCTAAATAAAACCACACAGCCACATATTCCTCTGATGAAGGAGACAAAAAAATATTGATCCTTCCTTGGCATGTGGCTACTGCTGCCAGAGCAGGAGGGAAGAAAGACAATCTGAGGATCCTGCCTGTTTAAAGCACCAGCCCCACCAATCTTAATTTTCACAACAGGGTCTTTCTGGTTCCAGGCAATTCCTCAGCAGAGCAGGACGCAGGTTATTGGGCTACGATATTTCACACAGAACCATGATTAGTTCTGCTTTGCCCCAGTATTATCATAATTATCCAATATTTCCAGGGTGTATCTTTTTTCCCCGTGTTTTAAATCTTTCTAATTACCTATAATGCACCCCAATGTATACAGCTCCAAATATTGGTAGAGAGCTTCACATGCATTTTTATAAGCTAGTCCTCAGAATATGACCAAATGAGAAGACTGCGACCTCTAATAGACACCTCAACTTGTTCAGCATTGTGCACCAAGGCATAGCTCTAGTGGCTGCTTAAACAAGACAATGTATACTAATTCTGGGAAATGCGCTAGAAAGTATTGGGATATAACAGATCTTAGACACCATCTCTGTCCTTGAGGAATTGAGAATCTTGGGGTCAAGCTAAGGCCATACTATGGATTTTTTTTTTAAGGGCACTAAAATATAAAGTACCACATATACACTATTTATTAATAAACAAGAATAAAGATCACCCAAGCAAAACATTCCCTGTGAAAGACAGCCTTAGAAACAGTCACAAGCCTAACTCACAATGACATTTTAGTGGGGACTTTTCTACCCTTGGACTTATTAAAAAACTGTATGAGCTGCTATTTGTCAGAAGTGAATATCTGTTGAGAATGTACAGTTTCTGATTTATTCTCTCATTGTTCAGTACCCAGAGGGCTGCTTTTGCCCAATAAGGCTGAGAGGAGATCCAGACAGCTCATCCAGAGAGCCCCGGCACTCACAATGTTCCCTGCTGCACCTTTCAACCTTTTCACCCCAATTAAAGGTCAACATGGCTGCTCAAAAATATTTATTTAAAAAGGCAGTCAGCTCAGCGGGCTCCCAAGTGTGATTACACTACCACTTCATAGAATTCAATTAAACCCGGGACGGGGCATCGGCGAATCACTGGAGGAGTATGAAGTTGAGATGTTTTCTGCTTTCTCGAGATGTTTTCTGCTTTCTCTTAAAAAAAAAAAAAGCTTCCTTTTCCCGCCCGTCATTTATTTACTTCCCAGAGCGCTATCACAGACACACACACACGCGTTTATAATCTCCCCCAAGTAGTTCATGGATTTATGGCTCCCGGTTTAATTAAATTCCGTATAACGACTATCCAAATGGGCAGCACGCGGCACAGCGAACCCCCGCCAGCCTGCGCGTCAGCTCAGAGGCGGAGACCCGCGAGCGCTCACCCTCGGCGCGGGACTAAGGGAACCCACCTGAGCCTCACGCCGCCAACGCCTCTGCTTCCGCCCTGCGCCGGGCACTTCCGCCCGCACCCACCAGGCGCCGGCCCCAGGCCCCGCACTTCCGCCCCACGCCGGCAGCACTGCCGCTGGGCGTTCTATCTCAGGTGGTGTCCCGTCTACGCTCTCAAGGGTGGCCGCGCCTGAACCTTTACTCGTGAAGAGTGACACACAAACCAAGGCCAAACTAAAAAACAAAATACGGAAAAGTGACCCCGCATGTTTGGGAACCATTTAATAAGAGGCCTCAGGTGCGGGAGCCAACTTTTTGAGGCTGCGGAGTCCGAGCCATTTTAACCGCTCTGCATGCATCCATTCTTTCGTTAATTTAATATTTACTGCCTCCTCCACTAGGTCTTGGCTGAACTAGGTTATGGGGAATGCGATGAGCAAAACTGGCAGCCGTACCCTCCCGCAAACTGAAAATCGTGTGAGAAAGCAGATATTAGGAAATTATCCCTTATTAAATAGGCCATGGGTTTATTCAGCTAAGTGCTTTGCAGGGAAGGAATATGAGAAAAGACCTGAGTGGGATCTCGTTGAAGAGGTAGCTTTGGGGCTGGGATCTGAAGGGCGTGGGTTGGGGACAGAGCTCTGCAGGCTGGGGGAAGGGTCTGGTGGAGGATGTGCAGTATGGGTTGTATGCGGAAGACTGACGAGTATGGCTGAGACTTAGAGGGAATGGGGAAGAGAGGTGGAAACAGGCTAGAGAGGGTAAGCGAGAGTCTGGCCATGCAGGGCCTTTCAGGTTTGTGCTAAGGGTAGCCGGGGGGCATTTCTGTTTTATGTGGGAAGGGGATTGAACTGATTGCTTTTCCCTTCTGAAAGGACCCCTTAGCTTTGGGAAGTAGATGGGAAGGGTTTAGGATAGGCAAGAGTAGAACAAGCAGGGAGGTGAGGAAGCTACTGAGCATTCCAGGTTCTAGGTGTGGTGGCTTGAATGGTGGTACAGTAAATAATGAGAAAATGATGGATAATAATTATAGTAATACTCAAAGCTAACATTTATTGATTGCTCACCAAAAGCTTTATACTCATTAGTCTGTTTAATCCTGAGAACAATGCAATTAAGTATTACTAGTACCATTTTACAGATGAAGTAATGGAGGTTTAATAACTTGCTCAAGTTCTCACAGTTACAAAACGGTAGATTTGGAATTCCATCTCATGCTGTCTGACGCCTTAAGCTTACCACTATAAATTCAATGTGTACTCAGTGGTTTTAAAAAAGATACAAAGCAAACCAAGGTCAGGAATGAATTCTTTAAACAAACCACACTGATTATGTGATGTCGCTAGAGGCCACATTAAGATAGTAGAATTTACAAGTTCTTTGTCACTTCAGCATTTTCTGATAGGCTAAAGAGGGAATTTTGTGACTGTCAACAGACTACCTATAGTTATTTTTGAGTTGATGCACTCTGATAAGACTTAGTTTTTCTGGAAAAAAAAAAGTCAATTGATAAAGCACAGTCCACCTAACAGTTGCTGATAGGATACCTTTAAAGAAGGAATCTGGGATCTAGTTATAAACACCTTGGTGGGGCATGAGTATCTTAGATATTGTGGAGTGACAGAAAAGCTTACTAGAAATGTAACTCCAGATCAGCTTCCAAATCTTATTTATTGTTGGAAAACAAAGGTTTATAAAATCACTTGGACTTATGAAACCTGATTTCACCCACTGAAGGAAAAGAATGGATTCAACCAAGGCCAACAATGAAGGCTTTTAGCACTGGTTATGAGTAAATTTCTCTAAGGAGCCAAAAGTTCATAAATTTTCAGAATTTGAGTTTAATCAGTAAGAATTTCTTGGGTTTGTAAGTGATAGCGGAAGACCTGGAGCCTCCACATTATTGTTTTGGTTAGAGGGAGTCCTGTCGAATGTCTAGGAATCCCTGAGAACTCACTATGGTTGATACCCTCTTTGGGAGTGCCTGGCTGACTGCCATGAGCTCAGAGGACCAGTTTAGCCTCTAGGTCCAGGGCCTACAGTGCTGGGGAAGGGAGCTCTGCTTGGGAAAATATCTGGAGTCTGGCCAGGAAAAATGTCTACAAAACCAAAAAAGAAAAAAAAGGACACTCATAGCAAAATTAATGAACATTTATTAAATGATCACAAAATTGAACACTGTGTCAGCTTCATTAATGGATGGGTTTAGCATTTATAACAACTTCATTACATTGGAAAACAATTTTTAGATGAGATGCTCTCACCAAGTGAGAGTTCCTGAGTATATGTGATGAGTGTAGAGAAATTATATTTTAACTTTTAGCCACATAATTTCACAAGCAAAATTTTAAAAATCCTTTTATAGAAAAATTATTAAGTGTGAAATGTATATACCTTTTAATATGTTTCAAATGATGTGAGTGTTTTAAGAATATGAAGGCCTTAAGACAGTTCTGGATCTTGTACAATTTTGTTCATTCAAAACATGCTTGTCGCCGGGCATGATGGCTCACACCTGTAATCCCACCATTTGGGAGGCCGAGGTGGGCGGATTACCTGAGGTCAGGAGTTCGAGACCATCCTGGCCAATGTGGTGAAACCCTTTCTCTACTAAAAATACAAAAATTAGCTGGGTGTGGTAGTGGGCACCTGTAGTCCCAGCTATTCAGGAGGTTGAGGCTGGAGAATTGCTTGAACCCGGGAAGCGGAGGTTGCAGTGAGCTGAGACTCCATCCTGGGCAACAAGAGCGAAACTACGTCTCCAAAACAAAACAAAACAAAAAAATGAACAAACAAACAAAATAACATGCTTGTCATTAGGCATTTGACTTGCATGTCCTCCTCTAGGTCTGGACTGCAATTCTAGGCTATGCGCTACCAATCTGGATAGGACTGATGCAGGGATATCTGTGTGCTAGAATGTTCAGAACTCAACTGGGTTGAGTTTTTCAATGGTCATCTCTGAGGCAGAAGCCTGGTGTAGAGAAAGCCTGCTGTCACAGTCTGATCTGTAACTCCTGACATAACTCCAAAGGTACTTTAGAGGACACATGACCTATTCTTCCAGAGATGACCTGGAGCCAGGCTTCCCTCTTAAGGCCTCTGAAAGGTGGCCTGTGTGGGTGTGGAGGGAGGCATCTTCACTCCTGTCCTCTTAGCTTTGCCTCTGGCAGGAATAAAGAAGTGGGCTTTGATGTCAATATGTTCCCTTCAGAATGCCTTAGAAAAATAATGTATGTCTTGGCAAGTAGTGACTGTCATGCCAGCTCTGTTTTACAGTAATTTGGCTGTGTGTTGCCACTCAAAGAACGTGCAATTTGAACTTTGACTAGGAGGGACAGTCTCAGTAATTGCCACAATTAGGTGATGCGATTGTTTTGGTGGAGGTATTCAGAAACTTGGTAGGTTTTCTTTCCTGGTGTATTTCTGGACTTTATAGTGAGCATATTTATCTCATGAGTCGCCCATCCTCAGGTCTGCAAACTCTGCAGGAAATGAACTCTAAGGGCCAGATATTGTGTTATGTTTAAGGTCATGGAGAAAAACAGTGGCAACCTCCCAAAGAAAAGACAGGCTTCTGAGTCTGGGATGTGCTGGGTCAGTGGGGTCACTGTTGACTCCCCCAAGGCCAACCATTACAGGAAACAGAATTATAAGCCCGACCCACCAGGGGAGAATGAATCTCAAAAGCCTGATTCCTATGTCCCCATTGACATTTTAAAAACTCTGCTCTTCTGCCAGACATTCAGAGGAGAGTGAAGTAAATTTTAAAAGGAGAAAAATATTTATTTGTTTTAAAGCTTGCTCAGTAGTCCACTTAGGTCATTTACATAAACAACCTTTCCATGTAAACACCATTAATTATGTAGTATAACAGCCACATAAAAATGCTAAAAAATAAAAGTCATTGTAGAATAAATTAGAATGGCTTGAGTGCACAAATATAGAGAAACTGTAGACTTTTACATTTTATTGAAGGAAGTAGATGTGTGTTTTTTCTTTTGTTTGAGCTACTAGGATGGAACCAACAAATGACATTTTACAGATGGATACCAAAGCTGTTAAAGTTTAAACCCATACTGGTGATGAAATTACAGTTTTTGCAGGGACCTTGACTCACGCCTCTTTCTTTATCTGTCTTGAAAAGATTGTGGGGCAAGATAGGAGTTGAAGTGTCCTGTGGATTTCCCCAGAAGGTTTGTTGGAGCAAGACCATTGTTGTCTACTCCAAAATCAGTAGCTTCCAACCTCCTTTCACCTGTAATAACAGAAGATTACTTGTGTCTGTGCTAAAGGAAATGAATTGAGTGCAGCCTGCCAGGCACAAAGAAGAAGGGCAGAAACTGACACTGTTGAGGAAAGATGGCATAGGGGACCTTGTAGTAACAATACCAGGGCACATTTGTGTCACCCTTTGTAGTACTGCAAGCATCTTTATAGATATCATTTAATATGATTCTTCACAATAATTCTGTAAGATAGACAGGGCATGCATTTTTATCAGTCCCATTTTACAGACAAGGCAATTGAAGCTTCATGAAGGAAATCACAATGAAGCTGGAATTGGAAAGCATTTCCTAACTCCCATCTATATTTTTTTCATTACCCCATTCATAATTCTTTTTAAATGTAATTGAAGAGAAACATGGTTCAGTTCCTAGCAATATTTTGTGCTATGTAGGATCTTTTAAGAATGTTGAGTGCATTTACATCATTTCCTCAGGGAAAGTTTTGTTTTACCTGGACAGGCAGGAAATGGAGTTGAAATGGGAAAAGTTTTTCATTTTTATGGATTAAACCCATCTGTTATGTTCACTAAGGCTAGGTCATGGAGGAGGATAGATTTCTCATGGCATAAAGAGAGGAGAGTAAAATGCACCTCCTTTATTCCCTGGTTCAGATTCACCCCCATCCAGAGAGTCCTGTTCAGACAAAACAGGGCAGCCAGCCTATCAGTCAGAAAGAAAAGATACTGTGGCCCTCAAACATGCCCCAGCATACTGAGCAGTCTTCCACAAAGTTGAAGTTAATACTTATTGCTCGGAAGAATTCTGAGGGATAATCTTTTTGCACATATTTGAACCTCCTTCAGAGACATATGTTTAAATATTTTACTATATTATCTGCTGTGTCTGCACAGGACAAAATAAAGGAAAATTTCCAATTTATTCAGAATAATGCTGACTACTTACTATGTGCCATAGTCAAGCGCTGGAATGCTAGTGTTTGTTTGTTTGTTTTTTTCCTGAAACGGAGTTTCACTCTTATTGCCCAGGCTAGAGTGCAATGGCGCAGTCTCAGCTCACTGCAACCTCCACCTTCCGGGTTCAAGCAATTCTCCTGCCTCAGCCTGCTGAGTAGCTGGGATTACAGGCATGCACAACCGTGCCTGGCTAATTTTGTATTTTTAGTAGAGACAGGGTTTTACCATGTTGGTCAGGCTGGTCTCGAACTCTTGACCTCATGTGATTTGCCTGCCTCGGCCTCCCAAAGTTCTGGGATTACAGGTGTGAGCTACTGTGCCCTTCCTGGAATGTTAATGTTTTTTGTTTTTGTTTTTGTTTTTTTTGAGACAGAGTCTTGCTCTTTCACCCAGGCTGGAGGGCAGTGGTGGGATCTTGGCTCACTGCAACCTCCACCTCCCGGGTTCAAGTGATTCTCCTGCCTCAGCCGCCTGAGTAGCTGGGATTATAGGCACACGCCACCACGTCTGGCTAATTTTTGTATTTTTAGTAGAGATGGGTTTTCACCATGTTGGACAGGCTGCTCTTGAACTCCTGACCTCAAGTGATCCACCTGCCTGGGCCTCCCAAAGTGTTGGGATTACTGGCATGAGCCACCGCACCCAGCTTGGAATGTTAGTGTTGAACCACACACGTACCCCTTGTAATAGAGCTCACAGTCAAATATTAATGAAATGATCATGTCAATATTTACTGTAGAAAACCCATTTTCCAATGGGAGTAAGACCAGTAACTAGTTAATTGGAAAATGCAGTTAAAGTGGGAAGTATGTATATGATTTGATATATATATATTTAATCATATAGGTATGGTTATATATATATAAATATTTTATTTTTTTACTTAAAATACATAAACGAACATTCATTTGCTAAATTTGTTAGAGTCAAGATGGTTTCTTTTAGGATCTGTCCAGTCATTGAAAGTTTACGTTATCTTTCTTGCATAAAGCTCACTCAAAATGATGGGATATACATTATCATCTACAATTTCTAGTTTCAGATACTCTAAAGTGGAGGGAAAACTTAAAGACACTTGTGAAGTGTCTTCACTAAGTGAATTCACTTAGATTTTTATTTTTTCCCCCAATCTTTTACACTTGTCTTGCCTACAACTAATTTAAGAGCAGTTATTTTCCCCCAGCTTTTCAGGTCTTTCCAAGGCATTTAACTGAGCTTTCATAGAGACAGTAACTCTCTTTTCATGCTCATATTTTATCAGTTTATGTGATATTTAATTAAACTACATAATTATAGTAATCAAGTACAACTGCCATAAACAGGTTTGGGAACAAAAACAACCCACTCTTAGTAAGCATAAGCTCAGCTGGTGGGAGTAGAGGCCTTGAGGTTACCAGGTGGCAGAAGCCTCAAGTGTTGATCGTGATCCGGGCAATCCATCAATACGTTTTACAAAGGGATTTGAAAGCATCACTTAATTCCCTGCGGTGCTGAATTAAGAGAGCTTCTGTTATAATTAACAACGAATAAATATTACTAAAGAAAAGCGGTGGGTGCCATAAAAGTCTGTGACTGGGGGATGTGATATATACATCACAGTCCTGGGGCGTTAGGAAAGACTTGACTGTTGACCTAAGATCAGACGAAGATTAGAGTTACCTCAGAGACAGGCTGGGGCAGGAATCTGGAGAAAGCGTTCCAGGCAGCAGGAGTAGCAGGGTCAATGGTGTGAGGGTGGAGGGAGGATGTGTTGAAAATGAGGAACTCAAAGAAGGCAGTGTGGGTGGAGCAGAGTGTGGCAGCTGGGGAGCAGTCCTGGATGAGGCAGAAGGAGGTAGAGGCCACTTCATGCAAGCTTTCCGGGCTCTCACGAGCAGGGGATCTTCATCTCTATCGACAGCGGGAAGCTGCCAATGCATGTGAAGTGAGAGTGTGCTTATTTGATCAAGAGCAACAGCCAATTTGTAGAGTTTAGACCCCCAAATCTAATTTGCATACTTGGCTTGTATATTTTCCTAATCTAAATACACTATAGGTAATGGAGAAAAAAATTTTTTTTTCTTGACCTCTGGCATCAGAATTTCTCTTAGGAAGGGAACTGTCCTTATTCAGGAAAATGCATTCATTGGCAGCTTGTGGGTCAGAGATGAAGATCTGAGGATAGGTGTTGAGATAATAAAGAGATGCTAAATATCTCTGCTGAGAAAATAAAAGCGAGTGAGAGAGAAGGAAGGGGAGTTTTGTATTAGTTTTCTAGGCCTGCCTTAACAAAGTACCACAAACTGAGTGGCTTAGAATAACAGACATTTATTCTCTCCACTTTGGAGGTTAGAAGTCTGAAATCAAGGTGTCAGCAGGGCCATGTTCCCTCTATAAAGCTCTGGACAGATTTTTTCCTTGCCTCTTCCTGGTTACTCCCGGTGCCTGTGCAATCCCTGGTGTTCCTTGGTTTGCGACTCCATCTCTCCAGCTCTGACTCTGTTGTCACATGGCATCCTCCTTGTGTGTCTCTGTCTGTGCGTCTTCTCCTTTTCTTATAAAGATGCCAGTCATATTGGATTAGGGTCCACCGAAATTACTTCATCTTAACTTGCTTGCATCTGCAAAGACCCTGTTTTCTAAATAATGTCCCATTCACATGCACTGGAGGTTAGGACTTGAATATATCTTTTTGGGGGACACAATTCTACCCATAACTGGTGTAAACAGGGAGAGGTGAGAAGGATCAGAAAAATCATGAGATGTTAAGGGGTTAGGGTGGCTACAGCCATTAAGAAATTGCTGGTGGTGGAATGGCTGAGCAGACTAATAATGCATTTTAAAGTGCTTTTTGAAGACATAGAAGTAGCCAACAAACATGAAAAAATGCTCATCATCAGTAATCATCAAAGATATGAAAATCAAAACCACAATGAGGTATCACTTCACACCAGTCAAAATGGCTATTAAAAGTCAAAAAATAATAAGGGCAGCAAGGCTGTGGAGAAAAGGGAATGCTTATGCACTGCTGGTGGGAATGTAAATTAGTTCAGCCACTGTGGAAAGCAGTCTGGAGATTTCTCAAAGGACTTAGAACTACTATTAGATCCAGTAATCCCATTAATGAGTATATACTCAATGGAAAATAAAACATTGTATCATAAAGACACATCCACTCATATGTTCATCAAAGCACTATTCACAATAGCAAATACATGGAATCAACCTAGGTGTTCATCAATGGTGGATTGGATAAAGAAAATGTGGTACATATACACCATGGAATACTACGCAGCCATAAAGGAGAATGAAATTATTTCCTTTGCAGCAACATGGATGCAGCCAGAGGCCATTATCCCAAGTGAACTGACGCAGGAACAGAAAACCAAGTACTGCATGTTCTCATTTATAAATGGGAGCTAAACATTGGGTACACATGAACATAAAGATGGAAATCACAGACTCTGGGGACTATTAGAGCGGGGCAAGAGGGAGTGGATAAAGGTTGAAAAACTACCGATTGGGTACTATGCTTACTACCTGTGTGATGGGCTCATTTGTACTCCAAACCTCAGTGTCACACAATATACTCATGTAAAAAAACCTGCACATGTACCCCCTGAATCTAAAATGAAAGTCAAAATTATAAAAATAAAGATCTGATCCAAAAATAAATAAGTAAAGTATCTTTCTTCCCTTGTAAGACATGACAGCCTACAAAATGTCTCCCCACTGTGCCCAGGGTGATGACTCCCACCTTTTCAGTGACACTTCTATTACACATGTGTTTGTTGATGCTTTGGTGGAGGAGATGAGGGGGCAAAAGACAAGTGGGGTCACCGAGAAGGACTTGGGTCCCATGTTAGGGTTGCTGACATAAAGGATGCAATCATAGGAAACCTCCAGAGAACAATTCAAGAGATGTTGGAGATTTCTCAAAGGACTTAGAACTACCATTAGATCCAGTAATCCCATTAATTACTGGCGGTGGGGGTGGGGGTGGGGGTTGGGGAGGGTGGCGGGAAAAAGTAATTCTGTGATTGTAAACCACTGTTCGTGTGTCCTGGTCTCCCAGATATTCAGAGAAATATTGAATTTCCACAATCTCTAGCATGCGGGTTTGGAAACTTTATCTCCATCTTGTTGGGCAAGGACCAGGGTTTCAAATATAGTTATTAAAAATCTTCCTCTTCATTTGGTGCTGTCAACCCTTTGAGGGTACAGTGCAGGGTTTTCGCTATATTTAGAGTGCTTATGAGTTACTTAAGAAAAACACACCCCAAATCCTGTATTCTACATCTCTTGCCCTACCATTTTCCAAATATCAAAATTCTGAATAGACGATCACTTTGATGGTGGGAGAATGTTCCCTGAAGTTCAGTTTTTAGGTCTTGTCAGTTTCCCTTCTTACTTCAGTAAGGCTTAACGTTTTATTTCTGGATCGCTGGCTGAGGCACTGAAGCTCTTCCACGCCATTCACTCAGGTTGCTGGTTCGACTCTCAGAACAAAGGAAATGATTTCCTGCAGTGAGTCCAGATGTTTGTGTTCGGCATTACTGCTATTAGCCATCAAGTCTGAGAACTGTACAAAATTAAATCCATCCTTGAGGCCTAGAAGGGAAGACAATCTTAATAATAGTGTAATGTCCTCAGAGTGAAATATCCTGAAGTGGGGGAAGAACTACCATCTCCATGAACTACAGTCCTGCACTGCAGCCTTTTTGTTCATTTCTGTGCTTCATTTACATTGGTATTTAACACAAATGTGGTTTTAAAGCATATCAAAGCCGCCTTAAAACCTAAGTAACTGGCAAATGGTTAGAATAATTAATAAAGCAGGTTTTTGTTTATTCTGTAAGCAGTTCAAGGAAATTGAGAAAATTTGCAGTTGGCAAAGGTATTATTGGTGGCTAACACATCGCACCTCAGTAGAAACTTTCATCATCTCAGTTGTGTCATGAGCACTGAGGCTGCCCAGGCAAAATAAAGTGAAAAGCGGGCAATTACACAGAGACTGTGAATGCAATATGAGGCTGTGTTTGGATATTTAGGCAAGAAACCTTTAGGGTCTTCTCTCACTTTGTGAACCCTGCATGGATTGTTGGTTAGAAGGGCTGGATGGTGCTCTACTTTACCCCTGAAGGAATTGGCTAACCCATCCATTCTCCTGAATTATGTCAGGGAATTTGTGTTCTCTAGCTGCTGAGAAAAGATGCGTCCTCTTGGTGACTCTCACAGTCATCCTCTTAAGCCTCTGAGAACCAGCTGGTTTTTTGTTTGAACCAAGTCATGTGCACATGACTCCTGCATGCTGAGGGAAGGTGTCCTCAACAGAGGCCCTCATGTCTCAGCAGTCCTGAGATGACCCAGAGAATGCTAGAGGAATGGGCTCTGAAATTCCCTCTGACCCAAGGCCTATGCCATGTGCCAGTTCTGTATACGGTTGGTTCTTTTCCATAATTCCTGCTCTGCCCTTGTTAGTCCTCACAATAACCCTTTAAAGAAAATTATTCTGCCAATATAAAAGGTGCCAGTCTTCTATGGCACCCTGGCTTTTACCATACCCCAAGCCCAAGACCGTCTTTCCGAAGCTCTGTGTAAACTCTAAATGGTTACCACATGTAAGAAAGATTAAAACAGAGGGGGAAAATAATCTCAGCTTGAACTAGCCACATTGGTGCTGATTACCTTGCAGATATAAAGCATTCTTACATTTTAAACATTTCCATTTTTTAATAAAGAGCAAGTCAAAGTTGGCCAGGATTCAGAAGAAGTCTCTTGAAATGGTAATATATTTAAGAAGGTTCTTTATAAAATCAAGAGTGGTAGCTACTTTCTTAGTAGCTTCCAAGAGTGGAAAAAGCAGGAAGACTGAAGGATATCAATACTTTGACAGGTCTGAATGTTAGAAAGTGGGGATCAGTTATTCTCATTAGTCAAAGAGAGAAGACAGGAGTAAGGCATAAGTTTGGTGGAATAAGAGAAAGTTAATCTAAGAAACACATAAGTACAATGAAACTGGCTTTGTCCTCTTGTACTGCTGGTGGCAATTCAATTATCATACAGTCATATTTCTTATTTTGTAATTGTTAATTGGTTAAGGCATAGAGCATTTCTGTGAAATTCTTCTCTCTTTCCTCCCAAGCATGTGTGTGTGTGTCTGTGTGTGTGTGTCTGTGTATGTGTGTGTATGTTTGTATACAAAAATGAGGAAATGGAGAAACAGCGGAGACATGTGTTACTAGCTCCCTCTATCTGGATCTGGGGAAGGCCCAAACCCCAGACTTACTGTTCCCTTCTGCTATCGTGAGGTAGATGGTCACTTTGAAGACACTCACAGTTTCTTTGCCACCAGGTCTTACTGTAGGGTTATTTGTGGTTTTTTGGTTTTGCACTATTTTTTCTGGTCATCATCGATTCTCACATAAGTGCAGATGATGAGGGAGAAAATCTAACTAAATGGAATCCTTACTACATGTGTCATATTTTCTCTGCCCAGTGCCTGTCTTAAAAGCGTATCTGATTGTATATTATCTCTCATAGCTTGCTTGGACTCCTCTTTCCTCTTGGTCTCGGGAAAAGAGACAAAGGGAGAGGTGTTTAAAGGTAGTTCGCCATGGCATGCCGCCTGTACTCTTGCAGGTAATTTACACGCCACGTGGTCTCCACCATTGCTGTGTGCTGTAACTCAGTAACCCAATGGTAGCTTGACCTTCAACAGCTGCTGAGCCTCTCTGTTTCTAAAAAGGGGCAGAAGAGGCCATTAGAGCAAGGAAATAACATGTGGCTTTCCAAACTGCATGAAATACGTCTATTGTGACTAGATGAATTACATATTCATGAAAACTGTGAAATGGAAGACAACTCTGCTTGCCAAGCCCTCACACTGGCTGAGCACAAGGCCCAGCAAACAATGCAAAGCTCTGGCTCTCTCACTTATTTACCTTGCCAGTCAACATGTACTGTGCAATTACAGGTTTCTACAAGTCATGAGAGGAAAGCTGGGAAGACTTCTGCGTTTCCAAAGAAAACTGAATTCCAGAATTATTACATTTTAATCTCATGCCAATGAGCATTTATTGAGTGGCCACTGTTCTAATATTATCCCAACAAAACTGCAATAATGTATTATTAGGAAAGGAATTGACTAGTCAAAAGTGAGCCTGCACACACTGTAACTATCCCCCTTTCCTCCATTAAACAGGATGTCTAACTAGTATGTGTATAACCACTCACACCAAGATAAGAGTTTTGATGTTTCTATTTCTTATTACTTCCTGTTAGAAGAGAATCATGGAAACTCTTTCTACCTTACAGATAGGAAAAATGAAGCCAGCCATGTTAAGTGACCTCCCAAGGGACGTTGTCACTGGCAGAGCCGGGAAGAATATTGCATTGCTGTCTCTTGACTCTGAGTTCATATTTACTGTACCAGAGCACGCATATGGATTTGATGTTAGTATTACAATATCAGTAACAAGGATGACCAAAGAGATTCTGACATTTCAAGTGCTCTCCGTGGTTCTGTTCGTAGCTCATCAAGGGCATAGGTCCAATACTGGTTAGTATCATGCACATGCTGTTCCTCTTAGCTTCAGTCCTTTCCCCTTCTCCACCCTAATATTGTTTCATCTTTACATTTTCTGCTGATCTGGGTGAGCTAAACAGGCTCACTGGTAGCTATGCAAACCCTCTTCTTGGGGTTTCTGTACTGCAGAGGTTCCAAATATGATTTAGGGCTCTGTTAGTCAGATGCATTCACAGAAGACTTAAAATCAGAATTGAGTTAAATGGCAAGAGCTGTGTGGTCTGTTAGCCTTTATTATTCCCCCCAGCAAGGATCTAACAGGAACCAACAATTGTACCCTTGAAAATTGCAAATGAGGTGTATTCCTGGAGCCAGTGGTTGCACTGTCAGTCTTTTGATTTCCAAGCTTCCTGAATATGGCAGAGAAGGCAGCTCCACCTGGGAGTCCGGTTCTGCAGTATTGTTCTAGGATATATTTCTCCAGGTTTCACAGAGACTGTTTTTCCTGACCTTTCAAAGATTTTGTTAGCACCTGATTTCCTGTATTAAATCCTGTTCTACTTAAACTTGCTAGAATGGTTTCTCTGATCTACAGCTGAGTCCTGACTGATCTGCTGCTCAAAGATCACCTGTAAGGCCCTCTGCACCCTGAGTCATCTGTCTGTGTTCAATCACATCATGGTGCATTTAAATCTCTCTCTCTCTCGCTGTACGTGTGTGTGTCTCCTATGCCCAGACTACAAGGTTATTCATCTTTTAGTCCTGCTATACCTGGGACAAAGCTGAGCACATAATATTCACTTAAGAGATGTTTGTTTGAATAAATGGATGGATGACTAAATGCATAGGAACAAATATCCTGTGACGCTTAGTTCATGGGAGAATGAAAAACTTGTTGAAAATGCAATTTTATTTCATATATACGCCATTAGTGTATTTTATATAATAAAATGTAGAAAGGCACATACTTTTAGCTTGATATTAATCACTACCTCTTACTTAAACAGTCAAATGGGATTTGCTGCCCAGCAGTTAAATATTTTGCTATCCTCGGAAGACTAGCAATGTGCATTGATGAATGTGAGCCTTACCTCTTAGCTTCTGCCTCTTCCCCATTACATTTCTTCCTGGGTAAATTCTGAACAGGTGCTACTAGATGCCTCATTAACTGCATGGAGCTTTAGAAATCATGGGTGAGATGATCCCTTGCCAGAAAGTAAGCCCTGAATTCTTTAAACACTGTCCTGGACTTAAAGTACTGTGATTCTTTCTGTGTTGCCATCGGCGACAGACAATGGCTTAAGGTGCCAAGAGCTTGAATTGATGTTACGTCTTATCTTACTCTGATCTTCCTTCTTGTCATTATTTAGCCCTTTCTCTATCATTTATGTTTCATTTCTCCATTAATATTTATTAAGTGCCTACAGCTTACATAGTAATAATAACGGTAGTAATATATACATTCTATTTTTAAAAGCTACTGTAAAAAATTTTCACAATTTGTAACTAATTTAATTCTTGCTAAAATTTTCTGAGGTCAGGAGGGTAGGCACTGATATTCTCATATTATCTGTTGAGGGTTGAGAGACACAAAAAGAGTAAGTGTCCTGCTGAAAGTCACACAGTAGAGGTGGGCCTACATGGTACCAACTGACATGATCCTAGGTTCAGTGCTTGTCCTGATGCCATTTTTTTTTTTTTGAGATGGAGTCTTGCTCTGTTGCCCAGGCTGGAGTGCAGTGGCATGGTCTCAGCTCACTGCAACCTCCGCCTCCCTAGTTCAAGCGATTCTCCTGCCTCAGCCTCCCTAGTAGCTGGGATTACAGATGCCAGCCACCACACCTGCCTAATTCTTATATTTTCAGTAGAGATGGGATTTCACCATGTTGTCCAGGCTGGTCTTGAACTCCTGATCAGCCTCCCAAAGTGCTGGGATTACAGGCGTGAGCCACTGCACCCAGCCTGATGCCATATTTTTAATGGTAAGAAACAAGATGAAGATAGAAACACAAACTTTAGAATATCATATCTTTAGGACTTTGCACCATGAACCAGTATATTATGTACGTGTGGACACAGAGGAAATATCTTGAAGAGAGTTTCAAAATCCCTCAACTCAATTATGCAAGATATTTCTACCATTCATGAATGTAGTGCTGCATATATACATAGCACCCAATTGGAGAGAGCAGGCAAATCTCAGCTGGTGATGATGAATCTCTTTGGCATTAACAGTCCCATTGCAGCAGCAATCAGAGGAGGCCACACACCCACAGTGCTCTGCCCTGGCCCGATGACACACAAGATATTGAGCAATATTTCCAAGTAGTAGACCAGCCAGGGGAGGGGAATCTGGGTGGGAGAAACATTCTAGAAACCAAGTCAGTTGGGAATTGATTTAAGGGTCTAGGGAGGAGAGAGGGAGAAGAGGGGAGGAGATGGTGAATCATTTTCTGTGTGACACCAGAGAGCAATATACTTATACCAGTGGGAAGAGCTACAGGGAGGGCAGAAGAACGTGTTTTCTGACAATTATAGGAGTCCAAAAATGAGCTGGACCACACTGGAAGGTAATAAGCTCTTCATCATCAGAAATGTTCAAGAAGATGAACACCTGTCAAGGCTGCTGTAAAGGAGCTGCCCACGTGGGGAGGTTAGTTTCATCAAGTTGTCAGACGCCAGCAGGCTGGGAGCTGGTGGAGAAGCAGACCTCACCCAAGGAGTCTGACTTAGTAGCTCTGGTAGTATGTAGAGAATCTTTGTTAGAAACTGCTAGACCAGAGCAATGGACTCCACAGTGGAGGGCACAAGATACATGAAATCCCCTTGATATTTACATTCTATATAAGAGTAAAAAAAAGAAAGTAGGCCTACTAACATTTGATGTCTAGTGAATCAGACAGTCTTGTGCCACATCTGAGAGGTCACACAGGACACTGCAGCAAGAGCAGGAGTCCTCCAACACGGAAGGCTGCAGCAGGATCTTCCTTTGTTTGTTTACATTCACATGTTTCCATACACCTGTAGTTTAACTGTGCCCTGTGAAAGAAATGCATCTTAAATTGCAGAATTGCAAATAGTATTAGCTTTAGCTTAAATGAAATGGGAAATAAACATGACAATTGTTGTGTCACAAAGAGGTTTGTGGGTTATCTTGGGATGAAATAAAGCACAGTCTAACTTAAAGTTGTGCATTTTTTCTTACAAGAAGAAGCATGCAATCATGCAAGTATGCTGACTTCCTGTGACAAGTGGCAGATGGTAGTAGACTTCTTAGACAGTTTTGAACAAATAAACACACTTACTGGTCCCATTTAAATACATGGACCAGGCATGTTCTGCTTTCAGTGGGTTAAGTCATTGACTCATGACACAGCCTTAAAAAGTAGGGACAATTAACTCCATTTTACAGATGAGGAAACCAAGGCTCAGAAAGGCAAAACTGACTTCCCCAAGATCACTCAGTAATCAGTGAAAGAGTGGGGTTTAAAGGAAGAGTCTTTCTCAGTCAAACTAATTTACTTCTCTAAGGTGAGAAATCAGTTGCTTTTTGAACAAAGAAAACCAAAAACCTCTGCAATGATAAAAGCATTTTGCAAATAATGGCTGAAAATGTTTCCATCGTTAATGTTATTTTTGTTGCCAAAGCTGTGTAAATGTATAACCTTTAACAATCAGAACACTGGAAACTTAGAAAACCTAGTAATAAAATTTTAAAATCGATTTTAAAGTGAAGAGTTTCAGGATATTTTGAAGAACGCATTTATTAAACACATAAAAATTCATTAAGTTCTAACTTGCTGGCAAGAACAAATGATAGAGCAGGAAAAAATGAAATTCACTAGCAAACTTAAAAAAAGAACTTTCTCATAACTGGTGGATGCAAGTTAAAATAAGTTTCATGATTTAGTAAGCCCAGCCAACAATGCATCTTTCCCACATTTGGATCAACATATTTTGGAGAAGCATCTTTCTCAGCAATGACAGCCATTAAGGCTGCACCAAACTTTCAGATTCCTCTATCACAAGGAACTAAACCAAGATTTTTCTTTTTTGTAATGAAGCATATTCAAGTGGATTATTCTCAGTAAAGAAACGTTATCAGTGGTGGCAGCTTTTTAGTGAGAGTAAAAATTCTTTATATAAAATACAATAAAACAAAAATTGTTTTAAAACATTTTATCTTCACGTGATCTTTTAAATTATTGTGCATGTGTTATAATGTTCATAATGTGTCAGTACCATAGTGTGTGTACATAACTTATAAGTGGATATATAAAAATAACCGGGTGCCTACTCAGATATTTTACTAAGATGGGACATGGTCAGCTGAGTTTGGAGACTACTGGATGTGACATCTTTCAGTGTCCACTCCTTAGCTTCGAGTCTTCTAGTCTCTGGTAAATGATCTGCTCTTACCTGAGCTGTGGGTGATAAAGCCTAAGTACCAGGAAGACGCTTCCCTCCAAGGTAGGCAGCACCTCATTATCCAGCTCAGTGCCCAAGAACCCATCCAAGAAAGCAGAAACTGAAAGAGAAAAACACCCGAAGACCCACATTTCCAAGTGAACCAACTTGATTTAAGATTTGAAGCTATCTGTGTTTTGTACAACATCTAATGCACTGTTGATGTTCGATAAATAACAAATCGTGTTATTAATAATTAAGAATTGATGTTTGTGCTCCTGTGAATTGTCTCTCAGAAGAATTATTCCCCATTCACTCATAAAGAAAAATGAGAGGAAGAGACAGAGGAATAGCTTTTAAGGAAATTTAGTTCCAGCTACTTTGTGTGCATGTGTTTTTTTCTCCTCCTTCTTTGGTAAATCTGATGAATAACTGAAGAAGACAAGACCCAGAACCAGCCTAAGCTGCTTCCCCAGCCCCTTTGTCTTCCTATCTTTAGGTGGGAATGTCTAGAATGTTGAATTATATGATTTTAAAGTGCTTGACAAACATTAATTAACTGGGGGTCGTTCTTTGTTTGAAGAGAGTTATATCTAATTGTGAATATGTCTCCAATTATCTGTTCCTCTTTTTGACTGTATTATTATCTAAAATGTGCAGTATCTGATTTGCTTGTACATTTAATTTGGTAGGCTTTTGAAATAGGTGGCAACCATGAAAAAAGGGACATACAGTCACCTTAATGAGAAAAATCGTAATTGTGTGAGATTATACTTATGCTCATGTATGTGTATTACATGAATCCACATACACATGCACATGCAACCCTCCCCGCCACCACATACATCCTTCCTTCTGTTTGTAACCACACTCTCTTTTAA
Source organism: Homo sapiens (assembly GCF_000001405.40). NCBI lineage: Eukaryota > Metazoa > Chordata > Mammalia > Primates > Hominidae > Homo > Homo sapiens. The sequence goes on from NC_000005.10 coordinate 127,091,429, forward strand.
GCCATGAATTTCAACAATTTTGATCACACACACTGAACTGGACTCCATTCCTTCTGAGCTAGAGGAATTGTTGAGATTGGCTTTTTAATAGCAGAAATCAGAAAAGCTCTCTAGAAAAGTGAATTAATCCTCTTGCAAAAGCAAGTGTAATTAATCACAAGAGAAAACTGGCCATGCATGTCAACCGAGTTCAGGGAATTGGCTGAGCATTATTGATTCGTTACCCACCATGACCCCTCCTCCCACCTCATGCAGAAGGAGAGGTGATGGTGTGGACGGCAGCCATACCTGAATCTGGCGCGTGGACTGGAGAACCAGAGGGATTACAAACTGTGAGAGATGCTGGGCTCATGCTTTGGATAGGCTGTGCACACTGTTAATTAGGATCATAGATTTGAACAATGTCTAAAATAATTAGCCAGGGCGGGTATGTGCCTGTGCAGGGGTGGCTTACAGATTTTTCTGTTGCTTAGAGAAATTTTCTATAGTAACAAAGGAATAAAATGTAAATTAATTCACAACTGCAGGACTTACACTTAGTAGGCATTTCAAAGCTGACTTCCAAGTAAACCACATACCAAAACCTAGACATGTCAGTAGCTTATAAATACTGATATGTATGTCACTCTTAGCCTCATTTCTTTGTACTGCTCATCAGCTTTTAGAGGCAGTGTCACTTGGTGGAGACAATAGACCTGAATTCAAATCCCACCTTCATCATTTACTCACATTTACACACCACAGATCTTAAAATCCTTATCAATAAAAAGAGAATCATAGTACCTGCTAGGGGTGAATTGCGTCCCTCCAAAATTCATATATTGAAGCCTTAATCCCAGTACCTCAGAATGACTGTAGTTGGAGACAGGGCCTTTTACAGAGGTATATTAAGTTGCAGTGAGGCCTTTAGGTTGGGCCCTAATCCAATCTGACTGCTGTCCTTATAAGAAGAGGAAATTTGGACACAAGCGACATCAGGGATGCATGTTCACAGTGGGATCACCAAGTGAAGAGGCAGAAGGAGGGCAGCCATCTACAAGCCAAGGAGAGAGGAGAGAGAAAACCAATCCTGCCGGCACCCTGGTCTTGGACTTCCTGTCTCCAGAACTGTGAGAAAACACACATCTGTTGTTTAAGACACCCAGTCTTTGGTATTTTGTTATGGCAGCCTTAGCAAACTTAAGTAGTACCTTTTACATGCTTATTATGCAGATAAAGGGGATGATTTTTGCATAGAGCCTGGCATATGTTCTCAATTAATAACAGTTGTTATTGTCATGTAGCTAATCAGTAAATATGATCTCTTTCCTTTCTCCCTGAAGAGGCTGTCATTTCTAGGACTTCTTAGCCCTATTCCATGATATCTATTTGAAACCTGACTCCAGGCAGTATGACTCTTTCCTCTGTGTCCTATAGGATGCTGCCAACCCAGTCTCCTTATGAGCGGTCAGCCAGCCCTCCCTTAACGCCTCTTGTTCCTGTCTGGATTCTTCCCTCTGGTTATTTTCAGGCCTGACTTAAGGAGACAGTGGTTTCTCTGTGATTGGCTGCCCTACCTTCTTCTTTCCCTTCAAAATCTACAAGGAAAGCGATGTCCACCAGCTGTGCAGGTGGCTGTAAAAAGAGTTGGAGAATATCTCACTGTGGTACTGCTGATGTCCTGTATTTCTGTGCTTTTTTTCATTGACATGGAGAGGTGTCTGGATATCTAATGGCTCCAAGTTTTGCATAAAGTCAATGCAGGTGTCATCCCAGACACAAACACCAATACCTGTGATGTGTCCACTTTTTTTTTTTTTTTTTGAGATGAAGTCTCACTGTGTCACCCAGGCAGGAGTGCAGTGGCACAATCTTGGCTCATTGCAACCTCAGCCTCCCGGGTTCAAGCGATTCTCCTGCCTCAGCCCCCTAAGCAGCTGGGACTACAGGTGTGCACCACCAAGCCTGCCTAATTTTTATATTTTTAGTAGAGACAGCATTTCGCCATGTTGGCCAGGTTGGTCTCAAACTCCTGACCTCAGGTGATCTGCCTGCCTCAGCCTCCCAGAGTGCTGCGATTACAGGTGTTAGCCACTGTGCCCGGCTTCCCACTTCTGATGTTTAGCTTTGGAGCTAGGTAAATTAGCACAAACCCACATCAGAACACTTTCCATCCTGATCCCAAATGAAGCAGTTGGTGATGTACAGCCCTGCTGATGATGATGGCCTCGAGTCTAGCCCCTGCCTGTGAGGGCTATGTGTGCTGGCAATTGTTCAGGGACCTTGCTCATCTCCGGCTGAGGAGAGAGGACCTGCCATGATGACAGTGTGTCACATGGAACCACAGCAGAGGCCCAGGGCCTATTTTTAAGATGTTTAGGATGAAAGAGATTCTTCAGAAAGAAAATTCAGAGGTGTTCTCTTTCCTTTATGGGTTAGCAAGCTTGCTGGCTGCAACCATTACTGTGTTCATTAATTTAACAAGTATTTACTGCATGCCCACCAAGTACAAACCACTGAAATCCTCCGTGAGGAGCATAATAATGATAAAAATGTCTGATGATGTCATAGGCATTGTATTAATTCCTTTACATATTATTACTGACTTTATTGATAACATTTGTCAAATATCTGCTATGCAGTTGGATGCCTGTTAAACAGTTTACATGCATTTTATTTTTATAGTAACCTCATGAGGAGGTACTCATCTCCATTTCACAGATGAGAACACTGAGGTTCAGATAATGCTGAAGGTCACAAAGCTAGTAAATGCTGAAGCCAGGAGTAAAACTCAGGTTGTTCTGATCCCAAAGTCTATTCTTTCTTTATTCACTTGCCCAAGAGATAGTTGAGAAAGAAATATGCTGTGTTAATTGAGGCCCTTTGTGTTCTACACTGGGAAATTGCTCTGAAGAGGGACATTCTTCTCACAAACAATGCTAGCTTTATTTCACCCAAAAGATGTCTCTGGTGTGATTTCTAGAGTATTGCCCTGGGTGCTCAAATCTGCCCACTACACTCAGCAGCCAGTTTTCCACTGATATTTGAGAGCTATTCCTTTGGGTTAAAGCTGTGCCCTGTAGCGGGGAATGTTTATTCCATTATGTCATTTGGCCTTCATGAGAATGTGCTTATCATGTTATATTCTCTTGGGGTGCTGCAGAGTTCAGTGCAGATTGTGTAGGGAAAGCTGGAGAGACAGGGCTATAGAATGTGTGAGAGGTGTGAGGTGTGGGCCCCTCCAGGGTGGAGCAGACAGTGAGGCCCAAGCCTTCAGAGGGAGTAGCGGGGTTGTGTCATTGTGAGCTGGAGTTCTTGAAGCTCAAGGCTGCTCTCTTTTCAAATCCATCTAATCCTCAGCTGGATGATGGCTTGGATAGAGATGTTAGAGAATGGGCATGTGAATAATAAAACACTCCATTTTCCTCAAATTGATATCTAACCATGTTCATTTATATTTAACTACATGCAGCCCATTTGAATGGAAATACAGTTCTCTCTGTTTAATCCAACTACAACCTAATCCTACTACTAACTTATATTTATATCATGCTGACCATTTACAAAGAACTTTCATAGACATCACCTCATCTGGTTATTCTAGCAAACTCTAAGGAAATAATTTTCTTCCTTTTCCTGCTAAGGGACTTGAGGCTTACATGAATTAAATGATTTGCTCAGGATCACAGAGCCAGGCAGTGGGGGATGTGCGGGGAAGCACACCTCATGTTTGGATTAAAAAGCCACAGCTCCTTTGGCGGCATCAAGCTGCTTCTTTGACTACATACTCATTCGCCTTCTAGAAACCTGAAAAGCTGGGCTCCCCAATCACAGACTGGCTTCAATAAACAAAAAGGCTGACCTAAGTCTTTCTATTCTTCCTGGGTATACACAGTCAGTCTGAAGCCCAAATTATGGAAGCACTCCCTCTAATTCTGCTCTCATGGGATGGCTTTCAAGGATTGCAGCTGGTTGCGAGCCAGCTCTGCTGTTGAATGGGTGCAGTGGATATGTTGTTGTTTTGGTCAGGCTCCTCAGTTCCCTTTTGACTGTGTGTGCCAGTGGGTTTGGTGAAATATGCTTTCAGTGGCCAGTGCCTGGGGCTTGGTTTCCTAGAGAGCCTCTGGTTGGGCAACTCTGAGGTGTTGCTTATGCCCTATCCCAGAGCTCCCCTGTGGGATCAGGTGAAGTCACTGAGTGGGTCTTTACCTGAGGTCACAACTTCGCTTGATTCCCTGCCCTCCCCAGTTCTGCCTCCCTCACTCCCTCGTCAGTGACGTCTGGGAAGACTTTCTTACTAAATTGCTTGCTCATGAATCCTCATCTCAAATTCTGCTTCTAGGGAATTTGCCCATGGGAGTGGGTGCATGAGAGCTCTGAAGCAAAGCTCTGTGACCCATCCTCCCTTGCCAGGGTGAGTAGTAGGGACCGGGAGCCAGGGGTGAGGAGCTCACCTTAAGATAAAGGGCATCAGAAGTGTGTCCCAGAGTCTTTGGGTTGTCCTAGTTTTGTATTTATTTTCAGATCTTCAATTAAGTAGTTATAATGTTAATTAGTTGCCTGACCTTAAATTATTTAAGTCTCTGAGCCTCTTTTCATATCCCTAAGATGGGGATAAATAACATTTGCCTCTTAGGGCAATGATAGGGATTTAATGAGATAAGACAGGTAAAGCACTTAACATATTCCTTATAAGTGGTGTTCAGATATTATTACCTAGTCTTCTTCCAACAGTTTGTGTGGAAATTTATCTAGTAGCATTCTGGAAACATTGCCAATAGAATGGGTTAAAGTCACAGAATAATACTACAGCAGTGCAGCCTTGTATTTCTGTGAATTTCATAGACTTAAAGACAAAAGCTGTTTATACTCATGTAATCCAAGTGTCTCCGGATTTAGCAGCTGCTGATTGCAAATGCAGTCATATATGAAACCCCAAAAGTCAATAGCAGTGAGCAAACCCCCATTTGACTGGCTTCTTGTTGAGTCAAGGAAGCCCAATTTTTATAGAGCTCCCTCCAAGGGGTGCTCGCATAGGTCCACAATTATTCCTCATCAGTTTGCTGAGCCCAGATGTGTAGCTCTACATCGTTTTGCATGCAGCTTGCCATACTGCTCCTATCAGCGCAGCTGTTGGTGCTGCCGCTGCTGCTAGGGAAGATGGAGGTTCCCACACATGATGTCATTTTAAAAATGGAGTCAAACCACTGCACCTCAAGCCTTACGATCCCCATTGTTGTTTTTGTGAAGACGGAGGATTTTTCTTTTCTATTTTTTTATTTTTTGCACTCAGTTGGGAAAGTGACAGCAAAGTTGTCTGAGCCCACAGTGGTTGCTGACAGAGCTCTTTCAGTTGCAGATGGCAGGCCCAGAGCTCTACAGTAGCCAGGTCCAGTAATTCCAAGAGACAATGAAGTGCTAGAACGCTCTCTCCTTGTCTTTGTTACGTATGCACAGGTGGTAAAGCACTCCTGAGGAATCAGGAATATCTCTGTTGTGCGTCAGGGTCAGGGAACCTGATGGCTACCACATCTGATGCTGCCAAATGAAGAGAAAGTTTCTTCTGTCTCTCTCTCTCTCTCTCTCGAGAGTTCTTGTGTGTGTGTGGGGGGGGGGGGGGCGGGTACAGGTGGAAGGGCAGGATGCAGGAAAAGCCAAAGGACCCATAATGAGTTTACCAGAGCCCAAAGAGTTCCAGCATTTTAATATGTTTTCAGGTAACACACAGAACCTCCTTTTCCTCAGGACAAACACATGCTGTCAATCTCCTTGGGTGACAGTGAATTCTGGAACCTGCCACATCCCAAAACCATAATTACCTCCCGCCTACAACTTCAAGCCCTGTTGCAGGGTCTTATGGCAGAGATAAAGCAATTACTATTTAAAACCATGAGTGACTGCGGCAGCTTCAGCCTGTAAGGAAGTAGCATAATTTCTCTCTGGAGTAAGTAGCCTTCTATTTAGCAAAGATGAGGCCCCCAGGGCATGATTTGGAAAGAGGCATTGAAACAAAGAGATAGCTAAACCAATCAGCACAAAAAGTAAACAAGGATTTTACAGGGGATAAAAGCAGAGAAGAGCAGACAAGGGTGCGGGAGGAATGAGGGGTTAAGCCACATAGTGGAAGACTGTCAGTCATTGGGGAACACCACAAGTTGGACATCACCAGTGGCCAGGGAATGTTCAAAGACAAGGATGTTTGCATTGCCATTTCAGGCTGCTTGCTCTGTGTTGAAAGTTAATCGCCTGCAGTGAGGCCATGTGTGAGTGGTGAGTGGTGTTTCTGGAAAATCAAAGGAAAGAGTCTTCGTTCCAAATCTGAGTAGCTAGAATACATAGCAAATGGAGCAGCCATGGGATGGATAGGGGCCTTTGGGGGGATTCAGAGAAATATTTAGGAGGAGACTGGGTTTTTATTAGCCATAGAATGGGGTGGCTGTCAGCCAATTTCATGTAATTCTCAGAAGACAAGAAGACTTCAACTGATGTCTGGATGACAATCTACCCCCTTGCAATCTGACTTTCACCCACCTGCTGTATATGTCCCATGTGGCTGCATATGTCTGAGTCTCAGTAAATTTCTAGGTTTTCTTTTTCCCAGTCTAAGGAGGCTCCTCAGACCCACGCAAATCACTGGAGGCAAATGGATAAATAGGAAGACAAGTGTGTGTAATTGACATGGGGAAAAAGCAGGGCTCATGGGGTGTAATCATGAAGCAATTTTATTTTGCCTTCCCAACCCCTGGGTAAAAATTTTAGGTTGCCAAGCACAATCTTTATTCAGCAAGTCCAACCATAAAATATCAATACTCCAAACTTGATTTAAAATAAAATCTCCCCTTCTCCAGTTAAGTCCTGCCACAGGAAGGGGGGCCCTAGAGGTAGAGGAGGGGAGGTGGAGTCACTGTCTGCCTCTCTCCTTCCTCCCTTACTAGCCTCCACCCACGGGTTGGAATAGGAGAGGGGAAGGAGGAGAGTTAAAAGGGGAGCAGAAAAGTTCTCACGTGACTGAAATTCTTTAGATGGGTTTGTGGTTGGTAGGCCTGGCAGGTGTTTAGGTTTGATCATCTCATCAGAGCTTTGGTCCTTTGGAGATCACTGAGGGCAATTCCTCTCTTGATTCAGGTGAAGCCTCTACTATGGCTGATTGCTTACTCCTTCTGCAGCCCCCAGATATCTGGCAATACCTTTAGTGTCTTTCCATGAGGGCCTGTTTACCCCTCCGGGAAGCCTCTTTGGACAGGACTGACGGAGACCCACATTAATCTTTGTTATGTGGCTCACATCTGCCCATAGGAAACCCTCACCCATTTTTCTCCCTGACAAACTCTGAGAGTATAGGCTGCCCAATACAGCTACTCATTCTTTGACATATTCATTAGCTCATTTTAATTTTCAAGCGCGAGTGAGACACTACCCTATATGCTCCCTAAACTGCAGTCTGTTGAAATCCTGATCACTGCTAGGCATGAGACGAGGGGCAGGTACTGCCCACCTGCCATACTGCAAGGAGGAGGGAACAGAGAGGAAGCCTGGGATGCATAGTATGGTTCTCTCCAACCAAAACCCCTTTTTCTAAGTCCTCAGATTTCAGGTGATTTTGTACCCTCCATATACATGAAAAGTTTAAGAGATGTCTCACCAATTCTTGTCACCAACTCTGAAGTTCCTGCGTGGAAATCTAAAAGAACTTGGATTGTGACATCTATCAACTTATGCTTTAGCTGAAATGTTCTCTCAGAAGCTGGGTTGCTCCTTTTTGTGGTCTGACTTCCATTACGGCCACCCCAGCCATCAGACCTGGTGGTCCGTGTCTGAATTCCAATAGTATAATGTTTCAAGTTTTTCTTTTCCTCTGAGACATTCTTCAATTCCAATGACAATAAGTGGGTCTGAATGGTGAAGGAGAGATAGGCTCTTTCCTCCATCTACTTCCCAGAAGCACTTAAGGCTCAGTGTCTGCCTTGCCAAGACCCCTTGTTACAATTCAGATGTGTCTTACGGGTTCTTCTTTCCTTTTTTTTTTTTTTTTTTTTTTTGAGAGAGAGTCTCGCTCTGTCACCCAGGCTGGAGTGCAGTGGCACGATCTTGGCTCACTGCAAGCTCCGCCTCCCGGGTTCACACCATTCTCCTGCCTCAGCCTCCCGAGTAGCTGGGACTACAGGTGCCTGCCACCACACCCGGCTAATTTTTTTTTTGTATTTTTAGCAGAGACGGGGTTTCACTGTGTTAGCCAGGATGGTCTCAATCTCCTGACCTCGTGATCCGCCCGCCTCGGCCTCCCAAAGTGCTGGGATTACAGGCTTGAGCCACCGCGCCCGGCTACGGGTTCTTCTTTTCAATCCTTTTCAATCCTAAGAAGGACATAACATGCTGAAGTGAAGGTATATTAGGATGGTTTTCTCTGATTTTTTTTTTTAATTTGATCCTAAGTATGGTATCATGAACGTCACATGTTAGGATCTAGCAGAGTTTGAAGAATTATTGTAAACCCCTGTAAACACAGAGCAAGGTAGAAAGTGATTTTCATCGTTCTCTTGCTCCTCTTACCATCCTACCTGGGAAATACACTCCCATTCTTATTTGGACTGATTTTTTTCCTATGTAGTGCAGTGGCCTTCATTTTAAAGCCTACAATTCAACATGATGTTTTTGGGTTTAGAAGTTATGTTCTTGATGGTGTGAAAGCTACATCAAATTTCAGATTTGTCTTGTGTAATGTGATACATGGACATGCGGTCGCTGGTATTGGTTGCTTGTAGCCAAAGAACCATAAAAAGTACACCTAGGAATAGGGCCTATGGTTTTGACAGTAAGTATCGTTAGAGATATAGCTTTCCTTCTAAGTTGGCCTACTAGGTTGAGATTAATGAGGAAGGTGTGTGTGTGTATACACATACCATTCACTCAATCAATTCCAGTGAAATAACACAGAGAAGACAAAAAAAGTGGCCATTAGGGAAAATAAGTGGACCATGGGCACAGAAAACCTCCTGTTCCATTCAGCTGTGCTAATTAGTAATGAGCATAACATTCTTTTTTTTTTTTTTTAAGGCCAGACGGTGTCATTTAGTAAAATAAATAAATACTCCTCCCTGCCATTTACTAATAGTCTGAAGCCTTGGTTGCTAGTTCTGCCTCTATCTGTTACTAGTCATATGATCCTAGGAAATTGGAAACTTCTCTGAGCCTCAGGTTTCTGCATCTACAAAGTGGAGATAGACCTAACTATTGTGTTATCTTCACCTTTAAAGAATATAGTGTTCATGAAATTGCTCTGTAAACTGGACAGTGGGGCCTTGGTGTAAGGCATTATGTTCAGGTGTGAGTTGAGATTCCCCGAGGTATAGAGATCTTGCATTGGCACTTGAGGGTCTTGAAGAAGATTTTCAATTTCAATTTATGCATGTACCCACCGGCTGTATTGACACAGCACAAAGCCAAGGGCAGATTTGACAATGATTTCTTTAATTTTATTGATGTGAACTGCAAAACTGGGCCATTCAGTCTGCAAAGTATCTAGGCTGTAATGATCTGACATTGGCTGTCTACATTCATCAAATTAAGTGGATAATTAGCAAAACACCATTTGACTTTGTGATGTAAAGACAGTAATTGTGGCTCTTTCTCAATTAAAAATCTCATCCAAAGTCATGATTTTGGTTGTCACATCTGTGCAGATGATTTCCACATTTGTTTATACCTCCAGCTTTGAATTCTTTCTGAAAAGACTACATTATTTTCCCAACAGTCACCAGGCATTTTCCCTCATGCATTTTCCCTCCCCATTATTCCTTCCTGGGATCTTCATTTTCTTATCCCAATCAGCCAGTCTCAAACTCTCAGGGTTAACTCTGACTCCTCTCTTCCCCACACGTTCCCTAGTCAATCAGCTGCCAAGTTCTATCAATTCTATCTATGAAACACCCTTGAAATCTTCCTTCTCCTCTCTAATTCTACTGCCCTGCTATCCTACTACTTCATCAAGGCCCAGCCTATTATTACAAAAACCCTGTAACTGGCCTTCCTTTTCCAGTATTGCCTCATTCCAACCCCGTCTATATATTAATGCTCTCATCCTGCTTTTTCTCTGCTCAAAAATCCCCTGGGGTGGGATTCTCACTGTCTAAGAAACAAAGCCTGAATTCTTCCTCCTGGTGTTCTCAGCATTGCAAGGCCTGGCTCTAACCTGTCTTTCCCACTTTATCTTCTCCCACTCCCCTTCATGTACACTACTGAGTAATTCTTGGTTTCCTGCACGGATTCATTTCCCTTTTGGATGCTGTCCTATGTTCACACATCTCCCTCCTCTGGAAATTTCCTCCTCCTCATTATAGCCTTCAAACCCCACTCCAAGCCCCACTTATTCTTCAAGAGCCATTCAAATGCCACCTCCCCACTGCGCTCCTTTAGGCTTCTGGTTGGAAAGACTCTCTCCCTAATCTGTACTCCACTGCACTTTAACAACATCTGCCCAACTTTCTCCCCTTTAGACTATAAATTCCTTTAAGGCAGGATTTGTGCCAGAGTCATCTCTGTATTCCCCAGGGTCCACATATCCTGCATATAGTAGCTGTTCTTTAAATACCTGTTGAATAAATGAATGCTTGTAAAGAAAGCATGCTTCTAATCATATTTTTTTCTTATCTTCTAATGTGGGATGCAACTTCTTATTTGACTATGTAAACTCATGTGGTGAAATATTTTCCTTCAAGGACACATAATATGCTCCTATGGCCTCCTTCTCTCTGATAAGGTTGGTCTTTTACCAGTGGTTTGTAGCACTAATTATAGGAGGGAGGAAAGAAAATTCTGGAAAGTAGATTACAGAAGAGGAAAAACAAACATGAGAATTCTAAGTAAAAATGGAAAATAGCATGTTTACAAAGAAGGACATCTTGAAAGGCAGCATTCCTCTAGGGCAGTGCTAATTTTAAGAGGAATAGAAGAAAAAGTAATGTATTTTTCTAAAAGGAGAAACTGAACTTGTAAGAACTGTAGAATAATCAAATTATTGTGAAATTGGGCCAGACTTTCCCCAGAATTCTGTAGCCCATTGGATTTGACAAGATTAGACAAGAGAGGTAAAAATGATGGTTGGACTAAAGAAAAGGACTAATGGAGACAAATTATAGGTATGGTCATGGTTTCACCCCAAAGATAGATGAATGGTGTTTAAAAGACCATCATATCCTACAGATGGGAGCTTTTCTTGTCCCTCCCAATCTACCCAGCGCATTGAAAGAGAAAAAGAGCAAATCGAAGCAATGCATTTTGATGCAAAATATAGAGACAGGGATGGTTAAAACTCAAGAATAGAGGCAGGATTTCATATGGATACATTTCATAGTAATACAATAAATTAAATATTTAAAAGTTTATTTTTAGGTTCACCAAAAGAGCCCAAAGTCATCAAAATGTCCCATACTAAGATCCTTCCAAGAGAATTGATTAGAGCTTTCTGACAGTATAATGTGATGGATTAGTGAGTTTTCCTCAATTTGTTGATGAAAAAACAGTGCTCAATGTATTATTTTAACATAGTAGCTATTAGGTTAAATGCTGTTACGACCAGTATTAATTGTTAAATATTAACAAAGGTTCAGATATAATCTTGCCTAAGGGCAAGAGGATGTCTCACATTTTCCAGAATATCTATGACTCTAAGTAAGTTTACTATTTTCTTTTTTTTTTAATTTTATTATTATTATACTTTAAGTTTTAGGGTACATGTGCACAATTTGCAGGTTAGTTTCATATGTATACATGTGCCATGCTGGTGTGCTGCACCCATTAACTCGTCATTTAGCATTAGGTATATCTCCTAATGCTATCCCTCCCACCTCCCCCACCCCACAACAGTCCCCAGAGTGTGATGTTCCCCTTCCTGTGTCCATGTGATCTCATTGTTCAATTCCCACCTATGAGTGAGAACATGTGGTGTTTGGTTTTTTGTCCTTGCGATATTTTACGGAGAATGATGATTTCCAATTTCATCCATGTCCCTACAAACAACATGAACTCATCATTTCTTATGGCTGCATAGTATTCCATGGTGTATATGTGCCACATTTTCTTAATCCAGTCTATCATTGTTGGACATTTGGGTTGGTTCCAAGTCTTTGCTATTGTGAATAGTGCCGCTATAAACATACGTGTGCATGTGTCTTTATAGCAGCATGATTTATAATCCTTTGGGTATATAACCAGTAATGGGATGGCTGGGTCAAATGCTATTTCTAGCTCTAGATCCCTGAGGAATTGCCACACTGACTTCCACAATGGTTGAACTAGTTTACAGTCCCACCAACAGTGTAAAAGTGTTCCTATTTCTCCACATCCTCTCCAGCACCTGTTGTTTCCTGACTTTTTAATGATTGCCATTCTAACTGGTGTGAGATGGTATCTCATTGTGGTTTTGATTTGCATTTCTCTGATGGCCAGTGATGGTGAGCATTTTTTCATGTGTTTTTTGGCTGCATAAATGTCTTCTTTTGAGAAGTGTCTGTTCATGTCCTTCGCCCACTTTTTGATGGGGTTGTTTGTTTTTTTCTTGTAAATTTGTTTGAGTTCATTGTAGATTCTGGATATTAGCCCTTTGTCAGATGAGTAGGTTGCGAAAATTTTCTCCCATTTTGTAGGTTGCCTGTTCACTCTGATGGTAGTTTCTTTGCCTGTGCAGAAGCTCTTTAGTTTAATTAGATCCCATTTGTCAATTTTGGCTTTTGTTGCCATTGCTTTTGGTGTTTTAGTCATGAAGTACTTGCCCATGCCTATGTCCTGAATGGTAATGCCTAGGTTTTCTTCTAGGGTTTTTATGGTTTTAGGTCTAATGTTTAAGTCTTTAATCCATCTTGAATTAATTTTTGTATAAGGTGTAAGGAAGGGATCCAGTTTCAGCTTTCTACATATGGCTAGCCAGTTTTCCCAGCACCATTTATTAAATAGGGAATCCTTTCCCCATTTCTTGTTTTTGTCAGGGTTGTCAAAGAACAGATAGTTGTAGATATGCAGCGTTATTTCTGAGGGCTTTGTTCTGTTCCATTGATCTATATGTCTGTTTTGGTGCCAGTACCATGCTGTTTTGTTTACTGTAGCCTTGTAGTATAGTTTGAAGTCAGGTAGCGTGATGTCTCCAGCTTTGTTCCTTTGGCTTAGGATTGACTTGGTGATGCGGGCTCTTTTTTGGTACCATATGAACTTTAAGGTAGTTTTTTCCAGTTCTGTGAAGAAAGTCATTGGTAGCTTGATGGGGATGGCATTGAATCTATAAATTACCTTGGGCAGTATGGCCATTTTCACGATATTGATTCTTCCTACCCATGAGCATGGAATGTTCTTCCATTTCTTTGTATCCTCTTTTATTTCATTGAGCAGTGGTTTGTAGTTCTCCTTGAAGAGGTCCTTCACATCCCTTGTAAGTTGGATTCCTAGGTATTTTATTCTCTTTGAAGCAATTGTGAATGGGAGTTCACTCATGATTTGGCTCTCTGTTTGTCTGTTATTGGTGTATAAGAATGCTTGTGATTTTTGTACATTGATTTTGTATCCTGAGACTTTGCTGAAGTTGCTTATCACCTTAAGGAGATTTTGGGCTGAGACGATGGGGTTTTCTAGATATACAATCATGTCGTCTGCAAGCAGGGACAATTTGACTTCCTCTTTTCCTAATTGAATACCCTTTATTTCCTTCTCCTGCCTAATTGCCCTGGCCAGAACTTCCAACACTATGTTGAATTGGAGTGGTGAGAGAGGGCATCCCTGTCTTGTGCCAGTTTTCAAAGGGAGTGCTTCCAGTTTTTGCCCATTCAGTATGATATTGGCTGTGGGTTTGTCATAGATAGCTCTTATTATTTTGAGATACAGCCCATCAATACCTAATTTATTGAGAGTTTTTAGCATGAAGCGTTGTTGAATTTTGTCAAAGGCCTTTTCTGCATCTATTGAGATAATCATGTAGTTTTTGTCTTTGATTCTGTTTATATGCTAGATTACATTTATTGATTTGTGTATATTGAACCAGCCTTGCATCCCAGGGATGAAGCCCACTTGATCATGGTGGATAAGCTTTTTGATATGCTGCTGGATTCGGTTTGCCAGTATTTTATTGAGGATTTTTGCATCAATGTTCATCAGGGATATTGGTCTAAAATTCTCTTTTTTGGTTGTGTCTCTGCCCGGCTTTGGTATCAGGATGATGCTGGCCTCATAAAATGAGTTAGGGAGGATTCCCTCTTTTTCTATTGATTGGAATAGTTTCAGAAGGAATGGTACCAGTTCCTCCTTGTACCTTTGGTAGAATTTGGCTATGAATCCATCTGGTCCTGGACTCTTTTTCGTTGGTAAGCTATTGATTATTGCCACAATTTGAGATCCTGTTATTGGTCTATTCAGAGATTCAACTTCTTCCTGGTTTAGTCTTGGGAGAGTGTATGTGTCCAGGAATTTATCCATTTCTTCTAGATTTTCTAGTTTATTTGCGTAGAGGTGTTTGTAGTATTCTCTGATGGTAGTTTGTATTTCTGTGGGATCGGTGGTGATGTCCTCTTTATCATTTTTTATTGTGTCTATTTGATTCTTCTCTCTTTTCTTCTTTATTAGTCTTGCTAGCGGTCTATCAATTTTGTTGATCCTTTCAAAAAACCAGCTCCTGGATTCATTAATTTTTTGAAGGGTTTTTTGTGTCTCTATTTCCTTCAGTTCTGCTCGATTTTAGTTATCTTTTGCCTTCTGCTAGCTTTTGAATGTGTTTGCTCTTGCTTTTCTAGTTCTTTTAATTGTGATGTTAGGGTGTCAATTTTAGATCTTTCCTGCTTTCTCTTGTGGGCATTTAGTGCTATAAATTTCCCTCTACACACTACTTTGAATGTGTCCCAGAGATTCTGGTATGTTGTGTCTTTGTTGTCGTTGGTTTCAAAGAACATCTTTATTTCTGTCTTCATTTTGTTATGTACCCAGTAGTCATTCAGGAGCAGGTTGTTCAGTTTCCATGTAGTTGAGCGGTTTTGAGTGCGTTTCTTAATCCTGAGTTCTAGTTTGATTGCACTGTGGTCTGAGATACACTCTGTTATAATCTCTGTTCTTTTACATTTGCTGAGGAGAGCTTTACTTCCAACTATGTGGTCAATTTTGAAATAGGTGTGGTGTGGTGCTAAAAAAATGTATATTCTGTTGATTTGGGGTGGAGAGTTCTGTAGATGTCTATTAGGTCCGCTTGGTGCAGAGCTGAGTTCAATTCCTGGGTATCCTTGTTGACTTTCTGTCTCGTTGATCTGTCTAATGTTGACAGTGGGGTGTTAAAGTCTCCCATTATTAATGTGTGGGAGTCTAAGTCTCTTTGTAGGTCACTCAGGACTTGCTTTATGAATCTGGGTGCTCCTGTATTGGGTGCATATATATTTAGGATAGTTAGCTTTTCTTGTTGAATTGATCCTGTTACCATTATGTAATGGCCTTCTTTGTCTCTTTTGATCTTTGTTGGTTTAAAGTCTGTTTTATCAGAGACTAGGATTGCAACCCCTGCCTTTTTTTGTTTTCCATTTGCTTGGTAGATCTTCCTCCATCCTTTTATTTTGAGCCTATTTGTGTCTCTGCACATGAGATGGGTTTCCTGAATACAGCACACTGATGGGTCTTGACTCTTTATCCAATTTGCCAGTCTGTGTCTTTTAATTGGAGCATTTAGTCCATTTACATTTAAAGTTAATATTGTTATGTGTAAATTTTATCCTGTCATTATGATGTTAGCTGGTTGTTTTGCTCATTAGTTGATGCAGTTTCTGCCTAGCCTCGATGGTCTTTACAATTTGGCATGATTTTGCTGTGGCTGGTACCGGTTGTTCCTTTCCATGTTTAGTGCTTCCTTCAGGAGCTCTTTTAGGGCAGGCCTGATGGTGACAAAATCTCTCAGCATTTGCTTGTCTGTAAAGTATTTTATTTCTCCTTCACTTATGAAGCTTAGTTTGGCCAGATATGAAATTCTGGGTTGAAAATTCTTTTCTTTAAGAATGTTGAATATTGGCCCCCACTCTCTTCTGGCTTGTAGAGTTTCTGCCAACAGATCTGCTGTTAGTCTGATGGGCTTCCCTTTGAGGGTAACCCGCCCTTTCTCTCTGGCTGCCCTTAACATTTTTTCCTTCATTTCAACTTTGGTGAATCTGACAATTATGTGTCTTGGAGTTGCTCTTCTTGAGGAGCATCTTTGTGGCGTTCTCTGTATTTCCTGAATCTGAATGTTGACCTGCCTTGCTAGATTGTGGAAGTTCTTCTGGATAATATCCTGAAGAGTGTTTTCCAACTTGGTTCCATTCTCCCCGTCACTTTCAGGTACACAAATCAGATGTAGATTTGGTCTTTTCACATAGTCCCATATTTCTTGGAGGCTTTGTTTGTTTCTTTTTATTCTTTTTTCTCTAAACTTCCCTTCCTGCTTCATTTTATTCATTTCATCTTCCATCAGCAATACCCTTTCTTCCAGTTGATCGCATTGGCTCCTGAGGCTTCTGCATTCTTCACGTAGTTCTCGAGCCTTGGCTTTCAGCTCCGTCAGCTCCTTTAAGTACTTCTCTGTATTGGTTATTCTAGTTATACATTCGTCTAAATATTTTTCAAAGTTTTTAACTTCTTTGCCTTTGGTTTGAATTTCCTCCCGTAGCTCAGAGTAGTTTGATCGTCTGAAGACTTCTCTCAACTCATCAAAGTCATTCTCCCTCCAGCTTTGTTCCGTTGCTTGTGAGGAACTGCGTTCCTTTGGAGGAGGAGAGGTGCTCTGCTTTTTAGAGTTCCCAGTTTTTCTGCTCTGTTTTTTCCCCATCTTTGTGGTTATATCTACTTTTGGTCTTTGATGATGGTGATGTACAGATGGGTTTTTGGTGTGGATATCCTTTCTGTTTGTTAGTTTTCCTTCTAACAGACAGGACCCTCAGCTGCAGGTCTGTTAGAGTTTGCTAGAAGTCCACTCCAGGCCCTGTTTGCCTGGGTATCAGCAGCGGTGGCTGCAGAACAGCGGATTTTCGTGAACCTCGAATGCTGCTGTCTGATTGTTCCTCTGGAAGTTTTGTCTCAGAGGAGTACCTGGCCGTGTGAGGTGTCAGTCTGCCCCTACTTGGGGGTGCCTCCCAGTTAGGCTGCTCGGGGGTCAGGGGTCAGGGACCCACTTGAGGAGGCAGTCTGCCCTTTCTCAGATCTCCAGCTGCGTGCTGGGAGAACCACTGCTCTCTTCAAAGCTGTCAGACAGGGACATTTAAGTCTGCAGAGGTTACTGCTGTCTTTTTGTTTGTCTGTGCCCTTCCCTCAAAGGTGGAGCCTACCAAGGCAGGCAGCCCTCCTTGAGCTGTGGTGGGCTCCACCCAGTTCGAGCTTGCCGGCTGCTTTGTTTGCCTAAGCAAGCCTGGGCAATGGCGGGTGCCCCTCCCCCAGCCTCGCTGCTGCCTTGCAGTTTGACCTCAGACTGTGTGCTAGCAATCAGTGAGACTCTGTGGGTGTAGGACCCTCTGAGCCAGGTGCAGGATATAGTCTCTTGGTGCACCATTTTTTAAGCCCGTAGGAAAAGCACAGTATTAGGGTGGGAGTGACCTGATTTTCCAGGTGCCATCTGTCACCCTTTTGTTTGACTAGGAAATGGAACTCCCTGACCCCTTGCACTTCCTGAGTGAGGCAATGACTTGCCCTGCTTCAGCTTGCACACGGTGTGCTGCACCCACTGTCCTGCCCCCACTGTCTGGCACTCCCTAGTGAGATGAACCCGGTACCTCAGATGGAAATGCAGAAAACACCTGTCTTCTGCATCACTCACTCTGGGAGCTGTAGACCGGAGCTGTTCCTATTCGGCCATCTTGGCTGCCCCTCTACTATTTTCAATACACATGTAAATGTAAAACTAAAGTTCTGTGACCAAGTTCACTACTCAGAAAATATTTTTATGAGACCTTTGGATCAGAAAATATAGATTGTGGTCTATTGAGGTCTATGCTCTTTGGGGAATTGATTATATCAAAACAGATTTTATTATCTTACAGAGATACTTTGTAAACTATTGGCTAATTTAATTTCAGGTTATCCTCTTCAATTTTGTGTCCTCCCTGCTTATTAAATTCTTGGGCTCAGGTTAAAAAGGAAATCAAAAGATCAGGGGAAGATAATATAAAACGTCAACATGCTTATCGAGGGACCCCCAACTTCTCCTCTTCATCCCCACTGTCAGCTGATGCCAGAGCCGCTGAAATTGTTCTTGTCAAGGTTACCATGATCACCAGGTTGCTAGATCCATTTGAATTTTCTATTCGTCCCATATCTGATATGACTTCTCAGTTCTTGAACTGTTTTCCATGTGTCTTTCAGGGCACTTGTTTTTTTCTACTCCCTAACTTGGCTGATCTTCCACTTGTTTTTTTCTACTACCTAACTTGGCTGATCTTTCTCAATATCCTTTGCTGGATCATACTCTTCTTCATGGCCTTGAAACATAATGGGTCCTGGAGCTCAGCCTTAGACCTTTTCTCCCGTTATGCTTACTTCCATTTCTATGACTCAAACACATCTACAGACTGATGATTCCAAAATATGTCTCCAGCTCCGTCATCTCTCCAAACTACTGACTTGTATAGGCAACTGACCACCTGACATCTCCATTTGGATCCTAATATACTATCATATATTATGTCCAAAGCAGAACTCTTTTCTCTCTTTCTTTTTTTTTTTTTCAGACAGAGTCTGTTGCTCAGGCTGGAGTACAGTGGCATGATCTCAGCTTACTGCAAACTCTGCCTCCTAGGTTCAAGCCATTCTCGTGCCTCAGCTTCCCAAGTAGCTGGGATTACAGGCATGTTCCACCATGCCCAGCTAATTTTTGTACTTTTAGTAGAGACGGGGGTTTTGCCATGTTGCCCAGGCTGGTCTCGAACTCCTGGACTCAAGCGATCTATCCATCTTGGCCTTTCAAAGTGCTGGGATTACAGGCATGAGCCACCGCACCCAGCCCAAAGCACAACTCTTAATCCTCCTCCCTGAAACTGCTCCTTCTGTAGACTTTTCCAGGTCAGTAAATGGCAACTTCAATCTTCTAATTGGGCAGGCTAAAATTGCAAATGACATAATTGGTTCCTTTTTATTTTTTTGTTCCCATCTTATATCCAGTTGATTTCACCTTCAAAATCTATGTGGAACTGACCATGTTTTACTCTTCCTCCCCATCACCATGCTTCTGCCCTATTCTTCTGTTGTTCTCTTCACACAGTAGAGACAGTTAACCTTTTAAAAGTGAGTCGAATCATGTCACTCCTCCACTTCAAATCCTCTGCTGGTCCCCATCTCTCTCATTGTAAAAGCCGAAATTTTTACAAGGGTTTCTGGGGCCCAGCACATCCTGGATTCCCATTTCTCCTTTGGTTGCATCTCTCCCTAACCTCCTCCAATGTTCTGCTCCTGCCACATGGACCCCCTCATTGTTCCCCCAATACCCCAGGTACTCTCCCTTCTAAAGGCCGTTTTTTCCATCTGCCTGGAACACTCTTATCTGAGATATTTGTATAGCTCATTCCTTTGACCATGCCTTTGGCTACCATCATCTTTTTAGGGAGGCTTGCCCCACCAACCTAGTTAAAAGTCTAATCCTTCTAGCCCCCATCACTCTCTGTCTTCTATCTCTGCTTTCTTTTTCTCTGCAATGTTTGTTGCCCTCTGACATAGTATACCTTTAATTTATTTACTTGTTTATTGCCTATCTGCCCTACCAAAATAAAAGCCCCATGAGGGAGGGGTCTTTGTCAGCTTTGTTCACTCAGGTTGTGTCCTCAGTGCCTGTCACAGTGCCTGGCACAGATGAGGCACTCAATCAATATTTTAAAAAAATGAATGAATGGGAAGTATAGTAATAGCCAGAACAATCAGGCAAGCTAAAGAAATAAAAGGCATCCAAATACGAAAAGAAGAAGTGAAACTATCTTTCTTCTCTCACAACATAATTCTACATCTAGAAAACCTTAAAGACTCCACCAAAATCTACTAGAACAGCAAGCTATTTTAGTAACGTTTCAGGATACAAAATAAATATATAAAAAGTAGTAACATTTCTGTATACCAATAATGTCCAGGCTAATAATCAAATCAAGAACATAAACTCATTTACAGTAGCCACAAAGAAAATGAAATACTTAGGAATACAGCTAACCAAGGAGATGAAAAATCTGTACAAAACACTGCTGAAAGAAATCAGAGATGACACAAATAAATGAAAAAACATTCCATGCTCATGGATTGGAAGAATCAATATTATTAAAATGGCCATACTGCCCAAAACATACTGCCCAGAACAGATTCTACACTACTACTGTTAAATTACCAACATCATTCTTCACGGAATTAGAAAAAACTATTCTAACATTCACGTGGAACCAAAAAAGAGCCCACACAGCTAAAGTAATCCTAAGCAAAAAGAACAAAGCTGGAGGTATCACACTACCTGACTTCAAACTATGCAATAAGGCTATAGCAACCAAAACAGCATGGTACTGGTACAAAAGTAGACACACAGACCAATGGAACAGAATAGAGAACCCAGAAATAAAGCCACATGCTTACAACCATCTAATCTTCAACAAGGCTGACAAAAACAAGCAATGGGGAAAGGACTCCCTATTCAATAAATGGTGCTGGGATAACTAGCTAGCCATATGCAGAAGGATGAAACTACACCCTTACCTTTCATTATGTACAAAAATTAACTCAAAATGCATAGTAATTTAAGTGTAAGACTTCAAACTATAAAAATTCTAGAAGAAACCTGAGGAAATATCCTTCTTGACATCAACCTTCACAAAGAATTTATGACTAAGTCCCCAAAAGCAATTGCAACAGAAACCCAAAATTGACAAGAGGGACCTAATTAAACTGAAGAGCTTCTGCGCAGAAAACAAACAAACAAAAAACTGTTAACAGAGTAAACAGACAACCTACAGAATGTGAGAAAATATTTTCAAACTATACATCCAACAAAGGTCTAATATCCAGGAATCTATAAGGAGCTTAAACAAAACACAAATAACCCCATTAAAAATGGGCAAAGGACATGAACAGACATGTCTCAAAAGAAGACCTGTAAGTGGGCCAACAAACACATGAAAAAAAATGCTCCACATTGCTAATCATCAAAGGATTGCATCTCAAAGCCACAGTGAGATACCATCTAATACCAGTCAGAATGACTATTATTAAAAAGTCAAAAACAGCAGAGACTGAGGAGAAAAGGAACCGCTTATACACCATTGGTGGGAATGTAAATAGTTCAGCCACTGTGAAAAGCAATTTGGAGGTTTCTCAAATAACTTAAAACAGAACTACCATTTGACACAGCAATCCCATGACTGAAATACATCCAAAAGAAAATAAATAATTCTACCAAAAAGACATAATGTACTCGTATACTCATTGCTGCGCTAGTCACAATAGCAAAGACATGGCATCAACCTAGGTGCCCCATAATGGTGGACTGGTTAAAGAAAATGTGGTATATATATATACAGTGGAATACTATGAAGCCACAGGAATAATGAAATCATGTCCTTTGCTGCAACATGGAGGCAGCTGGAGGCCATAATCCTAAGTGAACTAGTGTAGGAACAGAAAACCAAATACTGCATGTTCTTACTTATTTGTAGGAGCTAAACATTGAGCACACATGGACTTAAACATTGGAACAATACACACTGCAGACTACTAGAGGCAGTAGGGAGAAAGGATGAGGCATGGGTTAAAAAACTACCAACTGGGTACTATGTTCACTACCTGGGTGCAATATACCCATGTAACAAACCTGCACTTTTAACTCCCATATCTAAAATAAAAGTTTTTTTTTTTTTTTTTTTTTTTTTTTTTTTTTGAGATAGGGTCTTGCTCTGTCATCCAGGCTGGAGTGCAGTAGCACAATCATGGCTCAATGCAGCTTCAACCTCCCTTCTCAAGCAATTCTCCTGCCTCAGCCTCCTGAGTAGCTGAGACTACAGATGTGCACCACCAAGTATGGCTAATTTTTTATTTTTTGTAGAGATAGGGTCTCACTATGTTGCCTAGGCTGGTCTCGAACTCCTGGGCTCAAGCAATTCTCCTGCCTTGGCTTCCCAAAGTGCTGGGATTACAGGCATGAACTACCACACCTGGCCTCTTCGTTCTTTCTCTAGATCATTATATATATTACTGATAGAGATGATCAACAAAGATTAAACCTGACAATATTGGTGGAATGACTGAAAAAGAGAAAATATGTTATAATGCCTACTATAAATGTTCAACATGTTAGATAGTGTGTTTACTACAGGTATTGGAAAAAAGTATGAGATTTCTTTTTGAATATCTGACAATATGCTATTCAAGAAAAGAACATATGGGAGAGTATTCATTCATGTGCCTATTGTATATCCTCAGAGTACATTGTCCATATCTCTATAAAAACCTTAGTTATGGCTTTACACATTTGTCTTACCGTTTAGTTTGTGAGTCCTCAAGAACAAGGTCCCTCTTAATTTTTTTACATTCAAGTCTGAACATAGTCTCTGGGACATATAAGATGGTAGTAAAAGGTAGTATTGCTATTATAAATCATTATTAGAACAAATAAATGTGTGTTGAATGAAAGTTATGGATATTAAATTCTCAAGGACTTTGGAAAAAGTAGAGATCAATATGGACTAGGTAAAAGCAACACAATTAAGGTAGATTATCTGGTTTATTAGGCACAATAAAAGGCTCCTAATCCAGATATTTTTGCTTAAAAAAGAGTAACACCCAAACTCATTGAAGCTTGAATTAGCCATAGTGTCTGCCTACATTGATCAGATAATATGGATAACTCATCTCATTTCAGGTTATTGCTATGAAGATACAATCTTCACATCACATCTGTAATTACCTTCTTCCAGGACCGTATTATAACTGCTTTCAGATTCTTTCAGGTGTAGAAAAAAGAAGGTATTAAATGAGAAAGAAAAAGATCTATTAGAAATTTAGAAGACAGGATAAAGCATTGTGTGTGCATATCTTTAGTAAACTGCTATTTTATGGCCCTCTCACAATATGTACCTTGGAATAAATATAATATACCTCTAACATAGGCATGGTAAACAATGTTTGAAGACATGAGAAAAAATGTATAGATCTGAGATTCTTCTATATTTGATGGAAGCATTTCTTGCAGATTTATTGCCAATTAATCTTGAATTCCTTCATCAGAAAAGGCAACTATCACTATTGCCATCCTTACTGACTCTTAATAATAGCTATAACTTGGTGCAACATACGCCATTCTGAGAAGTCATAATTTTTATTAATATTTGCATATTTTGTTTATCTAGCCCTGCCTGAACACAGTGTGAATTATTCCAAGGTAGTGATTAGTTCTTATGTCCATTAATATGCATTAATGCATAATAGGCATTAATAGGACTCATTTATAGCTAAGTCTCCCGTGCAAATACGCCATTGTATGTGTGTTTTGTTGCATGTGTGTGGTGCCATGGAGAAGCACTGCTCATATCTCCCTTTGAGAGAACTTGCTGCGGGAGCAGAATTGGCTTGCAGCTTCTAGAAGCTGTGGCTATACCTTCAAATCTGCCAAGGCGTTCGTGTTGAGGCCATGCTTTCCCTGGCAATGACTGAGCATGACAGAGTTATCGGTGACAGCAGGTGCCTGACTCCCCTCACAGGCAGCCCCTGCTTGGGGTCTCCATGTTGACCTGGCTATTCTCAGAGCTGCACTGCAATCTGAAGTTCTTCCTACCCAATTTTTCTTCACTGTTGTCAGACATGCATTGCTGTCTGAAGGTTCTCTCTGCCTGTTTATTCCTGCTCCTTCACAGGCATGTCTCTAATAAATCTCTTGCGTATCTCATCCTGTCTTGGTGTCTGTTTCTTGGAGCACCTGAATTGACACAGGTAGTACCAGAATTGGTCCAAGAAAATAGTTGCAGAAGTGGTCTAAGAAAATGTGGACTAAGTGGGGACTGGCTCACTTTCTGCCTGGTTGGTAAGAAGGATCTCACCCTGAATGGAACATGGGGCATAGATAATCCCTGGCACAAGCTAGTGGTCCAATTGCTGAAGATTTCCCCTGTGATGATTTGGGGAAAATGTCCCAGTGGAGAGAAACACTTTTATCAGTGTGATGATTCAGGTATTTGAAAGATATGAGGGAATGATGGCTACAAGAACAGTGAGGTTAGCTGGTGGTAATGATGCCTTTGGGAGTGAGGGACAATTGAAGAGAAACTGAGATAGTTAACGAACAGCTAAAGGCTAAATCTGAATGCCAGAGGACTTGGTAGTTTACAAAGAGGCCCTTTTCCCCTGCAGTGGGAGATTGGACACAGCTAGGAGGCAGACTCAGAATGCAATGACATTTCAGAGTTTGGGATGCGTTTAAATGCTCAGCAAAGGCATGTCTGTTATGTTAATTTCAGGTCTTTGACTAGGAAAATCTGGGACCCTGAAATATGGGATAGAGACATCTGCATGGATGTCCCTAAGAATTGTGGCTCTGCAGAAACCTTGAATCCTCAGAGCCTACAGGGGTGGCCCACCCCTCCGTAGTCACGCTAGCACTTGCCCCCATCTCCTCTCCTGGCTGTTAGATCCACAACTTGGGTTAAATCCAAGCATAATCTGGCTGGAGATATATGAGGCCTAATAAGGGAGAAAAGAGATTATACCCTGAAAGAGCTGCAAATATCGCCTGTCCTGTACCAGCAGGATTCACAGGAATATCACTGGGATTGTATTCTGTGGGGCCTTCATTAAGGGAACCAGGCAAAGGATTGTTTAAACCAGAATTCATTGACTGGGGGGATCTTTCTCAGGACATGAAATATAACACGCTGGCAAGGATCCTAGGAGATGGGGCGGAATTGCTGCTGGGGTGACTCCTAGAAATCGGCAGGAAGCAATGGCCCATGAGAAGAAAAGTGAAAATAGCAGAGTTTTTCCGACAGCTAGCAGAGGAAGAAATAAAAAGCCTTAGGAAAATGGGCCAGATGGAATGAATATATTATGTGAGACCATAAGACCTACTGGAGAATTATGTTCTATGGGAAGGTCTAGAGGGCACACCACTCACCATGGCAATCAGGAATGTGCCAGTGAGATGGCACCAGCTTTGCTAAACCCAGTGGAGAGCCTCCACGGCAGGTCAGGGTAGATGGTAGGGCAGGTGAGTCCCAGGGCAGGGCTCATTAACAATCATGGTAATAATCCCTTCTCCGACCTCAAGTGAGGTCAGATGTTGGTATCTAACTGCCTGAAGCTGGGAGGTCATAATAACTATAATGATTAGCAAGGTTAGAGGTGCAGTCAAGGGGGCTTGACATGCATTTGGTTGTGAAGACAGTTAATAAAGCAGGGTATCTTTAGGGACAGAATAGACAGGCAGCCAATAAACGTGCTGCTGAACATCTTTAATCAGAAGATAAGAATAGAACAGCAGGAGCATGAAGGTGATTCTCCAGTAAAAAAGTTCTTCCTCTGTTCTTGGATCTTAGCCAGTTTTCAAAACTAGAGCTCACTGACTGAAGAGTGGCTGGACCCCCAGGAAGAAGGACCTTGCAATACTGCAGCCAGAATATGCTGCGATGTCTCTTCTAATCCTTCTTCAAAAAGACCCGTGACCATTTACTTGGGTGACTGTACACTGGGGAAAGAGGAATTCTTAGACATTTTGAGGTCTATGTATATAAGGTATAAATTGACACCCGGAGCTCCAAAGCATCATTGTAGCCCCCTTTGTTAGAGTGGAGGCAAGTGAGACTGAAAATATAGTCCTGTTTAATGTCTGGCTTCCAGCTGGCTTATGGGTCTGCAGTCATGCCCAGTGGTTATTTCTCTGGTGTCTGAGTACATTACCAGAACTGATATACTTACCAGTGGAGTAACTCCCACATCGGATCCTTGGCTATGGGATAAGTACTATCATGGTGGGAAAGGTTAAGTAGAAGCCTTTAAAACTCCCATTCCTCCATGGCCAAGAGTGTAAATCAAAACTAATTTCACATCCTGGGGAAGGGTGGAGATTAGTACCACCACTAAAGACCTAAATACTGCAGGGGTGATACTCTCAATCATCTCTATTTAATTCACCAATCTGGGTCCTACTCAACCTGGATGGATCCTGCAGAAAGACTGCAGACTAGCACAGATTCAATCAAATAGTAGCCCCAGTTGCTGCTGTTGTTTTGGTCATGTTTTTATGACTGGAGGAGATTAATAAATCCTCAGCTACATGGTATATGGCCATTGACTTGGTGAAATATTTTCTATTGCAACCAGAAAAGGGGATCAGAAATAGTTCAGATTGTGGGATGGACATTATTTATCTAGAGTTTTGCCCCAAGGCTATGTTACATCTCCTACTCTTTACCATAGTATAATCTGAAGACATCCGGACCACCTGACCATCCTGCAGATTGTTACATTGATCTTATATTGATGACATCATGTTGATTTGGCAGGACAAGCAATAGGTTGCTAGTATGTTGGAAGCCTTTGTTAAGAACATATTTTTCAGAGATAGGAAAATAAACCTTATGAAGATTCAGGTACCTACAATTTCAGTAAAGTTTTTTGGAAGTCTGATGGTCAGGGGTATGCTAGGATATCCCCTCTAAAGTAAAAGACAAGTGATTGCATTGTATATCCTCTACAATAAAGAAAGAAATATAGCAACCAAATGGGTTCCAGAGGCAGCACATTTCATAGGACTCCTGCTTTGGCCCATGTATTGGGCTAGGGGATCCAAGCTGCTTGTATTACAGCTCTACTGCTAGGGCTGTATGATATAGCCGCTGGAGTTGGAGGTGTTGGTGGTAGGAAAAGATTCAGCATGGGATTTATGGCAAGACCCAGAGGGAGAATCACGAAGAAGGCCCTGGAATTCTGTAGCAAGGCTATGCCATCTCAGTAGAAAATTACACAGTTATTTTGAGAATGGTTCTGGCTTCTATGGTTTGAATGTATCTCAAAGTTTACGCATTAGAAACCTAGTCCCCAGTGCAACAGCATTGAGAGGTGGGTCCTTTATGAGGTGATGCTCATGAGGGCTATGCCCTCATAATGTCATTATATCAGGAGTGGGTTTACTTTGCAGGAGTGGGTTTTTAAAAAAGGATGAGTTCAGCACCTTTCGCTCTTTTGCACAAGTCTTTGCTCTTTTGCCCTTCCACTTTCCACCATGGGATGCAGCAAGAAGGTCCTTGCCAGGTTGTAGTCCTCTCAACCTTGGACTTCCCAGCCTTCCAAACTGTAAGAAATAAATCTCTGTTCTTTATAAATTACCCAGTCTCAGATATTCTGTTATAGCAGCATGAAATGAACTAAGACATTGGCATATTACAGTGTCCTGATTGAAATAGGATGCTTGACTACATGGTACCAAGTGACCATGTATTATGAAGTCACGGGGAACCAGCAACAATGCCTCTTAAGATGGAAATTGTGCACCTAAGATTCAACCCATGCAGAACTAAAATGGCATGAATCAGCTGTATGAGCAGGTGGTCCAGATCTGCTGTCACCTATCATAATTGCACCAGCATCCCTGTCCCAGCTCACATTTATGGTCGTATGAGAGGGTCTTATATATTTCATCTCAAAGAGGATGAAAAGCCTTAAACTTGATTTACAGATGGGCTGGCTCAATAAATTAGTGCAAGCCAAAAAAAAAAAAAAAAAAAAAAAAGACAGTGCCTGCATTATATCCAGTCAAAAGGGTGGCTTTGAAAGACAGTAATGAATGGAGATCCTCCTAATGGGTGAAGCTGTAAGTGGTGCATCCAGTCATTCACTACATGTGGAAGAAGAGTGGCCACAGCTGGTCAGGGGCAAAAAAGACAAACAACTGGGAGATTAGAGACAAAGAAGCCTGGGGTAGAGGCATGTGGATGGACATATGGGATGGGCCTCAAGTGTGAGACTTTTATGTCACACATTAATGCACACCAGAAAGCACTCACCACAGAAAAGTCCTGAAAACCAAATAGACAAAATTACTCAACCAATTAATGCCATCGTTGGCCATCATGGAAGTGGCTCAATGGGCACATGAGTGGAATGACTATGGTGGCAGAGAAATAGGCTGCACATGGGCCCAAAAGTAGGGCTTCCAGTTACCAAGACTTACCTAGCCACTACATTGTTTGAATGCCCAATCTGTCAGAACATAGATGAATGCTGAACAACCGACATGACACCATTCCTCAAGAAGACCGCTAGTTGGGGCAAGTTTGCTACACTGGACCCCTTCTATCCTGGAGCTATCAGTGGTTTGTCTTCTCAGGATCAGATATTTATTCTACCTGTTCCTGGTATGAGTTTGCTTTTCCTTCCCTCAGGGTCTTAGCCAGCAACACTATCCAGGGGCTTCTACAATGCCTGATCCACAGGCATGGAATTCTACACAACATAGCATCTGTCCTTTACCTTCACAGTAAAGGAATTGAAGGACTGGGCATATGACACTGGGATCCAATGGAAATATCAGAAATTGCACCATATAGAAGGAATTGGTTTTGTAGAGCTTAGAAACTGAAGGGCCACATGAAGTGCTGCTTTGGAGGCAAAATTTTCCAAGGAAGAAATGCCATAGTTCCAGAAGTATTACATGCACCAAATTAGATAGCTTTATATGAGGCCATGTCCCCAGTAGCAAGGATACATGGATCCTGAAACCAAGGTGTATTAGTCTGTTCTCATACTGCTGTGAAGAAATACCCAAGACTGGGTAATTTATAAAGAAAAAGAGGTTTAGTGGACTCACAGTTCCACGTGGCTGGGGAGGCCTCACAATCATGATGGAAGGTGAAGGAGGAGCAAAGGCATGACTTACATGGTGGCAGGCAAGAGTGTGTGTGCAGGAGAACTGCCCTTTATAAAACTGTCAGATATCTTGAGACTTATTAACTATCATGGGAACAGCATGGGAAAAACCCACCCCCATGATTTAATTACCTCCCAATGGGTCCCTCTCATGACACGTGGAGATTATGGGAGCTACAATTCAAGATGAGATTTGGATGGGAACACAGCCAAACCATATCATTCTGCCTCTGCCCCCTCCCAAATCTCATCTCCTCACTTTTCAAAACACAATCATGCCCTTCCAAAGTCTCCCAAAGTATTAGCTAATTCTAGCATTAACTCAAAAGTCCAAGTCCAAAGTCTCATCTGAGACAAGGCAAATCTCTTCTGCTTATGAGACTGTAAAATCAAAAAGCAAGTTAATTACTTCCTAGATACAATGGGGGTACAGGCATTGGGTAAATACACCCTTTCCAAATGGAATAAATTGGCCAAAACAGAGAGGTTACAGGCCTCATGCAAATCTGAAATCCAATAGAGCAGTCATTAAACCTTAAAGTTCCAAAATGATCTCCTTTGACTCCATTTCTCACATCCAGGTCACGCTGATGCAAGAAGTCGGCTCCCATGGCCTTGGGCAGCTCTGCCCCTGTGGTTTTGCAGGGTATAGCCTCCCTTCTGGCTGCTTTCATGGCTGGCGTTGAGTGTCTGTGGCTTTTCCAGGTGCACAGTGTAAGCTGTCAGTGGATCTACCATTCTGGGGTCTGGAGGATGGTGGCTGGTTTCTTATAGCTCCACTAGGCAGTGATCCAGTGGGGACTCTGTGTGGGGGCTCCAACCCCACATTTCCCTTCCGCACTGCCCTAGCAGAAGTTCTCCATGAGGACTCTGCCCCTGCAGCAAACTTCTGCCCAGACATCCAGGCATTTCCATATATGATCTGAAATCTAGGCAGAGGTTCCCAAACCTCATTTCTTGTCTTCTATGCACCCACAGGATCAATACCATGTGAAAGCTGCCAAGGCTTGGAGCTTGCATCCTCTGGAACAATGGCCTAAGCTATACCTTGGCTCCTTTAAGTCACAGCTGAAGCAGCTGGGATGCAGGGTACCAAGTCCTGAAGCTACAAACAGTAGCAGGGACCTGCACCTGGCCCAGGAAACCATTTTTCCCTCCTAGGCCTTGGGGCCTGTGATGGAGGGACTGCTGTGAAGGTTTCTGACATGTCCTAGAGATATTTTCCCCATTGTCTTGGTGATTAACATTTGGCTCCTTGTTACTTATGCAAATTTCTGCAGCTGGCTTGAATTTCTCTCCAGAAAATGGGGTTTTCTTTTCTATAGCATCGTCAGTCTCCAAATTTTTCAAATTTTTATGCTCTGCTTCCTCTTAAATGCTTTGCCACCAGAAATTTCTTCTGCCAGACACCCTAAATCATCTTTCTGGAGTTCAAAGTTCCTCAGATCTCTAGAGCAGTGGCAAAATGCTGCCAGTTTCTTTGCATAGCAAGAATGACCTTAACTCCAGTTCCCAAAAAGTTCCTCATCTCCATCTGAGACCACCTCAGCCTGGACTTTATTGTCTATATCATATCAAGATTTTGGTCAAAGCTAAGCCAATCAACAAGTCTCTAGGAGGTTCCAAACTTCCCCACATCTTCTTGCCTTCTGAACTGTCCAAGCCCAGAAGTTTCAAATGTTCCCACGTTTTCCTATCTTCTTCTGAGCCCTTCAAACTGTTCCAACCTCTGCCTGTTACTCAGTTCCAAAGTCATGTCCACATTTTCAGGTATCCTTATAGTAGCACCTGGTACCAATTTACTGTATTAGTCTATTCTCATACTGTTATGAAGAAATACCATAGACTGGGTAATTTATAAAGAAAAGAGGTTTAATGGACTCATAGTTCCACATGGCTGGGGAGGCCTCACAATCATGGTGGAAGGTGAAGAAGGAGCAAAGGCATGTCTTATATGGCAGCAGGCAACAGCGTATGTGCAGCGGAACTGCCCTTTAGAAAACCATCAGTTCTCACAGACTTATTTGCTATCATGAGAACAGCATGGGAAAAACCCACCTCTGTGATTGAATTACCTCCCACAGGGTCCTTCCCACAACACCCACAACATGTGGGGATTATGGAAGCTACAATTCAAGATAAGATTTGAGTGGGGACACAGCCAAACCATATCACAAGTAGTTGAAGCAGGAATGTTCCCAGTTACCATCACACTCAGTACTCGCCTTGGGAAACATTGCTTTTCATCACTACAACTCTGGGCTTTGCAAGGTTAGAGGTTCTGGTCCACAAAGGGGGCATACTCTTGCCAGGGGACACAGCTGGGATCCCATTGAACTACAAGCTATCATTGTTCTTGGCCCTTTGGACTCTCTGTGTTTAGAAACCAGGAGACAAAGCAGAAGTCACTATTTTGGCAGGGGTAATTGTCCCTAATCAGATGGAGGTAGGGCTACTTTTTTTTCTTTTTTTTGAGACGGAGTCTCACTCTGTCTCCCAGGCTGGAGTGCAGTGGTGCGATCTCGCCTCGCTGCAAGCTCCGCCTCCCGGGTTTTACGCCATTCTCCTGCCTCAGCCTCCCGAGTAGCTGGGACTACAGGCGTGCACCACGTACGCCCGGCTAATTTTTTTTGTATTTTAGTAGAGACGAGGTTTCACCGTGTTAGCCAGGATGGTCTCGAACTCCTGACCTTGTGATCTGACCGCCTCGGCCTCCCAAAGTGCTGGGATTATAGGCATGAGCCACCGCACCCGGCCTAGGGCTACTTTTATACGTGGGGGAGGGAGGAAAACATGTGGAACCCAGACTATATACTTAGACACCTCTTGGTACTTCCTTACCCAATTATAAATGTAAACAAATACGTGCAGCTGCTCTGGCCTGAGAAGAGTATTACTACCAGCGGCTCAGAGCCCTCAGGAATAAACATTTGGGTCCTACATTCAGATAAGCCACCTAGACCTACAGAGGTGATAGCTGAGAGTGAGGGGAAGTTAGAATGAGAGTGGAGAAGGGACATGGTGATTACTAGTTGTAGCCCCAAGGACAAATGCAGCAATGACAGGGGTAGTTCTCCCCATTAACCTCCTTCTTCTAAGTTTCCCCTCAGGGAAAGAGGTTCATGAACCATGGAGGGCTGCTCCAATATAGGGAATTGTCACAGTATCATTCTTATTTTTCATTGTTTGTTTTCACAGAGTTTTATTTCCGTCTTATAGTTGCTAGCAGTTTTCTACATTTTTTTCAGAGCTTTTGCATATAATTCAGCTATTTTTACCTGCCTTAAAACTTTTAAGCCACTGATTAAGCATATAAATGTTCAGAAGCATATATAATTATCAAAAATAAAGTAGCTTATTAAATCCAAAAAAGGTGACTTGTTTAACCTTACACATTATAGAAATTATAAGCCTAATTTAAAAATGATTAAGTAAATAATCAGAAACTAATACCATTTTAAAAACTAGTCACTACCTGTCTTATGCTGTCAGTATCGACACATAAATAGTGGATGTAATTTTCAGGTGGTTGCTGTGTGCTTTCTTATTCTTCGATTAGCATGAAACTCACACCCAGCTGAAACTGGATAGAATTTGTTATATATAGTTTACAATTTATGTTTGTACACCTTCTTAAAAACTATTTTTCCATCGTCTCAGCCCAAAATCTCCTTAAACTGATAGGCAACTTCAGCAAAGTCTCAGGATACAAAATCAATGTGCAAAAATCACAAGCGTTCTTATACACCAATAACAGGCAAACAGAGAGCCAAATCATGAGTGAACTTCCATTCACAATTGCTTCAAAGAGAATAAAATACCTAGGAATCCAACTTACAAGGGAAGTGAAGGACCTCTTCAAGGAGAACTACAAACCACTGCTCAATGAAATAAAAGAGGATACAAAGAAATGGAAGAACATTTCATGCTCATGGGTAGGAAGAATCAATATTGTGAAAATGGCCATACTGCCCAAGGTAATTTATAGATTCAATGCCATCCCCATCAAGCTACCAATGACTTTCTTCACAGAATTAGAAAAAACTACTTTAAAGTTCATATGGAACCAAAAAAGAGCCCGCATTGCCAAGTCAATCCTAAGCCAAAAGAACAAAGCTGGAGGCATCATGCTACCTGACTTCAAACTATACTACAAGCCTACAGTGACGAAAAGAGCATAGTACTGTTACCAAAACAGAGATATAGATCAATGGAACAGAACAGAACCCTCAGAAATAATGCCACATATCTACAACTATCTGATCTTTGATAACCCTGACAAAAACAAGAAATGGGGAAAGGATTCCCTATTTAATAAATGGTGCTGGGAAAACTGGCTAACCATATGTAGAAAGCTGAAACTGGATCCCTTCCTTACACCTTATACAAAAATTAATTCAAGATGGATTAAAGACTTACATGTTAGACCTAAAACCATAAAAACTCTAGAAGAAAACCTAGGCAATACCATTCAGGATATAGGCATGGGCAAGGACTTCATGTCTAAAACACAAAAAGCAATGGCAACAAAAGCCAAAATTGACAAATGGGATCTAATTAAACTAAAGAGCTTCTGCACAGCAAAAGAAACTACCATCAGAGTGAACAGGCAACCTACAGAATGGGAGAAAATTTTTGCAATCTACTCATCTGACAAAGGGCTAATATCCAGAATCTACAATGAATTCAAACAAATTTACAAGAAAAAAACAAACAACCCCATCAAAAAGTGGGCAAAGGATATGAACAGACACTTCTCAAAAGAAGACATTTATGCAGCCAAAAAACACATGAAAAAATGCTCATCATCACTGGCCATCAGAGAAATGCAAATCAAAACCACAATGAGATACCATCTCACACCAGTTAGAATGGCGATCATTAAAAAGTCAGGAAACAACAGGTGCTGGAGAGGATGTGGAGAAATAGGAACACTTTTACACTGTTGGTGGGACTGTAAACTAGTTCAACCATTGTGCAAGTTGGTGTGGCGATTCCTCAGGGATCTAGAACTAGAAATACCATTTGACCCAGCCATCCCATTACTGGGTATATACCCAAAGGATTATAAATCATGCTGCTATAAAGACACATGCACACGTATGTTTATAGCGGCACTATTCACAATAGCAAAGACTTGGAACCAACCCAAATGTCCAACAATGATAGACTGGATTAAGAAAATGTGGCACATATACACCATGGAATACTATGCAGCCATAAAAAAGGATGAGTTCATGTCCTTTGTAGGGACATGGATGAAGCTGGAAACCATTCTCAGCAAACTATCGCAAGGACAAAAAACCAAACACCACATGTTCTCACTCATAGGTGGGAATTGAACAATGAGAACACATGGACACAGGAAGGGGAACATCACACACCAGGGCCTGTTGTGGGGTGGGGGGAGGCGGGAGGGATTGCATTAGGAGATATACCTAATGTTAAATGACCAGTTAATGGGTGCAGCACACCAACATGGCACATGTATACATATGTAACAAACCTGCACATTGTGCACATGTACCCTAAAACTTAAAGTATAATAATAAAAAAACCCTGTTTTTCCTTATATCGTTTGAGATGCACTGAAAACTCTGAGTTAATTAAGACAGGTGTCATTTTTTTCCCTGCCAAAAATTGAAGCTCAAAGACACTTGGTGATTTGTTTTAATCACACACTATGAATGTTAAGTAGTTTTGGCTTATGAACCCTGCATCATCTGACTCCAAATTTTATTCTCCTCCTCATGCTTTAAGTGGCCTCCCCTTCAAAGTAACAACCATGAAGATCTTCAGGAAAAACACATAATGAAGTCTTGACAAGAAGGGTCAGTTTTTTAATTTACAAGTTTCAGTGATTATCCATACCATTCAGAAAACTGTACCACGCCCTTGACATTTTTCCAGGGTAAGCAGCTTGCATTAGATGTTCCACTATGTTGATGTTTCCTATTATTAAAAATTATCTTTAATTATCTAAAAAATAAACAAATGCAATGGAGAATACGAAAAGAAGCAAATAACATTAACTTTCAACTCAACATTCCAAATGAAATGATTTTCCACTCACCTTTGGGCTCATATTTTATGATATGCAGCAGACCAGTGTTCAGCTTCATGCTGTTTTTCTGAAGCTCCTTTATTTATTTTTCATTAATCTGTCTCCCTTGTGTGCCTGGTGCTCAGTAATCTGCTCATCTGTAGCATGATCTATACTATAATCCATTGCTTCTCCCTCCATGCATTTTAATGAAATAAGTTTTGCCTCCTTTACATAACTGCTGTCCTGATTTCATACTGCAACATAACCATTTACTGTCACATCATTGAAAGCAAATCTTTAAAGGAATACCTCAAAACAGAATAGATAACACAATTTTTATTTATTCCTTTTTTTTTTTAAAGGGCTTTGTAAACTCAGCAGTGTTGTCATCATTTAATTTTAAGTAGGTGCTCAGGTTTGGACATAGATATTCCCTGGACAGCAATCCAAGTGGGAAACACATTGGTAGTCAGAATCCTTTGTCCCCTTCATGCTCCATCACTTGGCTGGGTGTTATGAACCCCTACCCTGCCTTTGCCCTGGCTATCCTGGGATGGTTTGTGTAGCCGAAGAACTATAGAAGAACCATGAACAATGCAGGAAGTGCTTGCTTGTTGTTGCTGTTTTGTTTCCGTGTTCCTGCTAGCTTTGTCTTGCTCCTCTGGTTCCTGGCCATTGGCATGGACTTGGACCTACTCCTCTGCGCTGCCCACCAGTATCTGCACATTCCAGGCCTGTGTTTGCCTGCCTGGCTTCTGACCCTTTCTCCCTGTGTGAGATCTGATTGACTGCCTTGCTCTGACGCTGGCATCCTGGATAATGTCCTCCTCTTGGCTGTTCTCGGATTACCGCTCGTTGTGGACTTCTGCTTCCACATTTGCCACAGCTTGCACCCATTGTTGGTCTTTTACTTCATTTTCAATCTCGCATTAGACTTTTGGGTCCTTCATTCATTCAACAACCGACTATTAAGTGCCTCATGTATGTAGTTGATACAAAGATAAATAAGACATAGGCTCTGCCCTTATAGAATTTACTGACTAGAAGATAAATAGACCCCCAAAAGGGATGGATCCGAATTTTGAGGGACCTGTGGCTTGTACAAATTTGGGGCCCTCATTAAGAAAAAAATTGCAATATTATATATATTTAGCTAAGAGCCTTGGAAGGGGTCTATGCAAGTGAAGACCCTAAATCTTCATTAGTTTCACAGTGAATTCACCTGTGTGCACAAACAAATTTTAAAAGGAAATAACAGGTAGAATGGAGATAGTTCTGGGGTAGAAATATGCAGGGATTATTATGAGGACACCCAGGAAAGGCAACTAACCCACTTTGGGTGTGAGCAATGGTTTCCTGGAGGAGGTTTCCCCTGATCATTTCTAAAGCCTGAGTGCTATTAAACTAGATGAAAAAGAGGGGAAAGGAGGAGGTGGGCAGAGTGTTCCAAGCAGAGCACCCAGCATGTAAATGAAGACCACAACAGTAAGTCCTGGGTACTGACAGCAGCTCCATTTTCCTGGAGCATAAAGCACATAACAGATAGAATGGAATGGTGAGACTGGATACAAAAAGTTGGGATTAAGGCACTGAGAGTCTTTGTGGCACAATAAGGATTTTGAATGTTACCTGTTGCTTAAATGTTTATCTCAGATAAAGCACCCTGGCAGAAAAATATGCAAGTATGGCAATCAGTTCAGAGATGTGGCAGTTGTTTAGGCAAGAGGTGACAGAGTTATGAACTAAAGACATAATCTCAGGAGTAAAGAGAAGAGATGAATCAAGAAATATGTAGATTAAATGTCAGGTTGATGAAGAGTAGAGAGGATCCTCTAGGCTTTCTAGCTTGGGTGAAAGAGGGGATGGTAGAAACATTAGATGAAAAATGGGGCAGGGAAGGAAGATGGTTTGAGAGAAGACCACGTATTTAAGCAACTCAATGGAAGTGCGTTTTTTAGAAAAGTGGTATCTGAGTCAAGCTGGGGGAGAAATCTGGGTGAGAGGTGCACATTAAAGAAGAATCATCACAAAAGTAGTAGTTGAAGACCAGGAAAGGAGTAAGCTAACTCAGGGAGGTGTAGAGAGAAAGGAGTGCAGGAACCAAGATGGGAATCTGGAAAAGCAGCTTGGGAAGGCATCAGAGCAAACCAGAGGGAGGCATGAGGAAGCCAGGGGAGTACAGTGTCACAGCTCTCAAAAGAGTAAAAGGATTCAACATGCCAAATACTACAGCCTTGCAATTAAATGACTGAAGAATGTTCATTGGGTTTGTCAATAGGATTTAATTGGAGATGAGGATGAGGGTACTTGGAGAGCACTGATGGGAATAGACCAGGTGTCAATAGGTTGAGGATTATATGGGAGGTGAGGAAGTGGTGACAATGACTATGGGATGCTGTAAGGGAATTTTTGGGTGAGAAAGGTTTGAAAGCTATTGGGCTTGAGTGATTGGAATCTAAGAGATCATTTCATTTCATTTCTTTTTCCTTTTTTAAAGGTGAGAGATGCTTGAGCATTGTAATAGGCTGAGTGTTCAAGTGTTTAGAAGGTAAGATGGGAGGTGGGCTGGACCCAGGTCCTATTAACTATGACATTGGCTGCCTGTTGTCCCTGGGAACCTGAACTCCTGATCCTTTTGCTCCTTCTAGAAGATTAAATTTACCCCTTTCTACGACGACTAGTACAGATCTGGCTGGTTGATCTTAATAATCTTTAATGTTTTCTGTCTACTCTGAGGTTCGCTGATTGATTTATTGATGGCCCAAAGAAACATAAGTGCATTTTTTGGTCTAGCATAGTATATTGAGTCAGGCTGCCATGGAATAAGAACAGAGGAAAGAATGAAATACGGTGGAAAGGAATTATCCTTACCCTGTGACATCCCTCTCCATTCTGTAATGAGCATTTCCTTGCTGACTTGCCCTGGTAGAGAGCTATTTGCTTCAAAGGGAATAGCATTATTTTTGGGTAGAAAAAGATCAGGTAATGGTAAGTTTGTTATTATTTCTGGAAACCTGTGATTTAGGACATTATTAAAACCGCCGGTAGCCATTCTAGAGGTAAGGGAGATCAAAAGCTATGTCCCAGAGGCCATCTCAAAACTGTGAAACTCAGTTCCCTGCTTGCTAGCATCTGAGAGTAGAGAAATTAGGCTCTGACAATAAATGTAAAAATGGCTTATAAACCAGAACAGGCTCTACAAATGTCAGTTATTTCCATCCTTTCTGAAAGACTATTTGCAGAAATATTTGCCTGAAGACCCCGTAGTACACAAAATGAAGCAACAGTAATTCAAAGGCAATTGTATTCCTCTTTAAAGCATATGTTTTACTGCAGCATGGGAAACTAAACCTCATTTTCTGCTTAATGCCCACTTGACAGACTTAGTGGAATAAAAAGTCACCCACCATCTCTCATGTACTGCATAAGTGTGTGCTGAAGCAGGCTTGTTATTGAGTAACCACAACACAAAATGAAAAGCACTTTGTCACCATGCCTCCTCAACTGCTGTGTGAATGCTAAACCTCCAATAAAACCTGTGAGCACTAAGCACAATTAGTATTAGTGTTAGAAAGACTTTCACCCATTTGGGGGAGAAAATATGCACTACATAGTTACAATCAGGAGAATGACTAGCCATGTGCAAACAAAAAGAAAAAACGGTAGGATTCATAGTGGGTAACATTCACCATTAGTGCTCAGGGACACACTGAAATGAAAACAGGCACATTAAAAGAAAAAAAGAAGCAGCAAAACAGAAACATCGTCTGTATGATCTGACAAGAGAAAACCTTTCCCTCCCACCAGACCCAATCACACATATCTTACTTATTGATACTTGAATATATATGAAGATGACTTTATTTCTCTAGTTCAAGGCTTTGCTCCTGGTTAAAACACAAATTCCTGGGAAAGTAATATTGTTTGAATTTGTGTCCCCACCAAATTTCATGTTGAATGATGGATTTCTCATGAGTGGTACCCTGTTGGTACTGTCCTCATGATCGTGATAGAGTTCTCACAAGATCTGATTGTTTATAAGTGTATAGCACCTTCTCTCTCTCTCTCTCTCTCTCTCTCTCTCTCTGTCTCTCTGTCTTGTTGCTCCAGCCATGTGACATGCCTTCTCCCCCTTCACCTTCTGCCATGATTATGTTTCCTAAGGCCTCCCCAGAAGCTGGGTAGATGCCGGCATCATGCTTCCTGTACACCCTATGGAACCAAAAGCCAATTAAACCTTTTTTCTTTATAAATTACCCAGTCTCAGGTGTATATATGTGTGTGTATATATATATATATATATATATATATATATATATATATATAGTTTTTTTTTTTTTTTTGAGACAGAGTCTTGCTCTTGTCACCCAGGCTGGAGTGCAGTGGTGCCATGTCAGCTCAATGCAACCTCCATCTCCCAGGTTCAAGTGATTCTCGTGCCTCAGCCTCCCGAGTAGCTGGGATTACAGGCGCCCGCCATCACGCCCAGCTAATTTTTGTATTTAGTAGAGACGGGGTTTCACCATGTTGGCCAGGTTGGTCTCGAACTCCTGATCTCAGATGATCCATCCACCTCGGCCTCAGCCTCCCAAAGTGCTGGGATTACAGGCATGAGCCACCATGCCCAGCCAGGTATATCTTTGTAGCAATGTGAGAACGGCCTAATATAGAAAGGGAGCGTTTAAAATTTCTCATCATTTATTGCTTCATTGCTCAGTGTCTGGCTCTATTTTGAAGCAGGAAGATGGATTCTAAGTGGAGTGGAGGGAGAATGGAGAGGCAAGAGGCAGCCCATGCTCTCTCCACAGTCTGCTTAGGGCCGGAGAGCCCAGGGTGTTGCAGCAGACCCACCCAATACCCATCCTTCTCTGTGGTGTCAAAGTCTCAATTTTCATTCTAGGTAGACATGTATCCAGTGAAGGACCACATTTCCAAATATTCCCCCATCTCACTTCTTGCAGCTAGGGGTGGCTAATAAGATACAGGCAGAAGTGGTTTAGCAGAACTTCCGGGAATACTCCTAAAAAGGAAACAGGCCCCCAGGAGGCATGTTGCTTGCCTCCCCACC
Organism: Homo sapiens; assembly: GCF_000001405.40. NCBI lineage: Eukaryota > Metazoa > Chordata > Mammalia > Primates > Hominidae > Homo > Homo sapiens. The sequence continues at coordinate 127,131,370 of NC_000005.10, forward strand.
TCTTTTCTCCTTCTTTCTGCCAAGAATGCACATGTGATGGCCTGCAAAGGGCTGATGCTCCAGCAACCAACTTGTAAGTGTGAGGATAAGGGCCAGTACTGTTGAAACAGAGAGCTGAAAGGAGCCTGGATTCCTGGTGACAGTATGGAGCTCTTATGCCAGCCCTGAACTGCTCGCCATTGGATTTACCACATGACAAAGAAATAAATCTATCTTAGTTAAGTCACTCTTTGTTTAGGTCTCACTACTCAAAGTTGAACTAAATTTCTAACTGACACAGATGTATATACACTTGTGTAGTAAACACAAAAGCAAATAAAATAAAAACCCAAAATAAAATAAAACTTTTTTATTTTTATAAAATAAAAAGCAAAATTTAAAAACCCTGGCCAAAGTTCTGTATCTGGCTCTGGATCCCACAACTGAAGATGGATTTGGACAACTTGTTAAGCTTTCAGAGCAGATCCGTGCTACACACACACTCATCACATACCACACACATGCATTATCTTGTCCAAATAGATTTATGAAGCATGTGATTGCCTGTAGTATTCTACTGAGTTTCATGATAGGAATATTTCTTGTTTTCAAGTAGTTCACAATGCATGATAGATCACGCAGATGCAGGCACAATAAAATATTTGAAAAACAATAACTACAAACACAAGTTAAAAAGACTAGGAATATTTGGATAGAATATAAAAAGTGATATAGAATGTCTATCCAAAAAGATTATTGTACAAAGAATTTTGACCTGGTAGTTCACATATCATGTGAGAACAAAACAAGCGAGAGTGCTCCTGAAATAGAAAGGATTTTACAGCGGAATGGACTTTCAGAGAAGGATTTACTGAGAAATCAATGCAGCTGACCCTTCAGGGCCCTGCATCCGCATGGCCACTTCCAACATCCCAGGAAACGTGCTAGACGTATGTTCACAGGTTCTTCTATTTTTGTAAAATTCGTGTTATAATTAACACATTTTCATCACTATCAGTTTTGATCACTGCTTCTTTCCAGCCCGACTTTATCTGTGTCATACTTCCCTTGTGTTGGGTGGGGGCAGAAAAAGTAGGGGCATCTCTGGGATCCAAGTAAGAGGAAATTGAACTGAGAATGCCTTTAGTTTGCATTTAGTGGACTATAGTTATGAGCGTCACAACTGCTTCTGTGTGTAGTGAAACTGTTCCCAGCCATTTGGTGAGGAAATATATTCCAGGAATCTTCTTTTGTCCACCGTGGCATCATGACCTGAAGGTGTGGGTCCAGAAACACTGCCCTACAGCATCCCATGCCTGAAGTATCTGAGCAGTAACAGAGGACCAGGTTGGAAATGTAGAAAGCCAGAAGTTACTCTGAAATGTTCTTTCAATGATCTGATGTGCAATATTTTGTATTTTAAAAATGCAGTAAAACACACATTAAAGTTTATCGTCTGAACCATTTTTAAGTGTACAGTTTAGTGGCATTAATTGCATTCACACTGTTGTGCAACCATCATTACCATGGATCTACAGAAGTCTTTTCATCTTGTGAAACTGATACTCTGTACCTATTAAATATGCTTGCCACAAAAAGACAAATATTCATATGATTCCATTTTTGTGAGGTTCCTACAGTAATCAGATTTATAGAGACAAGAAGTAGAATGGAGGTTTTCCATTCCCCTTTCTTCCTGTCCCTGGCAACCACCATTTTACTTTTTGTCTCTGTGAATTTGATTACTCTAGGAACCTCACATAAATGGAATCATATAATATGTGTCTTTTTTGTGACAAGCATATTTCACTTGGCATAATGTCATGAAGGTTCAGCCATGGTGTCTCATGTGTCAGCATTTCCTTCCTTTTTAAAGCTGAATAATATTCTATTATATGTATATCCCACATTTTCTTTATTCATTCGTCTGTTGATGGACATTTTGGCTTGCTTCCACTTCCCGGCTATTAAAAAAATGCTGCTACAGACATGGGTGTCCATATATCTTTTTGAGTCACTGCTTTCAGTTTTTTGGTGTACTTTATGTTTAAAATTTTAAGTGGAGGATTAGTTTCTCATCGATGCCTAGTTAAAATGGAAGTTCTTGAGTCTTAGGAATATCTTTTATGATGCAGTATATGCAATTATAAACACACCACATATATGGTTTTTCCTTTTTTCATGAGACTTACACAAAATAGAATTAGACTTTCTGTATTTGGAGGCACAAACCTATGGCAATACTATGAAACAGTAATGATGTCCATGTGTGAAGTCATGTTTTATTCATCCCAACTGTCAAAAAACATTTTGATCAACTATACTAGAGGAAAGACTGACTTATTTTTCTATTTTCTCTACAGAAAATGTTATAAAATCATTCATAAGAAGAGGCGATCAAATAATATGTCACCAATGAATGTGGAAAACAAGTATGAGACAGTAGTGTCAAGCAGTTAATGCACAAAACATATTCTGTTTTTTTTCTGGATTTTGTGGTGTTTGTAGTCTTTGTTAGCTTTTAAAAATGTGCAATTTGTTCCTTTTTCTGGAGAACGGGCTCTCGCTATATTGCCCAGGCAGGTCTCGAACTCCTGGGCTCAAGCTATCCTCCCGCCTCTTGCCTCCCTGAGAGCTGGGATTACAGGTGTGAGCACCGCGCCTGGCCAAAAATGTGCAATTTGTTATGGCTTCTTATGCTGAATGTATACTTCCATTCTTACCTATTTCTGTATGTGTAATGTTGTGTTGATTTATTAAAGAGGGACCCAAATCGTATATGTTTTGGGCCCACAAAATCTGGATCCTCCCCTTTGGGGAGGAGCCTCAGTTGCCTTGGCTCAGGGGATCTCAGTTTTCTTCAGCTCCTTCCCACTAGATGTCCTGGCCCCCCAAATTTCTTGTGTTTATGTGTGTCCTGCGCATTGCATGCGGGCTTTTCCCATGGGGTACTTAGGCTGGGACTGAACAAAGTCTAGCACTGATAGGCATCATTCCACTGGGCACTCTGTCAGAGGTGCTGGCTGCAGTCAAAGTGAAGTCTCTTGGCGCAACCAACAGGAGCTAGCAGAGAGGGTTCTGGCAAAGGTTTGGGAGGTTCATGCCTAACTCAAGGCTGGGCACTTGGTGGGTAATGAGCCATGAGCTTCTTTGAACTTATAGTTAGCTTTCAGTTCTTGGGTAAATTCCACAGGATAGGGTTAGAGGCTTCTTCACCAACCCCTCTCTCCCTACCCCTGGTCAAAGACCCTGATTTCTTCTTCGTCTGGAGGAAATCCCCCTCTTTCTTTGAGTATTCATCACAGATGCTCCTTCTCTTCTGAATATCTTTTCTCTTACTCTTTAAAAATAGACCCTGGATTATTTATCAGGCCAATTATCTAATCCCTCCTTCCTGGGGTGGCGAGAGAGGCTGTTAATCTTAAAGTCCTTCCAGAAGAATAAGAGAAACATTATATTCTAAGTACTTTAAAGCAGCAAAGCAAGAGAAGAAAAGCCACAGTTGCTATATTGAAATAGTCTCACTCATTCATATCCTGACACATAAATAACAAGGATTAAAAAAATTTGGAGGTGGAAGTGAGCTTAGAGGTGCTATTGTCCACCCCAATACTTTCACAGATGAAGAAAGTGAAATCTGTAGAGGGTAAATGATGCTGCCAAGGTCAAATCCTGTGAACCACAGAACCAGGCCCATCCAGATCTCTTAGACTGCGGTCCAGTGTGTTATTTTCTCTGATATATTCAGGTAGGATGTGGTGATGAAGTTTTAGATAGAGTTGTCAAATGCCATATAATACTAGTTTATGAAAATAGATTTAGAAACTTTTTGCTGGAGGTTTAAAAAAATTGAATAAGTTCTCATTTATTTGAGTTGGCTTTAGTATGGCCCATCTGAAGTTTTCAAAAAAGACTATATAGCTTTACAAAATCTCTTTAGCCTTAAGAGTACATGATTTTCATTCATCCATCTTCTTTTGCAAGTATTTCTTAAGGTGCCTCCTATAAGCAGAATGCTATGTTATGCACACAGAATAAAATAATGGGACAAACAACAGAATGTAAAACAGGGTCCAAGCCCTGGGAGCTTAATATCCAGTTGGGGAGCAAATGCTGCCCTCCCCCATATATAAACACACACACATATTTAATAATAGTACATAGCAATATAGGTTACTTCTCAAAATTATGATACAGAGAGTTGAACACCATTCCATCTGTCTAGGCAAAAATGTTCATTGGACCAGAGCTCTTTAAATAGAGACGTGTACTGAATTGTCTTACAGATAATTACAAGTCATAGCCATTATTTTGAGTGTTTTCTGAGATAGGGCACACTCCCCATCTCAATCATGTTAGGTTTCCTTTCCAAAGCATCTCCTTGATTAGATAGGGCCTGCAAACAGGGAAGCTAACTCAAGGAGATGGCTTGGGAGGATGCCAATGCCCCAGCAATGAATGAAAGGAAAGAATCGGTATAAATGTCTTGAAACCAGTTGCATTCCCCAGAATTCACCCCCTGCTTTTGTGGGTGTGTGTAAGTGTGTGTGTTGGGGGGTGTTAATTAGCATTCTAGTCTGCAATCTTCAAAGCGCCAATGCAATCGGAATAATTTTAAAATGTTCACTTCCTTCCCCTTATTCCCTTCCTTTCCCTTTCACCCATTCAAGCCTCTAGGTGATTCTGGTCTCCCCACTATAAGATTCTCATAGCTGGGGGTATATGTGTGTGCCTGCAGGGTCAAAGGTTAGAGATAAAGGAAGTTGATGTGAGAAGAGTGCTTGGTGCATTCCAGAGAGAGGAATGAGCACTGCTTTTGGAGCAGAGTCCTGGGTAGGTGGTAGAAACTCCTAAGAAAGGGAGTGGTTTGAGACCAAAGGGGTCCTATAACTTAGAAAGCAGAGTCCTGGGGAGGTTGAAAGACTGCAAAGAGAGAATGTCTGCACAGAGTCAAGACTTACAGAGTGTGGACAGCTTTGTAGGCTCCCATAGGTTCCCATATCTTAATTGAGCAGAGAACCTGCAAAGTGATTATGATGCCTGCATGGAAGTAGGAGATGGGGTCAGCTGATGGGATTGGGGAATGTCTTAGCCATGCCTGCAGGGGCTGCAAACAAAAACCAGATACCTCCCTTCCCAAAACTTGGCATGACATTGACCTTCTGAAACTCAGACACAACCCTAGGAAAGGGTGAAAGTCTTTAACTTAGAAGAGAAGAGCTTCCTGCCATCTGGGAGGAATAGGCCTTCTGAATAGAAGAAGGGTTTTGCTACAGAAGAATGAAATTTTATTTTCAGCACCCCTCAATTCATTCATTGGGATTCATATGCACTATGCCAATTTATTTTCCTCACTAAAATATGTCTTAAACAATTACTCTTGTCTTTGTTTGAACCATTGAAGTTTCACAGGCAGGATTCAGATACAAATTTATACAATCTTCCTAAAACTCTGTGGCTTCCTATAGTTCCAAACCAATTTTTCCGGTATCTGTGCAGACTTTAGAAACTTCAGTCTAAAAATCTGATCTGACACTTGGAAGAAATACAACCTTTAGCAAAACCCACCAGGGCCATCCTTCAAATGGCTTGGCCTCTCTGCTGGAAATATTTCTGGACAGGTTGTTATGAGGTTTATATGTTGGGACTCAGCTGGAATTTACAAAATGCAAAACTGGAATTGATCAATGTGGTGTTAGCTATACTCTTATGCACTGAAAACCGAACCATCTTAGCAGAATGCAGAAAATGAGGAAGTAGAACATGCCCTAAGCCAAAGCACACCAGCAGCCTATTTGTTGGAGGCAGGAGGGTAAAGTGGGAGTGAGTGATCAGAGGCCACGTACTATAAAATCACCTAAAACTTTATGGTTGGGGGCTTCCAGAAGGCTGACAAGGAGGGGAAGGCCACTTCCTTGAGAGTGCAGATTAAACGCTTCACAGGCCAGGTAAGAAAAGTTAGAGAGGTTATTGAGTCTCCATCAGCATTTAAACAGGTATTTGGAAAGAAAGATCAGTGTTTCTACCCCAGTTAAAGTCTTGCCTACTGACTAGAGTCATTTTTTGAAAATTGAGGTAAAACCAGCATAACATAAAATTAACCATTTAAAAATGTACAATTCAGTGGCATTTAGTATATTCATGATGTTGTGTAAACACCACCTATGTCAGGTTTCAAAGCATTTTCATCACCCCAAAAGAAAACCCCGTACCCATTAAGCAGTTATTCTCCAGTCCCCTTCATCCTGGTTCCTGACAGCCACCAATCTGCTTTCTGTTTCTATAGATTGACTTTTTTTCTGGGTAGTCATATAAATGTATTCATGAAATATGTGACCTTTTGTCTGGCTTCTTTCATTTAGCATAATGTTTTCAAGGTTCACTCACGTCGTAGCATTTGAGTAGTTCTCATTTGATACACTACTTTGGAGGGACACAGAAAAAGTAAAACTTAATTATATGTTTTAATCACAGCTTTAGAAAGAGGAGACCTAGGGTCCAGTTCATTTCCCCACATAGACCTCTTCTCCTAGATTCTTTATCCTCATTTGAAGTGGACATTGGTTGTTTTGCCTGTCCAGTTTCCAAGTCCCTGATAATAGCTCATGATTTATGTGGGTCACAGCTCCTCTCTTACTCAGTTCAAGTGATGCTGACCTGACTTCCTTAATTCTTCAGTGGGTAGGTACTGACTTCAGATCTGTCCAATAAGGGCTTCCATCTGTTTGGCCACCATTCAAGAATGGAACACACGCCAGTTGCAGAGGTTCCTCATAGAACTACAGAAATGTGCTCCCTTTCTTTTGTACTTGAAGCTGAATGGTGTGAGCCTGCCAGGGGTCTCCATGTGGAGAGCCAAGCCAACACCAAAGAAAACAGAGGGAAAAGAAGGCATGAGAGCATTGAATCCTGGGACATTATTGAGTCACTTTGTCCAGACATCTTTAATTAGCAATATGTTTAAATAGTTACAAGCCTTTCCTTCTTTTCTTGTGACAGTTTGAGTTGAATTTCTATCATTTGCAACCTGTCACTGTAAGGCACAAACATGACCACACTCATCTAGGGCTGAAGCAACGTGAATAAGGAGGACATTGTCTCCTGGTGCCCAGGAAATGCCTTAGAGCTCTTCCCCAGAAGTGAGGACTCTGATACTCTATACTTTTCTGGTTTGTCTGGTTGTGCTTTTTTTTTTTTTTTTTTTTTTGCCTACATTGGATAACAATCTTTAATGAACAATAGAGCATCAAAAAATACATGAGGCAAAAACTGCAGGGAGAAATAGATGAATGCACTATTATAGGTTAGAGACATCAACAACCCTCTCAGAAACGGACAGATCTAGCAGGAGGAACATCAGTAAGGACACAGTTGAAAGCAACACCACCATCAACCAACTGGTCATAATGGACACATTTAGACCATTTACACTTTAGGTGATTATGAATATGGCTGGGTTTAAATCTACTATCTTGCGTCTTGTTTTCTATTTATTTTACTTGTTCCTTGTTCCCCTTTTCCTTTTTCTGCCTTCTTTTAGAATGCAATCTTAAAACTTAATAATAAAAAGTTTTAAGATTGCATTTTTATCCTCTTTGTTGGCTTAATAGCTGTAACTGTGTTACTTCAGTGATTCCTTTAGGGTGAATTTTTAGTGCACATCTAAACCAGTCTACCTTCATATGATACTACATGACTTCAAATATGTAAGAACCACATGACTACATATTTCCATTTCTCCCCTCTCTGCCTTTGGGCTATTATCATATATTTTACTTCTACATGTTGAAAACCACAGTATGTTATTATTATTTTTGCTTTAAATAGTCAATTAGGTTTTAAAGATATCTAAATAAAAGAATATATGAAATTCTTTATGCATATAATGATAACCTACCTAGTTATCATTTCTAGTGTTCATTTCTTTGCATAGAAGCAGGTTTCCATCTGTTACTATCTTTCTTCTGCTTGAAGAATGTCCTTTAACAACTCTTGTAAGGCAGGTCTGCTGATTAATTCTTTCAGATTTTATGTCTGGAAAACCCTCCATTTTGCCTTCATTTTTGAAACATATTTTCATTAGGCAAATAATTCCAGCTTGGTAATGTCTCTCTTTCCATACTTTAAAGATGTGGTTCCCTGTCTCTTACCTTGCATTGTTTCCAACAAGAAAGCTGCTATCATCTTTACCTTTGTTCCTCTGTACCTAATCTGTCTTCTCTTTCTCTCTCTTTCTCACTTCTAGAATTTCCTCTTTATTACTAGTTGAAATTTGATTGATACAGTTCATTGTATCTCTTGGGTCTCAGTAGTTGTCATCAATTCAGCTATTGTTTCTTCAATTTTTTTTATACCTCCCTTTTCCAGGGACTCCAATTATATATATATTTGGCTCCCAAAGTTGTCCCATAGTTCTCTAATGCCTAATTTCTCCTACCATCTCTTCTTCAGTCTTTTTCCTGTTTATTTTTAAGTTGCTGTCTTCAAATCCTTTCATATCATCTTCTGTGATGTCCAATCTGCTGTTAACCTCATCCAGTGTTTTTCATCAGATATTGTAGTTTTCATCTCTGGAGGTTCAATTTGGTTTTTTTGTATCTTCCATGCCTCTACTTAGTATATTTTTCTCTCTAGCTTTTTGAACATATGGAATACAGCCATAATACCTGCTTTAATGTCCTTGTCTACTGATTGTCATTGTGCCATTCCTGGGTCAGTTTTGATGGACTGATTTTTCCCTTCATTATGAGCTTTATTGTCATGCTTCTTTGCATGCCTAGTGATTTATTAGATGACAAGTATTGCATATTTTACCTTATTGGGTATATTTTTTGTATTCCTATATTCTTAAGCTTTGTTCTGGAACACAATTAAGTTACTTGGAAAAAGTTGTGTTTCAGTTTGGTCTTGTTTTTAAGCTTTGTAAGTTGGGACAAGGGTAGTTTTTATATAGAGTTAATTTTTCTACTACTAGGGCATCTTAGTTCTCTTCCAATGCCACCTAGAAATAAGCACTATTTTCAGCTCCAAACACTGTTCCCTCTAATTCTTTTGGGTGAGTTTCCTCACAGGCATGCACTGTTAGTGTGTAACTGAATATTTGATGAAAACTCTCTGCAGATCTTAGTTCTCCTGCTGTGCAACTCTTTCCTCAAAGGCATTCTCCCTTGTGAACTCTAGCCACCTCGACTGCCCAACTACACCTCAACTCCAGAAGACTGCCAGGTCCTGATGAGGTAGCCCTTCCTGGAGCCATGGACTTTCTCCAGATAGTAAGTACAGATAATTTTGTTTCCCCTCTCCACAGGATCATTGTCCTTTGTTGCTTAAAGCTCATTGTCTTGATATTTATTAGGTATTTAAGGAAAGAAGATAAACTAACAAGACAGGTAACTTTTAGGAAATAACTACCTTACCCTAGCAAAATACCAAAGAAAAAAAAAAAGGATCCCCACCTGGATAATGTCACAGGCTGAGAACTTTCACCATCCAGCCTAACACAGCCTTCTCCCTATCCCATGGTGTCATTAGGGTGCTCCTCCTACTTCCAGCAGAAAGGCATCAGTGGAGGTCTCCAGTAGAGCCACATTAGGGAACCTGGATCTCCATCCTTACCAGGCAGTAACGAGGCAGTGCCCCATCCCACACCAGCACCGTCAAAAGAAGCATGCTGAGGGATTTAAATAACTCCCAGAGTTTCATAACATAACAGTGAAGATGTCCAGGATACAGCCAAAATCACTCATCATAACAAGAACCAAGAAATTGTAAACTTGAATGAGAAAAAACATCAAGGGATGTCAACACTAAGATGACACAGATATTGAAACTTTATAACAATAATTTTTTTTTTTTGGAGACAAGTTCTCACTCTGCTGCCCAGGCTGGAGTGGTGTGAACAAGGCTCACTGCAGCCTCAACCTCCTGTGATCAAATGATCCTCCCACTTCAGCCTCCTATGTAGCTGGCACTGCAGGTGCACACCATCATGCCTGGCTAACTTCTAAATTTACTTTTATTTTTTTGTAGAGATGAGGTCTCACTTTGTTGCCCAGGCTGGTCTCAAACTCCTGGGCTGAAGCAATCCTCTTGCCTCATCCTCAGAAAGTGCTGGGATTACAGGCATGAGCCACCACACCAAACCGATGACAAGGATTTTAAAGCAGCCACCATAAAAATGCTTCAGTGAGTAATTATAAACACTCTTGAAGGCATTAAAAAAAAGTCTCAGCAAATAGGAAACCTCAGCAAAGAAACAGGGGATATAAAAAAGAAATCAAATGGAAATTTTAACTGAAATATATGATGATAGACAAAGTGAAAGTACTGCATGGATGGTTCAAGAGCAGAATGGAAACAAAAGAGAAAATAACCAGTTATCCTGAAGATAAAACAATACAAATTACCTAAACTGAGCAACAGAGAGAAAACACTGAAAAAAAATAAACAGAGCCTCAGGGACTCACAGGATGATAATAAAAGATTTAACATTTGTTTCATCAGTGTCCCAGAAAGAGGATGTGAGTGGGGCAGAAAAATTATGCCAAGAAATAAAAAAAATATATATTCCACAGAATGGGTAAAAAGTTTTGTAAAACAGGTATCTGATAGAGGGCTTATACCTAGAAACTACAAGGAACTCAATAATAACAAAAAAAAACTTTTTAAATGGGCAAAAGCTCTGAATAGACATTTCTACAAAAAACATGTACAAATGGCCAATAAGCACATGAGAAGATGTTCAACATCATCAGCCATCAGGGAAATACAAGTCAAAATTACAATGGTGTACAATTAATCACCATTTAACATTCCCAATAGTAGCCTACAAGCTTCCATTTCCACTGTGGAAAACAGTTTGGCCGTTCCTCAAGGTAGTCAAGTTACTTAACTGCTCTGTAAAATGAAGTTAATCACATTCACTTTGGATGAATGAGTTCATATATATTAGCTATAATTATTATAGCAATTATTATTGTGCATATTATTACTGATTGGGTCAGATTATTAGCCCTGTATCCCTAATTCATTTACTTTTGCTACTTTGGATGAATATTTAAAGTAGTCTTGAACTGAGATATGTATGTAAAGGTCCTATCACATTGGCATATACCATGTGCTCAATAAACAAAAGCTATAATTATTCATTTCTAAACAATTTAAAGATTAAACTTGCCTCAAAACAAAACAAAACAAAAAACCAAGGCAACACCCCAAGCTGTGAGGAGCTGAGTCTCTCCTAGGTGCAGGGCAGCACAGGCACTGGCTGCACAAGGCCAGAGAGGTTAGGTGGCGGCTCTCTTTAAACCAGACCAGAGAGAGCGTTTCTCTCCCTGTGCAGTCTTCACATCTTTCCAGTCCAGTTTGATGTCTGGAACCTCATCATTTGTCTCCGGATCTTTACTTAAGGCCCCCCGGGAGGAGGTAACCAGGATAGGCAGAGGGCCACATTCCTCCTGGATTTCCACAGCATGGAGGCCCTTCTTAACAGCCAGCTGTTGATGGGTTTTCTGTCTGGAGAGCCCATGGAAGAGGCCCCAGGTGAGGTTGGGCATATTGACGGACCCAGAGACCTTGGCATACATGTCTTTGATGCAAATGATACTGCAGATGGTGATGATGGCCCTGTGGCAGTGGAGGCCGTAACCTTTGGGTTGTTTCTTCATCTTGATATGTGTCCTTTTAAATCTTAATGAAATATCATGGAAAATTATATGGTCTTATACAATATTCATATCGTTCTACATAATGCACATAGTGAACTGCTCTGTTCTTTGCTTTCCTAAAAGCGTCCACCCGTTCAGTGGTTTTCCCAACAGCAAAACCTGCAGCTCCTTTTCCGTTCCCCACAGCCACCAGGACACGGACCGATTTCTTTCTTCCCTCTTTCCGCTGTCATATTGAAAACATTTCTTACTTCAAGTATCCTGGTATCAAAATCCTCATATGTTTCTCCATTGGAACCAGGGTCAGTGGGGCCATGACTGATGCCTCTCCATGAGTTTCCACTCCTTCCTCGCTCCCATTTAATCTTCATCTTCCTCTTTAGGTCCCACTCTTCTCTGCTGGATCATGTCCGCCTCCACCTTCTCCTGCTCTTCCTTGCTTCTTTGGGCAATGGTCTGCTTTGCTTCATTTTTCATAAGAGGGACATTCAGATCAGGCCACAGAAAACCATAACGCCCTTCACCAATGATCTGACCCCTGTTCAGATCCTTTCCTTTCTTTTTTTTAGTTCTTTTGCCTCTTCCTTTTCTTGCTCCGGCACCAGTCTCTGCTAAAGCACCTTTCCACAGCTCTCATCTACAGTCAATTTAGTGAAGAAACTGTACGGTCTATACTGCTGGCCCATCAGATGACTGGGAGAAGAAATACAGCATAGTGTCTGCAACGTACGGCTCAAGCTGGCATAAGGACGGATGTCTCTGGTTCCCAGTGATGACAAAGGGCCATTGCTGAGAGCAGTCTCCCATGCCAAAATGGAAGCTGTTGGTAAGGTGTTTAGGGAAAGCTGCCTCCCCAATAAATGACCCGCTGTCCCGCTGCACAGCGCAGGGAGGCGGCCCACAGCGCGCACCGCCGTCACCATGCTGGAGCCCAAGCAGCGCCTCCTGGTTGTGCTTTAAACCTATTACTCTTTTAGAGTAGTGGTGGCGAAGTAAACATTTGGAGTTTTGATATTTGCCTACTTATTTATATCTTTAATCTTAAATATTTTTAGTATAAGTTTATATAAAAGGAGAAACAACTCTAAACTTCTTTCTCTTTGGTTTTGTGACCTTAGATCCTTGATAGGAATACTCTTTTTAGTTCAATAGATTGAAAGATAAAATTTCATTCATTAGCATAGAAAACAATGTGGGTCGTTTTACCAATAAAAAACTTTGAGGAATAATATTTTATGTCCTCAAGGTCTCTCTGGTTCACATTGTCATAAGAATTACAAAAACAAAAAACTTTTAAAAATTACAGTTTTTTTGGGTCTATCTTTTTAGGTTCTAATGTTTCACACTAATTCAGATGGAGACTTTTCCTATTCCCTAAAGACATTCTCCTCTCTTACAATAAGACTCAAGGTTTTAATATGAACTCTCAACTATAATTTGGTAAAAAGAAACCAGAAAAGAAGTTTCTGTCATTTTGGGCTGGATGAAAGAAAAATCCCTCCATTTTCTCTTTTGCTTTAAATGAAAGGAAGATAAATTATAGAAAAGTAGTCTCAAGGATATACTATTTTAGCTAAGGATTTCTTTTATTAACATAGGGATTCACTTTGCCTTTGGGTCTTTTGCAAACAGCATTGGAAGTGAAATAGCTTTATAAAAAGTTACCTTAGCCTATAGAAGTTAATGAATTAATTCTGTAAAAAATTTAGACTTTGTATATTTTTAAAACCCTAAATAATCTAGTCAGATATTGTTATGGGTTGAACTGTGCCCTCCCAAAAGATATGTTGAAGACCTAACCCATAATACCTCAGAATGTGAACTTATTTAGCAATAAGGTTGTTACAAATATAATTAGTTAGGATGAGGTCATACCGGAGTAGGGCAGGCCCTTAATCCAATATGACTGGTGTCTTTATGAGAAGACAGCCATATGAAGACACGGAGACACACACTGAGAATGCAATGTGATAATGAAGGCAGAAGAAAGAATTATGCTGCTACAAGCCAAGAACACCAAAGATTGCCAGCAAACACCAGAAGCTATGAAGGACTTCCCTGCAGCTTTCAGAAGGAGCACGGACCTGCTGACATCTTTATTTCAGACTTTTGGTGTTCAGAACTGTGAGGTGATACATTTCTGTTGTTTTAAGCCACCCAGTTTGTAGTACTTTGTTACCAAAGTCCTAGGAAACTAATATAGCTTCTAATAATAATTATCATTTTTTATAATCTTAGAAAAAGAAAATATACCATAAATCAGATCCTACCTATGTAAATATCAGGAGACCTCAGAAGGTCATTAGGCAATGCTGTGACCCATGATCTTTAAAAAAAATCTGACAATTTTGTGTTATAACGTAGAAGACTATGCTTTGGATAGAGCTCAAAGTATCCTGAACACATGATGGGAATCATGTGGTATCCTGCACAACTGCTGTATTCTTGCCCTGGACACAGTTGCTTCTTGAGCCCAGAGGTTCTCAAACTCATGTATAAAAACCCTCTCAGTAGAATCTCTGCATTTCCTTTCTACTTTCCTTTTCTTCCGACTTTCCCTTGCCTCATTAAAACAACAACAACATATGAACAGACACTTCTCAAAAGAAGACATTTATGCAGCCAACAGACACATGAAAAAATGCTCATCATCACTGGCCATCAGAGAAATGCAAATCAAAGCCACAACGAGATACCATCTCACACCAGTTAGAATGGCAATCATTAAAAAGTCAGGAAACAACAGGTGCTGGAGAGAATGTGGAGAAATAGGAACACTTTTACACTGTTGGTGGGACTGTAAACTAGATCAACCATTGTGGAAGTCAGTGTGGCAATTCCTCAGGGATCTAGAATTAGAAATACCATTTGACCCAGCCATCCCATTACTGGGTATACACCCAAAGGATTATAAAACATGCTGCTATAAAGACACATGCACACGTATGTTTATTGCGGCACTATTCACAATAGCAAAGACTTGGAACCAACCCAGATGTCCAACAATGATAGACCAGATTAAGAAAATGTGGCACATATACACATGGAATACTATGCAGCCATAAAAAATGATGAGTTCATGTCCTTTGTAGGGACATGGATGAAGCTGGAAACCATCATTCTCAGCAAACTGTCACAAGGACAAAAAACCAAACACTGCATGTTCTCACTCATAGGTGGGAATTGAACAATGAGAACACATGGACACAGGAAGGGGAACATCACACACTGGGGACTGTTGTGGGGTGGGGGGAGGGGGGAGGGATAGCATTAGGAGATATACCTAATGCTAAATGACAAGTTAATGGGTGCAGCACACCAACATGGCACATGTATACATATGTAACAAACCTGCACAGTGTGCACATGTACCCTAAAACTTAAAGTATAATAATAATAAAATAAAATAAAATAAAAAAAGAAAATGTGGCATATATACACCATGGAATACTATGCAACCATAAAAAAGGATGAGTTCGTGTCCTTTATAGGGACATGGATGGAGCTGGAAACCATCATTCTCAGCAAACTATCACAAGGACAAAAAACCAAACACCGCATGTTCTCACTCATAGGTGGAAACTGAACAATGAGAACACTTGGACACAGGAAGGGGAACATCACACACTGGGGTGGGTCATGGGTGGGGGGAGGGGGGAGGGATAGCATTAGGAGATATACCTAACGTAAATGACGAGTTAATGGGTGCAGCACACCAACATGGCACATGTATACATATGTAACAAACTTGCATGTTGTGCACATGTACCCTAGAACTTAAAGTATAATAATAATAAAAAAAAAACCCAACCAGGATGTAGATGGGTCACCAATGATATAACTGATTTGTTGTCTTATTTCATCTATTTTATCCACCCCCCAGCTTTATTGAGGTAAAATAAAAAATACAATTTATACACATATATATACAAGATGTGAATGTGGTAACTTGAGATATATACACATTGTGAAATGATTACTATAATAGAGTAAATTAACACATCCATCACCCTAACAATTATGATTGTGTGTGTGTATTTCTGGTAAGAATGCTTGAGATCTCTTAGCAAATTTCCAGTGAACAACAGAGTATTACTAACTGTAGTCATGAGGCTGTACATGAGATCCCCAGAACTTATTCAGCTTATAGCGGAATGATTGTACCCTTTGACCAACATCTCCCTGGGCAACTACCATTCTACTCTCTGTTTCTATGAGTTTAACTAGTTTAGATTCCACATCGTATTAGGCTGATCTCACACTGCTATAAAGAAATACCTGAGACTAGGTAATTTATAAAGAAAAGAGGTTTAATTGGCTCACGGTTCTGCAGGCTGTACAAGAAGCATAGCGGCTTCTGCTTTTGGGGAGGCCTCAGGAAGCTTTTACTCATGGCAGAAGGCAAAGCAGGAGCAGGCACAGGAGAGAGAGAGGGGAGGTACTACACACTTTTAAACAACCAGATCTCACAAGAACTCACTACTAGAACAGCACCAAGGGGATGGTGCTAAACTATTCCTGAAGGATCTACGCCCATGATCCAGTCACCTCCCACCAGGCTACACCTCCAACACTGGGGATTACAGTTCGACATAAAATTTGGGCAGGGACAGAGATCCAAACCATATCACACATATAAGTGAGTCTATGCTGTATATATCTTTCTGTGTCTAGTTTATTTTGCTTAGCATAATGTTCTCTAGGTTCATTTATGTTGTCACAAATGGCAGAATTTTCTTTTTTATGGCTGAATAATATTCTATTGTGTATATGCACCATGTTTTCTTTTTCTTTCTTTCTTTCTTTCTTTTTTTTTTTTTTTTTGAGTCAGAGTCTTGCTCTGTCGCCCAGGCTGGAGTGCAGTGGTGTGATCTTGGCTCACTGCATGCTCCACCTCCTGGGTTCACAGCATTCTCCTGCCTCAGCCTCCCGTGTAGCTGGGACTATAGGTGCCCGCCACCACACTCCGCTAATTTTTTGTATTTTTAGTAGACACAGGGTTTCATCGTGTTAGCCAGGATGGTCTCGATCTCCTGACCTCGTGATTCGCCTGCATTGGCCTCCCGAAGTGCTGGAATTACAGGCGTGAGCCACCATGCCCGGCCTGCACCACATTTTCTTTATTCACTTGTTGATAGACATTCAGATTGTTTCCACGTCTTGGCTATTGTGAATGATGCTGCAGTGAACATGAAAGTGCACATATCCCTTCAAGATCATGATTTCATTGCTTTTGGATACAATAACCCGAAGTTGGATTGCTGGATCCATATGGTAGTTTTATTTTTAATTTTTGGAGGAAACTCAATAAATTTGGAGGAGACACCATTTCCATAACGGTGGTACCAATTTATATTCCCACCAATGGTGTACAAGGGTTCCCTTTTATCTACATTCTTGCCAACATTTGTTATTTTCGTCTTTTTGGTAATAGCCATTCTAACTGGAGTGAGATTAGATCTCATTGTGGTTTAGATCTGCATTTCCCGAATAATTAGTGATGTTGAGGATTTTTTTTTTTTAATATACCTGTTGTTCATTTGTATATCTTCTTTTGAAAACTATCTGTTTAGGTCCTTTGACCATTTTTAAACCGAGTATTTAAGTTTTTTTTTTGCTATCGAGCTTTATGAATTCCTTAAATATTTTGGGTATTAACCCCATATCAGCTGTATGGTTTGCAAATATTTTCTCCCAACAACAGATTTGTTTTTAGTGTGATAAATCCATATTTTTGCCCAACCTGTGAAATAATTCAAACATGCAAGAATCCAGACTGGCAGCCACTTGGAAAATGTTGCCAGCCTCCAGCTCTTTCTGGGCAGCACCTTGAGAATTGCTGTGATAATTACCTAGTGGTGGTTCTTAACTCTGGTTGCACATTAAAATCACCTGGGAAACTTTTAAAGCCTTCTCATTCCAGACCAATTAAATACAAAATTCTAGGGATAGGGCCTAGGCACCAGTGATTTTTTTTTTTTTTTTTAAAGATCTTCAGGTGATTCTAACATACAACCAAGGTTTAGAATCAGCGGCTTACTGTCATGTTGGGTTACTGTTGGAGTCCGAATGCCCTAATAACAAGAAGCAGAGGTGAGCACCCGCTCTGCTCCTCACAGCCCTCTGCTTTTTGTCTGATTGGAGTTATATAAAGCCCAAGTGGAACTAAGACTAAGCACGGTAATTGTCATGGCAATGCCCTAGATTTTCCTATCAAATCCAATCTTATTTAGGGTGGGAGACACAGAAGTGACTCTTGTGAAGTTAAAATACTTCTGCCCCTATTTAGAATATTCAACATTAAATTTGACAGAGTTTTGCCATGAAATTTCAAATACCAAAACTTTTAAAAACAGCAGATCTCACCTGAACCACAAAAGTTTATCATTAATTGTAAAGTGTGCTTGATCTCAGAGAATTATCCAGGCAATCAGCATCATGCATAGCCTTTAATGCCTCTGTCTGTGGAGCATGAGTTCTGCATATTGATCACAAATCTGAAAATTTCTCTGCTTATGCCTCATCACTCCTGTCTTTGATTGAGTATAACATAAATGGAATTTGAAAATCATGGAGCTGGGGGGGACCTGTGGAAATTATTTTGTCTAGTGCTTTGCCTTTACAATTGTATGTCTAATCTACTAACACAGTCAGGCTACCAAGGTCCCTTGTTAAATTCATGAATGCCCTAGCATGGACAACTGCAACATCCTTCTAACTGGCTCTGTCTTCCTGTTCCCCTTTTCTCCATGTTACAATCAGAGTAATCTTTCTAAATACAAATCAGGTCATTCTCATCTTTGCTTAATATTCTTTGATGACTCCCCATTTACCTCAGGTCCAAATTTAAACTCCTTAGCCTCACCTACTATCTGTGAACTGATCTAACCTTATCTCCCTCTGTAGATTAATCTCCTAGAGCTCTCTTTTCTCACTCTAAATTGCAGTTACAACGGGATTCTAAACGTGCTCAATGTAGTTCTCCAAATGTGTCCTCTATGCCACCATACATTTGCACATTTCCCTCTAGGATGTTCCAGAATCTAGAAGATTGGGTGCACTGTACTTATGTCCTGAATAAGAAGCCTTAGTATTTTGTTTTTTGAATAAGAGTTTCACAGTTACATAACAAGAACAAGGTCAAATGGATTGAGAATAGAACTCTCTGGGTTTGGTGGTGGTAGTGTTGGTATTTCAAAGGCCATAATGGAAGAGAGAATGTTCTCTTTATCTCTATCTATCTACCTATCAGTCATATCTATCTAATCTATCATCTCTATATATTATGTCTGTCTGTCATGTATATCTAGCTACCAATCAACTAATAGTTGTATCTCACATATAGAGATTTAGATTAATCACACTCCTCAGTTTATGGTATATTATTACTGCTGGTCCACACAAAGCTGCTATTTAGTTTTTTTTAAACTCTATTAAAACTTCTATGGACATTCCTCACTCCTATTTTTCTCCTCCCACATAAGAAACTATTCCAACATATTTAATGAGGATCTTTTTATTTGTATGTATTCTTTGGTGTACACATATTTTAAATTTTCTTTTAATGGTACTGTGTTCTATATCTCATTCTGTATCTTTCTTTTTCACTATTTTTAATATACATGTTGCTATATGCAAATCAGAACTGTGGCTTTTTAACTTCTGCAACAATCATACTTCACCTATCCACGTTCACTTCCTCTACACCAGGTAATGAACACCCAGATGGACCCTGACTCTCTGTCCCTACAAGCAACATTGAAATGTACATTTTCTCAGATGTCCCTTTCTAGATGTGAGAGACTATATTTGGGATAGGTACTAAGGAATGGGTCCTAGTTATGTGAACACCCAATCTGACCAAATGGTGCTATAGAGGTACCAAATTGTGATATAGAATATAGGCCTATTTCCATGTCCTCCAGAAGTGCATGATATCCCCACCTCTCCACTAACACTTGGCATTTCCCAGCTTCCTAATATCTGCACATATTACAAGAGTAAAGTGATGCCTCATTTGTTTTCTTTTTGTTTTTTTAAGTAGATTTAATTTTTAGAGCAGTTTTAGATTCACAGTAAAATTGAGCGGAAGGTACAGAAAGTTCTCATAGCTTCCCGCCACCCTTCACCACTCTCTCCCATAATCAACATCAGGCACCAGAGTAGTATATTTGTTATAACTGATGAACCTACATCTACACATCATTATTACCTAAAGTCGGCAGTTTTCATTAGGGTTTCCTCTTGGTGTTGCATGTTCTATAAGTTCTGACAAATGTATGATGAGATGTATTCACCATTATAGTAACATATGCAATAGTGTCACTGCTTTAAAAATTCTCTGTGGAGACAGGCACGGTGGCTCACACCTGTAATCCCAGCACTTTGGGAGGTTGAGGTGGGTGGATCACCTGAGGTCAGGAATTTGAGACCAGCCTGACCAACACGGAGAAACCCCGTCTCTACTAAAAATACAAAATTAGCTGGGTGTGGTGGTGCAGGCCTGTAATCCCAGCTACTCGGGAGGCTGAGGCAGGAGAATCGCTTGAACCCTGGAGGTGGAGGTTGCGGTGAGCCAAGATCGCGTCATTGCACTCTAGCCTGGGCAACAATAGAGGAACTCCATCTCAGAAAAAAAAAAATTCTCTGTGGTTGGCCAGTTCACCCCTTTCTTCCTCCTTATCCTCTGGCAACCACTGATCTTTTTGCTGTTTTCATAGTTTTGTTTTTTCCAAAATGTTATATGGTTGGAATCATACAGTATATATCCTTTTCAGATTGGCTTCTTTTACTCAGTAACATGCATTTGAGGTTCCTCCATTAACTTTCATGGCTTGATAGCTAATTTCTTTTTAGTACTGAATAATATTCCTTTAGTTAGATGTTGTCTTTGTCCATTTTGTGTTGGTAAAACAGAATACCTGAGAATGTATAAAGAAAAGAGGTTTATTTAGCTCACAGTTCTTCAGGCTGAGAAGTTCAAGGGCACTAAACTGGCTTCTGGTGAGGACTTCTATGTCACATCATAACACGGTGGAAAAGTTCAAAGAGGAAGGGGGCACACACAAAGAGAGAGAGTCAAGGGGCTTCCTAATTTTATAACAACCCACTCTTGAGGGAACTAAAATATTCCTGGAGAAGTAACCCAGTCTCACCAGAATGAGAACTCACTCACTACTGTGAGAATGGCACTAAGTCATTCACGAAGGATTTTCCCTGTGACCCATACACTTCCCACTAGGCCCCACCTCCCAAAACCACCACATTGGGGATCAAATTTCAACATGAGTTTTGATGGGGACAAACAAATAATATCCAAACCATAACAGATCTATCACAGTTTCTTTATCCATTTACCTACTGAAGGATGTCATGTTTGCTTCTAAGTTTTGGCAATTATGAACAATATTTGGCAATTATGAACAATTATACACTATAAACATGTGTATGGGGTTTTTTTGTGGATATAAATTTTCAACTCATTTGGATAAATAACAAGGAACATGATTGCTGTGTTGTATGGTAAGAGTATGTTTAGTTTTTTAAGAAACAGCCAAATTGTCATCCAAAGTGGCTGTACCATTTTGTGTTCTTGATGGCAGTTCCTGTTCTTCCATCTTCACCAGCATTTTGTATTGTCAGTGTTCTGAATTTTGGCCATTTTTATGGCACATAGTGGTATCTCAATATTGTTTGAATTTGTGTTTCCTTAATGATGTATGATATGAAATATATTTTCCTATGATCATTTGCCATCTGGATATGTTCTTTGGTGAGATGTCCAGGTCTTTTGCCCATTTTTATTTTTAATTAATTAATTAATTAATTTTTGAGACAGGATCTCACTCTGTTGCCCAGGCTGAAGTGCGGTGGCGTGATCATGGCTCATTGCAACCTCTGTCTTCTAGGTTCAAGTGACTGTCTCACCTCAGCCTCAAGAGTAGCTGGGACTACAGGTGCAAGCCACCATGTCCTGCTTATTTTTGTATTTTTAGTAGAAATGGGGTTTCACCACATTGGCCAGGCTGGTCTCGAACTCCTGACCTCAAGTGATCTGCCCACCTCAGCTTCCCAAAGTGCTGGGATTACAGGCATAAGCCACCATACCCAGCCCCATTTTTAAATCAAGTTGCTTATTTTCTTTCTTTCTTTTATGTGTTTTGAGACAGGAACTTGCTCTGTCATGCAGTGGCATGATCACGGGTCACTGCAGCCTTGACCTTCTGGACTTAAGCCATCCTCCTGCTTTGGCCTTCCAAAGTGCTGGGATTACAAGTGTGAGCCACTGTGCCTGGCTGGTTATTTTCTTATTGTTTAGCTTTCTTATGGCTTCTTGTTGGTTATATTCTTTCTTTTTTTTAAATTTCCAAGTTTTATTTTAAGTTCAGGGGTACATGTGCAGCATGTACAGGTTTGTTACATAGGTAAACATGTGCCATGGGGGTTTGCTGCACAGATCATCCCATCACCCAGGTATTAAGCGCAGCATCCATTAGTTATTCTTCCTGATCCTCTCCCTCCTCCCACCGCCCACCTTCCAACAGGCTCCAGTGTGTGTTGTTTTCCTCTATGTGTTCTCATCATTCAGCTCCCACTTATAAGTGAGAACATATGGTATTTGTTTTACTGCTCCTGTGTTAGTTTGCTAAGGATAATGGCCTTCAGCTCCATCCATGTCCCTGCAAGGGACATGATCTTGCTCCTTTTCATGGCTGCATAGTATTCCGTGGTGTATATGTACCACATTTTCTTTATTCAGTCTATCATTGATGGCCTTTTAGGTTGATTCCATGTCTTTGCTATTGCGAATAATGCTGCAATGAATATACATGTGTACATCTTTAAAATAAAATGATTTATATTCCTTTGGGTATATAACTGGTAATGGGATTGTGCAGTTGAATGATATTTCTGCCCCTAGGTCTTTAAGGAATTGCCACACTGTCTTCCACAATGGTTGAACTAATTTACACTCACACCAATAGTGTAAAGGTGTTCCTTTTTCTCCATAACCTTGCCAGCATCTGTTGTTTTTTGACTTTTTAATAGTAGCCATTCTGACTGGTGTGAGATGGTATCTCATTGTGGTTTTCATTTGCATTTCTCTAATGATCAGTGATAGTGAGCTTTTTTACATATGTTTGTTAGCCACATGTATGTCTTCTTTTGAGAAGTGTCTATTCATGTCCTTTGCTCACTTTTTAATGAAGTCTTGTTTTTTTCTTGTAAATTTGTTTAAGTTCCCTATAGATGCTGGATATTAGACCTTTGTCAGATGCACAGATTGTAAACATTTTCTCCCATTCTGTAGGTTGTATGTTTAGTCTGTTAGTAGTTTCTTTTGCTGTGCAGAAGCTCTTAAGTTTAATTAAATCACATTTGTCAATTTTTCCTTTTGTTGCAATTGCTTTCAGTGTCTTTGTCATGAAATTTTTGCCTGTGCTTATGTCTTAAATGGTATTGCCTAGGTTTTCTTCTAGGTTTTTTACGGTTTTGGGTTTTACATTTATGCCTTTAATCCATCTTGAGTTGATTTTTGTATGTGGTGTAAGGAAGGGGTCCGGTTTCAATTTTCTGCATATGGCTAGCCCGTTCTCCCAGCATCATTTATTAATGAGGGAATCCTTTCCCATTGCTTTTGTCAGGTTTGTCAAAGATCAGATGGTTGTAGGTGTGTGGTCTTATTTCTGGGTTCTCTATTCCATTCCATTGCTCGATGTGTCTGTTCTTGTACTAGTACCATGCTGTTTTGGTTACTGTAGCTGTGTAGCATAGATTGAAGTTGGTAAGCGTGATGCCTCCAGATTTGTACTTTTTTGATTCTTCCTATCCATGAGCATCGAATGTTTTTCCATTTGTTTGTGTCATCCCTGATTTCTTTGAGCAGTGTTTTGTAGTTCTCCTTGAAGAGGTCCTTCATTTCCCTTGTTAGCTGTATTCCTATGTATTTTATTCTTTTTGTGGCAATTGTAAATAGGACTTTATTCACAATTTGGCTCTCTGGTTGCCTGTTGTTGATGCATAGGAATGCTAGTGATTTTTGTACATTGATTTTGTATCCTGAGAATTTGCTGAAGTTGCTTATCAGCTTAAGAAGCTTTTGGGCTGAGACCAGGCATGGTGGCTCATGCCTGTAAACCCAGCACTTTGGGAGGCCAAGGCGGGCAGATCATCTGGGATCAGAAGTTCGAGACCAGCCTGGCTAACATAGTGAAACCCTGTGTCTACTAAAAGTACAAAAATTAGCCAGGCTTGGTGGTGTGTGCCTGTAATCCCAGCTACCAGGGAGGCTGAGGCAGGAGAATCACTTAAATATGGGAGGCGGAGGTTGCAGTGAGCCAAGATCGTGCCACTACACTTCAGCCTGGGTGAGAGAGCAAGATTCCATCTAAAAAAAAAAGAAACCAAACAGACAAAAAAAAGAAGCTTTTGGGTTGAGATAATGGGGTTTTCTAGATATAGGATCATGTCATCTTCAAAACAATAGTTTGACTTCCTTTCTTCCTATTTGAATACCCTTTATTTCTTTCTCTTGCCTGATTGCTCTGGCCAGAACTTCCAATACTATGTTGAATAGGAGTGGTGAGAGAGGGCAACCTTGTCTTGTTCCAGTTTTCAAGGAGAATGCTTCCAGCTTTTGCCCACTCAGTATGACATTGGCTGTGGGTTTGTCACAGGTGACCCTTATTACTTTGAAGTATGTTCCTTCAATACCTAGATTATTGAGAGTTTTTAACATGAAGCAATGTTGAATTTTATCAAAGGCCTTTTCTGCTTCTACTGAGATAATCATGTGGTTTTTGTCTTTATTTCTGTTTATGTGATGAATCACATTTATTGATTTGCATATGTTGAACCAGCCTTGCATCCCAGGGATGAAGTCTACTTGATCGTGGTAGATAAGCTTTTTGATGTGCTGCAGGATTTGGTTCACCAATATTTTTTGAGGATTTTTGCATTGATATTCATCAAGGATATTGGCCAGAAGTATTCTTTTTTTGTTGTTATCTATACCAGGTTTTGGTATCAGGATGATGCTGGCCTCATGGAATAAGTTAGGGAGGTGTCCCTCCTTTTCAATTTTTTAGAATAGTTTCAGTAGGAATGGTACCAGCTCTTCTTTGTACCTCAAATAGAATTTAGCTGTGAATCCTTCTGGTCCTGGGCCTTTTTTTTGGTTGGTTGGTGGGCTATTTTTTACTGCCTCAATTTCAGAACTCATTATTGATCTATTCATGGATTCAATGCCTTCCTCTTTCAGTCTTGGGAGAGGGTATGTGTCCAGGAATGTATCCATTTCTTCTATATTTTCTAGTTTCTGTGCATAGAGGTGCTTACAGTATTGATGGTTATGTGGATATCTTTGGGGTCAGTGGTGATATCCCCCTTATCATTTCTGAATGTATTTATTTGAATCTTCTCTCTTTTTTTCTTTATTAGTCTAGCTACTGGTCTTTCTATTTTATTAATTTTTTCAAAAAACCAGCTTCTGGATTTGTTGATTTTTTGAAGGGTTTTTCATTTCTCTATCTCCTTCAGTTCAGCTCTGATCTTGGTTATTTCTTCTCTTCTGCTAGCTTTGAGGTTTATTTGCTCTTGAATCTCTAGCTTTTTTTTTTCTTTTTTTTTTTTTTGAGATAGAGTTTCACTCTTGTTGCCTAGGCTGGTGTGCAATGGCGCGATCTCGGCTCACCGCAACCACTGCCCCCTGGGTTCAAGTGATTCTCCTGCCTCAGCCTCCAGAGTAGCTGGGATTACAGGCATGTGCCACCATACCTGGCTAATTTTTTTTGTATTTTTAGTAGAGACAGGGTTTCTCCATGTTAGTCAGCCTGGTCTTGAACTCCTCACCTCAGGTGATCCACCCACCTCGTCCTCCCAAATGGAATTCCACTCTGTTGCCGGGCTGGAGTGCAGTTGCATGATCTCAGCTCACTGCAATCTGTGCTTCCCGGGTTCAAGCCATTCTTCTGCCTCAACCTCCTGAGTAGCTGGGATTACAGGTGTGCACCACCACACCCAGCTAATTTTTGTATTTTTAGTAGAGACAGAGTTTCATCATGTTGGCCAGGATGGTCTCGATCTCCTGACCTTGTGATCTGCCTGCCTCGACCTCCCAAAGTGCTGGGATTACAGGTATGAGCCACTGCATCTGGCCGATTCTCTAGTTCTTTTAGTTGTGGTGTTAGCTTAACTTGAGGTGTTTCTAGCTCTTCAATGTGGGCATTTTAGTGCTATAAATTTCCCTCTTAACACTGCTTTAGCTGCAACTGAGATTCTGGTATGTTGTATCTTTGTTCTTATTAGTTTCAAAGAATTTCTTGATTTCTGCCCTAATTTCATTATTTACCCAAAATTATTCAGGAGCAGGTTGTTCAATTTCCATGTAGTTGTATAGTTTTTAGTGAATTTCTTAATCTTGAGTTCTAATTTGATTGTGCTGTGGTCCAAGAGGCTGTTTGTTATAATTTTAGTTATTTTGCATTTGCTGAGGAGTGTTTTACTTCTGATTATGTGATCAGTTTTAGAGTAAGTGCTATGTGGCAATAAGAAGAATGTATATTCTGTTGTTTTGGGGTGGAGGGTTCTGTAGATACCTATCAGGTCCACTTGATCCCAAGCTGAGTTCAGATCCTGAATATCTTTGTTAATTTTCTGTCTTGATGATCTGTCTCATATAGTCAGTGGGGAGATAAAGCCTCCCACTATTTTGCATGGGAGTCTGTCTCTTTGAAGGTCTATAAGAACTTGCTTTATGAATCTGTGTGCTCCTGTATTGGGTGCATACGTATTTAGGATAGTTAGCTCTTCTTGTTGAATTGAACCCTTCACCATTATGTAATGCCCTTCTTTGTCTTTTTTCATCTTTGTTGGCTTAAAGTCTGTTTTGTCAGAAACTGGGATTGCAACTCCTTCCTTTTTCTGTTTTCCATTTGCTTGGTAAATTTTTCTCCACAACTTTATTTTGAGCCTATGTGCGTCTTTGCATGTGAAACGTGTCTCTTGAAGGCAGCATGCCAATGGGTCTTGTTTCTTTATCCAAGTTGCCATTCTGTGTCTTTTAATTGGGGCATTTAGTCCAGTTATATTTAAGGTTAGTATTGTTATGTGTGGATTTGATCCTGTCATCATGATGTTAGCTGGCTATTTTGCAGACTTGTTTATGTGGTTGCTTCATAGTGTCACTGGTCTGTGTGCTTCAGTGTGTTTTTGTAGTGGCTGGTAATGGTCTTTCCTTTCTGTATTTAGTGCTTCCTTCTGGAGCTCTTGTAAGGAAGGTCTGGTGGTAAAGAATTCCCTCAACATTTCCTTGTTTGAAAAGGATCTTATTGCTCCTTCCTTATGATACTTAGTTTGGCCAGATATGAAATTGTGGGTTGGAAATTCTTTCTTTAAGAATGTTGAATATTAGCCCCCAATCTCTTCTGGCTTATAGGGTTTCCACAGAGAGGTCTGCTGTTAGTCTGATGGGCTTCCCTTTGTAGGAGACCTGGCCTCTCTCTCTGGCTTCCCTTAACATTTTTTCTGTCATTTTGACATTGAAGAATCTGATGATTATGTGCCTTGGGGATGATCTTCTCATGGAGTATCTTACTGGGGTTCTCTGCATTTCCTGAATTTAAATGTTGGCCTGTCTTCTAGGTTGGGGAAGTTCTCCTGGATGATATCATGAAGTATGTTTTCCAAACTGGTTCCATTCTCCCTGTCTCTTTCAGGTACCCAAATCAGTTGTAGATTTGGTCTCTTTACATAATCCCGTACTTACTGGAGGTTTTGTTCATTACTTTTCATTCTTTTTTATCTATCCTTGTCTGCTTGTCTTATTTCAGAAAGATAGTCTTCAAACTCTGAGATTCTTTCTTCCACTTGGTCTATTCTGCTATTATTACTTGTGATTGCATTGTGAAGTTCTTGTAGTGTGTTTTTCAGCTCTATCAGGTCGGTTGTGTTCCTCTTTAAACTGGATATTTTGGCTGTCAGCTCCTGCATTGTTTTATCATGATTCTTAGCTTCTTTGCATTGGGTTACAATATGCTCCTTTAGCTTAGCAAAGTTTGTTTTTATCCACATTCTGAAGCCTAATTCTGTCATTTCAGTCATCTCAGCCTCAACCCAGTTCTGAGTCCTTACTGGAGAGGTATTGTGGTCATTTGGGGGAAAAGGGGCACACTGGTGTTTTGAGTTTTCATTGTTTTTGCACTGATTCTTTCTTATCTTTGTGGGCTTATCTACCTTTGATCTTTGAAGTTGCTCACTTTTGGATGGGGTTTGTGTGTGTGTTTTGTTGTTGTTGTTTTGTGTTTGTTTTTAACAGTCTGGCTACTCTTCCACAGGGCTGCTGCAGTTTGCTGGGGGTCTGCTCCAGACCCTGGTCATCTTAGTTTTTCCCATACCAGGAGGTATCACCACCAGTGAAGGCTGTGAAACAGTAAAGATGGCAGGTTGCCATTTCCCCTGGAAGCTCCATCCCAGGGGGGTACTGACCTGTTGTCAGCTGGAAGGCACCTGGAGGAGGTGGCTGGGTACCCCAGTTGGGAGGTCTCACCTTGTCAGGAGGAACAGGATCAAGGACCCACTTAAAGAAGCAGTCTGGCTACTTTATGGTAGAGCAGCTGTGCTGTGTTGGGGATCCCTTCAGTCCCTGATCAGTTTGGGCTCTCCAAGGCCCACAGGCTGGACAAGCTGAGATGCCTGAATAGCCAAGGTGGCAACCTGCCCTGTCCCTCTGGGCACTCCAATCCTGGGAGACATTAGAACTGTATAGAACACAGGTGGTGGTGGCTGGAGGCCCTAGCTGGGAGGAGCTGCCCTATGAGGAGGAATAGGTTAGGGTCCTGCTTAAAGAAGTAGTCAGGCCATGCCTGGACAAAATAGCCATGCTGGGCCGGGCGCGGTGGCTCACGCCTGTAATCCCAGCACTTTGGGAGGCCGAGGCGGGTGGATCATGAGGTCAGGAGATCGAGACCATCCTGGCTAACAAGGTGAAACCCTGTCTCTACTAAAAATACAAAAAATTAGCCGGGCGCGGTGGCGGGTGCCTGTAGTCCCAGCTACTCGGGAGGCTGAGGCAGGAGAATGGCGTGAACCCGGGAAGTGGAGCTTGCAGTGAGCCGAGATTGCGCCACTGCAGTCCGCAGTCCGGCCTGGGCGACAGAGCGAGACTCCGTCTCAAAAAAAAAAAAAAAAAAAAAAATAGCCATGCTGTGCTGGGGAACAGCATCTGCTCCCGTTGGCTTGGACTCTCCAAAGCATGCAGGCTGGAATGGCTGAGTACTCCAAACAACCAAGATGGCGGTCCATCCCCATTCCCCTCCCAAACATGCACACACACACACACACACACACACACACACACACACCATCTCAGTGAGAGATCAGAGCTCTGTTTATGGAATACAGGCGGGGTGGCTGGAGTCCCTGGCTAGGAGGTTGGGCCCAGTGAGGAAGAATGGATCAGGGTCCTGCTTCAAGAAGCAGTCTGGCCACATTCTGTTAAAGCAGCTATGCTGTGCTTGTGGTGACCCTTCCTTGTCTGGACCTTTTGGATTTTCCAGAGCTCTTAGGCTGGAAGAGCTGAGTTGGCCAGACAGCAGAGATGGCAGCCCACCCCTCCTCCCGGGGACTCCATCCCTTCTCAGGCAGGCTCCACCCTGTTGCTGGTCGCTGGCTGTAATTCCAAGCTAGTGGGTCTTTATCTTGTGAGGTGCCATGGAAATGGGGCCTGCAGACTGATGTTGCTTGGCCCCCTGGATTCAGCCCCCTTCCTAAGGGTATGCATGACCTCCCACCTTGTCTGAGCTGCAGACACCCTTGCTAGTGATCCCAGGGCTGGAGTATGTAAAGCTCCTGGGTCTCTCTGTGCATGCTTGGGTAGCGGCTATGCCGAGACTTCACAAGGCTCTGTGTGTGGGACCCAAGGCCCTAGTGGGGTGGGCCCATGAGGGGTCCCGAACCATGGGTTGCAAAGATCGTGGGAGAAACATGGTTTCCGGGGGTCACAAAATCACTCACCACTTCCCTTGGCTGGGGGTGGGGGTTCCCTTGGTGCCACAGCCCCACCCTGCTTTACTTCGTTCTCCGTGGGTTGTTTCCCTGATTAGTCCCAGTGTGGGTACCTGGATATTTTGGTTGAAGGTGCCGTATTCACTTGGCCCTTTCGTTCCTCTCTGTGAGTGCCACGGACCTCAGCTGCTTCTAATCGGCCATCTTGGCCTTATCTCCCACTTATTTTCTTATTTTTTATTGTTTAGTTCATTTTAGTTTTAAGAGTTCATTGTATATTTTGAATAACAGGTCCTTATCAGATATGTCTTGCAAATACTTCCTCCTAGTCTGTGGCTTGTCTTTGTAGTCCCTTGACAGTGTCTTTCACAGAACAGAAGTTTTTAATTTTAATGAAGTCCAGTTTATCAATTATTTATTTAATGAATTGTGCCTTTGGTGTTGTATCTCCTGTATTTCAGGAGTTTTTATAGTGTTGCATTCACATATAGGTTTGTGATCCATTTTGTGTTAATTTTTGTGAAGGGTATAGAAAGCTGTGTCTAGATTCATTTTTTTTGCATGTGATGTCCAGTTGTTCCAGCACCATTTGTGGAAAAATAATATCTCTTCCCCAGTGAATGCTTTTGCTCCTTTGTCAAAAATCAGTTGACTATATTCATGCGAGTCTATTTCTAGGCTCTCTATTCTGTTTCATTGATCCATCTATTCTTTCTTCAATACCACAGTGTCTTGATTACTATTAGATTTATAACAGTAAGTCTTAAAGTTGGGTAATGTCAGTTCAGCAACTTTGTTCTCTTCAATATTGTGTTGGCTATTCTAGGTCTTTTGCCTCCCTATATAAACTTTACAATCAGATTGTCAAACTTGCTGGGATTTTGACTGGTAGTGCATTGAATCTATAGATCAAGTTGGGAAGATCTGACTTCATTTTTGTTTAATTTGCATTTCTATGAGTACTCATTAAGTAGAATACCTCTTCATGTGCTTCTTAGTCTTTTGGTTTTCTTTCTTGTAAATTACTTTGCCATGTCCTTTGTCCATTTTATTTTGGGGATCCTATCTTTTTCTAGTTGCTTTGCAGGATTTCTATTCTGTATATTGGTCCCTCATTAATTTTACATTTTGCAAATATCTTCCCCCAATTTTAGTCTCTTAACTTTATTCATCATTTTGATCATTGACTAGAGATCCTTAGTTTTACTTTAATCAAATTCATAAATTTCTTACTTTATGGTTTGTATCTTTGGGTTTTGTTTAAAAAGTTTTTTTCTTATAAGTTACAAAGATACTTTCCTACATTTTCTCCTATTAACTTGATAGTTTTATCTTTACATTTAGATTTTTAATACCCCTGGTGACCACTTTTGGTCCAAAAATTACTTTATTTTTCTTCATGTAATGACTCAATTTTCCCAGTACTGACTCCAAAATAATGAATTCTTTCCCATTTGAATTGTGGTGTCACCTAAATTGGAAATAAAATAAGAGTCTCTCTAGGTCTGACTCTGAGCAGATCTGTGTCTGATGCTGAGCATTCTATCTGGTTGCTTTGGTCTATATGCCTGTTCTTGAAGTGCATACCACACTTTTCTTTTTTAACAATGGCTTCATTGTATATCTGATGATGTACTTGTAGAAAAAAACTTGTATGGCAAGTTTTTTTCTTAAGTCTTCTTTTTCATCATTTATCTAAATATTTGTATATATCTGTTCTCCTATAAAATTTTAAAACTGTATTTATCAGTTCCTCAAAAAATGCAACTGGCATTTTGATTGGTATTGCATTGAATTTGTGGATCAATTTGGAGATAATTATCATCTTTATAATATTTAGTCATCTCATCCAAGAATATGAATTGTCTTCTTATTTGTTAGGTTATCTTTATATTCTTCATTGTAGTTTCATTTTTTCTCTATAGTAGTCTTGCATAGTCTTGGTTAAATTAATTCCTAATACTATATAGTTTTAAATTGTAAGTGGTAGTTTTTCTTTCGAATTTTCTAATATGAGTTTTGTGATTTTGTAAGTTTTAAATTTTTATATTAAGTGTTTATCTGGCATCCATGCTGAACTATCTGAATAGTTATAGTAATCATTTTATTCATTCTCGTGGATTTTTATAGGTAGATGATCACATGTTTACCCAAAATTTTGTCTTATTTCTTTCAATTTTTACACTTTGTACTTATTTTCTTTATGTTTTGGTCATGACTTCTAGAGTTACAATAAGCAGTAGTGGTAATCAAGCACATTCCTGTTTTGTTCCCAATCTTAAAAGGAATACACCTAAAGTTTCTCCAGTAAGAATTGTGGTTGGTATTCTGGGAAGATGGCCATATAACTTTGACTCTCTCCATATTGCCTCATAAAAATAGATAGAGGAACAGTAACATCTAAACTAAGGACTCATGACGATATCTAAAATACAGCTAGATGACAAGGTATCGTGATGACCCTCTAAATAGTGGGAACAAACCACTGTTGTATCCCAGTCCTGTGTATCAGAATTTGAGTAGGACGAAGTGGAGGAAAGGCAACTGAGTTTCTAATGGTCCTATGAATAGGAAAAGCCTCAAATTGCCATGATGTACTCATTGGAAAGCACAGTGAGGCAAGAAGGGAAGAGAAGCTAAAATTGGGGATGGGAGAGGGTAATGTTCTACAAGGTTCAATTTGTAAGAGAATGCAAGTGTGCTATAATTACAATAAAGTCTGACTATTCTGGAGCTACCTGGGTTTATAAACTCTTAAAATTAATAAACAGAAGTTTCATTTCAAAACAAAACTCCACTCTTAGAAGAAACTGAAGCAAGTACAATATAAATCAAGCTGAACAGAAACAATAGGGACAAAAAGAAAGGGCCCAGGTAAAAGTGAAGGAAGCAGAGAAGGTAAATCTCAGAACATGTAGCCACAAAGATACAAAGGTCATTTTAGTTAGAGCACAAAGCACAAAGGTAGTGCTAGCTAGAGGTACAGTCACATCTCATAAAAAATTATAAAAAGAAAAGAATAAGGAGCAGAATAACCTCTCTACAGACAGTGAAAGCATGCCAATAGAGATGAAAATAAATTAAAATTTCTACCTAATATTTAAAATGAAGATACAGAAATTTTAAAAATTACAAAACTTAAACAACAACATAAAGCAGAATGAGAGACACTAAAGATGTGTTCATTGAGAAAAAATGCCTTGAAAAGAGGGATGACTCAATAAAGAATTAGAAATAAAATTTAAAAATCATTATAGAAATAAAGAAGGCAAGTGGATACAACTGATAATGTCTTAAGTAAAAGGTGGAAAGGATGACATTTTTATAAATAAAAAAGACATGAAAAAGGAGAGAATAATGATATAAGAGAAAGAGATAAACATAGAATGTAGGCAAAGGAGATCCAAAATACAAACAAAAGGAGCCCCTGGAGAAGTCAATGAAAGAGAATATATATTAAACACTATGATTGAAGAAAATTTTCCCAAAATAAAAAACAATTTGAAAGCATATATTGAAAAGATCCACTGTGTTCCTGAGAAAATTGACTCAGAACAGCTAAAACCAAGATATAGTCTAGTGAAACGATTGGACTTTATTTTAAAAAGGAACGAAAATAAATCCTTTGGGCATCCAAGACAAAAAAAAGTCATTAATAAGGGGAAAGCCAGATTGTCACCAGACTTTATGATAGTACTGTTTTATGCCAGAAGATACCAGAATAATAAATGTAATAATTTAATGGGGGAAAAAGTGAGCCATGAACTTCAAATAAAAGCAAATTGATCAAAAGTAAAGGCTGCTAAGTGCTATCAGCATACAAGAGAGATCAAGTGGAAAAAAATTAGAAGACCTAAACAACAACAAATAATACATAGCCATGCACCATTTAATGACAGGGTTACAGTCTGAGAAAGACATTTTTACGCAATTTTATCATTTTGCAAGCATCATAGAGTATACTTACACAAACCTAGATGGTAGAGCCTACCACATACTCAGGATATATGGTATAGCCTATTGTTCCTAGGCTACAAACATGTTCATGTTCATGTTACGGTACTGAATACTGTAGGCAATTATAATATAATGGTAAGTATTTGTGTATCTAAACATAGAAAAGACACCATAAAAATACAGTATTATAATCTTATGGGACCACTATCAAATAGGCTGTCCATTGTTGACCTATATGTCATTATGACCTAAATGTCATGCATGTGGTGCATGACTATAATTCTATAGATGCATTGAACCCTGAACACTGAAAACAGAGACTTCATACTTCATAATCTCTTGAAGTGTTCATGAAACATTCATAAAAACTGACCTTATCTTAAATTACAAAAAACCTTAATAAATTCTAAAGAAAAGAAATGAAACACATTTTCTGAGCTTGATATAACATAATAGAAATAATAACAAAATATTAAAAGATCTGTTCAATTTGAAAATTTAAAACATGTTCTTAAATGATTTGGGGTTTTAAAGGAAAATGTAATATAAAATTCAAAGTTTTGAAAATCATGAAAATGAAAACATATTAGAGCTATGGGATATGGCTAAAGCAATTATCAGGAAAATATTTATAGCATTAAGTGTCTATTGCAGGAATAATTTAAAAATGAGAATATGAGTTAAATACCAAATGCAAACAGCTAGAAAAAGAACAATGTATTTCAAAATAAAGCAGCAGGAAAATTAATAAAGACAAAAGCAGATATTAATGAGATAAAATTAAAGCAGTGGAATTAACAAATACCCCAAAGTTGTCATTAAAAAAATTACAGGATAGATACTCATTAGTTACTGTAACGGAGGAAAAAAGAAAGGACAAATACATAAAATTAGAAATGACAAGAGAGCAATAAGGATGAAAAGGGAAGTTTTTATAATCATAAAGCCATTTTGCCCAAATCTATTCAAAACAAAGACAAATACTAGGCTGAGCACAGTGGCTCACAAGTGTAACACCAAGTGGGAGGACCACTTGAGGCCAGGAGTTTGAGACCAGCCTAGGCAACATAACGAGACCTTGTTTCTACAAAAAATAAAAAAAATTAGCTGAATGTGGTGGCGCATGCCTGTAGTCCTAGCTACGTAGGAGGCAGAGATGGGAGGATCACTTGAACCTAAAAGTTTAAGTTACAGTGAGCTATGACCTTGCCACTGCACACTAGCCTGGGTGACAGAGCAAGACCCTGTCTCTAAAATAATACATATATAATATATAAATGTATGTTATATATATTATATATATAAATGTATGTTATATATATTATATATATAAATTAAATATTATATAAATACCAAAGTGAAGTGGATAATTTTTACAGATAAATATGTTTTCAAAATTGACAGAGACAGAAAGTCTATACTGATCAATATCACAGAAGAAATATAAATATCAAAAAGTAATTAATGAGTTTCCCCATAGTAAAAAGCACCAACCTCAGATGTTTGCATAGAATTCTGCCAAACCTTGAAAATCGTCTAATAATAATACTACTTACATTATTGCTGAGAATAGAAAATTAAACTTCTGAATTTGCTTTATGAATTGAGCATGACATTGATCTCAAAACTTGAGACAGGTTGCACCAATAAAAGAAAAATCAAAACAAACCCCACGCCAGTCTCACTTATGGGTATTGATGCAAAAATCTTAAAAGATCAGCAAAGACAACCCAACAGAATGTTAAAAAAAAATACATCATTACTTAGTGGAATTTATTCCAGGAATATAAAGGTGATTTAATCCAAGGAAATAAGTCAATATAATTCATCATATTAATAAAGATGAGAAAAAAGTTACTATTGTATCCACAGATGGAGAAGAGACATTTAATAATGTTATTAGTTATGTTAAAAAGACTTAAAAAAAGAGATTTATTGGATATTTCCTGTCATAGTTTCCTGAGGATGCTGGAACAAATTATCATAAAATAGGTGGCTTAAAACAACAAATCTATTTTTTCATAGTTTTGGAGACAAGAGGTTTTTTTTTTTTAATAAGAAGCAGTTCAAAATGAGTATCATTGGGCCAAAACAAAGGTGTTGGCTGGTCTGCACTGCCTATGGAGGCTCCAGGGGAGAATCTGTTTCTTGCCTCTTCCACCTTTTGGCATTCCTTGGCTTGTGGCTGCATCTCCCCCGTCTATGCCACCATGGTCACATTGCCTTTTTCTTCTTTGCATATGTAAAATTTCCCTCTGTCTTCCTCTCATGTGATTGCATTTAGGGCCCTCTCACATAATCAAGGATAATCTCTCTATCTCAAAATCCTTAATTTAATCATGTCCGCAAAGCCTTTGCCATATGAGGTAACACTTACAGGTTTTAGGAAATAGGACCTGATATTTGAGGCCACTATTTGCCCTACTACACTTCCTCAATGATAAATATAATTCAGCCCCAAACCTAGCATCTTAATAAGGAGACTCTGAAAACTTTCCCACTAAAGTCAGGTTCTAGAAAGGGACCAATTTCTACTCCTATATGACATTATTTTGAAGCTATTGACCATTGTAATTAGATAAGAGAAAACAACTGGAGGATACAGTAATTGGAAGTAAAGAGATATTTTCAGATGACATGATTATATATCTGGAAAATCCAAAACAATTGATAAAAACTTACCTCAAATAAAAAAATAGTAACGTAGCAGCTCACAAAATTAACATTTAAAAATCAATTGCTTTTGTAATATAAACAAAACCCATTACAAAATATAATGGAAGAGAATCCTCTCATTTATGATATAACAAAGAAAGTAAGTGCCAAGTTATAAACTTAATTACAAGTATCCAAATCCTACATGAGAAAAATACACTTGAAAATTACAAAAGTTGATTGCAACAAATGAAAAAATGTACCTTGTTCTTGGACAGAAAAACTCAACATCATAAAAAATAACATTCTCACTATTTTAATTTATAAACTTGTGAAATACCCAATAAGAATATAATCAGATTTCATCCCCACAACCCCCAAATAGACAAGTTGATTATAAAATTTACCTGAAAGGACATCAAACAAGAATAGCCAAACACCCTGAAAAAGAAGAGCAATCAAGTGAGAGTGGGAGGAGTTTCTTTTACCAAAAATTAGAATATACCATAAACCCTTTATAATTAACATAATTTGGTATTGACACACAAATAGGCAGACAGACTAATGGGACAAAAAATAGAAAAATGAGAAATAAAGTAGAAGTGCATTTGGAAATTTAGTATACAATAAAGACAGCCTCTCAAATCAGTAAGGAAAAGATACATTTTAAAAAACAAGTATTTTAAAAAATATAGGAAGGATTGTGGTTACTTTAGAAAGATTAATACAACTAGGAAAAATTCTGCACAATATGTATCAATGGAATTCAGCTGATCAAACTTAAAATATTATTCCTTGCATTATAGTTCTGAGTAGGTACCATAGGTAATAGTTCTATTGTGCTGTTCACTTTAAACTAGGGTGATAAAGTTTTTTAATAAGTGGAACTGGGATGCTGTGTAGCTGGCGTTGGCCTGGTAAATATTTAATACACATGTATGTGCATATATATATGTGTGTGTATGTATGTATAGTATAAATTTTACTGATAGAAAGGATGTTTAGCAAGCATTTAAAAATAATAATAAAATATACAATTCTTTCTATTATAAATTCTAAGTGATTCATAAATTCTCACAGAATGCTTTTCTTGATTTTTGCTGAACTTTTCTATCCATAACCAATTTATGATTGTAATTGATAAGTTACATGAATGTCACATGAATTGTCACATGAATGTCAGTTGATATTTTC
Organism: Homo sapiens; assembly: GCF_000001405.40. NCBI lineage: Eukaryota > Metazoa > Chordata > Mammalia > Primates > Hominidae > Homo > Homo sapiens. The sequence goes on from NC_000005.10 coordinate 127,168,824, forward strand.
ATTTAACATACCATATAGAGTAAAATGACAAAGACATTGAATATTGACTTGTTTATCAAAGATGTGACTTCCTTGCTGCATTGGATAATACCTTTTAAATATTGGGAGATTATTTGCCATTTTTTTTTGCTATTCACAATGTAACAGCTACAAATATACAAATTAAACAATCTTAATAGTATACTTTATTTTTTATTTCAATAGGTTTTTGGGGAACAAGTAGTGTTTGGTTACATGAATAAGTTATTTAGTGGTGATTTCTGAGATTTTGGTGCACTCATCAATCATCACATATATATATATGTGATATATACACACACACACACACACACACACACACACACACCACAGTTTCTTTTACCCACTTGTTGATTGATAGGCATTTGGGCTGGTTCTATATTTTTGCAATTATGAATTGTGCTGCTATAAACATGAGTGTGCAAGTATCTTTTTCGAATAATGACTTCTTTTCCTCTGGGTAGATAACCAGTAGTGGGATTGCTGGATCAAATGGTAGTTCTACAAGGTCTCCAAACTGTTCTCCACACTGTTTCCCATAGTGGTTGTACTAGTTTACATTCCCACCAGCAGTGTAGAAGTGTTCCCTTTTCACCGCATCCACGCCAGCATCTATTATTTTTTTATTATGGCCATTCTTGTGGGAGTAAGGTGTTAGTGCACTGTGGTTTTGATTTGCATATCCCTGATCATTAGTGATGTTGAGCACTTTTTCATATGTTTGTTGGCCATCTGTATATCTTGTTTTGAGAATTGTCTATTCATGTCTTTAGCCCACTTTTTGATGCGATTGTTTGTTTTTTTCTAATTTGTTTGAGTTCCTCGTAGATTCTGGATATTAATCCTTTGTCAGATGTATAGACTGTGAAGATTTTCTCTCACTCTCTGGGTTGTCTGTTTATTCTGCTGATTGTTTCTTTTGCCATGCAAAAACTCTTTAGTTTAATTAAGTCCCACCTATTTATCTTTGTTTTTGTTGCATTTGCTTTTGGGTTCTTGGTCATGAAATCTTTGCCTAAGCCAATGTTTAGAAGTGTTTTTCTGATGTTATTGTCTAGAATTTTTATGGTTTCAGGTCTCAGATTTAAGTTCTTGATCCATCTTGAGTTGATTTTTGTATAAGGTGAGAGATGAGGATCCTGTTTCATTCTCTTACATGTAGCTTGCCAATTATCCCAGCACCAATTGTTGAATCGGGTGTCCTTTCCCCACTTTATGTTTTTGTTTGCTTTGTCAAAGATCAGTTGGCTGTAAGTATTTGGCTTTATTTTGGGTTCTCTAGTCTGTTCCATTGGTCTGTGTGCCTACTTCTTTTTTTTCTTCAAAAGAAACAATTTATTTAGAATAAAACAAAAGCAGCTCAACTGTGAGTACATGTTTGAGAGACAGCTACTCTTAAGCTGTGTGAGCCATCAAAAAGGTTTTTCTTTACTCTTCTAGAAATCTTATGTACATAGCACAAAGCAAACAGGTCATTTTTTTCCCCACTTAAAACACTGGCATTGGCATCACAATGGCAGATACAAAACTTTAAGCTGCCATTTTAGTGAAATGCACAAATACTAAATAGATTACCTTTCTTCCATCAGAGGGCCACGTAAATTCCACATAAGCCACAATTTCTCTTCAAAAAGGTCCATTAGAGCTTTGAATTCCACATCTCCATCTGCTGTTCAACCAGTTTTGCATGGACAATAATCATGACCAGGTAATCTTCTTCAGATTTAGCCAGTGCCTTGGAATCCAGGAATTGGTGGGAGAGCTCACAAGGTGGGAAGGCAAGAAGGATCCCGGCGTTTTCCTTGTCTTTGTTGTGCCCCCCTCACCAGGCTGATCACCCTGGGTACCTGCTTTTGCTTTAAATAGGACACAAGGCTCCTAAGCAGCCTCTTAGTAGAAGTGACAGTGTCTGAGGAAGAGGGGGACCGGCTGTCAGAACTTCCAGGCACAGCCAGAAGAATGGCATAACCATTAGGCCCTGCTACTTTGATGCATCGAGTTACTTCATCCAACTTGGGCTGGTCTAAACAGAGACACTGAGTGATCCTGAGCTGGGCCACTTTGGCCCTCCACAAGAAGACTGCTAGCCACTTGGAGGTCACCCTGCAACAACTGCATGTTGGAATGTTGGAAGGAAAGTTGCTGTTCTTCAGTAGAAGCATGCCCTGCCAGGCCAAACAGAGTTTGGGAGAGGCTGCTGCCACAGGGGCTGTCCCCTCATCCTGTTTCTGGGAAGGGGACTTCAGCTTCCAGGAAGCAGTGTTTGTGCTAGGTCCACTCCCATCAGTGTGGTCTTCTTTTTTCAGAAGGTTTTTCCCCTCAGTGGTGCTTCCTATCCACTCAGCTGAGGCAGAGTTTTTATGGTCTCGCTTGTCATCCTGGCTCTTCTCCAAACTACCTCATCCGTCTCTGATCAGAGAGGGCATTTCCAAGAGAAGACGGGAAGATGGATCATTGTCGCTGTTGTAAGGATCCAGGCTACTGCTCAGTTCTGGACTGTGGTCAGAAGAAGGAGCGCAGTGACATTTTTGTGGGCAGTCACTCTCAGGAGACCTATCGAGATGCCGTCCTCCACTCTCATCAGGCAGCTTTTGCTTACCAGGCTGGTCTCTGCTGCTGGGCAGATCTTGATCACCTCTGTCCCTGTCCAAAGACCAACAACTATCCCGCCTGTGATCCAGGCTATTCAGTGGCTCGTAAGCAGGCACAGCAGTAGCTGCAGTCCCAGTGCTGCCTTCTCCGATTGGGGGTGGGGGTGGCACCCAATCTGAATCAGGATAAAGGTCTCTATCACAATCTCTGTATAGTAAGGGTGGTGTCCTATCCTAAGCACCCCTCAAAGGGTCAAGGGCCTGATGTCCAAAAGCATCTGTCACCAGCTCATAATGAGTCAAGGGCAGAGGCTGCATATATTGTTGCTGGTAACGACGTTTGGTGTCTGCAAAGTCTAGTCTAAGGTGGTGATCTGGGCCACCAAGTGGGAAGTCCTGCATATGGGTCCAGGCAGCGTGCACTGCATCCAGGCTTTCATACTGGATATACACCCAACTGTCACCTTTCTGTAGTCTGTGGGGTGTATGGTGCCAAGTTGGTCAAACTCTCATGTCAGGGCAGCAAGAGGCATCCAAGGTTTCAGGCCACCCACCCAGAGGTGGGTGGTGTGTGTAGCTTTACCATAACCAATTTTGATAGGATTCCAAATTATAATTTTGCTGAACATTGCTAATTTGGCCCTGTGGGACATATCTAGGTTCTCAAATTTGAGAAGGCTGTAATTACTGCTCTGGCCAAGAAAAGGGCTCTTGATATCTACTTCTGTGATGACTCCAAAGCAATCAAACGCCCTTCTTATGTCACTCTCTGTTACAGTTGTGTCTAGGTTGCCCAAGAAAAGCATCTGGTTAGTTCTATGATGATCCTTGGGTGACATCTCATCCACTTTTCTGAAAGGAGCAGCATCTGCTTCAGCTCCCTCCCTTGGTTTAAGACTGTATGCTGGGGGCACTCTCTCATAGAACAGATAGTCTCCTTTTCTTTCCAGCTCTCTAGGCAATGGTGGCAGAGGTGGAGAGGGTAGGCGGCCAAGAGCCATCTGCTGCAGACCTATCTCTGTATCCCAAAGCCGCACCACCAGAGGAAAGTGATCTCTGGCCTCCACCACCTCCAGGGGAGTGCGGGTGACCACCTACAGAGGCTCCCACCACACTGGCTGATGGAGGATAAATATCTTTGTCTAAAGGGGAGCAGCTGTGGTGCCTGCTCCCATGCACAGCTTCTGTCTTCAGAGGCAAGTCAGAGAGCACCAGGCCGCCTCTGTGTGCTTGGCCACCCGCGCGTCCTCTGGCTGTGGGAGGTTCACAAAGGCTACCAGCTCATCTCCACTGCCAGAACCCGACAGCTGATTGATTTTGACCCTTACATCCCTGAAGCCTTTGAACTCATGAAACAGGCCATCCTCCACCGCTTCCTCACTCAGCTAGGACAAGAGCTGAAGAGGTGGCCCCAGAGGAAAGCGACTCCACCCCTTCACCCCTCCACCCCAGGAGCTGCTGCGCGACTCGCCCTGCCCGAGTAATTTTTGGTGCTGGGAAGCTATAACTATGCAAGACGCCAGTGTAGTTGCCCCCACTAGTGTCATACTCACGACTGCCACCTCAGCTGCTGGACTTGTCCAGGTGGAGACTCTGTTGCCACCTGCTGCCACTATTGGTCTTTCTACTGCTGCTCTCATTTTTCTACCAGTACCATGCTGTTTTGGTGACTATGGCTTTATAGTATAGTTTGAAGTCAGATAATGTGATGCCTCCAGATTTGTTTCTTTCAGCAGTGTTTTGTAGTTTTCCTTGTAGAGGTCTTTTATCTCCTTTGTTAGGTATATTCCAAAGTGTTATTTATTATTATTATTATTATTATTTTGGCAGCTATTGTAAAAGGGGTTGAGTTCTTGATTTGATTCTCAGCTTGGTTGTTGTTGGTGTATAGCAGAGCTACTGATTTGTGTACATTAATTTTGTATCCTGAAACTTTGCTGAATTCATTTATTAGTTCTAGGAGCTTTCTGTTGGAGTCTTTAGGGTTTTCTAGGTATACTATCATATCATCAGCAAACAGCGACAGTTTGACTTCCTCTTCACCAATTTGGATGCCCTTTATTTCTTTCTCTTGTCTAATTGCTCTGGCTAGGACTTCCAGTACTATGTTGAATAGAAGTGGTGAGAGTGGACATCCTTGTCTTGTTCCAGTTCTCAGGGGGAATGCTATCAACTTTTCCCCATTCAGTATTACTTCGGCTGTGGGTTTGTCATAGATAGCTTTTATTACGTTAAGATATGTCCCTTCTATGCTGATTTTGCTGAGGGTTTTAATCATAAAGGAATGCTAGATTTTGTCAAATGCTTTTTCTGCATTGATTGAGATGATAATGTGATTTTTGGTTTTAATTCTGTTTATGTAGTGTATCACATTTATTGACTTGCATATGTCAAACTATCTTTGGTATGAAACCCACTTGATCATGGTGGATTATCTTTTTGATATTCTGATGGATTTGGTTAGCTAATAGTTTGTTAAGGATTTTTGCATTTGTATTCATCAGGGATATTGGTCTGTAGTTTTCTTTTTTTGCTATGTCCTTTCCTGATTTTTGTATTAGAGTGATACGGGCTTCATAGAATGACTTAAGGAGGATTCCCTCTTTATCTTGTGGAATAATATCGATAGGATTGGTACAAATTCTTTGAATGTCTGAAAGAATTCAACTGTGAATCCATTTGATCCTGGACTTTTTTTGTTGGAGGTTTTTAAAATTACCATTTCAATCTTGCTGCTTGTTATTGGTTTTAGAATAGAATAGCATTTCTATTTCTTCCTGTTTTAATCTAGGGGGATTGCATATTTCCAGGAATTTACCCATTTCCTCTAGGTTTTCTAGTTTATGTGTGTAAAGCTGTTCATAGTAGCCTTGAATAATCTTTTGTATTTCTCCGGTATCAGTAGTAATATCTCCTGTTTCATTTCTAATTGAGCTTATTTGGATCTTCTCTCTTCTTTTCTTGGTTAATCTCACTAGTGGTCTATCAATTTTATTTATCTTTTCTTTTTTTTTTTTTTTTTGAGATGGAGTCTTGCTCTGTCGCCCAGGCTGGAGTGCAATGGCACGATCTCGGCTCACTGCAAGCTCTGCCTCCCAGGTTCACACCATTCTCCTGCCTCAGCCTCCTGAGTAGCTGGGACCACAGGAGCCCGACACCACACCTGGCTAAATTTTTTTGTATTTTTAGTAGAGATGGGGTTTCACCGTGTTAGCCAGGAAGGTCTTGATTTCCTGACCTCGTGATCCACCCACCTCAGCCTCCCAAAGTGCTGGGATTACAGGCGTAAGCCACCACACCCGGCCAATTTTATTTATCTTTTCAAAGAACCAGGTTTTTGTTTCATTTATCTTTTGTATTTTTTGGTTTTAATTTCATTTAATTCTGCTCTGATCTTTGTTATTTATTTTCTTCTGCAGGGTTTGGGTTTGGCTCATTCTTGTTTGTTTTGTTCCTTGAGGTGTGACCTTAGATTGTCTATTTGTGCTCTTTCAGACTTTTTGATATAGACATTTAATGCTATGAATTTTCCTCTTAGCAAGGTCTTTGCTGTATTCCAGAGGTTTTGATAGGTTGTGTCACTATTATCATTCAGTTCAAATAATTTTAAAATTTTCATCTTGATTTTATTGTTGACCCAATGATCATTCAGGACCAGGTTATTTAATTTCCATGTATTTGAGGGTTCCTTTGGAGTTGATTTCCAATTTTATTCCACTGTGGTCTGAGAGAGTACTTGATTTAATTTCAATTTTCTTAAATGTATTAAGACTCATTTTGTGGCCTATCATATGGTCTAACATGGAGAATGTTCCATGTGCTGATGAATAGAATGTATATTCTGCAGTTGCTGGGCAGAATGTTCTGTAAATATCTGTTAAGTCCATTTGTTCTAGGGTATAGTTTAAATCCATTGTTTCCTTGTTGACTTTCTGTCTTGATGACCTGTCTAGTGCTGTCAGTGGAGTATTGAAGTCACCCACTATTATTATGTTGCTGTCTATCTCATTTCTTAGGCCTAATAGTAATTGTTTTATAAATTTGGGAGCTCCAGTGTTAGGTGCATATATATTTAGAATTGTGAAACTTTCCTGTTGGATAAGTCCTTTCATCATTATATAATGTCCCTCTTTGTCTTTTTTTAACTGCCATTGCTTTAAAGCTCATTTTGCCTAATATAAGAATAGCTACTCCTGCTTGCTTTTGATGTCCATTTGCATGAAATGTCTATTTCTATCCCTTTACCTTAAGTTTATGTGAGTCCTTATGTGTTAGATGAGTCTCTTAAAGACAGTAGTTACTTGGTTGGTGAATTCTTATCCATTCTGCCATTCTGTATTTTTTAACTGGAGCATTTAGGCCATTTTCATTCAACGTTTAGTAGTGAGATGTGAGGTCCTGTTCTATTCGTGGTGCTATTTGTTGTTTGTTGCCTGAATATCTGTTTTTTTTTAATTGTGTTTTTGTTTTGTAGGCACTGTGAGATTTATGCTTGAAGGAGGTTCTATTTTAGTGTATTTCAAGGATTTGTTTCAAGATTTAGAGCTCCTTTAGCCATTCTTGTAGCGTTGGCTTGATACTGGTGAATTCTCTCAGCATTTGTTTGTCAGAAAAAGACTGTATCTTTCCTTCATTTATGAAGCTTAGTTCTGCGGGACACAAAACTCTTGGCTGATAATGGTTTTGTTTAAGGAGTCTGAAGATAGGGCCCCAATCTCTTCTAGCTTGTAGGATTTCTGCTGAGAAATCTGCTGTTAATCTGCTAGGTTTTCCTTTAGAGGTTACCTGGTGCTTTGCCTCATACCTCTTAAGATTCTTTCCTTCGTCTTGACTTTAGATAACGTGATGACTATGTGCCTAAGTGATTATCTTTTTGCTATAAATTTCTCAGGTGTTCTTTGAGCTTCTTGTATTTGGATATCTAGATTTCTAGCAAAGTTGGGAAGTTTTCCTCAATTATTCCCTTAAATATGTTTTCCAAACTTAGATTTCTCTTTTTCCTCAGGAACACCAATTAATCTTAGGTTTGGTCATTTAACATAATCCCAAATTTCTTGGAGCGTTTGTCCATTTTTTAAATTATTTTTTCTTTGTCTTTGTTGGATTGGGTTAATTCAAAAACCTTGTCTTTGAGCTCTGAAGTTCTTTCTTCCGCTTGTCTGATTCTATTGCTGAGACTTTCCAGTGCATTTTGCATTTCTCTAAGTGTGTCCTTGATTTCCAGAAGTTGTGATTGTTTTTTATCTATGCTATGTATTTCACCGAAGGCTAGGAGCTTGTATGCCAAAGAAAGCAAAAGGATCCTTGACAACAATTATTAACCCTATTAGTAATAGACTGAAGGCTGTCAGGAAAGATGCTATGTGTCTATATATTGGTTGAGGGAGGTAATTCTCTCCTTCAGTGTGATGTCTGGGTACTGCTGGCTAATAACCCACATGTGCTCCTCAAACACCCACCTGTAACCTTAGGAAACAGAAATCTAGAACTTGAGCGGTGGCCCTGTGGTGTATTGCATCTTTAATCTCTTGCTGGGCATGCTGCCCAGGTTGGCCACCACTGCCGACACCACCAGGAGAAGTAGCAGAAGCCTCATCTTAATTGAGCCAGCTGCTTCAGCTGCCCTCATACTGAGACTGCCTATCATACACTTTTAAAATTAATCTATGCTGCTAACATTTTCTCTGTTATCTTTTAAAGTCTAGACTAGGGTTTTCTGTAAAGGCCAGATAGGAGATATTTTATGCTTTTTGGTCCATATGGTATCTGTTGCAACTATTCAACTGCCATGAAAGCATAAAAGCAGCCATGGATGATAGTGAACAAAGAGCTGTGGCTGTGTTCCAATAAAACTTTATTTACACAAACAGCTGGCAGGCTGGATTTGGCCTACTGGCCATAGTGATCCTTGTTCTACACAATCAATGAAATAATAAATTAAGCCCTGATTTTAGCATCACTAACTTTTGTGATGTAAATGCTCCCACCATAGCCAATTTCATGCTATCAGTATGGCATCATGAAATAAAGACTTGGGAAAAGATGCATAGCAGCATTCCATGCTTATAGTATGTCCATTGTGTGGACACGATAGATATAAATAACCTCAGAAGTCTTGATAGTAGTAAAATGTATCAAAGTAATATGAATGATAAGTTGTGAATATTTATTAGCTTCATTTCTAACATGATTTATTTCATTTTAAGTTGATATAATTTATTTTGTAATAATGGCTATGTTTAACAATCAGCTCACAAAATCCCTGAAAATTTAACAATTGGCGCCTGTGAGCTGTGTGTAGTTACATGGGAATAGAGAATATCAGACCTATTATTTATAGCACATACTGGAATAAATTTCAAATGGCTCTAAGAGATAAATGTAAAAATAAAATGAAATCACACAAGTTCTAGAGAAGGTAGGATGAAGTCCTCTACAATCTGTGAGTTGGGAAAAGTTTCTAAACTATGGCTAAAATCCAGAAGCAATAAGGAAAATGAGATTATATTAACTTTATAAAATGAATTGAAACTCTTTTTTTTTTTTGCATTTTCTGGAATAATTTATAAAACAGGAATTAGTTTTTGAAAGTTTGATAGAGGCCGGCATGAGGTAGCTCATACCCGTATGTAGTCCCAGCTACTCCAGAGGCTATGGCAGGAAGATCCTTTAATCCCAGAAGTTCAAGATTGCAGTGAGCTACAATCATGCTACTACACTCCAGCCTGGGTGACAGAGCGAGACCCTGTCTCAAAACAACAACAACAACAACAAAAACCAAGTTTGATAGAGTTCATTTTGAAAGCATGCCGGCAGGCCTGGAGATCTTTGGTTTGGAGATTTAACTACCAATTAAATTTCCTTAATCCTTGTGAGTCTATTTTAAGTTTCCTTTTTCTTCTTGGGTTAGTTTGGCATTTTATATATTTTCCAGGAATTTATTTATTTTATCTCTTTTGAAACCTGTAATTATTTTCCTATCTTTATTTTTTGATCAGCGTTTTATTTACCTTTGTTGTCTCCTTTTCTCCTTATTCACTTTTATCAAAAGTTTATCTTAGCAATCTTTTCAAAAATAGAGCTTTTTAGTTTTATAAATCTCTTCTACTTAAAAAATGTATTATATTGTTTCCTTTATTATATCTTTTTTCTTCTTTGGGTTTGCTTTGATGTTCTTTTTTATAACTTCTTGAGTTGGATGCTTAGCATACTTTGTTTCAACTTTTATTGTTTCTTCATAAACATATTTAAAGGTATAAATGTTCTTTCTAAATAATACTTTAGTTATGTACCATATATTTTGTATTTCCAAGTTCATTCAATTCTAGGTATTTACTCATTTTGATTATAATTTCATTTTTAACCTGTGAGTTATTTAGCAATATGTTACCTTCAGAATTTGAGACATTTGTAAAAGTTTTGTATTATTAATTTCTTGTATTATCTCATGTTTAGAAGATAAAATCTGCATGAAGTCTGGGTGCAGTGGCTCATGCCTGTAATCCCAGCATTTTGGGAGGCAGAAGAGGGAGGATCCCTAGAGCCCAGGAATTTGAGACCAGACTGGGCACATAGCAAGACCCTGTGTGTACAAAAAAATTCTTGAAAAATAGTTGGGTGGGGTGATGTGCATCTGTAGTAGTTCTAGCTATTCAGAAGACTGAGGTGGTAGGGATGGCTTGAGCCCAGGAGTTAGAGATTGCAATGATCTATGATCATGTCCCTGCACTCCAGCCTGGGTGACAGAGTTAGATCTTGTTTCAATAAAAAATCTGCATAATATTGTCCCTGGGTTTATTGGAACTTTCTGTAAACCTAGTCTACTAGTGTAAATATGTGCATGATTCTAAAAATATGTATGTGCTATTTGTTGCATAAACTATTGTAGCATATATATATATATAAATCATACCATTGGAACATACATATTAAAGATCTGAACAATATAATTAATAGTATGAGTCTATTAATTATAATGTTTAGATAAAAATCTGTTTAATTTTTGCTTAGTACTTTTTTTCTCATTAAAATTTGTTTTAATGTGTCTCAAAATTCTGTGAGAGAGCTGTGGTTAAGTTGTTTCCATTAAAAAGTACTAATTTTAAAAACTAATAACTTAAAACTGCCACACACACAGACACATACACACCAAAGTGGTCCACAAGACATTCTCCTTTCCTTCTGAAGGTTTTATGATGCATTGCTTTCATTAACCAGTCTTTTACTATTAAACTTAAATGGCCAATTGAAACAAACAGTTCTGAGACCATTCCTTCACCACTGATTAAGACTGAGGTTGCAGGTATTAGGGGTAATATTCATTTGGGCTTTCTGGGCAGACTTGGTGACCTTGCCAACTCCAGCAGCCTTCTTGTCCACTGCTTTGATGACACCCGTGGCAACTGTCTGTCTCATATCACGAACAGCAAAGCAACGCAGAGGTGGATAGTCTAAGAGGCTCCCAACATACTGCTTAGTAAATTTTTGATAGTTGGGTGTTAAAAAAAAACTCCCAGTGATTTATCTGTTTCTCTACTATACAGTTAGTGTAACCTATTATTAGGTGCATATGTATATTTGCAATGGTTATATCTTCTCACTGTTGTTTTATTTACCCCCCACATTAAATTCTCTTTTGTCAGCTATTATGAATGCAATTCTGGAATTCTTTCGGTTTCTGGTTTTTGTTTTTTTTTTGTCTTTCACTCTTTCATTTTCAAACTTATTATGTCTTTTGGTTTTAAGAATGTTTGTCATAGAAAACATATTTTTGGATTGCATTTTTACTTCTTAATAACATAGAGAGTATTTGTCTTTTCATTTGTGAACTAAAACCATTTATATTTGTTGTAATTTTTATTATATTAAGAATTATTTATTCCATATTTTATATTTTCAATTTACTCCACTTTCTTTTGTTTTCTACTGGCTTGAAAATTATATATTCTATTTTGGTTTCATTATGGCTAGCCTGAAGACCCTTACTCATGTTTATTTATTCCTGTTAATTTCTTAAATTTATCAATATCTGTATATTCATCCTAACTGGACAATTTAGTGGACTCATGTATATATATTAGTTATTGTTCATATTTATATATATGAATGCATATATATGAACTTGCAGAAATATATCCTAATGGATCTGCTTCTCTGAATGAACCCTATTATACCCAGCTTCAGAAAGAGAGAAAAATAAGAGATGGGAAAAAGTCTAAACCTGGAAACATCACAATAGAATTTAAGAACATCAAAGATAAGGAAAGAATTCAAAAAACTTCCAGAGATAGTGAAGAGATCAGCAATTAGAACAAAAATAAGATTTGAACAGTACACAGAAGACGACAAAAGGGAAAAAATGTGTTTTAAATATCAAAGGAAAGGTCAGGCGCAGTGGCTCATGCCTGTAATCCCAGCACTTCGGGAGGTGGAGGCAAGTGAATTGCTTGAGCCCAGGAGTTCCAGACCAGCCTGGGCAACATGGCAAAACCCTGTCTCCACAAAAAATATAAAAATTAGCCAGGCATGGTGATGCATTCCTATAGTACCAGCTACTTTGGAAGCTGAGGTGGGAGGATCACCTTAACCCTGAGGAGGTGGAGGCTGCAGTGAGCCGTGATCGTGCGACTGCACTCCAGCCTGAGTAACAGAGTGGGATCCTGTCTCAAAGGAAAATAAATTTGAACCTAGAATTGTATATCCAGCCAAATTGTCTTTCAACTATGATGGCCTAATATATATACTTTAGATAAGACCAAGAATGAAGTTTCGCCACAAAAAGATACATACTGAAAACATGTTTGAAGCAATCTTTAATATTTAAGAAATATGGTAAAGGTGATAAAATTCCTTGGTAAAGTTTGTATATCCTCACTAAAGTGAGAAAAAAACCATACTTACAATTTATCCAAAACAACTTATAATTAAAATTTGAGACAATATCAATATGATAGGAATGGTGAATGGGAATATATACATCGCAGGGATTTGACCTAATGAAATTGTAAGAGCTGGTCAAGCAGCCTCTGTAAGAAGATTACCTGTACTTCCAATGCTAGAGCTTTGAAATACAGAGCAGACAGTTGGGAAGGGGAGGTGAAGTAAAGTGGAGGTGAGCAAGAACAAGCTGGAACCCACAAACTGGAGCCCACGAGGACAGACTACAATTTGTATTAGTGATTATTGCCTTTAACTTTGATTGTGCATGTTTGTTTATTGCAGAAACTGGAGTCCTGCATCATAGTTGCCAAGCACACACCTGGCCCAGAGTCAGAGAAGCTTAGTGGGGAAGGTAGAGCAACTGGAGGCTCCACTGATGCTTCCCACAAAGAAGGAGAGCTGGCAGACAAGGGCTAATGCCCAGCAAACCTTTCACAGGGTTCTCTCTTGTGGCCCACCCTAATTAGAAATATACAGGAAAGGGAATTTTAGGAAGCACAGTTCAGTCTAGTCACGTTGACACATTACAAAGCCACTGCTCACAAGTATTTGCACTCTCCTTCCACCCTCCACATCTCCTAGCTTTCTTTTACATTTCCTGTCTCTTCACCCTTTCTTGCTGACCTCTAAGAGAGCTTCTCCATCTGTTCTTCCAACTCACTGCTTTATTCATCACCTTTATCCACTTGGCTATATACATTATTCATTGTTTTATTTACTTCAACTGTTATATATCCCATCCTTAATATTCAACTTGGTACTTTTTTATGTGTTCTCATTCTTGCTTCATATTGCTGATTATCAGCCTTAACCTCTTCATATATTTATCATCACTATATTAATTACAGAGTGCTGATTGGTGCGTTTACAAACCTTTAGCTAGACACAGAGTGCTGATTGGTGCATTTTTACAGAGTGCTGATAATCTTCTCATAATCTCACAATCTTCTCATAATCCTAATTTAGATGGCTTATGTTGTTGAGTTTGTTGTCTTTCTTATGTGATAGTTGTATTCTTTATATGGCTTTTTGATTATGTTGTCTTGAAAACTCTTCCTCTTGGATTATTAGTTACTAGCCACGGCTATGTGTTGGAAAAGGGCTAAATCCCAGCCTGCAGTTTATGTACCTCCAAATGAATTAAAACTTTGGAAACTGCCCAGGGGATGGAACCTCAGGGCCTGAAGAACTGATGGTGATTATCCCAATTTTCCCACCACGGCCAAATCATGTTGAGAGGTGAAGCCACCTGGGCTGCTGGGTCAGGTGGGAACTTGGAGAACTTTTCTGTCTAGCTAAAGGATTGTAAACGCACCAATCAGTGCTCTGTGTCTAGCTAAAGGTTTGTAAATGCACTAATCAGCACTCTGTAAAAACGCACCAATCAGCACTCTGTGTCTAGCTAAAGGTTTGTAAACGCACCAATCAGCACTCTGTAAAAACGCACCAATCAGCACTCTGTAAAATGGACCAATCAGCACTCTGTAAAATGGACCAATCAGCAGGACATGGGCGGCACCAAATAAGGGAATAAAAGCTGGCCACGGGAGCCAGCAGCAGCAAACCGCTCAGGTACCCTTCCATACTGTGGAAGCTTTGTTCTTTTGGTCTTTGCAATAAATCTTGCTGCTGCTCCCTCTTTGGGTCTGCGCTTTGGAACTGTGACACTAACTGTGAAGGTCTGCAGCTTTACTTCTGAAGCCAGCAAGACGACGAACCCACCAGGAGGAATGAACACCTCTGGATGCGCTACCTTTAAGAGCTGCAACACGGTGAAGGTCTGCAGCTTCATTCTTGAGGTTAGCGAGACCACAAACCCAGCAGAAGGAAGAAACTCCGGACACATCTGAGCATCTGAAGGAACAAACTTCGGACACACCATCTTTAAGAACTGTAACACTCATTGCGAGGGTCCGCAGCTTCATTCTTGAAGTCAGTGAGACCAAGAACCCACTGGAAGGAACCGATTCCGGACACAATGTCTCTAGTCCATGTTTCATATTTAAACTCTTTACAAGCAGTCTGCATAGATTTCATTCACGTTCCCTAATGGGAGTAGTACAGCAGTGAATGCCCAGGATACTGGTTGGCACACGCCTGCCTTTCATTCCTCCTTCTTCCTGCAGGGCTTTGGTACTGCACTTGTAGTACCCTCCTGACACCTGTAGCTTAGGTTGCTGGTACCAATCTCTGTGGTGATTGGGCAGGCCGTGATGGTCCACGTGGCAGAACAGAAACAGAAACGCTGTTCCCCTTTGACCTTCTAGTAGCTACCTATGGCTGCCTTCCCCCCAGGCTGAAGCAATTCTCTCTTTTCCCTCCCCCAACATATAACAATCCTGAGTCTTCAGACTCCCCTGGGGCCTTATCACAGTGTTTTATTTTATTTTATGGTTTGTCATTAGTTTCTCAAATATGTTTCCCTCTGGCTTCTATAGTTTCTCTAGGGTTGATTTTCAGAAGCAGCCAGTGGCCAATGTAGTTTTTCATCTTGACAGGATGAGAGAATGGTTTATAGAATGAGCAGGTGTATCATAGAAAGGAAAGAAACAGACAGGAGATGGATGAGTCTTAGGGAGGGAAAGGCTATGAAGGTACAGCAAGAGATGCTGTTCTCTACATTTACTTTTTATTTTAGTGTATGTGTGTGTGTGCATGCACACGTGTACATATACGTTAAAAGTCAAACAATACTGTCAGGCTTATAATAAAAATTAACAATCCTAACCCTTCTCTACTCCACAATCCTGCTCCCTTAAGGCAAAAATTTTCAACTTTTATTTTTGCTTTTTTTTTTCTGGTATTTGCTTCCACATTCTAAATAAATGCCTATATCATTATTTCTTGATTTTAAAATGTTAGCTATTTTCTTTGGCTTCCTTGCATGGAGAATGAGAAGCTAGCTCAGGTGATCACTGTGTTGGCCTTCCTACAGATTCTCTTCCCTTCCTTACTTCATTTCTTCAATTCCAATATAGTTGAACAATATATGTTCTTCATTCTTCCAGTATAGTTCCAATATAGTTGTTTTCATTATCAGCACTCCATGTTTATACCATTGTGTCCATGTGAATACAGTTCACACCTTAGACATGTAGCACACTAAGATTATATTCCTTTTCTTATATAACATTTTATTTTCTTAGGATTAATACTTGTTTTCCCCCAGCTACCCAAGTTGTTCAGTGAATCACGTGCCTATCTTAATTCTCTGACAGTTGTAGGATACTTTCAATAGAGTTGAACACATCAGGCAATCTCTCCGATTCCTCCTCAACCTCCGTGCGGGCTCTAACTTCCTGCTCTATGCTGGATTCTGTTCACACCTTCCCTTCATTAGGATCTTGGGAATTTCCTTTGCCTGCCTTCTTATGTTAGATTTCCAGTTTCCTAATTTTGTATCTACCTCTTTCTTGATTCATTCTCATGTTTGGTGAAGAAACTAGTATCTTCTAATAGCGTCCTAAGAGAGTCTGTAAGAGGTAAAATGTATGTCTATACATAGTGGTCAGTTGTTATTCAGGCTGGCTCCAGTTTCCGAACATTGTTTTAGCAGTTTCCCACGTTATAAATTCTGCATTCCTAACGAAGATTTTTCAGGTCATTTTCCAGTTGTGAGATTGCAGACATGTGGTTTTGATTCCACCAGTCAACTGCATCTGTGCCAGATTCAAAATCTGGGTCCAGAACTGAATTATTTGGGAAAAAGCCAGGGTCTGAGGTTGTTACTTTGCTGGTGCAGCTCTGGGCCCGGCAGTACAGCAGGACTCTGGAGTCTAAATGTGCAACCATAGCACCTGATTTGTCAACTTCCTGGTGATGGCAGAGGCCATAGGTTGGAACTGGCACTGGTGGCAGTAGCCTCCTGGTTTCATGGCTTGTGTGAGCAGCGTTGTGCTGTGGAGCTGGGTGTCACAACTGGAAGCACAATCCGTTTCCTTCCCTCAGTCTTGAGCTCTCACTACGTCATAACTAGTCCTTTTGGCTTAAACTGGCTACAGTAATTTCTGCCTTGCTAAACTAACTTGGCCAATATATCCCTTGTATGCCTAAAGATGTCCTTGTCCTTCTGTAAGACGTAAGTTTGGTCAGGTATAGAATTCTAATTTCGAAACCATTTTCTTCAAAAATTAGAAAGCATTTCTCCAGTGTCTCTGGTTTCTAGCGTTGTTGCTGAGAAGTCCAAAGCCATTCCGTTTTGAGACCATGTATATGATTTGCTTCTCTCTAAAGCTTTTCTGTTTTATCTCAAAGTAGTATTTATTCTTAATTTTTCTGTTTTTATATAATCATATTTTATTTACTTATCATTATTAGTTTTTACAGACAGGGCTTCACTCTGTTGCCCAGGCTGGAGTGCAGTAGCACAATCATACATAGCTCACTGCAGCCTCAGATTCCTGTATGCAAGAGATCCTCCCACTTCAGCCTCCTGAGTAGCTGGGACTCTGTGCCCAGCTAATTTTTAAAATTGTTGAAAGAGATGGAGTCTCGCTTTGTTCTCCAGGCTGGTCTTGAACTCCTAGCTTCAAGTGATCCTCCTGCCTTGGCCTCCCAAAGTGCTGGGATGACAAGTGTAAACCACTGTGCCTGGCAAAAGGTCATATTTTAAAGAGACAAAGAGTTCTGTTGTCTTATGAAAAGCAGCCTTTGTTTCCTCACTTCACCCCTCCCCATTTCCTTATTATCAGAAATGACCACTTTCACCACAATGTATATTAACAACATAATTAAATATATTTTTGTGCATATGAATTGATGCCAGTAAATCTTTCAATGTTATCATATTTGACTGTTATACACATTTTCAAGAAAACATTATATATGAAAGCAGATGACTGCCTTGTATCTAAACAGACTTTGGGGTGTAGGAGTTATAGATCCTCAAGTAGCAGTTGTTAGTGGGTTTTCCTCCTCTGAAGAGTATTTCACTCATTAGGTGGTAGGATGTGACCCTAGGCTTGGGCCTAAAAATAGAAAGAAGGAGGTGTGGTGGCGCATGCCTGTAATCCCTGCTACTTGCGAGGGTGAGGTGGGAGAATCGCTTGAACCCGGGAGGCAGAGGTCACAGTGAGCCGAGATCGTGCCACTGCACTCCAGCCTGGGCAACAGAGGGAGACTCTGTCAAAAAAAGAAAAAAAGAAAAAGAAAAAGAAAAAAGAGAAAGAAGGGGTGGGCAGGTAATTTTGGGACCATGAGGTTTCTGACACCAACATTCCAGGATTTCAGGGTGGGCCTCCTGATCTGGGGAAAAGGCTGTGGAGTGAATCTAAAGAGCTACAACTAGAAGCCCAGTAAGGTTGATGTGGAACTTCTTGGCTGAGCCCACCATTAAGGGATTGGAATTCTAAGGCATGGAACCTGGAAAAACCACTGTAGCCCGGGCAGGGTGTGAATGGGTGGATGCCTCGCCTCACCTGATCACTTAGGACCATATCTAAGCACCAGGAGAAACAGCAGGATCGGTGCAGAATAAGTCACTTCCAAGCTGCTTAGGCTTCAGATGCCTTTAGTGTGACTGTGCATCGTAAATCAATCAGCTTTTGTAATGCTTGCTAAAATCTCCAACGTTAAGGGAGAACCTTTGGCTCCAAAGTAGCAAAATAGTGAGATAGGAATTAGCAGGACTCCCTTCTCAGGCTACTTAGCATCCCGGAAGTATTAGATGTATGAAAGGTGTAAGGGGTCTAACAGATACACTGATTTCCTGTTAATATGGACACTGGGGGCTGGAACACTGCATTAGGGACCCTCCTGGAATGAGGTTGGCTGTTATTCAAGATACAGCCTGTGAAATAAGATGTACTGGTTACACATATTTTACTGATATTCTCTCTCAATTTCTCTTGACACTAGCAACTCTGGTTACCTGTAATTTAATATTTTTTTCGAGCAGCTGAAGATGACAGGATGGGGGAGAGAAAGGAGTGCAAACAGGGAAGCCTAGATCTGACATGATTTTTCTGTGTCCAAAGCACCCCCCCTCAAGTTGCCCCTGTTGAACCCAAGCTAGTTTCTACAACTCACAAAGATACACTTTAATCCAATTTCTATATTTCTTCCATGCAAAATTATACTTTTGATCAAAGATAGGAAAGAAGAGCCTAATAGCTTAAAGCCGAACATAAAGAACTCTGACCTTAGCTTCTCTGAATAGCAACCAATAAATATAATGACAACAACAACAAACAAAAACAAGAAAACCCAAATCATAAAACAAAAAAAACCCCCCATACAAACAGAAACACTTGATGCATCATTAGATCCACACACTAGGGTGAGCAACACAGTTTCAAAAAACAATGATAAGTCTGATAGGAAAGGTGGAGCAGGACGGGCTGCTGGAGCTTTTCTGGAAATGAAAAGAAGCAAATGGCCCAAGCCAGTGTCCCCATATCTGTGCCTCTTGCTAAATGGCCTGTCTGCTCCATGACAGCTGTTTTCAAGGTCCTGGAAATTGGTTCCCTAGCTTAATCCAAGGTGAATTGGACTCATGGAATCATTCAGTCACACTCAATTCCGCCATAGTCATATTTGCACAGATGTTGTGTCAGCTGTCCTGATTCCTTGGGCGATGTGGGGCTGGAGCTACGACTGTGACTAATGAAAGACACATTTGTCCTTTGTAGTGAAAGAGAAAGGGCACTACGGAACAATTCCATGTATTAAATAGAAGGTGTAGGTTGGAAATGAACACACTGATTCCAATAAGATATGGGAGATTATTTAAATTTGATAGCAAGTGGTTATAACTTGAAGAAATTTGAATACAAGAGGTTCTAGTGGAGCATTTTTCACTAAAAAAAGAAAATCTCTAAAATAAGCAAAAGTAATCAGAATGTATCAACTCAAGAGAGAACAAGATATGGCACTTGGAAAGGAAAGGTAATAACTGCAATAATAATGTTCAGGCTCTGTTATTTTTTGAGGCTGGTTCAATAAAATGTAATGTAACATTAACAATTTCTTGGGAAAAAAAACCAATCAACTGCTCTTCTCTTTTTATCTATGGCTCTATATTCTGCATGAATACAAATGCCCTTGTACTCGGGCATTTGTGAGGAATTCTGGGATGTTAAGTAACAATGAAAGTGAAATTTGTAATATTTTACTTAAGAATAAATGCTAATTAAAGCTTTATTTATAAAATATTATCTACTTGTTTTTAATCTAAATGCCTCCTCAATTTCAGCTATTGATTTCACTCCATTCAAATCTAGGATGAATGTATGTTGTAGTCTAGTGCATTATGCCATCTTTTTCAATTCAAAATACCCTGTTCACAGAAGGAGTGATTTTTCTTCATGTTTGCTAACCCGTTATCTTTCCACAGGCTTTGAGGGATGGCGATATATGGGTTATACACTGAGAGCAAAAGCAAGCTTGAGGCAGTGCTTTCTAAGCTTTTCTGTTTACTCAAGTTGGGCACCCAACCCTAACTGTAACGTCCAGAGTGGGTCTCTTTGGTCCAGGTATCTCTGTCTGGTAATCTCGAGGGTCTCTTTAACTAAGAGCTTTACAAAGATAATAGAATGATTTGTTGAGAATGATTGAATCCAAACCCTACAATTAAAACTAGTTTCCAACTTCAGCATTAATGTAGATAACAACCTATGAGCTATCATAAACTGGAATTTGATATCCCTTTTCAGTGTTTCCTCCTCTGCATGAGTGGTTCAGGGAACATTTTCTGTTAGGATATCTGTTCTCTGGGCTTCCCCTTTTTCTTGTCAATAGTCCATGCTCTTCAATGTCCCAGGCTATCAGATGAGCCCATATTGCTATTTTCAGACATTTCTTTGGCTCTATGTATATCAGGGCTAAAGTTTGCTTTGAGTGTAGGCTTTATGGACTGTTTCTATAGACCTGCTTGTGTCTGGAATGCTCTGGAAAATGCAGATGCTTTACTTTCCCTGTGCACCTGGGTGCCAACTATGGAGTCTATGCAGCCGCTCCACTCCATACTTCTCATCTAAGCACTGTCTTGCATCCACACTCTCTCTTCCAGAGGTGGTGTAGTCCTCTCACTTTGTCTTAGGTGATGTGAAGGGTTCTATTCACCTCCTTTTTTGCTGAAAAAGTATGTCCCTCATGGAGTCAAGGTGAAAATGGATTCCTCCACTGAGTGGTACCAAGACAGCTCCTACTCAATGCCATTCATCATTCCCAAGCAACAAAGGCTCAGGAGATGTGCAATTCCCATCTACGCCATGTGCAGGAAACCCACTTAGACACAAGGATGTGTTGCAGGAGTTAGGGAGAATTGCTCATACTTCCATAACAAACCAACCACTCCGTCTCCTTCTCTTTTTAAATTCCTTCCTTCCTTTCTTCCTCCTTCCCTCCCTCCCTCCCCTCCAGATTCCTTCCAATTACTTTGAAAAGAAGTTTAACTTGCCACATACTGAATACAGAAAAATGGCTTGTTCACCTATCTTCCTGCACATTCTCAATCTTGATTCTGTATCAGATTTATCTTCAATTTTTTAGAAATAAGAAGCTTGAGCCACTCTTCCACTGAAACAGAATTTCTGGGAATGACAGTTAAGAAGTCTGTATTTTTAAAAATCTCCACTCTTTAAAAAATACTCTAACATGCAATGTGCAGCCAGATTTGAGAACCTATAGACTGAATGTTGCCTGCTGTGGCCATGATGTGTTAAATGCTACATTTAAATGCACTGGTTGTATTGCAGTCAGTTTAGTTTAAGTCTCTTTTTCATGGCCTGGCTAGAGGGAAAACATTAAGAATGTGGTTTGTCACACCAGACTTCCAAAGTTCAAATCCAGACTCTATCCTTGTGTGTTTTATTGAGCAAGTTATTTAATCTCTCCATGCTTCATTTTATTCATCTATAAAATAAGCATTAAAATAGTACCTATCTCATGGCATCCTTGGATGATTAAACAAGATTATACATGTAAAGCACTAGGAACATGTGCTTGACACATAGTTAATGCTGCTGAAATATTAACCATTACCATTATGTCATCCTGAGCAAATCACAGAGGTCTCCTAGAGTTTGAAAGGGCTTTAAAAGTTCATCTGGTCCTCAGGTAGTTTAATATTATTATGATCTTCGTTTTACAGATTGGAAAGCTCAGGTTCCTAAGTATATGCCTTCCCACGATGATTCAGAATGAAATTAACAATTATAATAACAAAAACAATAACAACTAGTATCTATTGAGTGGGTTGCTACATGCCAAACACTGTATTAAGTTTTTGATGTACATTATATCCTCAACTCCATGGTTTTCAACCTTTATGTGCACACAAGTCACCTGGAGATCTTGTTAAAATGTAGATTCTGACTCCCTAGGCCTTGGATGGGGCTCAAGATTCCACACCTCTAACAAGCTTCCAGATGATGGTGCTGCTGCTAGTCCAGGATCCACCCTTTGAGTAGCATGGTTTAACCTTAACAACGACCCTACCTGATAGGTACTATTTTTTGTCCAATTATTTTTCTTTACCCAGTATTTGACTTACTTTTGAAACTCCAGTTCAATATCACTGATTCAGGGTCATAGAAATGACTCAGGGTCACAGAAGTTTTTCATCAGACATGGCTAGTGACTTCTGGTCTTATTTTGGTGACATTTGCTTTTCCTTACTAAGTTACAACACTATAATTACACATGCAGTACCCAATGATCTTAAGATGTTATATGTAATTACTAAAGTTTAAACTCTGACAAACAATTCACCATAGGAACTATAGGAGACACAGAAGCATGATGTTAAAATTTGCCACATTTCGTCTTTATCTCAGACATTTAGAAGAGATGATTCTGCTCATGAAGACATGAAAATACTATGGTTACTCAATATGCACCTGTTTTTTGAGTGCTGGTGTATAATTAAGCACCTTGCTAATCATAGATGTCTAGGGAGTACTAGCCAGGCCTAGCCAGGCGCCAGTTAGGATAAGTAACTGGAACTAGGTTTACTGGGAGCTCTCACTTGAGTAGTAGGAGGTGTTGATTCAGACCTCTGGGGACCAGATGCTGAGACAGAACGAGGAGTGCAATAGATTTACTGCACTGGAGAGTAACGTTTGTGAAGAGAAAAGGGGAAAGTAAGGATTGGACGTGAGGCGCTGTCAGACCATGATGCTGATCGGACAAAGTATCTGCCAGCCCACTGGAGAGCTCTGAGCACAGATTGCTCATTACAGAAGTCAGCATTAGTGGATGGTTATGCCTGGGGGCCACCCAAAAAATAGTTTGATGTGGGCTCAAAAGCTGAAGCAGGCCTGAATGAGTTAACAGCTGGAATTGTCTGCTAACTCCACTCCTGGGCAACGTGTTCTTTCTTGAGGGGGGGGCCTGCAACATGGGCTACCACAGAAAACAACCAGGAAAGCTGAAGATCAAACTTAAATATAAGGAACCAAGGATTCTAAGCTCAGTGAAATGGGTTAAACTCAAATAAGGTCAGGATTAAAAAAGATGGGAGGGAGTGTTATAACTCGGGAATGACCTGAGCCTTTGTCTTGACACCAGCAAGAATTTAAGACTTACTTTGATGGGCAAGAGAAGGCACAAGGCATGGAGGGGTCATTCTGGCTTTAAGGGCCAGGGGTGTGATATACAATTAAAAATATATAAAGCATTCCATAGCTATCTCCGCTCTAAGCAGGGACATGACTTTAAAACTTTGGGGATATATGACAATTGCTGTATGTTCTGCTGCTTAGTGGCAGAGGCCAAATGGCATAGATATCACTGTTACATAGATATGTATAGGTCTGGTATGATGGATAAGGAGGTAGGCCCTGGAATGCGACAATTAATCCAAGTCCCAGTACTATTCCTTCAAGTTCTGTGACCTTAAGAAAGTTATTTATCTCTATAACTTCAGTTTATTATATGTAAAAAAATAGACTAAAAGACTCTGAGATTTTTTTTTTTGCTAGTTTATGAATATTACACAGAATTCTGGATCTTGGTTATACTTTCAAATAGGGAGAAATGCAGTGTCAGCATGATTTAATTTGATGGGCTTTCAGAACGCTGCCTTCCTAACTTCCCATATCCATACATCCCTATATTGAAGGGTTTGGAATTTTGAAGTGGGGGGCAGTTGGGGGAAAAGAATGGTAGCTTGTATTTATTTGTTTTGAGCAAGGGTCTCTTGCTATATCACCGAGGCTGGAGTGCAGTGACTCTTCTCAGGTGTGGTCATAGCACAATATAGCCTCGAACTCCTGTGCTCAAGAGATCCTACTGTCTCAGGCTCCCAAGTAGCTGGCACTACAGATATGTGCCACTGCACCCACTATGGAATAGTAACTTTGAGCATGGGCAGTTTCCCAGAAGCATAGGCCTGTGTGGCTACTGCTTGGGTGTGTGTGGCTGACAGTGGAAGGAAGATGAAAGGAAAGAAGGTCTGTTTGTCCAGAGGGCAGAATCAGAGCTTTAGGTTTCTGGGAAGGGAGAAACAGCTGAGAGATGGAGGACAGTGTCCAGGGAAGAAGAAAAAGACAAACCCAATTTCATTGAGAGCAAATTTTGAGTAGCAGAATCTGAGAGAGTCCTAGGAAGCTTGCAGAGAAACTAGAAGCAAATCATAGCGTGGAGGGCAGAGCAATCATGTCTGTGGGATGAACAGAAGGATTTGAAAAATGCATGATTAGGTCAAAGACAGGAAGTTAACTACCAAAAATGTTATGAGCTATTCTCCAGAAAACAAGCTTTACTTGATACAGAAAGGGTAAACATTAGCTCCAAAGTAGCATTTCTTGTCGACAAAGACTGATATCATAAATCAACAAGGGAGGTTGTGAAATTCACAACCATTGAAGATAGCCCCAGTGTGGCCCTGCATGAAGTTGAGAAAACAAGAAATAACCACTTTTAAAGCCTTTTAGCCCTAGGATTCTTTGATTTATGGAAAAATTTAACATCTTTACTTTTTCTACTTCACCTATCATCTCATGTGCATGCGGCAAAGGTCTGAGTGTGTAGTTTACTGAGTAACAAGCCCAGAAACCCGCCGGAGCACACACACAGTGAGGTGACTCTGTCGCCCATAGAGCCACTAAAATGACATCAATAAATCATAAAATATGCCCAAGAGGGCATTATAAATCATTTAGAGTTGCTATTAATATTTTAGACATGTACATTTTTAGCAGTGTGTTAAATTTTAGTGTTTGCATTCCATTTTAATTTAGCACTTGATAATTGAAAAATGAGGCTGTTAAAAAATGATCTTAGATTTTTTTTTTTTTTGGTTAAACATTTAAGGATTGAATAGAATAAGGGAAATGGTCACTGCTAGATTCATTTTCTCTAAAATTGTTGCCTGGCACTTTGGATACTTATTCTCTTGGAGTAGGGGAGGGTGATAACCATTGGTCTTCCTTGGTAAGGAAGAAACATTTTGATCTCCCTTCCAGGCTGTGAAGCTCTTACTTTACGTGGCACTGTGGTGACTGGTAGAGTAAACAATTTATCCCAGTTTGTCCAGGGCTTTCCTGGTTTAAGCGTTCCTAAGAGACACCTCAGTGCAAAGCCAACTGAAATGGCTGGTTACCCTGGGTAGGCCCAAAGTCCAGAGTACTGGCTCCTGGAAAAATGGTAGATTTGATCACAGTAGTCTTTAGCACCTTCTTACTTTCTTTCTGTGACCTGCCTCTTGTATCTACTTTGGGAAAATCCCATAATTTAGTCTATGGGACTGACTTAAGTCATGTATTTGTCTCTCAACAATCACCGTGGCCAAGAAAGTGGACTACACTGATTGCCCAAGCCTGAGAAACATATCCAGACTTAGATGTGGGGATGGAATAAAGTCAGTCTCACCCAAATTATCTGCAAAGGGCAGGGAGGTGCCTCATCAAAGGAAAATTGAGAGGTCTATTACCAAAAGAAATAAAGGAATGAATTCCATGCAGGAAAAAGCTAGAAATGAACACTTGAAGTAGCTATTTAAATTGAGTTGGTTTGAGGTTGAAATGAGAAAATATAAAAGTATTTTATAAACTAAAATGTACTGTGCAATTTTTAAAAAGGCTCTTCTTTTATTAACTGATGTACTACTCTGCTCAGAGTTTAGAAATGAAAGATTTTGAAAGCCTGCACTCTGATTTGATTATTGGAACATTCACTATAAACCCATGCAAATAAAACCAGCATAGCCTTACTGGGAAAGCATAGCTGTGGCATATTCTTATTTTCCTTTTTGTTTTTCTTGTTGGCCTTATGGAGGAGAAAATCATGGAGGGAGTGAGGAAAAGAAAGAGAAGCTGGATAGCATTGCATATCAAGAAAAATTTATGGTCAACTAAACAAGCTTTCTCCGTTTCAAACATACTGTTTTATTTTGAAAAGTAAATATTGATTTTCTTAATATGAATGATAATTTAACCTGGGTATAATGATTATATAAGCATTAACTTTAAGCTATTTCTACTTAACCTAATTCCATTTTTTTCCTTTTTATTTCTTGGAGAGAATATTTCTTTTTCCTTCAATATTTCTGCTGTTCAGAAACCTATATACAGTAACTGATGTCAGCAAGATTGTGGAGTAGGAAGCCCTGGACCCGTCTTCTCCTACAAACACATCAATCCAGCAACAACTCGTAGACAAATTACCTGTGTGATGGAAATCCTCAGCTTTTGTTTGTCTGGTGAAGACAGCTTTTCCAGGGGTAAACAAGAGCTGAGGAAGTTTATCACCACCAGACATGCCTTACAAGAAATGCTAAAGGGAGTTCTTAAAGTTGAAATGAAAGGATGCCAAATAGAAGTATGATAGCATAAGAAAGTATGAAACTCATTGGTAGAGGTAAATATATGGACA
The DNA here is from genome assembly GCF_000001405.40 of Homo sapiens. NCBI lineage: Eukaryota > Metazoa > Chordata > Mammalia > Primates > Hominidae > Homo > Homo sapiens. Next base: position 127,195,187 of record NC_000005.10, read on the forward strand.
AATACAAAATACTGCATTACTGTAATGGTGGTGGGAAAATCGCTTTAAAAAGCATAAAAGTTAAAGGCAAAAGTATAAAAAATAAATATAACCAAAAATATGTTAAAATACACAATATGAATAATATAAAATGTGACAACAATAACATAAAATGAGTGTATGTAGGGGGAGGAGAAATTAAAGTATGGAGTTTTGGTACATGATCAAATTTAAGTTGTTACTGGCTTAAAACAGACTGTTATAAGATATTATATGTAAAAGATATTTTATGTAAGTCCCAAAGAAATCATACACAAAAAATAGAAGTTACCCAAAAGAAGAAAGGAATCAAAGCCTATCAATACCAAAAAATTTTTTAAAACACAAAGGAAGGCAGCAAGAAAGGAAAAGACAGGTAGAAGAATTACAAGGCTAACAGAAAACAATTAACAAAGTTGTGATAGTAAATTCTTCTTTATTAATAATTACTTTAAATGTAAATGAGTTAAACTCTCTAATCAAAAGACATAAAATAGCTGAACAGATTAAAAATGAGACCAACTATACGCTCTCTATAAGAAACTCATTTTAGATTTAAAGACACACATAGGCCGAAAGTAAGGAGATGGAAAAAGATATTGCATGCAAATGGTAACCAAAGGAGAGCAGAGTTGGCAATACTTACATCAGTCAAAATAAATTGTAAGTCAAAACTATTACAAGAGACAAAGAAGGACATTATATAATGATAAAATGTTCAATCCACCAGGAATAAATACATTTGCACCCAGCATCAGAACACCTAAATATATATGGCAAACATTGCCAGAAATGAAGGGAGAAGTAGACAACAATACAATAATTGTAGAAGATTTCACTACCCAATTTTCAATAATAGAACATTCAGGCAGACTACCAATAAGGAAATGGAGGATATGAACAACATTATCGGCCAAATGGATCTGATAGACATATATAGAACATTCTACCCAACAACAGCACCTATTCTTCTCAAGAGTACATAGAACATTCTCCAGGATAGCTTACATGTCAGATCATAACACAGTTTTGACAAGTTTAAGAAGATTGAAATCATTTTCTGACATTGATGGAATGAAACTTGAAATCAATAGCACAAGTAAAATGGGAAAATTCACAGGAATATGAAAATGAATCAACACACTCTTGAACAATCACTGGGTCAAAGGGGAAATAGAAAAAAGGAAATTAGAAATACCTTGAGACAAATGAAAATGAAAACACAACATGCCAAAACTTATGAGATACAACAAAAGCAACACTACAAGGGAAGTTTGAGCAATAAAAATCTGCACTATAAAAGAAGAAAGTTCTCAAATAAACAACCTAACTTTATAGCTAAAGTAACTAGAAAAATAAGAAAAAACTAATCACAAAGTTAGCAGAAGGAAGGAAATAGCAAAGATTAGGGCAGAAATAAATGAAATAGAAAAACATCAGCAAATGAAGAGTTGGATTTTTGAAAGGATAAACAAAATAGACAACCTTTAGCTAGGCTAAGAACAAAAGAGAGTAGACTCAAATAAATAAAATCAGAAATGAAAAAAGATATTACAACTGATGCCACATAAATAAGAAGATTCATAAGACACTACTATGAAGAATTATACACCAAAAAAACTGAATAACCTAGAAGAAATGGATAAATTCATAGAAACATACAATCTACCAAGGCTAAATTATGGCAGAAGTCTGAACAATCTTATAGCTACTATGGAGATTGAATCAGTAATCAAAAACCTCCCAACAAAGAAAAGCTCAGGACCAGATGATTTCATTGTTGAATTCTACCAAACATTTAAAGAATTAATGTCAATTCTTCTCAAACTCTTCCAAAAAATTGAAGAGGAAGGAATACTTCCAAACTCTTAAGAAAAACCTTCAACAAAATACCAGCAAACCAAATCCAACAGCACATTAAAAAAATCATACATGGATTCTGTTCCAAGATGGTCGAATAGGAACAGCTCTGGTCTGCAGCTCCCAGCATGACTGATGCAGAAGATGGGTGATTTCTGCATTTCCAACTGAGGTACCTGGTTCATCTCACTGGGACTGGTTGGATAGTGGGTGTAGCCCACGGAGGGCAAGCCAAAGCAGGGTGGGGCATCGCTTCACCCAGAAAGAGCAAGGGGTTGGGGAATTTCCCTTTCCTAGCCAACGGAAGCCATGACAGACTGTATCTGGAAAAATGGGACACTCTTGCCCAAATACTGCGCTTTTCCAATGGTCTTAGCAAATGGCACACCAGAAGATTATATCTTGCACCTGGCTCAGTGGATCCCACTCCCACTGAGCCTTGCTAACTGCTAATGCAGCAGTCTGAGATCGACCTGCGAGGCAGCAGCCTGACAGGGGGGAGGGTCATCTACATTGCTGAGGCTTGAGTAGGTAAACAAAGCATCTGGGGAAGCTTGAACTGGGTGGAGCCCACTGCAGTTCAGCAAGGCCTGTTGCTTCTGTAGACTCCACCTCTGGGGGCAGGGCATAGCTGAACAAAAGGCAGCAGAAACTTCTGCAGACTTAAACGTCCCTGTCTGACAGCTCTGAAGAGAGCAGTGGTTCTCCCTTCATGGTGTTTGAGCTCAGAGAATGGACAGACTGCCTCCTCAAGTGGGTCCCTGACCCCTGTATAGCCTAACTGGGAGACATCTCCCAGTAGGGGCCAACTGACACCTCAAAAAGGCAGGTGTCCCTCTGGGATGAAGCTTCCAGAGGAAGGATCAGGCAGCAATATTTGCTGTTCTGCAATATTTGCTGTTCTGCAATATTTGCTCTTCTGCAGCCTCTGCTGGTGATACTCAGGCAAACAGGGTCTGGAGTGGACCTCCAGCAAACTCCAACAGACCTGCAACTGAGAGACCTGACTGTTAGAAGGAAAACTAACAAACAGAAAGGAATAGCATCAACATCAACAAAAAGGACATCCACACCAAAACCCCATCTGTACATCACCAGCAGCAAAAACCAAAGGTAGATAAAACCACAAAGATGGGGAGAAACCAGAGCAGAAAAGCTGAAAATTCTAAAAACCGGAGCACCTCTTCTCCTCCAAAGGATCACAGCTCCTTGCCAGCAATGGAACAAAGCTGGATGGAGAATGACTTTGATGAGCTGACAGAAGTAGGCTTGAGAAGCTCTGTAATAACAAACTTCTCTGAGCTAAAGGAGGATGTTCGAACCCATCACAAGGAAGCTAAAAACTTTGAAAAGGCTAGAATAAACAGTGTAGAGAAGACCTTAAATGACCTGGGAGCTGAAAACCATGGCACGAGAACTACATAACATATGCACAAGCTTCAATAGCCAATTCGATCAAGTGGAAGAAAGGATATCAGTGATTGAAGATCAAATTAATGAAATAAAGTGAGAAGTTTAGAGAAAAAGAATAAAAAGAAATGAACAAAGCCTCCAAGAAATATGGGACTATGTGAAAAGACCAAATCTACATTTGATTGGTGTACCTGAAAGTGACAGGGAAAATGGAACCAAGATGGAAAACACTCTGCAGGATATTATCCAGGAGAACTTCCCCAACCTAGCAAGGCAGGCCAACATTCAAATTTAGGAAATACAGAGAACACCACAAAGATACTCCTTGAGAATATCAACCCCAAGACACATAATTGTCAAATTCACCATGGTTGAAATGAAGGAAAAAATGTTAAGGGCAGCCAGAAAGAAAGGTTGGGTTACCCACAAAGGGAAGCCCATCAGACTAACAGCAGATCTCTCGGTAGAAACTCTATAAGCCAGAAGAGAGTGGAAGCCAATATTCAACATCCTTAAAGAAAAGAATTTTCAACCCAGAATTTCATATCCAGCCAAACTAAGCTTCATAAGTGAAGGAGAAATAAAATCCTTTACAGACAAGCAAATGCTGAGAGATTTTGTCACCACCAGGCCTGCCTTACAAGAGCTCCTGAAGGAAGCACTAAACATGGAAAGGAAAAACTGGTACCAGCCACTGCAAAAACATGCCAAATTGTAAAGGCCATCAATGCTAGGAAGAAACTGCATCAACTAATGGGCAAAATAACCAGCTAACATCATAATGACAGGATCAAATTCACACATAATAATATTAACCTTAAATATAAATGGGCTGAATGCCCCAATTAAAAGACACAGACTGGCAAATTGGATAAAGAGTCAAGACCCATCAGTGTGCTGTATTCAGGAGACCCATCTCATGTGCAGAGACACACATAGGCTCAAAATAAAGGGATAGAGGAAGACCTACCAAGAAAATGGAATGCAAAAAAAAGCAGGGGTTGCAATCCTAGTCTCTGATAAAATAGACTTTAAATCAACAAAGATCAAAAGAGACAAAGAAGGCCATTACATAGTGGTAAAGGGATCAATTCAACAAGAAGAGCGAACTATCCTAAATATATATGCACCCAATACAGGAGCACCCATTTTCATAAAGCAAGTCCTTAGAGAACTACAAAGAGACTTAGACCCCCACACAATAATAATGGGAGAGTTTAACAACCCACTGTCAATATTAGACAGATCAACAAGACAGAAGGCTAACAAGGATAACCAGGACTTGAACTCAGCTCTGCACCAAGCAGACCTAATAGACATCTACAGAACTCTCCACCCCAGCTCAACAGAATATACGTTCTTCTCGGCACCACAACGCACTTATTCCAAAATTGACCACATAGTTGGAAGTAAAGCACTCCTCAGCAAATGTAAAAGAAAATAAATCACAACAAACTGTCTCTCAGACCACAGTGCAATCAAATTAGAACTCAGGATTGGGAAACTCATTCAAAACCACACAACTACCTGGAAACTGAACAACCTGCTCCTGAATGACTACTGGATAAATAATGAAATGAAGGCAGAAATAAAGATGTTCTTTGAAACCAATGAGAACAAAGACACAATGTACCAGAATCTCTGGGAAACATATAAAGCAGTGTGTAGAGGGAAATTTATAGCACTAAATGCCCACAAGAGAAAGCAGGAAAGATCTAAAATTGACACCCTAACATCACAATTAAAAGAACTAGAGAAGCAAGAGCAAACACATTCAAAAGCTAGCAGGTGGCAAGAAATAACTAAGATCAGAGAAGAACTGAAGGAGATAGAGACACAAAAAACCCTTCAAAAAATCAATGAATCCAGGAGCTGGTTTTTTGAGAAGAGCAACAAAATTGATAGACCGCTTGCAAGACTAATAAAGAAGAAAAGAGAGAAGAATCAAATAGGCGCAATAAAAAATGATAAAGGGGATATCATCACCAATCCCACAGAAATACAAACTACCATCAGAGAATACTATAAAACTTCTATGCAAATAAACTAGAAAATCTAGAAGAAATGGATAAATTCCTGGACATGTACACCCTCCCAAGACTAAACCAGGAATAACTTGAATCCCTGAATAGACCAATAACAGGCTCTGAAATTGAGGGAATAATTAATAGACTACCAACCAAAAAAAGTCCAGGACCAGATAGATTCACAGCCAAATTCTACCAGAGGTACAAGGAGGAGCTGGTACCATTCCTTCTGAAATTATTCCAATCAATAGAAAAAGAGGGAATCCTCCCTAACTCATTTTATGAGGCCAGTATCATCCTGATACCAAAGCCTGGCAGAGACACAACAAAAAAAGAGAATTTTAGACCAATATCCCTGATGAACATCAATGTGAATATCCTCAATAAAATACTGGCAAACCGAATCCAGCAGCACATCAAAAAGCTTATCCACCACAATCAAGTCAGCTTCATCCCTGGGATGCAAGGCTGGTTCAACATATGCAAATCAATAAACATAATACATCACATAAACAGAACCAATTACAAAAACGACACGATTATCTCAACAGATGCAGAAAAGGCCTTCGACAAAATTCAACAGCTCTTCATGCTAAAAACTCTCAGTAAATTAGGTATTGATGGGACATATCTCAAAATAATAAGAGCTATTTATGACAAATCCACAGCCAATATCATACGGAATGGGCAAAAACTGGAAGCATTCCCTTTGAAAACTGGCACAAGACAGGGATGCCCTCTCTCACCACTCCTATTCAACATAGTGTTGGGAGTTCTGGCCAGGGCAATCCGGCAAGAGAAAGAAATAAAGGGTATTCAATTAGGAAGAGAAGAAGTCAAATCATCCCTGTTTGCAGATGACATGATTGTATATCTAGAAAACCCCATTGTCTCAGCCCAAAATCTCCTTAAGCTGATAAGCAACTTCAGCGAAGTCTCAGGATACAAAATTAATATGCAAAAATCACAAGCATTCTTATACACCGATAACAGACAAACAGAGAGCTAAATCATGAATGAACTCCCATTCACAATTGCTTCAAAGAGAAAAAAATACCTAGGAATCCAACTTACAAGGGATGTGAAGGACCTCTTCTAGGAGAACTATAAACCACTGCTCAACAAAATAAAAGAGGACACAAACAAATGGAAGAACGTTCCATGCTCATGGATAGGAAGAATCAATATCGTGAAAATGGCCATATTGCCCAAGGTAATTTATAGATTCAATGCCATCCCCATCAAGCTGCCAATGACTTTCTTCAAAAAATTGGAAAAAACTACTTTAAAGTTCATATGGAACCAAAAAAGAGCCCCCATTTAACAAGACAATCCTAAGCCAAAAGAACAAAGCTGGAGGCATCATGCTACCTGACTTCAAACTATACTACAAGGCTACAGTAACCAAAACAGCATGGTACTGGTACCAAAACAGAGATATAGACCAATGGAACAGAAGAGAGGCCTCAGAAATAACACCACACATCTACAACCATTTGATCTTTGACAAACCTTTGAAACACAAGAAATGGGGAAAGGATTCCCTATTTAATAAATGGTGCTGGAGAAACTGGCTAGCCATATGTAGAAAGCTGAAACTGGATCCCTTCCTTACACCTTATACAAAAATTAATTCAAGATGGATTAAAGACTTAAATGTTAGACCTAAAACCATAAAAACCCTAGAAGAAAACCTAGGCAATGCCATTGAGGACATAGGCATGGGCAAAGACTTCATGACTAAAACACCAAAAGCAATGGCAACAAAAGCCAAAATAGACCAATGGGATCTAATTAAACTAAGTAGCTTCGGCACAGCAAAAGAAGCTACCATCAGAGTGAATGGCAACCTACAGAATGGCAGAAAATTTTTGCAATCTACCCATCTGACAAAGGGCTAATATCCAGAATCTACAAAGAACTTAAACAAATTTATAAGAAAAAACAACCCCATCAAAAAGTGGGCAAAGGATATAAACAGACACTTCTCAAAAGAAGACATTTATGCAGCCAACAGACACATGAAAAAATGCTCATCATCACTGGTCATCAGAGAAATGCAAATCAAAACTACAATAAGATACCATCTCACAACAGTTAAAATGGCGATTATTAAAAAGTCAGGAAACAACAGATGCTAGAGAGGATGTGGAGAAATAGGAACACTTTTACACGTTGGTGGGAGTGTAAACTAGTTCAACCATTGTAGAAGACAGTGTGGTGATTCCTCAAGGATCTAGAACTAGAAATACCATTTGACCCAAATACCTTTGACCATTTGACCCAAAGGATTAAAATCATGCTGCTATAAAGACACATGCACATGTATGTTTATTGCGGCACTATTCACAATAGCAAAGACTTGGAATCAACCCAAATGTCCATCAATGATACACTGGATTAAGCAAATGTGGCACATATACACCATGGAATACTATGCAGCCATAAAAAATGATGAGTTCATGTCCTTTGCAGGCACATGGATGAAGCTGGAAACCATCAGTCTCAGCAAACTATCACAAGGACAGAAAACCAAACACCGCATGTTCTCACTCTTAGGTGGGAATTGAATAATGAGAACACTTGGACACAGGGCAGTGAACGTGTCACCCTGGGGCCTGTCGTGGGGTGGGGAGCAGGGGTAGGGATAGCATTAGAAGAAATACCTAATGTAAATGACGAGTTAATGGGTGCAGCAAACCAACAAGGCACATGTATACCTATGTAACAAACCTGCACGTTGTGTACATGTACCCTAGAACTTAAAGTATAATAATTATAAAAAAAATACACAATGACCAAGTGTAATTTATCCTTAGTCTGCAAGGATGGTTCAATATACAAAAATCAATTAATGTGATACACCACATTAACAGAAAAAAAGGATAAAAATCACATGATCCTTGCAATAGATACAGAAAAAGCATTTGAAAAAATTGAGTACCCTTTCATAACAAAAAACTTCAACAAGTTAGGAATAGAAAGTACCTCAATATAATGAAGGCTGTATATGAAAAGCCCACAGCTAAGTACATAAGATCATTTTAAAGATTCAAGGAAAAAAAACCTCTAGAACTATTAAACAAATTCAGTAAAATTGCAGGATACAAAATCAATATATAAAAATCAGTTGTGTTTCTGTATACTAACAACAAACTCTCTGAAAAGGAAATTAGGAAAACATTTCCATCTATAATAGCACCAAAAAGAATAAAAACTTAAGCATATACCGAAGAGGTGAAAGACTTGTATACAGAAAACCACAAAACACTGATGAAAGAAATTTAAAAAGATGCAAACAAATGGAAAGACATCCTGCGTTCATAGAATGGAAGACTTAGTATTGTTAAAATATCCATACTCACAGTGATTTACAGGTTCAATGCAACCCTTATTAAAATCTCAGTGGCATTTTGTACAGAAATAGAAAAAAAAATTCTGTGATTCATATGAAACCACAAAAGCCCAAGAATAGCCAAATTGATCCTCAGAAAGCACAAAGGTGCAGGCATCATACTTCCTCATTTCACAATTCTTTTAGAAAACCACAGGAATGAAAACAGTATGGTACTGACATAAAGACAGACATACAGATCAGTGGAAGAAAATAAAGAGCCCAGAAATAAATCCATATACCTATTACCAGGTATATGTATATGATATACATATAACCAGAAATAAATCCATATATACAGTCAACTGATCTTTGACAAGGATACCAGAAATACACAATGGGGAAGGAATAGTCTCTTCAACAAATGGTGTTGGGAAAACTGGATGTCCACATGCAAAATAATGAATTAGACCCATATGTTAAACTGTATGCAAAAAATCAACTCAAAATTAATTAAAGACTTAAACACAAGACCTGAAACTGAAGAACCCATTGAAGAAAACGTAGAGGAAAAGCTTCCTGACATTGGTCTTGATACTGATTTCATGAACATAACACCAAAAGCATGGGCAACAAAACCAAAAATGAACAAGTGAGACTATATGAAATTAGAAGCCTCTGCACATCAAAGGAAATAATCAACAGAGTGAAGAAATGATCAATAGAATGGGAGAAAATATTTGCAAACCATATATCTGATAAGGGGTTAATCTGTGAAATATATAAAGGACATCTACAGCTCAATAGTTGTAGAACCTAATTAAAAAATGAGCTAAGGCCATGAATAGCTGTTTATTCAAAGAAGATATACACATGGCCAATAGGTATAGGAAAAAATCCTCAATGTCACTAATCATTAGGGAAGTGCAAATCAAAACCACAACGAGCTATTACCTCACACCTGTCAGGATAACTATTATCAAAGAACCAAAAGGCAACAAGTATTGGCACACATGTGGAGAGATTGGAACTCTTGCACACTGTTTATGGAATGCAAAATGATGCAGCCACTATGCAAAACAGTATGGAAATTCTTTAAAAAATTAAAAATAGAACTGCCTTTGATCCAGCAATCCCACTTCTAGATATTTACTTAAAAAATATTTTGAAAAGATATTTTTATTTTCATGTTCATTGCCACAACAACCAAGATATGTAAACAACCTAAATGTTCATCAGCAGATGCATGCATAAAGAAAATGCAGTATATACAAACAGTGAAATATGATTCAGCTTTAAAAAAAGGAAATCCTGCCATATGTGAACAACATGAAAGAACTTTGAGCATATTTCATTACGCTAAATGAAATAATCCCGTCATGGAAAGACAAATGATTCCATCTATATGAGGTATCAAAAATAATCAAATTCATACAATTGAAGAGTGGAATGATATTTGCTGTGGGGAGAGGTAAATGGTGAGATTCCCTAAATGATTCCTTATTGATTATGTCTAATGTTTATTGATTATGTCTAATCAATAGGCATAAAGTTTCAGTTAAGCAAGATAAATAAGCTCTAGAGATCTGTAAAACACTGTACCTATAGTCAGCAACAATGTACTGTACACGTAAAAATTTGAGACTAGATCTCATGTTGTGTTCTTACTACAATAAAGTAAAAACAAAACAAACAAACAAACAAAAAACAGAAAAGGACCTACACAGCCACTCCCATAACTCAGAAAGTTTCGCTCAAATGTCAAAGCCCAGAAAGGAAATGTCTCAAATTTTGTTACCTTCGCGGAACTCCTCAGGAAGAAGGCAAGGTGTGCCCATGTACCAAAAGCATTCCCAGGGCCTTTTCTGTTCATTCTACCTGCTCTGAATCTCATTTGTCTCAGAGAAAAAAAAATTTTTCCTTAGGTTACATGGTTCAGCTCTCAGGAAAGAAAGTATCTGTGCAATGTATCCTTCTCCCTTTCAAATCCTAATTATTCATTCTACTTCACATAAAATGCTCTTCTCCATTGAGGATATGCTTTAATTAAACCTAGAAACATACAGAAAAGTGCATGAATATATACATATAAATTTTAAGGATATTTTCTTATAGAAATGTATGTTCATTAAAAATTGAAGCAAAAGAAGCAGATAAAATGAAGATTAAAAAATCTCTCATATTCTACCCCTTGACTATTAGCACTACGAACATTGTGGAAACTATTCTTCCAGTCTTTTTAAGAGGAAGGATGGCAGTCTGGTATTTACACATTTTTTCATTTACAAAAATGGGACTATTATAAATTCATTTATAATCTGCCTTCCTCACATAACAGTATATGATTAATACTGTTTTCTAGAACAACCTATTTCTTAAAGGACTTATGTCTTTTTTTCTTTCTTCTTAAATATCTACTTTAAAATATCTTTGAACAGAGTAGCAATTGCTAAATACAAATGTGTAGAGATTTTTCTTCTTGCATTAATGTATTGCTGCCCCTGCCAAAGGAGATATTTGTATTTTAGTATTGCTATTCTGTAGACAATGGCTTAGTGCAAGGAAATAAATCTAACAATTGGTCCCATGGGGGATGTTTTGAAACAGAGTTCCCTCATTGTTTACATTATGACACATAGACCATTCATCCATTTGCTCATAAGACTGACCTCATTCTAAAGAGAATCTTCCCCCTAGCTCTCCCATGAGTGTTTATAGAGGGAAAGCGGGGTAGGGGCGGGAATCAGACTCAATATTCATTTTAAAAGGCATTGGTTAAAGATCTTCCTGCAAATGCTTGGCATATTGCATCAATGTCAACTGCATCCTTGAACACAATGCATGACTGGTACACTATTTAGCCACAGTCACATTTTGAAGTGTGTGGCTTCTCTATTTAACTGTCTGTGGCATGCAGTAATGGTAGGTTTTGGAGAGGGGACAAAGGGACATGCCAGTATTATACTTTTGTTACTTCTGTTTGTTTGAATATGCCCTGATGAACAAACATATATTTGTCCTGTGCCAATATCTTTGTAGGGTGGAAAACGGCATTTCACCAGCTGGACAGTATCATCCTACTTTAGAATTGAGGAAATTTGATGTTTAACTTGGGTGAAGTAATGCCAGGAAAGGCGTTTGGAGGAAGAAAAGTTGCTGACTGGTGAAACTGGCAATGCCTGGTATTGTCAGATTGAAAGTGGACCAGAAGACTAACTGTGAAGAACCAGGAAATGTGCCTGGATCTTTGATCAAAACAGGGAAGTGGCATAGTGAAAAATCTAAATAAATAAATAAATCTAAATCTCAAGTTGAAATGTAATCCCTAATGTTGAAGGTGGGGCCTGGTGGGAGATGATTGGGTCATGGGGGCAGATCTCTTGTGGCTTGGTGCTATCCTCGCAATAGTGAGTTCTCTCAAGATCTGGTTGTTTAAAAGTGTGTGGCACCTCCTACCCTCTCTCTTGCCCCTGCTCTGGCCATGCAACGTACCTGTTCCCTCTTCACCTTCTGCCATAAGTAAAAGCTCCCTGAGGCTCTCAAGCAGCTGAGCAGATGCCTGCACTATGCTTGTACAGCCTGTAGAACCATGAATCAATTAAACTTCTTTTCTTATAAATTACCCAGCCTCAGTTATTTCTTTATATCATGTAGACAATGGCCTAACACAAGTAGGAACTAGAGTGCCTTCAGGAAAGAATTTTATTTGAGTATTCTTTTTGTATGCCAGGCAATTTGCTTATGGCATTTCATGGGTTGGAGCAGCCACAGCAAGGCAGGGTCAGAGGTCCAGGCAAGGTGTTAGGAGGCAGATGGTAGGCACAGGTCAGCTCCCACCTCATACAAAAAGCTGCAGGTGTGTTTGTTGTAGGTGTCTGAGTCTTAGCTGGGATCATCAGGTGGAACCTGAGCGGGCAGCAAGCGGTTAAATATGGCTTCCCTGGAGGGTTCAGGTTCAGAACTCAAGGTCAATCTTACTATCATTCCTAGCACATCCAGCAAGTTCCAAGAAGGATTCAAGATAAATGATGTCAAGAGTATGGCAGCATGAGTAAACCAGCAGTATTTTAGCTGTTGCTTCAGCACGGGCAGCATGATGAGTGCTTGGTGGGTAGTGGTAGGAGGTGAGGCTAAAAGACAGGCGGCACCAAATGGAGGATTTTTACCTATTGAGGAATTTGGAGATATTCTGAGGGAATGTGGAAAATTAGAAAGCTGGAGAGGATTAATTTGGAAGACAAGGAGGCCCATTGAAAGGCTATGGCAATAAAGACAAAAGGCCAAGATACACATTGCAGTGTTATTTACAGGGCCAAAACACTGAAATAAGCTAAACAGCAACCAATAGAAATGAAGCCATGCCGTCGTGAAAAAAAATAAAGTAGCTCTCTATATACTACTGTTATTAAGTATTCTCCAGGATATGTTAAGTGAAAAGATTCAGGTGCAGAACAGTGTGTATACAATTTTAAATGTTGAATGAAATAATGAAAAAATAAAAATATATGTTTGCATATGCATACAAACTAGTATGAGGGTTAGCTATGGCCAGGGGGCAGGAACTTGGAATAGGAAAGGGGCTTATACTGTAGCCTTTTGTATTATTCACTGAAGTTTCCCATTTAGTGTACAGCAACTTGAACCATTGTCTTGTTGGCTGTATCACTCTGCTGTATCCCCCAAATATTTTCTGGCACAGGTGGGTGATGATTCTGAAAATGGGAAATTAGAGGAGCAAATTGGGACAATGGAGCATTCTTGGAAGCCTTCCCTTCTTAGCTGAGAATCTCTGCCATGACACAGAATTATACCTTTTCTCTCCCTTAGCCACACAAGCCAGTTGTATGGATATAAGAATAGGTGATAATTTTTAGATGGCACCATGTTCAGGATGCCAATATTTGATGAATAATACAAATTTTATTTAAAAACAGTTGTTATGACAACTGCAATGAACATTAGGATCTCACGTTGACATGGAAAAAAGAGTGTTCTCTCACCACCTCCCCAGCATACCCCTTCAAGCCATGATTAGTTCTTTGGTGCTTTTCAAATTTTTAACTTCTGGATACATTGTGTAAATATAAAACCAAGCTGAGATCTCACTCTCAGTGGGTTATTCATGAGACTGCTTTTGGCCAAGATACTTCAGTTTTCTCATGTTGGTTTAAGGCTTTGAAAAAAATCCTAGAACTCTGTGGTATAGATTTTCTGGTCTCCCTGAAGCACCCAGAATTGTTTTTTTTCTTTCTCCTTTTGAATCCAGGGAAACAAGCCTTTTTTTCTTAATATAGTTTTATTCACACATCATTAAGCTGATTTACTGTATTATGCACCACTGTAGTCTTAGCAATCATGGCTTTCTCTTATCCAGAGAATAAAACAATCATTCAGAGCCTACTATAATAATGGAATTTTGCTCAATTCTGAAAGTACATACCACTGGGGTTTTGCTAAAATCCCTGATTTTATTAAAGTTCACAAGGGGAGGGTATGGATGGATAGAAATTAAGTAAATTATAAATGCAACAAATGAAATGCTAAACTGTAAAGTTTAGGGCTTGATTGGTGTCTTAGTCTGTTTTTTGTTGCTTCCAACAGAATACCTGAAATTGGGTAATTTATAAAGATAGTTATGCAGGTTTAATCCAAGCTCCAGGGCTGCATCTGGTAAGGGCCTTCTTGCTGGTAGGGACTCAGGATAGTCTCAAGGTGGTACAGGGAATCACATGGTGAGAAGATTGAATGTGCTGGCTCAAGTCTCTCTTCCTCTTCTTGTAAAGCCATCAGTATCACTCCCATTATAACCCATTATTGATACATTAAGCAATGAATGAATTGATACAATCCATTCACCTCTTAAAGACCCTGCCTTTCAATACTTGACACATTGGAGATTAAGTTTCAACATGAATTTTGGAGGGGACATTTAAACCATAGCAATTGGCTAATGTAAAACATTTCTGAGGTGCAGTGTTTTTACCTGGGTTTCATCTTTCCTTATTTTACTTTGGAAAATGCATTTTGTTGAATTGTTTTGCTCTGTATTTTGGAACTCCCTGATTCCACATTTGCTGTCTTAAAACACACACACACACACACACACACACACACACACACACACACACACTATTTGTTTCCCTCTGTAAATGCTAGACTTTTAAATATTCTATGATTATCTCTGACACAACAAAGAGAAAAAGATCAAAAGTGATTCTCCACAATTGTTTGGCACTCAGAGGCAGGATTACACATGATGATGAGCCAGGAACATGTGGCACAGTTTGGAGATTAGTAAACAAGAGGCCATTATTGCCTATGGTGAACAACCACCTGGAAGTTGAGACAGTGGCATGTCCTAATCAGAAAAACAAATGACCAGCTGCAAGGTTAAAAGCTCATCATTCAAGCAATGTCCTTCAAATATTTGAAAGCATCTGGAAAAACCGGCATTGACATTAACTACAAACTCATTTGCCAGGCTTGGCAGCATTTCTCCACTTGACACCTCCCTAATCATTCATCTTGTGGGCCCAGAGCGTGCAGGCTATGCTTGTAAAAAGACAAAGTGAAAACTGAAAACCAGCAGGATTTTACTGAATAGATGCTTGCCCAGTGGCTGCCGAGGCACACTAGAGGGACCAGAACTTTTAGATAGTCTTTAGATGCCTTTTTCTTGCGTTTTCAGACCAAGATATTCTGACTATTCTTGGGCTGGCTTCCTTTGTTCTTTTCTTTGTTAAAGAACCAGGTAAGAGGAGTTTTTAAATATTCAAAATGAAAATGCAACATGAATACTTCTGTGAATCAACCCCAAGTTTACTTTAAAAGACTTTGTTAGAAATGGCAATATGTGTGATATGCAATATTTTCCAGGGATATCTGCTTCTGAAATGTCCCTTATGAGGGTGACTTAACCACAAATTAGAAATATATTGGAGAAAACCTTCACATGTACTGAATAAAAACACCCTGCTGATAAAGATAGGGAATATTCTTCCCTACATAGGGGAGCATGTTCGGGGGTCAATATAACTTTATGTTATATTGAACCTTGGAGCTCATCAAACAATGGTGTTAACAGTGGGCCTTAAGATTTTCCCCTATTTAGGTTTCAATGTCCAAAGTAGAAGGTAGGAACTTTACAAGTACTATTCTCCTTAGCATTGTGGACAGTATTTTGCCCCAAGCATTGTTCAGCAATTCCAAAAGACAATCAGCTATAATGATCACCTGTGTTTCAGATTTCTTTGAGACTTGCATTATATACCATTTCCAAACTCATGAACTCATCTTGGGGTTATATTTTAGCAAATGTCAAATGGAATTGGTAAATGATATGGGTGGTTTATATGTGAACAAATTTTAACAGAAAACTCACTAGGAGAAATTACTCCATCAAAAGCCTCGACAGATCACAGAATGAGGCATTCAGCACATGGTAAGGACCCAATGACTTGAAAGTAAATGACAACATTCAGTGACTTGGAATATTATCATCACTGTCAGACTGAATGACTGTGTGGCCAATGAATGCCTGCTTGATACTTTAGAATTAGTTTTTTCCAGCAGAACAATATTGACTCCTTCCAAAATGGTCAAAATAGTCCCATGGTAGCCTGAGTTTCTGGTCATAAAGTACATCAGATGAGAATTGCTAAGAGCTGAAGAAAAACCAATTTGCAGTTAGGTAAGAACTAGGGAGCCTGGGAGAAATATTTTAATTACTTCATAACTTACCAATTGAAATATGTCAAAGATAGGGATGAAGCTCAAAGACGGAGAGTTGAGATACCCTTAGAATCTAGAAACCACTTAAAATATTTCCTTTTGATCTAATATCACTCTCTTTTTTTTGGATTCAGAAATGTACCTACTTTGATTCAGCTATCTCCTGAAAAAATGATAAGATTGCTCGAGTTCATAGAAAAACCAAGAGCCTGAGAAGAAAGAACAGATGGATAGTCAGAAAAAAATAGATGTTCATGCAAGAGAGACTATAGTTTTATACTTGATAGTCAGAGAGGCTCAGCTGTGGTCCATGAATTTGCTTTATTCTATTTGGATAAAGATATTTTACTTATTGATGTGAAGATGAAGAGTTTAACTTTTGCTATGGGAACAGGGCAGGTGTCTAGGGGAGTGCTGGGGTGACAAGAAGAACACAAGCAACTGATCTTGCTTTGTTGAAGCTGCTACCACATGATTTCCCTATAATTTCCTTAGAGACTGATCCCTAGCCTCATCTCAAGGGATAGTAATCCAGATGAGTCCAGAGGCCCAAGTTCTCCAGAAGGTGGAGAGGAATGGATGCCTTTTGATCCTTAAAGCCAGGCTCAGCTTGTTTTGTGACTGCCAGATGGGGACCGACTCTTGTTCAAGTTCAATAACAACCCTGTGACTGTTGGACATGGTGACAGAATAGTTGACCTAATTTAAAAGGTTGCATTATCCAGACTTGAAAATGCTGAGTAATTTAGAACAAATCAGTGGAATGACCAGCCGCCTGTCATTATGGATAATGAAAACATGGAACTTGTTATCCCAAGATACAGGCTTTTTAGAAAGCTGTAGATAAATTCATAATGACAGAGCTAAATGTGTTAGTAAGGGGAACTAAGATATTTGAGGATATGCCTTTTGCCTCTCTAACATAGGGGATGGCAATCTTTTCTCTCTATGGGGTCTTTATTGGGGGTGACAATCATCTGGGTCATGTTATTCCCTGAGCAGGAGAGTAGGAATAGCCACTTGATCCACCAGCTCTGATATCAGGCTGACAGTGTTGCTGCCTGCAAAGTAATGAGTTAGACCTGAGGATCAGTGAAGGCTCTCATCCCACAGTCCCCAGGGATCCCACTGCAACCTTTCTTCATAGATGGTAGCTGGGCTCCAGTTTCTCTGAGGCATCTTTCTATGGAGGAGATGCCCTGCAGAACACACAGCCCTTGAGCTTGATCACTGCCCCCTCTCCCCAGAAGACTTCGACCCTGGGTTATGACAAGAAGCATGTCTAGCAAGGGCTGTTGGAGCTGAGGGTCCTGAGTGAAAGCTAAGTTTGTCATCCAATTCCCTTCTCAGGTGGCATCTTCTTGTTCACTTTGAACTCCACCAGAGGCATGGAGCCTACCTCCCTTACTCTCCTATTCAGATGTATAGAACTGGGCTGGCTGCAACACAACAATCTGTTCTCCCATCTATTTCCTCAAACATTAAATTTTAAATTTATAAATTATTTATTTAGATAATTTCAATGTATATTTTAGATTCAGGGGCTACATGTGCACATTTTTTACATGGGTATATTGTGTGATGCTGAGGTTTGGGGTACAGTTGATCTTGTCACCCAGGTAGTGAGTGAATACAGTACCCAATAGTTAATTTTTCAACCCTTTTCCCCCTCCCTCTCTCCATTCTCTAGTAGTCCCCAGTGTCTATTGTTGCCACATTTTTTCCATGAGTACCCAGTGTTAAGTTTCCACTTATATGTAAGAATATGTGGTATTTGGTTTTCTGTTCCTGCGTTAATTTGCTTAGGATAATGGACTCCAGCTGCATTCATGTTGCTGCAAAGGATATGACTTCATTGTTTTTTATGGCTGCATAGTATTCCACGGTATAGATGTACCATATTTTCTTTATGCAATCCACCACTGATGAGCACCTAGGTTGATTCCATGTATTTGCTATTGTGAATAGTACTGCAATGAACATATGAGTGCATGTGTCTTGTGGTAGAATGATTTATTTTCTTTTGAATATATACTCAGTAATGGGATTGCTGGATCTAATGGTAGTTCTGTCTTAAGTTCTTTGACAAACCCCCAAACTGCTTCTCACAGTGGCTGAACTAATTTACATTCTCACCAACAGTGTATAAGCATTCCCTTTCCTTTCCTCCTCAGCCTTGCCAACATCTGCTGTTTTTTGACCTTTTAATAATAGTTATTCTGGCTGGTGCGAGATGGCATTTCATTGTGGTTTTGATTTGCACTTCTATGATGATTAGTGATGATGAGTTTTCTTTTTTTTTTTGAGATGGAGTCTCACTCTGTCACCCAGGCTGGAGTGTAGTGTTGTGATTTCGGCTCACTGCAGCCTCTGCCTCCCGGGTTCAAGTGATTCTCCTGCCTCAGCCTCCTGAGTAGCTGGGATTACAGGTGCCCACCACCAGCCCAGCTAATTTTTTCATATTTTTATAGAGAAGGGGTTTCAACATGTTGGCCAGGCTGGTCTAGAACTCCTGACCTCAGGTGATCTGCCCGCTTGGCCTCCCAAAGTGCTGGGATTACAGGTGTGAGCCACTGCACCCAGCCGATGAGCATTTTTTCATGTTTGTTGGCTGCTTATATATATATATTTTTTGAGAAGTGTCTGTTCATGTCCTTTGCCCATTTTATAATGGGGTTATTTATATTTTTCTTATTGGCTTATAAGTTCCTTATAGATTCTGGATATTAGACCTTTGTTGAATGCATAGTTTGCAAATATTTTCTCACTTTCTGTACGTTTTCTGTTTGCTCTGTGACAATTTCTTTTGCTGTACAGAAGCTCTTTAAGAAGTTTAATTAGGTCCAACTTGTCAATTTTTGTGTTTTGTTGCAATTGCTTCTGGGGACTTAGCCATAAATTATTTTTCAAGGCCAGTGTCCCAAATAGGGTTTCCTAGGTTTTCTTCTAGGATTCTTATAGTTTGAGGTATTGTACTTAAATCCTTAATATATCTTGAGTTAATTTTTGTATATGGGGAAAGGTAAGGGTAAAGTTTCATTCTTCTGCATATAGCTAGCCAGTTATCCCAGCACCATTTGTTGAATAGGGAGTCCTTTCCCCACTGTTTATTTTAGTAGACTTTGTTGAAGATCCAATGGCTGTCGGTGTGTGGCTTTATTTCTGGATTCTCTATTCTGTTCCATTGGCCTATGTGTCTGTTTTTGTAACAGTGCTATGCTGTTTTGATTACTGTAGCCCTATAGTATAGTTTGAAGGCAGGTAGCGTGATGCCCCCAGCTTTGTTCTTTTTGCTTAGGATTGCCTTGGCTATTTGGGCTCTTTTTTGGTTCCATGTGAATTTTAGAATAGCCAAACAAGAATCTTAAATGGGCCAGGCATGATGGCTCACGCCTGTAATCCCAGCACTCTGGGAGGCCAAAGTGGGCAGATTACCTGAGGTCAGGAGTTCAAGACCAGCCTGGCCAACATGGTGAAACCCCGTCTCTACTGAAAATACAAAAATTAGATGGGCATGGTGGCTGAGTGCCTGTAGTCCCAGCTACTTGGGGGAGGCAGAGGCAGGAGAATCGCTTGAATCTGGGAGGCAGAGGTTGCAGTGAGCCGAGATCACACCACTGCACTCCAGCCTTGGTGACAGAGTAAGACTCCATCTCAAAAAAAAAAAAAATAAAAAAAAAAAAAATAAAAGTGATCAAACATTAACTTCACTGGTGACTTAGGTGTTATTTGTTTAGGACTCTGTTCTGGGGACAGTTGGGAGAAATGAGGGACCATAAGAGTCTTAGACCAGGTTCTGGCATCAGTACTGACAGGAGACCAATGGCAGCAAGCACAGTCACCCTTGGGCTATGCGTGGCTTCTATTTATTTGAGGGTCTTAATACTATGGTTTGAATATGGTTTGTTTGTCCCCACCAAATCTCATGTTGAAATTTGATCTAGTGTTGGGAGGTGGGGCCTGGTAGGAGGTGTTTGGGTCATGGTGGTGGATCTCTCATGAGTGGCTCAGTGTCCTTCTGGGGTTGTAAGTTCTATCATTTTCAAGACTGGCTCAGTCCTCAGGGGAATGGATTAATTCCCTCAGGAGTGGGTTGTTATAAAGCCAGGATGCCCCATAGGTTTGAACATGCCCGCTTTCCCTTGGACCTTCTCTACCATGTTTTGACACAGCCCAGAAGCCCTCACTAGAAGCCAAGCAGATGCTGGCACCATGCTTCTTGTACAGGGGGCAGAACTATGAGCTAAATAATCCTCTTTCTTTATAAATTACCCAACCTCAGGTATTCCTTTATAGTGACACAAAGCAGACTAAGACATTTGGGATATTAAAAAAATATTAAAAATTTCAAAACAGGATTCCAAGTGTGGCAGACAAATCAATGCTTTTAACACCAGAAGTCCCACAAAGACTCTGTAAAATCTCATTTGAGGAGGAGCTTAAAAGCTTACATTTGAGGACCCTTGTAAGAGTGAGGCCTGAGCTAACTGGCCTGGCTCTTCCTGTGATAAGCATGGGCAGCCAGACAGGGGAGCTGAGCCTGGGTCTTTTGCGAACACTTAGAAGAGGGAGCAGAGATGATTTGGAGCTTTGGCTGCAAGAAACAATGCCCTGAAAAATTATATCTTAGACAAGATAGTTTATATCTTGCTCACACAAAGGAAACCTGGAGATAAGGCAATCCAGGGCTGGTGTGGCAGCAACAGGGCCAGAAGCAGGCACTGGTTTTGCTGTGTTCTGTGTGTGGTTTCTATTCTCAAGGCCACCTCACAGTCCAAGAATTCTACCTGGGTCTAGCCATTATATCGCCATTCCAAGGCATGATGCAGGAAGGTAAGAGAAGGAATGTACCCCCTCCCTTACAAGAAGATTTCCTGAACTTAGCATGCAACACCTCTTCACACAGCTCGTTGGCCAAAACTAGTTATATCCTAAGCTGACTGAGAGGGAACATGGAAAATATAATCTTTTAGCTAAATAACAATGTATCCTGCTTTAAAAAATTCAGGATTCTTTTATAAGAAAGTAGTGGGGAGAGGACTTAGGAGGCAATGAGCAGTAAATGCCACAACCAGTAATCCTTATGTCTGCCTATTTCACAAGTTCTTGGTCCAATCTCACATTTACGTTCCCTCACTGCCTGGACATCTGACATATCTCTGCTCTAGCTGTTTTCTCTGTATTTCTCTCGACTGTTGTCTTCTACTGATCTGATTGCCAGTATATAGATAGAATCTTAGTCCACAAAGCATGGTAGATTAGAAATGGGATGTTACGATATCACAATTCTTTGTACCCACTCTCTTAGAGAATTCAATTTCTAGTTTTCTTTGAGGACCCTGCCCAAGAGACCTTACCCAGCACCAGTAATTAAAGTGGTTTCACTGTCAAAGAATAAACATATTTTTTCTGTCTCAATTGCTTCGATGCCTCCTGCAATCAGTGTGCAGTAGAT
This sequence comes from Homo sapiens, assembly GCF_000001405.40. Taxonomy (NCBI): domain Eukaryota; kingdom Metazoa; phylum Chordata; class Mammalia; order Primates; family Hominidae; genus Homo; species Homo sapiens. The sequence continues at coordinate 127,217,025 of NC_000005.10, forward strand.
GACGTATGTCTCACTGATCCCTGCTTCATTCATGGATATAGTTTATGCTGGCATTAGTCATCTCATGCAATTCTAGGACTTCAGAGTCAGTCAACTAGGGCAGTGGGGTAATGCGTTGCATAGCCAATTGGTGCTTCACAATACAATTGTTTTGGTGGAATATCTAGTTCTCCAGGTAAAATGTCCTTGCCCTTCTTAGTCTCTACTGATTTTAATTGAATCAGTTTAACCACATAGATCTATTTTCATTCCAGTATGTTTGCAGACCACCAGGAAATGGAATCAGGAAGAATAAAGTGCCATCTAAGAAGAATGTAGAGTCAGGGCAGAGGTAAGGTTGCTGAAATGTTGCATTCTCCTTGGAGGGGACAGACAGGCTGACTGCCCAAGCATGAATTGCAGAAATGCTGTGTAGGTGGGAGTGACCACTTGGTGGCCAGCTGTCAGGCACACAGCTGAGCCTCAGCTCTAGAATAGCCAGGACTCCTGCTGGCTGTCATTACAGCCCCAGTCATCCAGTTGCTCCACAGTATGATTTCTTTAGTGGGAGAGAGAGGGAGAGGTAGAGTTTTAGTTTTGCTTCTGGGAATTTCACAACAAATTCAGTATGCTCAGGGGATACTATCTGAATATTATCTGTCAGTGTGATAGGCCAAGAAAATTGAGAACTGTGGGTTTGGAGAATTATAGTAATCTTGATTTGGGCTTCATCAAGGCTCTTGACAAGTTTACCCATGATATTCTTGAGGATGAGAAAATGTAGCATGTTTGAACCTGATTGAATTAGCATACTCAATAGGTGCTGATTAATAGAGATGGGTATCTAATGGGGGGTCACTAGCTCTGCCCTTGCTTAATGAAGATACAGAAGATATGCTAATCAAGTTTTCAGATAACATGAAATTGGCAGTGATAGCTAATATGCTAGAGAATAGGTAAGAGAATCAGGATCTAAAAACATCTCAGCAATCCGAAAAAAATGTACTGAACCCAACAACAGGAAGGTTAGTGGGGAATAAATGTGATATCCTCTCTGGAATCCAAAACGTCAAGTTCACACATACATGTTGAAGAAGAGATTCTTAGGTGCACTGTTTGACCAGGATTTCAACTGGCATTCGTTCATTTTTATACCCTCGATTTACAGATTAAGAAACAGAAACTCAAAAACATAAGGTGCTACCCTTACATGGTCCATAGAAGGCACAGTCAGGATTGACTAAGGCTGAAGTTCTTAGCCCCTGCTCCGTCACCTGGAGCCAGAACTATCACTTCCCTATTTTTATGAATATTCATTAATTCCTTTATTCATTGGTCAACAAATATTTTTCAAGTCTTATCTTTGTTTAGTGCTTTAATGATATTCCGGGATTTAATGACGAGTAAGACAGACACAATTAATTTCCTTATGGAAACAAATAAATATTTTTTATTTAAAACTGTTTATTAACAATTAAATATTTCTTATTTAAATGTTTCTTAACAATAAAGGGTGACACATACAATGGCAGAATAAAAACGGTATCCTATGTAATGCATCAGAGAATTCAGGGATGTTCACCTTGAGAGAGTGACATTAAGGCTGACATCTGAAGGATAAACAGGAGTTAATCTACCAGGCAATGGGGAGAGGAAAGAATATTTCAATATGAAGGAACAACATGTGTAAAGACCTGAAGGCAAAAAGACATAAAATACTGAAGGAATGGGAGGAGGTTCATGACAACTCTGGCATAAAGGTTATGGGGTATATAATGAGTGATGAAACTGGGGAGGGAGGACTAGAAGGATTGGAGAGGGAGGCCTTGAAGAGTTTTGCAATGCACTTAAAGACATTGGATACTATTTTCATGGGCTGTGAAACCATAAAAAAGTTTTAAGCAAAGAAGTGACTTAATCAGATTTTCATTTTGGAAGGTTCCTACTGGCTTCACTCTAGATGAGGGAAGGGCAGGACAGGGGCAAAACTAGATGCCTGGTGACCTGTGAGGAGGTATTGCAGGCATTCAGATGAGAGATGTTGGTGGCCTTCACTAATGAGAGTGCAGATGGAAAGAAGTGGACACATATGAAAAATATACAGTAGAGAAATCAAGGATATGGTGATGGTTTGAATGTGGAGGCAACAGAAGGATTCAAGGGTGACTCTCAGCATTTGCTCTTGAGATGACTGAGCTGATCGTGAAGCCATTTTCTGATTTTGGGAACAGCAGGAGAGGAGCATATTTGGGAGAGCAGGTGATGTATTCAGCTTTGAACATGTTGAGTTTGAGGCAACCAGGACTTGTCCACGTGGTTGGTGTCCAGTAGGCAGTTGGATATAAAAATCTAGAACCCAAGACAGAGGTGTAGGCTGAAGATACAGATTTGGGAAAAAAATCCCTAAGAGCCAATAAAAAGAGTAAATTCAGTCCTTCCTCATATTCGTAAAAGTAGGGAAGTGATAGTTCTGGCTCCAGGTGATGGTGCAGGGGCTAAGAACTTCAGCCCTAGTCAATCCTGACTGTGCCTCATATGGACCATGTAAAGGTAGCACCTTATGTTTTTGAATTTTAGTTTCTTCATCTGTAAATTGGGGGTATAAAAACAGCTACTGTATAGTGTTTTTGTAAGAATGAAATAAGATGATAAAAAATAAAGCACCTAGCAGAGTACCTGGCACACAGTAAGTGCTGAAAAATTAATAAGCATTATTATTGTTGTTGTTGCTATTGTATTTTACTTGTTGTTTGGGTGAATTTACTTTAAGAGGGCCAGGTAGTCAGTGCTTTACTGAGAGGAGGGACTGAAATTTTGTCACATGATGAATGCTGAAAGAGCCTAGGGTTGGTCAGCTTGCTGTGCAGGAGGTCTGAGGCAGCAGCTTTCAATTACACTAAGGAATTCCAGAAGAAAAAGAAGATACACAGAAATTAACCCTCCTAAGACTGAGCCAGAAAGAAATGGATTCCCTGAACAGACCAATAACAAGCTCCGAAATTGAATCAGTAATAAATAGCTTACCACCACCACCAACAACAAAAGCCCAGGACCTGATGGATTCACAGATGAATTCTACCAGATGTACAAATAAGAGCTGATACCATTCCTACAGAAACTATTCCAAAAAATTGAGGAGGAGAGACTTCTCCCCAACTCATTCTTTGAGGCCAGCATCATCTTGATACCAAAACCTGGCATAGACATAACAAAAACAGAAAACGTTAGACCAATATCCTTGATGAACATTGATGCAAAAATCTTCAACAAAATACTGGCAAATGTGCTCAGTTTGGCAGCACATATACTAAAATACTGGCAAACGAAATCCAGCAGCACATCAAAAAGCTAATCCACCACGATCAAGTAGGCTTCATCCCTGGGATGGCTCAACATATGAAAATCAATTAATATGATTCATCACATAAACAGAACTAAAGACAAATACCATATGATTATCTCAATAGATATAAAAAGGCTTTTGATAAAATTCAACATCTCTTCATGTTAAAAACTCTCAATAAACTAGGTATTAAAGGAACATACCTCAAAATAATAAGAGCCATCTATGACAAACCCACAGCCAACATTATAATGAATGGGCAAAAGCTGGAAGCATTCCCCTTGAAAAGTGGCACAAGACAAGGATGCCCTCTCTCCCTACTCCTATTCAATACAGTTTTGGAAATCCTAGCCAGAGCAATCAGGCAAGAGAAAGAAATAAGGTGTATTCAATTAGGAAGAGAGGAAGTCAAACTATCTCTGTTTGCAGATGGCATGATTCTATATCTAGAAAACCCCACAGTCTTGACCCAAAAGCTCCTTCAGCTGATAAGCAACTTCAGCAAAGTTACAGGATACAAAATCAATGTACAAAAATCACAAGCATTCCTATATACCAACAACAACGAAACTGAGAGACAAATCAGAAATCAAAATCCTATTCACAATTGCTACACATAAAAAATAAAATACCTAGGAATACACCTAACCAGGGAGGTCAAGGATGTCTACAATGAGAATTACAAAACACTGCTCAAAAAACTCAGAGAAGGCACAAACAAATGGAAAAAACATCCCATGCTCATGGATAGGAAGAATCAGAATCATTAAAATGGCCATACTGCCCAAAACAATTTACAGATTCAATGCTATTCCTATCAAACTACCAAAACATTCATCACAGAACTAGAAAAAATTATTTAAAAATTTATATGGAACCAAAAAAGAGCCTGAATAGCCAAGACAATCCTAAGCAAAGAGAACAAAGCTGGAGGCATCACATCACCCAACTGCAAACTATACTACAAGGCTACAGTGACCAAAACATCATGGTACTGGTACAAAAACAGGCACATAGACCAATGCAACAGAATAGAGAGCCCAGAAATGAGGCCACACTTCTACAACCATCTGATCTTTGACAAAGCTGACCAAAAAAAGCAATGGGAAAATATACCCTATTTTATAAATGGTGCAGGGATAATTGGCTCTCCATATGCAAAGGATTGAAACTGGACCCCTTCTTTACACCACGTACAAAAATCAACTCAAGAAGGATTAAAGACTTAAATGTAAAACCCAAAACTATAAAAACGCGGAAGACAACCTAGGCAATACCATCCTGGACCTAGAAACAGGCAAAGATTTCATGACAAAGACACTAAAAGCAATCACGACAAAAGCAAAAATTGACAAATGGGACCTACTTAAACTAAAGAGCTTCTGCACAGCAAAAGAAACTATTATTAGAGTGCATAGACAACCTACAGAATGGGAGAAAATATTTGCAAACTATGCATCTGACAAAGGTCTAGTATCATATATAAGGAACTTAAACAAATGTACAAGAGAAAAACAAACAACCCCATTAAAAACTGGGCAAAGGACATGAAGAGACACTTCTCAAAAGACGACATACATGTGGCCAACAAGCATATTAAAAAAAGCTCAATATCACTGATCATTAGAGAAATGCAAGTCAAAACCATAATGAGATACCATCTCACACTAGTCAGAATGGCTATTAATAAAAAGTCAAAAACAAAAACAAAAACAACAGATGCTGGCACTGGCAAGGTTGTGGAGAAAAGGGAACTCTTATAAATTTTCAGTGGGAGTGTAAATTAGTTCAGCCACGTGGAAAGCAGTATGGCAATTCCTCAAAGAGCTAAAAGCAGAACTACCATTTGACCCAGCAAGTCCTCCAGATATATACCCAGATGAATATAACACATTTTACCATAAAGACACATGCATGCAAATGTTCATTGCAACACTATTCACAACAGCAAAGATATGGAATCAACCTAAATGCCCATCAATGACAGACCGGACAAGAAAATGTGGTACATATATACCATGGAATATTACGCAGCCATAAAAAAAATGAGATCATATCTTTTGTGGGAACATGGATAGAGCTGGAGGCTATCATCCTTAGCAAACTAACACAGGAATAGAAAATTAAATACTGCATGTTCTCACTTATAAGTGGGAGCTAAGTGATAAGAACTTATGCACATGAAGAAGGAAATGACAGACACTGGGGCCTATCAGAGGGAGAAGGGTGGGAGGAAGGAGAGGAGCAGAAAAGATAACTATTGGGTACTAAGCTTAATAACTAGGTGATGTAATAACATGTACAACAAACCCCTGTGACACATGTTTATCTATGTAACAAAACTTCACATGTACCCTCAAACCCCAAATTAAAAAAAAAATAGCCAGGTGTGGTGGCACCCACTTGTAGTCTCAGCTACTTAGGAACCTGAGGTGGGAGGACTGATTGAACCTAGGAGGTTGAGGCTGCAGTGAGCCCTAATTGTGCCACTGCATTCCAGCCTGGGAGACAGAGTGAGATCCTGTCTCAAAAACGACAACAACAACAACAACAACAACAAAGGTAGAATTATCCCCATGGGACCCTAGAAGGGGAAGTAGGATGAACCAAAAGGAGTTTCAGAGAAACCAACCTCAGCTAAATATAGTGGGAACCTTCTAATAGCCAAAGTGCCAAAGTTCTTAGGATAGAATAGTTTTTTGCTTTTGTTTTTTTCAGAAGTACAGACTTCCTCATCTCTAAATTAAATTAAATTGCAGTTAGAAGAGTGATACCTACTGTTGGAGGTGAGGTTGGATGTGGCCTTGCTAACTGCAGAGCTAGGGCCTAGTTTGAATGAGGTGTTTACTTAGGGCCTGGCGTCCTCAGCATGTTCATTAAAATTTATGAACATTACATTACAACATTCATTCTCACACTTGTTCTCCAACCATAAAAGAGATTATTTTCTTCACTGAGTAGGGCAGGGGGTTATGATTTTTTATAAGCAACCCCTCCAATAGCCTGTACTGTACAATCTCCCAGCCTCTAAGTCCCAAATGTACACAACACAGCCACACGGGTAAGGGGCACAGAACTGTCCGGGAGTGCTGCTGAGACGTTTTGTTTTCCACTTACCCCTCACCCCTGAATGCATCATTATCCCTCCCCGGCTGAGGTGTCTCCTTCCCATCAGCCCTTCCTCCAGGGTCCAGCTTCAGGAAAGGCCCCATGCTAAGTAATAAATAAGAGGCGGGCAGGATTTTAAATCTCACCACCCTGGGTTTATTCTCTGATAGTAAAATGGAAGAAAAATAGAGTGAAACCTTCATGATTTATGGGCTCCCTTCCCTTCGGAGGTTTTCCAGTTGCATCTTTGTGCTATGCTTGACATTTATGATATAAGGTATTGATATCTGCAAAGAAGAGCTGCTGGTGCTAATTATTCAGACCTGCTGACAGTGAACTGGTGAGCAGCACTCATATGTCAGATCCCATCTACACATTAAGTCTTTCACTTAAAATAGGTGGGAATTATGAGGCACTATGGGCTTTAGCAGTATAGATTGTGCAGAAAGTCTATAGGATATATTAGTAAATCAACTATGATAGGGCTGCTGAAAAGCAAGCCAATACCTGTCTGATAAATAGAATCCCCAGGAAAGTCTTTGATTTAGGAAATGTGCCAGAGACATAAAATGATATGAGGGAGGGAAAATGCAAATGATGAAACTAACTTTTCCTACTTCAGAAAGGAAAATGTTTGCCTCTCCTTCCAGTCCTTCAGGTTGTCAGATGTGCCTTGTTTCTAGCAGCTATTTGTAATATTAATCATTTTAACAGTATCAAACAGACTGGGTTTTTACACTTGATAAATTTTTGATGTTGAACCTTTGAAAAATGCAGTGATGTGATTTTTTTTTTCTCCAGAGTTTCTCCCCAGAAGCCAGTGTTAATTTGCAGATGCCAACACATGACTAAATGGTTTTATCTCAAAAGATTAATCCACATTAAATTAACATAGGACCAAGGCCTCAGAATTGTATAGCCTTTTGTTGTGAGAGATTCCAGGCTTTGTGACTCTGATAGACAGGCTGGCAATTGTCTCCTCATAAGGGATGGTAGCTGGTTAATCAGTCAGTCAGCCTGGTAGACCCAGTTATTGCCTACCTAACAGTCAATGCCCTCTTCTTCTTTATTAAGAACACCAATTTTGTTCAGGGAGCAATGTGCTCAGCTCCAGATGATGAGATATGATAGATCTGCTTCCGTTCCGGTGAACTAAATTCCCTGTGATTGGTTCAGAGGTGAGGAAGTGACCTAATTCCGGCCAATGAAATGCAAGAGAAGGATGGAAAGGAGCTGAATGGGTTGGAGGAGGAAGGGATGGTGGCTTCCAGAAAAGAAAATAAAAGGTGATCATCATGTGGAAGTTAGTCTTTTTTTTTTCTGTAATTTCCTTCCAGAGACTGCATGTGGCTGTGAGAAAACTGGTTCCTGGAGCCAGCAGCTATGTTGGGCTCTTGAGTGGAGACCATAGCCAGAACTTTGGGTGGCAGAGCAGACAGATGGGAAGAAACTGAGCCCTTGCTGATGTCGTCAAGCCACCAAATCGACTGCAGTCAGTTCCTTCTGCCTACCTCTAGATCACTTTTTAAACAAATAACAAATGTCATGATGCAAGCCACTGTTAGTAAAGGTTTCTGTATGCTGCTGCTGGAAGTATTTCTAATGATACAGCCAATTTGCAAGCCTGGAAATTGTTCTTTCTCTCTTAAAAAAATTCATGTCATACACAGGGCAGGGAACATCACACACTGGAGCCTGTTGTTGGGTGGAGGGCTGGGGGAGTGATAGCTTTAGGAGAAATACCTAATGTAAATGACGAGTTGATGGGTGCAGCAAACCAACATGGCACGTGTATACCTATGTAACAAACCTGCACTTTGTGCACAGTTAACCTAGAACTTAAAGTATAATAAAAAAATTTATGTCATACATGCATATGGTAAAGCAAAATGTTGAAAAATATATCATGGTGTTAAATAGCAAGTACAAGTATTATTCCGAGCTCCCAGTATCCTCCTCAGAGGCAACTACTTTTAATTGCTTCTGTTTCAGTCCTCTGATGGTTAGACTGTAATTTAGGGTAATTTGCCTATTCTTCTATACTGAACACATTATTTAGACAGTATATATTCCTTCCCTACTTTGAAAGAATTTATTTTCTACTATTCTCCACATGTATTACATTTCCTCTACAGCTACATTTATAGCTTTAAATCAATAAGTGCCACTTTTCACATTTTTTACTACATTATATATAATTAAATGCAGAATTAAGCGGTTTAATCCCCAGAAAATGGAATGTAATCCTATGTCACTAAACTAGTCATAGAAGCATGTTCTAGGCATTGAGATCAAATGGATTCTCTTTCTTCACACTCAATTTCTTCAAAATCATGCCACACTTTAGTTCATATTTACACACTGGTTCTTGAAACTATTTTTTTATCCAAAATTGCTAATTGTCTTACATTTTTCTTGTTGCAAACAGAAACACACGTGTTCTTCATGATATCACAAAGACATCAGCTTCTTAGTTATACTATTGTTGAATGAAAAAAACTTTCTTAGAAGATATTATTTTCCTAGGTGTCTGATTTCCTATCCTAATTTGGTCAATAACATATTCCTACAGAACTGTGAAAAAGGCATTGTTCCATTTTCTTCTGGTGGTATTTCAAATGAGAAGTTCAATGCCAATTTTATTTTAATTTTTCTGTAACTTTTTTCTTGACACTCTTTAGCATTTTTCCCTGCCCTTCTTTAGTGTTTAATTCCATAAGAATGAATTTGAGAGTATCTATATATTTACTCTGCTTCATATAGAACCTTCAATCTTTTTATTTTCAGTTCTGGAGATTTTCTTCTACTTTTTTTTTTTAGTTAAAAATAAATAATTCACACACCATAAAATTCACCCTTTTAAAGCATACAAAGAAACGGTTTTTTTATATTTACAAAGCTGTGCAACCATCACCACAATCTAGCTTCAGAACATTTTCATCACCCCCAAAAGAAATCCCACACCCATTAGCAATCACTCACTCATTACCCTTTTCCCCCAGTCCCTGGAAACCACTAATTTACTCTCTGTCTCTATGGCTTTGCCTGTTCTGGACTTTTCATATAAATGGAATCATACAATATGTGGCCTTTGTGCCTTTGTGTGTGGTTTTTCTCACTCAGCATAATGTTGTCAAGGTTCATCCATGTTGTAGCATGTAGCTCCTTTCCTTTTTGTGACTGGATAATATTTCATTGTATGTATATACCACATTTTGTTTATCCGTTCTTCACCTATGGTTTATTCAATGATTTTCTCCTGCACATTTTTTTTTCAGCTTTCTTCTGACAGTTCTGTTAGGCGGGTGTAGGACTTCTATTGATTCTCTGATTGTAACTTTTGTTTCATACTTTCTATTTCTTTTTACTCATCATTTTGGTAGATTTCCTTGATTTCATTTTTCAGTGTTTGTGTTACAGGTAAAATTTTTTAGCAGCCATATTTTTATGAGACTGAAGCGCTACCGACTGAGCTAACGAGGCACTTTAGCCATATTTTTAATTTCCAGTAACCCTTTCTTGTTTTCTGGTTGTTCCTTTTTTATAAGAAGCCTCTTTTGGGCTTGATGCAGTGGCTCATGCCTGTAATCCTAGTGCTTCAGGAGGCTGGGGTGGGAGCATGGTTTGAGGCCTGGAGTTTAAGACTAGCCTGGGCAACAAAGCAAGGTACCCATCTCTACCAGTACTTAAAAAAAAAAATTAGACAAGCATGGTGGCACGTGCCTGTAGTCTCAGCTACTCCATAGTAGGCTGAGGTAGGAGGATCCCTTGAACCCAGGAATTTGAGGCTGCAGTGAGTTATGGTCATGCCACTGCACTGGTCACAGTAGTGTCATGACTTTATTTCTGCCTTATTTCTTTACCATAAATGTCATGTGGCTTCGCAAGGGGGAAGTGAACTTGTGTGCCTGGCATGCCATCCTGAAGTGTAAGTCTTCAAGGATCCAATGCATAAGAATCTATGGTACATCCAAGAGGTCGGCAAATAGTCAAATTATCAATTTTATTTATCTTTTCTTTTCTTTTTTTTTTTTTTTTGAGACGGAGTCTTGCAGTGTTGCCCAGGCTGGAGTGCAGTGGCATGATCTCGGCTCACTGCAAACTCCACCTCCTGGGTTCACGCCATTCTCCTGCCTTAGCCTCCCCAATAGCTGGGACTACAGGCGCCCACCACCACGCCCGGCTAATTTTTCGTACTTTTAGTAGAGACGGGGTTTCACCGTGTTAGCAAGGATGGTCTCGATCTCCTGACCTTGTAATCCACCCGCCTTGTCCCAAAGTGCTGGGACTACAGGCGTGAGCTACCGCGCCCGGCCTGGTCCTCTCCTCTTTCTTCTTGCCAAGAACTTCACAAAAGTATATTTCTCTCGGATGGCCTTCCTTCTGGTCACAGTAGTGTCATGGCTTTATTTCTGCCTTATTTCTTTACCGTAAATGTCATGTGGCTTTGCAAGGGGGAAGTGAACTTGTGTGCCCAGCATGCCATCCTGAAGCGTTAAGTCTTCAAGGATCCAATGCATAAGAATCTATGGTACATCCAAGAGGTCGGCAAATAGTCAAATTATCTGGATGTATCTGGATGTCTTCTTAAGTGAAATAATTATTCAGAAAAAAGAACAAGTTCCATGACTCACACTCACATCACCATGTACTTTGGCTCTCTTCATTCAAGTTTTTTTTTTTTCAGTAAAATAAAGTCCTAATTAAAAGAAAAAATGAACAGATTCTCACAGGTAGTTTCAGGAAGTATCCCAAAGACACTTAGGTATTGACATCTTCGAGAAGTTTAGCTTAGTTTTTTAGCCATTCTGTAAATATGGCCTGATAGTAGGTTACCTCCCCAGCTTACATATTTGTGACATGGATGGAAGCTACAATTTAATTTTTAGCTGCGTGGAACCTGAATCAGGGCAGCTTGACCTGGGTCATAAAGAAATTCAAAAGGGACTCAAGACGTTATATTAAAACCTACTAAAGTGGATATAAAAATATAAAACACATGCCTCACCTCAACTCCCACTAATTTTTTGAAAGAAATTCTTTAGAAAAGGAAAATTCATTTAAAAACAAAACTAAAACACCCATTTATCTTTCCAAGGCATAAATGACCACTATCTTTCACTTTGGGGCTTTTCTTTCTCTCTCTTAAAAATTCAAGGGGAGTTGGAGAGGCTATAAAAGTCTGTCTTTGGGTTGGAAAAAAAGGGAAGCTTTCTGTAGGCAAAAATCTCCAGCGGGTGGGCTGCAGTCTCCTCCCCGTGAGATCTTGCAGGTATAATATTCTGGCAAAAACGACTTTTCATTCCGTGAGAGGGACGGAAGACAGTGAGGACATCACAGCTTTCAAACCTCTTGTTGTCCACCGTCCTGGAGTGGGAAGGTGGTGAAGCTCTTACATTCGCTTGCCTTTTGTTTCTTCTGGGTCTTCGCTGTGATCTCTTTCCCTGTCCCCCGCCGGCCGCACCTGGACACAGTAAAGGGCCACAGTGAGGGCTCTCAAGCTTTGGAGCCGCTGAGTCATCTGATCTTCATCGCGCTAAGCTCCTGACAGATGTTACACAGGTCAGGGATGTTTGGGCAAACCTCTCACCGTGGCGTTGGAGTGCAGTCCAGCTCTGTCACTAATGCTTAACCTTCCTATGGGCTCAGTTTTCTCACTTGTAAAAAGGGGTCCCTAATACTTGCGCACCTTACAGGAAGTAACATAAGCCAGGGTATTTGTGAGTGCGTTTTGGAAAGCATAAAGCCCTCTTGCAAATGTGAGATGTTATTATTGCTTCCCTTACCCTGGCTCTAGTTCCAGCCCGGGGCCTGCCCACAGAAACCAGCTGTTCCTGTTTCCTCTGTGTCCCGCGGTAGCACCGAGGAGGCTGGTGCACTGGGCTCCGTGGTTCCCGCCCGGGCCCGCCGCAGCCGGCTCTGAGGAAGCGGCTCTGAGGAAGCAGCGCACCGCCAGCCTCGTCCTCGCGCCGGCGACCCTGGGGCGGGTCACCTCGCCGGGTCGAGGCCTCCCGGGCAGGCCTGGCGGAGGGAGGAGCGAGGCCTGCCTGCGGGAGACCCGGGGAGGCGCGTCATGTGCAAAAGGGTGAGGCTGCCAGGAGCTCACGCGCCGAGGAGTGAAAGAACGGGGTGCGGAGGCTGCTCGAGGGGAGGCGAGGCGGCGGGGAGGCGAGCGCGAGCGACCAGGAAGCAGGAAACCCGGGCAAGCTACCTATGCCCTTTACGGCACCTGTTTATTTTCAAGTGGCTTCCTCCCTCACCTCCTCCGGGCGTGTGTATCAGCCGGCATGGCGTCTCTGCCCCATGCCCTGGGCCGCCAGGGGCCCGCAGGCTACGCGGGAGGTGGAGCGAGGGGAGCGAGCAGCGCACCCCCCTCTGGGGGCCGAAGCAGGGACGCCCAGGGCGCAGGCTTTCGGGCTGGACCTCGAGAAACGTGTGCAAAGTATGTGTTTTTGCTTGACACTTGGAGAATTCTGTTTTTTTGGCTTTATTCCTGAAAGCAAAAATGGGCAATTGAGATAAATGAAAAAGAGAGGCATCAATAAGAAAAACGAAAGAGTTCATCAGTGAATTTTTATGGCATCTAAAATTTTAGTTTTTGGTAATTTAGTTTTAGGCAGCAGATGAGACTGTAATATCCCTTGTAGTTTGTCCATGTCGTTCCCCAAGTGTGAAGTACTATGGCCATCGGCAGCAAAAAAGCGTATTGGTGGGATTTCAGGGGATGAGAGCTCTCTCATCAGCAGCCATTCCATCCCATTTTCTTCTCAGGACTGGTTTTTGCTGTTCACTTTTTCCCCTTCCTAGCCCCATTGATCAGGGAAAGGGGTGGAGCTGGAAGGCAGGGAAAAGTATGCGTCAAAATTAAGCTCCGATATTAAAACCCTGGTGTTGAAACCCCGGTGTCCCCAGGCTTGAAGCTAACTGCATGGCGCTCACCCTTTAAATGGTCTACATCCAAGCGGGAAGGCAGAGAGGTCCAGGACTAAGCGACCACCCCAGGGAGGGAAGGACACAAGTGAAATCTGCTCTGGGAGTCCCAGATCTTAGTTCATCCTTGGAGAAAAGTCCTAGAGCCAAGAGACTTAGAAAGTGAGATGAATGAAAGAAAGAAAATAAACAATTGTTGGGTCTGTCAGGAAAGGAGAATGTGGGACTGACCAAGAACGGTTATATTCCAGGCTCCTTACATATATTATGTATCCCTCCCAGCAGCACAGTGAGGCAGGCCTGTTTTGTGATTCCATTTTGCAGATGGGGAGACTGAGGCACGTGGAATCTGTTTGCCAATACCACGTAGGTTTGTGGATCTTTGATTTGAATGTCAGCCTCTGTCATTTTAAATCTTGTGTTATTTTCTTAATGGGAAGCAAGAAAAACATATTTGTGTCCTAATAACCCAATAGAACTGTGGTATTTTAGTGCCACTTATTCAGTCCCTTTCAACGCCTTTATTTCAAAGTTGAAGAGGCAAAATTGCCCAGAGTTGGGCAAGGCAGGCTTGGAATGCTGTCCTGTGTCAGTGAAGGGCACCCACCATCCACCCAAGCCTTTTAGCCCAAATCTGGACACTATCTTGGTGACTCCCCACTACCTCTTACACGGGATCCATTTGTAAGTCCTATAAGCTTCAGCTCTAAAGAACTGAATCCTCCCCCTTCTCTCTCCTGAGTTTATGCAGTAGTCTCCTAATTGATATTTCTAATTCCACTCTTCACCCTGTAGTCATCGTGATGTTTACAAAAATGAAATGGTTTCATTCCTCTGCTTAAAGCACATCAAATAAATCTCATACTCTTAGATTAAAATCGAAACTCCTCAGCATGGCTGCTAGATCCTCCATGAGCTCATCCTTTTCTGCTGATCTTGCTAGGGTCCCTCTCTTCTTCCTGCTCCCTGCTGTTGCCACATGGCCTCCTTCCTGTGTCTTGGGCATATTAGGGATGTGATGCCGGAAACACTCTTTCTTGGAATCTGGTTAGCACCTTCCCATCCATCAGGTCTCTGCTTAAATGGCAGAAAAGCCTTCCCTGACAGCTGCACTCCAAGTGACCCTGTAAAATTACTCTATCACATCAACCCCTTTATTTTCTTCATAGTGTTTATCACCATCTATAATCTTCTTGATAATCTGTATACTTTATCCACTAGAATGTAAGCTGGGGATTTCACTATGTTGTTCATTACCACTTTCCAAGGCTTAGACCAAGGCCTGATACATAGAAAATACTCAAAAATATTTGTTGATTGAATAAATGACCAAATGAGCTTAGGCTTCTTGATTCTAGGCCAGTGCCCCTTCCTTCATTAGCCCAGTATGATATAGGTGTGTGACATACTTGGGAGACGGAAAACAGAAAGGTCGCCTCCAAAGGCTAGTAGAATCAGGAGAATGGAGAATGTGGAAGAAGAGAGAGAGCCTAAACAGACTGAGAAGCGTGGGAAGGGAGAGCAGGGATTAAGTCTGGACTGTGGCCTGTGACAAGATCTCCAGTGAATATTTCTTGATTTATCCACAGACACTGTGATGGAGTTTATTACACATAACAGCAAATTCCAAAGCAGGAGTGGCAGCAGAAAACAATGAAGGCAAAGGAAGTAAGCCCGGGAAGAGAAAGCAGTTTTTGGACAACAGTTCCTTCACCTCAGCATTTTTCATGGATTTCAAATAAGTGGTAACAATATTTTTATTTGCACATTTTCTTTGAAAATAAAAATGATCTTATTGATTTTCAAAAAGGAAATAATCAAAGCATATGTTTATATTTTTCTTGCTATTTTATCTTATTTACAAGTGTAATGGTTACCATTCAGGTGAGGTGGCATATTCTGAAGCATCCAGAAGCTTTCTCTCCAACGAAATTATCTTCCTCATTTTGCTTAAATTTTACATAAGTAGCTGAATGGAGCTTTAAAGTGCTGACAATCAAGATCAACAAAGGCTGAGAAGTTACTACATACAATCCTGTGATCCCTGAGCATGATACATAGACTTTGAGAACTTTGAGGACAGGCTCTGTGCTCTGTTCAGTTTAGTGTCCTAAGGTCAATGGCATATGGTGTTATGCTAGGTACTTGGGAAACAGTCACTGTCTTTAGGATGCTTAGTAGATGTTCAATAAATGTTTAAGATGTTGGGAGGAGCAGATGTGAAATGATAACAAAAAGTAGTACAGGGTAAATGTCCCAAGAGAAGTACAAAACTTGGAGATGTAAAGGAGGAAATTATGGCTTTTCAGAGGGGTCAGGGAGAACCTTATGAAGGGCAAGTATTTGAAGATAGAAAAGATGGGCACTTATTATTAAATGGATGAATACAAGCATTAAATTGCCAAAGGACAAAAAATTCCAAGCAAACACAGAGGCAGGAAAGCATTGCGATTGTAGGATTCAAGCAGAGGAAGAAAAGCGAAATGTCTGGAGCAGCAGGTTGAGGAGACTGTGCTGTTGAGGCCTTGGACCCCAGTAGATGTGAGGAGAGTGTGCTGGATATTTCTGTGAGCCTTAATCCCACCTTGCTGGAGGTAAATTTAATTTGTCATTTGGGTGTTCTCTCTTCTTCAGTCTCTCAGAGACTTTGTGGTTCCTTAAAACACAGGAGAATTGCTCCTAATTTTTGGCTCATTATGGTGGCCCTATTGTTGAAGTTGTCATGAACTGTTGAATGGCAGTGACTCTGTTTCTCTGCTCTTCTTGGCCTGCAGGCATCTTTCTTCACAATGGAAGCCCTGTTGCCAAGGGTACAGCCTCCCTAGCTTCACCACACAGTTAGGCTCCGCAGAATCCTTGTCTTCTTCCCCAGGTTCTGCTAGAAGTAGGACACAGGCCCCTTGATGATTGTGGAAACCACCACACCTTCCTGGTATAGGGCAGTAGGGCAGTCTCCTTCTCTCCTTTGTTACTTCTGCTTCTACCTGTGTTCCTCCAGCATAATCCACTTCAGGAACCCAAGCTCTTGAAGACCAGGACACAAGCAGGTGTAGTAGGTCATTTGCTTTCAAGCTTCTGCCACAGACTTCCCTGAAGTAAGGCGGCAATTAGCCTGGCTACTTGCTTGGAATAGGAGACGAAAACACTGGCAATAAAAAGCACAAATTAATAGTTCAATAAATCATCCTTCATATGCTTAACTGGGTGGACAGTGAGAAGGCACTTAAGGTTAATGAATAATAGTATTCATACTTTATTATTCACTTTTTTTCCCATTAGATTAAGAATGGAAAGAAAGATGAAAAGCAAAAAGAAAGCACAGTAGAGGATGCTAGAAATTGGAGATTTGGAGTATACAGTCTTACCGGGAGCTCATTTGTCATGGCCAGCTTAACTCTGGGCTGCCCACTTCCTTTTTTCCTTCACTTCGTTTAATCAAGGCTGAAGCAGGTGGCCCTAGTAATAGGGTTGAGAGGTTTCCTGTTGCATCTAGGTGGGAATCAACTTTTCATTTATTCCTGGACATTACATTAACTTTGAAAGCTATCTGTGGGGATTTTTTAGCTGAGACCATTTTCAAATAGGCCTTCTGCGTAGGGAGAAATTCACTAGGCCTCAAGTAACAGAAACCCAGAAAAAAAGTGACTTAAAAAATTAGGGATCCAATTATTCTTATTTACATCTGGAAGCAGAGTCAGGGCTCATACTGAGGATTTGTGAAGCCCCCAGGATCCTCCTGTATTTACGCTCAGTAATCCTTACCATGCTTTTGGGGCCTGGTGGTCACAATACTGTGGCTCCACCTCCAACACGATGTATCTAGGAAGGAAGAAGGTATGCACAAAGCATCCAGTCACTTGAGTCTATGTGCCTTTTAAAGAGCTTCCACAGAAGTTTCATCCTTTGACTTTCACTTGTATTTCATTGGCCAGAACTGTGTTCCATGGCCATTCATAGGTGCAGAGTGGGTGGGGAAATAAAGTTTTCAGCTAGGCACATTGCCACTGAGAAAAATTCAGGTTGGTTTGTAAAGAAGAAATGGATATTGAATAGACAACTAACAGTGACTGCCACATTCTGTACCATTTTGTCCTTTTATCCAAGTTAATGTGCCTCCTGGGAGAGCAAACCAAATTTTAGCGAACATAAATAAATCTTCTATCAATGCATCTCTCCTCTATGCATCCACCAAAATGAATCCACCAAAAAGAAATAACTTTTGTATTGGTATCTCATATTATGCATATTATAATTTCCCTCCATTCACATAGATCATACTGAATTGATTATATTTAGGGATTCATAAATGTCGTTATTTAGAAAGCTCCCTATAATGGCCAGTTCTTTGTTAAGTGTCTTTTAGTGCTTTCTTCTTCTCTCACTTTTTACTTTTCTATGTGGGCTATCATCTCATCTATATTGGTAGTTCAATAACAACTTATTTCCAACTTCCATATCTTTTTTTTTTTCTTTTTTTGAGATGGAGTCCCACTCTGTCACCCAGGCTGGAGTGCAGTGGCACAATCTCGGCTCACTGCAACCTCCACCTCCCTGGTTCAAGCAATTCCCCTGCCTCAGCCTGCCGAGTAGCTGGGATTACAGGCGCATGCCACCATGCCCAGCTAATTTTTTTGTATTTTTAGTAGAGATAGGGTTTTACCATGTTGGCCAGACTGGTTGCGAACATCTCACCTCAGGCAATCCACCCGCCTTGGCCTCCCAAAGTGCTGGGATTACAGGTGTGAGCCACCGTGCCTGGCCTCCAACTTGCATATCTTTATGAGCCAGTTATTGCTTATAACTGCATTGTCCTATACATCCAACTTTATTCAGAATAAGAACTAGTTTCACAGATGCCTTAAATTCAAATACCCAAGGGATCTTAGTGTCTTTCTCTCCCAAGCTTTTACCTCCTTTGTGTTTATTCACCTCGGTGAGCACACATGCCCACGCCAGAAACCTGTGAGTCATTCCTGAATCTTCCCTTATGTTTCTTCCTCCCTACGACCATTTGATGTTTAACGTTTTGTCCAGATAGTGTACTGAATATTCTCAAATGTGTCCTCTTCTCTCTAATCCATTGCTACCCCTTAGGTTTACCTAGTTTGGACTAGTTGTTTTTAGCTATTTGTTGCCATATGAATAGCTGTCTGTTAGATTTCTTCAGTAACTGCATGTCATCCAGAATCTGCAGCTCTCTGCGGTAATTTTTATATTATCGTGTTTTCATTTGGATGATATTTTAAAACATGAACAATTGTGGATCACCTCAATGGCTTCCTTGGAGCTGAGTACTGACAATTGATTTTGGTACCTGCACCAAATCTGTCTCCTGCATGGAAATCTGTCTCCATACAAGTGATGTCATCATTCACATTGAATTAATAAATTAATTTGAATTGTATTGTTTTTGTTAGTTTATACACATTTTTATAGTTGCAAAAGAGCTATAAGCATAAGATGCTTGCACTTAATTTTATATCTAAATAACAATATACTAACAATATTTAAGTGGAGTTTTGGCTCTAGGATAATTTATCCTTTTAAAGAGGGTGCATATATTACTGAAGTGGGTTAGCCCAGGGTCGGCAAACTTTTTTTTTTTTTGAGACAGAGTCTCGCTCTGTCACCAGGCTGGAGTACAGGGGTGCGATCTCGGCTCACTCCAACCTCTGCCTCCAGGGTTCAAGTGATTCTCTTGCCTCAGCCTCCCAAGTAGCTGGGACTACAGGCACGCGCCACCATGCCCAGCTAATTTTTGTATTTTTAGTAGAGATGGGGTTTCACCATGTTGGCCAGGATGGTCTCCATCTCTTGACCTTATGATCTGCCCACCTCAGCCTCCCAAAGTGCTGGGATTACAGGCGTGAGCCACCAGGCCCAGCTAGCAAACTTTTAAGGTAAAGAGCTGGATAGTAAATATACTAGGCTTTGGTGGCCATATACACTCTGCCATAACTATTGAACTCTGATGTTGAAGCATGAAGGCAGCTGAAGACAGTATGTAAACAAATGAGTATGGCTGTGTTCAGTACAACTTTGTTTACAAAACCAGGCTATATTTGGACTCCATGTACAGTTTGCCAAGCCCTGGTCTAGAGAAGACACTCCAAATCCTTTGGCTTGATGTACAGTGTGTTCATCTCTCTAGACTCATCTCCTACCCAGTATTCTGAGCATGCCCTGTGCTCCAGCTGGACAGAACTACTTCTATTTCCCAAGGACGTCACCCTCTCCCACTATTCCATGCCTTAGCAAATGCTTTCTGAGATATCCTTCCCTGTCTTCTTAAACTTACTGTCTCCATCTCACTCTTTAAGATAAAATTTAAAAACTGCCTCCTCTTGGAAGCTTCTCTGGCCCTTTGAACTGAGTTTATGCTTCTTTATACTTGCTCTGTACTCCCAAAACATTTTTGGGAAACTTACCTATATTACAATTGGGCATTTACTTGATTATTTGTAATCAAGATTAGAACAGTCTGCTGTTCTAGACAGTCTCCTTGAGAGAACTGAGAGAATCCTTTCTTTCTTTTCTGCAGCTCAAGCTGCTGTACCTGTTGCCCCCAGATTTAGGGAGTGATGGAGAGAACAGAAGGAAATAAGAGAGAGTATGAATTCCATATTGACTTCCTATTTACCCAAAGAAACTAAGAAAGAAATCCCAGAAATGTCTGCGTTTTCCTTGAATTGGCAGTAAGATATTTTTCCATTTGTGGAAGTGGGTCTTGTGATCTAAGTCAGTTTTTAAAAAAAAAGGGGGTTTTATGTTTGCACATCTGGGTTTTGGGACTGTAAAATTCACGCCTGTTGTAGAAGTTATTTAACTTCGGCCAGGCGTGGTGGCTCATGATTGTAATCCCAGCACTGGGAGGCCAAGGTGGGTAGATCACGAGGTCACGAGTTCAAGACCAGCCTGGCCAACACAGTGAAACCCTGTCTATACGAAAAATACAAAACTAGCTGGGCGTGGTGGTGGGTGCCTATAATCCCAGCTACTTGGGAGGCTGAGGCAGGAGAATCACTTGAACCCAGGAGGCAGATGTTAGAGTAAGCTGAGATCACACCACTGCACTCCAGCCTGGGCAACAGAGCTAGACTCTGTCTCCAAAAAAATAAAAAAAAGTTATTTAACTTTGATAAATGGTGGGACTTCATTGAAAAATAAGAGAAGAAGAAGAAAAAGAAAACATGCTATGTGTGTTTTGTTTTGGGTATGGGTAGGTAGGCTGAGTTGGGGAGACAATAATGAAAGCCTGGATTTTTAAATCCTACAGCAGGAAGAAGCCCAGACGGGACTGTTTAGGTAAGCAAGCCTGTGAGTGGTAGAAAGGGCAGTAATTTTAAGTCCTGGGCAGGGTGAGATTTGAGGACTCAGGGCCAGGGATGTGGGACTTTCCCTCTCCCTCCACCTCTTTGCCCTTCCCTTGCTTCTCCCTGCTCCCTTCCTCTATTTCTGTCATCTAGATGTTTCTACCCTATGGTGTCTTCTACTGAATATTTGGGAAATGTTAATGCTAGTCATCTAACTGTTAAAATCAAACTCTTTTACCCTATGTAGTTCTCATTAAATGATGTTGATGATTTTATACAAATGTGTTGACATTTTACCATATTATGTTTTTAACAGGGTATAAACTTCAGACTATATATATATATATATATATATATATATATATATGTATATACTGAGATGGAGTCTTGCTCTGTCACTCAAGCTGGAGTGCAGTGGTGCAATCTTGGCTCACTGCAACCTCCACCTCCAGGGTTCAAGCAATTCTCCTGCCTCAGCCTCCCAAGTAGCTGGGACTACAGACATGCACCACCACACCCAGCTAATTTCTGTATTTTTAGTAGAGACGGGGCTTTGCCATGTTGTCCAGGCTGGTCTCGAACTCCTGAACTCAAGTGGTCTACCCACCTCAGGTTCCCAAATTTCTGGGATTACAGGTGTGAGCCACCATGCCTGGCCTCAGACAATATTTTTTATATATTAAAAAAAACCAAGGTCTTCCTTTAGTCAACACATGGAGGTTAGTGGTCCTTCTCTGGAAACATTACCATCATCATCATCATCTCATTGACAGCTTGTGGTTGCCAGGCACTGCACATGTAGCAACCCAGTGTTGACACCAGCCATATAGGAAGAGTTCTGTGACATCCCATGTTACAGATGTGGACAGAGAAAGGTTAAGTAACTTGCCCAAAGTCACACGGGTGGGAAGTGGCAGGGCGGTCTGGCTCCTGAGGTGATGTGCTTCACCTCCACACTTCACTTCTTCTCCAGATTCTAATTCCCAAACTTACTAATATCTTCTAATTGCTGTAGGATATTCATCCCCCATCCGTGTCTATTTATGATCTATAACCACCTTTTGTGAATACAACCAATAAAGTTTTGTCTGTATAAATGATCTGTGTAAATGTCTCTTGGTATTAAGATGGCTCATGAGGAAATAGAAATTATATTTTGCAGTCCTTGTCTGGTTTCCACAGTAATGGATTATGTCTATAGGATATGAACTCAATAGGTTAGAAAAGTGAAAGAATCATCATCAGTAATGGTACAACTGACATCATGTGGCTCCTGAGGTGATATATTGAGAAGGACAAACATCACCTATGCGATAGTACTGCCAAAATGTTTCACCTCAATCTAATCATGAGTAAACAATCAGACAAACACACATTAAAGGACATCCTGCAAAGCCGCTGGCCAGGACCCTTCACAGGCATCAATGTCATGAAAGACACAAACGCTGAGGAACGCTTGAGATTGATGGAGACTAAAGAGACAGGATAACAAAATAAATGCATTAGCATTATTTGGATCCTGGATCGGGGGGAAAAAACAGCTATACAGGATGTTATTGGAACACATGGGAAATTTTGAATTTGGACTGTAAATTAGATAATGTTAAAGTTCCTGAGCAATAATTATATGCTGGTTGTATAAGAGAATGCCTTTGCTCTTAGGGGATAGATGATGGAAGACACACACACACACACACACACACACACACACACACACACGGGAGAGAGAGAATAAACACAGTATATATATATATTATATATAAAATATATATATATATAATATATATACACACACACACACAGTTTTACATGTATATACTTTATATATATATAAAGTTAACAAAATGTTAACAATGGATCTAAATGAATGTTAAATGGATGATTGTTGTAGTACTCTCATGACTTTTCTGAAGGTTTGAAATGTTCATAATTTAAAAATATATCTGGGAGTAGAGAAAGATTGGGAATATAGATCAGGCAAGATTAGGCCAGCATTGATTGTTGTTGGCGCTTAGGGTTGAGCATATAGGGGTTCATTAGATTATTCTGTCTACTCTTTGAGATGTTTGAGATTTTTGCCCAATAAAGAGTTTTTAAAAAGGAATGATTTAGTCAGATTTCCTGCTGCTGACTCTCAATAAATGTTTGATGAGGATAAGCTGCCATGACAGATGACTTCTCTACCTGTGTCTTACCCTCATCCTTACTTCTACCCAGCCCCAGCTACTATTTTCCCTTGCCTGGACCCTGACCCCATCCCCCATTTATTATCCAGCCTGAAGCCAAGGTGATGTTTTTTAAAATGCAAAACTGATCACACAAGCCCTGCCTGAAACCATTCAAAGTCTATCGAGTATTTTAGGAGGAAACTCCTCACTCACAGGCTCCTTTCCCTGGGTTCTGGCCTCAGGGCAGTTTTAGGTCTCTTATTCTTGCCCCAGTCTTCCCTACACCTATGTAGAGGCTTGTCCCTCAGACCAGAATGCTGTTTTCCCTCTTTATCAAGTCAGGGCTTATTCATTCTTTAAATATCAGTTCAATATCACTTCTTTATGAAATCCTTCCCTGGTCTATTTGCTTAGCATGAAGCCCCAGCATGGGCCTGGTAGCAGGTCCATTTCTCTGGTAACATCCTAGTTGGAATTATAATTCTCTGTGATTGGCTGATGCCTTCCTCTAGGTTGAAAGCTCTCTGATGTCTCTGTTTTGCTCATCATTGTATCCATAGAAGGTGCTTGATATCGACACATAATTTCATACATTTTTAACTATTTTTTTCACTAACATTATTTAGAATTTTTATCTTCATAGAATTCCTTTGTACTTATCTTCAAAAGGACAGGTGATTGTCTCCTGAAGCTGAATTTTAGTTCTTAAATTGATGTGATCCCCTCTGACAATATGGAAACATTATTGTCATAATGCTCCTTGAAAAATTGGTTAAGTCACTTGGCTTCTGTTTCCTTTCACAATCAATATGACTTCATGCAAAATGATGCAGCAGTTCACATCATTCTGTCAGCCCCTATGAAGGAAATATTGTTTTCTAAAATTAAAATTGTGAATCAACTCACAGGAGGATGTTGTCAAATAAACAAAGAATCATCACTTATATTACACTGCCAAATTTTTGATAAGCTTAATTCCTCCAAATGCATTTAACTTTAATGAAGAATAATACAATTTAATAACAACATAAAATGGAATAATTTATCTTTCCAGACCTAGACATTGGGCAGATGTCTTCTGCTTAATAAGTTGTGTCAAAATGCAAAAGATTTTTTCTTCTCCTTCAGATTTATCTCTCCTTGTTTTTATATATGTGGCTTGGGCAATGATCTATATGTACATATTTAATTAAATCACTCATCAGGCTATATAGTGTTTATGGTTGCACATCTCTGGGATTTGTTGTTTCAAGTTCCCGAGGCACTGATATTTATATAACCCAATAAAATTTGATAATTATTAGTGTATTTGTCAAGATTATTTCAGTTGCAAGTGACATATAACCAAACTCAAATTAACTTAAGCAACAAAGGGAATTTACTGCCACATATAACTGTGGAAAGCAAAGGTGGAGGTTGGTTTCAGGGACTCAGATGAGGTTGACAGGGGTGTCTCTTCATCTCCTGGCTTGCTTTGCCCTTTGCTACTGTCATTCTCAGGTAAGCTCTCTTCTTATAGGTAACAAAGGAATGTTCATGAAGCAACACAGTAAGTTATTCATTGATATAGGGTGAATTTTGGATATTTACAGATGGGGTGAAAGGCTCCAGCTGAGCCTAAACTGGGGTTTGGATTGTGCCTGGGTGTCAATTTATGTGATATGATTTTTTGGTGGGGGGCTTAAAGAGAGGATTTGTTATAAGACTGCTGGGAGAGGGGCAAAATGGGGAGGCATTACTTGGTGCTATGTGTTCCACCATGGTTCAAGGACTATTAGTTTGGTGCAAAAGTAATTGTGGTTTTAGCCATTAAAAATTACCTTTTTGAGCTTCTGTGGAAAGTAGAGCTATAACAGAGAGTGAAATAATCACTTTTTATGAAGAATTTCATAAATTTTGAGGGGATTGTACAGTTTTGGTACATTAGGGTGTGATAGCTATAAAATGCTTCCAGGAAGCAACAGTGCAAGACAGCACAGCATCTCACAGGGAGGCACTGAGGAGCCCAAAGGCTATAATTTCCCTCTTGAGCACCCTCTGGAGACTCCAGAGCTGCTTGGGTCCCTATGGTATGGTGCCAGAGAGTGGATTTTAGAAACAGTAGATATAGCTCCTTGTTTATGGGAGATGCTTCCACTTAGTTTTATAGGGATAGATTACATGACCCCAAAAGGTTACGTACAGGGAGGGGAACAATGCAGAACACACTGTCATTATGAAATCAGTGAATGAATGTGAAGATACAAAGAAACAAGGTTTGTGTGTTGACAAATGCTTCAGTTTGATAAGACATACAACAGGCAGCTTATGTAGAAAGCCAGTGGCATTATCATAGGATGTTTCTCATTTACTGCCTATAAGGAAGTCATGTCGTTGCTCTGTAAAAGCTTGCAAAGATAGCACCAGTACTAGAAGAACCATGTCAGTCATGTTGCAAATATCTGAGCAACATTAAGACTTCTTACATTGGGAATACTCTTCCTATATAACCCCTTCTCTGGTTAAAAGCATTAAAAAATTTTAAGAGGTATATATAATGAAATTGCAGGGATTTATACATTCAAATCAGTGATGTGGTCTGCAAAAGGTAAGTATAAATTGTAATGTAGGTAAAATCCTCTATTACTTTTGTTTGTATAAGTTCGGATCTTAAATTAAACTGCTGCTAGCAGAATGCTCATTAAAGTGGATTTAAAATTCCAAATGAAAAGTTATTGATTTCAAAAAGGGTAAACACAACTAAGCCTTTAGAATCATCTGAAGTTATTAAATTATCAACTTAGTTACTGTTTTTTATTTTTTTTTAGTAACTTGATTGTTTATTAGGTAAACTGCATAAGGTAAAACGTTTGAAATGGAACTGAAAGATATCAGCCAATAGTTATTTTCCACAGACATTTAAAAATGAATTGTTTGCTGAAAAATGGTGATGGGTTTTGATCTCCGTTGCCCCCAGATTCCTGGACCTCACAAAAAATATAGCCTACTTTATGTCTATTTGAAGGAAAGATTAGGATGAGGGTCAGATGATAAATTTTTAGCCACAAGTATCTAGCCAAAAGAGCCTGACTTCGCCCTATCACATTTCCCATGTATGTTTATGGACTGTACCATTTAGGTATTATAATAAAAATTTTTATCTGTCCCTGGAGGCAAAACTGAGTTATATATTAAATGGCTATTTTCTTTGTTTTCTGCTTAGGTATGCATGTAATGTGGTAGCATAATATATATTCCACACTTGTTTCATTCCTGCAGAGAGATAATATTTTTGCAGCTGACAGAGTAAAGACATCCTGTGCTTCCAGAATAAGAGAGAACATATTGTCAGGATAAAATACAGATGTTTCCATTGTTTTTTCTACCTCGTGGTTGTTTTCAGCAGAGGTTAAATTTCATGGGCATATTTCCCTGTCCTTGTTTGGGCAGTTGGACACAGAAGTTCATAGTAAATTCAGGACTATTAAAGATGGTTTCAAGGAATGTATTTCAAAATGTTTTTAGTAGGGGAAAGTAAGTAAAAAATTTATCCCTCCCAAAAAAGCTCTCTTCATAAGAATGTTGAAATTTAAATAACTTTCCTATTTCTCTGTAAGGAAGGAAGTTGAGTATGTCCAATTTTTCTTTCTTAAAAAATTTATTTTTCTTACGTGAGAAACAAATACAAAGTTTCTTTCATCACAGTCTAGAAAAAATAAATGGAATCTTTTGTAACAAAGATGGTATCCTGATTACATCTGATGACTTCCTCTTTCCTATTCTAGAAAGAAATAATCCAAAACATGTAAAAGGGTTATAAAAAGGTCATTTGTGTATCATCATCAGAAACTTTTTACCTATATCGATGAAGCTCAGGAGTTTTAGTTGGAAATGCTAGAGGTGGTAGTAAATGAGGGGGTCACTAATAAGCCACTGTTCACATTTTGGCTGTTCATGCTGGAAAAACAAATTCTTCAACTGTAAAGATAAGAGAAAAATCACCAGTCAAAATCTAGAGACCAAAAATATGTCTTGAAAATGAAGAGAAGAGTAACTATAAAGCATTCTTCTGCTGGGCATGGTGGCTCATGCCTGTAATCTCAGCGGTTTGGGAGGTGGAGGCAGGCGGATCACCTGAGGTTGGGAGTTCAAGACCAGCCTGACTAACATGGAGAAACCCCGTCTCTACTAAAAATACAAAATTAGCTGGGCATGGTGGTGCATGCCTGTAATCCCAACTACCTGGGAGGCTGAGGCAGGAGAATAGCTTGAACCCAGGAGGTGGAGGTTGCAGTGAGCCAAGACTGCACCATTGCACTCCAGCCTGGGCAACAAGAGAGAAACTCTGTCCAAAAAAAAAAAAAAAAAAAAAATTCTTCCAGAATGTAGGGCATAAATTTCAAGAACTGGCAATTTAGAAGACAGTCAAGAGGCAGGAAAGATGAAAGCAAAAGAAATAGTATTATTGGGCTATCGTGCCACTGCACTGCAGCCTCCAGCCCAGGTGACAGTGCGAGACTCCGAAAAAAAAAAAAAAAAGAAAAGAAATGGTATCATTATCACAGGAGTTCCAGAAGGAGAAAACTGTATGGATGAATGAAAGCAATAGCCAAAGAAACAGAAGAAGGCATTTTTTCCAAGTTGAAGAATTCAGTCTTCACATAGAGAAAGCTTACTGAAGACTGGGCAGGCATAATGAAAAAAAGCCATATTCAGGTGGTTCACCATATTCTGGATAAAGAACAAATGCTAGAAGCAGCCAACTAGGAAAAAATGTCACCCCCCACCCCACAAGTTTAAATGACATTGGACTTCTTATTTGCAACACTAACATTAGAAAACCTGAGAGAAAATGTGTGACTTCTGAAGAAAAGAAATTATGTTCCAATAATTATATACTAAACCAAGCTATTGTCAAAATGCAAGGCAAATCAAAGCCTGGTTCAGATTTGCAAGAATTCAGAAATTGTATGACTCACGTATACTTTTAAAAAAACAAAAAACAAAAAAACAAAGTATACCTTTAAGAAAAAGCTAATCAAAATAAAGAATTTTAGAAATGTAAAGACATGTTTAAAAAATAGCAGTGAGCTGCTCAAGGAAATAGGAGAGGACACAAACAAATGGAAAATCATTCCATGCTCATGGATGGGAAGAATCAATATTGTTAAAATGGCCATGCTGCCCAAAGTAATGTATAGATTCAATGCTATCCCCATGAAGCTACCATTGACTTTCTTCACAGAATTAGAAAAAAACTATTTTAAATTTCATATGGAACCAAAAAAGAGCCCGTATAGCCAAGACAATCCTAAGCAAAAAGGACAAAGCTGGAGGCATCACACTACCTGTCTTCAAACTACACTACAAAGCTATAGTAACCAAAACAGCATGCTACTGGTACCAAAACAGATATATAGACCAATGGAACAGAACAGAGGCCTCAGAAATAATGCCACACATCTACAACCAACTGATCTTTGACAAACCTGACAAAACACAAGGAATGGGGAAAGGACTCCCTATTTAATAGATGGTGTTGGGAAAACTAGCTAGCAATATGCAGAAAACTGAAACTAGACCCCTTCCTTACACCTTATACAAAAATGAACTCAAGATGGATTAAAGACTTAAACATAAGACCCAAAACCATAAAAACCATAGAAGAAAACCTAGGCAATACCATTCAGGACATAGGCATGGGCAAAGACTTCATGACTAAAACACCAAACGCAATGGCAACAAAAGCCAAAATTAACAAATGCAATCTAATTAAACTAAAGAGCTTCTTCACAGCAAAAGAAACTATCATCAGAGTGAATAGGCAACCTAGAGAATGGAAGAAAAGTTTTGCAAACTATCCATCTGACAAAGGGCTAATATCCAGAATCTATAGGGAACTTAAACAAATTTACAGGAAAAAAACAACCCCATCAAAAAGTGGGTGAAGGATATGAACAGATACATCTCAAAAGAAGACATTTATGCAGCCAACAAACATATGAAAAAAAGCTCATCATCACTGGTCATTAGAGAAATGCAAATCAAAACCACAATGAGATATCATCTCACGCCAGTTAGAATGGTGATCATTAAAAAGTTAGGAAACAACAGATGCTGGAGAGGATGTGGAGTAATAGGAATGCTTTTTCACTGTTGGTGGGAGTGTAAATTAGTTTAATCATTGTGGAAGACAATGTGGCGATTCCTCAAGGA
This sequence comes from Homo sapiens, assembly GCF_000001405.40. Taxonomy (NCBI): domain Eukaryota; kingdom Metazoa; phylum Chordata; class Mammalia; order Primates; family Hominidae; genus Homo; species Homo sapiens. The sequence goes on from NC_000005.10 coordinate 127,246,061, forward strand.
TCTAGAACCAGAAATACCATTTGACCCAGCAATCCCATTACTGGGTATATACTCAAAGGATTATAAATCATTCTGCTATAAAGATATATGCACATGTATGTTTATTGTAGCACTGTTCACAATAGCAAAGACTTGGAACCAATCCAAATGCCCATCAATGATAGACTGGATAAAGAAAATGTGGCACATATACAACATAGACTACTATGCAGCCGTAAGAAGAATGAGTTCATGTTCTTTGCCAGAACATGGATGAAGCTGGAAACCACCATTCTCAGCAAACTAACACAGAAACAGAGAACCAAACACCGCATGTTCTCACTCATAAGTGGGAGTTGAACAATGAGAATATATGGGTACAGGGAGGGGAACATCACACACCAGGGCCTGTTGCGGGGTGGGGAGCAAGGGGAGGGATAGCATTAGGAGAAATGCCTAATGTAGATGATGGGTTGATGGGTGCAGCAAATTACCATGGCACATGTATACCTATGTAACAAACCTGCACATTCTGCACGTGTATCCCAGAACTTAAAGTATAATTAAAAAAAAAATGGTGAGCAATGAAAACTTAGATTTAAGTCTAAAGAGTAGTTTGTAATGTGGTTGTGAAACTAAGTGAAATTTACAACAATAAATTTTGAAAAGATATACATATATAAAATTTAGATTTAAAACATATATTTTATATTTACATAAAATATTTATAAATTATATTTATATATAATTTATAATATTTATAAATATTTAAAATAATAGATAATATATACTATTACATATAATTTATAAATGTTTAAAATAATATATACTATATAATAGTATATATTATACAATAATATATACTATATAATAGTATATATTATACAATAATATATGATTATATTATATATAATAAATAATATATAATAATATATGTATAAAAAGAATATATATATATATATATATATAGACACACCATACATACATAAATGAATGACCTAAAGTTCCCTGGAGGTGTGAGATGAAGAGAGAGGTAGGGAAAGAGGAAGTAAAGCATGATAGTTTTCAGCTTGAAAAAGAAGGGTCTATATATGTTTCTGGGTTCTTAACATTGATGGAGAATAAATTAAAACATGTTTTACAAAATTTTAGACAAAACAAATTTTAAATGAGACCATTAGAGGAGAAAAAAAAACTCACAGAAAGTATTATTATTCCAAAAGACAGCAAAGTGTGTGTGTGGTTGGGGGGTGGGGGAGAGAGAGCGAGAGAAAGAGAGAGAAGAAGAAGAAGAAGAAGAAGAAGAAGAAGAAGAAGAAGAAGAAGAAGAAGAAGAAGAAGAAGAAGAAGAAGAAGAAGAAGAAGAAGAAGAAGAAGAAGAAGAAGAAGAAGAAGAAGAAGAAGAAGAAGAAGAAGAAGAAGAAGAAGAAGAAGAAGAAGAAGAAGAAAAATTTAAAGAATCTATGAAGTAAGACAGAAGGAATAAAAAGCTCATGAATTTGATTTATCTATGCAACTTTATTTACAGGCCATAATGGAGTAACTGCTGTTGGATTTACCCTCACACTACAATGAAAGAAAATATGTAAAGTGACCATTTTAGGCATTGGAAAATTGGCAGTGTAGGATTAGAGTCTTAGAGAGACAGAAATAACATGAGGCAAGCACCACATTTTATATCTGGGAGCACTTTCCTGAATGTGGGGCACAGAGAAATGGAGACCAAGTGAAGATCATTAGTCTGATTGAGCTGAGGGGGCAGAAATGGTAACACAGGGCTCTAGAGAAAGCTGGAATTTGCAGGGTAGGATTCCAGAGAGGGAGAAGCAGTAAAGAAGAAAAGTCCCAGAAGTCTGTGTAGATATTCTTCTTAGCTTTTTGGCTGAGAGCTGGTGTGGGCTTTACACGTCAGGTCGAGATTCTGCAAGACCTCCCAATTCTGAAAAGTAGAAGCTGCAAAGGAGCTAACAAAGGAAAGGAAATGCCAGAGATCTGCACTGCTAAGAGATATTGCAGTCTTAGCCCAGCTATAATGGAAAGACTTCACCATATGCGTCAGTCATTTAGTTGAAACCACTCTATAGAAACAAGGACTATGATCATATCTAGGGATTTAAGTAAAAAAGGGGTATAGCCTAGCCCAAACAAAGCATAAAATGAAGCCTGAAGGATCAAGAGAATGAGCCAGTTGTGTAGTTGCTGGCCAGAACAAAATATTATACTTTTAAAAGGGAGGCAATATAATCCAAACTGTGTATAATAGATCATTTGCAACATTTTATGTGCAATAGAAAATTACTATAGAGGCAAAGAACCAGGAAAATATGACCCATAACAAAGATTTAAAAAAATACAATAGAAAGAGATCCTGAGATGATTCAGATTTTGGAGTTAGAACACAGTTTTTAAAACAATGTTTATACACATGTTCAAAGATTTAAATGAAAACATGAATGTAATGAATGGACAGGTAGGAAATCTCAAAAGAGAAAAGCAGGGTATAAAAAATACCTAACTAAAAATACTAGAAGTAATAATTTCCCTCAGTGGCTCAAGAGGAGATTGGATAATGCAGAATAAAAGATCAGAGAATTGAAAAACACAATGATGGAAGATAACAAAATGGAAAAACAAAGAGAAAATATATTTTAAAACATGGATAGAGCCTCAGAATCTTGTGGGATAATATCAGTTGTCCCATATGTAGGGAAGTCTCAGAAGAAAAGGGAAAGGAGAATGAATCAGAACTATTCCAAGAAATAATAACGAAAGGTGAACTTGGTGAAAAAAAAAATCAATCTGCAGATCTAAAAACACCAAAGCAGTATGTCTTTTAAAGTATTCTTCAAGATTGAAAAGTAAAAAAAAAAAAATTTAAATTAATGTAAACTGAAACTATTTGTCCACAATAGCCATGGTACTAAAAGAAATGCTAAAGAAAGTTCATCAAGCTGAAGATAAAACTTAGAACTATAGGAAGGAATGAAGATCATTGGACATGGTAAACGTGGGCAAATATGAATAAATTTTATTTTCTCACCTTTAAATTTCTTTAAAACATAATTGACTGGTTCAAGCAAAAATAATAATGCGTTGTGGCTTGGGTACTGTGTTGTGGCATTTCTAATATATGTAATAGTAAAAATGACAATAGCATTACAAATTGGGTGGGGTAAATGGGATTCTACTGTTGGAAGATTCTTATATTCTATGTGAAGTGTTACAGTATTAATTAGAAGTAGACTGTGATAAGTTAAAAATATATACTATAATCCCTGGCGCAATCACTAATACATACACACAGAGAGAGAGAGAGAAGAAGAAGGAGGAGGAGGAGGAGGAGGAGAAGAGAGAAATACCCAATAGAGATAGAGGCAATAAAATAGAGTACTAAATCATATTTCATTGATTTAAGAAGGTAGAAAAGGACAAATAAAAGAAACAAACATACAAACATGAGATGGAACAAATAGAATATGAACTGCAAGATAGTAAAATTAAAGTCAACCATTTAATTACATTGAATGTAAATGTACTAAATATTACAATTATGAGGCAGAGATTATTGGACTGGATATAAAAACAGGAGCCAACTAAAAGCTGTCTGTAAGAAAGTCTCTTTAAATAAAACCACACAGCTAGGTTGAAAGGAAAGACATAAAAAATTGTGGCTTATTCTGTTTTGTGCTGTGGAATCCCTGAGACTGGGTAATTTATAAAGAATAAAAATTTATTTATTGCCGTTTTGGAGGCTGAGAAGTCTAAGATCAAGGCAGCAGCAGGTTTAGTGTCTGTGAGGTTCTGGTCTCCAACTCCAAGATGTCATCTTGAATACTGCATCCAACAGAGGAGGCAACACTGTTGTTCACATGGCAGAAGAGTGAAAGGAGGAATGCAAATTTACCCCTTTATGGCAAACCCACTCCTGTGATAACAGCGTTGATTCATTTATGAGGGAGGAGCCCTCATGGCCTAATTACCTCTTAATGGTCTTACCTCTTAATACTATTAAAATGGTAATTAAGTTTCCAACACATGCTTTTTGGGGGCCCATTTAAACGATAGCAAATATATACCATACAAATAGTAACCATGAATAAAACTTATGTGGCTATGTTAATATTGGGCAAAATAGACTTCAAGATGAGGATTGTTACTATAGATTAAAAAAACTTTCATAAGAAAGATCAGTTTGTCAAGAAGAGACAGTAATCTTAAACGTGTATTTACCTAATAACTATGTTTAACATCATTTCTGGCACATAGGAAGAATACATTAAATGTAGCTATTATTAATACAAGGATGACTCAACACAAGAAAATCCATTAATATAATTTACTATATAAATAGATAAAAAAAATTTATGACATTTCAATATGGGCAAAAATGTATTTGCTAAAATTCAATAATCATTTGTGATTAAAAACAAGTAAACAATAAGTGTTGGTAAGCTAGCAATAGAAGGAAACTTCATTGAACTAATAAAGATTAGCATAAAACAAGAACAAACACCATGTGTGATGTAAATCATTAGAAACATTCCTACTAAAGTTAGAGACAAGATAAACTTGCTGCCAGAACTGTTGTCTTTTAACCTTGTAATAGAGGTCCTAACTCTAACCAATGCAAATATATACAGACCAAAAAAGAATAACATGACACATAAATATTATAAAGAAAAGACACAGATATAATTATTTGGAAACTAAAGATTGCCATGCAAATCCAAGGAATTATCTGAAAAAATTATTAGAATCAGTAAAATTCAGTACGACAGATACAAAATTAACATAGAAAAAAATCAATGCTTTCCTATATATTATCAATAATATACTAAAGAATGAAACAGAGAAAAAAACCTATTTACAATAATAATAAAAAACCCTAACAGTTGTAAGATTCATATGTTGAAAACTGTAAAATATAGAAAAAAATCCAATAATGCAGATATGCAGGACTTTTCTAAACAGAAGACAATTTTTGTTGAGATATCAGTCCTCCTCAAGTTAATTTAGAAATGTAATGCAATCCTAATCATTATTTATGAAACTTAACATGCTATTTTATTGGTCAAATGGTAGACAAAATAGCAAGTAACCTGGAAAACTCCTAGAAGAAAAAATGAGGGAAACTTGTCTTTCAAAAATTAAAACAAATTTGAAAATATAAAAGTATAGGGTTTGCGCAGGTATAGGCAGAGATATTGGTTAATAAGATTGGATGGAATCTAGGAGGAGCAGTATGCACATCAGGGTTTAGTATAGTAAAGAGCACTGGATCTCAAGCCAGGCCACACAGTAGCTGTGCGTTCTTGAAGTTACTTAAACTCTTTGTGCCTTGGTTTCCTTATGCGTAAAAGAGGGATCATTATACTACCTACGTCTTATGGTTGTTGTGAAGATTAAATACATTAATATACAGAAAGCACTTAGAAGAGTGCCTGAAATGTGGTCAGAACTACGTAAGTGCTTGCTGCTATTAATAATAAAAATGGCAAACAATTAAGTAGGAAAATGAATTACTTTACAAATTAGGGTGAAGCTTGGTTATCCATTTTCAAAGCAATACAGTTAGGGGTGATTGGTTATCCATTTTGAAAGAAATACATTTAGACATATGCCTTAAACCATACCCAAAAAGCCAAACATAAAAGTACTAGACATAGCTGCAGAAAAAATATAAGCTTGGGGTAAAGAAAGCCTATCGAAGTAAGATATAAAACATTAAAACCATAAAGGAAAATAATCAAATATTTAAATACATTAAAATTTAAAAGGAAACTTCTGCATGCAAAAGACGTAGTAACATAATAGACAACCTTCAGCCTGGATATATATTTGCATTATATTAGCAAAGGATTAATATCAGTAAGCATCAATAGGAAAATAACAATCCCTCCAATAGAAAAATGAATGATGGATATTAAAAAGCAATTTATAGAAAAAGAAATACAAATGTTCAATAAACCCTACAAAATATTCAACCTCATTGGTAATCAGATAAATGTAAATTAATGTGATACATTTTAATCAATTTTCACTAATCAGATTAACAAAATTATAGAAGCTTTATAATACCCAGGGTTAGTAAGGATATGATAGATTAACACAATGATACCTTATTGGTAGGAGGATAAGAAGACAAAATCTTTTTGGAGAAAATTTTTTTACTATCTATTAAGATTAAAACTGCCTTTTTTTTTTACTTAGTTATTCCACATTTATGATCTTATTCTGAAGAATATTTTGCATGCAGTGGGCCTAAAAGTCTATGTACAAGAATGATCATGGCAGGTTTGTTCATGATAGTGAAAAGAGGGAAACATCCAAATACTCATAGTAGAAGAGTAGTTAAAGAGTGTATGGTAAAGCCATAATGTTGAATACTATGCAGCTATTAAAAAGGATGAAGTACATATAGTTTCATATCATTTATAATATATATGTGAAAAGCTTTTCAAGGAATAAGTGAAAGAGTAGTTTCAGAATAGCTCTATTTATTCTTTACACATGTATTAATGCACATATACTTGCACGTTGTGTTTACATATAAATATGTGAGGGTGTAGGAAAAATAATGAAAATAAAAGTACTAAATTGTTAATTGTGGTTAACTCTGGGGATGGGTGGGATAGGGTGAGAGAGACAGACTGCATTTTTAGTCTTTTCAATTAGGTATAGTTTTAACTTTCTATGATGAAAGTCCACTTATACACATCTTGTATAATAAAGGACAATGAAACATAATAGAAGAATAGCTACTGAAGATCTCAAAGAAAGACCAGGAGGCAGGTTGTTTTCTTGACAAATGCTCTTAATATCTAATTCCTATGACTTTAGCACTGTTTCAGCGCAAAGACATGAATTTTTTTTTTGAGACAGAGTGATGAATTTTAATTCATTTAATATGGCTAGCATAATCATGAAGCCAAATTTGACAAAGATAACATAGGGATAACACAACACTACAATTCATACTCATAAACACGGATACAAACATTTAAAATAAAGTGCTGAAAAATCCAGTTAATAACGAAGTACTGTTTCTTCTAAAAATGCAAAAGTGATTTAACACTTTGACAAATATTAATGCTTTTCATAGGTTAAAAGAGACAAAGCATGTGATTGTCTAGAGGTGACTTTTCCACCTATTGATCTATTTGTTTAAAAAAAATTTATTGAGCCAGGGATTATTCTAAATTCTGGTATAGAGGCAAATACAAATATGATAAAGTATGAAGGAGTGTTTAGATAGGGGAAGTCCTAGATATGAAAGAAATAGATAATCAAGCTTCTATCTGATAGCAATAGAAAATAATATTCATGTTAGGGAAAACCAGGAGTATTCCTATTCAAGTTGGAAGCAATACAATCAATTATTATGATTATTAAAGCTGTGTTTAATAAGTACTAACCAATGCAATAGGCTATATAAAAGAAATGTCATATACATTGGAAAAGAAAATTATAATACACAATTATAGTTATTTATACATTTATATGATTCTCTACATAGAAAACTGAAGATAATGAGTTGAAAAAGTATTAGGAGATAGAGAGAGGCATTTGGTCAGGTGTCAAGTTACAAGAAAAATATAGAGCTTTCCTGCACACTAGAAACAGCCAGTTATCATATGTATATAATGGAAAAGGATGTCATTATAATAGCAAAAATGATATAGCAGGCCCAGGCAAAAATAACAGAAAATTCACAGGACTTATAACAAGAAAATGATAAACTTTTTTTGAGAATAGAAAAGAAGTCTCAACCATGTTTCTAGAGGAAAATACTCAGAATTAGAAAGATGTCAGTTCTCCTTAAATTATCTTTCTATAAACTCAATTCAATTCTAATAAAAAACAATAATGTAATTTGAGAAAAAATTGAAAAATAGTTCTTATTTAAAATTTTTATTTTTATTTTTGTCAAAGTCATACATATTCACTTTATGCTGAGTTCTACTAGCTTATAACAGCAATCTACAGCTTTGCACTTTCTAGCTTCTGATTCCCATTTCCAAAGTAAAAAATTTCCAACAGTTTAAGCAGTTTTTACTGGTATTTACATCCATATTTTCAAATAAGCAGATTTTTCTGCTATTTAAGTTTTGTTTTTCTTTTTCAGTTTTGAATATTATCTATTGACTTCCTACTATTGAAGATAAGATTTAGTTTTCTTAACCACTCCTCAAACCCCAACCAGTCTCCGTCCCCCAACTCAAATACACCCTACACAAATGCACAATCATTTAATCTTCTTTGGTTCTATTCATATACAGTGTTAAAATTATAGTGTCTATATAAATAGCATTCACAGGTGAGTCTCACAATATTCTACAATTTCCTTTTATAATAGAAATGAAGCACTGTTTCTTCTAAAAAATGCAAAAGCTTTTTTTATGACAAATATTAATACTTTTCATAGGTTAAAAGAGATAAAGCTTTTCCAGAAAAGCTAATAATTATTTCATTTTTTAAAAGTTGCATTGTGGCTGGGTGCAGTGGCTCACACCTGTAATCCTAGCACTTTGGGAGGCTGAGGTGGGTGATCACCTGAGGTCAGGAGTTCAAGACCAGCCTGGCAAACATGGCGAAACCTCGTCTCTACTAAAAATACAAAAATTAGCCGGGTGTGGTGGTGCATGCCTGTAATCCAAGCTACTTGGGAGGCTGAGGCAGGAGAATTGCTTGAACCCAGGAGGCGGAGGTTGCAGTGAGCCAAGATCACGCCACTGTACTACAGCCTGGGTGACAAAGTGAGACTCCATCTGAAAAAAAAAAAAAGTTGCTTTGTTATTGATATTGATATCGTAATCACCTGACAGGTTCTTTTTGCCCCCTGCACAGATAAAACCAACTCACTGAGACAGTGGTATTGCAGTAGAGAAAGAGTTTAATTAATGTAGAACTAGCCAAGCAGAAGATGGGAATTTATTACTCAGATCAGCCTCATTGAGAACTCAGAGGCTATGGTTTGTATGGATAATTTGGTGGGCAGGGGGCCAGGGAATGAGTGCTGTTGATTGGTTGGGGATGAAATCATAGGAATGTGGAAGACAGTCTTTATGTACTGAGTCAGCCTCTGGGTGGGGGCTGCAGGACTGGTTGAATCATGAGTCACAGGTCCAGGTGGAGTCAGTTGGTTGCCAGAATGCAAAAGTCTGAAAATCATCTCAAAAGACCAATCTTAGGTTTTACAATAGTGATGTTATCTATAGGGGCAATTGAGGAAGTCACAAATCTTGTGACCTCTGGCCTCGTGACAACTGAGCGGCAAGGGATTATACAGAAAAGCAAGCTAGGGAACAATGACTGGTTATCATTTAACTATGCCTACATTTTAGCAAAATTCAGGCCCATCTTATAATCCTAATCTCATAGCCTTTCAATAGTCTTACAAAGGCAATTTCAGTCCCCAGACAAGGAGGGGGGCAGTTTTAGGGAAGGACTATTATCATCCTTGCTTGGCCTACACCCAGGAATGAGTGAGGACAGCCAGCCTATGAAGCTAGAAGCAAGATGGATTTAGCCATGCTACATTTCTCTCACTGCCATAAACTTTGCAAAGGTGGTTTCAATACAATGGATAGAGCTAAAGGGGAGGAGAGAGTAAGAATGAAAATAAGAACCTCTTAATACATTCAAGCACTTAAGGAAAATCTGAGAACTCCAGTTCTTGAAAATATGGATTTTGAATCCATCCTTCCACTCCACAATGGATTCGTCTCTTTCTAGTCTTACTGTCTTGCTGTGTTTCAGGACATTCCTTTATTGTCATCCTGGGAACACAACCTCCTTTTTTGATGTTGGAGCTCCCATTTGTTGGATTCTATGTCTTCCTCTTTCATGGTTTACAACCTTGTTTGTGGGGAGCACTTTATTGAGTAGATTCCAGGGAACTGTGCTACAGAACTGACCTAGGGAGGAAATGCTACTGCCACTGCCCCAACAGGCACCAGAGAAAACTGCTGTTGCTTCTGCATCCCCCAGCTCAAACCAACCACTGGTATCCTCTGGGAAATCTGGGCTCCCATGACTGCCCTAACCAAAGCCTGGAAGCCTCTGCAGTCATCTGTGCCTGTAAGTTAAAACTGTACCTGGTATTGTGTTTTAAAATTAATCTGTTAGACCCTTTTCTTTAAATACATATTTACAAGCTGTGTTTTTAAATGTTAAGAAATGTTAAAAAAAATTTCCTCCAATCTATTTACACAGATTGGAATAATTTGAGCTTGATCAGGTGATATTCAAATGGATTAATTCTCATTAAGTTGGTGAGTAAAAACAACCTGTGATGACAAACTTAGTTTATAATTTTAAGTTAACATACACAGTTTTTTACAACAGTCGTTTTGACCAAAGGAGATAGTCCTTGATGTTTCCTGTTAATAATTATCCCTGATGTTTATTATTGATGTTTCCTCAAGGATATCCTTTATCCTTGATGTTTTCTTTTAGTAATTTTCCTTCGACTGACCACCCCCACAATCCTGCTCCATGGTCATAAATCCCCACTTGTTCTTACTGAAGTCAGAGTTGAGTTTGATCTCTCTCCCTTGCAGTGAGACCCTATTACTGTGGTCCCTATACCTGTTGCTAAGGGCTCCCTTGCTTTGAGTAAAGTCTGCTTTAACAAGTGTCATGAATATGTTTTTCTTTAACCATAGTAACTTATATCACATGGTCTAATTGCAAGTTTGTAAGTCAACATTTTATAGAAATATTAAAAATAAAGCTTTGTAGGGTAGAAGAGGGAAAGCTTCCCCTTCACCCTCTGAAAACTCACTGAAAATAAACTGATGAAAGGAAGATTAACAGGAGAAAAAGCCATACAAAATTTATTTAATGTGCCCTGGGGAGAATCACAGGACAGTGATTGCCCTAATCCCATGAGGTCCAGTTGGTTATATACTCTTCTTCATAAGGAAGAGGGAGATGGGGAGTAGGGTATAGGAGTAAATGATTTGCAGGGGAAATGAATGAGTCCCAAGAACAATGGCCTTGGGCAAAGTTCCTGTGAGCTCTGGAGGAAGTGGCTGCAAGGTGAGAGGCAGAACTTCATTGTGAGCAAAGGTTGTCTTATGCAGATAGAGTCTCCCAGTTAATCTCTTGGAGCTACTTCTTATAGATGAAAAGTCTGTCTGTGTGTGGGTGTGACTCCCAGTCCCTTCTCTGTGGGAATTGACTCTTCTCCAGTGGTTAATCTTTCCTGGCTATTTGATGAGATTCCTAGGGGAGAGTCTTAAGACAATTGCATTTCTTTTTATTAAAAAAAAAAAAAAAAAAGCTTTCTTAGTCAAATAAGGAAATTCCAGAGAGAATCCCTCCTGGTTCTTTGGGAAAGAAAGAGAATACCAGACAGGGCTTTGGGGGAAGGTCAGAGAGACTGGTTCTGTGGCTTATTTCTGAGGCTTTTCAATTTTCTTTGATTCAAAGAACTCAGCATGACAAGCGCCATATTTTGTGGTACTGCTTCTTGTGCCTCAGCAGGGCAAATAAAAAGGATTACCTTTGTAAACCAAAAAGTATCTGAGAAAAGTCTCAATCAATTTAGACGTTTATTTTGCCAAGGGAGAAAAGTCTCAATCAATTTAGATGTTTATTTTGCCAAGGTTAGGGACATGCCTGTGATAGTCTCAGGAAGTCCTGAGTGCCATATTAGGGGTATCTTTTTCTGTACCCCCAACACTTTCAAGCATTATAAGAAAGCTTTGTTCTTAGCAAACTGACCTAGGCAGAAACTCAACTTTTTGGAGACAAAAAAATGTATAATTCTAACTTAGATTTCTTAGAAATAGGTATGTACATAATTGCTAAATATTACTTATATATTTGAAAGTGGTAAGAGCTGTCACAAAGAGTAAACAGACTTATTTTTTCACATTTATTAAAAATTAAGATTTGTTTCTACTATTTGAATAACATTTGCTATCAAGTGCTCAACTAAAGAATATCTGTAACATAGTGATGAAACTATTTTCTGCAAGTCCATGGGTTTAAATTGTTTAAATAGATGGGTGACAATATGAATCAGATGGAGACCCATCAATCTGATACTTAGCTTTAATTTCCAATTGTGCTCAGTATTCTTGCTTGCATAGCAAATTCTCTTCCTGCTGGAATAAAAGCATGAAAAAATTTTCCTAATCTCAGAATTGAGACCAAGTGACTTTTATGTTAGCATCAGTCATTCTCTCTTTGGGGTAATCTATGACAACACTGAGAAAATGAGATTGGTTTTAAGAGTTTGGAATACAAATGAGGATGAAGAAAATAAAGAAATAAGGAATTATGTAATGGTAGTAGTGGATTCAAGCACTGTACCTTAAATTCTACAAAATTAATTATAGAACAGAGTTATAAGTACTTTCATGTTCCAAGTTAGAGCAATTTTGAGTTGAATATCATCCATTAGTAATTATTTGATTTTTTTGCTTCAAATTTGGAGCAATATTACTTTGAAAGATACACAAAGAAAAAATAGGATTGTAGGACAAAATTTATAGACATTTCTCTGAGCTTCCCTTACCTAGTGCTAAGGTTTGTTTGTTTCTTCCAAAACTTATGTCAAAATTTAATTGCCATTGTGATGGTACTGGAAGGTGGGGCCTCTAATAGGTATTTAGGTTATGAGTGTTCCACCCTAATGAACGGACTAATGCTGTAATTTCAGTAATGGATTTGCTCTCTCTTGCTCTCTCCTGTCCTCTTTTTGTCCTTCTGCCATGTGATGCATTTCATCATGTGTGATGTAACAAGAAGGCAGCTTGCAGTTTACAGGTCCTTGATCTTGAACTTCCCAGCCTCCAGAACTTTGAGAAATAAATTTCTGTTCACTACAAACTACCCAGTCTATGGTATTCTCTTATAGTAACACAAAACAGACTGAGACACCTAGTTATATATCCATCTTTTGATCAAGGCGACTATGGTGGTGAGGGTCATTGGAGAATGGCTGAGGGTGCCACAGTTATACAGTAAGACTTCTGATCTTAGCTGTGTCCAAGAGCCCATTACAATATAATTTACATTTATGAGATGATCTGAGCTTGAAATCTGAACAATTCCAGATGAGAATAGGCAGCAGAGGAGGATACAGTGAGGCTGATTGTGACCCTCCATGATGCAGGATTGGTAAACACAGAATGGGGGAGGCAATGCTCAAGATGATCAAAATAATCATCTGCCACTCCCAGGCCAAAGACCTAGTTCTGTATAATTGGGATATACACTTCTAGGGCTATGATCTTCTCAGTCTGTAACTTTTTATTTTTCCATGATCTAACAGTCTCTATTTTGAGCTTCCATTCTATTTGGTGGTAGAAAATTAACAGAGTCCATTCTTCATTCTTGCAAGGTCTGAGGGATGATGGGTCCTTGAGTTGCACTGAAATGTCAAAGGGGGGAGAGTGTGGTCTCAGGACATCATCTGTCCTGTGTGGAATTTGCTGTGACCTAGAAACTATCTGGTTCCTGGTTGTCATTATCCTGCTGTTGTGATATCCAATATAATGTCCACATTCCTACAGTGTTTCTGGTTTTGTGTGGCTTATACTGCTGTATCCCCTAATCATGGCTGCAAGACCCCTCCAGGTATATCAGCCCCCTCTCAGCTAAATTGCTCAGCTTTTAGGGGTAACTTTTGGATGATGTCTTGTGCCACTCTGGAACCATGGGAAACTGGGAAGTTGTCTCAAGCCCTCTCTGCCTAGAGAGACTGCCGTGTCATGGTATTTCAGGGTGTCAGTTAACATGTTTCCAGCTGTGAATAACAAGAAACTTATCTTAAACTACCTAAGTGAAACTAGCTTATACTGTATAAGAATTCAAGAGGTGGCCGGGCACGGTGGCTCATGCCTGTAATCCCAGCACTTTGGGAGACTGAGGTGGGCAGATCAGCTGAGGTCAGGAGTTCGAGACCAGCCTGGCCAACATGGTGAAACCCTGTCTCTACTAAAAATACAAAAATTAGCCAGGCATGGTGGTGTGTGCCTATAATCCCATCTACTCAGGAGGCTGAGGCAGGAGAATCACTTGAACCTGGGAGGCAGAGGTTGCAGTGAGCTGAGATCACGCCACTGCACTCCAGCCTGGGCAACAGAGTGAGTCTCCATCTCAAAAATAAATAAATAAATAAGTAAATAAATAAATAAATGTAAAAAAAATAAAAAAGAATTCAAGAGGTAAGGTGGGTTTCAGGCTGTGTTGATCCAACATGTTCAATAATGCAATTAAACACCCAGGTTCTCTGTGTTTCTCTACACTGCCTCTGACCTGTCACCTTTGTTCTTAAGCAGACTCCTGTCTTGGTTGTTTGATAGGTGTAAGGAGAAAATAGGGATTTCTCTTTTATATCTGGTTGGTTTCTCATGATTCATACTTAAGAATAAAGAGTGTTCCCAGAAGTTTCTGGTAAACCTCCCTTCATGTCTCATTGTCATAACTAGGTCGCATGCTCATTTCTGAACCAATTATTAGAAAGATAAATGGAATTACTCTTAGACCAAAATCAGGCTGAACCCTGAAGCTGAGGTAACTCTGTCACTCATTGTCTCCTGTTGTAGTTGGCTACGTGGTGGAGAGATGAGTATCTGGACAAAATTTAAAAATGTATTAGGAAGAGAACAAGGAAGATGGATATTCTCTGAGTAAAACTACCAATCAGAATTTAGTTAGGAAAACAAACCACTCTAGGCATTTCGAGCAGAGTGGATTTTAACAAAGGGAGTTAAGTGACAAAATTATTGGAAGGGATAAAAGAGACAAAAGGAAGGGAGAAAATATGATGTTAGTCAGTGCTCAGGAACTTTAGGAAGATGCTACTGCTCCTGCAGGACACCACAACTGCGCAATCCCTCATTCCTCTGAAACTATTCTCATTTGTTCCTGTAGTTCCTACAGTAGTAGGAACAGGAACTGTAGTGCAGTTCAGTACAGTACAGGAACTGTAGTGCAGTTCCTATGGGGCGCTCTGCTCCAAAGCCAAAGCCAGGAGAAGATGTGCCTCTGCCTTCCTTCTTCCTTTTCATTTTTTAATAAACAGATTTATTGAGATATAGTTTATATAACATACAATCCAATCATTTAAAATATATAATGCAATGCCTTTAGTGTATTCACAGAGTTGTGAATTCATCACCACTATAAATTTTAGAATATTTCATTACCTCCAAAAAGAAATCCCTTCTCATTAGACATCACCCCTCAATCCAAATCCCCTTATACCCCACTGTCTGGCTCTGGGCAATCAGTAATCTGCTTTTTGTCTGTATAGGTTTGCCTAATCCAGACATTTCATAGAAATAGAATCTTACAATAAGTGGCCGTTTGTAATGGATACTTTCACTTAGCATAATGTTCTCAGTGTTATGGTTCATTCATTCTTGTTGTAATATGTGTCAATATTTCATGTGGTCTGATTACTAAATATATTGCATAGTATCAATATACCATGTTTTACTTATCCATTCATTAGTTAATAAACGTTTGGGTTATTTCTACTTTTTGGTTATTGTAAATAATATTGCTATGACCATTTGTGTACAAGGTTTTGTGTGGAATTATACATGTTGAGTGTATACTTAGGAGTGGAATTGCTGGTTCATATGCTAACTCTAACCTTTTGAAGAATTGCTATACTGATTGTAAAGCAGCTGCCCCATTTTACATTCCCACCAGCAATATATGAAGGTTCCAATTTCTCCACATTATCACTGGCAGTTCTTATTATCTGTTTTTTAAAAAAATTTTATTATTGCCTTCTTAGTGGGTATGAAGTGATATTCCATTGTGATTTTGATTTGCATTTCCCTAATGTCTAATAATATTGAATATTTTTTCTTGTGCTTATTAGCCATTAGTATATCTTCTTTGGAGAAATGTCTGTTCAGATGCTTTGCCCAGTTTTTAATTGGATCATTTGTCTTTTTATTATTGAGTTATAATACTTTTTTATGTGTTCTAGATACAAGCACCTTGTCAGATACATGATTTGCAAATATTTTCTCTTATATCATAGTCTGTCTTTCCACTTTTTCTTAATGCCCTTTGGTATATGAGAGTTTTTAATTTTGATGAAGTCTAATTTACCTGTAATTCCTTTTGCTGCTTGTGCTTTGGGTATCATATCTAAAAATCTATTGCCAAATCTGAAATCATGAAGATTTACTCTCTATGTTATCTTCTAAGAATTTTACAGATTTAGTAGGTACAATTAGATCTTAGATCCATTTTGAGTTATTTTTTGTGTATGATGGAAGGAAGGGGTCCAACTTCATTCTTTTGCATATGGCTATCCAGGTGTCCCAGCACTTCCCTTTAATCTTGTGCAAGTCCCTTCCACTGGCAAGTCTGGAACTAAAATTAGGCTGAAAAGGGAAATTGGAAAATCTAGTTTCCAGACGTCTAGCCCCTGTGATATAAGAGAGAGTTTACAAGGGTGGGGACCAACCCGCAGTATTTAGCACCTAACTACCATAAGCATTAGGCTTCTGTGGGGGTTGCTGTCTCTTGGGTGTCTAGACAGAAAGCAGGCCACATGCCTCCTTTTGTTCAAAGATCCTAAACCTATCAAGGATCAATTTATCACCCTCAAATCTTGGGATGGATGCAGAATGTGGGATCCCAGCTCACTCTATTTTATTTCTCTCATCTCTGTTCTTCCTTCTCCCTAGTCCAGAGAATTCTAAAATTGAGTCTAAGAAAAACTCTGTCCTATATCTTTCCAGATATTTCTGCCTTCTACACTTTTGTTCTCTATCTCTATCTCTTTCTTCTCTTAGATTGGATCCTTAAGTAAAACTGCCTGAAAAGGAGGGCTTTGGTAGAGATGAGGAAAATTTTGTTATTAATTAATACTTTGAAGTTTTATCCTGCCATACACTGGTAGAAATAGAGATGAGAGGGTGTGGAGTGGGGCAAATTATTATAGTACTTGCTGAAAGTAACAATAGTAGCCATGTTAAGATAAAAAAGTAACAACAAAAAAGTCCTACTTCTCTAAGAAATACATGCATATGAGCATATGAGGTGTTGTCTACCTTTAAAGGTATATTGCCTTGCTTTTCTTAATTTCAAAACAATTTGAAACATACTATGGTAAGCTTTTAAAAGAAGGAAAGAAAATCTTAAAGGTACAAGATTATTTTAGACTGAATATTAGACAATAGAAAGCAGCCCTTTGCCTGACAGATTGGGAAGATGGGTTCATGAATGTGATGCAGTGTGTCAGAGACAGGAATAAGATTTGGTGAAGGAAGAGGGATTCTCGGGGGGGGGGTAAAATTATAGATAAGAAGCTAAAATTAATAGATAAGCAGGACATTCATGCCTTTGCTATAGATTTCCAGTTATGACTAAGCAGGTATTAGAGGGTAATTTGGCAATGGTTTTACAATTGTATTTTATAATGAACCATAGCATACTAATATAGACTAAACTGTTTAAACATCTTGGGAGACTTTAATTTATTTAGCTTAAGAGCTTAGTTGAAGGGAAAAAAATAGTGGAAAGTAAGCTGTAGGATTGCTTTTCCTGAATTCTAAATTTAGCTTAAGCATATTTCTAATCTTCTATGCCAGGAATATTTTCTTGAAAATGCATTTGAATTGATTAATCTGATCATCTTTATTAATATGGGATTTGAACAGACATAAACATGCTTACTGTATTTTACTGTGTTGGTTTTTAGGCTAAGTAATCCTGTAAATGATTAGTTAATTATATTCTGTTCGATTACCAAGGTACTTAACTTAAATCCAGTATGATCATAAAAGGTAAGTAAATCTTCAGTGACAATGATGGAGATTCCACACATGGTTACATTTGAGAAGGCAAAAGGAACTACATCATGTGACCAGAGCCTGCACAATGTAATTCCCATTACATTATGACAGTAATTTAAAAGAAATAGACTGTGGGAAGAGCAACACAAATTCACAGCCACTGTTTTGGGTCTGATGACCCAAAGACAAATAATATTCCTCACCAAACTGATTCTCTTATGAAAGTAGGAGGGAAACTTTCCATTACCAGTTGTATAAATTGCCCCTATCCCTTTTCAATTTAGGCCCAGATGACCTCACCTTACATATGGGTATAAATAAGGTACTTTTTAATGAACTACAGAAAAGGAAAACACTATGTGAAAACTCAAGGATGTGGTATCAATATAACTCTCAAATTCAAAAAGGAAACTAGCATATTCAGAGCATCTCTAACATACCATCTCATTTAATCCTCATAACAGGCCTAGGAAGAGGGAATTATTATCTCTAGAGGTGGAAACTGTATCAGAGATATATTAGAATCTAGTTTGTCTGATCCCAAATTCTATGTACTTTTGATTGTTACATTTTGATAGCACTGTTTTAGGTGTGAAAGACAGAAACCAATTCAAATTAGCTGAAGAAAAGTGAGGGATTTATTGGCTCATAAAACTGAAAAGTATAGTGATAATCTTACTCAGTGAACAAGCTCAGCTGCAGGCAAGGTTGGATCTAGAAGTCAAAATGGAACTCCTTCTCTCTGTGTCTTCGTTCTGCTTTTCTCTATGTTGCACTCTCCATCAGGCAGGTTCTCAGGAGCTCTATTTTCAATCCCATGGAAAAGAGATCCTCTTTCCAAGTTTGAAAAAAATTTCAGGATTGAATCTCATTGTCCTGGCTCGGTCTAAGTAATCCTAAATACATGATAAAAACAATTTGAAAGAAAAATAAAGAAAAAGGGTAGCTGCTTCAGAAAATGTGAATTTTAACTCTTTTTTAAAATTTCCAACTTTTTTTTTCATTTCTGGGATACATGTGCAGGACGTGCAGGTTTGTTACATAGGTAAACGTGTGCCATGGTGGTTTGCTGCACAGATCATCCCATTACCCAGGTATTTTTTTTTTTATTATACTTTAAGTTCTAGGGTACATGTGCACAACGTGCAGGTTTGTTACATATGTATACATGTGCCATGTTGGTGTGCTGCACCTATTAACTTGTCATTTACATTAGGTATATTTCCTAATGCTTTCCCTCCTCCCTTCCCCCTCACCACAACAGGCCCCAGTGTGTGATGTTCCCCTTCTTGTGTCCAAGTGTTCTCATTGTTCAGTTCCCACCTATGAGTGAGAACATGCAGTGTTTGGTTTTTTGTTCTTGAGATAGTTTGCTGAGAATGATGGTTTCCAGCTTCATCCATGTCCCTACAAAGGACATGAACTTATCCTTTTTTTTCTGGCTGCATAGTATTCCATGGTGTATATGTGCCACATTTTCTTAATCCAGTCTATCATTGATGGACATTTTGGTTGGTTCCAAGTCTTTGCTATTGTGAATAGTGCCACAATAAACATAGGTGTGCCTGTGTCTTTATAGCAGCATGATTTATAATCCTTTGGGTATATACCCAGTAATGGGATGGCTGGGTCAAATGGTATTTCTAGTTCTAGATCCTTGAGGAATTACCACACTGTCTTCCACAATGGTTGAACTAGTATGCAGTCCCACCAACAGTGTAAAAGTGTTCCTATTTCTCCACATCCTCTCCAGCACCTGTTGTTTCCTGACTTTTTAATGATCGCCATTCTAACTGGTGTGGTATGGTATCTCATTGTGGTTTTGATTTGCATTTCTCTGATGGCCAGTGGTGATGAGCATTTTTTCATGTGTCTGTTGGCTGCATAAATGTCTTCTTTTGAGAAGTGTCTGTTCATATCCTTTGCCCACTTGTTGATGGGGTTGTTTGTTTTTTTCTTGTAAATTTGTTTGAGTTCTTTGTAGACTCTGGATATTAGCCCTTTCTCAGATGAGTAGATTGCAAAAATTTTCTCCCATTCTGTAGGTTGCCTGTTCACTCTGATGGTAGTTTCTTTTGCTGTGTAGAAGCTCCTTAGTTTAGTTAGATCCTGTTTGTCAATTTTGGCTTTTGTTGCCATTGCTTTTGGTGTTTTAGACATGAAGTCCTTTCCCATGCCTATGTCCTGAATGGCATTGCCTAGGTTTTCTTCTAGGTTTTTTATGGTTTTAGGTCTAACATTTAAGTCTTTAATCCATCTTGAATTAATTTTTGTATAAGGTGTAAGGAAGGGATCCAGTTTCAGCTTTCTACATATGGCTAGCCAGTTTCTCCAGCACCATTTATTAAATAGGGAATCCTTTCCCCATTTCTTGTGTTTCAAAGGTTTGTCAAAGATCAAATGGTTGTAGATGTGTGGTGTTATTTCTGAGGCCTCTCTTCTGTTCCATTGGTCTATATCTCTGTTTTGGTACCAGTACCATGCTGTTTTGGTTACTGTAGCCTTGTAGTATAGTTTGAAGTCAGGTAGCATGATGCCTCCAGCTTTGTTCTTTTGGCTTAGGATTGTCTTGGAAATGTGGGCTCTTTTTTGGTTCCATATGAACTTTAAAGTAGTTTTTTCCAATTCTTTGAAGAAAGTCATTGGTAGCTTGATGGCGATGGCGTTGAATCTATAAATTACCTTGAGCAGTATGGCCATTTTCACAATATTGATTCTTCCTATCCATGAGCATGGAATGTTCTTCCATTTGTTTGTATCCTCTTTTATTTTATTGAGCAGTGGTTTATAGTTCTCCTAGAAGAGGTCCTTCACATCCCTTGTAAGTTGGATTCCTAGGTATTTTTTTCTCTTTGAAGCAATTGTGAATGGGAGTTCACTCATGATTTAGCTCTCTGTTTGTCTGTTATTGGTGTATAAGAATGCTTGTGATTTTTGCATATTAATTTTGTATCCTGAGACTTCGCTGAAGTTGCTTATCAGCTTAAGGAGATTTTGGGCTGAGACAATGGGGTTTTCTAGATATACAATCATGTCATCTGCAAACAGGGATGATTTGACTTCTTCTCTTCCTAATTGAATACGCTTTATTTCTTTCTCCTGCCTGATTTCCCTGGCCAGAACTTCCAACACTATGTTGAATAGGAGTGGTGAGAGAGGGCATCCCTGTCTTGTGCCAGTTTTCAAAGGGAATGCTTCCAGTTTTTGTCCATTCAGTATGATATTGGCTGTGGGTTTGTCATAAATAGCTCTTATTATTTTGAGATACAGCCCATCAATACCTAATTTATTGAGAGTTTTTCACATGAAGGGATGTTGAATTTTGTCAAAGACCTTTTCTGCATCTATTGAGATAATCATGTGGTTTTTGTCTTTGGTTCTGTTTATATGCTGGATTACATTTATTGATTTGTGTATGTTGAACCAGCCTTGCATCCCAGGGATGAAGCCCACTTGGTCATGGTGGATAAGCTTTTTGATGTGCTGCTGGATTCATTTTGCCAGTATTTTATTGAGGATTTTTGCATCAATGTTCATCAGGGATATTGGTGTAAAATTCTCTTTTTTTATTGTGTCTCTGTCAGGCTTTGGTATCAGGATGATGCTGGCCTCATAAAATGAGTTAGGGAGGCTTCCCTCTTTTTCTATTGATTGGAATAGTTTCAGAAGGAATGGTACCAGCTCCTCCTTGTACCTCTGGTAGAATTTAGCTGTGAATCAGTCTGGTCCTGGACTTTTTTTGGTTGGTAGGCTATTAATTATTGCCTCAATTTCAGAGCCTGTTATTGGTCTATTCAGGGATTCAAGTTATTCCTGGTTTAATCTTGGGAGGGTGTATGTGTCCAGGAATTTATCCATTTCTTCTAGATTTTCTAGTTTATTTGCATAGAGGTGTTTATAGTACTCTCTGATGGTAGTTTGTATTTCTGTGGGATCAGTGGTGATATCCCCTTTATCATTTTTTATTATGTCTATTTGATTCTTCTCTCTTTTCTTCTTTATTAGTCTTGCAAGCAGTCTATCAATTTTGTTGATCTCAAAAAACCAGCTCCTGGATTCATTGATTTTTTGAAGGATTTTTTATGTCTCTATCTCCTTCAGTTCTTCTCTGATCTTACTTATTTCTTGCCTTCTGCTAGCTTTTGAATGTGTTTGCTCTTGCTTCTCTAGTTCTTTTAATTGTGATGTTAGGGTGTCAATTTTAGATCTTTCCTGCTTTCTCTTGTGGGCATTTAGTGCTATAAATTTCCCTCTACACACTACTTTAAATGTGTCCCAGAGATTCTGGTATGTTGTGTCTTTGTTCTCATTGGTTTCAAAGAACATCTATTTCTGCCTTCATTTCGTTATGTACCCAGTAGTCATTCAGGAGCAGGTTGTTCAGTTTCCAGGTAGTTGAGCAGTTTTGAGTGAGTTTCTTAATCCTGAGTTCTAGTTTGATTGCACTGTGGTCTGAGAGACAGTTTGTTATAATTTCTGTTCTTTTACATTTGCTGAGGAGTCCTTTACTTCCAACTAAGTGGTCAGTTTTGGAATAAGTGCGATGTGGTTCTGAGAAGAATGTGTATTCTGTTGATTTGGGGTGGAGAGTTCTGTAGATGTCTGTTAGGTCCGCTTGGTGTAGAGCTGAGTTCAATTCCTGGATATCCTTGTTAACTTTCTGTCTCGTTGATCTGTCTAATGTTGACAGAACTGCAAGGCGGCAGCGAGGCTGGGGGAGGGGCGCCCACCGTTGGTGAGGCTGGAGTAGGTAAACAAAGGGGCCAGGAAGCTTGAACTGGGTGGAGCCCACCGCAACTCAAGGAGGCCTGCCTGCCTCTGTAGACCCCACCTCTGGGGGTAGGGCATAGCCGAACAAAAGGCAGCAGAAACCCCTGCAGACTTAAATGTCCCTGTCTGACAGCTTTGAAGAGAGTAGTGGTTCTCCTAGCACGGAGTTTGAGATCTGAGAACGGACAGACTGCCTCCTCAGGTGGGTCCCTGACCTCTGAGTAGCCTAACTGGGAGGCACCCCCAAGTGGGGGCAGACTGACACTTCACTCAGCCAGGTACCCCTTTGAGACGAAGCTTCCAGAGGAACGATCAGGCAGCAACATTTGCTGTTCAGCAATATTCGCTGTTCTGCAGCCTCCGCTGCTGATACCCAGGCAAACAGGGTCTGGAGTGGCCCTCCAGCACACTCCAACAGACCTGCAGCTGAGGGTCCTGACTGTTAGAAGGAAAACTAACAAACAGAAAGGACATCCACACCAAAACCCCATCTGTTGGTCACCATCATCAAAGACCAAAGGTAGACAAAACCACAAAGATGGGGAAAAAACAGAGCAGAAATGCTGAAAATTCTAAAAATCAGAGCACCTCTCCCCCTCCAAAGGAACGCAGCTCCTCGCCAGCAATGGAACAAAGCTGGATGGAGAATGATTTTGACGAGTTGAAAGAAGAAGGCTTCAGACGATCAAACTACTCCGAGCTAAAGGAGCGAGTTCAAACCCAATGCAAAGAAGTTAAAAACCTCGAAAAAATGTTAGAATGAATGGCTAACTAGAATAACCAGTGTAGAGAAGTCCTTAAATGACCTGATTGAGCTGAAAACCATGGCACAAGAACTACGTGACAAATGCACAAGCTTCAGTAGCCGATTTCATCAACTGGAAGAAAGGGTATCAGTGATGGAAGATCAAATGAATGAAATGAAGCAAGAAGAGAAGTTTAGAGAAAAAAGAGTAAAAAGAAATGAACAAAGCCTCCAAGAAATATAGGACTATGTGAAAAGACCAAATCTATGTCTGATTGATGTACCTGAAAGTGATGGAGAGAATGGAACCAAGTTGGAAAACACTCTTCAGGATATTATCCAGGAGAAATTCCCCGATCTAGCAAGGCAGGCCAACATTCAAATTCAGGAAATACAGAAAACGCCACACTCCTCGAGAAGAGCAACTCCAAGATACATAATTGTCAGATTCACCAAAGTTGAAATGAGGGAAAAAATGTTAAGGGCAGCCAGAGAGAAAGGTCGGGTACACACAAAAGGAAACCCATCAGACTAACAGTGGATCTCTCAGCAGAAACTCTACAAGCCAGAAGAGAGTGGGGGCCAATAGTCAACATTCTTAAAGAAAAGAATTTTCAACACAGAATTTCATATCCAGCCAAACTAAGCTTCATAAGTGAAGGAGAAATAAAATCCTTTACAGACAAGCAAATGCTGAGAAATTTTGTCACCACCAGGCCTGCCCTAAAAGAGCTGCTGAAGGAAGCACTAAACATGGAAAGGAACAACCAGTACCAGCCACTGCAAAAACATGCCAAATTGTAAAGACCATCGATGCTGGGAAGAAACTGCATCAACTAATGAGCAAAATAACCAGCTAACATCATAATGACAGGATCAAATTCACACATAACAATATTAACCTTAAATGTAAATGGGCTAAATGCTCCAATTAAAAGACCCAGACTGGCAAATTGGATAAAGAGTCAAGACCCATCAGTGTGCTGTATTCAGGAGACCCATCTCATGTGCAGAGACACACATAGGCTCAAAATAAAGGGATGGAGGAAGATCTACCAAGCAAACGGAAAACAAAAAAAGGCAGGGGTTGCAATCCTAGTCTCTGATAAAACAGACTTTAAACCAACAAAGATCAAAAGAGACAAAGAAGACCATTACATAGTGGTAAAGGGATCAATTCAACAAGAAGAGCTAACTATCTTAAATATATATGCACCCAATACAGGAGCACCCAGATTTGTAAAGCAAGTCCTTAGAGACTTACAAAGAGACTTAGACTCCCACACAATAATAATGGGAGACTTTAACACCCCACTGTCAACATTACCCAGGTATTAAGCCCAGCATCCATTAGCTGTTCTTCCTGATCCTCTTCCTCCTCCCACCCCCTGCCCTCTGATAGGACCCAGTTTGTTTGTTCCCCTGCCATGTGCCCATGTGTTTTCATAATTTAGCTCCCACTTATAAGTGAGAACATGCGGTATTTGGTTATATTTTCCTGCATTAGTTTGCTAAGGATAATGGCCTCCAGCTCCATCCAAGTCCCTGCAAAGGACATGATCGCATTTCTTTTCATGGCTGTATAGTATTCCATGGTGTATGTGTGCCACATATTTTCTTTATCCCGTCTATCATTGATGGTTAATTCCATGTCTTTCCTTTTGTGAATAGTGCTGCCATAAACATATATGTGCACGTGTCTTTATAGTAGATGATTTATATTCCTTTGGGTATATACCCAGTAATGGGATGGCTGGATCAAATGGTATTTCTGCCTGTAGGTCTTTGAGGAATTACCACACTATCTTCCACAATGGTTGAACTAATTTACACTCCTACCAAGAGTGTAAAAGTGTTCCTTTCTCTCCATAACCTCACCAGCACTTGTTTCTTGACTTTTTAGTAATAACCATTCTGACTGGTGTGAGATGGTATCTCATTGTGGTTTTGATTTGCATTTCTCTAATGATCAGTGATGTTGAGCTTTTTTAAATATGTTTGTTGGCCACATGTATGTCTTCTTTTCAGAAGTGGCTGTTCATGTCCTTTGCCTACTTTTTAGTGGGGTTTTTTTTTTCTTATAAATTTGTTTAAGTTCCTTATAGATGCTGGATTTTAGACCTTTGTCAGGTGCATAGATTGCAAACATTTTCTCCCATTCTGTAGGTTGTTTGTTTACTCTGTTTGATATGGTTTGGCTGTGTCCTCACCAAAATCTCATCTTGAATTGTAGTTCCCATAATCCCCATGTGTCATGGGAGGGACCCAGTGGGTGGTCATGGGGGTGGCCACCCCCCATGCTGTTCTCCTGATAGTGAGTGAGTTCTTACAAGATCTGATGGTTATATAAGGGGCTTTTCCCCCTTTGCTTGGCATTTCTCCTTCCTGCTGCCATGTGGAAAAGATGTGTTTGCTTCCACTTCTGCCATGATTGTAAGTTTCCTGAGGCCTCCCCAGCCCTGTGGAACTACGAATCAATTAAATCTCTTTCCTTTATTAATTATCCAGTCTCAGGTATTTCTTTATGGCAGCTTGAGAATGGATTAATACACTATTTCGAGTTTCTTTTCCTGTGCAGAAGCTCTTAAGTTTAATTAGATCCCATTGGTCAATTTTTGCTTTTGTTGCTATTGCTTTTGGGGTCTTTGTCATGAAATCTTTGCCTGTGCCTGTGTCCTGAATGGTATTGCCTAGATTTTCTTCTAGAGTTTTTATAGTTTTGGGTTTGACATTAAAGTCTCAAGATGGATATCTTGACTTGATTTTTGTATATGGTGTAAAGAAGGAGTCCAGTTTCAATTTTCTGCATATGGCTAGCCAGTTCTTATGGCACCATTTATTAAATAGGGAATCCTTTCTCCATTGCTTATTTTGTCAGGTTAGTTGAAGATCAGATGGTTGTAGGTGTGCCATCTTATTTTTGGGTTCTCTATTTTGTTCCATTGATCTATGTGTCTGTTCTTGTACCAGTACCAGTACCATGCTGTTTTGGTTACTGTAGCCTGGTAGTATAGTTAGTATAGTTTGCCTCCAGCTTTGTTCATTTTGCTTGCAATTTCCTTGGCTACTCAGGCTCTTTTTGGGTTCTATATGAATTTTAAAATAGTTTTTTTCCAATTCTGTGAAGAATGTCAATGGTAGTTTAATGGAAATAGAATTGAATCTGTAGATTGCTTTGGACTGTATGGCCATTTTCACGATATTGATTCTTCCTATCCATGAGCATGGGATGTTTTTCCATTTGTTTCTGTCCTCTCTGATTTCCTTGAGCTGTGGTTTGTAGTTCTCCGTGATGAGGTCCTTCATTTCCCTTGTTAGCTGTATTCCTTGGTATTTTATTCTTTTTGTGGCAATTGTGAATGGAAGTTCATTCATGATTTGGCTCTCAGCTTGCCTGTTGTTGGTGTATAGGAATGCTAGCGATTTTTGCACACTGATTTTGTATACTGAGACTTTGCTGAAGTTGCTTATCAGCTTAAGAAGCTTTTAGGTTGAGATGATAGGGTTTTCTAGATATAGGAGCATGTCATCTGCAAACGGAGATAGTTTGACTTCCTCTCTTCTTATTCGAATACGCTTTATTTCTTTCTCTTGCCTGATTGCCCTGGCCAGATCTTCCAATGCTATGGCCAGAACTTCCAAAATAGGGGTGGTGAGAGAGGGCAATCTCTAGATCCCCTTCCTAGGGGTATGTACAGACCTCCCTCCTTGCCTGAGTTGCAGCCACATTTGTTGGGGATCCTGGGGCTGGAGTATGTAAAGCTCCCAGGTCTTTGTGCATGCCGGAGCAGCTGCTCTGCCAAGACTCCACACAGCAGTGTGTGTTGGACCCAAAACCCTGATGGCATGGGCTCACAAGGGGATCTCCTAATCTGAAGGTTGTAAAGATCTGTGGGAGAAGTGTGGTTTCCCAGGGTGGTGCATTCACTCACTGCTTCCCTTGGCCAGGGGTGGGGGTTCCCTTGGCTCAATGTTGCTCTTGGGTGGGCTATTGCCCCACGCTGCTGCATGTCGAAAAAAAAACTCGACATGGGTCGAGTTGTTTCCCCTCATCAGTCCCAATGTGAGTACCTGGATATTTCAGTTGAAGGTGCTGTATTCACTCCCTGCTTTCATTCTGCTCTGTGAGTGCCATGCACTGCAGCTGCTTCTAATTGGCCATCTTGGATCCCTTGAATTCTAACTCTTAAGCCTTATGTATATATGTTAAAGATACAGACTGCAGAATAACTGCACTACTTATGAGATATTTTCATGTGGATAATGAAACCAGATAACCATAGCAATTGGTGCTGATCATGAAGATTCCTGAAGTAAACAGATGGCCTTTACTTCTCTGCTTTTGAAAAGGTCTTAATTACATGATAAGGTCATACACACAGCTTCATTTGAATCTATATAGTAGTATATTTGATAGCATGCTTTTCGTAAACTATATTTGGAAGGCCAAAGAACTAACATTTATCAAATACCTACTTATGTACAGGCAGCATATAGGTACTTTAAATGATTCAGCAGGCATTAGCCGCATGTAATATTTAAGTTTAGAATTTAAATTAATTAAAATTAAATTAAATGAAATTAAAACTCATTTCTTTGTTCACACCAGCTATACTTCAAGTGATGAATGACCATGTGACCTTAATGAACAGCATAGATATAGAGCATTTCCATCATTGTAGAAAATTCCACTGGACAGCTCTGGATGTCTATCTCAATTCTTTTTTCAGAATGAAATCTAGCAATCTTAAATCATGGTAAATAACACCATGAAAAAACAATCAGCCCAGAATGTGGTGTTTTCTACAAAGAAACCCAAACAGATCTGAGATCTTATAAAAGTCAGTATCATGGGGAAAAAAAGGTAGGGGCAGAAGATATTGTTCTAGATTTAAAAAGACTTACTTAAAAGAGCTAACAACCAAATGTAATGATTGATCCTGATCTGAACGGAAATAATTTTGTGAAAAATTTTTGTTTCAATGAAGAAACCTGAAAATGGACTAATAGATATTAGATAATACAATAGAGTTATTTTCAATTTTGCTAGGTGTGATAAAGGTATCATGGTTTTGTAAGAGTATATTTCAATTTTTTGGAGATCTATGCTGAAGCATTTAGAAGTAAAGTATTTTCATATTTTAAATTTACTTTAGAATGATATAATAAAAATAGATGGTAAACCAACTATGCCGTAATTGTGAAATGTAGGTGGTGGAAACTATTATATTATTTTAAATTTTGATATATTTTAAAACTTCTAAAATCAAAAGATTTTAAAAATCTATTTTTTTTAATGGATTTTGCCTTTGGTGTCACACTTAGAAAATGTTTTCTCAAGCAAGGGTTTTAAAAGTAATTACTGAGATTGTCTTCAAGTATTCTTATGGGTCATTTACTTTAATACTTAAATCTTTTATCTCTCTGAAATTTGTTTTGATGTGATGTATGAGATAAAGATGACTTTTATGTTCAGGTAGTTAGATGGTAGTGAATATTTTGTTTGATTCTCTAAATTTATTTACCATTTTTTTCTAGAAAAGCCCTTGCTTTTTCTTTAGGGATCCATATCCCTCTCATTTTTCTGGTCATGTGTTTTGTGTAATAACAGTAATAGAAAATTATAAGCCTCATATTCTTTAATTTACCCTTGGCTAAGAAATAACTGAAGGAAAAACCATAGTGCTTGTTGGTAGTTTAATAGGAAATTGAAAGAATGAAAGTCTGTTGAGGCACCAGCAGACAAGCCCTGGGCTAGCCATCATTATATTGTGTTAAATAGATAGGAAAAAGCTTAGACAGTACTAACATATCTGTTACCATAAAACGAAAGTTAAAGTATATGTTTATTGCCTGTCTTATATCAAAAAGGAAAGTTTCTATGCCTGTTTTATAAGAAGGGATCAGACAATAATATGAAAAGCATTCCAAGTGTTTCAAGTAGAGGATTTACTACAGTGCATCAGGTGCTTAAATAATCAAGGGCTGAAGGAGAGTGAGTCAGGGGCCTGCCACTAACTTTTAGGTGCAGCACCACAGAAAGTTAGAGTCTCTATCTATCAGAGTCGGGAGCTTGCAGGAAGCTCCTGCTTATCTCATGGGACTTTGTAGCCCCAAGATGGGTGGAATGGCAAGGGACATAGAAACTACTACAGAAACTCACATTTAGGAGGCCCATGCTATGCCTTCTACTGCTGCCAGAGAAAGAAGAGAAATAATTTCTGCCTTACTGCTGCCTTTCGAATTCGAAGATCATGTGAATTTATCTTTAAGATGGAGACTAAAAATACCTCCAGAACTCTGCTGGCTAGGATGTCACAGAAATACACTTCTCAGGCTTCTGGCCTCTGCACTGTAAGGAAGGATGGAAAAGTTTATAAGGTGGGCTGAGTGTCAATAGACAAATCCAACAGAAGGGGTGAAGGACTTTCCTACATATTTGAATGTTTATTTAAAAATTCAAGGGATTGTTGACACCGAGAGTAGACTGTTTTTGTTATAGGAAAAGATATTTGTGAGACTATTTGGTGAAGAAAGCAATTTGAAATTGTGAATCATATTTGTCATAGAGGATTGGTTTCACTCACCAATTGGTTAGAATTCACTTCCTATGACATCATCTAATCTAGCAGAGCTTCCCCAACTGATGGGTCAGCCAGCCCAAAGGGTAGTAGGGGTGGCTGAGCAGGGCTGGGTAACCAGGAAAGTCTTGCTAGGGGCTCCAATTCCCTTGTTTACCATATTATAACCATATAAACATAACTATCTTTTTCTTAGTGTAGTCAAAGCACTGCACTTAGTGAAACAACCTTCTGTTGTTTTCATGTCAGTGACATTCCAGAGTGTGAAGACTCCGAGGTAAATTAATGTACAAGAAATGTAAGGAAAGGCTCTGCCAGAGCACTTGCTCTTCACCTGTGTAAACACATCATGACCATTTAAGGCTGTAAACCGTAGGATATAGTATTAATATCCCAGAGGGTAGTTGGGTAAATAACAAGGCAGGCTAATATGAATTCCCTGGGTTTAAAGAAAAATTAAAGCCTTGATTAATTAATTCATTATGTGCAGCTTCTCCTCCCTTCCTTTACTTTTATAGCAGGAGTGAGATAATTATTATAATCTGAGAGATAAGCCTGCTTCAACTGAGAGCTGTGTTTGGGCAACTCTGTGGTTTGGGCAAATGGATTAAGTGACTTAATAAATTCATATTCAGAAGACTGTGATGTTAAAAAGAATTTCCTACTTAGGAAAGATAATTTCCAAGTGGAAAACAAAAATCCTCTACTGAGTTATAAAACTTTTGTTTAAAATATATTCATTATATTTGAGAATTGCTATGCATGAGGACATCTCTTCATGCTTGAGATACATCAGTACACAAAATAGGCAAAGATTAAGAAGTTTTTATTTTAGTGGGAGAAAGACATAGCAAACAATAAACATAATGAATAAGTAAATTATATAGGATAGTAGAAGGTGAAAAGTGGTATTAAAAAAGAAAAGGTAGAGCATGGTAAAGGGGATCAGGTGTGTTGGGGAAGGGGTGATGGGCTACAATACTGAATAAGAAGGCTCATTGAGAAGATGAAATTTGAGTAAGATGTGTAGGAGATCAGGGAGCAAGCCACACATTCCAGGCAGAGGGAACTGCAAGGGCTCTAAGGTAGAAGTCAGTCTGGTGTATTTGAATAAAAGCAAGGGGACCAAAGTATCTGAAGTATAGAGCAAGAGGAGAGCAAAGTATCTGAAGTATAGAGCAAGAGGAGAGCAGAAGATAAAACCAAGAAGCACTGAGAGTAGTGGATACCATGTGCGCTTCAGGACCAAGGCACTCATTTCCCCAGGTGCAAGAGTTTTTGGATGTAGATGGCTCCTAGCTCAGTTCCTCATCTGGAATTGCCTTCAACAGAAAAGAACTTCATTTGCAAGGTTATGCTCTCTCCTGGGAGCAGACCACATCCAAAGACTGTCATTGAGGGAGTATAGGAGTTGGGTGCTCTTGCCTCAATTCAGGCCAGCTCTGTGGGCCTATTGTAACTGTATCACAGTCCACTGGTCCTTCTGCCGAATTCTGCTTTCCTCACTTCCTTACAAGTGTTACTCCTGAGAGCAAACCCAAGAAACCTCCTGCTTACAAATCTCCATCTCAGAGTCCATTTTCTGGAGAACAAGACTTGAAACAGAGGCACTGTGAACACTTTGACTCTAAGATGGGAGAACATGGGGGCTAGAGTAAGAGAGAAACATGATCTAACTTATGTTTTAACAAGATAACTTTAGCTGTGGCACTGGGAGTGGTTGGTGGAGGGTTAAGGTCAGAAACAGGGAGAACAATAAAGAGACCACTGCATTAATTCAGGGGTAATGATGAAGGTCTGGAGTAGGTTGGTGAATGTATTTTGAAGGTAGAGCCTACAGAATTTGCTTATAGTTTGAATGGAGGGTGTGAGAGAAAGAGCAGCTCAAGGATGACACCAAGGTTTTTGATATAAGCAAATGAAAGGAAAAAGATGCCATTTGCTGAGATGGAGATGACAAGGATGAATTTGGGAAGGGCAGACTGTTGGGGGAAAATTAGGAGTTGGGTTTTGAACATATTAATTTTGAGATGCACATCTGTGAACCAAGTGGTGATGTCCAGGAGGCAGCTGGGCAGAGGTCAAGCCTGAAGATCTATATTTAGGAGTGGTCAGTAAAGGAATGGTATTTATAGTTCTGAGCCTGAATGAGATAGTTTATGGAGTTATTGTAGCTAGAAAAGAAAAGTGATCCAATGACTGAGACCTGGGCACTTCAAAATTTAGAGGTTGGAAAGATGTGAAGAAACCAACAAAGGTAACACAGAAGGAGCCACCAGAGAGAAAAAGGGAAAACTATAAAAAGTCTGGTATCCAGGATATCAAGTCAAGGAAGATATTCAATGAAGGGAAGAGAAAAATGTTTCTGACAATTGGTTTCAGCAAATTGGATCTCATTTGATTACCTTGAAAAAAAAAAGAGAGCAGTATTAAATTGAGGGTTGGGGCCAAAACCCTGATTAGAGGAGATTTAAGAGAGAATAGAAGGAAAATATATGATACTAAGTTTAGAAATTTAATTCAAGGAGTTTACAGTGAAGAGAATAGCTGTAGGAGGAGAACCAAACAGAGTTCTTTTTTTAAGTGGAAGAAATATTTGTGAATGCTGATGGGAATACTCTTGTTGAGAGGAGAGAATTAATAATGCAGGAAAGACAGGGAGAAATCCACGTCATTTGGGAGGCCCAAGGGAAAGAATTTAGTGCATAAGTGAGGAGGACAGCCTTAAATGAGAGTGTGGTCAATTCATCAGGAGGGAAGACAAAGCACACGACCAGACATGAAGGTGGATGACCAGCTGTAGTTGCAGAAGTTTGTGGAGATTCTTCTCTAATTGCTTCAGTTTTCTCAGTGAAATAGGGAAATGAGAAGCAAGGTCTTCAACTGACAGTGAAGATGAAAGATGAGATATTGGATGTTTGAAAAGAGAGAAGGTCACCATCTAGAAGAATGGAAGAGCAAGTGAACTAAGGAGTTATAATTGGGTTGCTGGGTAGTGCCAAGGATCCACTTAGTACTAGTAGTCATGAATTTAGAGTGATGCTCATTAATGTTTGTATTTTTACTTTTCTCCAACACATTAAATTGCACCAGTGCCACCATGGAGTTTGTGGAGAGTTGGACTGAACCAGCACTGGGATTTTGCCGGGTGAGTAAAATGCAGCAAGAGAGGAGCAAATGAGTTGAGTGTATGGAAGTAAATTACCATGATGACTGACCATGGTATTTAAGCCAAGTAAGGAGGGAGGCAAAGACTTAAAATGTTGAGGAACATGAAAAGGCTAGGATCAATGGATTTGGATACTGATTTATTAGAAGAATTATTTGAGTTGGTGCTCCAGACTGAGTGAACAAGAGAGTTAGAAAAATAATTATGGAAGAGTGAGGTGCTTGAAACTGAGATTATGGAGAGGCTGCAATTGTTGATCATGACAAAGTCTAGGTTGTGGCAATAGTAGTGAGTAGCTGAGGTAGGATGGAGAACATGTTCATTGGAAGAAAGGAGATCCTGGAACTGAGTGCCCAGGATTGTTGAAAAGGTCATCCACAGAGAATACTAAAATAGCCAAGAATTCTCAGAAATAGTGTTGGAGTGATAGCAAGCCACCCCTCAGCCACACTGGATCTCCACGGGTCATTCCCAACAGCATATGAAAACAGCAGTTCCTCCCACCGCAGAAAACTCTCCTGTGATCTTACATCCCTGTCTAATTACTGCCTCATTTTTTTGCTACAGTTTAGAATAAAACTTGAAAGACAATACTCTGTGTCAAATACTTCTCCTTCCATTCTAATTTGAACCCTCCCCAAATAGACTATCAACCCAGCACCCCACTATAGAAAGAGACTCCAGACATAGCATCTGTAAAATCAACCAAGGTAGAAGCTTGATGGGGTAATGCATGCACAATACAATTGATCTGATGCAGGATGGTGTTATAGACAAATCACTTAATTGAATCAAATCTGCTTTTTCCCTCCTGACTAGTTGATATAAAATGATCTGATCAATCTATTTGTCTTTTCTATTTCTATTTCTATTACTTTCAGGATGAAAATAGCAATAACTCACTAGTATTTACTTTTAATTTGATCATGAATATGTGGGCAAAAGAGTTTATATATTATTATATTGTATTAAAATAATATCCACTGTTTTCTTTCAAAAATACTTGGCTAAATTATTGTCGTACTTGTGAACAAATGAATATTAATTTTAACATGAAAACATACAAAATTTTTTTATAAATCTTCTTTGTTAAATATGAGAAAATGATCCTCTCATTCAGGAGGGGTGGTGTTGTAAATCATAACATTTGCACTGATTAAACATTTGCTGGTTCTAAGTAATTCTGCGTGATGATTCAGATGTGCCTTCTCTCTGTCAATATTACTTGATGCCTCCATTCATTGGAGGACAAATTCCATACAAGATGCAAAGAGATGCTCCTCATGATGGTGGTTCAGTTTTATTAATACATGAAGTGTGTGCTCAGCCAAGTCCAATATTTGCCTGGCTTTTGTTCACTTGTCTTGGTTTCATAATAGCATTTCTCCACTGGCCCCCATCAAGTTGTGTGCTCATCATCTGTTAACTGTGTTTCTCCCTGTCTGAAGTCTCCTGTAGTATGTATTTGTTACCTCAGTTGCATTCCCGTTTGTATTTGAGAAACACTCACCTTATTAGCAGGGCTACTACATACACGCGTGCAGTTTGTGCACTGCACAAAGGCTCCCAGCAGAGAGGGCACGTGAGACTGAAATCCAGGCATGCTGGATCCCTGATTGCTGACAGTGTTCTGTAGCCACTGGAGAAAGGAAAGATTCCTGCTTATTTTCCCAACTAGAGGCATGCATTTTCCTCATTTTGCACAAAGCACCTTATGGGCTTATAGCAACGCTGCTTATGAGACTTGCTGAGAGGAAGAGCTTTCCTCGCAGGAGAGAAACAACAAAGGGCATATACTTGCTTCTTAGGACTCCTTTCCAAAGGGGCCTTGGGCATGCGTCTGAGGCTCGGCCAATCAGATGCATCAGCCCTGGGCTTTGAATTGGAACCTGGGACAATGGAGAATTCTTTTGGCAGCTCAGGGAAGTCAGCAACCTCCTATTCCCAGAGGCAGTGGTTGCCTCAGAGTCAGTGTCCAGGGCTGAAGGCATTGACGGTGAGAACTCCAGCATCTGGCATCCAGTGGCAGGGCTTTCCCAGACCAGTTCCGAGGAATGATTTTAACCCTGGGAGCAGAACTTCATTCTGTCCTTGCACCATCTTCCTAACCTAGTCTTCCGGCCCTCTGGGTGTTATACTCAGCACCCAGTAGCTTCTCGATAAATTCCTTTTCTGCTTAAAGTACTGGAAGTCAGTTTCTTTTGCTGTGTAACCAGTTTATTGGAGAGTCAGTGGGATACTAACATGAAGCCCTTTTATTTGATTTCTCCTACATTGTTTTCAGGCATGCTTTGATGAGAGTTTTCTGTCCCTTCACGACGTCTCAGGAAGCGTCTGTGGCATTTCAGACACTTTCAGGTTTAAAAAGTTAAGTTTATATCTCGAGTGTCAGATTATATCCACTTTTTCACTCTTCCTGTCAGTCCAGGTGTGACCAGGGGCCAGTGGTCCTACCCTGGGGGAATTGTGTGTACATTGCTTCTCTCCTGCTCCTCTGCTTCCCGCTCTTCCTTCGTCTTTTCTGTATCTCCTGGAGTGTTGGGGTCTTGGAGCAGGGATGAAGGAAAGGACAGGCATCTGCTTAGCTGCTGCTGCTGTGGTGCACACGGGATGGCCAACTGTGCCTGTGGCAGATGTCTGGACACTGCTGAAGGGCAGGGCATGGGCAGGCTCTTCAGTAGGCCTAGCAGGGGCCCCAGTTGCACAGGCATCTGATGTGGGTGATGACCACAACCCGAGTTCTTCTGCCCCCTCCACCTTCAGCTCCCGCTCCTTGGCTGTGCTCCTCCACTAGCAGGCAACCCTCTTAGGCAGGGCAGGGACAAGATTGCTTAAGCCCAGATACCTCTTGTGGTGTCGATTTGGCCCTAAGGAAACTCAGGCATTTTTGCCTCACCAAACAATGGGAACAGAAGCTGCCTACTATCTCTTTCCAATTCCTTTCCTCCTGTTGAAATGTGTGGGGAGAGTAAATCTGCCTGCCCCACTTCACAGAAGTCTAACTAGGGTTGGAGATGGCTGGTTTCTACCTCTTGCTAGTATTCTTCATCACTGTGATTATTTCTCTTGCTTCCCCCTCCATTTTTACTTAACCTGTCATAGGAGGGTAGAAATATTCCTCTTACCTCTTATATGTGGAGCAGAAAAGAAGTCACCCATTGGGTTGATGACTCCCACATGGCAGGAATTCTGATGACTCCTCTTGAGTTTCTTAGTTTTTTCCTATAGGGGAAAAGGAATAGGGGTTGGGGTAGCTGCAGCAGTGGTTTCTGGTGGTGTCGAAGTTGGTTTTCTGATGCCTTTTATTAAGTCCTTCAAGGAGTGGATTTGGATACACGTTCAAATATGCACCAATTATGATTTACTCTCTGAGACTATGCCCATGGTTCCCCAAAATTGAAATCCCATTTACTTTACTGCTATACTTGTAATAAAGGCCTGACCAATTCGCAGCGCTGTGTCCAGTATAGTTTATTGATGACTTAGAATCTATTGCATTGGTGCAAAAGTAATTGCAGGCTTTGCCATTACTTCTAATTACTTTTAATGGCAAAACCTGGAATTATTTTTGTACCAATCTAATAGTTTCTTTTCCCAGTGGTATCCTCTTTTCTTTTTGGGACAACATCCCCTCTCCCCACTTTTCTGTGCTTCTGGAAGGATGGTGTATCAGGCACCTGTCTCACTATGGAAGTTTGAAGGGCCAAAGCCTTCCTGTTTTCTCAGAATAGTCAGGAGGAAGTGCAAAACCTAAGTTCAGTCAAATGAATGCTCTCTCCTGTGACTTTGATCTTGAGAGCATCATGTGAAGACTAAGGAAAGAAATGGTTCAAGTTCATCAATCTCAGCAGGGACAGCCTGACCAGATTGGTTCAGCTCTGAGACTATGGCTTTGATTTTTTTTTCCCCAGTCCTCTAAAGGGATTCTTGCTCATTTTTAACTTTGGGCCTCCCAGCTGCCCTCTCTTCTGGAATCCCTCAGTGTTGTTTTTATTAAGTTAGTTGGAGTTGGTTTGTGTTACTTGAAAACAAGAACCCTGACTGATACAGTATGCATTCATATTGCAGACAAAAGAAGATCATACTACAGGAAATGTTTTATTCCCCCTGATACTTACATCATTGCCATATTCACCTTCAGTCAACTTTTGCAACTTTCTTTTCACACACATTCATAAGTCCTCATTATGCAGAATATTTAGATTTATTTATTCCAAATTGTAATAGATGTATTCACTATATCAAATGTTGAAATTTTAAAAAAAGCAATTTCAGGAAGATATTCATGTCTTTACTTCTGTGATTCTCTGGTCTTGGTATATGGAAGATAAATCCTGTTTCTTGCTGAACTACTTCCAAGCATGATCCCACTCCACAGTAAGTCTATGTTTACAAGAATATCCTAGATAGGCATGCTGCCCCAATACACCAGCAATGCTTTTACAAACTGCCAGTCCAGACACATTTGGGAGTCCTAAAAGTAATTTAACATTTAAATAAAACAATACAGAATAGAACTTTGCTTCTCAAAGTGCAATCCAAGAAACAGAAGCATCCACGTAGGAGTTTGTTAAAATGCGGTCTCCACCCTGGATACTGAATCAGAACCTCATATTTAACAAAATCTCTAGCTGATGAATGAGCACATTAAAGTTCGAGAAGCATCATTAAGAAAACATGAGAGGGCATTACATATGGTAAGAGTAAGTGTTGTTTCATGAAACTTGTTCTAATTATATACTTACAAAGATAAGAATTTGTTCATAATGAAAAATGTACTTCTTACTGTGGATCATATTAAAACTTTTTTTGGGGGAAAACACTAAGCTAGGGGAAATAAACGGATGAATTTGGAATCCCATTGTTGCCCCTTTCAAAGTAAGAATACTAGGATTGCCTTAAATCTGTGAAGACATGTTACATGAAGAAGACAGAAAAGTACTCCTAACTCCTGATACAGGGTCCAAGGCTGCAAATACAATTTCCTCATCCATTGTTCTGCTCTTCCCTTTCTTCCTCCACTACCTTTAAAAGACAGTGATCTTTTCAAAAACCTGGACAAGAGTCATACTGGAGAAGGGAGCATAAAAAATATCTAGGACTGGAAGAAGAAGACCGAAATGAAGGCATCTGGGAGGAGACTCATGGGCCAAGAACCCCACCTTTCTAATCCTCTATGTCCCTTGGCTGAGACCTATGGCTAAAGACATGACCTCTTCCAATCTTGCCTGCATTTGTGTTGTGGGGAGAGATAAAGCTGTGTACACACAAGAGCTTTAAGGCTCCTGAACACTTTTTTTTCAGTGTAGATTTTCAGTGACTATGAGGAAAAAGTGTTTAAACATAGCATAATGGTGAGATTTGAGGAACCACAGTAAGCAATCAGAAGACCAGAATAAACAGATGTAGTTCTGAGGCAGGTGAAGTGGTAGAGAGAGCATAAGCTTTGAAGTCAGACCCAGGGTCAGTCCTCCCTCTGCCACTCACTAGATATGGGATCATGGGCAAGATAATTGATCTCTCTGAGCCTTCTTTTTCTTACCTGTAAAGCAGGAATAATTATACATGCCTCTTGTTGTTAGAATTGAATGAAGTAAAAAAAATGATAACCTTCTGCCATACTTATGAGTTTACACTCTGCTGTAACCCCCACTTCTATTTTTTTAAGTGGGAAGAAGGTAAACTCTGTGAACTCTAGTCTATTGCTGTAACTAAGCAAGCTTTTAAATCATAGATTTAGAAGCATAATTTGAGAGCACTACTGAAAGGAAATTATGGGTATAAGAAGCCAATCTTGTTTGCTAAGAGGTAGAACTGGTAGGGTGACTTAGTTTTCTTTATTCAAAATATTAGCAGACAGGTAAATGGAACAAATGAGAATATCTCTGGATTTATAAGGTAATTGAAAAAATATCTCATAAAATCCTTGTGGATCAGATGAAGAAAGCAGACTGGATGTAATAATAGAATTGTAGAATTTATCAGCAGTTGAATGACTGTACTACAGGATGTGAATAAATATAAATGGAGAGGAAAGTCTCCGTTAGAATATGCATTTTATTTCTATCTGCTTCTACATGTCTAATAATTATTTGTTCAAGAGCATCGTGGCTTTCTGATCAATTCCCAATATCATGATTTCAACCTGCCTAGCTAATATACTAGGAAAAGAGTTAGCTCCACCAAGCCCTTGACAGGTTCTAAAGATGGACTGCATATACAAAAATGGAATTTGATAGACCTAAATGAATAGTCTTATAATATTACTATGAAATTCTCAACTAAAAATACAAATAATATTTTAAGATGTCAAGATTAATAGCAAATATGAAAAATAATTGGAATTTTAGTAGATTATAAATTCTATGTTAACAGAGTGATATAGTTACCACCAACAAAAAAGTCTACTTAATCTAAGATTGCATTAGTTATGTTGTAGTGTTCAGAATAAAGATAGTAAAAATTAGTAAGGAAATAGAAGACTTGATGAACAGTGTCAACTAATGAGACCCAGTTGACATTTTTAGAACAATCTACCCAATAGCAGCAGCAGTTGTACATTGTTTTCAGGTGCACATGAACCATTCACCAAGAAAGACCATATTTTTGCCATAAAGCAAGTCTCAGCACATTTAAAAGCAGTGAAATAAGATGAACTATTCTTGCTGGCTGTAATAAAATTAAATTAAAATAAATAAAAATATATCTGAATCCCACTACTGGGTATTTAATCAAAGGAAGTGAAATCAATGTATCAGAAGGATACCTGTGCCCCATGCTTATTGCAGCACTATTCATAATAGCAAAGAGATGGAATCCATGTAAGCATGCATCAATTGATGAATGGATTAAAAAACGTGGTATATACACAAAGTGGAATACTATTCGGCCATAAAAAATTGGAATCGTGTTATTTGCAGCAACATGGATGGAACTGGAGGACATTAAGTGAAATAAGCCAAGTACAGAAAGAGGAATATCACATGTTTTCACTCATATGTGGGAGCTAAGAAAGTTGATCTTTTGAAGGTAGAAAGTGAAATAATGGATACCAAATGTTGGAAAGAGTGTGTGAGTGAGAGGGAGACCTGAAGAGAGGTTGGTTAATAAGTATAAATATTCAGTTAGATAGAAGTTGTAGGTTCTAATGGTCAGTAGCAGAGAAGGGTGACTATTGTTAGCAGCCATGTGTTGTAATTTCAAAGTAGCTAGAAGAGAGGACTAGAAATGTTCCTAACACATAGTAATGATAAATGCTCAAGGTGATGAATACCCGAGATGCTCCCCTTGTAACATACTCTATGCATGTAACAAATTTTCACATGAATTCTGCAAATATGTAAAACATTATGTATCAATAAAACAAATACCTAAAAAATTCCCTGAAATTTGGAAATTAAATTACAGTGTTCTATATAACCTATGGGTTAAAGAAAAAATATTTTGAACTATATAAACAGGTTATCAAAATTTGTGGAACATGGTTACAGTAATTATTAGAGAGGAGTTTATAATTTTAAATGCTTGTATAAGAAAAAAATCTAAAAATCAATAAGCAAAAATTTGACTTTAAGAAATTAAAGAAAAAAGAAGAGAAAAATAAATCTAATGTATATAGAAGGAAGGAAATAGTAAAGGTAAGAGCTAAAATCAACAAAGTAGAAAATGTGTAAGTAATAGAAAAAAATCAATGAAACTAAAGCCTGATCCTTTGAATTGATTTTTAAAAATTGATGAACTTCTAATCAAAGAGATAACAAGAAAATAAAAATGCAGACCAATAATTTTAATGAGTATAGACACAAATATCCTGAACAAATTTTAGCAAATCAAATCCAACAGTATATCAAATATATAATACATTACATGGACCAAGTAAGCTTTAACCCAAGAATGCAAGGCAAGTTTAATAAGCAGTTCAGTTAACTAACAGAAAAAAGGAGAAAAACCGTATAATAATTTCAACTGATACAGAAAAACATTTGACAAAATTAAATAGTCACTCATGGTAAAATAAACAATTTCTAGTGAACTATAAATAGAAGGAATTTCTCAATTAATAAAGGGAGTTTAATGAAACTTACAACTAACATCCTACTTAATGGTACAAGACAGATTGCTTTGGTTTATGATGAGCAACAAGGATGGGATACTAAATTTTAGCATTTGTATTCAATGTTGTACTGGGCATCCTATCCAGTGAAATAAGGCAAGACAAATAAATAAAAGAAGCAGAGCATGTAGAAAATCCTAAGCAAACTGAAAAAGAAAAACTACTAGAACGAATAAGTAAATTTAGCCATGTTGCAAAATGTGAGGGTACTGCACAAAATTCCACTGTATTTCTCCATACTAGCAATGAACAATTGGAAACAAGAACTCAAAAATAATTCCATTTATGAAATATTAAAAATAAAATACTTAGGGATTCATTTTTTAAATTGTGTGTAATACTGCCATGTTCAAAGCTACAAAATATTGCTGAGAAACATTAAAGAATACCTAAATTAATGGAGAGATAAATGTTCATAGGTTAGAGGAATCGATATTTTTATGTCAGTTCTCCTTAAATTGATCAATGGATTCAAGGCACTCTCAATTAGAAAAGTGAATTTTTAAAACATTGACAAGCAAATTCTGAAATTTACATGGAAGATGAAAACCAAATAAAAACAAAAACAAAAGCTGAAGAGTTGAACAAATTTTGAAAAAAAATAAAAGCACAGTTGGAAGACTTATTACATCTAAGTTGGAGTCCTATTATAAAGTTATAGCAATCTGAACAGTATGGTTTTGGCATAGGAATAGAAATATAGATCAAATGAAAGGAATAATGAGTGAATCCTGAAATAGACTCACTCATCTATGGCCAATTGATTTTCAATAAAGGTATCCAGTTACTCAATGGGAAAAAAGATAATCTTCTCAACAAATGGTGCCAAAACAACTGGATATCCATGTAGACAATAATGAACCTCAGCCCTTACTTCATACCATACACAAAGGTTAACATCAAATAGATTGTAGACCTAAATATAACAGCTAAAACTATAAACTTCTATAAGAAGCCATAGAAAATCTTCATGACCTTGGGGTAAGCAAAGATTACTTATGTAAAACCTAAAAGTACAACACACACACACAAAAACACGCTTGATAAACTGGACTTTATCAAAATTAAAAACTGCTGTTTGAAAGACACTATTAAGAAATTGAAAGACAAGAAACAGACTGGGAGTGTATATTGGTTATATACATATCTAACAAATGCCTGGTATATAAAGAACTCCTACAACTCAATAATAAGAATCCAAAGACTTGATTAAAAATTGGGCAATAAATTCAGACACTTTATCAAAGAACAGGTGGCATGAGAGCACATGAAAAGCTGGTAAACATCTTTTATGGTCACCATCATTAGTCAGTAAGGAAACGCAAATTAAAACCACGATGTGATACCACTATATACTTACTAGAATGGCAAAAATAAGAAGACAGAAACTACCCAGTGTTGATGAGGATGTGAAGCAATTATCATATCTTGCTGGTGAGAATGTAAAATGTTTTCCACTTTGGAAAGCAGTTCATCTTTCTATATAGTTAAACACACAGTTACTGTAATAATAATTTTACTCCTGTAAGATAAGAAAAATAATAATGTATGTCCACAAAAGGACTTGTTAAAGATTGTTCCTAGCAGCTTTATTCATAATAACCCCATATTGAAAACATCCCCAATGTCCATCATTTGGTAAACTGGCAAACAAATTGTGGTATATCCATACAATGGAATACTACTCAGCAATAAAAAGGAACAAACTTCAGATACAGGCACAACATTAATGAGTTTCAAAAACATTGTGTGGAGTGAAGGAAGTCAGACACAAAGGAATATGTAAGTGATTCCATTCATATGAAATGTTAGAAAAGACAAATCTAATCTGTAGTTACAGAAAACAGCTAAGCGGGCCAAATATGAGGTGGGATAGAAGTTGACTTTAAAGGGGTGCAAGACAACCCTCTGAGGTGATGGAATTGTTCATTATCTTGATTGAAGCAGTGGTTACATGGGTGTGTACATTATTCAAAACTCATGAAGCTGTATAATTAATATGAGTGTAATATATGGAATGTAACTTATCCCCCAATAAAGTTGATTAAAAAATTAAAAGGAAAGTGGGGCAACCAAGTTTCATAAAGCAAAATATCTTTGGGTAATAAGTGGCATGAACTAACAGCCAATTTCCTTAGAAAACAGCCATATGGATTAATCACCTCTAGAATTATTTGTGCCTGTGCTGCCCAGATCAAAGTTCCAACTCCTGGCAGAGAGGGCCTGAGGGGCTTAGCTGAGGTCAGTTGCTCTCTTCTGGACAGGGAAAAGCTGGACCATCCTGACTGACCTTCCACCCAGACTGCTGTCCTTGTGGCAGGGATGGTATCTCAAAGAAAAATGGAGGTACTGTTACCAGAGAAGGGGCAATGATGACTGCTAAACAAACAAATAAACAAACACCAAAACAGTCTTCCCCTGTGTATTTCCAGGGAGAGTAAAGAGGATGGTGAGGGGCTTCAAACATATCTATGTTCATTCATTCCATTCATTTATTCACTCAAACATAATATGGAGTCTGTACTATTTTCCAGGAGCGTTATTGAGTAGGGACTCGAACGCTCTTGAAGTCTCTCTAAAAAGAAAGAGTTCTTATTAATGGGAGGAAGAGAAGCCTGGTAGGAGATGGTTACCTGGAGTGGTTATGGGGCTTAAACCTGTTTTTGTTTTTTTGTGGGGAGAGGGGGATAGAATTCAACGACACAAGAAAGAACTTTGCAGCAGTCAAATTTGTATCTTTTGGGGTCCTGTAAAAGCTGGAAAACTCTTTAGTCTGGAAGAGGAAGATGGACAGTCAGAGAAGCAGATTCCAGAATTCATGTCCTGTCTAACCCACAAATGGAAAAGCCCGTTCATGGTTTTAACATTCCATCACTGGGCCTCCCGGGGCCTCCTCGGCGAGTCGGCAGAGGGAGCCATTCCCCAATAAATTGCCGCGCGAGGCCTCCGAGGACCTGGGGGGATTTTCCTGCGCGTCCGGGGAGTTCTCTCTCCGCCCCTCCATGGTAAAGCAGACTATCCCACCCTCCACCCTCTGCCTTCACCTCCCCGCCCCACCTTTCCATGTACTTTGCTGCCACATCACATTCTCTGGCACGGCTTAATCACCATCCTTTCTGGGTCCCACCTTTGCGCTTTCTCCCCTGACACCACTGAGGACCCGCCGTCCACTCCAGTTGGCCGCTCGGGCGCCGGCCACCGTCCCACAAATCCTTACAGAGGGTCTAGAACACCTCCCAGGGACTCTGCCGAGGGACTTGCACCCAACGTGGGTTGGGAATCAGGCGGGCACCCACTCTGACACCCCTTCGGTCACCCCCTGCGGTGACCCCAACATTTGCTAACTTCGCGACCAGGCCTTTGGCGGGGTCACCCACCAGGCGGTGGAAGCCGCTCAGGCAGGGGCGACTCACGATCGAGGTGCAGCAGTCAGGCCGGGAAGATCCTGCATGTTGCGCTAGGGACTGCGCGCGGCGCCAAGCGACAACCCCCCAGCGGCCACTGCCCCGGCAGCAGCAGCTGCAGCAGCGGCAACTGCTCGAATCCCGGCCCCGGCTCGGGTTACCCGCCCCCACCCCCTCCAGCATCTCGGGCCAGACAGAGAAAACCTTGTTCAAGTTTGCAGCAAGTACTTTCCCGGTGCGCAAAACTGGGCGACTGGGAACGCGTTGAGACGTTCCTCTTTCCCGCTTCTCCACCTTTACGCCTGAAAGAAGACTCCCAAAGATTGCTTTCTTCTGGGACGCTGCTTGGACGCTAACCGCGTTGATTGGAACAGATTTTGTGTCTTGGCTGGCTTTGGGTGAAGACCGGGGAGAAAAGGTTGCGCTGCGATTCTCAAGATC
This sequence comes from Homo sapiens, assembly GCF_000001405.40. Taxonomy (NCBI): domain Eukaryota; kingdom Metazoa; phylum Chordata; class Mammalia; order Primates; family Hominidae; genus Homo; species Homo sapiens. The sequence goes on from NC_000005.10 coordinate 127,291,046, forward strand.
TCTGGACCTGGGTAAGAGTTGGGCAAACTCAACTCCGGCGGCTCCTGGACCTTGGCCGGACGCCGGAAGGCTTCTCATGGGCGGGGGTCACATTTTCCTTAGCCAGGGTACCGGGGTGCGGCGTGAGGTGGGGCGAGATGGGCTCAGTCTGCGTTGTTCATGCGCTTCTTAAGGGTTTATTGTTGTTTGCATTTGGTTTTGTTACATGGGATTGTGTAGGAAAATCCTGGAGTATTTTTGATGGAGAGACATCCTCATTACGCATTTTATTTTGCATAATTCCTGCCCTTGTATTGCCTTACCTTGTGTTTGTTTCATTTTGCCGGGCGATATAGCTGGATGTAGGGAGATTTGTGGGGAATCGGACTGAGCTTGAAAGGCAGTTTCAGCTGGGCCCTTTCTTCTAGGTCAGTTGAACTTCCTTTCTGGGATCTTCACTGTTTTCTAAACTTCTCTTTCTCCCGTCCTTGGTATTCAGATTGTGCAGATAACGCTCTAGGCTGGCGGGATGCTCCCCTTTCCTGAGTTCTCAGCGATCAGTAGGGGTGTGAGGTCGCAGTCTTAGACCAAAGGGGCCTTGTCAGTATGCTTGGCTCCTTAAGGAGTGCTGGGAGGGACGGTTTTTCAAGTGATAGTTACTTAAGAAAGATAAATCCGGTGTTGATCTTTTTCTTTTAAATTCCTTGTTAGAGGACTTTTACGCCTGGTTTAAGGAAGTGTTTTGGCCTTAATTTTCTTTCTGGAAGTATTTTTCTTAGTGACACCACTGAGCAAATGAATGATGGCAATATCTTTGCTGCTTCTTTAGAAAATATCCTCACGCAAGGACCCACATTATTTAGGAGAAAGTCAAAGTTGGAGATCTTATTAGCCAAAATTAGCCATTATTATTGTTCTTAGGCTGTGATAACCATGCTGTGCCAAGGCAGAAGAGAATGACATTTCTTCTTGTTCTTCTTGCCTTACTCCTTTATATCCTGGGTCTCACTTTGTGTATAGGGTTCCCAAATAAAAATGCTTCATTCCTTATGGACAGAAATACTGGGGCCAATTTATATTATCCAGAAATGTCATCTTCCTGACACGAGTGCTCCAAGAGGTCAGCTTGCAGGGAACTTTTAATTTTACCACTGAGAGTTCAAAGAGTTCAGTTGGTAAACTCTGGGCACCCGCCAGCCTGGGTTCAGCTCACAACTCTGCCACTTTTCAGTTCTGTGATTTTGGGGTAAGTTACTTAATCTGTTTATCCACATATGTAAAATCAAAATGATAATAATAGCACTTACATCAGACAATTGTTAAAGGGATTAAGTAAGTTAATGCATGTGAAGGACTAACAAGCCTGACACATAGTAGGCACAAATTAGCTTTATTATTATTGTATAGCTAGCATTAACTATTGTTGTATCCCTCTAGTATAGCTTCTATTAGCTGTCAGTAAGTGTTAGCTATTATTCCTATTTGGATGGACTTTGAAGACTGTGCTCATCTGTAAGCTTCACTACCACCTATTGTCAAACTTAGCTCAGACATGATCTTTGTATTGCTTTTTTGTTGTGGCACTTTCAGTTGGAAAAATAAAGGTGTATATGGCAGAGCTGGAATTTATAGGGTGGTGGGTCATGGATGGGCACCAAAGACTACTTGGAACAGGTGAGGAGGTGGGAAATCTACACTCAGTTCACAGCCTGTATACCTCCTTGGAAATCCTTTACATTAATATACTTTCTTTAACCTATTTTTTAGAGGTCACTCATTTGTTCAGTAAGTATTTATTAACCATCTATTACATGTCAAGCACTGTTTTAGGTTTTATATTTTAAAAATGGCTATGCATGAGTATTGGCTTTATGTGCCTCCTCCCATTTCAAGTGTGTGACCTAGCACTCTATAAATTAAATCCCAAGTATTTTTAGCTACACAATTTCCATACCTGTTAAAATGCTCATAAGAGCACATAAAAAGCACGTATCATTGAGAAATTGAACAAAATATTCCCTATGACCTCAAGCAGATTGCTTTTCTCCATTTAGGCATCAGTTTTATTATGTATAAACTTGTGTTGAGAGGTGGGGAAAGAGTAGAATAACCTCCAGTGTTCCTTCTGGCTCCAAAATCCTTAAATTAGCTGCCTTACTTCATTGGTGGCTGTTTTTGAACCCCCACTTTTCTCTTTTAACATTTGTTTTAGGTACATAAATTACGTTACTTCCATCTTTGCATATTCATCAAAGTGAGTAACAACATCGATAATTAATGAAAAGGGAAAAGCGTTTATCTCTGTCTGTCTTTCACTATTCTCAGACTTTGGTTTATACCAGAAGCATGAAGTGGGGAGATTTGTTAAAATATTAGAGTGAACTATGAGAAATTGCTGATATTTGACCATTTTTGACCTAAATAAATGGCAATTTTGTATGGTTCAAACTATACAAACCCTAATCCCTTCTGCCTTGATTTAGAAGTAGTAAGTCTTCTGTGAGTTGTGAGAAGTCTGCATTTTTACAAGTTCCCCAGGTGATTCTAATGCAAAACTCAAGTCACATGCTCATTTAGCAGCAGTGAATTTACCTTCTTTGTGATTGTCTGCTTGGTTTAATAGTGTATTTCTAAAATGCAAATCTGATCATGTTATTCCCTTGTTTAAAAATCTTTGGCAGCTCTCTGGATGGTGAATGTCAGTGTTACCTGGGTGCATGTTGAAAATATAGATTCCAGGGCTTCACCCCAGAAGTAAGGGCCAGTAATCTGCATTTTGAGATCTCCAGGTGAACCTGGTAAAGCTGACGTCAGATCACATTTGGAGAAACACTGGCTTACAGCATAAAGTCTCACCTCCTTACCGCTATACACAAGACCACCTTTGCAGCACTTCTCAGGGTTATTTTCTGCTTCTCTGGTCCCCAGCTCTCCAGCTCCCACTGATCTTGATCTTGTTACTATCTCAAGAATACGCTGTGCACTTTCACTCTTCCATGACCCAGCTGTATATGCTGTTCCTTCCTCTGAAAATGTCTTTGACCCTCTTTCCTGTCTAACCAACCACTTACCACCCATTCATCTTTTAAGACACTATTCAAATCCCTTTGAAGACTTTCCCTCTGAAGTTTTTCCCAATTATCTCATAAACTTAGCGATATCTCATGCGAGTTCCCATTCTTGTGGATAGATTTAATATAGCATAATCACATTGTATCAGCCATATTTATTATCTGAATGTTTATCCCTAACAGATTGGTGAGTTCATCATTCCTTATTGTAAGCTCTTATACAAGTGGCTGGCCCATAGTAGTTATGGAATAAATGCCTAGAGAATGTTGGAGAAAAGTAAATGGATGAATGATAGTCAACATTTTCTTAGCAGACAAAGTGGTTGGGACAGTATTGTATACATATGGAGGGTGTGGAAAAGCCAGTTGGGAATTTCCAGTTTGGCTAGACATAGCCTAGGAAGTTAATAACTTCAAGTGGGGCTGGGCATGGTGCCTCACGCCTGTAATCCCAGCACTTTGTGAGGCTGAGGTGGGAAGATCACTTGAGGCCAGGGATCCTAGACCAGCCTGGCCAAAATGGCGAAATCCTGTCTCTACTAAAAATACCAGAATTAGCCGTGAGTGGTAGCACACACCTGTAATCCCAACTACTTGGGAGGCTGAGGCACAAGAATCACTTGAACTTGGGAGGCAGAGGTTGCAGTGAGCTGAGATCGCGACACTGCACTCCAGCCTGGGTGACAGAGTGAGACTCTGTCTCAAATAATAATAATAATAATAATAATAATAATAATAATAAATAACTTGGAGTAGAAAAAGGACAAGACAGAATATCCTAAGAGGACTTATGAAACACCAAATGCCACTGAATTAATGTTACATGTTGAACATTATTGCAGGCAGTATAATGAAGAGCTGAGCTTATCCTTTAGGATGGTTTTGGTTTGGTTTTTGGAATGACGTGTCAGAGCACTGGAAAGGAAGTGCCAATGCCAATAAAAACCAACTTTGCTCTGTGCTTTTCCATTTATAAAACACTTCTGCTTCTGTTTTTGTATTTGATCAGAAACATGGTGACTGGTTCAATACTGTCTTTCCTTCTTTCCTGAAAGGACACATTCCTGAAAATAGGTCTGAAGATTGTATAAAAGCCTACATATTATAGGGGATTCTGGCCATAGAAAGCCAAATATATTATGAAATCTCTAATTATATCTTGCTATTTAGACACAGCATTCAGTGTATACTCCATTTTCTAATTTTTCTTTCTTTAAACTTTACACAATTTTGGTTATTTTCTCCTCATTTCAATAACAGTTGACCAGCTCAAGTTCAATAAATGTCTGATTCAGATGAAAAGATTTGCCATTTTTGGCATGTCTAATAACTTCTACCTTTGTCTTACTTAGTTTATGAGACAAACACTTCTCATAATTACTATTAGGCTTTTAATTTTCCCATTTCCCATTCACTTTTTTGTAATAATGAAAATATGCAGTAACATTTGAATAAGTGAATGAATAATTCTCTGGGTAATGACAAGGATGGTGATTCTGCAAAAATTGAACTATTGGCTTAGGGCAGCTGCACCATAAAATAAACAACATAAAAAGTTCATTCATTAGCTGGCATCTGAGTGTCATCATGACACAGGGCAGGGAGGTAGTAGCATCAATAGATGTAGTACAAATATCCACATTGATGGACTTCAAACGAAGCAATATTGAGGACTGCCTTTACTCTCAGTTTCTCAAGGGTGTGTACCCAGTATCTGGTTTTAATAATTAGTTTAGTTTTAAGAATTAATACAAGATTCACTGGGTTCTGTTGATTTGTCTTCTTTTAAAATTATGTTTCTGAAATGAACTTTTTCTAGCTTAGCATAAGCCTGTATCATTTTCTGCCAACCTTTGGAAGTCTTTTAACTGCTCTCCTAATCTCTTTATTCAGTCATTCATTCATTCTTCATATCTGAATGTCCTGAAATTTTTAATTTACCTTTTGTCTCTCTTTACCATTTTGCATTATTGTTCACCATGATCATTCTAACTCTTTTTAAATATAGTTATTGCAGAGGACTAATTTAGAGCATTTAGTAAAAGGATTTCTCATACTATGAGGGAAAAAGAAGGTACAAACCAATGTTATTTTACTTTATAGAACTTTATTTGTGGAATGGCAAGTCACTGTGTGGATGTTATTTGATAATGCAAACTCTGTGGCATTAGCCAATCTGGAAAGTGTGAATGTGATAATACATCCTGTTATTATGGTTGTTCATTTCTAGTGATTTCCTCTCTTATTTCATTTCTAGTGATTTATACTCCTAGATAAAGAAACTATGTAAAGCATTTAAGCACCTCAATTTCCTACTTAGAGGGCAATAAATTGTACCCCTTCCCACTTCTAAGACAAAGAAAACAGTATTTCAGTATGGAAAACCTCATCTTGATAGGTACATGTGCAGGATATTAGCATCTGTTAAAAACATCTTATCTTTGGGAACATCCTAGAGGATGACTAAGTGCCTTGTCATTAATGTCTCATCTGACCCAGATGAGCTGTACAGATTTGGCTGTTTCTCAACATAGCCACAGGTGGTGGTTCCCAAGATGGATCTTTTGAATACCTTCTGCTGAAGAATTTTGGCTTTCTTAAAAAATAATTTTTGATGGCAAATTGAAAACTAAAACACACAAATTTAACTTGTTCCTCACAGAGTGAAATAGAACTATGAAATTTTTGCTTGGTGGCACAGAAGACTAATCCTACAATCAAAACAAAAAAATTTAAATATCCACCCCTATTGACATCTTGAGAAAAGTACTTGAGTTTGGATGAAGAATTGATAAAAAATATGTGACTTGGTTCTTTAAAAAAGTAATAGGTTGGAGAGTTACTTTTTGTTCCACCAGTTTTTTTTGTTTTGTTTTGTTTTGTTTTTTGAAGTGGAGTTTCATTCTTGTTGCCCAGGCTGGAGTGCAATGGCGCAATCTCAACTCACTGCAACCTCCGCCTCTGGGGTTCAAGTGATCCTCCTGCCTCAGCATCCCGAGTAGCTGGGATTACAGGCATGTGTCAACATATCTGACTAATTTTTGTATTTTTAGTAGAGACGAGGTTTTGCCATATTGGCCAGGCTGGTCTCGAACTCCTGACCTCAAGTGATCTGCCTGCCTCAGCCTCTCAAAGTACTGGAATTACAGGCATGAGCCACTGCACCTGGCTGTTTATCAGATATTTATTAGCTGTGTAGGGCATAGGGGAAAATACCATGTGTAATTACCAAGAAGCTCTTGCCTTCGAGGAAAAAACAGACTAAAAAAGTACACATTGCATGCCCATATAAAATATCTCATGTAACCCATAAATATATACATCTACTATGTACCCTCAACAATTAAAAAAAAAACAACAACTGAGCAGGTAAGCCTGGGTATAGTAAGAGCCAAGTGGCAGTTTTGAGAGCTGCCACAAGAGCTCACTGGAGGCTTCCTGGCAGTGTGGGACCTTGAAGGAGAGATTTGAATGGATGGGGCATCTTAGGTGGGGGAATGGGCTCAGCAAACATGTGGTGGCAGGAATTTACAAAGCATCTTCAAGCAATAGTGATTAAACCATTCCATAGTAGTGGTGAGTTTACATTTGAGAATAATTTTATAATAGGCACTTACAGGACCTGCCCATCCCCATAGTACTATCTGCGTTAAAGGAACCCTTCACATTACACTGCAGTTATTTTATAGAAACTAGATGGGATTAGGGGGACCTATTGAGATTCAAGTAAAAATTGGCTAGAAATCTTCCTCCCTATTCCATGAGAAGGTGTAAAATGAGAAAACTGTTCTTCCTTTCAACCACTATGGGATTCTTGGGGCTAGAGACGGAGACAGGGCTCATGTTTCTTCTAGTGTCACCTGGATCTGAATTCATATTTTCCCTTAAGAAGTTTAAAATGATCCGAAGCCACTCACCCAGCCACGAATAACCTTCACTTCATAAAATGCCACCAAATGTGTGGCTTGAGTGTTTAGAATTTTAAGGTTTGGGACTATGGAAAGAGTTCATATCTTAACACTTAGAACTAAATGTTAAACATCCTTGCTTTCTAACAGTTCATCCTACCATTGCCACTTTCTCACCGCCCATCTTTTTCTGAAGGCTACCACCTCCACCAGGTGGCTTCAGCGCTGTCCTGCTGTCCCTGCACTCCTCCTCTCTTGCTCACTGATGACCCACACCCACATTCCTATTATCATCTGAAGCCCTCATCGTTCTCACCTGTCTTCGTCTCAGGTGTTTTTCCCCCAACACTAAGATTTGATAACCACAGTATAAAGTATTTGTCCTTCCAGTATCCTCCCTGCTTTCAGCTGGTTCCTTAAACAGATGTGCAAAATCAGACCATGAGTGAGGTTAGAAATGCTTGAGGCATGTTTACCCTGTGCTCTGACTTCAGAGGCACGAGAATCACCTGCAGATACTGGCTCCTCCCTAGATTTTGATTCGGTAGGTGCGTAGTGGGGTCCCAGGATGTGTATTTTTAACAAGGTGTGCTGATGCAGGTGGCCCATATATGCATGATAATCCTTGTTGGACTTATAGTGCCCCATTCAAAAGGCATGCCTTTTTTGTGTGTTTTTAAATTTTAGTGACTTGGCCAGAGGGGGTCACAGAGAATAGCTGGTCTGTGAGAACCCATGCCTCTCCTCTCTACTTGAAGGGACAATGGCTGTAACACAACGCTGTTCATGTGACAGCCGGAGTAAAGGACCCATTGTTCAGGGGTTGGCTGATGTGCCATTCTGCTGCGGCCAGCCGTCCAACTGAGCTTGGTAGCCCCAAGGAAACAGACACACTTAAATCAGAGAGACAAAGAAAGGAGGTCAAGGCCTTCCACAGTTAAACTACTTGCAGCAATGTGTCAGAGGTAGGATCTGGGAAGGAAAAAAGTAATTCCAAGGAAGCATCATTAATCCTCTGGTTTTGGAGCTGCAGACATGGCGTTGGGGGAACACAAGTCTGTCAAAAAGCCAGTGGATCTTTGGCCAAGGAAGAATTATTTTCTACTGCGTCACACTGATTGCAGGACTTATCTGATTGCAGGATTTTATTACTGATTTAAAAAATAAAAAAGCCTCCCTGTGTCCCCAGGCTCATCAAAGGTACCTGATCTGAAAGCCTGCCTAAATCAAGGTCTATGACTTCAGAGAACAATTCTGTGTTCCTGGGAATGGTCACTGTGTATATATTAATAATTCCCTTCCAGATCTAGATAGCTGTTTTGAAGCTAAGAATTTTTTGAGTCTGAAATACAATGAGTGCCATTAGAAAGTTATTGATAAGTTTGGACAGTTATGAGGCTGGGGGACTCTCCAGATGCCATCTAGATACCCTCCCTCACCCCTAACTTTCAAACTGGATTCTAGCCCTGGAGGGAAAGGGTTGCAAACTTCCTGTAAAAATCTAATCCTGAGCCCAACAATTGCTTACATTCTTTGTGTCAGAAGAAGATTCAAATTCAAGGTCACAGCCTTTGCAAAGGTCACAGACTTTTTCCACAGGATTGTTCTTTTAGCCTGATTACTCCCTTTATGAAAAAGTATGTCATTCATTCAGCCTTTGCCTCTGGGTTTCTTTCAAAGGGAGACTTAGTTCCTAGTTCCTGTGGATACTTGTAGGTGGCTTTTCTTTTCTTTCCTTTTTGTTTTTTTTTTTTTAAGTTAGGCACAGAATACAGACTTGAATGAGGCAGAACAGGGAAAGCCTTTTCTGGACGTGATGGGTTCTGGAGAGCCCATTTACACCAAGTGTTAGGCAGCTGGTGTTCCCTGGCCAGTAGGAATCCTTTTGTCTCTGAGATAAGAGGTTTGTGTCCAGGAGAGGGCAATATGTGATTTGCTTGAGGTCACTTAGAGCTCCTAGTAATTATGTCTGTCATTGTACCTTGATTATAGATTATCATTGCAAATCCATTAAAGAAGGAGAAGCAAGCGGATTTCAGAGAGGCAAGTAGCTTTATTTTCTTCATTATGTTTTCATTCCCCCCCTCTGTTACAGTTTGTTTCTTCTTTACTAAATGGTTTTGCCAATGATATAGATGACTTTGAAGTGGAGAATGGGAAGAGGAGACTTCGTGGGTGGCGAAAGGACTGTGCTAAACACTCTCCTGATTAGTTCATTAATTTTCAATTTGTTGCCATTAGGCCTGTTCATTTGGCTCCCCATTTGTGTGATATAGAGAGGCTTGCCCTCAATGCTTCCAGGCCCGAATACTGTGCTATCCTTGAAGTTCTGTGTAGGTACAGCACTTTTTTTAAAAATAGGAAAGTTAAATGGTCCCTTTTACTGTTGTTGTTTGTGTCCCAAGTAGTATATATAATACTAAATGCTTTTGTAGGCATAGGATGCTTAATGGGACTTAGTTTTGTGTCAGAATAAGGGTCCTGCCCAACAAGGGCTTCTGGGATGCTGACATTACATTTAATCTAAGCACTGGTTGTTATGGGTATGTTCAGTTTGTGAAAACTTATTGACCTGTTCAGTTTTGATTTATGGCTTTTTTTCTGTCTGCATTTTACACTTCAATAAAAAATTCAAAAATTAAAGCCCCATGTTTAATGTAGAATTAAGGATCTATCATGATGGGAAACTGGAAACTCTCACATAATTTGAATCCTGGTGCAGCTGGGAGGGCCTAGAGCTTTAAATACCCATCAATTCACCCTTACTTCTACAGTCAGAGAGCTGTGTGTCAGAATGCAATGCATTAGCACCATCATAGGTGATTGCTTTACTTCTCTAGGCAGCAACTCCAATGCCTAAGAGATCAATAGTGTTAGCAGAGCCCCACTCTTTAGAATCTAAAACAAATGCACCTCTCTAAGTTGGCCAAGCAGCAAATCTTTTCATTCCCACTTTCCACCCTCCTTTCACTCATTTTAGTCTGTCAGGAGAAATCAGAAGAAGACTCTATGGATTATGGATGTTTTCCTGAATCTTTGGATGACATCTCTCTTATGGTCTAATAGTGGAATGCTTTGTTTCCCTCCGATTTCTCTAACTGGGATGAGTTGATATGAGGGGTGAAGTCTTTGGCTTATCTCCGTCACTCATTTCCACTGACACTTCCTGAGCTCCTCAGTGAGCCACAGGAGCAATACCTGCAAACCCATGCTTCCAGTCCCAGAACAACCTGTCGTCCTTTTTCTCTTGAGAAGACCCTTGTCCTCCATCAGTGTGGCGCTGCATATATTATACTAAAGTGAGCCATGAGTCATTGTACTGATAGAACATTCCAGCTTGCTTTTATAATATGGAGTTGGTAGACTGAAATGGAGAAAATAGGAGCATTTTTTTTTTCTCCAAAAGAGAGTTTGGGGCCCTTCGCTTTGAAATGGGTGCAGCACATCTATGAGAGGTCTGAGTACTAAATGTGTACCCTTCATTTTGGCCATTGGACTTACAGGTTGGATGTTGATTTACACAAACACATGTGATTAAAGTTGTGGGTTAACAGACAAGATTCTGATGTTCTGGGTCTATTGCTGACCTTGTCATTTACTGTATGAGGTATGACAAACTGGGCTGGAATCCCTTCTCTACCACTGACATCTTGGTGACTTTGGGCAGGCTACTCAAGCTCTCTAAAGCCTCTTTTCATCAAATGTGAAAAGATAATAGCATATACTTCAAAGATTGTTGCATTTAGCATAGTGGTAGGCACATAGTAAATGCTCAATATATATTAGTTATTATTATTTAACACCAAGTAATGTTAAAATAGGGAAGAATAATTAACACATCTAGGAATCAGGTCTGCTTCTCATGAAAGAATCGTTCAAATGCTTAAATAAGATTCTATTAATTAAATGCAGACGTTAGAAAATGTAGTCTCTGATAGAAGGCATAAACTATAAGGAATTTACAATATTTTGGAATACAAAACAGTTAAATTTACTTATAAGCATAAATGTCTTTTAAGATAGTATGTTACTAAACAAAAAATTATTTATCTTAACTATAGAATTAGGATGAGGCTGCTAGTGAATGAATTTGTTTTTCCTTAGTAAGATGTCAACAGAATTGAAAACAGGTGTTCAAACAATGTCTTGTGTACAAATGCTCCTAGCAGCATTATTTACAACAGCCAAAACTATTATTTTTGGTGGAAACAACCCAAATGTCTATCAACTGATAAAGGGATAAACAAAATGTGATATATTTACAGAATGGAATATTATTTAGTCATGGAAAGAAATGAAGTATGTATGATACATGCTACAACATGGATGAACCTTAGCAATATTATGCTAAGTGAAAAAAGCTAGACACAAAAGACCACATATTGTGTGGTTTCACTTATATAAAATATCTAGAAGAGGCAACTCAACAGAGACAGAAAGTAGATTAGTGATTTCCAGGGTCTGGGGGAAGGGAAAAATTAGGAGTGACTGTTTGATGGGCATGGCTTTTTCTTTTAGGACAATGGAAATATTCCAGAACTAGATAGTGATGATGGTTGCACAACAGGGTTAAAATGATGAATGTTTGGTTATGCAAATTTTTTAAAGGTTAAAAAAGTTATCTCAAAAAAATCAGCAGATGTTTGCATTTAGGTGAGATGTGTCTGCATAGATCAGTTGACCCCTGGTCACGTGTGTGCTATGAGGCAAGCCTTTGTTGCATACTGAGGAGAATGCCAAAAATGGCAAGATGCAGCCTTCAGCGCCTTGCCAGTCTGTTTATGAGGAAAGGAAAGGAGGAGGAAGCAGGTAATCTGTTCCAAGTGAATCCGTCTCAGAAGGAGAGATCATCGGATTTGGTGACCAGAGAAGGCTTCTTGGAAGAGATGGGACATTGAAAGATTTGTGAGCTTTGTGTAATCACAGAAGAGGAGAGAGTACCCCAATGGCAGAAATGTACAGCCCTGGGGAGGGAGAGGAGTATGGGCAAGGACAAGCAGGGATGGCCAGACTAAAGGATTTGTATAATGGAATATCAAGAGATAAGGTTGGGGTCAGTGCAGTGGCTCATGCCTATAAGCCTAGCACTTTGGGAGGCCAAGGTGGGCGGATCACTTGAGGTCAAGAGTTTGAGACCAGCCTGGCCAACATGGCAAAACCCAGTCTCTACTAAAATTCAAAAATTAGCTGGGCATGGTGATGTGCGCCTATAATCCCAGCTACTCGGGAGGCTGAGGCAGGAGAATCGCTTGAACTCAGGAGGCAGAGGTTGCAGTGAGCCGAGATTGCACTACTGCACTCCAGTCTGGACAACAGATCGAGACTCCATGTCAAAAAAAAAAAAAAAAAAAAGCAATAAGGTTGGAAGTGTAGGTTGGAGCCAAGTAGGGAAGTCCTGGAAACCCGGCTGCCAGTGCTTAAGTTAAATTCACCAGGCAGTAGATAGCAAAGGCTTATCATTGATAATAAAAACAGAAAATGAAATAAAAATGGGGAAGACAATAAGGAGACTATTGCAGTAATTTCACTAATTGCAACACAACCCATCATTATTTATTCAGTAAATATTGATTGAGCCCTCATACTCCATGCAATCTTCTATGCTAGGGACAGGGCAATATCTAAGATTAAACACATTTCCTGCCCTCCTGGAGTTGCATTCTAGTACACATTTCAAGCATTGACTTCTATGTCCAGTGGACAAATGTAGTTGAAAAGTTAAGGTGTGGATGTATTAGAATGTAGTGGGGTATGGGTCCTAGAATCAGATTTCTTGGCTTTGAATCCTGGCTTGCCCCATTGTTAACTGAATGTATGTCCATGAAACAGTTACTCTATGCTTCAGTTTCCTTATAATTTAAGAGGGGATAATTATGTTAGCTCTTTAATAGAGCTGTTATGAAGTTTAATTGAGAAAATAAATGAAAAGGACTTAGGATAGTACCTGGCATATAGCAAATGCTCAGTAGGGCTTTCTTGTTTTTTGTATCTGAGATTTTAATTTCTACTCAAGGATTTGTCTAGGTCACTTCTGTTTTTAACTGAGTGAGTCTATTTCAGAATCCTGGCATATTGTATCTCAGGTCTGAGCTCTCCTTAATATGCTGTATGATTTTGGACATTGAACTTGTTGAATTAATTAGCATACAAACTCTGCCTTCCTAATTCAGGCAAGCTGCAAAATTCTTCTTTCCAACAGACCACAGTTCTGGTCTTGTTTTGGGCAGAAGCTTCTAGATAATGCTCCTTCTAGACCCTGAATCAAGAAGTCTTTTGAAGCATCCTGGCCTGAGAGAGCCTGAGAGGTGACCTGACCTCAGGACATCTAGTCTCCCTCTGGAGAAGCCATAGTTTGAATTTAATTTCTTTGTGTTACCACATCATAAGGGCTATGGGCCTCCTCAGCTCTCTGTGCCTCTGTGCCCCTTTCCATGAGCTGGGATGAAATAGCCAACTAGAACAACTATCAGGACGTATGTTCTTTTTTTGTTTACTATTATTATTTTTTGGGACAAAGTCTCCCTCTGTCGCTCAGGCTGGAGGGCAGTGGCATCGTCTCAGCTCACTGTAACCTCTGCCTCCTGGGTTCAAGTGATTCTCCCACCTCAGCCTCCCAGGTAGCTGGGACTACAGGTGCCTGCCGCCATGCCCTGCTAATTTTTGTATTTTTTGGTAGAGACAGGGTTTTGCCATGTTGGCCTGGCTGGTCTCGAACTCATGACCTCAAGTGATCCACCCGCCTTGGCCTCCTAAAGTTCTGGAGTTACAGGGGTGATCCACTGCAACTGGCCTGGAGGTGTGTTCCTATGAGTGTATTCAGAAGGATGCCTCGAAGCTTGTGGAAAGAGATTGAGAAAGAGAGCCCTTACCAGAAACCAAATTGGCTAGGACCTTGATCTTGGACTTCCTGCCTCCAGAACCATAAGAAATAAATTTCTACTGGCTAAGCCACCCTGTCTATGGTATTTTGTTAACAGCCTGAGCAGACGAAAACATTAAAAGAGTATTTGTGGACCTAATTTCAAGATTATTCAGAATTGTGGTGACATAAGAAAAACATGAAAAACTGAACCTAACCCACAGTCCTAATACTCATTTAAATGGATAATGTTGACTTTATTTCCTATCATACATTAGTGAGGCCAAAAGGTTACAGAATTTGTTGGTTAAAATTCCCCCAAGACTCATTTTTCCTCTAGAGGAGGTGCTAATGAGCAGTGAAATAGATCAAAACTAGTGAGAACCATCGTCGGAGAATATGAGGTAAGGAAAGAGTCTGGACAGTTTGTATTTCAGACTTTTAGTTATTGAACAATTGGCCTCATAGCTGTGTGTTCATAGGATGCACCCAGATTTGAGGGGGTGAAAGTGTGAGGGGAGGCTGAGTAGCAGAGGCCTGCCAGTGAGGAAACACTTCACCTAGCCTAGGAGACATGTGAGGTGGTTCCTTGCACCCAAGAGATCCTGCTTCCAGAAGAGTGATGACTGTGCCTGAACCCAGCCAAGGATTCAGGTGTGGAGAGTTCCTCACTATAGCTAAGCCAGATGGTCCACTTTTATTTTGGTGAAGGCCAACCTGAAGCAAAGGCACTTTTCTTCCGCCATTAAAAAAAACAACAAAGCAAAAACAGAGACAAAAAAGCTTGTGATGTGGAGCTCTGCCAAGCTAGGGCTGGAAAAAAAAGTCCCTTGCTTTCCTTCCAAGGCAGTATGTAAATGCTGTTTTGTTTGTGCAGCCACCGGGGATGGTTTAGAGTGCCTCACTAAAGTCCATGGCTGCTATAGAATCTGATTTTTATGATTATGAATATCCTATAAGCTAACCATCTAGGTCTAGTTGTCACCTCCCTGCACAATCATCTTTGGTTGAAGATATTGAATTATACTGCATTGCTATGAAAGCCAAATATCTTCAGAAAGTGATCACCTTAATCTGTTTATAGAAGCTCGAGCATGTGCTTATGTGTAGCTCTTTCCCTAAAGGACAGGACTCTGATCTTTCTGACTTTTTCTAGAGTTCAGGTGTGGCAGGCATTAACTGAGACATTAACTCTTCACCCAAGGAAGGTTTCTTGTAGCTTAACCTAAGGAGTTTTCTGCTTAGCTAGAGAATTTGGAAGACCATTTTTCATTTCTTGGCCAGGTTGTGCTATTTACAAAAATGAGGCCATGTAATTAGGGCCCCGGTGCCGTGTGGATCCATTCACTGGTACATAAGAGAGACTACAGTGTTTTCATGGGTTAGTGGCTGACTGTGCCCTCTCTGTTTCCTTTAATGGTGAATATGTCACTGCTGAGAAGGATGGCAACCAAGTCCTGACAGGCAGATTTTCAGAACAAAGTGTTAGTGAGTGAAGAAAGGTCTGTGCAAGCCAGGCGAGGTTTGTCACTGAGTTCTAAGGAACAGTTCTTTAAAAAAAACAAGCAACTTCCCAATCTGTGTCTAGGATTTGGATCCAGCATAAGTAAAACTCCAGGTAGAGCAAAACCCATTTAGCATATGCTGGGAACTACCATGCCCGTCTTCCATGGTGCACTTACAGAAATGAGGAGGGGACTGGGCCTCACAGCTTGGCTCCAGCTGCTGTGCCCCAGAAGAAAGAGCCATGTGCAGTGGCCATCCCATCCATTCACTGTGGCCCATCATTGTTGGCAGCTAAGCGAAGATGCTCGCGGGTGGTTAGCGCTGGGCCTCAGATTCCTTGTTGAAGGCCCAATGGGGAACCCATGGTTAGAGGAAAGAAGTCCAGGCGAAGCGGAGCTACCTAAGGAGAGACATGCTTTTAGGAGGTTTCGCTTCATTGACTCAGTTCAAGTTTTATCTTAAAGGTACTTTATGCTGGGTTGTGGGGGGTGGTGGAATCAGCCGAGTTTGAGATTCCAGCATTACTCATGAGCCAAGCTTAGCTGCCTGCTTTTAGAATTGCATTAACTTGAGGTAATTTTTTTAATGTTTTCTAATCCTGGAGCAAATGAAAATCATTGACAGTGATGCAGATTTCAAGGCCAATGTCACTAATCCATGAAAATGTTT
Organism: Homo sapiens; assembly: GCF_000001405.40. Classification (NCBI taxonomy): domain Eukaryota; kingdom Metazoa; phylum Chordata; class Mammalia; order Primates; family Hominidae; genus Homo; species Homo sapiens. Next base: position 127,307,038 of record NC_000005.10, read on the forward strand.
GTTTTATTTTGCTTTGGCATGGCCTTGAATGAAACAACAACAAAGAAATCCTTCCGGAGTGAAAGGAGCACGCTTCTCCCCTAGAGTTCTGTTAGATAACCCAGAATACTAAAAAAAATACTGGCTCTGGAGCCTAAAGACCTTGCCTTGAGTTGTAGCTTTGCCACACCATATGATGTTAGACACCTGAAAAAACTCTTCTGTGCCTCAGTTTCTTTCTTCACAAGACAAAGAGATCAAAAAGTCCCTTCCCAACCCTGTGAACTTGACTAGGGAGCCTCTGGGGCCATGTCTGGGCTGTTGGGGTGCAGCTGAGTGGTGAGAATGGGGTGGGCAGGGTTCATCACTGGCAAAAGCTATGGCAGAGCCCCAGCTTCGCCTGGGCTAGATGTTTTGCCTGGCCACGGAGCTGCACACCGAATGGAAGTTATAAGACTGTGTGACTGAAAGTGTTTATTTTGAGGATGAATACTAATATCTAATATCTGTGGGGCAGCTGTTTCCCTGGGTGCTCTTCCTCTATGTTGGCTCATGGTGAGGGCACAGCCTAAAGAGCTCTACTGACATGTCTCTTCAAATACAACTTTAGCATAGTCTCAAAATTTCACTAACTTCAGACCAAATTCAAATTTTCTTCTATCCATGATGGAGATATTTTCTTCCAACCCACCATGATAGATCTTTGGGAACATGTATAAAAATTAATGTTGCTATCTTCTTTTATTTTGAACTTACAAATTTAAAAAAAGGAAATTGTTGGCTTTAAAAATTTTGTAAAGTCTGTTTTCTGTTTGCCAAGAGACCCTGATGGCACAGAGCTTCGGTTCAGGAGTGTGGTGTGTAAACCCCGGTCCTCCTCCATGGGGTAATAGAGCCCTGGGATTCTAATCCATGCCACATGCGATGACCTGAGCAGACCCTGTAGGAAAACAGAAGTCTCGCTGTCCCCTCATGGAGCAGTTGCTCACAGTCCGTTGTACAGCTGTGGCCTGCTTTGTTGGGAAGTGCAGCGTGACTTGATCTTTTAAGCTCTTTTCTCCCTGTAGGTATTATAAATAACAACTGCTCTGTGGGAGTACCTGCCAGGAGGGCTTGAGATCTGCATTCTGTACTCAAAAAGCATTGTTTTTTGTAATCTTAACTTCATTAGCAATTACGAGAGAGGAGAAAAATAAAACCCAAAATCAAAGTGACTTTGTTATGATGCAGAAAATCCAAATTAGGGAAATAAGAATTGAAATTGAGAAAGACAAACTCCTTTAAAACCTCAAATTCCTTAGAACTTTTCTGAGAACGTAAGGAACACAAACAGGTCCAGATCCCTAAGATATTCCAAGTTCAACAAACAAATCAGTTTGAATTCAGGCAGGCTATCATCGAGAGCTGGAATTCTGACATTGCACAGTGGCTGCGAAATGCTTGACGCCCTTTTGGTTTCCGTGTACTTAAAGTTAAGAAAATGTGGCACATATACACCATGGAATACTATGCAGCCATAAAAAATGATGAGTTCATGTCTTTTGTAGGGACATGGATGAAGCTGGAAACCATCATTCTCAGCAAACTATCGCAAGGACGAAAAACCAAACACTGCATGTTCTCACTCATAGGTGGGAATTGAACAATGAGAACACATGGACACAGGAAGGGGAACATCACACACCAGAGCCTGTTGTGGGGTGGGGGGAAGGGGGAGGGATAGCATTAGGAGATATACCTAATGTTAAATGACGAGTTAATGGGTGCAGCACACCAACATGGCACATGTATACATATGTAACTAAACTGCATGTTGTGCACACGTACCCTAAAACTTAAAGTATAATTAAAAAAATAATAAAAATAAATAAAAGTAAAAATACAAAAAAATTAAAATAAAAGGTTAAGAGAAAGTTAAATTGCTCTATTTTGGTTTCTGTGTATGGGTTCTGGAGGGATTGCCATCTGTAACGAGATGTAAAATTCTGGGACACTGGCCCAAGGAGAAGGGGGTGAAGAGACCAGGCTGACACAGGATCACACTGTTGTTATTATGTTTTGCCTCCTTCCACTTTCAAGTCCTAGCAACTGCATTACCAGTCCATGTGCAGTCCTTGTGATCCATGGAAGAATTCATGAATGTCTGTCTTAATCATGCAGATGAGTAGTGAAAAGAAGTAAACAAGGAGTTCTCACCTTTTGGGCAGACATCTGTTACTTACGCTTTAATACTAGCTTGCTTTTAGACTTTGTAAAATATTGCGGTAAAATGCACATAACATACCATACAATTCAGCATTTTTAATGTGTGGTTCTGTGGCATTTTAAATACATTCACACTGTTGTGAAACCATCACCACCATCCATCTCCAGAACTTTTTCATGATCCCAAATTGAAACTCTGTACCCATTAAATAGCAGCTCCCCATTTTCCTCTTACTCCAGCCCTTGGCAACCACCATTCTACTTTCTGTCTTTATGAATTTGACTACTCTATGTACTTCATATAAATGGAATCAGACAGTATTTATTCTTTTGTAACTGGCTGATTTTACTTAGAAATAATGTCCTCAAAGTCCAGCCAAGTTGTAGCATGTGCCAGTTTCATTGCTTTTTGAGGCTAAATAATATTCAGTTGTAGTATATACCACATTGTGTTTATCCATTCATTCATTAATGGACATATGTGTCATTTCCACCTTTTGAGTATTGTGAATAGTGCTGCTGTGAACATTGGTGTACAAATATCTGTTCAATTCCCTGCTTTCAATTCTTTTTTGGGTATATATACCCAGAAGGGGAATTGCTGCAACATATGGTAATTCCATGTTTTTTGAGGAATCACCATACTGTTTTTCTACAGTGGCTGCTCCATTTTACATTTCCGTCAGCAATGCACAAGAGTTCCAATTTTTCCACATCCTTGCCAACTCTTTCTTTCTTTCTTTCTTTCTTTCTTTCTTTCTTTCTTTCTTTCTTTCCTTCCTTCCTTCCTTTCTTTTTTTCTTTCTTTCTTTCCTTCTTTCTTTATTTCTTTCTTTCTTTCTTTCTCTCTTTCTTTCTTTCTTTGTTTCGGAGGGGGTGATAATAGCAATCCTAATCAGTGTGAAGTTATCGCATTGTGGTTTGATTTACATTTCCCTAATGATTAGTGATACGGCCTTTTTTAAATGTGCATATTGGCCATTGGTATATCTTCTTTTAAAAAATGTCTATGCAAGTTATTTGCCCATATTTTAATTAGGTTGTCTGTTTTGTTACTGCTATGTTGTAGGAGTTCTTTTTATATTGTTGATATTGATCCTTTATCATGTATTACAAATATTTTCTCTCATTCTGTGGGTTGTGTTTTCACTCTGTTGATAGTGTCCTTTGTTGCAAAAATTTTTAAATTGTGATGAAGTTCAGTTTATCTGTTTTCTCTTTTATTGCTTGTGCTTTTAGTATCATATCCAAGAATCATTGCCAATTGCTTTTAGATTTTTTTTAAGGATAGCCCCTTTCTCTGTAATACCACAAAAACCATTACTTGTAGAAATTTCTCTTTGAAGGGATTTTGCTCTGAGATGTCTCTTTTTTACTTGTTTGGAGAGTGGCCTTTTTATTACTTGGGAATTGGTTGATTCCACTTTCACCATGCTCTATCATTCTCTTCTCTTCTTCTCAGGGAGATCACAAAGGCTCATTTATGGATAAAAAGAAAAGAGGGAGTGAGGGAAAGGCTTAGTTTGAAAATAGCCTCAATCATTTGTAGTATAGGGGCTAAGGAGAGAAAGGGCAGGTTTCAGAATGTCTGGGGCATATGAGTGGGTTCTTTAGCAATCAAGACTTGCAAGGAGTCTGTGACACCAAACTGGACTGCCATTTGTCTAAGAAGGCTGAGATCTACTTCCTAAAGCACCCTCCTTTTGTCCTCAGGCTGGAAAGATTGCTGAAAAGTGAGCAGGCCCCTAGCTGAACCTCTAAGGAACCTCAGTCCCCCTCCCAAAGACATAATATTCCATGCCTGAAACTTCTCCAAGTATATAGACAGTGACTTTTTATAAATGTTCATTCCCTTTTAGAAAACACAATATATTCCTCTTATTTCTATTAAGTGTTGGTAAAATGCTTCTAATTGAAAATCCTTTTCCTCCCTGCCAGTTTCTCATACTTTACTCACTATTATTTCTGGATTATATTCTGTGTACAAAAATCACCATTTAATAGTGACTACACATCCAAACACTACAGATATTGCTTAGTATAAAAAAGCAACTGGGGAGTACATCATAAATTCATACAATCTCATCTTGAAGAGCAAACTAAATACAGAGACAGCCTGAAGGACATTCTTCTTTACACTTGGCAGTTCCAGAAGAATATATTTAAATGTTATGTAAGTTTTAGTCTTTTCTCATTACTTATGTCACAGCTGTGGACTTCTGAGCCATAGGGCTGCTGTTTACTTTAGACAGACAGTTTTGAGTTAGGTGAGTATTTGAGTATTTTCCTACCCAGCATGTGTTCAGATGTGAGGTGTTTGCTTTTATGCTTGTACGTCTGGTATGAAAAATGGTTTTGTGTGCCAATAATTGTCCCTGTGCTGCTGCCTGCACAGTAACTTGACTCAGGAATACAGAGAACTGTGTCTGGAATTTGCAGTTTTAAGAAGTTGAATGATGACATACTTCATAAAGAGAACTCTTTTCAAATGAACTGTAGTTTAATTAGTAGATCCCTCACTCGCCTATGTATAGGCTTGAAGAAGTCGGAGAATAGTTTTACTGATGTCAAGGAAGGCTGGCAGTAAGTTTCTCTAATATGCATGTTACAGAATGCAACGTTAAATTCCTGAAATCTCGTTTGGTGATGGTCTTCAAAAAGAATCATTTTTATTCACAGGGCCTCAATCATCTGAGGGACTAGATATCCAGAGAAGCCAGCTTCTCAGTGTTGCGTGCACTTTAAAAAGTCATAATTACCGCAGGAGCTAGGAAATGCTTTAAATCAGCAGCATCCCATCACAACTCCTAATTTTAATGTGTGCAAGTAGGCATCCTAACAAAACCACAGCTCAGCCCCCACCTCGTCTCGCCTTGCTCCTTCCTCTCTCACTGTGCCTCCTTTTCATGGTCTCCAGGGAAGCATGGTCAGTTTTGAAGGAGGGAGAGAAGGCAAAGAGGGATGGAAGTCAGAGCAAGCAGCCCAGGTCCCACTTCTATCTTAACTGGCACCAGGAAAAAGTGCCTTCGGCTGGCACAGTGGCTTGTGGGCACCAGGCTTTGCTTGTTTGCCATATAAATCCTGGTCATAACAGAGACCAATGCCATTCAGGCAGTGAGCAGGAAGCTGCTTTTATGGGGAGCTTTTTGGCACCGTGTCCGACATACACTCCAGTCAATCACAGTAAAGGGCCTAATAACAGATGTGGTGATTAAGCCTGAAGAACTGTCTCTATTTTTTCATTTTTGTTTCAGAGAATAACAAAGTGCTTCATTAAACCCCCAATCGCACAGAGTTTTGAATTGGGCATACTGATGTGGTAAAAACTTACATCTCTGTAAGGACTTTCTTCTGAAGTTCTTATCAGCAAGGATGCCTCAGAGGGAAGGTTGGATCCTTTTAGCCAGGACAGTTATGTTCTTTCTGGGTTGTGCTTTGCACTCCAATACCAAACCATATGCAGAATCCTGGGGTACAACCAGTTTCCTATAAGTACCTTGGATATAAATAAACAGTTTTAGCTTTTGTGTGCTTTTGTAAATGTAAAATGTTCTCTGACTCTCTTAGGTTCAATTTTACTGCTTATAGCAAGAAATTAACTATAGCTTTCAATCTTAGAAAGGTTTCAGATAACCTGAAACCATGGTAAATTACCATATTTTAATAAGATAAATTATCTTGAAAAAAATTTAATTACATCTGAAAAGGTCTGTCTTTGATTGTGGCAGTTTCTAAGGCAAATGTCTTCATTAAGGTTGTTTTTCTTTCTTTTTAAATGATGAACATGAATCTGGCTCATCATTAAAGGAAATTAATCTAAGAATTTAATGACTTGGGACAGGTAGAAAAAGTATACGTTCTCAACAGCAAGAACACACAGCTGAAAACTTTCTCTTTAGCTCTTCCTGGATTGTGAAGGCTGGTTCTCTGTGACCCTGGGGCTCTTGGGAAAGGATGGCTGTCTTTCTGACACGGCTCTATGGGATCGTGTAGATTTGGAAGCCACATCTATATCCCAGAGATAATTTTTTTGTTTGTTTCTAATTCCATGTAGCCATAGATCCACTTTGTAAGATTATTGCTTTATTATCTTTCTCCAAATGCATACTTCTGAGTTTTCAGGGTACCTCCAAGAGAATTTGTAGTTGACTAGATTCTCTTAACCTGACCCATAAAGCATATGATTTATGGAGAAGAATCAAGATTTAATTATAATTTCAATTCTTGTGTTAATAAAGCATAAACTTAACCTACTCATCCGATTAGCCTAAAATGTAATTTGTGTGTATTTAACATTTGTACACACTTATATGCACGGACACATATAAAAACAGTACTAACCTTTATGGCACTTCATATTTGTTTTCTCGTCTGAAACAATATTTACAATTCACTTTTTACTACCTTTATCCATTTAGACAACCTTTTCCTCCATTGATGTTAAACATGTTTCTTGCTAAATGTAAAATCAGCAATGTACAGACTCAGATTTTGCCACATTAAAATTTGTTTTAAGAAACCACCCCTATATACACCTTGTATCTAAAAGTGAGAACTCCCAGATACATTGGGGAAGACTTGTGGTCAGGCAGACACCTCCCTCAGGATTATTCAATTGCTGAAAAAGTAAAGCTTTTCTTTAAATAAGATTCAGAATAACTTCCTTATAGTTTTTCCTAAGAAGGGCAAGACTTTCTGGGATGATACACCTCATGTTTTACTTTCGGTTCCATTGCTGGTGGGGAGATATTTCTGTAGGTTCGGGGAGATGCCTTGAAGATGAAGTGGAAAGTTGGCCAACCAAGGGCGGCCCTGAGCTGAAGCGCCACCTCCTGGCGGAATAGGTCACTTCAGGGATTGTTTCTCAGTTACCCAGGCTGCCTGCTGAGGCATCTGTTCTCCCCAGTTATGGATCCCACTCTGTTATTTCTCTCCCACCTCACCCCTCTGGATCGGTTGTCTGGGACTCACAGGATATGATCTCTTGACTCTCCTCAAGTGCTCAATATACTTTAATGTTTCATGACTTTATAGATCCTGGTATTGTTCTTACTTAGCAACCGTATATTGATCATCTATATATTCTTGCAGATGGGGAGAGAAGTAGAAGTCAGGGAGGAGTAGAATAGGAGACAAGACAAAACCATGGGCTCTGCTTTCAAGGACCCAACAGTCTAGTTGAAGAGGTGGGATTGGTTATGTCAAAAGATGACCAGCAGCCCAAGGCAATGGAGAAATATCAGATGAAGGATGTGGAGAGTTGGTTCCGTTAGAGATTTCTATGCAGTTTCTAGTGAAAAGACTAGAGAATTTTTACTTATGTCCTGAACACACTGTTAAGTAGATCTTGGATGAGAAAATAAATTATTGCAAAGAGAGAAGTAAGTTGACAGAAAGCTTATGTAATGGTTTGAATTTCAAACAATTAGGGAGGCTTACATGTTGGACTAAGGGAATTTTAGGAATGAATCATAGGCTCTTTCAAATTAGCGGGATATGAAAAATATATTCCAGGCAGGAACTATTTCTACCCTTCATAGATTCTTCAATTGAGATATTCTTCATGTATGGTTTACATTCATTAGATTTTATTTTCCTGTTTAAGTTAAATGATTAGGAAGTTTAAAATCTTGAACAAATGACAGTAATATAGTTTATGGAAACTGTATTTATAAGAAGGAAATGAATGTATTCATTGTGATGGGGTGCACTTAATTTTAAGTGCTTTTGGCTGCTGTTGTTTCCAATATTTGCAGTAAAATGAAGATACTGCTATTAAAGACTTTGAATCTTAAAAAAAAGGAGCTGAGGGAGAGAATTTATAATAAAGGCAACAGGGAAATGACATTTGATGAGGACAAGAACAGAAGAGATTAAGGAAAATGTCAGAGATTGCAAAGCTTGTGGCCCTGCTGAGTTCAGAACTCAGTGTTAGTTCAAAAACCTTTAGCTTCCTTAGTTCAAATTGCCCTTAAAGAGTTATCAGAACCTGCTTAAAATTAAAGGTTTTTTCCCCATAAAAACTGTAATTATCTTGATATTAATGTTCCAGTTTATTTATGTATTTATTTTTAACATTATACTTGGTGTGCATTTATGCCCACCTGTGCATAAAGGAAATTCTTGCCTTATTTAGGTAATATACAAACACTTATGTACATTTGGGGTCCATTAATATATTTTAAAATTTATAATCACAATGTGACCTTCATCAAAGACCATCACAGATCTTAATTCCTTCTCAAAATTAAAACTTAAAAATATATGAATCTTGCCGGGCGTGGTGGCCCATGGCTGTAATCCCAGAACTTTTGGAGGCTGATAGAGGTGAATTGCTTGAGCCCAGGAGTTCAAGACCAGCATGGGCAATATGATGAGACCCGTCTCTACAAAAATACAAAAATTAGCCAGGTGTGTTGGAATGCATGTGTAGTCCCAGCTACTCAGGAGGCTGAGGTGAGAGGATCCATTCAGTTTGGGAGGTTGAGGCAGCAGTGAGCTGTGATTGTGTCACTGCACTCCAGCCTGGGTGACAGAGTGAGACCCTGTCTTAAAAAAACAAACCAAAACAAAATAACCCTTTTTCTTTCTGTCTATATTTCAAGCATATATTTTGAATCACTTTGTAATAAAAATCTTTTTATTTTCTAAAGTGTGCTAATCTAACACTCTAAGAACATGTTGAAGCAGAGCAGTCTTTCAGTTGCTGTAGACCGTAGCAATCTGCTAATTACTGAAGGTTCATCCTAGGGTATATTCCCACACATTGTTCTTTCTGGTGAAGTTTGCTGAAATGGGTCCCTGTACCAGGCCCACAGGCAGGCCCCAGGAATTGTGCTTTTTATCAATGGAGATGCAACACTTCAGAAGACGCTTTAGTGCAACAAAAGTCTGCCATATAAGTTTGGTGCCATTGCACCTTTGCTCTGCCTCCTTATCTTGCTTTATTACTTCCTGCTGGCTTCTGCTGCTTGACTCCCAGCCCCTCCTGGATGCTCCCTTGCTGCTGTCAAATGTTTGCTCATAGTCACCTCACCTTGCCCTCAGCTGATATGAATACCATGCCTGCAAGAATCATCACCAATGCAGCCATGTTTGAGCAGGTCCAATTATTGACAATACAGGAAGGCTAATGAGTAGAAAGCCTTAAGCTTTAAATGAATTTACAGAATGATTAACTATTAATTAAGCCATTGAAAGTGCCCATACGTTCTTTTCAGAGACTACATATTTTTTATCTCTAATTAAAACAAATATCCCCCAAACAAAACTTTCAGTGTTTTTTCATATTTGTAATCACTGGTATTGCAATCATTTTGTTTCAACTCTAGGATTTTCCACTGCAGTTGTATATTAGCAATTAAATGATAATCTTGACCTTCCATTTCTGCCTTTTAAATATTAAGAATAATGATTTCAGGGTTCCAGAACAAGTGATTTGCATATTCTGAGCTTTATTTTTCCTGTGGGCCATACATTCATTCAAGAATACCAAGAACATGTAGAGATGAACAGTGTACCATTCTGACATTAAGGAGTCTGGTAGCTAGTGGAGAGATGAGCGGTGTGGTGTGTGTTACTACTCTGACGAAGAACACATCAGCTACTCTTGGGATGTTTCAGGGTGTTACAGGAGCAAAGAAGAAGAATGACAAGGTTAGCCAGGGAGCTCTTCTAAAAGAAAGTGACAGTTGATCCTTAAAGAATGAGTGAGAATTAAGTTGAGCAGATAGTTAAGGGCATTCCAAGAAGGAACAGCATGGGCGAAGACAGAGGAGTGAAAACCTCTAATGTTTGGGGAAAATCAAGTACCTGAGAATTGTTCAAGCGACATATACATGAGTTTGTTGAGTGATGAGGCTGGACTCAGATATCTTGAGTCTTAAATGCCAGTTTGAATTTTACCTAAAAGGCAAGCTCTCAAAAGCTTTTAAGAAGGGGAGTGTGGGGTTGTTTGTTTTTTTCTTGTAAATTTGTTAAAGTTCTTTGTAGATTCTGGATATTAGCCCTTTGTCAGATGGGTAGATTGCAAAAATTTTCTCCCATTCTGCGTGTCCGCTCTGATGGTAGTTTCTTTTGCTGTGCAGAAGCTCTTTAGTTTAATTAGATCCCATTTGTCAATTTTGGCTTTTGTTGCCATTGCTTTTGGTGTTTTAGTCATGAAGTCTGTGCCCATGCCTATGTCCTGAATGGCATTGCCTAGGTTTTCTTCTAGGGTTTTTATGGTTTTAGGTCTAACATTTAATCCATCTTGAATTAATTTTTTTATAAGGTGTAAGGAAGGGATCCAGTTTCAGCTTTCTACATAGAAAATGTGGCACGTACACACCACGGAATACTATGCAGCCATAAAAAAGGATGAGTTCATGTGCTTTGCAGGGACATGGATGAAGCTGGAAACCATCATTCTGAGCAAACTATCACAAGGACAGAAAACCAAACACCCCGTGTTCTCACTCATAGGTGGGAATTGAACAATGAGAACACTTGGACACAGGGTGGGGAGCATCACACACCAGGGCCTGTCATGTGTCCCCTGTCATGGGGGAGGGATAGCATTAGGAGAAATACCTAATATAAATGATGAGTTAATGGGTGCAGCAAACCAACATGGTACATGTATACATATGTAACAAACTTGCATGTTGTGCACATGTACCCCCTAGAACTTAAAGTGTAATAAAAAAAAAGTGAGGGGGGAGTGTGATGTTCTGACTTGTGTTTTTAAAGCATTGGTGACAGTGTGGAGGAGGAATTGAGTTGATTGGTAAAAAGGATGAACTGATCAAACTGAAAAACTAGTCAAAGTTAGTGTTTCTTGACATTGGTTTTGAAACTTTGCTCTCAGTAATGGGATCAGTAAATATGATTAGTGCCCTTATAAAAGAGACCTCAGAGTGCTGCCTTGCGCCTTGCACCATGTGAGAACACAAGGAGAAGGTACCATCTATGAATCAGGAAGCAGCCCCTCCCCAGACACTGAATCTGCCAGCGCCTTGATTCTGGACTTCCAGCCTCCAGAACTGTGAGAAATAAATTTCTGCTGTTTTTAAGGCACCCGGTTTATGGCACTAGGTTGTAGCAGCCTGACCTAACACACCCATTGTATCTTTACAGTAAAAAGTCAAACTGAGGGATAAAAACTTGATGATGTTTTCAGGAATATCCAACCAAAAAAGTGGCCATTTCCTCATCCCTGATAGAAGTTTTTGCTAAGATAAAAAATGATAAACAGTTTTAAATCATGGGAACATACCAAGTAGCCATGGTTGGCATCACTGGCTAAAAATGCATCTACAAGAACTTTGAAAAGCAGATGAAGTAGCCAGATGATATGCTTTAAAAACTTGTAAAATCATCCTAGAATATACAAAGCTTAAAAATGCATGAAGTAAGAGATGAGAACTCTCCAACAATCTTGCCATTGAAAAATTGACTTAAACATAAAAAAAATAGGTTAATGAAAAACACTGCCAATAAGCAGATCAAACGTAATTGGCTGAGAATGAGGGGAGGAAAAACTAAAATGCTGGTAAGCCTATAAAAGTTGTAAAACTATGTATGCCCAATTGCAAACAAACAAACAAACTCAAACTCCTTTCCCAGAACTTTTAAAAAATAACAGAAGAGAATATTTTTACGGTACATAAGCAATGCACAATTGCCTAATGGTATATAAAAATTGCTAATTCCTGAAAAACCTGTGACTTGAAATATACATTTTTCAATAAACTTTTATTTGTCAAACTCACCAATTCTAAATCTTGTTCCAAACCCTTTTCTTTCCTTCTCTCTTTCATTACCTCCCTCCCTCCCTCCCTCCCTTCCTCCCTCCCTCCCTTCCTCCATCCCTTCCTTTCTCTCTTCCTTTCTTGATAGAGTCTGGCTCTGTTGCCCAGGCTGGAGTGCAGTGGTATGATCTCGGCTCACTGCAACCCCTGCTTCCCGGGTTCAAGTGATTCTCCTGCTTCAGCCTCCCAAATAGCTGGGATTACAGGCATCTGCCACCATGCCTGGCTAATTTTTGTATTTTTAGTAGAGACAGGGTTTTACCATGTTGGCCAGTCTGGTCTTGAACTCTTGACCTCAAGTGATCCACCTACCTCGGCCTCCCAAGGTATTAGGATTACAGGCATGAGCCACTGTGCCTGGCCTTGCTTTTCTTCTTTAAACTAGTTTTTCTTTTCTTAAAATATTTGTTCAGATTTACATAGTGGACTCGTCTCTATGTCTTTGTTTAGATTCATTCATTCATTTGCTGTGCTGGGTGCTGTTTTAGGTACTGAGGATACTGCAGAGAAAAAAGAAGGCATCATTGCACTGAGGAAATTAGGAGATGTCAGTTTACCTTCCATCAGCTCTTTCACATGGCCATTGGCAAAACTTCTACCATGCTTGTATCTAATCTGCTCCTTTGATGCATAGATTGAGTAGACATAATTCACTGCGAGCTCTTCCTCCTGGGAATGAAAAGGAGCACTCACAAGTTGCCTTATTAAAGTCTTTGGCTAACTAATCAATTTTTTACTGTTAAACTTTTATAAGCACCCTAGGGCCAATTATCTCTATATTTGTACCCTATTAACAGTGGCATCAGCCACAGAAAGAAAGTAATTGCATCTTTATTATCTTTGCGTATAGCAATTCGTATTATTGGGCAAGACAGACTGACAGGATCTTGAATTTTGGCTTAATAGTGGCCTAAGGAGAAGCCATTTAGAAAATAGCTTTGTGACCTTGGGCATACTTTTAATATCTCCAGACCACAGCATCATCATCTGTAAAATTAGAGTGTTGGACCAGCTTTCTGCTAAAGGCTATGTTCACACAAAAGTCGATGAATCTTAGGCATTCTGGAGGTTTATAAGAAAAGCAAAGAGAAAATATCACTCTCATTATAAGTTTGCTTGCCATGAAAGCTGCTTTCCTGACTGATGTTTCTGAAAAGGAAATAAAACAGAGAGGGAGCCAGTAACCTGTGAGTGATCAGTTTGATGCTGCATCAGACTAGAATTTACCCCTGTCATTGTCTCCACCTGCCCCCATGGCATCAGGTCCTGAATTTCACTAAAAATGGCAGGGAAGGACAAACCAGGAGACACAGGGAAATTAGAAGAGATAATTATGGATGATGTGAATGAAGGAAGTAATATGGAAAATGACACTCGATTTCCTAACAATATGAGATTGTTCTCCAACCATTAGGGTCAGACAGGGTCATTTCTTGAGTGAAAGATCAGTCTAGATACCACAGGAAGTGGTGTTGCTAATTCAGCATGTGGCACTTTATCTACTGAAACAAAGCCCCATTTTAAGAGTCATAAAGATGGGATTTGGGTTGTGGCTTTGTATATTTGCATACATATGCGATTGGCCAGGAAGTGGAAGTGGGAGGTGAGGCTGCCCAAGCATTTTCTCCTGAATGTCCTGACCAAATGCAGCTTTGAATACTGACATTCTTTTACCTACTTATACTTCCTCAGCAGTTTCCTCGCATTTTGCCTCAAATCTTCAAAGCCTTTGACAATGTGGGCTTAAAACCATGAGGATAAATGTGTTCAGATTCTTTTGTGGCAATGCCTGCTGCGAGATACCTGTGGTCACTCTGCTTCCTGGTCTGGGTTAGTGGTTCAGAACTGAGTCCACTGGGAAGAATGGCAGCTGAGTCACAAATGTCACTGATTATTCAAAACATCTGTACAGTGTAAATATGGAAATATCTTTTGTACTTTCCAATTCACATATTCAGTTTTGACCAGGAAGTAGCTTAGTCTCTTAGAGTATCTAACTTTTAGTGAATATGCATTCCAAGAAGCGTTTATTGCTACAATACACAGGTGAAGTGTTATTTTAGAAAGACTGAGACTGTTTTACCTGATGGACAGGTGATTTGACTGTAAGTTAAGAGAACTGAGTTCTGGGTTCTAGTGTTGAGCCACCTACAAATGAGCTCTGTGATCATGGCCAAGTCATCTTAACTTGACCTTCTATTATTTTATCCATAAAATGAAAGGATTTTGATTGGACTCCATGAAGGCCTTCAACTCTAACATTCTGTTCTACTATTTCTTACACAAGAGCTCTTTGGATTCTGGACATATGTATTGCTCTAGAAACTCTTGGGAGCCAAGTAAATGTTTAAAAACTCAAATTTCTGTATCCTGTTAGAGGAATGCTCAGGGTGTGTTTGTGTGTATGTGTGTGTGTATGTGTGTGTGTGCGTGTTCATGCATGTGTGTGCTCATGCTTGCCTTAATGGAATCTGGATAGATTTAGTTGACAGGAAAATTTTCTAAGATTTTGGTTTTACAGAAATTCTTTTCCTCATAAGGTCTTTGTTCCTCTATGGGGTTTTCTTTTGACCTTTGAGGAAAGGAAGGCTTAACTTGGATTGCTCATCTGTGTCCTGATAGTGAGTGCTTCAGTATTTGAAGGTCAGCTTAATGACCCAAAGATAGGAGAGCAGATGACATGTAGGTGCCCGTTGTCATGCCAGTGATGGGGGCAGAATATCTGTTTGCATCCTTCTGACTGTTGCTGCAGACACCACTGAAAAGGATCTTCCCGAGAGAGGGACCTTGCCTGTACTCAGGCTTCCTCTCAGTGTCCCTGTCCTCCCCCTACCATGGGAAGGGAAAGACTGAAGATTCTGATGATGCTCAAGTACCCTGCTACATGTCAGAGAATTATATTTGCTCCTCCTTCTCCTTATTATAATTTGACTTTTCTTTTCTCAAGGAAATTGCCTTCTTTTGTCATTTATTCTGTTATGATTGGATTTTTTCCCCTGCTTGTATCATCAGAGGATTGGTCAAAGTGGAAATCTTTCAGCTTCTTCAATTAGCGCTTTTGCAAAAAAAAAAAAATAATAATGCTTTAGGTTAAAAGAAAAAAAAAAAGCCCTAAGTCTTCTTTTCCTCCTGGGTTGATCATGTTCCATTTTCTGGGTCATTTTTCTCAGATTCCTTCACTGTTGAACTGCCTGAAGTCTCATGAGGTGTTTGGATGTTTCACCTTGAGTAAATCTCAAGCCATAATATTCATTGCCATTCCTGATCTGGCCCTAAACTTCCTTTCCCACTCACTTTCACACTGTGCTTCAAACAATCCTGCCTCTTTGCCTTTCCTCTGAGCACTCACTTTCTCCTGCCTTCGCTCTTACTGATTCCTCTGCCTATACTGCTCCATCTACCCAGCAAAAAGTTTCTTAAAGACCTTTTCTGTGGAGTCTTCAATAATGCTATCTGTTATCCCCATTCACTGGTTGTAAGTGCTTTCTGAATGCCCATACATGTTTTGTAATCCTCCTTTGACCCTAATCACATTTTACATTGCCCAGTCATTACCATCTACGTGGTACTACTCTCACATTAGATTGTTAATTCTTTGAGGGTAAACATGGCCTTCACCAGTGTTTGCTGGTTGAAATAACAAATGTTTGTTCATTGGCAAAGCATTTGAAAAGTGTCCATGTGAAAAATTGTTAAAGTAATCACATGATTACAACAGCTGATGAAATTTGAATTAGGTCTATGGATTAAATTGGTACTATTGCATTAATGTTAAATTTTTTGTGTATCATTGTATGATAATTATACAAGTAAATGTCCTTATTCTTAGGAAATGCACACTGAAGTATTTAGAAGTAAAGGAGCCTAATGTGCACAAATTACCCTTAAATGATTACAAAAAACATATATAATGTGTATATATATATTTACACAATGTGTGTATACACATACAATGTGTGTATATATATATACATACGCACAAACACACACATTGCATATACATATATATGCATATATATATGTATATGCACAGGCATTCTTTGTGGTATTTTTGTAACTTTCAAGTAAATTTGAAATTATTTTAAAATAAAAAGTTTAAAAAATTAAATTGTTATTTATTACTGATCAGGGATAATCATAGAAAAGTAGCCCAAGTGCGGAAAAATAAAAGAAACATTTATTTGTAGATGAAAAAGTAACCCAGTGAACAGTCTGAAATTCATTTATTTAATATTTTATAAGTGACCTACACACAGCACATGATGAACTCTCCAAGTTATGATGAGGCAGGTCAATTCTTCTAGAAAGTCACATGCTAGATGACTATGCCTAAATGGCCAGATAATCTGGGATGGTGCCCTGTGTGGAAGAATAGCAGATGTACCTCAAAGTACAGGCATTGTGAGGTTATGCCCCTTGGCACAAAATAACTCAAACTGTGATTAGAAGATGATGAGCTCTTGCCAGGAGTTACAATGTAGAGAAAAGATTTCAGAATCATTGCAGGTGGTTACTTCTGTATGTTAATGCTACTAAAGATGCCAATGAAATGATGGGCATTATTAGGAGGTATTTTGGAAGTAAAACTAATTTTGGTATGACATACTTAAACATAGGCATATTGGTTATATATTGCTGCTTCACATGAACTCAAAAATTAGTGGCCTAAAGCAACAAAGATTTATTACTCACAGTTTCTGTGGGCTAGGAAGTTGAGAGTAGCTTAGCTGGTGGTTCTAGCTCAGGGTCTCATGAGTTTATAATAAGTATGTTAGCAAGGGCTGCAGTCATCTAAAGGTTTAACAGGGGCTAGAGGATCCACTCCCAAGATGGATCACTCACACAGCTGTTAGCAGGAGGCCTCAGTTCCTTACTGTGTTGGTCTCTCCATATGGCTGCTTGAGCATCCGAATATCATAGCAGCTGGCTTCCTGTGAAATGGTGTTCAAAGAAGTGAGATGGGAATTTCAGTGCCTTCTATGACCTAGTTTGGAAGTTTATCATTTTTGTAATATTCTGTTGGTTATAGAAGCCCACTTATTCATTGTGAGAAGGGCTTACACAGGCAGGGATCATTGGAGGCCATCTTGGAGGCTGGCTACAATAATAGGGTATAATTATGGTTGCTGTAGCAGCGTTGAAAAAAAGAGGAAAAAAAGAGTGAACTTTATAAAAACGCTAAGAGGGCTTTTATTTTGGTGGACAGGCCAGGAAAATTAAGACTCTTAAGGTTGAGAAGAATGAGTAGGGATGTTATTGAAGTGTATCAAATTATGACAAATTTGGAAAAATAAATATGATTTTATTCATCAAAGTTTGGAACAAGAAATAGTGTTTGAAGTTTCTTTCTCTAATAAAAAAGAGATGTAACTTGTTTTCTCAGTAGGAAATAAACAGATTGAACCCAGAATATATAACCAGGGGATTCAGAATGCTTTAAACCCAAAACAGCTCTCCTTGATCTCTACCATAATTTCTATTATTTCTCCCAGTCCTGCTGATTCTTTCTCTCATTGGTTTCTCACATACTTCCGATTCCTAGGCTACCACCCTAGGAAGGTCGTTCCACTTCACACGTGAGTGCAGTAACCTCCACACTCTGTCTTTGCCTCCAAAGGATTTGGTCCCTTGGTTGGTTTTTGCACACCTTCTCTGTTAATCTCCCAAACACCTCTTTCATCAAATAATGCCCTTGCTCAAAGACTTCAAGTAAATTCTACTGCAGAGAGGAAGAATTAAACTGAACCCCTTAGCTTGGTGCTGAAGGCCCTTTATCACCACCAAACACCACCCTCCTTTCTAGCGTTACTTCTCACAATCTGTTATAAAACCTTCTGCTCTCCACCCTCAAGGCTTGGCTCTTATCTTTCTCTTTGCCTTGTGGCCCCTCCTTGAGTTTTTATTTACTCAGAAGCTTCCTTTTATCCAGGTGTGATGCTGAGGGCTGGTCACAGGCATTGTCGCCATCAGCCAGGCCTGTTCGTATATCTGCTCTTACCTGATTGTCTGACTTCCAGGGAGACATTTAATCTCAGTATTCCCTGCATGGGGATAATAGACCTTCTCCTGTGGACTCAGTGAGGTTTCATTGCTAGTGTGAGGTGCCACTCAGTGATTTCTAGTTTCCTTTCTTTTTCAAGTCCCTGCTCAAGTTTGACTTTCTTCATGAGCCTTCATAGCTCTTGTTGGCTTCCTCTCCTCTTAAAACTCTGGCAAGTCATCTCTAAACGGACTCATTTGGCAAATAATCATATTTTGATTATAATTTTTTCCTTAGTAGATTTTAAGCTATTATGGGCAGAGACTGTGCTTTACAAGTCACAGGAGTTGCCATAGTTTCTTGCCCTTAGATCTTTAATGAGTATTGTTTGTAGATTTTTTCCCTCATATGTTGTGGGTGATGGATTCACAGAGACATTGTAGAGGATTTTCCAGAGCTGATGATGAGTGAATTACCAGGGTCTTCCCCAAATTATCCCTTAACACCACCTATATAATGACCGTGGGGTTGGCTGTTTAGGTAGGTAGGGCCACGTCTCTGTTCCCATAGCAGCTTATTCTGGTCTTAATCATGGTGTGCATCATGCTGATTGAATAGGTCAGTTTGTGGCCATTTTCCATGTGGGGCTGTGAGCTCCTTCGGGATAGCTCAGCACTGGACATTGTCAGTGACTTGCCCAGTTTTTGTTTGATGTGAAGTGCCCAAAGAATTAGAACCATTAGTAAACTTCACTTCATGCTAATGTTTAGGGATTTTTTTGTGGAGATGGGGCTTGTTTATAAAACCATTTTAAGTTTATAAACAGATTTGAGAGTATATATATATATATACATATATGTGTGTATATATATATATACATATATGTGTGTGTGTGTATATATATATATATATATATATTTTTTTTTTTTTAAGACAGGGACTTGCTCTGCCACCCAGCTGGAATGCAGTGCCACAATCACAGCTCACTGTAGCCTTGACCTTCGAGGCTCAAGCGATCCTCCTACCTCACCCTATACTCCACCCCTCTCAGTAGCTGGGACTACAGGTGCATGCCACCAAGCCTGGCTAATTTTTTTTTTTAAATAAGGATGTGGTCTTGCTATGTTGCTGAGGCTAGTCGCAAACTCCTGGGCTCAAGTCATCCTCCTACCTCGGCTTCCCAAAGTATTAGGATTATGGGAGTGAGCCACCGCACCTGGCCTTTCTTTTATTAATGCTGGTAGGCACACTCATTTAACTTAAATGAATACTCTGTTCCTGCCATTATGTGATTTAATTTGATTTAGAATATGCTTGTTGTGGGTTTGATGTTAGCAAAATGACATGAAGCCCTCAAAACAAAGTAAATATAGCACTTGTACTGTTTGAAATGAATAGTCATACCTGGATAATATGTTATTAGAATAACTAGCCTTGCTCAGTGAACAGAGAAGTCATGCTAATGCCTTAAGGATTCCTTTCATCAGCAAACTAGTATTTCCATGGAAGTCCTCATCTGAGATTGTTCTCAGGGCAACCAGCAAGCATTACTCATCCTACATCTTTAATGCACTGAAGCTGGACCATTGCTTCTCTGTTCACGGCCTCAAAGCTCCAGGAAGAACTTAGCACACTGCCTCTGCCGGCCTTTCTGAGTAGTTTGAGGAACAGTGAGTACATCCTTTATAGATAACACGATGGAGTGGTCAGGTGAAATGGATGGCTCTTGTTGAAAAGTGGCTATTCTTAATCAATAAATTTGTTTTAATTTAACTTAGAGATATGTGAGAGAATCTTAGCGATATGTGAGTAGCAGAAAATGAGCTTGAGAAAAAACTGGTTGAGGGTACCGAAGTTATTTCTATGTGTGCACTTAATTGATTCTAGGAAGAAAATAGATTTTGGAGCCAAAAGGAATCATCTGGAATAATTTTCCCCTCTGTTGTTTCAAAAATAAATTAGTAAGTCAACACCCCATTATTTATTTCTCTTTAACTCAATGATAAAGAAACTACTGCTTATCATCAGAACTAAGACTCATCCATTGTAAGGATTTTATTCATCCTGATTATTTACTGAGGCTTTTGTGGTAGAATAAGCAAAGCTTGCCTTCCAAGTGGAGCTGCAAAACACAGACAGCAAGGGTTAACTCTGTGGGCTGTTTCCCTTTCTAATAGGAGCACTTTAGCAATGCTAATCAGTTGTACTGATTTTGTTTTGATTTTTCCATAATAATTAAGTGAATGATCTGAAATGCAATCAAGTTTGGCACTAGGGGGTTCATGCAAATGACTCTTTATTTTTTTACATTTTAAATTTTGTTAAACGGAATCATAAGGAAGTTATTTGAAGAGGAAGTCTGAGTGGGTGAGGGTAGCCAACACCCAATTTAGAGATTTGAATATATTCAAAATGTCTATCTTAATGAAGCAAATCACCACTGCATTGCCTTTGTTTTCAATTGAAATAATACTATTTTTAAAAAATTGCATTTTGTTTTCATTTGCATTCCAAAGTGGAAAATTATAAGACAGGATGACACAGCATAGAAGAGAGAAATGAGGAAGAATAAATTTACTGGACTTTCCTTCTTCAGAGTAGGCATAGTGGAAAAAGGGTACTCACTATGTTTACTCACCAAAACCTATAGAAGAAAACAAAGAAGATAGGGAAAAAGTAAATGAATGCCCTATCTGCTGCTTTTTTCTTTTCTTTTCTTTTCTTTTTTTTTTTTTTTTTGAGATAGAGTTTCACTCCTGTTGCCCAGGCTGGAGTGCAATGGCACGATCTTGGCTCATTGCAGCCTCCGCCTCCCAGGTTCAAGCAATTCTTCTGCCTCAGCCTCCCAAGTAGCTGGGATTATAGGCACCTGCCAGCATGCCTGGCTAATTTCTTCTAATTTTTAGTAGAGACAGGGTTTCACCATGTTGGCCAGGGTGGTTTCGAACTCCTGACCTCAGGTGATCCACCCGCCTCTGCCTCCCAAAGTGCTGGGATTACAGGAGTGAGCCACCACGCCTGGCCTAAATGTCCTATCAACTTCTGATTTTGATTGCATCTCAGTGCCTTTATTAAACAAGATAGAATGAAAGGACAATCCATGTTTCCTAATTTAGAGAAATGCTGTGTTTCTTAGTTCTCTACAGCTTATTGGCATATTTGTGAGATGTCTTCTCTCCTCATCGTCTATAACATCTGTGTTATTTTCTCAAACAGTTTTAACCAGCTTATGTGAATTTGCATGATCCTTGCCTCTTGATCAAACAATTCTTTTTGGTTTTTCAGACTATTCTAGAGCTCAGTTAATTTTCTAATTTTAATTAGGAAAACGTATTGGGACAAAGATACCAAGTAATACACACATACATCCACACATATACACACACACACATATTTTTCAATGTACTGATATTTTTTCTTTCAAAAATGGTACCTGCGACTTTTCAATGCAGTTTGATATTTCTGTATACTGAACTTCCAAAGCAATGAGAAGGTGGCCAAATTCTGCTTTTTCTCTGTCATCTCCTCTTCACAGGGCAATGCATCAGATACAAAGCAAGAAGAGAAACCAGAAGATTAGTGTCAATATTTTTACATTAAAATAAAACTCACAACCTCTTTCTTGTTCTGGGACTTTGATTCATGGCTTGGGACAATTTCTAACTTTATAGACTAAACATTTCTAATTGGTAAATGGATGGTTTGAGTCTGAGATGACTCAGGAAATAAACTTTCCAATTTGGGGTAATTGTTTATGAGTAGGTTACTGCTTACCAGCCTTCATGTCTTTGAGGAAAGAATGAAAGCTAAACACATTTCACACTTCGTTGAAGGGAAATACTTCTCACATAGATAAAGCAATGAGACAAGGAAATAATTGCCATGCTCATTTGTTACAGCCAAATATATTAAAGATTTTTTTGATGGATGAGGAAAACACTAGCTGTATATTACACGGCTTCAACTGTAAAACAGGGACAATAAAAACTACTACTTCTTAGTTAAGTTGCTGTAAGGATTACATAGATAATTCACATAAATGGCTCAGTACTGTGTCTGGCACACAGTAATCGGTCAGGAAATGTTATCTGTTATTGTTTATTATTATCATCATCATTTTTTATTCATTCCCCTTAAATGAAATAGCTTCTTTATATAATGTTAAGCTTCAGATTTTACAACTTCATGATGCATGTGAGAAATGTCAATAATTTGAATTAATCTATAAGTTAATTTTGGTTAACTATTTACGCTTTATCTATTGGAATTATTTAGTGACCATTGAAATATCCTTTTTAAGATTTTACAGCTTCTTTAATGGCTTACACAATATCTTTTAATTATACTACAAATTCATGATTTTTTCCTTATTCCAAGTCAAACATTTTCTTTTAGCCTTTGTTGAGTCAGCAATAGGTAACTTGTCATAGTATACTTAAAGAATCTTGATTTTGAAGAATTTAATATTTCCTCATTTGATCTGTCCTGAATTTGAATGATAAACTATTTCCTAAAGTTGTTTGTTTTTTGCTGTTATTGTTGTTTATTTGTTTATTTTAAGATAAATTTGCCTTTTCAAGCCATAAAGTTATTATTCAATACATTTGGTTCCCAAATATTAAAAACTTCTTGGCATGGAAAATGAGTATAACTTCTTAAAATGCCAGCTCCCACCCAGAAAATCACTGCTTTGCTCAAATAATCTGGCTCATTATTACTAGTTTCACTAGTTTACCAACAGGCAGGTTGGCACTTATTTTGTTTGTAATTAAGAAATGGATCAGTGATTTCTAATTTTGTATCCATTTTTATAATGATTAGATGACATAGTATGACAATTAAACTTTTCCTTCTTACTAAATTCCAGAGGCTGCAGGAGTGCCTGTGATTCTCAGGTGCAAACCATTACAGGTGTTACACACCCGGGCCTGGCGCAGGTCCTAGCATATCGTATGTGTTCAATAAATGCTTGTAGGTGGCTTTGCTTGATGATATCAGAGGAACCTTCAACTTGACCTATCTAAACTGAACTGAAAGCTTCCCCTCCCCAGAGGAGGGCTTCTATGAGTCCCATATCAGCGAGGGGCTAACAATCCCCACAAGGGGCTAAACCAGAAGCTCCTCCCCTCCCTTAATCCATGTTCAATAGACAAGTCCTGTCGATTCCGCATCCTAAAAATCTCCCAGAGCCACTCCACTTCCTGCAACCCCATTGCTGCTGCCTTGATCTGCTCACAGTCATGTCTTACCTGGCCTCCCTCCAAGAGCCTCCCCTTGCAGCTAGAGTCATTCTTCTAATGCCACTCTGCACCATTTACTAGCTCCATGTTATCCTTGGATGAAGTTCCCTACTGCACAATGGCTTATGAAACCCATTGCGACTCACCCTCTGTCTCTTTCTCCAGCTGTCCCCTTTTTCTTGCCATGAATTAACTTGAACTCCCTAAATGCACCTGGCCCTCCCTTACATGTGGATCCCTCTGCCTGGAACATTCACCCTCTTCAATCTCCTTTGCCAGCCTATCTATTTTCCAAGCTTTTAAATGTTACTTTACAGTCTTTAGGTTCATTTTCTCTAACATCGACCTGCAAACAGCTTTACATTTTTTTCTATGTATAATCTAGTTTTTAGAAACCCCTGTGAGATGTTTGGTTTCATTTCTGTTCAGCAGATGGAGAAATTGAAGCACTATGTTTAAGAAACTTATGTCATGATTACTAAGTTATAAGTATCTTAACAGGCAGAGATAGGGACTGGTTCTGTGTTTTATATCCAGTCTTTGAATGATGACTAGGATGGAGCAGGCATTCAGTGCATTGAGTGACTTATCAAATGAATCTCAGATTGAGCCTGAGGTACCTCTCTCTTGATTCGATGGAGCTTCTGTTTCATCATTTATTTTCTAGAACAAATGAGGCCAGCTACCTCTGTGTGCCCTCCTCTTCTAGAAGGGAAATATGCCAGGTGAGAGAATGTGGAGGCTTGTGTTGCTCTGAATTGTTCTGGTAGATTTCTTTAATATTGGCTGGCATAAATGAGAAGGGCTTTTGTTCTTGTGGCAATTGATGATGATTTGCATATTTTAGTAATTTACAAAATAGTAGCCACCTTGCACAACATAAGAAACACCCCTCTCTCCTGGACCATGGAATTTGGTGACCTGGCTATTGAAATACATGGCTTGTTATGCACATTTCAGCCCCACTGACAACTGGTACCTGGTGGTTGCTGTACTGAAAAGAATTCTGTGTGAGTCATTTCAATGCATTTCTAATTGGGATTTTTTCTTTCTTGTAGGTTGTTCTTCAGAAAAAAATGGTTATTTCTTTGAACTCATGCCTGAGCTTTATTTGTTTATTGTTATGCCACTGGATTGGGACAGCATCACCTCTGAATCTTGAAGACCCTAATGTGTGTAGCCACTGGGAAAGGTAATGGTTTTGAAAGGAGCCTGACAAAGAATTGCTGAGAAGTTCCCTTATATACTGTAATTATCAGTCAGATGTATAAAATTAGAATTTGTGAAGAGATTGTGAAATTACTTTTATGTAAAAATCATTAGTCATAGCTAGCAAATTAGGTGGTGTTAGTCACCTTGGTCTTATAGCATATATATTATGTGAAAAAAGTCTTGATATATCTAATTCTAATGCAGGTGCAATTGTAAGATTCAGGGAAGACATTAATAGCACAATTAAAAGATCTTCCTAATGTCTTGTCTCTGATTTGAATTTGCATTAATTTTGGGGAGCTGGACTTATGCATGGGAACCCATGAGTGAGAAGTGGAAAGCAGCATGAGATAATATACTAAAGTATTGAAATATATGGGATTTAAAAGAATTTTGCTGTAGATGGCTTGAAAACGGAGACCTAAATTTGGTGTAAACTGGCAAGGCTGCATAGAGGTAGTGTCCCCTGAGATGCTCTTGAAGAACTGAATAAGATGAGTGGGTTGCAATGATTGGAAGGGGATCTTGGAAGGGGAGTCAGTTTGGCAGTTTGAAATCAGTGCCATGTGGACCACCGAGAACTGTGCACAACCAGAGCAGAGTTAGTACCGTATTGGAGGAGGGTGTGGTTATGTGAAGGCAGATGATGTAATGTCTAGATATGAGCAATTTGCAGTAGAAAGTACAAAACAGTAGATCATCCTCTGGGACTTTATAGTCCCTTTTGGAACACAAAAATAGTGCAAACCCATCCAGCGATATTGCAGTACAATCAAGTCCAGTTGGCTCTGCTCTAATGTGCTACTTGAATTTCCCAGAAATTATCTTATCCAAAAACTGTAAATGCAAGTGTTTTAAACAAAGAGAAGATGTTAAGTACTGGAGGGTAATATGTATTTTTAATAGCTGTAAGTACAATTATATCAAACTCTTGATCTTCAGCACCATGATTAGCAAACCACAGAGCACACATTCTAATCACCTTTGTTCCCCACTGTTAGGATGCATAAAGCCCAGAGCCTCTCAAGCACAGCAGTGGTATTATTCTGGGGACATGCTGGTTTCTCACTCAGTATTATTTTTGGTAAGGGCTTATCCCTACCTCCATTGGTAGTGTTACAAGCAGGGTAATTAAAACATAATTACCTGATTAGTCAATGGAGTTATATATTATTATGAAACTTTAAGCTGCAGAGAGAATATATGTATATAATAAAGTTCTATATATTTGTGGTATTAACTACATTATACAGAATTTAAGCAGAAGGACTTCCTATTAGTGCTCTTTATAATATTTACAGCACCTCCCATAAGGCATTTCATCAATAAAATATATAATAAATACTTATTAAAGTCATGAATCATTGGCTACATCAATGGGTACAGGTCAAATTTAGTAAAGGAAGAGACCATTGGTAGTTGAACTTCTTGGAGGGATGATAGATTTGGGATGGGAGGAAAAGTCAAGTTTGTGAGATGTTGTGAAATAAGAATCAACAGATCTTGATAATACATTGACTGAGGAAGTGAAGGAGGCAGAGAAGACGAGGATTTAGAACTTGCTGTGTGAAGTAATCCAGATGACATTGCGCATATGGAAAAATAAAAGAAAGAGATTTGATTTGAAAGGGAAGGGGTTAGTGTGGGTTTGCCATGTTGTGTTTATAAAATCAGTTTAAAATATGGGCCTGGAAGTATTTGGGAATATAGATTTGGGAATATCCAGCATGATGAGATGTGAGATGTGAACAGAGGAACTCTCTGAGGGAAAGACTATAAGAGAAAAAAAGGTTGGGTGCGGTGGCTCAAGCCTGTAATCCCAGCACATTGGGAGGCCAAGGCAGATAGATCACTTGAGGCCAGGATTTTGAGACCAGCCTGGCCAACATGGCAAAGCCCCATCTTTACTAAAAATACAAAAAGCCAAGTGTGGTGGTGCATGCCTGTAATCCAGCTACTTGGGGGGCTGAGGCACAAGAATCACTTGAACTCAGGAGGTGGAGGCTGTAGTGAGCTGAGATCATGCCACTGCACTCCAGCCTGGGTGACAGAGCGGACCCTGCCTCAAAAAAAATAAAAATAAAAATAAAAAAAGAGAGAGAGAGAAAACCATTTCAAGGCTTCAAATAATCCGGCACCCACTTATAAATACACATTTTGTCCTGCTTCCCTGGTCAGCAGTTGACCAGAGCTGCCAATGCATAAGTGCATTGTCTGGCTCACCACTGATAATTCCCACTGTCTAAAACACTGCCTTGCATGTGGCATGTGTTTAATAAATTGTTGAATGAGTGAGTTCATCTTCTGATAGGAAACGAAATGACTAAATATGTACATCAATGTGGGAGGGGCATGGAGAGTGAGAAAGACAGATAGACAAGGGGCACATTAATCTCTAAACCTAATAGAACCCAACAACTGTGCAAGTGATTAGTGCAAACTCTAAAATGCTCATGAAGGGGGAGGGAAATTGAATGTGAACAAATAGGAAAATGATGAAAAAAACTTCCAGTTTTTTTAAATGTACTGCCAGGAAGAAGAGTTGACAGCTATAATCTTCTTACTGATAAATTTTCTGTTGTAAGGCTAGATAATGATTTCTAGAAGAAAGGTAAAAGAAAGTAGAATTGTTTTGATAAGAATGGGGACCAGTATAGAAGATAAATTAAAATGATCAAATAAAGGCACAGGTGACAGGTTCGTCTAGTATTTTCAAAAATGTAAATGGGCTTGAACTGAAATGGGGAGAGGAAGATGAGCTCCAAGGGCATAATTCTGGTAGTAGGGCTCATTTTAAGCTCTTCTTATGCTCAAAACCACCTGTACCCAATGGCTCAGAACCATGCAATCACCTGGAGGTTACTTCTCAGACTGTGGTTTGCAGAGCTGAGGCATGAACTTGTTAGAAATACAGACTCTCAGGTCCCACCCCAGACCTACTAAATCAAAATCTGCATTTTAACAAGATCCCAGGGAGGTTTGTCTGCATATTCAAGTTTGAGAAGCACTAAACAAAAATACTTCCATCAATGGCTTCTAGCTGCATCCCAATTGATATCTGAATATTTATTTTGAAATAGAGATGTGCCTTGTTTTAATGCAGCGATTGTGATTCTAAGAAATTGTACATAAAATGAAATTAAAGAAAATGAAATCATTTAAAATACTCAAGGGGTGTTTATGATTAAAGGAACTCTGTACAGTGTCTTTTTGGAAAATGAATAACTCTAGAAATTATCTATTCCTTCTCCTAACCTTCTTTCTGTATTCTATGAATTTGAGCTTTTCCATTCAGTGGGGTTTCTTCTAAAGAAGGCACAAGTGAAGAGAAACCACACTTTGACCAAACCTTCAATTACTAACACAGAAGGGAGAGTAATTGAATCAGCAGTCCTGAAGCAAGCAGAGATAAGAAATGAAGATTATTACCATATCTGATTAAAGTAACAAGATAATTTAGGCAGGTAAAATGTAATTAACCACTTTGGAACGTGCCCAAGTGATAATGTCTTCCTCCCCTTATTCTCCATCTCCTCCCCCACTCCCTGGTTCTTTGACCTTAAATTAAATCTTGCTGGGGTTTCTCCCCAGATAATACTTAATAGATTAAAATCACGGCAATGATATATTTTCAGTATGTTTGAGAAGATTAAACAAACAAACAGGAAATAAAGAGTTTTGCCTCTGAATGCTGAAAGTTGTGCAGAATTGGGATCAGTTTTTTAAAATTCCAGTTTCCCACTCCTTGTCTGTTTTAGAAGCTTTAAATGTTCTATAGTGATGTTTGAGAGAGGATGGGGCAGGACAGTGTCTGAGGGTCTTGGTGTTACTGCTGACGCTATATGGAAGCTCAGTGTTGCTCATTGTCAATGAAAGTAGGATTGGACCAGATAATAGAAGTGGTGCCCTCACACTCTGTGACTTCAGGAGCAGCTGCTGGTGAATGTGGAGGTATGGAGTGTTAGCAGAGGAACTAATTAAGTTCCATCAGCAGCCTAAGCACTGGCCATAGTGGCCGTGATAAAGACCAGAGGAGGCAGGCCCATTCTTGAAGACACTTTTCTTCATGATTCAAACACATCGCTTCCAGAAAATGGACCCCTTGAAGAATGACAACTTAATTGCCTAATGATTGGTGGGTATTGAGCAAAATAGGTGTAGTCACTTACAAAGTATTTGGCAGTCATAATTTGAAGACTATGTACTAACATGGGAAAATGCTTATGATATACTCAAGTTAAAAAAGAATGTTTTAGAAATATGTGCATGGCATGATTATTATAACCTAAGAATTTAGAAATACCCTCAACCAAAAACTAAAACCTCCTGGAAACTGTAAAGAAGCACAACAACATGCTGTTGGTGGTTATGTGAGAGCTATGGAGTTCTGTCTCTTGCTCTGTTTTTTAAAAATGTGTTTTCCAAATTCCATAGTGTGATTATAATACC
The DNA here is from genome assembly GCF_000001405.40 of Homo sapiens. Taxonomy (NCBI): domain Eukaryota; kingdom Metazoa; phylum Chordata; class Mammalia; order Primates; family Hominidae; genus Homo; species Homo sapiens. Next base: position 127,335,894 of record NC_000005.10, read on the forward strand.
TTTACAAATGAAAAAAAGGAAAAACTGTATAGAAAGAAAAATAATGTGTAAGAAACAACAGAAAAGAAATTCATGTTGAAAAGGCTTAGTACCTTTCTCCTATAAGCTTAAGTGGACGCTTCAGTTTCTGACCGATGATAATTAGGCAGGTAATTATCATTGGTCAGAAACTGAAGCGTCCACTTAAGTTTATACAGTAATTTAACTATAGTTAAATTAGTTGAACTGTAGTTTAACATAGTTAAATTAGTTGTACTATAGTTTAATATAGTTCAAAATAATTTATATGCAGTCAGTTCTGTACTGGGTTTGAGTGTCAAAATAATTTTAATGAGTAAAGCCAAGATTGAGGAGAAATACTCAAAACATAATGAATTTTATACTCCTATTTCCCCCAAGCTATATATATTTCTCCATGGAAAGCTATATTGTATTACTTTCAGCATTTAAATATTGGTCTCTCATTAGGTTGAGAGCTCCTTGAGGGCAGGAATTGCATAGAAGTTGCTCAATAAATGTTTGTTGAATTGAAATCCTAAATACTTTGATTGTCCTTTTAATAAAAGAGCTATTGGTGAGCAGCAAGTGACAAGAAGAGGAAATTTATGTACTCCAACATTCCCTCTCATTTAAAAACTCTTTTTGGTTCCTAGAAACCAGTGAAAACATTTTACTTGTTTGCTTATGGAATTGGTTCTTCCATCCACATCAAATAGAACTGGCCAGGATGCATTTACTGATGATAACATTTTGCACTCCAAGGCACACGGACTTGAATATCATAACATGGCCTTTGAAATTTTCTGGAAACTCTGTATCAGGTCTAGTTCCAACAAATGAATTTAGTTCAGCTAAATTAGTACTGTAGAGACTGGTTGAATAAGTTTTTTCTCCCAACTGGCATTAATTTAGAGTGGCTTCTTTTTTGTTCTTATAGCATATGTGGTAAGTTGCTCTATTTTGCTCATAGGTGATGTAGGACTGTACCTGTACACCAGTTGTATACACAGAGGACGTTCATTCACTTTGTTCTCCACTAGAAATGGAACAGAGATATAATGCTGTAGGCCTTAAGATTCAGCTATTTACAAGCAGCTGGATAGAAAGTGTCAACTTTAAACAATGAGAGTCAGAAAATATGATTAAGTATTGAGTTTATTCGGGCGCAAAATTTGAGGACGGCCATACAGAAAACAGACTTCAAAGGAATGGGCTCAGTGTTCCCAAGTGGGGAAGTTAAAGTTTCACCTATATAGGCAGAAACAGAGAAGTTTAGTAAGGTTCGACATTTTCCATAGAAAGCCAGTACATATGTTACAGTGATTTGATTGATTACAGTTTGCTACATTTCAAGGAAGATTGCTTCAACATTTCATGAGGAAGGGTAATGATCTGAGGGGGTCTTATCTCTGATGCCATTTGGTTATTTCTAATCATTTATAGGAAAAAGAAGTTGCAGCTGCCTGCTGCATGACTCAGGCCACATAGTTATATTCCTCTCAAGGCTCAAAATAATTTAAAGTTCCAATAGCTTTAAATTTGAATTATTTAATTTCACAGGATGAAAAAATATTGGTAAGGAAGTCTTAGAACCTCAGGACACCGCTAGGGTTCTGAAGAAAATACAGATAGCTTAATGTGATATGTCATTCCAAGAATATTAATATTTTAGCAGGGGCCTCTTGCTTTACCCAAAAGGGTTATATCATAGCATGCAGGCATTTGCACACTGTATCCTCATCTGAACTTATTTTTGCAGGTAGCAATGGGTAACATTTGTTGGAGGTAGAAAGAAACAGTCATCTAAAGTATATGTTAGAGATTCAGGATGCTAAATAAGAGGGGATCTTCAACACCATCTCTGACTCCTTTTATTTTAAAACGTGATCATGAGGACCCAGGGAAGTGAGGTTATCTGCTGAACATCTCCCAGTTTCTCAGTGTCAGTACAGAATTATAACCTTCTAATCCAGTGCTCTTTTCAACAGAGCCTGTTTCATTGCCCAACATTTATGAAGGGTCCCTAAATTTACCTAGAAATAAATTGCAATATTCCAAAGAATGAAATACACAAAACTATGAATAGTACGATTACTTCATGGCTGTCCTATTGAAGCCTGATACATAATGACTACCAGAGACCAGCTGCAGAAAGAAAACCCATTGTTTGTGAGGCTAGCACCACATAGCTTTTCAAATGAGAAGGTTCTGTCTAACCTGAATTCTTCATGCTGGCATTTTAACTTCCTTCCTTCCTATTAGTGAACTTGGGCTATTGATTTGCAGCAAATGAGTCTGTGATTATGGCCCATTTTTTTGTTTGTGTGAATTAAAGATTTTACTGAAAATCTTTAAGAGAATTAAAGCAAATAGAATAAATTGTTTGGAGAAGATTATCCACGTTTTCTTATAGGCAGACACTAAGCTCTTTAGCATGTAATAGACTGTTTAAAATGAAGAAGTCTGGAATTCAACAGTGAGTATTCTTCATATTTCATGGATGTTTTCCACCCATGTTCTTAGGCCCATAGGCTTGTATGTTTTCACTCTAAGAAGAACCTGTTAGTGAAAATGTATTGGAAAACAGACTATTTAAGTAGTAGCAAGCTGTTGGTATGATTATTTTAGGCTAATTGTCTCAGCCATATGTTTAGAACCAGGTTTAAAGACTACTTTATAGTATTTATTTAGTTGTTGTATACTGTATAGTCTTCCATTGCCTGAAATCAAATTATTCCAAGTTCCAACTAGAGAAAAATATGTTCTTTCTGATATTTTAAGAATCAGTAGCAAAATGCACTCTATTACTTTACTTGAATTGTTTCTTTGCTGAGTAACATTATTTGCATGCAGACTTAGAATGAAAACCTTCTGTGAATGATCTTTGTTATGCTTTGAGCCCTGGGGTAAGAGGAGGGAATTAAATGCAGAAAAATACGGAGTGGTATTTTTAAATTTGGGAATATTAGGGTTTATAGTGAGGAGTAAAAGAGAATTTTCTTTAAAATTTACAGCACAAATCGTTGTATTTTAAATGTATTGTTAAAATTGATCCTTTTGGGGTTCTAGTTTAAATAAAAACCCATAAAAACATGGAAATTGTCTGTTAAAAGTCACTATGGAGTTGCAAATGGAGATAATTTAGCTTACAAACTTTTAAATACATAGTATATTATTAATTTAAAAAAGAGAAATACTGATTTCTTATTTTTCCATTTCTTTTCAGCTACTCAGTGACTGTGCAAGAGTCATACCCACATCCCTTTGATCAAATTTACTACACGAGCTGCACTGACATTCTAAACTGGTTTAAATGCACGCGGCACAGGTAATAGAAGCTCAGGCATGTTTGTGAGTTTGGCTAACTGGGAATAGATTCTAATACAGAGATATTAATGACAGCAGAAAGTGCATCCATTCATTCAGTGAATAGGTATTGAGGGCTTGCTCCTGTCTTATTTTTGTGCCAAATCACAGGGGATGTAGAAAAGCAGAAAGGTAGCCCATGCCCTAAAGGAGCTTACAGCCTAACTGCAGAGAAAGTGTCTGCTGTTTACCATCATTTGTTAACAAGAATTCATCTAGCCTCTGTGTTGCGCATAACTGGGGGAGACACTGTTACCTATGGACAGCAGCAGATGTCAAGCAATTCATATCTTCGCATATGTTTCCAGTTGAACATCTGACTCAATTTAGGCTAACTTAAATTTGACCCTTAAGTAAAACAAGATGTATTTTTTTTCTATAAATGTGAACACAGAAACAAAACTAAAATATAATTAAATATTAATGTTAATATAGAAGGGAACTCTGATGCCCTAATTTTATTGGTAGTATACTAACATTTATAGTGTATGAGTTATGCCTTGAGTGCAGCATCTGCTGATTGTACTGCACTAAATGATGTTATGCTCAATGTCATTTCTTCACACAAGCTGGCCTTGGCCACTCTGTGTAAATTAGCATTTCCCGCCTGTCACATTCTATTCCCTGACTCAGGCTTTATTTTTCTTCACAGCATGTAATCATTACCTGCCATTATATGATCTAATCATTTGTTTAATGCATGTCCTTACTTTAACAAATTCAGCCAGATCTGTCTTCCCAAGTAAAATGTAAGTTCCTTGAGAGCAAGGGATTTGTATTGTTTTGCTTACTGCTCTTTCCCCAGTGTCTAGAACAGTGCCCAGGATATAGTAAGTGCTCAATAAACACATGCTATGTAAGTGAATCAGTGAATAAATGGCACTTTAGTTCAATGGAGAGGTCTTTTGTCTGTTAGTCTTCTATATTATAATGGGATGAGACTGCCCTAAGGTTTTTAAGGGAATTCTCTGAATTCTTCCTTTAAAACATACGTAAGTGAATGATGCTTTGATGGGTATCATATATGAATTAATCAATACTTTTCAACATATCTTAAGATAAGTGAAAGAGGGAAATCATGAAACTACTGACCCCTTAAAATAAAGCATAGATTGGCTTCAATAGGGAATCTTAATATCTTCTTAGCAAATTGATGAGTTAGTATTATATTGGTCTAGACATGTATTCCATATTTCTTCATAACTAGTTTGAAATACTTTGCTTTTCAGACTTTTATTATGTTTAATAGCTAATTTTTCCTTCTCTATAGAGTCAGCTATCGGACAGCCTATCGACATGGGGAGAAGACTATGTATAGGCGCAAGTCTCAGTGTTGTCCTGGATTTTATGAAAGCGGGGAAATGTGTGTCCGTAAGTAAGACTGTCACCCCTTTGAGATTCGCTAGTTTTTCCCAGTGCTGGTTTGCTTCCATTAATAGCAGCTGAGACAGAGGTCTGGGGAGATGGGTGTCTTGGAACATTCCTTTTCCCTCTGGTTGCTACTTTTCCTTGGCTTGTGTAATGAAGGAAACATTAACTCTGTCCTCCTGTCTTATCCAAAGTCTCCAAATGAATGTTGCTTAAGGTGAAAACAGCTGTTACAGAAAGATGATTCAAGGCCGGATGTGGTGATGTAAATTATAATTCTTCAATAAATGTCTCATTGGAAATTGGTCAGGACTCATTGGACCTGGGTCCCAGAAGAGAACAGAGACCTAACTTTCCTGCAGCTGACCTGAGTCAACTTCCGAGAGGCCAGCATATTCTTTTCTGGTGCACAGAATGATGAGGCTTATTAAATGTAGAGGAGTTTTCACATTAAAAAATGACAATAAGTCTGCATCACAAAATAGAACTTCTTTTCATTGTCATTTTCCCTCTTCTCTACCCTCCCCACTTCACCAGTTCATTCTGAGATGTCTTGAGAGAAGTTTCGTATCTTATGACACACTTCAGAGAATCCTAGAATATGAGATGCATGTGAGATGCAGTTTGCAATTGAGATTTCTTTCTTTGTGTATAGGTCACTTAGAAGAGAGATCATTAAAGACTATTTTATTTGAGTATTATGGCTCAACACACAGGTAGAGGGACAGCTCTGCTTTCTGAGTTGAGATGCTGATGTTGAGTAGCACAGAGAGAAGGTTCTGCTGTAATTTGGAGGCACCAGGAATGACTGGATAGATCTCAGCTTAAGAATCTGGAAAGCCCAGTGATATCACTGGTTCTACCATCACTTGGCTGGGTGGCCTCAGATAAACCATTTATACGTCTTGGAGGTTCCTTTGCTGTCTCAGAGATAGGGCTTGGAATAGTACATATCTCGTCTTTCTTCCAACCCCTGGATTCTATTCTGTATGCAGACAGGGGCAGCTCCTTAGCTTGGATTCAGAATCAGGGCTATATTTAATAATACATGTTCATAGAAAGAAAAATTAGAATATGTAACTAAGCAAAAAGAAGAAAATAAAAATACGTTGTGAATATTTTTCCTGGTCAGTAATTATACTTCTGTAACATATTGCAAATGTCAGTATATTGTTGCATTATAAATATTTGTTTAATCAATCTCAGCTGTTGAATGGTCACACAATTTCCAAATTTTACCTATCGTAAACTACTCTAAAGGACATCATTGTGGTTAAATAATTGTTCATATCCTTCATTAAGTAAAGATAAATTCCTAGCAGTAGAATTGCTGGATTAGAAGTGTACATATTTTAAGACTTTCGATGTATTTCTAATTTAAATACCCACCAGCAGTAAATGAGAATGGCTTTTTGCTTATACCCTGAGCCAATCTTCCTTTCACTAATTTTTTCTTAATTTGCATTTCTTTGATTAATAATGATGCTGAATAAGAAAAATTACATGTTTATAATCAAACATCTTAGAGAATAATCATGAGCAGATCTCAGTGGCCCAGGCTGATGGGAAATTTTCAAAAGAAAGCAGTGTGGAGTACACACAGGGGTGGGGATTGGGGAGGCCTGGCCACTCAGGCTGGCCATTTCCCAGAGGCCTTCAGTGACATTATCTTGATGCCTTTACCTGGGTTCAACCTTACAAGCACAACCATCAACATACCAAGAGAGTACTTCTGTCTCCCAGCACACATTTCTATTAACCCAGGGGTCATAGAATTTGTATATGAAGCCAGGATGCTATTTTCCTAACTCATACAAAACTTGGAAAGGTGCTTGTGCCTGTCTTCTGGCCATACCTTCTCTCCCTGAAGGCCTGGCATGTGGGATGCTAGATTTCACTGGCAAGCTGGTGGGGGGGTGTAGATCCAAGCAAGCTCAGTTAGAGAGACAGCTTCAATGTTTCCTGGCATCAGCCGCATAATTCAACACCTCCGTTTTTTAACTCAGTAGTGCAGCCCTTCTTAGAAAGTTAGGCAATTCCACTGGCACTATCACGCCTGAAATTACATGGGTAAAAATACATTTTCTCTCCTGCTAGACAGCTTGCAAAGCATCCCCCAAACTGCTTGAATGGACACCTCTAGCATTTGCCTCAAAAATTCTCCTTTTTTCTAGGCCTCTTGCTGACCAACTGCCCCTGAGACTGCAATATTTTTTCCTTTAGATATGCTAATATATTTAATCAGCTTACTCTCTAGTCTCACTGGCCTGGAAGCTGTTGGTCTCTGGTCTCTAAAATATTTTGTGTCTCTCCACTCTGATGTCTTGATTTCATTGCTTCCCCACACCCCCACCCCGCCCAACAATTGTTACGCTTCTTTGTTCTTGGAGGTGACTCCCAGTGACTTTTCTGTACTCTTCACAGTTGGCACAAGTGAGGCAAGCTTGTAGATAGAGAAGGAACAAAAAATACATGATTCTTGTTTGTGTTTTCATAGTCTCTTTTTTTCTACCAAGTTTTGCTGCCAGACAGATAACATGGTCACCTTTCTTAACTGTTTCCAGTCACCAAGATAAATTAAACACAGGAATCAGTCATCATTTCAAATTAATTCTTGGTAGTTTACCTAGAAGGAAAACAAGGATGATTTAATGCAAATACCTGTATTTGAAACAAGTTTCTTTTATGTACTCAAGTAGCACCTTCAGGAGAGCAGGTCCTGTCTTCCCCTCCCTCCCCACCTCTGTTTCATCCTGCCCCACCCGCTCCTCCATGATAGACCCCACTGTAGATGGTCATTCTGGAGGCTTGACATGGAACTGCCAGCTGCCTCACCCTCTTTCCACAGCTTTCTGAGGTTTCCTGTGGGGACCTGACCGGCTGTCTTCGTTATCAAGTGTTAGTGACATGTCCTTTTGGTTCTTATCTTCCCCTCACCCACTCCTCCCACTTTCAGAGATCAGAACACTTCACAAATATTAAAAGTAGCTCTTCATTAGAAAATTGTCAGGGATATGTTTGGTGAAGAATGATCTTCTCAGGGCCAAGCATGGTGGCTCATGCCTGTAATCCCAGCACTTTGGGAGGCTAAGGTGGGAGGATCCGTTGAGCCCAGGCATTCGAGACCAGCATGGGCAACATAGGGAGACCCCGTCTCTTAAAAAAAAAAAGTCATCTTCTCTAGGCTCCAGAGACTTTACTGAAGAGTGGGCTGCCAGTTCAAAGTCAGCTATGATTGAGGAAGGGGAGCTGAGTGGCCTCCAGGAGCCAGGCTCACCTTGTGAAGGAGTCTATGGAATAGTGCCAGTCTCAGAACCATAAGGACAGCTTGTAGATGTCACCAGGATGGTGGTAGGACCATGCAGCTTAGTTTAACTTGTTTTGGGAGAAAAGCAGGTTTCTATTCTACTTGTCCATATAAAGGAAGTCATTGTTCCTTTATCGTAGTCATTTCCTCTTTCACAGGAAAAATCAGACTCAACACAGTAGATTCAATTCAATTGAATAAAACATGCATTGATTGACCTACAATGTAAAAACCAGTGAGCTAGACCCTAAAGATTATGTATGTATATATGAGCCAGACATACTTTCTGCCATCAAAGAGTTTTGCAGTCTAAGTATCTTTTTTAATGCATTTCAGACAACAACGAAGTCATGGTTAAATTTATTGTGTGCTTACTACATACCAGGTATATACATTATCTTATAAAATTTCTAAAACATTATGAGGCAGATATAATCGTACCCATGTTAAAGATGAGGAAAATGTGGCTTTGAGAAATTAAATAACTTTTTTATTCTGATCAATCGGTGATGAGTGGAGGAGGAGGATGCAGATATTTATGCTGAACAGAGAATGAGATGCTTTACCTAAATAAAATAACTGAAATTGGCAGAGTAGCTTATGAACCAAGGATTATCCAACTCCTGTCCATGTCACATGTTGTCAAGAAATTCTCAGCTGCATCTCATTACATGACTTCAAATATTTAAATAAAACATACGTATTAAATAATTTCGACTTGAAAAAAAAAGTTGAGAAAATTCTCCGTTCTCTATGTTCAATTCCATCTCTCTTTTTAAGGTGACTAAAATTAGTAAAAATCTCTTTTCTTTTGAAATTGGATTTTTAAAATGTTCTTGAAAACAAAGAACTTTAGAGAAATTAAGTAAATAGATCTTACACATGCGGTGATTCTGTCTACATCGACCAGAGGACTGATCGCTGACCTTACAGGTATCGTTAGTGGATATTCAGGATTGTTGTTACTGCTGCAGTTTCTAAACTTTTGGGAAATTTAGCAAGGCAGCCTAGTCAGGTGCTCCTGCCTTCTCTGTAGTGTCAAGGTTCCAGGGAAAAGGACAGTAGCTCAGAAAGATCCTGAAGATTTTAAGTTTCATATTAATACATTGAGGGCCAGAGCGTCCTGGAGTTAGTCTTTCATGTAGATTCACATGGAAACTGTCCCAGGACGAGGCTCTCATTTCATGTTTATGTGCAATAGAAGCAGCAGGTGGTCACTGAATGGCTCTTCATTCTGTCAGCTGTGGAGATTCTTGGAGAAAAAACTCTAGTTTTCTTGTATATAGAGCATGATGAAGAGACTGGCTCTGCTTCCGACTGGAATGAGCACACAGAACTTTTGGGGAGGCTGGTAAAATGCAGATTCTGATTCCATGGGTCCAGAGTGGGGCCCAAAGGTATGCATTTCTACTGAACCCTCAGGCTGTGTGGAACTCCTGGTCCACAGAGCAGACTTTGACTAACAAGGCTGTCTGTCCGAAAGACCAATGCATGTCATCAGGCAGGAAAGACCAGAGCAGAGAGTGTGGGCAACAGTGTGGTTAGAAGCCTTTTCTTAGAATGTGATTAGAAAAAAAGAAAGGATTGGAAATTTTTTAATTAAAATATTACTAGGACAGGAAGAAATCTGTGATTCCTTGTGGTGGTTTTACTCTGTTTATAAATTTAATTAGACTCTAAATTTGTTCATCCTTTAAGATTAATATTCTTGCCTGATCTGTGGTAAGAATTTAGACATGTTTCATTATTTTTGATTTGGAGATTTTTCTTTTATTTCAATTGTTTTTTAAGGAACAGGTAGTGTTTGGTTATATCAATAAGTTCTTTATTGGCGAATTCTGAGATTTTGGTGCACCCATCAACCGAGTAATGTACACTGTACCCAACGTCTAGTCTTTTATCCTTCACCCACCTCCCACGCTTTCCCTTAAGTCCCCAAAGCCTATCGTATCATTCGTATGCCTTTGCATCCTCATGGCTTAGCTCCTACTTAATAAGACAGAATATACAGTGTTTGGTTTTCCATTCCTGAGTGACTTCACTTAGAATAACGGTTCCCAATTCCATCCAGGTGCTGCAAATGTCATTATTTAATTCCTTTTTATGGATGAGTAGCATTCCATGGTGTGTATGTATGTATGTATGTATTTGTCACATTTTCTTTACTTGTTGATTGATGGGCATTTCGGCTTGTTCCTTAATTTTGCAATTGCGAATTGTGTTGCTATAAACATGCATGTGCAAGTATCTTTTTCGTATAATGACTTCTTTTCCTCTGCTAGATACCCAATAGTGGGATTGCTGAATCAAATGGTAGATCTACTTTTAGTTCTTTAAGGAATCTCCACACCGTTTTCCATAGTGGTTGTACTAGTTTATGTTCCCACCAACAGTGTAGAAGTGTTCCTTTTTCGCCACATCCACACCGACATCTATTATTTTTGAATTTTTTAATTATGGCCATTCTTGCAGGAGTAAGGCGGTATCATATTATGGTTTTGATTTGCATTTCCCTGATCATTAGTGCTGTTGAGCATTTTTTCATATGTTTGTTGGCCATTTATATATCTTCTTTTGAGAATTGTCTATTTATGTCCTTAGCCCACTTTTTGATGGGATTGTTTGTTTGTTTTTTCTTGCTGATTTGTTTGAGCTCCTCGTAGATTCTGAATATTAGTCCTTTGTCAGATGTATAGATTGTGAAGATTTTCTCCCACTCTGTGGGTTATCTGTTTACTGTGGTGATTATTTCTTTTGCTGTGCAGAAGCTTTTTAGTTTAATTAAGTCCCATCTATTTATCTTTGTTTTTGTTGCATTTGCTTTTGCGTTCTTGGTCATAATAATTTGGAGAATTTTAAGTACAGGTTGAGTATCCAAAATGCTTGAGACCAGAAGTGTTTCAGATTTTGGATTTTTTTGAGTTTAGGAATATTTTCACATCCATAATGAGATATTCTGGGGATGGAACTCAAGTCTAAGCATGAAATTAATTTATATTTTATATATATCTTATACATACAGCTTAAAGGTATTTTTATACAACATTTTAAATAATTTTGTGTATGGAACAAGATTTTGACTGTTTTGCCTATGACAGGAGCTCAGGAATGAAATTTTCCACTTGTGGCTTCATGTCAGTACTCAAAATATTTTCAGATTTTGGAGCATTTTGGCTTTTGGGTTTTTGCATTAGGGATGCTCCACCTGCATTAATAAAGAAATCCTCAGAGAAATGAAATTGAGAAATGTCCAGAGGAATGAAATAGTTGTAATATATGTGTGTGTGTACATATACATATGTGTACTTGTATATATGTGTTTGTGTTGTGTGTATACATATATATTGTATGTTTTTTAATGTCACATAACTGCCTCTTATAAAATTGCTATTTATTTAAATCTCAGTTCTTGTACCTAAATAAATATTGATCCAAACACATTCCAATATATTTTCATTAACACATATCAGTTTTTATAATAAATATTTATGTATTCGAGAGACTTCTGTGGTTCTTCATGGGATGGCTTAGAGTTAACCAACACTTTTTTGTTATATACATTAATCCTAATGCATGTATAGGAACTATAGTTATGTTAGGGAGTTAGAGAAGCAAGAAGTATGATTAGTTTAAATGTTTATGGTTGAGAAATCACTGGATACTATTCTCTGCTTTCAACATATAACCATCATTTGACTGTAAATTCAAATATGGACATCCTAAGTGGAGTGCACATGACCAATGTATAGTTTTCCAAGGAAAACTGTTATATTTATTATCTCTCCCTTTTGGCCTCCAATAAAAAAAAGTTCAGTTCAGATTGTTAACATAGAATGGAGAAAACACATGAATTAAACCTAGGTTCAAATCCCAAAGCTACCCTGCATGTGTAATGTCCCTGGGACACAACATCCTTGATTTCTGTGAACCTCACTTCTTAATCTGTAAGATGGGTTCTCATGCCTATTAATCATGTAGGGTTGCTGTTAGGATCTAGTAAGATATATTAAAGTGTTTTGAAAAATGCAAAAGACTTGCATGTACAGTATTAACTAACTGAAAGTGATGGTTCTGGACTTGATTTTAGTAATATTTGTGATGTTTGGATTTCAATTAGAAGATAAGAATTCTTCTGCTGTAGCTCTAAAGTTGAGTAAATATTAAGCCATAAGATTTTCATGAGGTTTAAAGTAATTCTCATGGCAATTCTTTATCACGAATATCAAACTGACTTGCTAAACTATGCACCATGATCCATTTGCTTATATCCATGTGCTTATGACTACTGTGATTAGAGATAATAAATATGATCAAATCTTCCTTTCTAGTCATATAAAATGTATTGTCTTTTACTTTTCTCTCAGCAGAAGAGTGTCCCTGAAATGAAAAAGCCTGCCTTCTTTTTCTGATTCTAGCTTTGTAACACATGTAGCTATTTTAAAATGGAAATGCAATCAAATTTAAATGTAGAATTATTTTTATATCAAAAATACTTTTTTGATTTTTTTATCTCAAACTACAAAGGCAATGAATTTTTCATACAATAAGCCAGGTCACCCAAATATGCTAACTACTATTCAGTATTTGTTAAACGTGAAGTTTGTGTGCTTCTATATGTGTAGGTGGGTGCATATGTGCACACACGTATATGCAATATGAAAAAGCCTATTCAGAGATTTACTTTGTTTTTAATAATTAGTATTTGATTTACTATAGTTATAAATCCAAAAACATAGTTGCTTCTTAAGCAAAATTCAGCTGGCAGATGTTTCATTCATTGGTCTAACAAATTTAACAAACACATTAAGAAGCCTTTGACTAATGTTTTATAAACTTAAACACCTTCAAATTTTTAAAATGGAATTCGTACATTTAATAGATTTGATTTTCATTTTAAATAATTCAGCTTCCAGGCTGACAAACCTTCCCATATACTTAAATAATTTTTGTAAATCTAATAAGCCCAACTTACAAATAAGGTGAAATCTTATGAACTCTAAAATGTTAAAATATAGGCTGGATGCGGTGGCTCACGCCTGTAATTCCAGCGCTTTGAAAGGTGACAAGAGCGAGAATCCATCTCAAAAAAAAATTTGTATTAGTAAGATTAAACTTTAAAATAACATTTTAAAATCAATTATTCCAGTATACATTTAAAGAATAAAATTAGTAAGCTGACCTTTTATTCTACGGACCACATTCTCTTAAATATTATAAATGTCCTCTTAAAACTAAAAATATGAACGCTATAGATTTTGATTCTCTCTCACATTTCTGTGCTTAACTGAAAATCTTCACAAGGTTGAAAGATAGTTACCTTCTAAGCATCACCTCATAATTTTTGGTTTAATTTTTAATATAAGTTTGGTAGTCTCTTCAATTCATTGAATTTCTTGATATTTATTTTTATACGGTAAAAACACATGACATTAAATTTACCATTTTAACTATTTTTAAGTGTACCATTCAGCAGTATTAAATATAGTCCCATTTTTGTGCAACATATCTTTAGAACATTTTTGTCTTGCAAAACAGAAACTCTAGACTCATTAAACACTAACTACCCCTACCCACCTCCAGCCCTTGGCAACCACCTTTCTACTTTATGTTTTTATGATTTTGACTACTTTAAGTCCTTCATATAAGTGGAATCAGACTTCGTCCTTTCATGACTGGCTTATTTCACTTACCGTAACCATAATGTCCTTGAGGTCCAGCCATATCGTAGCAGCATGGGACAGGACTTCCTTTTTTTTTTTGTTTTTTTTAGGCTACACAATATTTTTTCTGAAGATTTTAAATATCAGAGAACATGGTCCTTGACTACTACCTTGATGGATCATACTGAACCTACCACCTGTTCTAGATGGCGTACCCAGTATTCATTCAATGTAAGACATATTATTTCCTAGTACTAGTTTCAAATTAGATTAGAACTCTCAATCCAGTTGGCTACTCTGATTGATTAAATTTTTGTGCATATCTTTGGTCATTGAGATATGTAAATATTTTTGGCCTAAGTACCATGATAACTGACAGAATTATGTATTCTTTTAATATAATTCTTATATGAAAATCTTATAAGATGTGTGGTCCTTTATTTCTTGTAAATGTTAAAATGATATCCCATTGCATTTTCCAAATTTCACGGCTATGTTTGGAAGTGAAATCACAACCTCTAAGGTCATCTTGTTCACTCTCTTCCACTTTGCCTTTGGGCTCATCTCACATATAGTCTGAAGTTACACCAGTGACACTGGTGTAGCTCTTTCTCCAGGGTGTTAATTTCATCTGCAGTATCAGCAATCTCTAGACACTTCCCATTTCTTTGTCCCCACCTTTCAGCCTGCCCAAGGCTCCAGATAGTTCTCTAATTTAGAATTTTGACCTTGTTCCTAAGATAAAAATTTGTATAACTCAAGTTGTCTTGAATATTGTGTGTCCCAAGCTTGTCTGTTAATGTCTGTTCCCTCCCAATTGCTGTGCCTGTCTTGCTTCACTTTCTCCTTCTTTTCTCCCTGCCCCTTCCTGCCCTCCATTCCTTTTTTCTTCCTTCCTTGGTTCTCTTCCTCCTTTTGTCTCTCCTCCATTTTTTCCCCTTCTTCTCTCCTTCCTTTCTAAGCAGCAGGCACACCGAAGACTGAAGGATGAGTAAATCACTGTTGATGTTCTTCAGGGCTCAGTCTGTACTAAACAGAAGGAATGAAATACAAACTGTGGAAGGAAGGGAAAGACCCCTGGGCCCTTCCCTTCTCAACTGTGCTACACTGTTTATCAGAAGTAAAACACCTAGGCCACTTCAAAAAAGACATAAATTTGTTGTATATATATTTTTTTCATTGATTTTTAAAAAAATTTTGAAGTTGTAGTTTTTGTGGATACATAGTAGGTGTATATATTTATGGAGTGTATGGGATATTTTGACACAGGCATACAATATGTAATAATCACATCCGGGTAAATGGGGTGTTCATCACCTCAAGCATTTATTATTTGTGTTGAAAACAATTCAATTATACTCATGGGGGTAGAGAGTAGAATGATGGTTACCAGAGGATGGGAAGGATAGTGGGGGTGGGGTAGGGGGAAAATGGGGATGGTTAATGGGTAGAAAAAAATAGAATGAATAGGATCTAGTGTTTGATAGCACAACAGGGTGATTATAGTCAGTAATAATTTAATTGTACTTTAAAAAATAACTAAAAGAGTAAATTGGATTTTTTGTTGTATATATTTTTTAATTACCTAAAATTATTTTTCATACTGAAGCTATTTTTTTATCTGTGTAAAAAACTGGAAAACAGATGAGCAAAAAGAGAAAATAAATCATTCATAGTCCTGCCATTTTTGTTTGTATCTTTCCGGATATATTTCCATTTCTTTAAATTCAATATAAATTTGTAGGTTATGCCATGCATATTTTTTGTAAGCTGCTTTGTTCATTTGTATTATATTGTAGACATATTTTCTTGTCTATCAATTACATCTAAATAATAATCTTATAATTACATTTTACTATATTAATATATACTAACGTTAGGCACACGTAGTTTTGCGGCTACAGGGAGCATCATTTTATTTATCCCTTTGCATGTGTGAGTGATTCATACAATAAATTATTTTAAGTGGAATTTCTGGAATGAGAGGTATGCATACTGTATCATTTAGAATTAGATTTGGCTATGTAGTGCCTAGAAGTAGGCAAGCCAGCAGGGGACTCAAGCAGTTTTTACCCTTCTGCTCCACCATCTCTTTGTCACATGCTCTCGCCAAGCTACAAGGGCATCTTTATTCTGCCACTCCTGTAACTTCACACTACACATGGAATGAGCCCAAAGGCAAGGTGGAAGAGAGTGAACAAGATGACCTTAGAGGTCATGATTTCACTTCCAAACATAGCCATGAGACTTGCAAAGTGCAATGGGACATCATTTTAACATTTACAAAGGTATGGTCTTCATTTCCATGTACCATTATTGACCTCCACACATCAACAGACGGAATAGGTGGGAGAAAGAGGCAAATGGCAATGCCAACTGTTTCCTAAGGAAGGTTCCTAGCAGTGATCATGTTCCTTTTATATCCCACTGGTCACTTGGTCTCACCAAGCTGCAAATGCATCTTTAGTCTGTGTGGTCAGAGGCCCAGTAAAAATATATATAAATATATATATTTCTCTGGGAAGGGTAAAATGGATATTGGGAGACAGGAATAATCTTAGCCACATCTTAATGCATTTTGAGACACATTGCCAAATTGCTGTCCAGACAGGTTGTAACAACTTACATGACCACCAGTAATGTATGAGGGTACCCACTTCCTTACATTTCTGCTGACCTAGGTATTATTATTGCTTTCAACCTTTTGGGTGAAAAATGGTACCTAGCTTTATTTTGCATTTCCTAATCATTAATAATGCTGTTCACTTTAAAAACTTATGTTTATTGCTGGGCATGGTGGCTCACTCCTGTAATCCTAGCATTTTGGGAGGCCGAGGCAGGCAGATCACCTGAGGTCAGGAGTTCGAGACTAGCCTGGCCAACATGGCGAAACCTCGTCTTTACTAAAATACAAAAATTAGCTGGGCGTGGTGATGCACACCTATAATCCCAGTTACTTGGGAGGCCGACACAGGAGAATCGCTTGAACCCAGGAGGTGGAGGTTGCAGTGAGCCGGAGCCGAGATGGCGACATTGCACTTCAGCCTGGGCGACAGAGTGAGACTGTCTCAAAAAGAAAGACAAAAAAAAAAGCGTTTATTTACCATTTGTATTTTGGCTTTAGGGCCAGGACCAGGGTGGGAGATACAGTGAGACTGCCTTGTTCTTCAGAGAGCCATAAGAACAATGAATAGAAGCAACAGGGGACAGTGGCAAATGAAAGAGAAACAGGTTGATTTGGGGGCTGATAAAGAAGACAGTTTGAGAGAGAGACTTTACTAACATATGCCCCAGAGAGGTCAGTTCCCATGGATGTGCCCAGCAGCAGCAGCAGGAGGCCCAGGCCCTTCCTAGCTCTTGCACTCATCGACATCACGGATGCTCATTCTCTCCTCACCCCATAGTTCCATTAGGCCTCCTTTCCCAAGACCTCAACTGTCTGCAGTTTGCAGGGATGATCTGGAGCCAGGGAAATCTCTTGTCTTCTCCTACTACCTACCTCTCCCATGAGCATTGTGGATAGAGGAATGATCTCTGATTTCTGGCAGTGAGGTAAGCTCTTGGCAGTCCAAACTGATATGTGAATGGCTTGACCTATGGAAAGGAGAGAGACTCGTGATCCCCACATACTGTGGTTCATTCAGGCACATGCTGGAATAAATGAACAACTATTGAGGTTGCCCTAGGGACCTAACCATTATTTACAACATTATAACTCCAAGAAAATTTACACAACTGGTTTCCAAACACATCTTTGAAACCCGACCTCTTAGCATGTTGGGGACTGCTTATAGATTTAGTGACATGGGACTTGGAAAAGCTCACAGGAAAAGCAGCAGAAGAGCAGAGTGGGAAGTTGGCAGCTACCCTCTGTGGGAAGGATTGGTTAATCCAGAGAGAAGGCTGGCCATACATTCTCAGTCGGATGTTCTTGGCTTCATCTCCACTGATGGCAGAGAAAGCGAATCATTGTAAGCAGCGCTGCTTGCAGCAGAATCGTGAATGGACAAAGGAGATGGCCAGGGGTCCCTTCTCCAGTCCAGCTCCCATTCTCTTTGCCCCACATGCCTTGTCTTCTCCTGCTGGATACTGCTGTAAAGGAAGGGACTGTTCTGATGATTATTTTCTTTGGGGTAGACTTAAGTCTGCTAACTCTGTTTTTGTTAGATGGAGAAAGTCAAATGGTAACTCAAAGTTCAAGTTCTAATGGGGGCGTCCAGGCAAGTGTGGCTTGTAAGAAGGACAGAGGGAAGAGGTTTGGGGACTGGGTAACTCACTTTATTGCCTGGCAGGCCAGCTCTGATGGTGAGAGATCAGTTCCCATGGATGTGTCCTGCCTGTCGTTGGCACTGGTTAAGAGAACTTTGGAACCGTAAATAAGAAGCCTTAACTCCCACACACTGAACTGTGTATGATTTCCTGTTCTTAACAGAAAGGAGTGTGACAATTGATTACCAGAGCAGTGAATGAATATTCACAGCTGATTTTTAACTTGGCCAACTTCATGTAAAACTGAACCGGCTGTGGGCAGATAAGGAGCTGGAACTGTGGTTGGTGTCTATATGAAAAATAGTTCTGTAGATGAACTTTACTCTTGTTTGAATGTCATGCTTCAGAAAACAATGGGTTTTAAGCCCAAATTTTGAGGCGAGGGCTTAAAAAACACCTGCAGTTCACTAACCCAGGACTCTTTTCCTTCCAGGAGGCAGATATGCTACACAGGTGGCACTTTGGGAGTCACAATAACTGTTTGCCATATAATACGTTTTCCTTTATTTCTTCTTTTTAAAATTGGAATATTATGTTATTTTAGACTGGAATTAACAAAAAGCTTTCTTTTGGGAAAGGGAGTGCTACCTCTTGGAAGTGGCTGCCTGGAACATTGTGTTTAGAAGGATTCTGAGGCTGTGTCTGGGCTAAGAGAGAAAGAGCAAAGTGACTCACTAGTGATTTCTGCCACGGGATTGGAGTGGCAGTGGGTGGCCCGAGTGCGCCTCATTTGCCATCCCTGTATTTGACTGCATAGTATCCTGTGGCATTCTGGAATCATGGAGATAGCAACCGAGGCTCCTGAATCACACACCTGGCTAAAGGCTCCTGTTATACCTACCTCTGTCATTTAAGTGAGAAGTTATATTTACTGTTCTTGCTATTGTCCCCAGAAAAAAATTACCTTCCTTTGTGAGCTGGAATATTTGACATGCTTAACTCGGGATCATATTGTCAACAGTTTTGTGTTGGGGATGGGAAAGGATTTTCAATGGCTATGTTTTGCCTCAGTGTCAGCCACAGGGGGGTCTGATTAGGAGAGGGATTGGCAGGCTTGAGCAAATTGGGCACGGCTTCTGGGAAGAGCTGAACTGAAGATAGTTTCTTTCCCTACCTTACAATTATGTGAGGACACATTTAATTATTTATCCTGGCTTTGTATCATTTTGGTCTTTTCCTGCTGAAAAGTTTAGGGCCCAGATTCTTTAGGCTGAGAGGAGCTGCAGTGCAGGGAAGATGCCTTGTTTTGGGGTGAGAAGAGTTAGCCTTCGGCAGAGGTCTGTTTAGGGGAAAGCTAGGCTCCTTGGGTGGATTTGGGGAAGCAAAAGGAGAGCTTCAGGAAAGGAGGAGTACCTCTTATTGGAGTTTGAGGCAGACAGAGCCTTCTGTTTTGGATTTGTTTGATTCTCTCAGGCTTGTTTAATGATAAAATTGTGATCTTGTCAAATATTAAAAAAAAAACCATAGTCTTTTGATCCATTTAAGCAGATCCTTTCGAGTAGAGATAAAAGTGAGACAATCCTGTTAAGCTAGTCAAAGAGAGCCTGACTGACAACAATCAGATGGTATGTTCCCAAATATACCTACCCATGATGCCCTCCCTGCCACCGGCATTGAATTTTTTTCCTGTTTCCATAGGGACCCTGTACTCTGTTGCTATGGTGTCCGACGTGGTTCAGAGGAACCTACCAGTAAATACAGGGGAAGGCCTTTTGTCCACATACCGTGCCAGCAGAAATTCCAATTTTCCCACACATCTATCGGAACCTAAACTTCTGCTTTCCAGTTTGGGTCGTTGGTCTCTGCTAGCAGGGAAGATAGGAAATCTAATAAATAACAAGAAACCTTTGTTGCTTTACTGATTGACAATGCTTGCTCAGTGTTTAGGATTTTATAAATAGAAACTAAGAATTTAATTTTTAAAAAATCCACTATAAATTCAAGATAGCCTCAATCTAAACAGAAGGAGATCATATCTGCTGCCTATTTTTTTTTTTCTTGAGAAAGCCTGACTTTAGAGTCCCATGGAGACAGGGTCAAAAGGAAATAATGAAAAAATCCTTGCCTTATCTCTAGAAAATTAGTTCCTGAAATTGCAGTCTTTGCAGGACAGGTAGGATTTTTACAGGCCTAATAATTTATGCAATCCCCTTGCAGGGATAGAAAATGGCTAAAATAAAAGCCAAGAACTGAGAAGCAATTTTTATTGTACTATGGTTCAAATCTTTTCAGGGCAAAGTAATTTAAAAATAATGGAAAAAACACAGTTTGATCTAAGTGACCAACCACAAAACATTGACATGACCAGGTGGTGACAGAACTTGCATGTTTTTAGTCTGGTATAGCGCCGGCCAGCGCTTTTACAGATAATCCAGTGGTAAACCTAGTGCATCCATCTGGGCCACACACAAGAGATGCTAAAGGAGGGAGAGATTGATGCGCTGGTAGAATCAATGCTGCACTGACATTCTTCTTTCCTTTGGTTGTAGTAGTAGCCCAAGGTCCAGACCTATATTGCTTATTGATAACCAATTCTAAAAAAGGCTGGAAAAAAATCAGAGAGCTCCAAGAGAGTTAAGACAGAGAAACTCAGACTTCTTGATTCAAGTGACAGAAGGCAGCATTAGCTCAAGGTGGGCCTCCCTGACCGGCTGGCCACGTTGGAAGGGCAAAAGTGGTTATGGCAAGTTTAAAGATATGGCCATCAAAGTAATGTAGATTTAAGCTAAAAAACAATAGCTAAGTTAATTTATTGTACTTAGCATGAAATTGAGGGACATAAAAGGAAATATGCCACCATGAATGAAACATACATGTTGATCCAGGGAGGAGAATAGGTTTCCAGAAACTTGGATCCTAGGCATTATCTGTAGTTGAATCCCTCTAGTGTGAGATATGGAATACTCATCCTGCAGAATTCACTGTTGCATTATCCAGTTAGTTTGGGAAATGCAGTATGTTGGATCCCATTTCTTGAAGATTTGCTTCAGCCTATTAAAGGCTCTGGGAATGCCTGCAGTAAAGGCATGTCTCAAACTTTTTTGACCATGGAATTCCTTACTCCCTATACCCTCTTCCCTTTTCTTTCCCCAAGAACATAAGGGAAGAAATAGTTCTCTGGATCTACTTACTTGGAAAACACTGCTTTGAGGGATTTTGTTTTCTGTAAACATACACTGGGTAATTTTAAATATTTATAATTTATTTGAGACTCTTTGGACCTGTAATTTCTTCTAAGGACAATTATATTATCTGTTCTAACAACTCAAGAAAGGGAAAGCTTTAGTTGAAGCTGGAAGGCTATAATAGATACTTCCTTACCTTTGCTATGGCATGGAGGAGATGCGTATTTTACTGCCTCATTGATGGGGACAACTTCTTCTAGACCTCTCCCCCAAATTTTGAACTATTATCAACAGAGGTATTTTATGACAAACAGTTGTTCACCAAAAGTAGAGCTGTCAATAAATATGCATATAAAGTGGCTCCTGATGTGAAATTCAAAATAACTACATGATCGGTTAATAGGGTAGAGAGAAAGAAAAGAATCAAAATAGCTATATAAATGATAGATCGGGCAGCTGATACAGGGTCAAAAAAGTGAAATGAAGACAAAAGGGAGACTGAGGTGGGAGGATCACTTCAGCCTGGGAGGTAGAGGTTACAGTGAGCTGAGATTGTGCCACTGCACTCCAGGATAGGTGACAGAACAAGACCCTGCCTCAAAATAAATAAATAAATAAATAAATAAATAAATAAATAAATAAAATTTAAAAACAGGAGAAAGAAAAAAAAAAGTGACCCATCTAAGAACTTAAAATCCCTTTATTCTGTGTTCTTTTAGGACCATCACTTAGCAGGGGCTGGATGATCTGATGCATAATTGTAGGGGTTTTAGGGCCCATACAATTTTATATTTTAAACAATTTTAACTTAAAACTTGAGACTTTCATCTTCCATGGAAAAATCAGGCTATTGGTAACACTGGCTTGATATTCCTATGTGGCAACAGACAAGAAACTGAAGGAAAGCATCCCACTTTGGATGAGCAAGTGCTCCCTGAATTTCCCCAGGTCTAACCTGATTTGTAATAGTTCTTTAATTTATCCATGTGGCCTCTGAAGGCATTTGAGTTTGTGTTCCCTGGTTTTGGGGCATTCTCATAGCAAAGGTTCTGCTGCCAGCTTTCTCTTGAAACTGTAGCACTTCTCCTTTTGAAGAAATTCTAACTGCTTGATTTATACATTTGAATTAAGACTTTCATACCGAAATGCAAAGGTTCCTGACAAGGGAAATAATCTCAGCTGTTGTTATTAGTCATTGACTCCATTTATTCTCAAGCTGGTGTAGACAGGGAAAGAGAGTGGAAAGAACATGAGGGCACCAGAGTTCTAGAGGAAATGTCCAGGGACCACCACTAAGGAGGGAGAAGGGGCAAAAGAAACTGAGTGGGAAAAGTGGTACTCTAATTATGACTTCCACTGCCCTATTAACTTTCTCTAGGGCTGGCCTTTATTATTCATATGTGATTCAGATGTATTGGATAACCGGAAGCAAAATGACAGCAAGATGAAATAGGGCAGACCAGGGGAAATGCCATGTGGTGGAAAACATGCTGTGGGAAACAATATTTGTAAAAGAATTTATGGCTCCATAGAGAGTGGTCAGGGCAAGAGAAATGCCATTCTAAAAACAGAAGAGCCTGGGATGGCACTTCCTGTGCATAGAAGCGTCATGCTTTCCTTATAGACACAGACATGGCAGGACCAGCTGGTAAATAATTTGTCCCAAATGAAGGTACCTTCCTTCTGATTTCTTCCCTAAACAATATGCTGACGATTTTGAAATCCTTCTCAAATTGAATCAATTTGCAGTTGTATCATCAGACCTGTTGTAGGTTCAGTTGTTAGGAATTTGTGCTCAGGAAAACTAGAGTTTATTCCAGTGCTGGTTAACATTTTGATGTTTTAGTCCATTAAGGTCATGTTACTTACGTTACTTAAATCTGACTCAACCTATAGAGACACACTGTGAGAGTTGTGGCCAGAATAGATAATGCCTATGTAAGTGTGGAATTAAGCTAAAAACTCTTTCTGTTTTCAAATAAATGAATAGGATTATGTGCCCCACAGATGGTATTTCAATCCCTTGTGTGGGATCCATTACAACAGACTATTTCAACACAAGCTGTTTTGTTTTTTTTTTTTTCTGTATGAGTCAATTACTTTGTAGAGGAAAAGCTTAGTAGAACATCACATTGTCATTTTTTAGTATTAGCAGTTCCCCAAATAAATATTTATTGGGAGGGTCTAAAGCCAATACCTTCATAGGCATTTAAAGAGCTCTACCCTCCAGTGATGACAGACTCTTAGTTAAATTGAATAGTATGTACATAGAGGATTTGAGTGTTAGCTCAGATTTTTTTTTTTCTCTATGGAGAGAGGGCTCTTTGCCTTTCTGTAAAAGTTCTCCTCTTACTCTAGGGTTTTTTTTTGTTGTTTAAACAGCTTCATGGAGGTAAAATTGACATACAATAAGCTGCACATTTTAAAAGGTACAATTTGATAAATATTGACATATGTACACAACCCTTAAACCCTCACCTCAATTATGATAGTGAACCTATACATCACATACAAATGTTTCCTCATACCCTTTTGTAATTTCTCCTATCCACCCCTCCCTGCTCAGGCAACCATTGATCAGCTTTCTGTCACTCTAGATTGCTTCGTATTTTCTAGAGCTTTATATAAGTGGACTCATAGAGTATTCTCGCTTTTATATCTGATTTCTTTTACTCATCATAATCATTTTGAGATTTATGACATTGCCCTATGCACTGTTAGCTCATTCCTTTTTATTGCTGAGTAGGATTCTATTGTATAGCTATACCACAATTTATACTTTCATGTACTTAGCACATTTGGATTTTTTCCAGTTTTTGACAATTACACATAAAACTTCTCTGAAAACTTATGTACACATCTTTGTATGGGCATACATATGCTTTCATTTCTCTTGGGTAATACCTGGAGTTGGATGGCTGAACCACTTGGTAGTTGATACAGAAGTGTTCAGAGATACTTTATTTGAAATAGCCAAAATCTGGAAATGTTTGGTATTGCTTTGAATCTATACAACTATTGGAGGAGAATCGATATCTTATTAATAGAGTCATCTGACTCACAAACAAGTGCTGTCTCACTATTTAAGATAATGTGTATATTGTGCTGTTGTTGGGTAAAGTGTTCTATAAATGTCAAATAGATCAAATTGATTGACAGCTTTTTTCAATTCTTCTTTACTTTCTCTCAACAATGTTGTTTGTTTTTAGTGTACAGGTCCTTCACATCTTTGGCTTGATTTGTCCTTAAGTATTTCATATTTTTTGAGGTTATTGTAAATGGCTATTCAATTTCTGATTGTTGCTAATATATAGAAATATAATTGAGGTTTTGCGTAGTGACTTTTATCTGTAATTTTGTTAAGTGCTCTTTTTTTAGTAGTTTTTTTGTAAATTCCATTAGATTTTCTAAATACATATATTTACATAGTCTGTAAATTAAGGCAGTTTTACTTCTTCCTTCCTAATCTATATAAGCTTTATTTCTTTTCCTTGCCTTATTACACTTGCTAGAACCCCCAGTATCATGCTGAATAGAAATTGTAAGAGCAAGAATCCTTGTTCTGTTGTTAATCTTAGAGGAAAGCATTTCATTCTTTTACCATTGACTATGTTAGTAGTAGGTTTTACATATTTGCCCTTTATCAGGTTGAGGAAACGCCCTTCTGTTTCTAGTTTGCAGAAATTTTTTGTTAGGAATAAATACATTTTTCTAAATGCTTGCTAAATGCAGGCATCTTTTGAAATAACCATATATGTGATTATTGTATCATTCAGGTCTACTTAGGTTATATATATGTATATGAAGGAACTATATATATAGGTTATATATATATGTATGAAGGAACATATATATGTGTGTATATATATGTGTGTGTATATATATATATATGTTGGAACAAACCTCACATGGTCATAAAGTTTAATCCTTTTACATATTGTTGGATTTAATTCACTAAAATTTTGTTTAGAATCTTTGCACCTATGTGAGTGATACTTGTTTGTAGTTTGTTTCTTTCTTACTGCAAATGTCTCTGGTTTTAGTGTTAAGGTAATTTTGGCCTCACAGTTGGGAAGCTGGGAAGTAGTCTCTGGCCTTCAATTTTCTGGAATAAGTTTTTTTTAGAATTGGTATTATTTCCTCTTTTAATTCTTGGTATAATTCATCATTGAAACCATCTGGAATTGGAGGTTTTTTAAAATGGGAAAGCTTTTAACTATAATTTAATTGCTTTAAAATATATAGGTCCATTCAGGTTATTTATTTCTACTTGAATAAGCTTTAGCAGTTTCTTCATTTCATCTAGGTTATCAAATTTATTGGCATAAAGTTTTTATTAACATTTACCTGTAAAAAAATCTATAGATTTTATGGCGATATCACTTCTCTCATTTCTAATACCAGTAATTTGTGTCTTCTCTCTTTTTTTCCTGGTAAGTATAGTTAGAAGTTGATCCGTTTTGCTGATCTTCTCAAAGAACTAGGTTTTACTTTTGTTGATTTTCTCTTTTGCTTTTCTGTTTTTTATTTTATTGATTTCAGCTTTGATTTTTATTATTTCTTTTACTCCCCCTTTCACTGGGGTTTAATTTGATCTTTGTTTTCTAGTTTCTTAAGGTGGAAGCTGAGATAATTTCAGAGTTTTCTTCTTTCATAATGTAGGCATTTGGTGCTATAAAATTTCCTCTATGTGCTGCTTTAAGAGCATTTGACAATTTTGACATGTTGTGATTTTGTTTTCATTTACTTTAAAATACTTTCTGATTAATATATCTTTTGATTTCTTCATTGACTTTGAGTTATTTAGAAGTATGTTATTCAGTTCCAAATATTTAGAAGGATTTTCCAGATATCTTGCTGTTACTGATTTCTAACTAAATTTCCTTATGGTTAGAAAACTGCTTTGCATGCGTTGAATCTTTTAAAATTGATTGAGATTTGTTTTATTTCATAGAATATAACTTGATTATTGTTCTGTATGTTCTTGAAAAGCAAATATATTCTGCTGTTATTGGGTGGAGCGTACTATAAATATTAATTACATCAAGTTGGTTTTTAGTTTCAAATCTACTATATCTTTTCTTATTTTCTTTTTAATAGTTCTATCAATTATTAAGACTAGTTATTCAAATCTCCTGCTTTAATTGTATCTATTTCTCATTGCAGTTTTTGAAACTGTTATTAGATGCATAAATGTTTAGGATTATTATTTCATTATAATGAATTGAACATGTTATCATTATAAAGTGACCTTCATTATCTCTAATAATAGTCTTTGTTCTGGAATCTTCATTTGATATTAATATAGCTACTCCAGCTTTCTTTTGATTAGCGTTAGTATGGTTTTTTTTTTTTTTTACATACCTTTACTTAAAAAAAAATTATTATTTTTTTTTTTTGAGACGGAGTCTTGCTCTGTCACCCAGACTGGAGTTCAGTGGCGCGATCTCGGCTCACTGCAAGCTCCGCCTCCCAGGTTCACGCCATTCTCCTGCCTCCCGAGTAGCTGGGACTACAGGCGCCTGCCACCACGCCCGGCTAATTTTTTTGTATTTTTAGTAGAGATGAGGTTTCACCGTGTTTGCCAGGATGGTCTCCATCTCCTGACCTCGTGATCCGCCCGCCTCAGCCTCCCAAAGTGCTGGGATTACAGGCGTGACCCACCGCACCCGGCCAAATATTTGCGTTTTTATCAAGTGTGTTTCTTGTACTTATAAGCAGCATATTGTTAGGTCTTACATTTTTAATCCAATCTGTTAATATCTGTCTTTTAATTTAGATATTAGACCATTTATGGTTAATATGATTATTGATGTAGTTAGATTTGATTTCTTCTTGTCCTGTTTTTTGTTCTCATTTTTCTCTTTTATACTTTTACTTTAAGTTGAATATTTTTTATAATTCTATTTTATCTTCTTCATTGGCTTACTAGCTATAACTGTTAGTTGTATTGTTTTTGTGGTTGTTTTGGGGTTTATAGTATCCACATTTAACTGTTCTCACATTGTAATTTGAGGCAAAATGATGCTTCAGGGAGAGAATGAGGTATGTATCTAATGGCCAGATTTCTAATTCCCCTCATATCTTTTGGTCATCCCACTTGCACTAGGTCGTGACACCTTTACTTAAAATGTATGGCAGAAGTTCTGAGTTCTTGTATCTCCTCCTTATATAGATGGGTCTTCCATTTTTCTGCTAGTATAGATTTTTATTTAATTTAGTAACTGACTCACCTGAAAGATCGTTCAAAAGAGCAGTGTATTAGTTACAAATCATGTTTTACTGCAATAAATAGAGATTTGAAAAATAGAAACATATACATAATAAGGATCCTTATGTCATGATAAGTCTGGAAGTGGGTGGTTTATGGCACTTATTTATCCATGCAAAGAATTCAGAGTGAAGGGTTCCATGATTCTCTTGGTCCTTCCCTCAGAGTTGCCTGGTGCTTTTTGCAGATTCAGCCATGTCTTCACACCGGGCAGCAGGAAGGAGAAAGAGAAGGGGAGTCGCACTTACCACCTGAATCTGTCTCTTGAAACTGTTTTCCACATAGGCATTTCAATCTAGAAAGAGGGACAATAAATGTAGTTTATTGCTGACGTCACTGCTGGCCCTGGTACAAGTAAGATTCTGTTAATAAAGGTTGAAGGTTAGACATTGGGTGTACAATTGGCAATGTCTGCCAAAGATACTGCCAGTAATAGCTCTTTGTACTTGCCCTTAAATGACACGAAAGCCCTATAAGGAATGGAGAGAAAAGACTTATAGATACAAAGTTTTTGTATTATTATTATTACATTTACTAAGTGCAAACATCTAGGTTCCTAGCATTCTCAAGCTCTTTCCACCACTGATCAGCCATTTATGGACATCACACATGTGGACCACTGGTGGCTGTGGGGTAAGAGCCCTTGACCCCAAGTAAAACGTTATGGAACTTCAGGGATGGGATGCAAGGAAAAAAGTGTGTGAAGCAGCTGTTTTTGGGCACTCCTCCCTGCAACATTATTTCAAAGATATCCACTTTTTCAGCTCAGATGTTTTATCTTTCATGAGATCCCCTTGATCTCACCCCAGTTGGAATTAACTGCTTCCACAGTCCCCACAGTATTGTTATAACAGTTTTGTTGAGATGTAATTCACATACCATACAATTCAACCATTTAAAGTGTACAATTCAACCATTTTTAGTATATTCACAAAGTTGTACAGCCATCACATAATCAAGTTTTGAACATTTTCATCATCTCAATACAACCCCTGTACCTACTACCCATCAATCCACGTTAACCCACAGCCCTAGACAACCAACTAATATCCTGTCTATCCATATGGAATTGTCCATTTGGACATTTCAAATAAATTGAGTCATTCAATATGCTCTCACAGTATTTTTCTGAAACCTCTCTTATTATCCCTGGATTCTACTCTGCATTTATTGAGTTTGATGGATCTACATCAGATTTCCTTTACAGACTAAGAGTTCCCAGTCTGCCATCTTAATATACACAGTAGTGCCTATCAGTGTACCTAGTGCATCAGTACATATTAAACTGAAGAAAAAGAGAATTCCCTTTCCTTTTTATAAGCAAACACAATAGGGTAGGCTGCAATATAATGTTTGGAAATATGAAAGCAAAACGATTCCTGTGCACTTTGTAATTTTGTAAGGACTTTGCATGTAATTGTCCTCAGATAAAAGTGTGGGGAAGATAAAGTATATCTTGGAAGTCAACTCTCTGTTTGCTTCTTTCTCCTTCCTCCTTCGAATCTTCTGACTCCTGACTCCTGGCCATCTAGTACACCTGCCATGGTATCTGACCCAGAACACCCTCTATCATCCTTTTCACCCCTACTCCCTCTCACTCCCATTAAAATCCATCTTATGTTTTGGTCCACTGGGAGTCAGGGACCAGGGTTTAATCCTATTTCTGTCTTTAATACCAACTATGAATATTGGGGAAATTACCCATTTTCCTGATCTGTTTTCTTGTCTGAAAAATGTAGGAATGATGCTCAGTAAAGGCACCTTTAACTCTAAAACTCTATATTCCTCTGTAGCAACTCACTGAATAAATGAGAGAAAATAAGATTTGTGACTTACACTCTTTGCTCATAGCGTCAGAATAAAAGGAACTTCTGGTGACAGATAGGTTAGCTGGAAGGTTTGTGTTTCTGTTGGATAATTGTTCCTTTAAAAAACTATTTTGATTCTGAAAACATTTTCCATATTAATTTAAATAAATATATTCTTTAAGACAATGGTATATACTCTCTTTAGAGATATAATTGATTTATAAAGAAGGCTTTAGTCTTTCTACTCCTCCTTTCACTTTTTTGCCATCCCTAGGTGAAAATCCAAAGGGAATTGTATGTGGCAGAAGAAAAACTATTGAGTATAGTTAATGGCTCTCAGTATTAAAGCCAAGTATTTACAAGTAAAAGGAATGAGGTCCATGTCATTGGTAATGGGATTTAAATGGATTTAGGAACTGAGACTGAAACAGGAGCCTAATTAGAGAAGATTCCAGGGTCATCATGTCAGTGCCCACCTGTCCATCAGGCAGACAGACTGTCCACAGCTTTCATTTCAAAGACATGGCCTGTTCTTCTCATCAGTGTCTCTTGCCTCCTAGTTCTTGAGGGAAAAGACGTCTTGGCTGCCCTGTGCAGCTTGCTGTGTCTGAAGGAGCATACTGAGAGTAGGTTGAGATTCAGCTTATATCTGGCCTCTAAAAAAGATCTGGACTCAGAATATGATCTTTAATGATTTTCTTAAAGATCGGTGCAGAAAAGAAATCATATTGGATAGATTATCTTTGCTTGTTATTCTAGTTTTAATTGCCCTTTTAAAAAAAGAAGAAAGGACATGGGTAGGGAATAAAATATCTATTCCCATTCATGGGACAACCACACTTATAATGGGTCCTTTGTACCTATTCTTTATATCTCTGCTACTGAACATCTGCTAAGTGGACCTCTGTTCCCTTTTTTCTTTTCTAGTTCATTTTGGGGTTTTCTACATGAACAATTAATGTCTTTAGCCTATATTGGTTTTTCATGTGGAGCATGTTAGTTATAGAAGCAGCACCCAGAGTAGGTGGCATTTGAAGCTGAATAGGGGAGGTAAGACCAAGGTAGTAATTGAGCTCAGCTAATCTCTTGGTGGTGGTGTGGGCGTCTGTGTCATGAATGTGCCATAGTCAGTGTTTCTGCACCTTGGTGAGTTGGGACATCAGAGAATAAAGAGAGTTCTATAGCTTACTCTGCCTTCCTCTGTTGCTTCCCTTTGCTCTTTTCCATCTTTGACGAGGTTTGTTGCTGGATGTGGAGAGCCCAGAGATGGTGGAAAAGGGCATGCAGCAGAGATGGCACTTGTATAAGCGAGTCTAATGTGTGAAGATTCTCCATCATGGAAGTAGGATTTTGTGTTCTTTCCTTTTAGACTCCATCCCAACAATATTTCTCATCATTTAGATCATTATTTGCCTTTAGGCATCAATGCTCAGAGGTGATTCCATTGGCTTTAGCTTTAATTAAGAAAAAAGAAATCATTAGGGAAGCAGATTCCCCCTTCCAATTCCTAATTAACTTACAGGCAAATTTGTTTTCTGCTAATGACGCATCCACATTTTGTTTCAGACTTTGGCCAAATGTTAGCTCAAGGTTTTCATAAATGTAATCCATATTTTAAAATTACCATCACGGATTTTTTTAAAAAATTATTACAATTGACTGAACTTCTTGGAATTCATTTCATAAAACACAAAGTTTGCACTATCAGGAATCACGCATGAGAACATTGTGTGATTATCTAGCAATCTCAAAGCATTCTGAAGCAGGTCTCCTTTGATTCTGAACTTAGAAATTTACTTATTATCTTTTTTGGAGTTAACAAAATAAAAGCAACAAAAAACCAATGGATTGGGATCCAACCATATGCAATTCTGATTCTTACTTCTCTGGAACATATGCTTAACTTGTCATGCATTTATTTACCCAATCTAATAAGTTATCTTGATATTAGAGCAGGGTGCTAGGCTGGCTTGCTCAATCTTACCTTTCTTACCAGTTGATTCAGGTGGAACTCAATTGGTGTCATCCTGGAGTTAAGAGTCAACACAACTACAATTAAAACCAAAGTTTAATCTCCAGCTTCTATGGTGTATATCAAATAAGTAGTGTGTGGAAGAGAAAGACGAGTGGTAAAAAGTGAAAATGAAGATAAAAAGTGAAAAAAATGAAAGGATAGAGAAGAAAGGGAGAGCAGTGAATTGAGACCTGTCCATAGAATACTGGAAATATTCTCCCCTCATAGCCAGCTTCTTGCTAGATGAATACAAAACTCTAGGTTGCTCTGATGGAATCCAGCTTTTTGAGTACCCAGAAGTTTTCAAATTCTCAAATGGTAATATTAATCCTTTTGTCAAATAAAATCTTACATAGATGCCCAAGATATAAAAACAATTTAAGTAGTATTAATATAAATTTACCATATAAATGAACATTTATAACATTTCTTTAGTATGAAGTTAATTGGTGAGAACTACACTATTAAACACAAAAGTCTGAAATTCAAGAATATGGAGAATACTTCCTTTCATCAGCCACCACATTCAATTTCTGTGTTTTGGTTTAAATGCACGGTGTCAAAGAAGTCTTGTTTCACTTTAAAGGCAAAGAGTATCTAATTTTTAAAACTTCTGGAAATATTCAAACAGAATTTTAGTAGCTTTACTATGTTGAAGAAGGAGAATTGGTAAACTTGGGTCTGAAGGCTATTCACTGTAATAGCTGCAAACATAGATGCCATCAGTACCTAAGACAAGTGGGAGGCAAAACCCTCTCGTGTTGACATATTTACAGTTGGTGCCAGAGCTCTCACTGGTGGGAGAGTCTCCTGTACCCATGCTGCCATTTAACACAGTGTGAGATAGCATCCAGAGCATACCCTGCACTGTTAGACCCAAGCCTACTGTGACATTTAGTTGAACTTCCCACACTCAAGTATGGTAGTTTGCTGGCTTTAGGTATGTACATATCTAAATTTTAACAAAAGACCAGTACCTTGTGCTTACAAATGAATGACATCTACAAGTTCAAACACATACCTACAGGTGGAAGCAGACACTGAACCCTGAAGTTGGCACATACTGACTTAACTTGGCAGCAAAAATCAAAATAGTGCAGGGCCAGTGTGTTCATATGTTACAGGCAAGTTCTGCTTTTAATTGCAATGAAATATGTAATTGTCTGACTCAAATATTATGAGGTTGCTAAGCACTTCCTTCAAACTCTAGTACCAGAAAACTCTACCCTGGACCAGGGTCCCAAGGTCACCAGTCCTGGTATTCCTCACTAAATCGCCTAGGTGCTAAAGAGTTGTTCTGATGATAGCAAGAGAGCTTGTGTTTTCCAAAATTTATGGCCACTTTATTTCATTGTGGTGTCCTCTCCCTGTTGGTTTCTTATAACAAATGTATACTTTTCATTAAACTGTTCCTAGCGAATTCTCACAATAAAGCCCCAACACCTTAATTTGTTTTTCAGGGTCTCTCTCTCTACCTTGCAAAGCTATTGCCCCAAACACTGCACCCAACAGAACTTATTTCATTTGTTTCTCTTTTTACCTGTTGCTTTTGCTTTCTCTTCACCTAAAATGCCCTCCCTTATATATCTTCATCTCTAAATCTTATGATCAAGACCTTAGAAGTAGTCATTTTTGGTTCAGCAATATATGCACTGTGAGTGTGTGCACACGTGTGTATATACATATATACACACATATTAAATATACACCTTAGTGCATAAATCACATATATTAATATTAATGACATGGAAATATTACTGCCATTATATTAAGTGGAAAAAGCACATTGAAAAATATGATTCTATTTTTTTGAGGAGAAAAATATGTAGGAAAAAAATTTCTGAAGGTTCTACATCCACAAAAATGTTACCAGTTTGAGCTACTGGAGATAAGGCTTATTTTACTTTTTGGTGTTTTATATATTTGAGCAGTAAGTCTTTTGTAATAAGACATACACTAATAAAATGCATCTCTAAAGTACAGAGCACCTCATCCCACCCTTAAATAAAATTTTAGAATATCCGAACCCCAAACCCTTTAAGTCGTTCTCACAATTATGTATATATCCAGATATTTTAAAGAATGTTTAACTGATGTGCATGGTACTAAGGTTGATGATAATGATTTGGCACAGCATATTTTAATGCCTATTTTGGAAATCATCAGACTGTCCATTCACTCATGTTTGCAGTGATGCCCCTTTTGTCTCCAAGGGTTGAGTACACCTAAGATCTTTACTAATGAAAGAGGATTGAGATTTACTGTTTCCCAAAGACCTGGGTGGCATTTTTCAAATATTCTCCTCAACAGAAAAAGAGCAAGCAATTCTGCTGTGTCATAGTTGTGAACAACGTGTTCACAAAGAAGTGTGACTATTGTTTCTGGTGAATGTATTATGTAAAAAAAATCATAATACATAATCATAATACTCCCCATCTACTCTGTCACTCTGAGGCCCTGATATCTTGCTTTGTGTTTCGTTTCTCTATATAGGCTTCTTCTGAAACAAAAAGGAATATTTGATACTCACTGATAATTTTTTTAAAGAGTGAATTAGGCAATTTTCCTTGAAACTTCTTTTCTAATTTAGCATGAAGTAGAATAGAATAGTAGAAATGATGGGATTTATTTGGTGATACCAAAATAAGAAGGGGAATTGTTTGGTCCTACAGCAGACTGTAAGAGGGCTGAGGAACGGACTGAAGAAAATTATCAAGCATGCATGTTGTTTTTAAGTGATACTTGAGACTTGGATGTGCAACAGCTGTGTTGTTGGCTTTTTTTTCTTGTGCCAACTTTCTTTATTTGATTGATTTTCTCTCTGACAGCCCACTGTGCTGATAAATGTGTCCATGGTCGCTGTATTGCTCCAAACACCTGTCAGTGTGAGCCTGGCTGGGGAGGGACCAACTGCTCCAGTGGTAAGTTTCCACCTGCTGTTGTCTGTCTCGGGATGTTTTTGCTGTAAGGCCCTCCTTGTCTGCAGATGACCCTGAGCCATGCTTTCCCTCTTCATCCCTACACAGAGCATAGTGTAAATGCCACGACCAACTCAGTCATACAGTTTCTTTTAAATCTGTACATGTACATATACATTATTCGTTAATTAAGTATAAAGAAAAGTTCTTGGAAAGAAGGAAATTTCAGTGATCATACAACAGCTCATACTTCTGTGGATATGAATGCATTTTCTAGAGTAGGGTCCACAATTTAGATTCCTTACCTCAGTAAGGCAGTTGTGGTAACATAGCTATTGTATCCTAACTTCTGTTTTTACCTGTTGATTTCTCTAAGAAAATCTCTTGGTGATTAAAATTTACCACCTGTTGGTTTTTAACTCAGAAGTGAAACTGGCATTTTTGACACTAACATATCTTTTTGTCTCTGAATTCTGAGATGCAAATAACGAGTACTTGTTCAGATAACTTTAGGGAGACTTATCTGTAATAAAAGAAAATTCATGAAAATTTTGGTACTTGTTAAATCAATTCCTAACATAGTATATAATTTGTCTCCATTATGTTAGAATTATAATTCTAAAATGATGGTATTTTGGACTAAAAGCAGTCTACACGTAACATTTCATATGCATTATCACAAAGATTATATCATGGAATGTCATGTAATACAGTTGCTTTTCTAAATTTCACAGTTTAAACCAAAATCTTCTGGCTAACTTGTTGCTGTACACGTAATTGCATCCACTTCCTTTTCCTTTATACTTCTTTTTTCGCCTTGAGAAACGTGAGAAGGAATTAAAGTGCAACTAAATTGTAATGCGTGAAACATTACATTTTGAAAAAGGAAGCCATCGTTTTAAAAAGTTAGCAAGTTCGCATGAGAGCACACATTTCTCTTCGTTGCCACCAAGTAATTTTTTGAAATTAGTCTGAATGGACTTATTTCAATAAGCTGATTTTAAAAATTTTTACTTGCTTATTTTGGAATTGGGGAGATTATTCTTTATCTTGCTAGGACTACTTGTTTCGGACTTGTGATCTCTTGGCTCTCCTTGAAGCAGCTTCTCCAGGGGAAGCCCTTGTGCTGTCTGTGCACAGAACACTTGGTGTGAAAGAGCCTTTTAACTGTACCTTAAACAGGGACTGGGACTGTGTGTGTGTGTGTGTGTGTGTGTGTGTGTGTGTGTGTGTGTGTGTGTGTGTGTCTTTCTGCCCCTGACAGGCTTCTCAATTCCAGGGGAAAACTGTCTTGCAGGGTTTTGTTTTGCTTCTGTTGGAAATCAGGAGGAGAGTGGGCATTTTGTTCACACGCCATTGAGGCAAAATGTTTGGGATGTGGGATTTGGCTCATGTCCATTTTTCTGGCCGACTGACCTCAAATGTGATGTTGCTTTCATTAACTTTTCCAGTTTAAAAATCAGTTGTGCCTAGACATCTTGAAGAAAAATAACATTATTATAAACTAGTGGGATAGGGAAGAGTGGGCGTATTAGTCATTTAAAACTATGTGGTTTGCCACTAATTCCAGGGCAAGAATGCCACAGAATAACTTCAGTTGTATTCATACTTTGTCTCCTAAGAATTGCAGACTACCTCGAGCTAAGGGCTCAGACTGAAGTGATTGTGTAAGCAAAACAAAAGCCTACATGGGTTTCAGACTCTCTAGAACTGATTAGGACCTTCTAGAAAATAAACCGTTGCTTTATTTTGGAGTTTAATGAAGACTCTAGAATTCTGAGAACAGATGTTCTTTTAACACTGAAATATGATATTGAAGCAACTTTTAGTTTATTTTTTACAACTCACGTTTTGGCTTTATGATGAACAAAAGCACAAATAAACATGAACAGATGTCTGAAATGTTTAAAGGTGTTCTGAGAAAAACATCTTTGATACCTTTTTAAGCAGGTAAAAAAACGATATTCTGAGCTGAACCCAGAATATAGGTCTTGCTATCTGGGTTTTGTCTGTGGCAATCAACCTAATGTCAGGAAATGTATCATTTTGTTCACTCTTGACTAGATAATTCTGGAACCAAAATCTATTGTCTAGTAATATGCTACTTAGCAAAATTTAAATGGCCTAATTTCTAAGGATTCTATTTCCATCTCCCCCCTGCTTTGGTTATTGTTATGCATCAATTTGATGGTGGACATTAGATCCATAATATAATTGCTTTGATAATTAGACTGGCTCCTTGTATCACTTAAGATCCAATTAGGAGATAGAAACCACAGTAATTTTTAAATTTTTAAAATACAAATTGGTTTTATTTGGGAACACTTTTAGACTTATAGAAAAGTTGCAAAGATAGTACAGAGCTCCTGTGTGCTCAAACCCAGTCTCCCCCATTGTTAACTTCTTAAATTACTATTAGTTTGTCAAAACTGGGAAACTGACCATAGTATATTACTATTCAATCAACTGCAGATGTTATTTGGATTTTATCAATTTTTCCACTAACGTCCTCTTTCTCTTCCGGATTCCAGCTCAGGCCAACACACTACATTTCACTGTCATGTCTCCCCTGTCTTCTCTGGTCTGTGACAGTTTCTCAGTCTTTCCTTGTTTTCATGACCTTGAAATTGATAGTCTAGAGGAGAACTGGCCAGGTATCCTGTAGAATGTTCCCCAATCTGTGTTTGTCTGGTGCTTTTCTCATGATCAGACATGGGTTATGAGTTTTGAAGAGAATACCAGAATTGAAGTGCTCTTTCTCTTCACATGATATCATGATATCCATGTGACATCACTGGTGTCATCACTTGGTTAACCTTCATCACTTGGTTAAGGTAGTGTGCTAGGCTTCTCCACATAAAGTTACAATTTTCCCCTTTCTGTACTCTACTCTGCAGAAGCAAGTCACTAAGACTATCGAGCCTTCAGGGATGAAGGGCAGGACTCAAGCTCCATGTCTTTGAGGAAGGAATATCTGCCTATATTATTTGGAATTTTTCTGTAAGGAAGATTTGCTTCTTCTCCTGCATTTATTCAAACATTTATTTATATCAGTAAGAACTCATGTATATTTATTTGACATTTTGGGTTATAAAACAGTATTACATAATTTATTTTGTTGCCCAGGTCATTCCAGCTTTGGCCATTGTGTCTTTTTTTTGTTTTGTTTTTAGACTAGAGTCTCGCTCTGTCACCTAGGCTGGAGTGCAATGGCTGATCTTGGCTCACTGCAACCTCTGCCTCCTGGGTTCAAGCAATTCTCATGCTTCAGCCTCCCTAGTAGCTGGGCTTACAGGCATGTGCCACCACACCTGGCTAATTTTTGTATTTTTAGCAGAGACGGGGTTTCACCATATTGCCCAGGCTGGTCTTGAAGTCCTGACCTCAGTTGATCCACCCACCTCGGCCTCCCAAAATGCTGGGATTACAGGTGTGAGCCACTGCGCCCAACCCATTGTGTCCCTTTGACATGACTCATCTTTTTGATTTTGAGTGCTTTCTTACTTTCTGGTGCTAGAAGATATTCCAGGCTAATTTTTAATTTTTCCTACTGCAGCCCTAAAATGAACTATTTTTCAAAGAAGCCTTGGTACCTTTTATTGTAGAGTGGTATTTATAAACCAAGATCTAGGTGCTGGTGTGGTCATTGCTACTGCAACACAGAGTAACTGGAAAGGAGAAAGTTTAATATAAAGAATATTAACTAACTATAACAGGAGATTGGAGTAATGAGGGATGGGCTAGTAAGAAGTAGATAGATCTCTAGAGAATATAGGAATAGCAGATATAAGAAGCAACCACTACCTCTAAGGTGGACATAGAATGTCCAAAAAGGAAACCCCACTAAGGGTGCGATCCAGACCTGCTGGAGAGGGCACAGTCACAGCTCACTCAGATCCAGAGAGGTGCTGTGGTACTATCCTAGCAGAACTTGCTGGAAATATGCCCTCTAGGACTTTTATAGGACTTTGGAAAAAACTCTTCATGGAAAAGTCTCACCAGAAGCACTCTGCTACAAAAAAGGGGAAGTCATTGGCTGATGGGTGCAGCTAGCCACAGTGTACTGCAGGAGCGGTATGCTAGAGAAGCTGTCCGTGCTGCAAGAGCTTGGTTCTGGATAAGCAATTTGTGCTACAGAAACAAGGCATTGGAAAAGCCATAGGTGCTCCAGGAGCCAGGTACTGGAGCAGCTATTGGCACTGCGCTTACATTGCAGAAGCTTGGTGCTTTAGGAGCCAAGAGCACAAGTGCACTACGTGCTCTGAGTGCACTGGAAGTAGAATGGAAAAACTCCTTTTGCAATGTCTCTCTAGCGCCCCCTATTGAAAATACTTAACATTTGGCCAACCAGCAATAGAAAAATATTTGGAGGGCACATACCCATTTTTGTAGAGCAGGCAATGAAGGATAAATTTAGAGCTGAAAGGCAATAAACTGATAACTGTTGACGCATACTCCTTTGGTTATCCAATTCCTATATGCACCCTCCACACATGTTTGCATTCCTATACATAAAAAAAACCCCTGTATTTCCACCTAATATACAGCAATTCATCTTAGAAGTGAACATGCTCATACTCTCTTCCTAAAATGAGGAGATGCAAGTCCCAACATTCATTGGATTCATTGCTGGTTATATTAAATTTTTTTCAAATTAAGTCACAGTTCTACTGAATATTCTGTTTCCTAGATACTAAAGTTAACTTGAAACAACTAGCATGTAAAACAGAAAGGAAAAAAAGAAAATAGCAAATAAAATAAACATATGCATATAACAAACAAATAACAAACATTAAGAGCTATTAAAAATGTCTTTCATGTAATTGGTCACAAGGTGGTAACTGATATCTATGGCTTCCCTCTTCTACTTCCCATCCCATATTTCCCCCACTCTCAGCCCAAACTTCAGTTACTTGGGGTTATTTACCTGGTGGAGTGGCTCAAACCATCATTACTGAAAGATCTGCATTCCTACTTGTCCTGCCTTTTTTCTGGTTGTTGACATTTGTCATCAACTTCATTACTGTCATGGGAGTATTAAGAGGTATTCCACAGAATCCTCGGGTTCCAGACCTAGGTGTTCCCTCCCTGTGCAGCAGCAACCCAATTTTCCCTTGATAATCTGGATCAATCACTCCAACCAGAAGTTTAACTCCTTTTACTGACATTAGGAGTCTAAAATGGTCAGATGGTAATCAATTGATAACTGTCCTACATAGCTGTCTTTTTTTTTTCCTTTCTAAAATACATGGGTGATTAAGGGACTGACAAATACTTTCAGTCCAATTTCAAAAGGCTTCTCTTTGAGATTTGATATGTCTGTTTGCCTTGGCAGCTGAGGGAAGGGTTCCTGCCTGTGACAAACAGTCAGTGTTCCTGGCTTTCCTGGGTCTCAATGTATTCTCTGTATAAAAAACCAGGTATGTCAGAGAATTGTAAAAAGTTTGTTCTCCCAAAATGAAATCATGATTTATTTGACTAGGCTTAGACATATTCCTTCTTTTTAAATTTGATTAAATTATTGTTTTTAAAAAGCACACATGTGTTTTACCTTTATTGGCATCCTAATGCGTATCCTAGCTTTTATGAGTGAATGACATTAATCTATTTTATCCCATCTCCTTCTTCCCTCCCCTCTTCCCTGCTCTAGCTCTGTTCTTCCCCCCATCAATTTATCTGCCCATGCATCAATCCTCCATTGCTCTTCTCCCCTCACTGGATGATAAACAACTCCTGGAGGGCAAAGGCCATATGTTATTAATCTCTGTAAGCCTCCATTGTGCCTGGCATGTGGTTGGAGCACAGTAAAACTTCCATTTAATTAGATTGAAGGAACCATATGATTCTATATGATTCTGAGAAGGTCATTCATGTGTTCATTTTGTGAACTTTCATTGAATGATTACTGTGTGCAAGGGACTGCATTGAATGCTGGGGATAAAGGAACAAATGAGTAATGGTTGCTGCTCTGACAGAGCTCATAGCTTGGGAGAAAAATAAAGTGAAAGAAAGAGAACTGCCTCTGTAGAAGAAGTAGATTGAGGGAAACTGGATGGAGTCAGATAAGGTAGTGAGAGATTTTCTGAGTGGACAAGGGAGACAAGGGCTAAGAGTGTACAGCCCTTCACTTTCAGTTGGGGACAGAAAACAGATTGCAATAGACTACTCTTCCAGAAACTTCTCTGAGAAGCCAAGGAGAGGAAGCAAAGAAATAGAGAGTTAGTAAGAAGTAAGTGTACGGTCAAGAAAAAGTTTTTTGTTTTCATGCCTTTGTCTATGTTTTAAGGTGAAAAAAGACTCAGAAGCTGAGAAGATGGTGAAAGAAAAGAGGGAGAGGCTGGAGACTGGGTTGAGAGAGTGGATTGCGGAATAGAGGCAACAAGGCACCTGAGAAGACAGCTGGCAGATGGGATGGGATCCTGGGCACTGACAGAGAGATTAGTAAGGAGTACTGCCCATTCCCAATAGAATGAGGAAGAAAACCATGGCCAGAATAGGTGTAAACAGGTTTCTAGGTATCAGGGGTGCTGGTGGGCAATGGGATGGAGAATCTGAGGAAGTCTATATCAGATGACCTTCCTTCTCTTGATAAACTGTCAGGAGAGAGAGTCTGCTGATATAAAAGGGGGCAGAAGGGCGGTTACATTGATGATCATGATGATAGTAATAGTTCACCTTTATTGAACACTTGATATGCAATCATCATTATAAGAGCTTTACAGGAATTACTCTCTTAATGGCCATAACATACTATAAGATGGTTGCAGTTATTGTTCCTAGTTTACAGATGAGGAAACGGAGGTGCAGAACATTTAGGTGACTTGCCTGAATTTATGTATCTATTAAGTGGTGGAGCCAAACTTGCATCTCATTCAGAGCCAGTAACTTTAATCACCGTGGTATGGGGCTAACGGAAGTTGGAAAACAGGTTTACTGAAAGTAGCAAGAATCAGCAACAGTGAGGAGAATGAGAGCAGGAGACAGGGGCAGATGACACCGGACGATTATGAAAACAAACCCTCTGAGAGACGTTGAGGGCCCATTAATACTAGAGATGATGAATTCATAATGGCACCCATCTAGACTTTCCTCATTCATAATCTTGTGAATGTTGGGGCAGATTCTATTTATGATCCTTTTCAATTCTGTGATTTTATGTATGACTTACTTTAAGCAATATGTATATGCAACTCCTGAGATCTTTCTTTGTGATGGAAACCCTTTAAACCTTTTGTATGAATAGCAGTAACACATTTGTTTTCTTATTCCATATAATCCTATTTATAATTTCCCAAACATCTATAGAGAAATCTATTTCACCTACAGCTATAGGGCACAAATGGTAGAGTCCTAAATCAGCCAGCATATGGTTTTCAAATGCTTGTCCCTCGGGCTCTTTGCTTTTGACATTAGTACCACATAGCGGCAAAAATAGAAATTAGCTTTGGTCTAGAAACTCCAAACTTGGGTTTTATTGAGTCACTAATAGCATTCCGGTTAAATATACTTGGCAGTAGTGAAAATATCCCTAGGAGGCAAGACTAGCTCAAACATTTTCAGGTGCAGCGTAAGGAACACTGATAACCTTTTGTGTAAAGCAGGCATGATGTACAGCATGGAGAAAGTAATAAGATTTTGCCTGCAGGATATTCGAATGGGGGGAATCCATTTGAAGGATATTATGAGCCAGAAACATAAGGCACAAAAAGCTGACATATTTCCTAGCAAAGTCTGCTGTAAAGATCTATTGACTGGCAACAATGGTGGGATCGATGCTGTCTGCGGAGAGTAGACGCTGGGAGCCCAGTCCTCGCTGCAGTCATTAACAGGCCTGTTGCGCTGTCAGAATTACTTTCGAAATCAGGTTGATGGAGCAGCAAGAATAAGAGTAGATCAGTTGGGTTCACTGGTGTTAGGGTCAGGCTGATGATGATAACTGGGAAGGATTGGGTTCTGAACAGTTCATCAGAACGGTCCCAAAGGTAGTTTCACTGATGGACCATCCAAATAGTTTGATAAAGGTCACAGACAGAAACTGCTGATTTTGCCTTTCCTAAGGAGTCCAAAATTTGGACTGTTCTTTGCCACTTTCAGGAGGGGCAAAGAACTACTACCACCACCCTCTGTCACCCACCCTGGAATGGAATTGCTATCCCCCTAACTGCTCTCCTTTCTGTGATGTTTCTGTGCCTCCCTTTCCTCATGCTTTGAACAAGGATAAGAATATCTATTATACTCATAGGCTTGTGGGGATTAAATGAAGACTTAACAGGTATTCGCCAGTGCTGTGCATGGCAGTATATAATGACAAGTAAATGCTACTTATGATTCCTTGTGTGACAAACATAGCTTACACCACACTTCTTCACACATGGCCCAGTCTTTTGACTGAACAGAGGATGGGGCAGCCCTTTGTGACATCTCTTCCTGTCTCACAGGCCACACCCTTCTTTATTTACTTATTTATTTTTGAGACTGGGTCTTGCTCTGTCACACAGGTTGAAGTGCAGTGGTGTGACCATAGCTCACTGCAGCCTCGACCTCCTGGGATCATGCCATCTTCCCACCTCAGCCTCCCGAGTAGCTGGGACAACAGGCACACACCACCAAACCCAGCTAATTTTTTTATTTTTTGTAGAGGCAGG
The DNA here is from genome assembly GCF_000001405.40 of Homo sapiens. Lineage (NCBI taxonomy): Eukaryota > Metazoa > Chordata > Mammalia > Primates > Hominidae > Homo > Homo sapiens. The sequence continues at coordinate 127,378,645 of NC_000005.10, forward strand.
GTCTCCCCATGTCTCCCATGCAGGTCCCTACTCTGGGGCTCAAGAGATCCTCCTGCCTCAGCCTCCCAAAGTGTTGGGAATTACAGGCATGGGCCACCGTGCCCCGCCCCCTACACCCTGCTTTAAATGGAGGCTCTCTTTGTCCACAGTTGCTTGCCACAAGATTCCCCAGACAGAAGACCTAGTAAAGTTTTATTTTGTTTTTGTTTTTGGTTTTTTTTTTTTGGTGCATTATTTCCAACCTCTGATCACAGATGTCCTTACCAGATGAAATCATATCCAGTTTATATTGCTTCTGGCATAGTGAGAATACTAATGATGTTTAAATTACTTGTGCTAGTGAGTTCATGCAGTGGCTTTAAAGATAAGACTGGGCTGTCATGTTGTTTAACTCCACTTCATATCATTCATTGATTTTTCTTTTTTTTTTTTTTTTTTGATACTTGGTGCAATATTCATTTTTCAGCAAATCTTGTTGGTTCAACTCCAAAATATAACCCAATCCAACCTCTTCTCATTATCTCTACTGCTGCCACTCCAGTCCATGCCACGTTCTCTCTAAACTGGTGATCGCGGTAGTCTCTTTGCTGGTTTCCCTGCTTCTTCCTCAGATGCCACCCAAGTCAATTATCTATGACCAGAGTGAGACTAGCGTGATCTTGTAAAAATGTACTTTAGAGCATGCTGCTCTCCTTCCCAAAACTGGCTGGAATTTCCCCTTACAGTTAGAATACACTCCAAAGCCCTGAGCACAATCCATCTAGCCATGCATGATCTATTCCTTCCTGTTTCCCTGATGTCTTCTCATTCTTCTACCTTTCAGGATATCACACTGCTCAGTCTCTGCCCTTCATTTATGGAACACACTCGTCTTATTTTTGCCTTTGCACTTGATATTTCCTCTGCTCAGAATAATACTCATCTCCCTGGTTCTTTATATGGCCAGCTTCTTTTTTTTTTTTTTTTTTTTTTTGAGACGGAGTCTCACTGTGTTGCCCAGGCTGGAGTGCAGTGGCACAATCTCAGCCCACTGCAACCCGTGCCTCCCGGGTTCAAGTGATTCTTGTCTCTCAGCCTCCTGAGTAGCTGGGATTACAGGCGCCCACCACCATGCCTGGCTAATTTTTGTATTTTTAGTAGAGATGGGATTTCACCATGTTGGCCAGGCTGGTCTCAAACTCCTGACCTCAAGAGATCTGCCCACCTCAGCTTCTTTCCAAAGTGCTGAAATTACGAGTGTGAGGCACCACGCCTGGCCACACGGCTGGCTTCTGTAGGTCAGTTAGTCAGCCTAAGTGCCACCACCATACAGACACTATCTCTGACCTCCATATGCAGAGTATGACCCTATTACTCTGTATCATATCTCCTTTTTAACGTTTTTAAATAGGAACTTTCTAAAAATACTTGATTTGTTAACTTGTTTTTTTTTTTTCTTGTCTGTCTTCCCCTCCAGGATGTAAGCCCCATGAAAACATGGGTTTTTGTCTGTTTTATCCCTGCTGTCTAGCTATCACTGAATGTCTAGCACAGTCCTGGGCACTCAGTTATGCTTAATAAATATTTGTGGATGGAAGGAATGAAGGCGTAAATGTGCCAGGAGCAGTGACAGATATAAAAATGAGACATGAGAGATGAGTAAGACACTGCCTCTTCTTTTTAGGGGCTCTTAGTTTGATAGAGGAGCTGAAGTATGTAAACAAACAGATTGGCAAAGCATCCGAAGCAGCCAGGGAGGAAGGGACCAAAGGTTTTCGACAGAGAGGGCGTGATGCGAAGTCCTTCCTTCAGTGGCCTAAGGTTGCTCAGGCTTCTGTGGCTTCAGGACGCACCTTGGCTATGTGCAGTGTAGACACATTCTTTTTTTTCTTTCCTTTTCTTTTTTTTTTTTGAGATGGAGTCTCGCATTGTCACCCGGGCTGGAGTGCAGTGGCGCAATCTTGGCTCACTGCAACCCCCGCCTCCTGGGTTCAAACGATTCTCCTGCCTCAGCCTCTCAAGTAGCTGGGATTACAGGTGCCTGTCACCACGTCCAGCTAACTTTTTATATTTTTAGTAGAGGCATGGTTTCACCATGTTGGCCAGTCTGGTCTCGAACTCCTGACCTCATGATTCGCCCGCCTCGGCCTCCCAAAGTGCTGGGATTACAGGTGTGAGCCACCGCGCCCAGCTGACACATTCATTCTTAATGACTTGGCAGAAGATCCCCTGGCCATAGACTGGTAGCTGCAATGAAATTATAGAAGTCAGGCAAGATGTACTGGGTGTGATTTCTGTGAACTTTGAGGAAAATGTGTGTCTCGGAGTTCTTCACCCTCAAGAGAGAAAAAATTATAATGTAAACATCAAGGTTATTACTGAGAGGGAGGAGTGACTTCTGAAATGGTGGCCCCATGACTAAGGAAGGTGTTTGAAAATCAGCCCTTGTTTGAGTGGAGAATATTTAACAATTTTGCTATCTAAACTTTCTCATATTACTTCTCAAGGTGGAAATTCTATGTGAGGATGTAGAACTTAGTTGTTAAATTTGTACCCAAATGGTGTACAAATGCATACAAACTGCAAATGAACAGTAAGAAATTAGGCAAAGAAATGCAGACTACAAATTATTTCTAATCACATAGTGATGAGTCGAATTTCATTAATCTTCTTAGACTCCTCTTTAATTAAATAAATAGCAGGAAATAACAGCCCGGTTTAAAAGAATGTTTGTACAGGGAGCAGAAATATTAGATCATAAATCTTTATAATTTCTTTCATATAAACATATACATGAAACATATACAAACCATTTTCTGACTGTACCAATGTGTTTGCTGGCTGCCGTGCTCAGAGTGAAGTGATGATATGTACGAGATGGTGCTGTAGACCTGCTTGTTTCCCTCTCCTACTGTCTTGGGCTACTGCCCGATTCTAATAGAGCCATGTGTGTCTTGTCTCAGGGGATTATACTGTCCACTGTCCATTGGCTGAAACTAGGTGTTGTAGTTTATTTTATTGTGTTTTGTTGTTGTTTCTTTTTGTTTTTGTTTTTGTTTTTCTCGAGACAAGAGTCTCGCTCTGTCACCCAGGCTGGAGTGCAGTGGCGTGATCTCAACTGACTGCAACCTCCACCTCCTTGGTTCAAGTGATTCTCCTGCCTCAGCCTCCTGAGTAGCTGGGACTACAGGAGCCCACCACCATGCTCAGCTAATTTTTGTATTTTTAGTAGAGGTGGGGTTTCACCATGTGGGCCAGGCTGGTCTCAAACTCCTGACCTCAAATGATCCACCCACCTTGGCCTCCCAAAGTGTTGGGATTACAGGCGTGAGCCACCGCACCCAGCCTGTTCTGGTTTATTTTTATAATTCGGCGTCTGTCATGGCTATATCTGATATCTTATTTTTTGTGAGTGTGTTAAAGAACTTTTTAAAACACTTGAAAATTTCCCCAGGTCAGAATTTCCCCCCAAAAGCTAATGACTCTTTTTCCTTCTTTGATCAAAGTATTTTTAAAATTCATACACAACCTAGTTAATTTTAATGAGTTTGAACATTTGTGCCTATAGCCTGGAGAAAATTAAGTGTTCTTGAGATGGATAAAACTCATGAAGGGCAGAAGTAAAAAGACAATAATATTTGTCCTAGTTATATAGACTATTCCAGTAGAACAAATAGTAGAGTTTATAAGAACATAGCTCTTGGTCCATAAATAAATGGTGTCATCTTAAAATTCTGTGAAAACCAAATGGTTTTACTACTCACTATTTTTGCATAAAACTAGTGGAGGTAGGTAGCTTGTAAAGAAAGTCTAAATTTTAATGGAATTGATTTGAACTTGATGTTAGTATATAATTGGAAATTTTTGTTCATACATTAAAGAAAAGCAGCCATTTTAAGAAAAAAGAAACTTATGTGGTAAAATCAGTATTATATAAGCAGATTTATCCATGCCTTAAATTAGCTTTTAGAATATTTAGACCACATCAGAGTTTAAAAGATTTTTAAGACAGAAGATACTATATGCAAAGTTAAAGGAGAAGTGAGAGATTAGGAAAATATTTTTGCCACATAAGTAAACAGACAAATGATTATTTATAAAATATGTAAAGAACCCCCACAAATTAATAAGTAAAAGAACCTCTGAACTTTAAAATAGGCAAAGGGTAGGATAAGGTAATTCAGAGGCGAGAAACCTGATTGACCAATGAACATGACAATATGCTAATCTTTGTAATAACAGGAAAGTACATAATAAAGAAACAAGATGTCATTTCTCACCATCAGATTGGCAATGGTTAAGAAGTCTGGCAATGGTTAAAAAGTTAAGTGTTGCCAAGGATGTGAAAGGAAGCTTCCACATACCACTTCCATGAAGGCAAATTGGCAGAGTAACTTTAGAGATCAATTTGACTATGTCTAGAGTAGAATTTTAATGTGTGGACCATGTAACCCAGCAATTTTTATTTCTACTTCTTTATAATTTGTTTATATATTTTGTGGAAACATGTATTAGGAGATAGATTATTTGCATCTTTTTAACAGTGAAAATTTGGAAACAACTAAAAATATCTGTGTATATGGGAAAAGGTAAATTTTTTGGAGGCTGTTAATGTAGTGAAATGTTACATAGCAGTTTATAGTATAATAATGAACTCCGTTACTATAAACTTGTATATAGCATTCCATTATATTAGCAGATTTATCATTATTAATCAGCTTATAGTCCTAGCTACCAAGCAGGCTGAGGTGGGGGTATTACTTGAGCTGAGGAGTTCAAGGCTGCAGTGAGCTAGGCTCATGCCACTGCACTCCAGCCTCGGAGACAGAGTGAGATAAATAAATAAATAAATAAAAATAAAAAGTAAATCTCAATATCATAATATTGGGTGAAAACAAAAGATTCACAGCAACATGAACATTTTATATAAAGCTAATACATATATAAAATAATTCTATATCTTATTTCTAAATACACCCCCCAACACACCCACAAACCAGAAGAACATATATTAAAACTATCACAGCATTTACCTTTGGGAAAAGGGTAGGGAAAGAGCTGGGAACCAGGCACAAAGGAGTCAGATAGGACTTTATCTGCCATGTTTTATTTCTTGAATTCAGTGAGGAAACAAATGTTATACAATGTTCATAAACAGTTAAGTCTCTGCTGTGGGTACATGAGCCTTTGTTATAGCATTATTCGTAGTCTCTCATAGTCCCATCGTTTAAATTTTTTTCTCAAGAAAACCATATTAAATCTTTCAGACCAAACAATTAGCATTAAGGATTCTAGTTTTCTTACTCTGAGATTTTAGGGAAGTCATTGAAAGCCTTTATCCTTTATCCTCATGTGTCCAGAAGGAAGATAAGCATTTTCACAACAGTGGTCCTGAATATTCATCCTTTAATATTCATCTCAATTCCTACTTCCTCTGGGAAACCTTCTCTCCCCCTCCTTTCTCTCCACTGCCCAAAGGTACATGGACATAGGTCCTCTATGTTCCCAGCAATGTGTGCAATCCTGTCTCGTAACACCTAGCACATTCTTTTGTGATAAATCTCACTGTGGGCCAGTCTCTTCCAATAGATAAGGAAATCTTAGCTATGGTACATGTCTTGGTAAGGAGCAAGTAGTAAGTGCTCAATAAATAGAACTTCGTAGCCAGAGAAGATGCTTAACAAATCTTTAATGAAAGAATAAATGATCAACAGAATAAAAATATGACAAGACTTTTTATAGCAAGACATCTTATAAGGGCTCCTGAGGTTGTTATTCTTCTTTTCACATCAGTGAATGAATGTAATCCTCCCAAATTATGTAACTTTAGCCTACAAGTTATATCCTTGAGATTTTCCTGCACCGTGAATAGGGTCATCAATATGTTGTCATAGAGACACATCAACATTTGCACTTCAGCACAATAGAGAATAAATATTTTACACCCCTTTTTCTGGTTCATAATTTGAGATAAGCTTACACTGAAGTTATAAAATGACAGTTCATTTAACAAACATTTTAAAAGAAGAATAAAGGTTCTCTCTCAGTCACTGAATAAAATTAATATAAACAGCACTGGGTGGTTGTCCACGGTGATCGTTGGCACTCTGTCAGCTCTCCAGAGGGGTTTTTGACATGTGAAGGACGTGGGGTTTTAGTGCTTTCAGAGTATCTGGAAAATACATTTTTATTGTTCTTCTTCATGGATGGAAAAGCTTTATGAAGTTGTTTTATTTTTAAAGTGCTTGATGTTTTGAATGAGGATCTTTTCTTCTACCATTAACAAAGGGAATGACACACCACAGCCTTGTTAGCCTGAAGCGCAAGGAATGAAATCCCAGGGAGATAAAAGACCCTCAGGGAACTGAGGCTTAAGAAGAAAGGGTGTATGTTTCAGGAAGAACCATGTTTTTCTATCCTTTGAGACAGTGGAAAATTATTTTGGTCTCCTCTAAAAGGCACTCTGTAGAGATATCTTCTTGAAAGTGACTTATTTGTACTTTGCCCATGTTTTAGACTATAAAGTATTAAATTTTCTTCTCTATTAATTTATCTCATAGTCATGGATTTTCCTATGTTTAAAGTCCATGGAGAACATTATAGCCAAACCTCATATAAATATATATTGTCAAGTCAGTATACTGATTTTGATGCATCCTAATAAATACTTGATATTTATAATTTTTTTTTTTTGAAACAGAGTCTCACTCTGTTGCCTAGGCTGGAATGCAGTGGTGTGATCTTGGCTCAAGTGATTCTCCTGCCTCAGCCTCCTGAGTGCTGGGATTACAGGTACGCACCACCATGCCTGGCTAATTTTTGTATTTTTAGTAGAGATGGGGTTTCGCCATGTTGGCGAGGCTGGTCTCATACTCCTGACCTCAGGTGATCTGCCCGACTTGGCCTGCCAAAGTGCTGGAATTACAGGCATGAGCCACTGTGCCGGGCCGACATTTATAATATTGAAGGCATATGTAGTGTTAGTTATTGCAAACAGTAACACCAGTGGGGTTAGTTATGTATTATAAGCGGACATCTCTTTCCCTATGATAAGCTTGAGTTCTAAGATTTGATATGTTATCCCACTGTAAGTATCTGGTAGAGATGTATCTTAAAGTTCTTGACCCCTATGTAATTCAACAATTAGATCCCAAGGCTATTAAACTAAGACTTTAAAACAACAACAATAACAACAACGTGGCTGTGTATGGTGGCTCATGACTATAATCCCTGCACTTTGGGAGGCCCAGGCAGGAGCACTGCTTGAGGCCAGGAGTTCAAGACCAGCCTGGGCATCGTAGTGAGACCTTGTCTCTACAAAATATTTTTAAAAAATCATCTGGGCATGGTAGCATGTTCTTGTAGTTCTAGCTACTCTAGAGGCTGAGGTGGGAGGATCGATCAAGCCCAGGAGTTAGAGGTTACAGTGAGCTATGTTTGTGCCACTGCACTCCAGTCTAGGTAGCACAGTGAGAACCTGTCTCTAAAAACAAACAAACAAAACAAACAATAAAAAACACCTGACCTGCTCAGTTCACCTAGGGTTTGTTTACACCTAGTACAGGTACACAGAACTGGGCATTTCTGTTGCTGTCATTTAGAATCAGTTCCTTTAATAAGCATCTTACAGTTCAAAATGCATTTCAAGGTTGTATCTGTTGTCTTAGTTGGTGAACCATGGGCATAGATAAACTGAAGAAAAATCAAGGCAGTGAGATTATTTGGTGCCTCTCAATTTGGCAATGCTGTCCAGATTTTATTTATGACATCTTTTTATACTGAAGTGGGGATTGCTAAGAAAGTCATGTTTTTGTTTATTTCTCCTTTCATATTTCCGGACCCCATATACAAGCCTACACTTCTGGACATACAGTCACCAGCAAGTAGGAAATGTCTAAACTCCAGTTTTTAATTGGCAATGAAAAAGACTAAATGTAAAGTAGTTCTGGGTTTCCTTGCAGGCCTGAACTCACTCCAGTTGTCTTTGTAAAAATGAATAAAAGGTCCAAGCCTTGTTTTTTTCTTGATAGAGTTACTGGGCAATTTCGTTTTTGAAATTTTACATTGTGAGAACTAAGTTGTCCTTTCTGGCATGAATGATTCATGCAAGACAAACAAATAATACAAACCAAGGTCAGACACGTTAGTGCAGCTTCATACACAGTTGGAGGATGTTTTTCTAGGGCATTCTTTTTGCTGGGCTGGGACATCCCAATGTGCAAATCAGGGAATTTCTGCTGTTACTAGATCTGTGCAGTGTCACATATAACAAAAAGTACTTTTTGTGTAATTAGTGTGTTCCACCATCTTCATTTTACAACAAATAAAGGTTGGGGACTACCCCAAGGTTCTGTAGCGATGAATTGGCCATGGGCTAGCTAGGGCCCAGGTCTAGGCAATGTAAAGAGGCTACAGTCCCTCCTTGAGCCAGCTAGTGATTGAGGAATTTTGTAACAAGGTGAACATGATGGTAAACATCACTTCTTTCTTAAAGGGCAAAATGAGTTCATCTATTTTTATCAATTGCTTGGTTGGTTGCTGATAGAGTCCTTTGGATGAGACAATGTATTAATGTACCCTTATTCCTTCCTCCAGAGCACCTCTCCATTTAACATTTCTGTTTATCTCTAATCGTGCCCCCTTTCTTGTCCTTTGTCTACCTGAAAACAAGAGATTTACTAGATTCTCTCCATGTGTTCAAAGACTTTTTCTAATGCCTTGTTTTTTTGTCAATACCTGTGTGATTATGGACATGATAGGATATTCCTTATCAAAACTATTCTGATGAACCTGCTGCTACATCTTGAAGCCTGGGAACTGTCATTTTAAGCAAACAACTATTATTTCTCAGATAAACAGTTGTGAGACATTTGTTCTAGAATGTTCCCCTTTGAAAACCAGGCAGAAGCAGTTAATCTGCACTGATTCCGGTTTTGTAATTGATGACCATCACTTCTTTGGGGTGTTCAGCGTGGCATAAGGGATGATTGCAGCTTTGGAGACATTGCATTGATGGATTTGGGTTGAACCCTTGCTTTTGCCACTCAAACGCCAAGTGGCTTTGAGCAAATTGCCATTTGAGTTCATTTTGCAAATGGAAATATTGGAATAATTATATCTAACTCATTGAGTTATTGTGAGGTTTAAATAAAATAGCTGCATAATGTCCCTCATAATGTAATAATGCCTGGCACATGTTAGAAACTCAATGTATCTTAGAAAGCCTCCCGCTCCACTCTCTGTTTCGTGTCGTTTGCATGGAAAATTAGGCTGAGGGTTTGAGGCAGGTTAGGAGAGAAGAATGTACCTAGAATTTTGATGATGATTTTCTGGGTTTCTCTGCTTGTGAAAGTTATAGCGCTCTACACTCACAATCACTCTCATTTATTCACCAGATATTTTCTGAATGCCAGCCATGTGCCAGGTACTACATGGGCCTAATTTTCAGATCCATATACTCTTAAAGCTAATGACATTGATACTATGTTCATAGCAAGCTTTCTAGCTTTTTTGTTTGTATAGTATTATCATTATTATCATTTTGAGGCAGGATCTCACTCTGTCACCCAGGCTGGAGAGCAGTGGCACCATCTCAGTTCACTGCAGCCTCGACCTCCTGGACTCAAGCAATCCTTCCTCCTCAGCCTCCTGAGTAGCTGGGACTACAGGTGCATGCCACCACATTCAGCTCACTTTTGCATCTTTTATAGAGATGGGATTTCGCCATGTTACCCAGGCTGGTCTCTAACTCTTGAGCTCAAGCAATCCACCCACCTCAGCCTCCCAAAGTGCTGGAATTACAAGCGTAAGCCACCATGCCCAGCCTACATAGAATTATTATCAACTTCTAGAAGCTCTTCAAATCTGGCTAGCTCCTTAATTTTCTTTTTTCTTTTTATTTATTTATTTATTTATTTATTTATTTATTTATTTATTTTTTGAGGCAGAGTCTGGCTCTGTCGCCCAGGCTGGAGTGCAGTGGCGCGATCTCAGCTCACTGCAAACTCCGCCTCCTGGGTTCACACCATTCTCCTGCCTCAGCCTCCCAAGTAGCTGGGACTACAGGCACCCGCCACCATGCCCGGCTAATTTTTTGTATTTTTAGTAGAGACAGAGTTTCACCGTGTTAGCCAGGATGGTCTCGATCTCCTGACCTCGTGATCCACCCGCCTCAGCCTCCCAAAGTGCTGGGATTGCAGGCATGAGCCACTGCCCCTGGCCAATTTTATTTTTTCTTTGAGAAATGTCTTATGTTCTCACTACTGAGGTAATTTCTTTCTCAGTGTCCCTAAATACTGAGTAATTGGCTGACCCCCAAAGCCTTACTCAGTGAATCATTAATCATTTGTTGCTCTGCCTTAGAAAGAGTGCTGGTTTCATATTAGATGAGAAATATAATGGTGGAATATTATACTTAACCGAAACATATCATTTCAGCACTTCAGGAGCAGAATGGCCTCATGTAAAGCCCTTGACCTTTTGTATGCAGAAAGCCTTGGGTTTGAGTACTGATGCCACCACTGACTAGTTTTGGGACATTTTACCTAAATGTTCTAATCCTAAATATCCTCTATGTGCTTGTCATAATTGTCATGAGGACTAGAAATAGCTGTAATCCAGTCAGAATGGTTACTATTAAAAAGTCAAAAAATAACAGATGCTGGCGAGGTTGTTGGGAAAAGGGAATACCCTGTTGGTTGGAGTGTAAATTAGTTCAATTATTGTGAAAACAGTGTGGTGATTCCTCAAAGAGCTGAAAGCAGAACTACCATTCAACCCAAGAATCCCATTATTGGGTATATATCCAGAGGAATATAAATTGTTCCAACATAAAGATACATGCAGGTCAATGTTCATTGCAGCCCTGTTCACAATAGCAAAGACATGGAATCAACCTAAATGGCCATCAATGGCAGATTGGATAAAGAAAAGGTGCTACAAATACACCATGGAATACTGTGCAGCCATATAAGAGAATGAGATCATGTTCTTTGCAGGGACATGGATGGAGCTGGAGGCCATTATCCTTAGCATACTAATGCAGGAACAGAAAACAAAATACTGCATGTTCTCATTTATAAGTGGGAGCTAAATACCGAGAACACATGGACACATAAAGAGGAACAACAGACACTGTGGCCTATTGGCAAGTGGAGGGTGGGAGGAGGGAGAGGATCAGAAAAAAATAACTATTAGGTACTAGGCTTAGTACTTGGGTGATGAAATAATCTGTATGACAAACCCCCATGACATGAGTTTACCTTCATAACAAACCCGCACATATACTTCCTTTTTAAAAAGGAAGAGATATGTAAAGCATAAAGCACTGAACCTGGCATGATGTAAATGCCCAGCAGATAGAACCATTTAAAAAACCTTACTGCTTGATTTTCTTTTACTGCCAAAAGGATACATATTTACTGTAAAACATTTAGAAAACCTGGTTAAACCAAATGAATAAAAGAATAATCATGCATAATCTCAAGACCCAGAGATACCCACTGATGCCATTTCACTGTAGCTCTGTCTCTCTTTCTCATTTTAACCCTTTTCCCTCTTTTCCCCAGATAGTAGTTTCAACCATATGCAGTTGCTGCATCCTTACCTAAATTAATGGCAGTTTCATCAGGTTCATTCTGATATATTGCTAAAATTGGATTACATGGGGCATCTTTTTTTTTTTTGAGACAGAATCCCACTCTGTCATCCAGGTTGGAGTTCAGTAGAGCAATCACGACTCACTGCAGCCTCAACCTCCTGGGCTCAAGTGATCCTGCCACCTTAGCCTCCTGAGTAGCTGAGACTACCAGTGCAAGCCAGCACGCTGGGCTAATTTTTGTATATTTTTGTAGAGATAGGGGCTTGCTGTGTTTTCCAGGCTGGTCTCTAACTCCTGACCTCAAATGATACTCTTGTCTCAGCTTCACAGAGTGCTGGGATCACAGGCATAAGCCACTGTGCCTGGCCTTTTTAAAATCTACTTTTTATAATTATGATATCATAAATATGGTTCCAGTTCATAAAATCATCTTCTATAAAAATCATTTAATTAATCGATAGTATTCCATTGTATGACTGTACCACAATTTTTTCACCAGCTGCCTATTCCTGGAAAACTAGGTTGTTTTCAATTTATTGTTATAATCAGTGCTAGGATAAATGTCCTTATAGCTTTGGAGAGAGTGAAATATAGTGGTTTAGAACACGGACTCTGGAGGCAGGAGGTCTGTGCTTCACCCCTTGCTACCTGCGTAACTTTGAGCAAGTCACCTGGATCTCAATTTCTTCATCTACATAATAGGGACAACAATAGCACCTGTTTCATAGGGTCACTATGAGAGTTAATCTATCACGATGCTTGGAACAGTGTCTGTGGGCATGCTAAGGTATTATTAATGAGTTAGCTATTTATCTTTTATGAACGGTTATTGTCTTTATGTGTATATATACATACATACACACATGCGCGCGCGCGCGCGCACACACACACACACACACACACACACACACACACACACACACACACACACATACATGCTTATTTCTTTAGGAAAAACTCCCAAGAGAAGAATTTATGGTAAAGGGGCTTTATTAGACTTTGCCAGACTAATTTCTAATAAGGATGTGGTAATTTACTGTCCTGTAGTACTATATAAGAGTGCTGGTTTCTAGCTGGGTGCAGCAGCTCATTCCTGTAATACCAGCACTTTGGGATGCCAAGGTGCGCAGATAGCTTGAGCTCAGGAGTTCAAGACCAGCCTGGGCAACATGATGAAACCTCATCTCTACCAAAAATACAAAAAATTAGCCAGTCATGGCAGCATGCATCTATAGTCCCGGCTACTCAGGTGGGAGGATCACTTGAGCCCAGGGAAGGTTAAGGCTGCAGAGAGTCAAGATCGCACCACTGCACTCCAGCCTGGGTGACAGAGTGAGACCCTGTCTAAAATAAAAAAAAAAAAAAAGAGAGTGCTGGTTTCCACACAAAGGGAGAGGCTACCATTATCACTGTAAGTATCAGTCTCAACATTATTATTATTATTATTATGACTCAGGGTGCACAGATTTTCACCTCTGAAATCAGAATGCATCTAATCATCATCGTCAAACAGATGACTGTCATTCATGATTGTACAAAACCTTCTATTGACTCTGCTGAAATGAAGAAAGAGTGTCATTGCATCCTAACATCTATGAAATTCCATTTCATTTGGAAATTACAGAACAAGGCAAGCAAATATAAAGATTATGAACTAGTTGCTGGGCACAGTGGCTCACACCTGTAATCCTAGAACTTTGGGAGGCCAAGGCTGGAGGATCTGTTGAGGCCTGGAGTTCAAGATCAGCCTGGGCAACATCGTGAGACCCCATCTCTACAAAAAGTAAAATAAAGAAAAATTATCATCTGAGTTCAAAGTGAATGCCATGGAAAATAGATAATGCCATTTTCAGAGAGCATCTTAGATCGGTTCTCAAAAGTGTGCCTAAGGACAGAGTTTCCTGAGCTGCATTTCGAAGGCTGGGGAGTACTGAGGGAGCAAGAGGACAGGTCTACTATCTCTCCATAGTTATTTCTACTTCTTTTTGTTGTGTACAGAGCTGTGAAAATGATAATGGCCATAGTACAATAGCAGAGAGAATCAAGTTCGTGTTGATAAACTTTTGGCTGTTGCATGTATCATTCCCTGCAGCCCCTGCACCCCTCACACCCAGACTTCCTACTTAACAGTCCTCTACCCTGTACCTAAATGTGGCACACCCTGCCTTTTGGTCTCAGTTTAGGCATCAGTTTAGCTGGGAAGCCTTTTCTGATGCACCAACACTGGTTGGTTAAGTACCATCTCCTTATGTTTTCCGTTGTACCTAAGCCATCCCCTGACCTTATTACTTATTATTCAGTATTGTATTGCTTCAGACTTGGTGTCTCTGTCATTAAATGGAAAGCCGCTAGAAGCCTGTGCTCTTTATTTTCCTTTGAATTCCAGTCTAGCACCATGTCTGATACATGACAGGTACTTAAAAAATATCACTTGAATGAACTTCAGTACCCAGCCCGTGAATGTAACCTGGGGTTACTGGGGTATTGGAAGTTATAACCGTAAGGGTTCCAATGTGAGTCTATTGTCTTGAGAAGATCCAGTTCTCTACTAGTTTTCACTTACGGACTGGAGCTTGGATTATATGTAATCCAAGTAGTACCCAGCAGTTTAAACTTCCAACTTATTATGAGAGCTTATTAGAGCAAGCTGTCTGTGCCTGTCTGAGACTCTCATTAAGCCATTCCATGAAATATCTGCATGAATCTGGGCATCTTGCATCTGAGAGCCCATTTCCGGCGGTTAGTGCAGTTAGAACTGAAACCAGAGGCTGAAAATGAGTCGGCACTTGCTCACTAGCATTTAGGTCACTTTCAATTTAATCTGAAATAAAATTCTGTTCCTTTACTTCTTTTTTAAAAATTAGGATACTCAAGCTATTTTCATGTTAACTATATATTTTCTAAGTTGTTAGTGGGAATAGCCAACCAGTCACTTTCTCTTGTGGAGTGAAAGAAACTCTTGCCCTGTGAGATTAGAGTGAGGTGTTAAGGAAAAGATGTCAGATAGTTTGAATTCAGACCTTCTCCGAGCTGTCTCTCCAAATGTGGTACTTGAATTCAGGATAACTGGTCAAATTCTGCACTAAACATAAGGAATGAATTCTGCCTCCAGTCTAGACAAAGTCAGTGTACCCTTGTAGTTATCAGGGATGAGAGCTGGCTTATATGCTGTAGACTGTGTAACTCACTGGGATACATTTAAAAATGGATGCATTGAAGTGGTTAAATATGACAAATGAAGAAAGGAAAGGAAGTCACGGTAATGTCTGAATTCAACCCAGGTTTCTGTGTCCTACTTGTTCTTATACCTATTTGTCTGTAAACATGTGGATTTTTTTCCTGAATAGACCATGTTGATGTATGGTATTCACATTGTGAGGTCCATGTATTAGTGGCATTTTAGGAAAATATAGCCCGAAGTGGGGAAGCTATCACTTGAAAACATGTCATCATGCTTGGACATAGCCAGGAAATTAACCATGTCAGCATGATAATATTTCTTGAAAAGCCTGAAACCCATTTTTCTATGCTGATAGTTATCAGTTTCTGCTATAAACTCACTTGTATTATGATAAGATATCTTCAAAGTTTTTTTTTTTCTTTTTTTTTTGTTCTAATCCTAAGAAAACAGAGCTGGTGTCTGCCTGACTGCCCCACTGGGAGATAAGTTGTTGAATGAGGTGTAGAACAGGGTTGTGAAGAAGAGGAAAAATCAGTTCTGTCCCCTCAGTTCCTCTACTTCTCCCTACCTCTCTCTTGTTATATAAAACATGTTCTGTAAAGTGTATGTGCTTGGGGCCACCCTGACCACAGTGTCACATGGGGGAAAATTCTGTAATAACCCACCGTGATTTTTAAAAGTGTTTTGACATGATCTTGTTGTTTTTATCAAAGTAATTTTTATTAGGTAAAATTTCTTTTTTGTTGGTCAACTAATTCTCTACTGAACATAAGGAGTTGACAGATATTTAATTCAATATCTGAGGTTCCTAGAAGTTAAGAGGGACATGGAAACTTTGGAGAGCATTCAGTAAAAGGATAAATGAAATTGAATAAACTTTTTGAAAGTATGGAAAAGTATTGGAGTTGTAGTATCTAGAGAAGAGCAGGCCAAGCTGCATTCACATTTGGGAATAAGGTCATTTTTAATACAGAGGAGAGTGGTGAACTGGTTTACTATATTGTGAAAAAGTCAGGAGAAAAAAAGGATTCAATGATAAGATAATGGATTTAGCTCATACGGAATGATTTTTCTTACTCTTGAGGATTGATGAATCAAGTAACAAGTTACAAAGGCCTGTGTAATTTGTTTTGGAGTCCCTTCAAAACAGGATGGAGTCTTCTCTACCTGGGGTAGCTGAGATCAAAAGGGACATATCATGTAATTTTCTTAAAGATTTTTTTCTTTTGAGATCCTAGATTAAAAGAATTACAGTGGAAAAAAGACTCATTGTCCATATCCATAGGCAATAAAAGAAACAACTCATATGAATAACAATTAGGCTTCAGTCTCATTTTGAAACTACCACCTAATCTTATTTTGTGAAAGAAGATTGTGAGTTCTTAGGTAATTGCTTTCTTGATCTGCTTTAGGTTCAATAATTCTCTCTCATTGTTTTTAATTGTATTAAAGTGTGTTTATTAAAATACTAATGAGACCAAAGTCATACTGATTAAAAACAGAATTATTCATTTAAACCTTTTGATATTATGAAATCCAAGGTAGAGTCTAATATTGGAAGACGAATTCAGTACTTCTGATGAGTTGTTTGCTGTGTACCTAGAGTTTTCTTCTTTTGAACAATTTATTCCAGATCTGTTGAAGTTACAAAATTTTTATGAAATGAAACTTTTTTTTAATTGTAAAAGCAGTTTATTTTGAGCTCTAGGCAGGGTGCTTCTTCTTCAAGTGATTTTTATAGCATCTAATAAATATACCGCTGGCTCAGCAATACATACTAAGAGTAGATTTTGTTTATCATCACCCTCTTTAATTTTTTAGAATGTTTGGAATTGAAGTTTTTTTCCTTCCCTGCTCCCCTTTTCTACTCACTGACTTTTGTATTGCAGCCGCTCTTTCTTTTCTTTGGAACTGCACTTTAAATATATCTCTCAAATGCCATTTTCTTCCTTTGTCTTTTACCTGGTTTCGTTTGCCTATTATCTTTTCATTTAATTTGGATTCTTCGGCTTCAGGCTTGTCTTATTTTTTAAATATGTCAATATATTTAAGCATATTTGTCCATTTTTTCTGCCCTTTTTTTTGGTCAGTAATTCAGATTACCTTCCAAACACAGATGTTTTGACTGATATCTTTTTTTTTTTTTTTTTTTTTTTTTTGAGACGGAGTCTTGCTCTGTCCCCCAGGCTGGAGTGCAGTGGCGCAGTCTTAGCTCACTGCCAGCTCCGCCTCCCGGGTTCACGCCATTCTCCTGCCTCAGCCTCCCGAGTAGCTGGGACTACAGGCGCCCGCCACCATGCCCTGCTAATTTTTTGTATTTTTAGTAGAGATGGGGTTTCACCGTGTTAGCCAGGATGGTCTTGATTTCCTGACCTCGTGATCCTCCCGTCTCGGCCTCCCAAAGTGCTGGGATTACAGGCGTGAGCCACCGTTGACTGATATCTTAAAAGCAGATCAGTAGTTTACTTCTTAGAGGACTCAGGACTCTGGCCCAGACCTGTAGCAGGGTCAGTCCACTCCCCAGTACTTCTGACTCTGTGTCCCCTCTCCCTTTTCATGGTTACTGCCTGTGATGGTCATCTGGACTGTTGCCATTTTTCCTGCTCCATCTCTCTGCCTCTCATCGTCAGCTCCTTCCACACACGTAGGAGGAGGCAAATCTGTGCTCTCCCTTCTTAAAATCTTTCACTACCAATCCCTTGTTCACAAGATGCAATCCAAACCCCTTAATATGCTAAAAAGTCCCTGCATGAGCTGATCATTCCCGTCTGCCTAGCCAGGCTGCTCTCCTTGCAGAACCCCTGAGCTCTTCCCCTAGCCCACTTCTCTAGCCACATCAAACTCCACACTCTGGATGCAGAACACAGTCTGAGTAAAGGCATGGAGACTTTTTATTTATTTATTGACATGATTGTCAATGAAGTGATAATTAAGCAATGGAGTGACAGGAGGTGGCCCAGTTGGTGCTGAGCACCAGTTTGTGAAGCATTGCCATGGGTTGGGGCCAGGGCCCTGATGTCCAGCTAATGAATGGCCATGAGAGGTCACCAAGCCATTCTCCCCGAGAGGCGAAGAAATCTGGTTCTCCCTTACCCACTGATATCCACTGTTTCTCTCCTCAATCTCAGCCTGCGATGGTGATCACTGGGGTCCCCACTGCACCAGCCGGTGCCAGTGCAAAAATGGGGCTCTGTGCAACCCCATCACCGGGGCTTGCCACTGTGCTGCGGGCTTCCGGGGCTGGCGCTGCGAGGACCGCTGTGAGCAGGGCACCTATGGTAACGACTGTCATCAGAGATGCCAGTGCCAGAATGGAGCCACCTGCGACCACGTCACGGGGGAATGCCGCTGCCCACCAGGATACACCGGAGCCTTGTAAGTCACATGCTGCCCAGCAGCAGAGCAGAGCCCACCCACCCTCTCCATTCATGCTGCTGCTGCCATCATATTTCTTGTGCCTCAGTTTGCATTGCTGCCTGAAGAGTTACTGATGGGTCTAGGCTGCAGGCACAGTTATAGAGGTCAGCAGTGATGGCCACTAGGTGCTGCTGCTGTTTGGCCCTTGCACATCAGATCCCAGCCTGAATCTAAGGGTCAGCTTCCATGCTTTCCTTCTAGCAGGCAAAGAGAGAGAGGGTCAGTCAGGATGTTGTGTTGAATGGCACTATTTGGGGGTTGTTGGGGCATATTTGGGATTCTGTTTGGATCTCCCGAGAATATGTTCATTTATACTGCTGGTTGTTAATGGTCCATGTCTTTTTGCTCTTTGTGGCAATTAATTAGCTGGGGAAAGCTGGGTGGGTTCAGTGCATTAGAAGAGAAAAGGAGGAAGGTGTTAAAAATAATCCATAATAAAAGATTAACTCTTAGGGATACATACATTATTTAATGCTCATGGATACATATTGCTTTGTGAATGTGAAGATATATGTATTACATCTATGTAGATTTTGTGCACACACATAGTTTAATTCTTTCTGAGGAACATTCAAGCAACTACTTAACCTCCACTGTCTTTATTTTGTTGGAAGGGCATTCTTCAGTTCACTTCTATTCACCAACAGAATTAAGAGGCAGAAGTTGCTAAAAAAAAGTAAGAGATAGAAAAATCCTCTTCCCTTACTGAGAAAATTACATTTATAAATCAAAGAACTAAAACTTGAAAAAACAAAATGTGGCTGATTAGGTAAACACTTCCTGCCAACAGTGTTAAACGCCTGTAGAGTGGAGCTAAAGAAAAAAATTGCATTAGCCTAGAAAGCCCTGATTTTCAGAATTGATGATTATCTCAAACTGTTTAATTGTTAATATTGCTTTTATGGGTTTTCATCAAGACCACAATTGAACTGGGCTGTGGGAAACTTGGAGCAATTTCCCAGGAGAGCAGGAAAGACAAAGGCTTAAAGAAGAAGGGCCATGCGACACGTGGGTGGGTGAGGGAAGGGAAACTTGTCAGTCAGTAGGAGAGAACACCAAAAATGGATGATGAGAAGGAGTTCATGTCCTTTGCAGGGACATGGATGAAACTGGAAGCCATCATTCTCAGCAAACTAACACAGGAACAGAAAACCAAACACCGCATGTTCTCACTCATAAGTGGGAGTTGAACAATGAGAACACATGGACACAGGGAGGGGAGCATCACACACTGGGGTCTGTCTGGGGGTGGGGGGAAAGGGGAGGGAGAGCATTAGGACAAATACCTAATGCATGCGGGGCTTAAAACCTAGATGACAGGTTGATAGGTGCAGCAAACCGCCATGGCACATGTACACCTATGTAACAAACCTGCATATTCTGCACATGTATCCTGGAACTTAAAGTAAAATTTTAAAAATTAAAAAAAAAAGGATGATGAATATGTGCACAAAGGGTGTGATGTGCAACATCTCAATTTTCTTTGGGAACAGAACAAACATATAAACAAAAGTAGACTTAAACTGGAGCACAAGCGCTTTATAAGTGTTACATGAGAAGTTCCTGTCATCAATGAGTGTTTGGCCAGTTTTCTTCCTCAGTGTTCTCAGATAGGATAGCTTCTCTTCAAACCGAAATGGCTTTATTAGAAAGTACCCCAAAACAAAGGGAAGGACTGGGTGACTCCTCAAAGACACTTCCAGGCAATATGATTAATGTTCTTGATGTTAATTAATTAAATGAACAATTATTGAACACAGAAAGCTTGTCTATTTTGGGGACCCTGGGTACAGTGAACCCGAGGGTCATGTGTCTGGGAAATAACAGTGTCCTTTGTCACATGTTAATCCCTCAGCTGTGAGGATCTTTGTCCTCCTGGTAAACATGGTCCACAGTGTGAGCAGAGATGCCCTTGTCAAAATGGAGGAGTGTGTCATCACGTCACTGGAGAATGCTCTTGCCCTTCTGGCTGGATGGTAAGCTTCCTTCCCACCTCCTCTGCCCCTGCCCCAAAGTCACCCATTCCAGGATACTCAGTGCATACACATGCAGGAGACTTTAGCACA
Organism: Homo sapiens; assembly: GCF_000001405.40. Taxonomy (NCBI): domain Eukaryota; kingdom Metazoa; phylum Chordata; class Mammalia; order Primates; family Hominidae; genus Homo; species Homo sapiens. The sequence continues at coordinate 127,398,887 of NC_000005.10, forward strand.
AAGGAAAGTTACCATGATGGTTGAAGATTCCAAAATTGGAAAGACTCAAGCCATTTTAAATCTGAAACTCTTCAGTTCTGAGGAGACAGAAGAAGGTGATTTAGTCCTAGACTTGAAGTGCATTGAAGGTTGTCATGTAAAGGGTAGTGGCCATCTGTCCTGCATTTCCCTTAAGGATAAAAAAAAGAGAGACAAATATCTAGTCTCACATGACAGTCAGTGCTGATAAACACTGGATTTATTTAACAATCATTTTCATAATTTTGTTCCATGAGTTGCTGTTGTTCTTTGGGAACATTATTCTTAACAGTGCAAGTGTCACCTGAAAAAAAATCATAGAAATCTGGGGATACATTGAGGTAAACCACATTTACCAAGTATTGCAGGACTTCTCAGAGCCTTGAGTGTGATAATCCAAGAGGAAGCTATTCAACATGTTTTCCAAATTTTGACGAGAATACCCTTTCTTCATGTAGCAATTTCACATGCTTAGAGTTATGTAGAATACACAGTGACAATTAGCTTCAAATTAGACATCTGAAATCAGGAAATATAATAATATTGATGTCATCTCTCTGAGTTGGTTTGTGCCTGTGTCTGCTTGAAGGCAGATGAGTGAGCAACCAATATCTGTTTCCTTCATTAACAAACTATTTAACAGAGCAATTGACTTTTTTATCACCTTCTATTTCCATGAGCAGTGCTAAAGCTGTTCTTTCAGAGGTTACAAGGGACTTAATTACCAAAACCCTTCTGTTCTCATTCAGCTTCATTTCTCCAAAGCTTTTCACTCTGTTGAGTACCAACCTCCCTTCCTTAATCCCTTTGCCTTCTATTTTTCTAATCATCCCGTCTCTTACCTTTCATACTAAAGATCCTTTTTCTAATCTCCCTTCTTCTGCATACTTCTTCATTACAGGATTTTGTAGGTTTAAGTCTTGTTCTTCTCTTTTCTCACCATAAATCCACTCTGGCAATCTCATCCAGACCCATAGCTTTAAGAAGTACTTGATGGTTTTTCCAGATTTTGATCTTACCTGCCTTGAGCTTAGATTTATATTTGTCACCCCAACCTTGATAACCTATAGACACAAAGCCACCGTCTCTTTGGGCAATGCCCAAGCTAGAGTCTCCACAGCCAGACCTGGTAGTAGAATTGGTCTGGTATTGCCTTTTCTTGTGGCTATGGAACAAAGGAGACCTGGAGTCCACTTTTCCATGAGGGTCTTGGGAAGTAAGAACAGTTTAAGATGTCAAGGCCACTGGGACAAGTATACAATAAAAATCAGATCTGAGAGGGTTAGAAATGGTGAGTAGCCCAGACAAAGTTCATTCTGGAGCCAAAGCATGGAGAAACAGCATGAGGCAATGGAGTTAGAGAGAGAGGAGAACTTTGAGTGCCTGAGGATGAAGACAAGGTGAAAAAGAAGCTGTTTAAGGAGTACTGAGCAGGTTTGAGTAGGCCTGGCAGAGTCAATGATAATAAATTTAATAAATCCAAACTTGTACACCCAAGCCTTTAGTAAGGCTACTCCTTCTCTACCTTTTTTGTCTTGGTTAAAACTAACACTTCTCTCTTAGTTGTCTGAGGTAAAGAAGCTGGGTTATTTCTGACTCCTCCTGTTCTTTCATTTCCTATACTCAGCCTTTTGCCAGTGTTGGTCTTTTGCAATGAAAGTATTTTGCTGGAGCAGCAGAGTGTTGAGAACTCCATGCTCTTTGGATAAGGATCTTCAGGCCTTTTACTCCTAGGACTTCTGTGTAGATATTGTCTGTGGAGTTGCCTTGCCTTGAGGCTGAAGCTCTTCTCAGTTGGGATGGTCAGGATGTGGGTTAATGGTAACCACAGGCTTGGGTTATGAGTCCCAGCACGTGGACAGATGGACCCCTCCCTAGCAGCCTAAGGGAGCCTCCTCTCACCTCTTTATCTGTGTCCCAGGCCCCTTACCTTACTTCTGCTTCAAAAATGCTTCAGTTTGTTTTTTTCTCCTGTGTAGCTGAGCTTTCAATTTATACTTCTTCTTTACAACATGTTATTTGTGCTGTCATCCTAGGTGCTTTTCAAAGATGAATATATATTCCTATAGACACACATACCTTCATATTGAAACGAAGAGAAATCATGTCCTCTTTAAAGCTGCTTGTGAATGTTAATCTTTATGCACGAAAATATTTCAGCGCATTTCTGAAGCTTATGTGGGACCATTGTGGGTAGTTAAGTCAGGCCCTGGGAGAGTGAGAATTTTCACCCCTTCTTACCACAGACTGACCTTCAGTATGTTATTCCTACAGTCATGCTTTTACCTCACATTAAGTATACCATGTCAGGCTAGAATGGAGAGACTAGAGCGATTTTTACATCCATTCCCCTCCCCACATTGTGAGCTAATTGAGGGTTGTTACCTTATCTTTGATTCTCAGTGCTTAGCTCAACACAGGCACATAGATGATTCTCAGTTAAGTGCTGATTCGAATCATCTCTCAAAGGCCTTTTCCATTCCAAGAGTCTGTGGAAGAAATTTCCCTGTTTGTAGATAGCTAGAAACCACCAGAGGAGACTTAATTAGCACACCAACTGCCTTTGTGGGTAGCCAGGAGTTAGAGGAAGTGTATTTTCTTATGCTGTCCAGAATAAACATTTAGGAAACCATCTGGTGTTCACTAGCCTCCAATTTCAGAGTGCCCACAGTCTGCCTTTTTTTAGAGAGAGGGAGGACAGAGCAACAGCTTCCAATAGTTAAAAACATTAGAAAAATCCCTGTTATTTGGGATATGTTGTTTGTCTAATTATAACTCCAATAAATAGATGAGAAGCTATGAGCCCAAGTGATACAGCCAAGTGAAGAAGAAAACAAGAGTATTTCATTGACTTATTGGTACAGTATCTTATTCCTATCCACGCAAGATTGGAGTAAATATAATGACTGTGCTTGACAAGATGGACAGCCTCTAGGGTGAGGAGAAATATCCACGTTACTCTCTTGGTTTTTCTCCCCAGGAAATAAGTTTTCCTATTGATCTTGGCTCAGCAATGCTTGTTGAATCTGCTGAAAATAAAATGTTTTTCTTCTGAAATAAATGTCTAGGTTCGTTCCTGTAGAAGTCTGTCTTCGGCAATGTGATTGTTAATTCAGGTACACAAAATTTCAATCTTGTGTTATGCTACATTTTAAGAAATAAAGCCAATGATAAAACATGTATTTTCTCTAGAACACATGGTAAAGCATTTGGATATTCCATGTGCGGCAGATGTTGCCATTTATGTAACGGATGCTCAATAAGTATTGTTGACTTATTGTGCATGTAAGACACAAGGAAGAACACTTATGAGGATTTATACATTCCTTAGGTTGCCATAATAATTTGATGTAACTTTGTTTTAAACTTCAGTTTTTAATATGGATTTTGCTTAACATTACTATTCAGCCGTCTTTGAATGTATCTTGAGATTTGGGCTTACTGAGTAATTAAGTCAATTTAATGTTTCTAATATTTTAAAGATGATGAACAGTTTATGTGCTCTAAAATTCTCTAATCTAATTTTCTTGCAGCCCTGTTCCCCATCCCTCCTTTCTATTTCCTCTCTTTTCTTCTTCATCCATCAGTTGTCTTTCCCTGGCTGGAGGCCCATCTAATTTTCCAAGTCTCTTTGAATGCAGGGCACAGTGTGTGGTCAGCCTTGCCCCGAGGGTCGCTTTGGAAAGAACTGTTCCCAAGAATGCCAGTGCCATAATGGAGGGACGTGTGATGCTGCCACAGGCCAATGTCATTGCAGTCCAGGATACACAGGGGAACGGTAAGGGATGCCCTTGTATTTCTCTGACTGTTTATAATGATGTGAAAGGAAAGTTTGTAGGGTCCGGGGAGCATCTTCAATACCATGTGTCCATGACTCTTCCATAATATTTCAGAAGTAGCTATACAGCCTCAATGTGTTTGACAGATTCTATCTTAATTCAGTGTATAGAAACTGAATTATAAATAGCAATGGTAAATTGAAGATAACAGAAAAAGCACTAAAAAAAAGACCATAAAATATCAGCTATTCAGAACCCATGATGAAAATGTCATTCTAGAGAGTTGAGTGTTTAGTACTGCCACTTACATTGTAAGTACTTGGTGATAGATTTATTTTTAAATGGGATGTGTACTTAGGTACCTTTCAAAAGTATAAAGTTACTTTCTTATGATTCAGTATTCTGTTAAGAATATTGATCATTATATTGTGTGGTGGCGATAGAGTCAGATCTGCTGGAACTTATAGGGCCCTCTGGTCCCACACGAAACAGAAAAAATGGCTGTGCTCATGCGGGTCTTACTGCCGCTGTTTATCATCCTCTGTATTTAATGGTAAACTGTTATCTCAGAGCGCTTTGCACACCCTACTTCTTTTTCTTTAATTTTTTTATTTTTATTTTTTTTGTGGGCACATAGTAGTTGTATATATTTATGGGGTACATGAGATGTTTTGATACAGGCTTGCAATGTGAACTAAGCACATTATGCGGAATGGGGTATCCATCCCCTCAAGTATTTATCCTTTGAGTTACAAGCAATTCAATTACACTCTTCAAATTATTTCAGAAAGTACAATGAAGTTACTATTGACCATAGTCACCCTATATGCTATCAAATAGTAGGTCTTAGTCATTCTTTCTAATTTTTTTTGTACCCATTAACCATCCCCATTTCCTCCACACCCTCCCACTATCCTTCCCAGCCTCTGGTAACCATTCTTCTACTCTCTGTGTCCATGAGTTCAATTGTTTTGATTTTTAGATCCCACAAATAAGTGAGAACATGTGATGTTTGTCTTTCTGTGCCTAGCTTATTTCATTTAACATAATGATCTCCAGTTCTATCCATGTTGTTGCAAATTACTGGATCTCATTCTTTTTATGGCTGAATAGTACTCCATTGTGTATATGTACCACATTTTCTTTATCCTTTCGTCTGTTGATAGACACGTAGGTTGCTTCCAAATCTTAGCTATTGTAAACAGTGCTGCAACAAACATAGGAGTGCAGATATCACTTCCATATACTGATTTACTTTCTTTGGGTATATACCCAGCAGTGGGATTGCTGGATCATAAGGTAGCTCAATTTTTAGTTTTTTGAGGAACCTCCAAACTGTTCTCCATAGTGGTTGTACTAATTTACATTCCCACTCACAGTGTACAAGGGTTCCGTTTTCTCTGCATCCTCACCAGCATTTGCTGTTGCCTGTCTTTTGGATATAAGCCATTTTTAACTGGCTTGAGATTATATCTCATTGCATATATAAATGCAAATCATTGTAGTTTTGATTTGCATTTCTCTGATGATCAATTGTGTTGAGCACCTTTTCATATGCCTGTTTGCCATTTGTATGTCTTCTTTCAAGAAATGTCTATTCAAATCTTTTGCCTATTTTTGATTGGAATATTAGACTTTTTCCTATAGAATTGTTTGAGCTCCTTATATATGCTGGTCATTAGGTTGGTGCAAAAGTAATTGCGGTTTTTACCATTGAAAGTAACGGTGAAGACCGCAATTACTTTTACACCAACCTATAACCCCTTGTCAGATGGATAGTTTGGAAATACTTTATCTCATTCTGTGGGCTGGCTCTTCACTTTGTTGATTGTATTCTTTGCTCTACAGAAAATTTTTAACATGATGTGTGCATCCTTCTTTTAATGCTCTTGAATCTGTCATGTCCTGGAAGACTAGGTAGCCAGGCTCACTGGATGTGTGTGTAGGATTTGAGAAGAGACTTGAGAGGCAGAAGGTCATAGTGATTGAAAACAATTATTTGGAATCTAGGTTTAGGTAAATGTGTCCCTGGAAACACTTTTTTTTTTTTGAGATGGAGTCTTGTTTTGTCCCCCAGGCTGGAGTGCAGTGGCATGATCTCGGCTCACCACAACTTCCATCTCCCAGGTTCAAGCAATTCTTCTGCCTCAGCCTCCCTAGTAGTTGGGATTACAGGCGCATGCTGCCATATCAGGCTAATTTTTTGTATTTTAGTAGAGATGGGGTTTCACTGTGTTGCCCAGGTTGGTATCGAACTCCTGAGCTCAGGCAATCTGCCTGCCTCAGCCTCCCAAAGTGCTAAGATTACAGGCGTTGGAAACACCTTTGTCTGTAACATCCTAATAATAATTGTGCTTCTCTCTAGGGTTGTAAGGATTAAATAAGTTAGTGTGTTAAAACATTTAAAACAGCCCTGGAACTTATCAGATTTTATTATTCTAGAGCAATTTCTATGAACTATGTAAATACTAGTGATTATCAGTTTGAGTGCTGTTTACAAGCTGCATAAATATTAGCTATCATTATTTTTTATGATGTCTTTGAATTAAGAATTCCCTCAACTTTTTTCCCCTTATTTTTTCTCTTTCTAAATCTTGGTCTAATTTTATGACTTTTAATAAGATACTGTCATGTTTGTTGCCTCCTGCCTCCAACTTAGACCCTGTACTTTCTTATTAAATTTATTTCTGAGTATTTTGTAATTTTTTAAAATTTCATTTCTGCCTGTAATTGGATATTTCTGGTTGAAGAAAAACTTGCTTTTGACTATTTACTTTTTAATTTATTCATACTACCAAACTTTCAAGGTAATTTTAATGTTGTTTTTAGCAAACTCTGGAGTTATTTAGTTATACTATCATATCATCTACAAATAAACATAAGTTAGTCTTTTCTTTTCAATATGTATAATGATTATTTCATTTCCTTGAATTATTGCATAAATTTGAGCCTCCAAATTAATGTTGACAAACAGCAGTAAAAGTAAAAATCCCTGTCTTGTTTCCAAATTTATTGGAATGGCTTCAGTATAGTCTCATGTTTGCTATTGGTATTTAGTAAATTATTTTCTTCATTCTTAAGTAGTTTTTTAAATCCCTTTTTTTAATTAAAAATTTTGTTAATAGTAGCTGCTTAATTTCATTAAATGCCTTTTTTTCTTTTGCTAATATAATTACATATTTTTCCTTTAATTTTTCATGCAATGAATTATTGACATCCTTAGTACACAGTTTTTATAACATGTAATTGGACTACTCAGATTTTGTAACTGACATCCTGGTTTTAGGTTGTATTTTGGATAGATTAGGCTGTTAGATAATTTCTGGATCCATTTAACATCTTATTATAGAAAAATGAGTTGGGGTAAGGGAGACACAAGACCAAGCACTATCTTAATAATAGTTTCTTGTCATATTTTAGGCCACTAAAATGGCAATATAATTTTTTTTTGCCCTCTAGGGATTTAAATTTCAAATTAGAGGTAGCACAAGAACAATAAACATACAAGGCAAATGAGCTTATACCTATTTCATCTGGAGTACAGGGAAAGGGAATAACAGTTAATTTTCAGATGAATTTTACATTTGAGCCAAGGAAGGCCAGGGGCCAGAGAAAGAGAAGGGAAGTAAAGAGAGAACTTGCTTCTCGACCTGCTGCTCTTGTAACTATTGTTTTTCTGATGAGCCAGTGACATGATTCCTGTTTTCAGCTGTTATCCCTGTCTGGGCTCTATAGTTAACACATGTACACAACAAACACATTTGTCACTATGAAAGGACAACAACGAATGGCCATGAGTCAGTCTGTGGCGGGAGGTGTGGGGAGAAAGGCCTTGATAGGCTGGGGTCTTAATTTGCCATTTCCCTTGTTTTGAGAAGTCAGTGAAATTTGATCAGTGAGGTTAGGGCAGAGGGCTGCTGGCCCTAGGAGCCTGCACAGAATTCCCAGGATGTGGGGACAGTCCTCCCCGCCAGAGAGAAATAAGAAAAATCCAAACAGACACCCTGTAGGCTGGCAGAGTAGTGCATAGATTGCCCAAATAAAAGGCTTTGGGGTTTGTGGAAAGGTTGAGAGGATATTGTGGTGAGTAAATGTAACATGACACAGTCAAGTAAGAGTGAAGAGACAATGGTTTCCAGATCCTTAAAAAACACCTTCTGAAGGGGTTAAAAGAGTTTCGAATGCCGATAGTGCTGCCGTAGGATCACTCTGGGCCCTGCGACAGCCTATTAGGGGCCCATGCACATGATTGGTGCTCAGTGAGTATTAGCTGGATGAAGGGATGCATGACTCAGTGATGAACTCTGTTAAGGTGAAGTCCAAAACAGCTCTGCCAAGTCTGTGTTCCATAGTACCCTAAAGGTGAAGATAAATGTGGGTGAAAGGAGGTGAAGTCAAAAATTATAGACAGGAATTGGGGGAATGCAGCATTGGTCGTCAATGGAGGAGCTCTTTCCTGTGTCTAGGAGCGTGGAGATGTTGGCTCTTTCCCAGTGCTTTTTACATTTCCCCCAGAGCAGCAGTTCCGGATGTTAGAAAGGTAGGCAGCTGATTCGTAGATTCCAGGTTTAATGAAGAATGTGATTCTTTCACACTAAATCATGGTTTGGCCTAACTATTCAAATCACTCTAGGGAAGGACATGCACAGAAGGTCAGGGGTGAAAGCGGTACCTGTCACCCCTTACACGTTAACTCACTTACTTTTTTCCTTAAGTTCACAATGACATACAACATAATAATAGAAACAATATTAAAACCAGTCTATGACCCTCACTGGTTTTGGGAATTGATGTGTTAATACTTTATCTCTACTTAATGCTTATCCATTCTTACCAATTCCAGGACATTACTTGAAATGTAAAAAAATTGGAAACCCCAAATTTCCATATGTCTACTGTGGCTGATATTTATTGCTATATCTTTATTACTTTTCTGCTATCTGTCCTAAGAAAATGCATTTCCTATTTCACTGATTTTTGAGAGCTTCTGTTCCATTTGGAACCGCAGAAGCAGCATTAAGGGCATAAAATTTGTTGGGAAATGGTGCTTCTTGAAGATAAAGAGACCAAGAAGGAGATAAAACTGCTTGATAAAGACTTTTAATGCAGCCAATCAGACAGGCATCAGCTATTTCATGATTATGTTTATTTTCAAGATGGAGAATATATACTTCTAGAAAGATATCCTACCATTTTCCTTTGGCAGATAGAAGTAGACATAACTATTATTAACAGGATTGTCCTACAAGTGCAACATTGACAAAACATAAAATGGGAATATGAATCCAGCTTAAATAATGGCTGCTTTAGTAAGTAACATTCAAATAGGACTTTTTGTTTTATATTTATAATGCAAACTAGTAGTGTGTTTAATTGTAGGTTAGAAAGGTAAATGTGGGTCAAGGCCAGCTATTATAGATTTTATTTTTCCTGAGAAAGGAAGTCTCTGCCAAGATATGATAAAATATACACACTGGTTCCCTGTAATTTGGTAACAGATAATTTCCCAGGCTTCCGATCTATACTACTTTCAACCACTTTTAAAGCTGTGCTTTTTACCAAGTTGAAATAATGAAGATAGTTTAAAACTTAACATTTGGGTTTGTTTTCAAATCCTTTTAGGAGACAGAAAATGATATTATTTATCTTTACCTTTTTCCTTTTGGAACTGACTTGCAAGAAAATCTAACAGACAGGTTGAAAAGTTGTCCTGACAGCCTTCAGTAGGAGCCATAATGAGACCACATTATTGTACTTAAGCATTTATTTCCTTAAAGTTTACATCTTTAAGGAAGAAACTAAATGACTTAGCTTATTGAAGCTTCTTAGAGGTTAAAAATAAAGAGCACCTTTTAAAAATACACTCTGGTCCAAAAATAGGTGTACCCATGTATAACTTTTAGGCACACGTTTTATTTTATGCTGAGTATTAGGTCAATTACTCCATAACTTTTCTAATGGTTTGTTGAGCAGTTGAAGGTTTTACCTGTTAACAAATACACCTGAAGATGTCTAGAATCTGTGAAACTAAATTTACATGAGATTCTTTTCCTTGTCTCCATCACATTAAATATATGCTAGAGCCAGAGGTAACCAGAAAAGCATCGAAAGGGCTGGTCCAAGTGGCTCATTCCTATAATCCCAACATTTTGGGAGGCTGAGGCGGGAGCATCACTTGAGTCTAGGAGTTTGAAACCAGCCTGGGTAACATAGCAAGACCTCATCTTTACAAAAAATTTAAAAATTAGCCTGACATGGTGGCGAGTGCCTGTGGTCCTAGCTACTCAGGCGGCAGAGGTGGGAGGGTCAATTGAGCCCAGGAGTTCGAGGTTACAGTGAGCTATGATGGCACCACTGCACTCCAGTCTGGGTGATAGAGGCAGACCCTGTCTCAAAAAAAAGTATCAAGATTTGTCCTCTACACTAAAATAGAATTCCTCCCACCCTGGTATTGTTACTTGTTGCACCCTATCATTAAAAATATGCAAAGTTTTGTGGAAACACTATTTCTTTGAAGTATGTTTCTTTTCTGCTTCTTTTAAGTGTGCTTGAATTTGTTATTATGCCTTACTGCTCACATGATACAGATCTAAAAAATGCAAGGCTGACCTACATTTCTGACTCTGGTTCTGGCCTGACTTGAGAGCCACATGGGAAGTGGCTGCCGAGACAAAGTGTACCCTTCTTGCGGCAAGTGCTCGGCTGGGCAAAGCCCTGTCTCCTTCCCTTGGCAGAAAGCTCCCCTTCTGCTGCAGAGAGCCAGTCACCTGGCCTAGTCAAAAAGAAACTTGGCTAGTCTAAGAACTATTTGTGCTTTCCATGGAGCAATGAGCGATCATTTTCTCTTTTCTATCTCGATTCCCTCTAGCAACTCAGCTCCCACCTCATTCGTCTTACCTAGAGCATATCCTTTCTCTTGGACAGAGCTCCAATGCCACTTTTAAAAAGATAATGAAGTGAATTTTTGAGGGCTGATCTTTACTCCTTGCCATTTGGCAGCCCTTCTTCCCAACAGAGGGCAATACCCCACTAGCCAAACATTTCGTGTTAGAAAACTCCAAGCCTTCCTACTGGCAGGCACTTCCCATGTTGGAATCGAGGACGTCTGATTTTGGTAGCTCAGAGTTTCCCAGATCTAAAGAGGACTTGGCTTATTAGTTAAAGAACTTTCTAACTGAGGAGGAATGATTACCATTCAGCTTTAAGTAAGAGTAAAAACGTGGCTAAGATTAAAAATTAATGTCCACATAAAAGCCAAGAGAATTAAAATTTAGTTTCAAATTTGACACAGAGTTTTCTCTTTGGAATTGGGAAAGTATGTTTTGAAATTTCATAATTATGGACTAACATTTGAAAATTTTTTTCCCATTTTCTTAGTATCTACTAAAGTGCTATGTAACTTTGGCAAGCACTAAGTGTAAACATGCCTCATGTCCTAAGCTCCTATTTTTGTTTTGGTTTCATTTTGTTGCTGTTGTTATTTGTTTTGTTTTTGTTTTCTACAGGTCATGCTGCTGTTACTACAATATGTAGCCAGAGTAATGTATCTTAACGCTTTTCATCCGTGTAATGGGACAATCACTAAATAATTGCAAGAGCAAAAAGCAGCTTCGATTTATGCATAACAAAGCCATTCCAAATTAACTGTTTATTTTCACATGGCACTAACTAATCTTTCTTCTTGCTCCTGCCTCTTGCTTGGTAGGTGCCAGGATGAGTGTCCTGTTGGGACCTATGGCGTTCTCTGTGCTGAGACCTGCCAGTGTGTCAACGGAGGGAAGTGTTACCACGTGAGCGGCGCATGCCTCTGTGAAGCAGGCTTTGCTGGCGAGCGCTGCGAAGCACGCCTGTGTCCTGAGGGGCTCTACGGCATCAAATGTGACAAACGGTGTCCCTGCCACCTGGAAAACACTCATAGGTGAGTGTCAGCTTCCCCTGGAAGGACGTGTCCTGTGAAAGTTTTAACCTTGGTTTTCAGGATTTGGAAGGAGGGATTGATAGAGTGATTCTCACCCCAAGCCCCCTCCTGCCTCTAGGCTACTCTGGGCAGGAATCGCCGAGTAAAAGGAAGACATTTTAACTTAATGTGTGATGGTCTACATTTGAGGTGCTAAAATTGTTCAATGGTTACTGGTGGATAGCAAATTCTATTCTCTATTAATGACCACTGATAAAAACAAAATTTGCTGAGGTTAGTAGAACTTTCCCTTAAGCAAGGGATTCTGTGACATTCCCTTAGAAGCAAAGATGCAATGAGAGACAAGGAGTTTAGCCAAATTTAGTATGCAAAAATATCAAAAAGTGATTCTTACTGCAGCATCTTTTATTCGACAGCACATCTGTGGAAGAAAAAAAAAGGCTAGAGAGAGGAAGTGAACTGGTGGAAGTTTTGTGAAAGTGTTTCACATGTGGCTGTCACATGTGAAATATCTTTTTCGAATTGATTACTCTGACATAGAACTCACAAGGGACTTTTAGCTCAAAAACCTCTCCAAGAATTTGAGAACAGGAAACCACGATCCTACCCACCCTACTGTACCTTGTCTGCCCTGAAAATGTCTTCTTACCCCTGTTTCTTCTTTCCCTCCCCCAGGGACCAGATACACATAACTTAGAATTCTGGGCCTCCTTTGCAGACTGCTGGAAAAGCTGAGTTTGACAAAAATGTAGTGCGTTATATAGCAGTTCAGATCTTACTAGAATTACTTTATTTGCATTCAGCACAGCTGTTACTTCATTTATACTTCTGAAAGATAACTCATAGCCACATCAAATCCCAAATGCATAGAATTTAAAAGTAAACAAAAGCGTGTGGTTGGTCTCTTCTTTAAACCATTGTTAGTAACAAAAATATAGAGTTTGCACTCTGTGTGTGTGTGTGTGTGTGCGCGCATATGTGTGCTGTAATACATTTTAGTGGGACATATGAAAGAAGTGTATTCTCAATATGATTCAAGTAACTTTGTAAGCCATATTAGTCAACTTTGGTTTTCTTCGTTGGAAAATATTGCCTTTCTTTACTTGACAAGTTTACGTAAATATTTGGGGGAATAAAAATGAATAATCTCCACAGGGTTTTATTTTTCAACTCTCTAATATTTAAGGAGCTGGCAGGATTAGGGACAAGTCATGAATTTGGGTCCCTTTCCTACAGTATAAGTCTTATTGCAGCAAAAAGTAAGCCTCATGTAGTGACAACTAAGAACATTACACCAGTGTGCTGTTCCGTTGTACATAGAGACAACTGAAATCAAATGGAATAATAAATCTATGCAAAGGAAGAGCTCTGCTATGAGAAGAATTGGAGAAGCAGAGAGCATGTTGGTTTTGTTGGAATTGGATACCATATTAGTAGTGGCAAGGTGCAAAGTGGAGAATTAGTTAATTGATGGCAATACTGTGGTAATTTTGACATAGGTCATATGTACCTAAGCATATATGTGTTAACAAAGAAGTACATGACATTTTTTGACAATTACATAGATCAATAACACTAAAATCTGTCTAATATTGTATACCAAATAATCCGAATATTTTAAAAAATCAGTCTTTTCATGATTTTGTAAATCATGAAAGGTATTTTTAAAGATTAGCTTTTACGAATTTCTATTAAAACAAGTTTAATGTTGATTATATGACTCTATCTTGTTGAATTAATCATTGGAGCCATCTATCTAGTTCTTATATCTTAAACTTCTATGTGTAAAACTCCTGGAAGCCCAAGGTCCCTTCAAACCAAAAGGCATAGAATCCTTGTATTAATTGAAAGTCTAGTTTGTTCACATTAGCATTTATCAAGCAAGTGGAGCCTTGCTGTTACATAATTTATGATATACTAAAGCCTTCCATTATAATTAATGAGATAACAAATACAGTGTAAATTAATAATGTACATTGTCTTTAGGTACATATTGAGTTCTATGGATATACACATTGACATATATTTTAGCCATATAGTTGGGTAAGGGTTTGTATCAGGTAGCTTTTGCAGCATTAAAAAACAAACAAACAAACAAACAAAAAAACTACTCCAAACCCAATGACGTAAAATAACAATTATTTACTAACTGATGATTTTTTGCTTGACTATGTGGGCTAGGCTCAACTTGGTGGTTCTTCTGCTGGTCTCCTTGTGTTCAGCTGGCAGATCAACTGGAGGCTAATTGGTCCTGGATATCCTCACTCACATGTCTGGCATTTGGCTGGGTGATGGGGCTGACTGAGCCACACATCTCCAGTATCTAGCAGGCTAGCCTGGGCTTTTTCACATGGTGACTGGTTTCTAAAACAGAAGACAGTACAGACCCCCAACATACACTTTTTAAGCCTTTGGTTATGTCATGTTCGCTAATACCCCTTTAGATAAGACAAGTCATCTAACCAAGTCCAGATTCAACATACCCCACCTCTCGATGGGAGGTGTTGCAAAGAATTTGTAGACATTTTTATTTTGCAATCTATCATGGAGCTGAAATGAATTTAAATATATTTATAAGTAATATTAGTATTTCAAACTTTAGCAGTATTATTGAGCCTAAAGATATTCACTGTGACCTGGACTTTTCAACTGAAAACTAACTGTTATGGTGGAAATGATTTTGAACAAGAAAATAAAATTTGAGATTTAATAATATTCCACATGCAATATAGAGAGATAGATTAACTGCTTTTGGTAATAAAGACATTTAATAGCCATGGACAATCCGGATGTGCCTATTTGCAAATGTCATGTAATTGTCATTATATTTGATCATTAATAACATCTAAGGAAATGAATAAAAAGAAGTTCAATGACTCTGTTTCAGCCAATATTATATAGTATTGGACTTTTGTTGTAATTCAACTATTAAACAGTTTCCTGGAATATATGTATATAGTTATATGTGTTTATAAAATGACAACTATTCCCATATGTGTATAATCCTATTTTCATATACACAAAGCAATCTGTTCTTTAGACAGAAAACAGGTAATGAGTATATCACCCTTCAACCTCCAAACTGCTGCTTCTACAACAACATGTAAATCTCATTACCAATTAAGCTGCCTGCATGAGAACCCATCAAATGCCTCCAAAGTGCTCTAGCTTCCTACATCTAATTATAAATTGCAGAATACTAATTTTGGTGTCAATCAGTCTGAAAACCAGTGTGCTGCACTAACACTCACTGGGGGGCATTGAATATCAATTTCTCAGCCTGCCTCTTGCTTTGTTGAATTCATTGTCATCCAAATTGTCTATTTTCTTTAACATTATGTCTACACCATGAATACTGTTTTCTACTTTTCAATGTAAAGTAATATTTTCTACCAAAAATATCATTTGTTTTACAATATGTTAAGATAAGGTAGGCTACTTAAACCAATCTATCACTTGAAATATTTCTTTTCCCTTTATCAAATGTAAGGACTTACTGAAGTAAACTTAAAAATTTCCCGTTTTTTGTACAATATTTGTTTTTACTGATCCTGTTGACCCCTTTATATGTGCCAAATTCTAAATCTTAGCAATTGTCCTTCATGTCTGGTCCCCTCAGCAGGCTGTTAGCAAACCTCCCTTTTCTTTGGTATAAAAGCAAACCTGGGTTCAAGTTTGATTCTGCCTCACTACCTGTGTGAGACTTTGAATAAATAATTTACCCTTTCTAGGCCTCTATTTTCTCATTTATAAAATGGGATCATACCATCTAGGATGGCTGTGAGGATTGAACTAAATGGTGCTCAGCACATTGCTGAGACTTACTCAGTGCCCAGTAAATGCTGACTCCTGGTCTGTGCGTTCACTTACAATATCATCACAAACATGGTGACATTCATGAGTTGTTCTCTGTGATTAATGGCTATTTCCTTTAAGCCAAGACTTTGACATTTTAAAAACGAATTTTAGAGGAAATCTTCCCCTTTGTATACATATATACTGAGGATAATTTAACATTGTTCAGTGACTCTGAGATGTCAGGGAGAAGCAGATTAATGTGGGAAAGCTAGATCCCTGGAGTCACATCCGCTGTGTATCACCTGTGGCATTTTCACTTATTCATTCAATCTGCATTTACTGTGGGCCTACCATGTGCCCGTGAAAGGTGGCAAAACAGATTTAATTCTGGCCCTCCTGGAACTCACAGTGTAGAAGAGAAAGAAGACATTAAAGGACTGGAAAAATAAACAGAATTATAGATTGTGAAAAGTGAGATGGGAAGAAGGATCAGGGTGGTAAGGAAGAGTGTAAGTGGAGAGACCTACCTTCAATTTGGGTGGACAGGGAAGGTTTCTTTGAGGAAGGGATGTTTAAGCTGAGACTGGAAAGACAAACTGGAGAGAGATAGGCAGAGAGTAAGGAAACTGCATCCTAAGAACATGGAATAGCCCATGTGGACGCCCCTAAATTGAAAAAAAAAAATGATGCTTTTACAAACTAGGAGAAATCCAATGTGGTCAAGCATAGCAATAAAGAGAGAATAATGATGAAAGAAGAGGTTGAGGAGTAGGCAGTGGCCAGATGATGAGGCCCCACGGGCTGTATTTAGGGTGATTGTATATCAGGTTTCACAAGGATAGTCTGGTTTAGGCCTGTTGTCCTAGTATAATTATTAGCAGCTCTCTCTTCACTCTTAAAAATGCCCTGGTTTAGACAATAAATTGTATAGTCACTGTAGCTATATTAAACAGTCTGGATTTTTTTCTAAGGGTAGTGGGGAGCCTTTGCAGAGTTTTAAGAAGGAGAATGATATGATTTACTCTTTAGGTGATAAGGCATGAGTGGAGATGGGCAGCACAGTTGGAAGGCTGTTCAGGAGGTGAGGAGATAGATGGCATTGGCTGGAGCAGAATGAGGACAGTAAAGATAAAGGGATGTGGGTGGATTCAAAATATATTTTGGAGTTAGAATGGTTAAATTCTAGTGATGAGGCAGAAGAAGTTATCAAGAATAACTCCTAGGCCAGGCATGGTGGCTCACGCTTATAATCCCAGCACTTTGGGAGGCTGAGACGGGCAGATCACTTGAGGTCAGGAGTTCAAGATCAGCCTGGCCAAAATGGTGAAATTCCATCTCTACTAAAAATACAAAAATTAGCTGGGCATGGGGCACACGCCTGTAATCCCAGCTACTCGGGAGGCTGAGGCAGAAGAATCACTTGAATGGTGGAGATTGTAGTGAGCTGAGATCGTGCCACTGCACTCCAGCCTGGGCGACAGAGAAAGACTCCATCTCAAAAAAAAAAAAAAAAAAAAAGAATAACTTCTAGATAAACTAAGTGACTGATGGTGCTATTTATGGAAATTTGGACAATTAGGGGTAGATACTGAGGGAAAGAACAAGGGCTCAGTTTTTGTTTTTGTTTTTGTTTTTGGTTTTGTTTTTGAGACGGAGTCTCGCTCTGTCCCCAGGCTGGAGTGCAGTGGCGTGATCTTGGCTCACTGCAAGCTCCACCTCCCAGGTTCACACCATTCTCCTGCCTCAGCCTCCTGAGTAGCTGGGACTACAGATGCCCACCACCACGCCCCGCTAATTTTTTGTGTTTTTTAGTAGAGACGAGGTTTCACCGTGTTAGCCAGGATGGTCTAGATCTCCTGACCTCGTGATCCGCCCGCCTCAGCCTCCCAAAGTGCTGGGATTACAAGTTTGAGCCACCATGCCTGGCCCAAGGGCTCAGTTTTTGACATGTTAAGTTTGAGATGCCGTGGAGATGCCATGTGACTGCTCAAGGATAAGAAATTGGCCCAAGGATAATAGAAGATAAGCAGACTTGAGTAGTTCTAAGTAGATCTGAGACTCACGCTCTGGTCCTGTGAATCTAAACCTACACTCAAGAAACCACCTTATATGTAGAGCTGTACTTAGGTATTCTTCATGCCATGTTTTCTGAGTGTTTGATGAATTTCTAGGCCCTTGCCTGTGAACACTAAGGTGCAGCAGGGTTCTAAAAGTATATTTAAATAAAATTCCAAAAATGAGCACCAAACTGTTCAACCCACAGGAATTTTCTGAACAAGGAGGAGGAGGAATATAGGATATAAGATTATGGGGCGTGGCTGAGACCCTCACTTGGCAGACTAGGACATCAGGCCCAAGGAAGCTGTATTTCACTGAGGCTACTTAGGTAGTGGGAGAACTGGGATTACATCCTCAGTCTTCATCCCTCCCAGGTTGTCATTCTTTCCAAGAGTAGAAAATCTATGAACAGTCCTCTGATGGGAGGTCACTTAGCAAATGTATGGATATGACACAGGTGTTTGTTTTTGGCCCTAGTTAAGGGAGGGTTTTAGCTCCATCAGGCAAGGAAGACCATCTTTAAACAGTCTTCCTCTTGTCAGGAGAACTAGTTTGATTGTTAAGATTTTCTAGTGGTGAGAAGCACATGTGTTTTGAGCCAGCATGCCACAGAGGGCCCTATTGTGTCAACTCACTTACGCGTGCATCTCAGCGCAGCTGATATGTCCATTTGCTATGGAGCAACAGCTGGTTGCCTGGTGGGTCAATGCGGCTGCTGTTTCAGGTGGAGACAGCTGCCAGCTACCAGGTATAGGGAACTGAGAGGAGAAACAGGCTGACAAGGTCACTGCTTTTGGTGTTCCTGGGACATCATACTAGTTAACTGGTTTGGTATTGTCCATTGGATGGAGTTTTTTTAGCTCCTCTCATAGAGTTGACCTCTTACAAAATTAGTGCATTCAATTTAAGAGAATTAAAAAGAATTTCAGACAAAAGGATGTGGTTGTAAT
This sequence comes from Homo sapiens, assembly GCF_000001405.40. NCBI lineage: Eukaryota > Metazoa > Chordata > Mammalia > Primates > Hominidae > Homo > Homo sapiens. Next base: position 127,417,408 of record NC_000005.10, read on the forward strand.
ACATCCTGCTAGAGATGATGCTGATGATGCTGATTTCATACAACATTCCTGTAGTACCCATCAGGTTTCAGCCAATTAATTAAATCATACCAAGCCTGGGAATGAAGTTTGAATTATTCTGCATGGAATTACCCACACATTTAGTGATCATTGCTAAAGCAACATTTGCACAGAAGTTGGGTGTCATGTTTACCCCAAAGTGACTTATTCCTTTCATCCATGTCTCTCAGCTGTCACCCCATGTCTGGAGAGTGTGCCTGCAAGCCGGGCTGGTCAGGACTCTACTGTAATGAGACATGTTCTCCTGGATTCTACGGGGAAGCTTGCCAGCAGATCTGCAGCTGCCAAAATGGGGCAGACTGTGACAGTGTGACTGGAAAGTGCACCTGTGCCCCAGGATTCAAAGTGAGTGACTAGGGCTCTGGAGGAAGGAGAAGAGGGGTGCAGTGTGAAGCATCTCAATACCATGATTTATATGACCTCCAGTGAAATACAGTGAATGTGCTAAAGTCATCCACATCATTAAAGAGAGAGAGAAAATGAGGGGAAAAATGCTAATAGAGATATAAGGAATTACCTTAGAATAATGACTGCGAAAACTGGTAAAACTATAAATGTGGCATTAATTTTTAATATAAACACATGTCAGAAAGCATATTATAATTATTCCTTAAGTAATTTATTTTATTGTGTTTTATAGGTGACAAAGAAGTTACTTTTCCAAGTAGATTATTATTGTTGACAGCTTTTGTTTTTAATTCCACAAAATTTGAAGACACATCGAGTTAGCATTTGTAATGTATTTACATTCTGTAGTTGGTAGTACATAAGTTTTTAGGTCCCTTTGAAAATCCAGACCCTATAAATATGTCTATATTCCATGCATAATAGAGCAGAATTTTGCTTACAGTTTCTAAGATTTCATAGTGATAGGCTAGGAATCTTTGCTTTAAAGGAGAATGTGTTGTTCTTGAATTATTCCTTCCCATTTTAAAGAGCACATTGAACTATGAAGAATGTTGATGATTATTCCAGAGCACATAATGTAGAACTGGTGGATCATAAGGTCACAGAGCTGAGAGGATCTTTAAAGGGTTTTCTAACCTATGTCATAACCCTTTGGTTCAGCCCTTGAATTAGCTTTGTCTTAAGAGTCCCTTCTGTTTTGAAAGGAGATGACCTCCAGTTGCCTTTGGTAGCTTAATTCTGCCTTTAATGCTCCCTGTCGGATAAAGTGAATCATGTTGCTGAATGTGTTCTGTTGTTGCTTTGCTTTACCTACTAAAAATATTACATATCATACAAGGATATCTAGGAAGGGTTGAGATCTAATGTATAGTTTATATTGATGTTTATTTATTGAGAGTAATTTTACAGATACAATTTATTTTTATATATCTACTTGTCTGAGCAATGAAAAAGGGTTTTTATTGTTGTTTTGTTTTAGTTCTGCTATGAAGGCAAAGCTAATGTAGGTGCAAGCTTTTTTGGATCCCATTTAATAATATATCCTAAACATAGACCAGCTAGTGTTGCCCTTAAATTTCTAAAATTTGTATAGTGGTGACATTATGACAAAATTTTAAAAATACAGTGTGTTAAAATTAGAGAGGAAGTATAATTAGCATTGCCAAGATATATTTTTGTTTATTTGTGTTGGCCTTATTTCAGTTGGCAAAATTGAATGCATTTTGCTACTTGTGCCTGTCTAGGGAATTGACTGCTCTACCCCATGCCCTCTGGGAACCTATGGGATAAACTGTTCCTCTCGCTGTGGCTGTAAAAATGATGCAGTCTGCTCTCCTGTGGACGGGTCTTGTACTTGCAAGGCAGGTAAGAATGGGTAAATAAGTCTTTAATTTGATCCTGGTCACGTTATCTCCTAAAGACACAAAAAAGAAAAACCTTAACCAGGGTTCTAGCTCCAGTTGCACCAAAATTCAGTGTCTGACCTCCGCAAGCCCCTCATCCAGTATGGGCTGGAACGCTTTCCTGAGTGAAGGGAAGAGGCTCACATTAGATGATCTCTGAAGTCACTGCCAGCTCCAAAAGTCTCTGTGTCTGTGCACTTTTGGGAAGAGTAAACAAGCAGACATGTGTTCATGCCCCTAAATTGACTGGCTTGGAATCATGACAAGAAACGCAGCCAAGCACCAATTTTATATGAGCACTAGAACGTGTCCATCCATAGGTGCAGCCAGGATCCTGGATATACACAGTTGCTGGTTAATGGGGTCCTGCTTTAAAGATGGTGTTGTGTTTTCAAGCAGAATCCTTTGTCTCCCTTCCATATAAATATTTCACTTTCCTGATCTGAACAAAACTCAGCATTCCACAGTGTGCATCACTGCCCATTAAAGGTGCTTTGACTCTATATCTCTTTTTCAGTAGCCCACTAGTATGCAGTGCTGGCATCCTCGACAGATCACACAACACACATGGCTGTTTGGGTCGTCAGGGGTGCCTTCTGTTCATTTCTGATGGAGGCCTAACTTGGCAGAACCAGTGTTCTCTGCTGCTGTGGCTGGGGCTTGCATCTCCAAGGCGTTTCTAAAGAGAAACGTGGTTTGGAAAGGCTCAACAAGGCTCTCTGCTGCCTTTGTTCGCTCACGTGCTCTGGCGTTCTTGTCGCACAGGCTGGCACGGGGTGGACTGCTCCATCAGATGTCCCAGTGGCACATGGGGCTTTGGCTGTAACTTAACATGCCAGTGCCTCAACGGGGGAGCCTGCAACACCCTGGACGGGACCTGCACGTGTGCACCTGGATGGCGCGGGGAGAAATGCGAACTTCCCTGCCAGGTATGCACAAATCAGCGCCCTGACGGAAAACGCCTATGAGGAACTGATGTTGTAAAGTTGGCTTCTTTTTGCATTTTTCCTGACTTCAAGTGGCTCACTGTGAACCCAACTTCGGTAACTACTGGAAGAATCCAGGTATTTGGATTCAAATTGGACGTAGGATTGGAAAAGAGATAGACATGGAAACTGGTTAGATAGGCTCTGCGAGAATTTCTTCCTTCTTTTCCTTCATCTTGTTCAGTTTCCTCAACCCCCACCCTTTACTTTCTGTTTCTTATTCACCCATCTCTTGGTGGCAGCCAGTGAACAGTACTGGTCTCCAAATATTTTGTTTCCACTATCATGGAAATCTCCCTGCCTTTATGGTAGAAAGTGGCAGGGAGTTGAAAGGAGGGTGGTGACTGATGTCATAGAAATGCTCATGGAAGTGTTGAAAGAAGGTTTGGAAACAATGTCTTTTAACATAAGTATCTCTGGAGCCACAAAAATTTCTTAAGATGTCCCTATAGCTCACTCTATTCCCTTGACCTACTTTGGAGATACAGGTCATTAGAAATCTCATACTGCATCTACCTCAAGCTGTCAGGGAGTGCAAACGGGAAGTGCATTCTGGAGTAAGCTGCTGATTTCTTTTCCATCACTCTTTCTTTCTATAGCAATTATTTTCTCCTGAGCCATTAGGCATTCTCTCTGTGGTGTGTGTTCTCTGCCTCCAGGACATCATCTGATGGCGAGTTAACAATGTGACCCCCTGAACTGGGCCCCTCGAGAAGGGCCTTCCACAATGCTCTTGTCTCTCTGGGCTTCCTCCTCATTAAGTACAACCCACTTCCCAAAATAGAAAGGATCCCACTCATGGATATCCCATGGACAGAGCTGTCAGCTTTGCTGCCTCTCATCACTCTAGTGAACAAATTATCAGTACTTGGAGATGAGCTTGAAGATCACTTTTTACTCCCTATCTGATTGTAGACAAAGCAAAGCCCCTGGCACAATCTCGTCCTTTTTCATACCTTAGAGGAGTTAGTAAATCAGTGAAGGCTGAGGGTTTAGTGGTTCATATCATGACAAAACTAAATCCTGTGTAGCTGTATCAAACATTGGTGGGGTCTACAAAATGATTGTTTTCTTTTTCTTATTTTAACAAGTTCTAGACAAATAATTATTCATCTAGCACCCACTACCTGTCTATGCTGGTTCCCATGTTCCTCCTCTGTGGTAATTCTGTACCCCTGTTTCTCTTAGTTCTTGGGTGGTGTTGGGAAGGCTTGTAGTGCCTCCCTCATTTCCCAGGATCTGTGGTGAAAGAGCTGAACTTTCCATTCTTTCTCCATAAACAAAACAATCATGTCTATGAGGAGTCTTGTCTCCATCAGACCATCCAAACTGACGTGCACATGAAAGTATAAAAGATCTGGAAGGGGAGGAGCAAGGAGGTGTGTCAACTCATACTTAGGACTGTGAGTCAGGATATTTTGTGTGGCTTAGACTTCTTCCTGAAAAGCAGGATAATAATCAGAGAAAAGTAACAAAATATCTTCATTTTTCTTTATAGTACCATGTATCTCGTTGGCAACTTATGGCAATGAACTTAATTCAATTAAAACTATAATTTTTAAGATTAGTTTATAATTTAAAATTTTTTTAAATTATAAATTTTTTTATATTTTATAAAATATAAATAGGCAGGAGAATGGTGTGAACCCGGGAGGCAGAGCTTGCAGTGAGCCGAGATAGCGCCACTGCCGTCCGGCCTGGGTGAAAGAGTGAGACTCCGTCTCAAAAAAAAAAAAAAAAAAAATGACCCTGACCCACACAAAAAAGCTCTAAAATTATAGTTTTAAAACTATAATTTTATAATTTAAAAAATTTTTAAAGTGTGTTGGCATGATTGGCTTCACTATTTATATGTCCCAACCGTTGTGTCAGGCATAAACTAGGGTTTGAGTGACTTTAAAACACTGACTTCCTGGAGCCTATATTTTGGGGACTAAGAAGACATAGAAAGAGGTGATTAAGATGCATCCCTCTGGCTGGGTGCGGTGGCTCACGCCTGTAATCCAAACACTTTGGGAGGCTGAGGCGAGTGGATCACCTGAGGTCAGGAGTTCGAGACCAGCCTGACCAACAAGGTGAAACCCTGTCTCTACTAAAAATACAAAAATTAGCCTGGCAAGGTGGCAGGTGCCTATAGTCCCAGCTACTCGGGAGGCTGAGAATTCCTTCAACCCGGGAGGCCGAGGTTGCGCTGAGCTGAAATCACACCACTGCACTCCAGTCTGGGCAACAGAGCGAGACTCCATCTCAAAAAAAAAGAAAAAAATAAATAAAGATACATCCCTGTAAGAAGCGTTTGGGACAGCAGGGTACTGTATGTGAAATGGCTGACAGTGGCCTTTTCCTCTTCTGTTGTGGGATTTCCCAGGCCCTCATTGCTGCCTTTGATGCTGTTTTCCATGCAGGATGGCACGTACGGGCTGAACTGTGCTGAGCGCTGCGACTGCAGCCACGCAGATGGCTGCCACCCTACCACGGGCCATTGCCGCTGCCTCCCCGGATGGTCAGGTGAGAGCCAAGGACCGCTAATTGAAAGGTGAAACCCGCCAATTTAACACCTAGTGCTGTTCCTTATCACTTCACAGAAACACACACCAGTCAACTTTTCAAAAAAAATGAAAATTCGATAAGGTTTCCAGTAAACTGAAACCTTTAATCTATAATCCAGGACTGATTTTTTGTTGATTTGTGTAGGGGCAGTTCTCTTGAGCTACAAGTAAGGTCCAGCTGTCAAAATTCAGGCCAGCAAGATGGGGAAAATGTGAATTGCTTTGAAGAGTTCAGCAAGACCACTGTGGTATATTTTGAGCACTGAAGAAAGAATGATTGAAATAAACCCTAAAAATATGACAAGGGTCACCTTAGTGAGGCAAAAAAATACAGATATTAATATGGTGAATATGCATATGCATATTATTGTATGGTTAATATGCAAATATTAAAATGTTCATTGCTGGAAGTAAAAGTTTTAAAACTTTCTTTTTTTACGATAATGTTCTGGTCATGACAAATTCATAATATGACTGAGTACAAATTCTGTAACCACAGGGTGGGAGTTTCTCCTTATTTATATAGCTTCACCGTTTCAGCCAGGAAGTTTATCAAGCTAAAAGTGATACTGAAAGAAGAAGTTTCTGCTCATGGTATACAGACTTGCTAAGATATTTAGTGCCACCTTCCAAGTATCATGAGCAAAAACATTGTTCTTCTTCTAGGACTACTTTACATTCCTACCAGTAATGTACGAGGGTTCCATTTTTTTCATTTCCTCACCAACACTAGTTATTATCTGACTTTTTGATTCTAGCCATCCTAGTCAGTGTTCAGTGGTATCTCATTGTGGTTTTGCTTTCCATTTCCATGATGGCTGATGATATTGAACATCTTTCTGTGCATTTATTGGTCATCTCTATTATCTTCTTTATATAAATCCCTGCTCAGACTCTTTGTTAATTTTTTAACTGGATTTTCTTTTTACTATGGCGTTATAATCTTTATATTTTTTAGATATATGTCCTTATCAGATATATAATTTACAAATATTTTATTCCATTCTTTGAGTTATTTTTTCCTTTCTTGATGATGACTTTTGCAGCAGAAAAGTTTTTATTTTGATGAAGTCTAGTTTATCTTTTTTATTTCATTGCTTGTGCTTTTGGTGTTAAATGTAAAAAAACATTGCCTGATCCAAGGTCACAAGATTTATGTCCATGTTTCTCCTAAAAATTTTATAGTTTTAGCTTCTGTATTTAGATATTTGATCCATTCTGAGGTAATTTTTACATACAATATGAGGTAGGGGTCCAACTTAATTCTTTTGCGTGTGGCTATCCAGTTGTCCCAGCACTATTTGTGAAAAGGCTATTCTTTCCCCCACTGAATTGTCTTGATACCCTTTTTAAAATTCAGCATTCCATAAATGTGAGAGGATTTATTTCTGGACTCCGTATTTCATTTCATTTGTCTATATATCTCTCCTTATGCCAGCACCATACAGTTTTGATTATTGTAGCTTAGGAGGAAGCATTAAAACTGAGAAATTGAAATCCTTTTAAATTGGTTTTTCTTTTTCAGGATTGTTTTGACTATTCTGGGTCCTTGAATTTCCATGTGAATGGTAACATCAATATGTTAATTTCCACAAAGAAGCAAGGTGGAAATTTAATGGAGATTGAATCTATAGATCAATTTGGGGAATACTGTCCACTTAACAATATGAAGTCTTCAGATTCATAAACATGGGATGTCACCAGCAACCTCTTCAGTAGTGTCTCTCAGCCCCTTGGAAAATGTTGAGAGCTTCTTTGGTTTCTAAAGGAGTAAACTGAGATGAACTGTCATGTGCTTGATTTCTAGTGTCTGAGAGCTACCTTGGGAAACAGGCTAAGGCTGGTGCAATGGACTTTATTTTCTACCAATAGGAGCTACCCACAGACACGAGGCCTCCCCAACCCTGTAGTTCCATCTTGACTTGCAAAACCTGAGATAACTTGACTTCACAATAGGAAATTCTGCCTTCCAATGTTTCAGCTTGGCTCTTCATCCCCAAATGTTAAAACTGCATCAACTAGGGATTGAACCAGATTTTGTGACTTCACTAGGGTTCTTGAAGTTCTCAAATGGAGAGATCGATACTAATTTCTCAATGACCACGGTGAAGCAAAATAACATTTTTAACCTTCTGGCAAATTCAGAATTTTCTAACAGAGAGACCACATCATTTGTTTTATACAACACTCCACCAAATCTACTTCTGTCTTATAAAGATAGAAAGAATGTGAGGTGTTCCTGAACACACCAGTCACTGCTCAAGTGTCCACCTGCTTTGATGATTTAGAACTATCCTGTGAAAGGCACACTCTAGTATACATGAGAAGAGCAAGAGATAGGATTTGGCCTGAAGCCAGCCGGAAAATGTGTTAGTTGCATTCCACAGTCTGGGTCATGGGGTAAGACAAATTATCCCATCTGACCTTAGACCTATCAAGCTCCTACGGGAATGCAGTGGCTTTGTCACACAATGTAATCTTGTAATCCTCTGTCCATCTGTGGCCGGCCTGCTTCTCTAAACGGGAAGACTACTGCTTCATGCTGCTCTATTGCTTGTTGCCTACCATCTCTGCCTCATGGTCTGTCAGTCATTATTGCTCCTAGACCAGCTAAGTTGCCCCAGTGTCTCATTTCTGGGTCTTCTGTGTGGGCTGTTGGTCTGTAAGCATCTGTCAGTATCTAAGCCTGCTGTGAGGTCATCCCTCACAATTACAGAATACACTTGGTATACAAAAACACATGTAGAGGAAAAGAAAATTACTGAAGTTCCAAAAAACACCTACAATTGGACCAAGAATTGGCTTATTTTTTTTTTTAAAGAAAGAGCAGCTTCTGTATATTATTTACAAAGGTCATCATTTCATTGTCTGCACTGGACAGACTAATAATTTTTTACCCATAAAATTGTTTAGGGTTAGTACCCTGTTAGGACCTTTTTGAACGTAAAGAAGGTTTTACTTTCCATTTAAGACACCAGGTTTGAGGTCAAAAGATAAACATAAGCCCAGAGAAGCAAGCAATTCTATTTCTTCTCATCCCTGTTGCTGAGATTGCTGTAGGTGAAATATTAAGTATCCCTGGACAGGGCAGAAGTATGTAGGATAGGAGGCTTGTGTGTAGTGAGGCTTTTATGAATAAATCAGTGAAATCTGACACAGAAGCCAGGGCTCTTCCCCTGATCAAATCAACAAGATGGCCTTAAGTGCTCCGTCAACTGTGGACACTGTGGGGAGAGGCTGATCAGTTGGATTTGGAGCCAGAGATAAGAGTCAGGAGGGCCTTGTTCCTCTTTACAAAGGAATTGACATGACTAAATTGAGGAAGTCTCACCCTAAGGTGAGATGCCAAGGAAGATGGCTTGCTGTCTTACTGTGTACCCACATCCACCATTTCTTATAACTTCAACCCACTATCTAGCATTTGACTGTTCTCTCAAAGGAACTGAGGCTTTTTTATTTCTATTATAATTGATAGTCCTATTTTACCTAGTCATAAAATAAGTCCTCAAAATATACTGTTATGAAAAGTAAACAAAATAAAAGTTGTGTTTGACATTTTAGATCCTATTTCCAAAAAAAGTACCATTTTATTGTAGTATGTGGTTATTTAAAACCTTAATTTATTGTCATTTTTAGCCAATACACTATTTTATCAAAAAGAGGCAGATTGCAGTAGAAGAATGAGGAAAATGAAATACCATTCAGGATTTAGGCTGTGTCCTATGCTGCTTCTCCTACACCTCTGGACCTCTGGTACACACACACACTCTCTCTCTCTCTCTGCTATAAAATGAGGCTCGCTTTTCAAAATGATTATACTGAAATTTCAGATGTCAATGAAATATAATTATGAGTGTTTGTGTATACTTATGTATGTGTGTTTCCAGAGTAGTGGAGTGATATACTTTATAAAAGCATTTTCCCAAAATTACAGAAACAGGCTGAAGTTTATGTCTTCTTTTCTGCTCTGACTTCAGTCAGCCAGAACACCCATTTGCTGAGCATTACAGCTAATCAAGATTTCATTCCAGCTGACTGGGAACATGTGCAGTGTCCGGCCTCATTCCCAGCCCTGGCTAAGATCACTGTCACCTGGGAACTCTTCGAACTTGCATATTCCCAGTCCCCACCTCACACCTACTAAATGAGAATTTGGAAAGTGGCTGAGGAGGAGGAAGATTATGGAGCCTCTGCCCATCCAGAAAGCAACTTTGATACAAATTTGGAAAAGATTTGGAAATCCCTCAGGATGTACTCCTTGGCACATGAAGTGCAAGCCGGATTTCTGCCCCAACTTAGCCCCTTGGGCAGGGGCTCTTGCATAGTGCACAACTTGCAAAACCTTACTTGGTGGCTTTGTCTGCCCTGGTGACCCAGGCAGGCAGTGGCAGTTACGGTCTGCATAGTGGCATCTGCTGTGTCATATTACTCTAGTTATTGAAGAACTTGGGGTCTGGGGTGCATTTCTTTGACAGAAACCACATAATCAATGGCAAATGAGAAGAGGTGGTTCAAGGATGTGTTTATACCAGAATAAAAAAGTTAAACACTAAACAGATAAAAAGGAGAATAGGACACCCAATGAAACTCTAGGGGTCTTGAGAAAGAGAGGAGAGACTATCAAGGCATGGTATAATTGTAAGGGGAGGGGTAGGAGAATAAGAGGAGAGGTTGGGGGCTCATCTGAGCCCAGCCAGGAAGGGTGTAATCGGAAGGAGGATCACCTGTGGGCAAGTTGATGTGAAGAGCCCACTTCTCCGCTCTTCCCAGCAAGCAGAACTAGGCCTAGAGTGGCCGCAGCCTCCCTCCACAAGGAAAGCTCTCCTTTCCATGTTTTACCAAACAGCAAGTTTGACCAGCTGAGTGAGTGAGCTGCTACTTCAGGGACTAATCTGTCGTGAGGTGATGTCTCATGCAGCTAAGGGATGCCTGAACTGTTAAAATAAGGGGAGACCTACCTTCCTTTGTCCAGTGACATATAAGTGCAAATCCAAGTTGGAGGTAATAACTTTAGTCAAATGAGTTTAATTAACATGCCTGCACCCAATCAGCCACAAGTACAAATGACTCACTATCTGACCCTTTTGGGTATTGAGGGCTGGAGAGTGTGTCTGCAGGTTCATATGTATATGTCTGTCTGTTTGGTCTTGGGAGAGGGGATCATATAAAAGCAGAAGGCTGGGCCCCTGCTGTGAGGGTGAAGGGAGGTGCTCATTTCCCCCAACAAGAAAAGGCCACAGAAAAAACCAAAGCTCCAAGATCTGCCTAGCAATCCTTTCTACTTGCTTTTATCTGGGTCCAGACTGAGGCAGGCCATGGTGTCTGGTATTTTTTTTTTTTTTTTTTTTTTTGTCTTGCAAGTGCAAAGGCAAACACCTCTGATTTATATGACTTATTAAGACTTTTTTCAACTTTGTTGAACTATATAAAGCAGATTCTTTTTTACTGGGTCTTTAAAATCCATAGTATCCAAATAGAAAGATTTGGTTTAACAACCATTTGTTGAGTGTCTCCAGGTTCTATGCAACCATAATGCTTGGGTGCTGGGAACACAGAGAGGAAGTGAAGCCAACTCCCATCCTGCAGAAGCTCACATTGCATCAGGACAGTCGCTCTATCAGCAGAGATGGATATACCAGTGAATAACTTCTCTATACTACACCACACTATGCTGTACTACACTACACTACGCTACACTACACTACACTACACTATGCCACTGCTTTGTTGGTCAAAGGATTAGAAAAGCAGAAAAAGTGTTGTGACTAAATACTATAGTTCCTCCATCTTATAATTACCAAGCCCAATTATTATTAACAAATATCTCTCTTTGCTCTAATATATGTTTAATAGCTTGTTGCCCAGGAACTAGACATAGAATCAAAATAATTTCCTTCATTCACTAACGCTCCAAATATTGGAATACTGGCATAAGGAATATAAGCAATTAAGTAAGACAAGGATTTGGGGTTATATCTATGAGAGGGGAAAGAATGACACCCCAGATGATTTATTTACTGCATTCATGCAATCACAAATGCCCAGTGAATGCTGATTTCACATTGAGGCCGCTGGCATAATGCATCAGGCATTAATTGCACGAACATTTCTTTAGAGCTGCTTAGCTGAAGTTTATCACGATCATTCAGCCATTGCCTAGCAACTTGTGGAGGCTATCAAAGAGCTCTTTGTTCTCAGTCGTGGCAAAAACAGTCCCTTACAGATCTCCTTATCAGCATTAGAACATTTATCAGAAAAGAAATGCTCCCATTGAACCAGAGATGGCTGCAGATTTAAACCTACCCCCTTCCCACGTTGCCCCTTCTTCCCAATATTTTAGAAGTTATTTCCTGAACTATTAAAGTTTCTATCTGTTTTTTGCTAAAACTTCTGAAGGAATTTCCTTAAGATGTCATATAATTCCTTTATGGCCTAATAATCTGGGCTTACATGTAAAAACACAGACCTGAGCCCCTAAATGTGTATCTGCTCAAGAATAAGCAAGGCAGACATCTCCACCTCCTTAGCAGGGAAGGGTCACCATTTTTGATATACAACCTATAAATATGTTGGGCTTCCTGGTTTGAGTGAAGACTTATTCAGGAAAGCAAAGAATGCTGTGGTTGCTCCATCCCATTGGAAAGTGGTCCTGAATATCATACAGGAAATAGGAATTATGTGTATCGATTCATTCAACAAATAAATTTATTTAACACCTCCCATGTGCTAGGTGCTATGGTGAGCAAAAACAGGCATTGTCTCTCCCTCAGGGAGCTGCCAGAATTAATTACCTTTGGTGGAGAATTGGAGGGGAGTCTTCATCTGCATTTTCTTCTATATCTCTCCAGAATTCCTCTTCCCCGCATCTCTGCTGACATTGACTTAGTTTCATGCCTTGTCACTTTGATCATTTTTTTTATTTGGGGAACCCCAAATGGGGGTTCTGCAGGTAAAAGAGCACCTGACAGGTTTTCTTTCTTCCCAGGCTCAACATCTTCTGGCCATCTTCTGCCCTCCTATAAAGCACAAATTTAGTTGTGCCCCTTCCTTCTTAAAATTGTTCATTTGGTCCCTGTTAACACCAGGGGGAGGTTCACACTCTATAGCATGGCGCTCTTGGCTCAACTCAACTTGGCCACTGCTTGGCTGCCCAGATGTCTCACCTGCTCTCCCCAGCCCCTGAGTTTTAGCTGTACCCAACACTTGCAATTCCCAAAGGACAGACACTTCTTTGGGCCTCTGAGCCTTGCCACCACTGTTCCCTTAGCCTGCAGTCCTCTTCCCCCTTCACAAGCTACCTCCCTTCCTGATCATGATCCCCAGGCAGAGCAGGGTGTGCCTGTTCTGTGGTCATTATCACCCTGGGGTTACATTTTTAAGAAAACTTCTCACAGCAAACCAGTAGCTGGCCAGATCCCTTGAATGTTTGCTGAGTTGGGTTTCCTTTTCTGCCTTTGACAAACAAAGAAACAAAAAGATGTTTTGTAGGACCCTAGCAAAGCTGGCAAAAAATAAGAGGAGATAAATATAAATAATACACATGTACCCACACAGAGCCAGAAATAATGGTTAAAGCAAAACTTACAACTCTTCATCCTGGAGAATATTTCATTGCAGGGTTATCCTTACATGGAAGTCACATCAGCAGTCATATACCTGGTGCGACTTAGAGAAACACTTACCCAACACTCTCTTAGTGATACTTACTGCCTGAAATTCCACAATTAGATATTTATTTCTTAGGCTCTTAGAATGCATGCTCTCTTAGAATATCAATATTCTCCAGAGAAGGTACTACTCAGCAATAATAAATGTATCTTGTCCTTTTCTGACTGTAAGATGAAGGGAAAAATAACTAGGAGGGCACAGAGGGCCAGAAGGGGAGAAGCAGCAATAGGAGAAGAGGGTACAGCAAGAGGAGGAAAGACAACTCCACACCTTTCCCTGGAATTGCCCCCTAACTGAGACATACTTGATATTTATCTTCACATAGATTAGGCATTAGTATCTGCAAAATGCTGACTCATTTTTTACTGATGACAGAGTAAATAAAAGGGCTTGAATTTTTAAGAGGGTGTTGGTAATAGAATTTTTATAATTTATATTCAAAGGAAACATTTCTTTGCAATTCTAAACTAAAAGTTATTTTCAAGTAAGCTTGGGTCTGTTGAAAGATGCTTATATGATTGGACACAGAAGGTTTGATCAATGATCTATAGAATTTGCTATGATTCTCTGGAAATGAAATGATGGGTAAACCATATGAAACAAGCTTATCTCTGCAGTGGATCTTCTTGCTATAGGGTGGGCCTTGTTACTTATACAAACATTACCAGGATATAGTTGATTATGACTGATGGCTAGGCTAATCAGCTGAACAAACCTCTTAAGGGAAGAAGAATAAGTTATGAAAGAGAGGATCTCTTTATTCAGATTTGCCTATCTGGCCTGTAGTCATTTTTCTTACCATGCTCTGATTGAGAATAGGCTAAGCTATACATAAATCATGATAACCTATGATATAAAAAAGCAGCAAATACTTTTGACCTAAAGTGTACTCCATTCCATCTTAACTGAATTTATTAAGTGCAATTTGAAGTAGTGATTTGGCAAGTAGTTGATAAACTAAGTCATCATAAATGGCTAAATCTTACCTGTCCCCCAAGTCCCCACCCTAACAAAAAAGCATAAAAAATCGGGACTGCTTTTTCAGGATGATGATCAGTCAGATTAACAGGATAATTACTCAGTTTCCACTTCTTCAAAATCTTCGTTGGGATTTGTCTTGATGGCATCAGACCAAAATGCCCTGGGTTGATTGTCTAAGTCTCTGTGATAAGCAGGTGTCCCCATCTTAGCTGTTGTTAAGCAGGAGTCTTGGCTCACGGTCAGAGTCTAGGACCTGAATTTGAACTGAGAGCGAAGTGTTTAGCAGGTTACCCTTGTTGGTACTTTCTTTAAATTCTCAAAACAAAGTTTAGGTTTGCAGCCTCATTTTGAAGTGGTTTACTGCTTAATATGTTTGATGCTTCTGCCCAGTATAGGTGTGGATATAAATTCCAGGTAAGATTCTGTGGCTGATGTATCACATCTGGTGAGGGTAGAGTTTGCAATTTCATCTCAGATTTTCAAAAGAGATTTGAAAAAAAAATAATATATTTATGATTGCAAGAAAAAAATCAACATAGTAGGCCCAGATTTCATACTTTATTCTATGGGAAACATTTAAACCCCAATTGGTTTATGAACAGACCTGGTCTCCTTTCTTCAGCCCATGGTCCGAATGAAATAAAAGTCTATTGTTGGGTCAAGCTAGACACAATGAGGTCTGCATGCTTTCTTGCCTATTTAATGGCCTTTACCACGTGGGAGACTTTCAGAAGGAAAAAAACAGGAACAGTAAAAAGTGGATCTTCTTGCTATTCCAGTGTTCACCGGAAATGGTGTACCAATTAACAACATTCACATTATAGTTTGGGACTGCTTCCATGTTAAGGTTCAGACTGTGGTGACTTTTTGCCTGATTACTTTAGAAGCCAAAACTGTAACACAAGACATGACCGTCTCAGCATCGTGGTACTGGGTGGTTGTTAGTATTCTGGAATCCTGGAGGGTCTGCGTGCTTGCTCTTAATGTGTTTTCATTTGGTCTGAGGCCAGCAACTGCCAGTTCACTACTAATTATAACTTATTGCCTTTCAATGTGAAGAACATTTCTTTGAGTTGTGAGGAATTCTGGCAAGAAAGAGGCCCCTGTTGTATTTCCAATACGAATGTACAGAAGAGACTTTTATTTATCTCAAATAAAACCTGGTTTTAGTTTTATTTTTGCAAACTTAGCTTTCCTTTCTGTTTCCTTTTGTCATTTTTTTTAATTCTAAAGTTTCTCAGTATTTAAAATTAGAGTTAAACAACTGCATACAGTTTCATAATAATCGATAGCATAGACAACAGCTACAAATAATGTCAGTTGTGATATTCTGCCAATATCTCTCCAATGTCAGGTAAGATTTTTAAGGAGGAATTTGGTGGCACGTGTCAGTGCATCTTTCTGTTCTGCACAATGCACCATCAAGTTATTTTAAGATTATGTTTATTTGTTTCATCCAGGGGAGGGTTTTCTTTATGTAAAACATTTTATGGAACTGTTCATTGCCTTATCCTTTTACACTTTATTTCTCTGTGAAAACAAAGAATGGGAGGAGGAGGAGGAAGTCACCAAGGGCTAAAAGATATCGTATTGTTGATAAATTTTACTTGCAATAGACAGAGCCCTTGGGCTTCCACTTTATTGCCTCCTCCTGAAGAAGAAAAATCAATATAACAAAAGTTTGTTATTCGTTCTTCATGACTCCATAGAAAATCGGTCTGGGTATTATTTTAATGTTATGATACTGTGTATTGATGTTTATAAGATGGTAACTCTCCATTCATTGCTGCTGGTGATCCTCAGGTTTAACACTGTGAGCTTAGTCCTCATCTATGAATTAGCATCTGCGGAAACTCCGCACTGCCTCTCACTCAGCCTTGCCCCATGTGCATTATTTCAGGTGTCCACTGTGACAGCGTGTGTGCTGAGGGACGCTGGGGCCCCAACTGCTCCCTGCCCTGCTACTGTAAAAATGGGGCTTCATGCTCCCCTGATGATGGCATCTGCGAGTGTGCACCAGGCTTCCGAGGCACCACTTGTCAGAGGAGTAAGTGTCTCATTAGGCAGTAATTTCCACCTTCCCTTCCCTGGGCACCATGTATCGAATAATGATCTCTGTCCCACCTCTCAGTTTATAGTGATGTCCTGTTGCAGTTGAAGGCAAAAGAGAGTGTAATGGTTCACTTGTCCTTTGCAGAACTGTGTTCCCTAAGAGCTTCATTCTTTCCAGCCTTCAGAACTAACCTAACAGATGGGGATTTAACCATTTCTTCTCAATAATTACTTCATTGCCTCATTGGCACAACCATCAGGATATATTTCTTCACCCTTCCTGAAAGCTTTGGAATGGTGTTCTAGAAATTCACTGACCTGTAAATATGTTATTCAGCAGTTTGGCATTGGCCTTACCTCAATTACCAGACGTCAACATCAGCCAAACCTTGAGGCAAATCATTCATCCTGCTAGTAGTCTTAAAATCAGTGCTATGGGGAAAATGGAATTGCAAAGTTGAAAAAGGAGACTGTTGACATTGGTCCTTAAGACTTCTGAGTTAGAAGATTAAGTAATCTTTTAGTAAATGCAATCAAAAAAGAATATGTAACTAATTATAAGTTATACTATTCTAATTTTTTAAATTGCCTTTCCCCCCATAAGAATTCTATGCAGTTATCATATATTTAAATCTGAATAGTATCTTGGCAAGAACTTAAGTATATAGCATTTTGGTTAATCACTTTTCGATTACAGTCATTAACCTGGACCATTTTGAGGAGGAAAAATCTTCAAATTTTGACTGTTGATCGATTTTTATTGCCAGAAACGACTCTTAAAGAATAAAGAATCAACAAATGGTTTGAGAGTACTTATTTGAGACTTATTAGTATTTCAATTTTTTTATCTCTTTATTTATTCAATGAAAATTCCTGGAGCCCTGCTTTATGCCAAGACTTGAGCTAACTGGGGCCTTAAATGGGAAAATAAAGAAGACTAAGACATTTGCTTGCTCTCAAGAAACTCAGAGTTTAGTGGCTTCTTTTCCTCATTAAAGGGTTCCTTTGTTCCTTTGTTGTTCTTGTTTTCTACTTGGAAAATTCTCCGTATCTTTTTTACTTTTTTTTAAGGTTTTGCTTTTTAACCTCTAAAACTTTAACTAGATCCCGATCTGGAATGCGAGACAAACGCATCTCAGAAGGATAACTGCTGATTTCCCTTCTGTTTTCAGTCTGCTCCCCTGGTTTTTATGGGCATCGCTGCAGCCAGACATGCCCACAGTGCGTTCACAGCAGCGGGCCCTGCCACCACATCACCGGCCTGTGTGACTGCTTGCCTGGCTTCACAGGCGCCCTCTGCAATGAAGGTAAGGCACGAAGCATCCCGGACAGCTGGGTGGTGATGAGCACGCCCCGGAGAGTCTGTCCTCAGGCCTCCCCTTGGCCTTCCTGAAGGCCATGTTTTCAGCTGTCTGCTGGGAATGTCTTCTGCTGTGCTGTGTCTGCAGCTTCTCAGATAGGACTTTGAGCTTTGGAAAAGCTGGCTTGCCACTCCAGCAAAACCTTTTTATTTCCTGAGATGTGCTACTCTTCAGTTTTAGCTGGACATGTCCTCCCATAAAAAATCAATATGCGGAAGAATTTTAGACTCCCAGAGCAAGAAGTCGTGAAGTCATATTTCTAGAAGTGCAATGATGTCCCCTGGTTTGTGATGCCTTAATGCAAATCTTTGGCTTCATGGATTTGTAAAAATGAGCCCATTCAAGATGAAGGATGCTGTTGAGCAGAGATAGCTACCAATGAGCAGCTGGGCCTGTGACCTTTAAAGTTATTTCCTGTGCTAAGATTCTAGGGTTCTGCGAGAGGGGTTTTGATTGTGAGTTACTGACCTATAGCTTATTCACAGTGTGTCCCAGTGGCAGATTTGGGAAAAACTGTGCAGGAATTTGTACCTGCACCAACAACGGAACCTGTAACCCCATTGACAGATCTTGTCAGTGTTACCCCGGTTGGATTGGCAGTGACTGCTCTCAACGTAAGTCTTGTTTGAGAACAATTAATAAACTGTTCTTATTTGTTTGTTTTCAGATTCTTTAGGATTGAAGTATGAGTGTTTTTATATAATCAAGAAAGAATATATGACTAATTAAAAGACACATTCTACTTTAAATTCTTTTTTTAAAATTCTTTTTTTTTTTCCCATTACGACCTCTATGCAATGGTCCTATGTTTAAATCCAAATAATGTCTTGGAAAGAACCTAAATATGTAACATTTTCCTTATCCCCTTTTCAGTGATTCATCGTCCATTGAAATAAAGCAAAAACAGCTGTATTGAGAAATCTATCTCTTCATTTTGTGTTTATCTGGAGAGTTAATTACAGAGAAAGAAAAAATGGAATTAAATGATGTGAGCCTTAGAAACCTATTGGGAACCTGAGCGAACTGCCCACCTAATATGCTTAGCTTCACCTTGGCATCACCCAAGTGCCTTCCACACCACTGGATTTCAGACAGGAATTGTGTGACCCTATAAGGGACTATATAGATGACTCTTAGAGCACCCATGTCATGAAAAAAATGACATCGACTATAAGTCATTCATGAATGTTTTGAAAGGGTCAGTGCAATGTCTAAAAGTATTCAACTTTTGACCAAAAAATAGCATATGTATGGAGTAATCTGGTTTCATTCATTTTAAATTTTATGAAACACTCTCAGTTTATATTGAATTCCCCCATCATGCACATAAGAGAAATCAAAGAATGACTGTGTGCAGTCATTTTACATGGTGCTTTATTGATAATTTAATTCAAACTTCACAGTTACAAGCAACCTGCAAATACTAATTGATGAGCAATATATTTTTTGCTGGAAGATTTTTTTCTGAATGTTAATTTTTTCCATAAGTAGTCCAGGCTGTACCCCATTTTTTAGGAATAAGGGAAGAGAGCTAATAAATCTCAGAAGTGTAGCTCTTTGGTGAAAGAAGTGTTATGCGATATGATTTCACTCCATTCTGGGGGCATCACTTCAGAAGAAATCAGTCTGTTTAAATCTACATGTGTTGCAAGGGCTCTGACTGATGGTTGGGCGTATGGGTTTGGGAAGAGTAAAAGGTCCAATATCATTGTCACAAAATGATTGATTTATATTGCTCCTTTAAAAAGTAGTCTTTATTTTGGAAATTTGTCCCTTCCTCATTTGGAGGAGGAATGTGCTGAAAGGAATAAAAATAGAAACACAACTATGAATGGAGACTATAGTGTTGCCTGTCCCAATAATCACTCCACAGGAAGCTGACTTATTTGGCAAAAGCCTTTGCTTCTCCTGGGGATCATTGATTTCATTGATTCCCTTATGGACTCTGTGGAACCATCTTCATATTTCTTCTTAGCTGATTGTGAGCCTGTCTAAAGAGAGCAAAGTCCTTCACAGTGAAAACACAGACTTTGAAAACTTAAAGGGGTACATTTAAAGGGGCAGGTGTCCTTGGGAAAATGATTTTTTAAAGCACTATCTCTACGTTTACCTTTTGGGAATATAAAGTTGAGTGATGCTTATTCCCATTCTCTGATCATAACAAATATAGGGAGAAAAACCTAATGGCAGTGGGTTACCTCAGAAAAATATATTGTGAACATAAATGGGTTTACAGAAGCTGGTTAAATATCATCTAAGGAATAGGTTGTTTTAGGTAAAGAGTGCTTCACTGAGCATCAAATGGGCTAGACGCTTCAACAGTTTTCACTGAGTCTCACTGTGGCTTTGGGAAAGCTGTATTTGTCTAACAAATAACAAATATTATTATTAATCTATGTGACCTTGTACGAGTCACTATTAACCTTTTGTGTGCTCAGTTTCTTCATCTGTAAAATTAAGGTGTTGTATTTAGAAAATTTGTTCCAATGCTCACTCGAGACCTCAAGTGTCAGCTAGTATTTTCCCCTTGCTCTTGGACATGGTGCACACAATTATGGAAGAATTTTTTTCATTTAAAAAGTTACTTCATATGTATTATTGATTGTCTTTATAGGTCCACATTCCCTATGGGGTAGCCGTATAGAAATTACAGGTGGTCCTCCTTTTATGCAATTATGTTCCTAAAGTATTAATATGAATAAAAAGTATTTTTTGTCAATGAAATTATTTTACCCCCTGATCTTATGCTATTATTTCACAGATACTTTATCTGACTTTCTGATGTCTCTTCAATCGGCAGTGACCCCTAATGATTTAATTGTATTATTTTCTGGATCTTCCAGTTAAGAGTTTTTACAAGGAAACCAATTTTTACATACCGCTGGGAACCTCAATATTTAAAAGGAGCCTGAAGTGGCAACTCTAGAGTAGACTGAAGGGTACAGGATTTAGAAATTGTGAACATGAGCTACATGGCCTTGGGTCCTTTAACCTCTCTTGAGTCAAGTCATTTTCCACACCTTATCTCTGCTCAAATGTCCTCTCCTCACAGAGGCCTTCCTCAGAGGAGTAGCTCCCAAAATTATTGTCTTCCTTATCCTCCTTATGTTTTTTCATAATACCTACCACCATTGATTTTTCATTTTGTTGGTTGGTTGGTTGGTTTGCCTGCCTCCCCTACCAAAATAGAAGCTTCCAGAGGATGGTTTGGACTTTGTCTTATACTCTGCTATCTCCCTTGGGCCTGGAACAGTGTTGGGTACATAATAGGTGTTGAATATGTGTTTGTTTAATAACTGAATCTGTAAACTTGAGGTGATTTTTGCCCCAGCCACCTCACTCTGCAGTTGTAAATGAATACATATGTCAATAATGACAGTCGTTGTTGAAGTTGCCATGGCCATCTGGGATTTAGTGCAGAATTCAGAGCAGTGTGCTTTCTTAGTCCTGATGTACACTGCTAACCTCTCACATGCAGGGAGATGTGTAGAGGTGGATGGAATTCTCCCTACTTAGTATTGGCCTCAGAACTCTGATGGACTTCTCCATACCTGTAATTTCAGCATGTCCACCTGCCCACTGGGGCCCAAACTGCATCCACACGTGCAACTGCCATAATGGAGCTTTCTGCAGCGCCTACGATGGGGAATGTAAATGCACTCCTGGCTGGACAGGGCTCTACTGCACTCAGAGTAAGTGACAAGCCTTCTGAGGCTCACCAAGGGGAGCCTTGTCCAAGGAGGAAACAGCCTTACCCTCCGCATGCGTGACTGGAGCTCAACAAAGGTCCCTGAGGTTGGAGTACTTCCCTCTCCTAATGACCTGTAGACATATAAATTTCTCTAAGTGATTAAGAGCTACTTCATTCCAAGTATTCTGTCTCTAGGTTCTATCTCCACTGAGGTAGAGCAATGCTGTGTGATGGTATGCAGTTTATTTCTCTTCTCTCCTTTAACCAAATCATATTTATATGGATCAAATTCTCAATCCTTTAACAGCACAAAAGTTAGGATAAGTATAGAGATTAGAAAGGTAGAGAAGACAACAAGCCTCACTGCCTGATTTAATGTGCGCTCTTGGAAAAGGTGGAGTTCCGTGTTTTTCGAATGGTAGCAAGCTTCAGAATCACCTGGAGGACACAACAAACACAGAAGCTAGTTCCATCCCCAGAAAGCCGGAAGCAGCGAGTCTGGGCTGGCACCTGAGAATTGCCATTTTTATCAACTGGTAGTAATGCCAGGCTGGGACCATGCTTTGAGAGCCACTGCCCTAGTTCTTTTCCCCATTTTGTAATTCATAGCATCCTAACCATTTTTTCTTCCATTAGGCTTTTAGCATGATAGGATATAGTGTGCAAAGTACTTACTCCAAAGCTGAGCATCATTGGGGAAGGAAGATCATTCTCTGACCTCTTACCTTCGGTTGAATAAAGGAGACAAGAAAGGAAGGCATGTGTTATGGTTAAGTACTAATAATAGCGTATATTTTAAAATAATAGCAAGAAGCTGAGGAGGACAGATGGGTCTGAAATTGAGCAATTCTTATTTAATACTAATTAGAGTACATAATTAAAGAATAGGCTGAAAAAGTCTTAGAAACTTTCTAGAAGATAATGTAGACCTTGAACCAAGAGTTGAAAAGGATAATTGGCAAGGAAGGTAGCTGGCCCAAGCATATTCTTCAGAGTTCGTATATCTATAAATATTGTTTAACTTCTTAGAGAAAGGTACTTGTAAGATATTATTTATAATTCTAAAATTAGAACGTGCTTCAAAGAGAGAACCCTTTTTCAAGTGCAAGTAACATGATATAGTGGGAACAACATGGGGTCCAGAGCCAGACCTCCCTGTGTTTGAATCATGGCCCTGCCGTCCTGCCAGTTGCCAGCTGTGTGACTTAGGGTACTTGGGGCTTAGTTCCTGTCTACAAGACGGGAATATCCATCCCTGCATTTCTGGCCTGCTGTAAAGATTAAACAAGAGAACGCATGAAAAGAATCTGGCACAGAGTAGGTGCTAAATAAATGCATGACAGCAGGGAGTCATCGGTGCATACTGGCATCTGGGCACTGCCTCTGCTTCTTGAAAGTTCCATAAGAAAATGAGAAAATGAAAAGCATATGTAATATTTGGAAACAATCATTGAATCAGCCTGCATTGAATCTTTCATCACGCCAGAGATCCCCAAGACACTCTTGCAGGGCAGCTGCCAGCCCATGTAAGCCAACAGAATTTGTGGGTGTCTTTAGCTCAAGAGACTCGCCGGTCTAAGCATTGAAAATCATGCAGCAGTGTGAAGGGTTATTGCTTTTTACAAAGCACCTGTGAAGTACAATTGTTTTTTAAGGTAAGCATTCTAGTACACCTCTTCAGGGAAGTTGATATTATCTAAGATAATAACAGATACAGTGGACAAGGCTAGTAGCAACAATAGAGATGTTCTGTACTACAAGTAAAAGCATACAGGTAATTTTAATATAAAGTACCCGTCTCAGTCCATTGGAATTTGAGTCCAGGATTCTAGTAGAAATGTGAAAGAATGAAAGGAAATGTCCTATTCTTCCAGGATTGAAGGGATATTTTGTTAGAAGGCACTAGTCTTGCCTCCAGGGGTACCAGTGATGGTTACACTGACAGGAATGGAACTCTTCTGCCTCCTGCTTATGAATTACAACCTCCTTGCAAGAGCCCTGTCTTGGGACTTCAAAGAAGCTCTTGTGGCAAGCTCAGATATGTACTATTCACTGTATTCTCTGATGGCTCAGTGTCATTCAAGTTTAAACACAAATATGTTGGAGGCACGAGCCTCCAAGTGTTTCTCTTCAGCAGCCTCTTGACTCCTACTGTCCTCCCTCCTCCCACAGGATGTCCTCTAGGGTTTTATGGAAAAGATTGTGCACTGATATGCCAATGTCAAAACGGAGCTGACTGCGACCACATTTCTGGGCAGTGTACTTGCCGCACTGGATTCATGGGACGGCACTGTGAGCAGAGTAAGTATGAGAGTGTGGCATCACTGGGTGGTATTTTTTTCCTCTAGAATCACATTTCCTAGATGCCAGGAAATATTAAGGCAGAATTCACCACTCCGAGGTTGTTTGAGCTGATGGCTGGTTACTTCTCAGCATGACTGACTTCCCCTCCCAGAGGTCAGGCCTCCCTGGGATCATCGCTGGTTACTCACTGCTCTGGGCGGAGGAGGTGTGACTACAAGAATGAAGACAGAATTCAAGTTTTCCATTCTGTTCTTTTGGGCTCTCCCTTCCTCTCCTTCTTATTTTTGGAATGTGGCTGCTCAGAGCCTTAAAAGATCCAGTCGAGCTTTCTTCATGGCAGAGGCAGAACCCGGGTCTCACATTGGAGGACAGTACATTCGGTGGGGAGGAGGGCTGGTGGCCCAGGGCCAATCCCTGTTGCTGGTGAGGGAACACATCCATGCAAACATTGCCACCCTTTCAACAACCTTCTCTAGATCGTACTTTTATACTGCTTCCATTAACAACTTCTCATCTTAGTCTTAACAACCTTCCAGACAACATACTGCCTTAAAATTTTGTTTAAGTCCCACTGGGGGAGAATATGCCGTTGGAATTACTCATCCTTATTTTTTTATTTCCACCCCACTAGCTATGCATCCCCTCACAGAGTTATAAAAACATTAGTCTTAATAAAATTGAATATTGCAAATTAGTTTATTATTCCTTTCCTCTATGACTTTCTTTCAGTATTCACGATAAATAAATAAGGGCTTAGGGCTGTATCAGACCCACTTTCTTATGATAAAACCTTTTGGGCGGGAAAAGGTGAAGAACAATTCCTGTTCACCAGAGGTTGTACTCTTGGGAAGGATCTGCCAAGATTATGGCCATAGGAGTGGTGTGGCCTGGAAAGATTGATCAGGATAGCAGGACTCTGACAATAAAGCACCCCTCCCCACCCCACTCCACTGGCACCTCACAGAGCCACTCTGAACCTGGTTGCCTCAATTTTATGTGCTAAACCCTAGGGTATTTTTGCATATCCTCTTTCTAGCAAATATAACAAAAGTGACGTCCAGGAATCAGCTCACAACAGAGACAGCCCAATTTTAGTTTTGCATCACTGTTTCATTGAGTCATGAAAACAGATCCTGACTGAGTGACACAGTTGCATACATAACTCTATTGTGCATATAAATATTGTGTGTTTGTGTATAAATGTCTAAATATGCATGGAAACCAGAATAGGCTCAAAATTTTACTTGAATGCCAGATGACTGGTTAAGGTCTTATTAAATAAGAAAACCTCTTAAGTGCTTCCATGATTACTCTCAACAGCAAATTAAAGTGTCCCTATTTTTGGAGACTTCTCCCAATGCTTATTTGTAAACAGAAACCCTGTGTTTGACAGAGAGTTCTAATAATAATAGCACATTGCCCCCTGCTGCTCACTTTATGAAAAATATCAATATTTTGTCACGAAGATTTTTAGATTTAACATGCTTACACTATCCTTTGAAATTCATGCCTAACTCTTATTAAGACCGCATAGTAAGAATCCTATTACTTTCGTCTTCAAGACTTCAACAAAATCCAGAGTTTGAATCACTCCATAGCAAATGAAGTTCTTACCTAGAAAATCAGCAAAACTTGTTGTTTGCATCTTCCCCTATTCCTGGCTAATTCAATTGAGAATGTGCGTTTATGAAGATCCCTGAGCCTACAGTAAAATATATATGTTCTCAAGAAAGCATCTTTAGTGCTCTTCAGTCTAGGCCCCTTCCAGCCTACAGTTTTGCCTGGTGGACTTGTATCAAATTGCCCTTAGTGATTATCTTCATCTGTTCCATGGGAATTCCACAGACTCTCCATATACACATCATAGAGGTAAGTATGTAGCAGCTGAAAGTGTCAGGAGCTCTAATGTTGAGCAGCCCTGTCTCTAGCCCTGTGCAGTCTGGACTGTGAGTGCCACCATGATTCCAGGAATGCTGTCCAGTTCTGGGACACTCTTGGGGGTACAAGTCAGCCTCAATAGGAATCCCCTGAAAGGACTCAGCTCTAGATGTGCAGGGCTTGCAGTCAGAGACAGCCTTGCTCCAAATTCCCAAGGTTGGAAAGCTACATTTGACTTTCCTTCTCTAGAGTGCCCTTCAGGAACATATGGCTATGGCTGTCGCCAGATATGTGATTGTCTGAACAACTCCACCTGCGACCACATCACTGGGACCTGTTACTGCAGCCCCGGATGGAAGGGAGCGAGATGTGATCAAGGTAAATATACTAGCTAATGTTTGTAGCACTGCAGTATTGTGTGAACACCATGTACCAGGCAATGTGAAGTATTTTCACTTATGTTATCCAGCAGAATCTTCACCACAACTCTAAATGGCATAATTGGTTACTTATTTAATTGCCAGATGAATGCCTTATTGTTGCTGTCCTGCAGATAAAGAAACAAAAGCTTAGAGAGGCTGAGTAATTTTCCCAAAGTCACATAGCTAATACTAGAATATGTCACAGCTTTTGTGCCAGATTTTTGTTATTCCAAAACTCATGAACTTTCTACTGGGTCTATGATTTTTTTTCAGCTTTATTGAGGTGTAATTGATACACAAAAAACACACCTATTTAATGTGTACAATTTAATAAAATCTCGACTATCTATATACCTATGAAACCATCACCATAATAAATGAAATATCCATCACCATGTGTTTCCTCATGCCCCTCCCTACTTCTACCACCCCTTAAGCCCCAGGTAATCACTCATCTCTTTTCTGTCAGTATAGATTAGTTTTCATTTTCTAGAATTTTATATAAATGAAATCATACTGTACTCTTTTGGGTCTGGCTTTGTTTACTCAGCATAATTATTTTGAAATGGAACCATGTTGTAGCACATATCAACAATTCAGTTCTTTTCATTGCTGAATACTATTCCATTGTATGGATATACTATAATTTGTTTACCTGTTCATGTGCTGATGGACAGGTGGATTGTTTCCAGTTTGGGGCTATTACAGATAAAGCTGCTATGAACAAGAGTGAATCCAGTTTTTGCATGGACATGTGCTTTCATTTCTCTTGGGTAAATACCTAGGAGTAGAATAATTGGGGTATATAGTAGACATATGTTTAACTTTTTGTAAAACTTGTGCCCCTGGTTTTCAATTGGGGTGTATGTCATAACGACCTGGGAATAGTTGTCAGGTACATGGTCCTATTTGGGAAATTCCGATTCCAGGGTTGGGGACTTTGAGAAAGTGCTTCTGATGGTTCTGAAGCATGCCCTCCAGAGAGCCACAGCTCTTACTGCATGTGGTACTCCCTGGTAGGCAATAAGCAGTTGGGCTATAAAAGGCTTTAGAAAATTGATACACTGTTGTAGATGGAGTAATCTTAAACTGCAGACCATGTAAATATTTACAACATTTAATTTCTTTGGTAAAATGACTTTTACATGCTTATGATTTACATTTGACTGTCATAACAATAGAATGTGATCTTTCATTATCACGTCATAATTACAAATACTCTGTAATCTCACTACATTATCCTTGGTGGTCTGTGTTTCAGGGCAGATTGTTTTGTAAAAAGGTCCTTCAGCATTTAGAATCATAAAATCATAGGAACATTTACTTGAGCTGGAAGCAGTGACATGGAGGCCTCTTTTCTCATTTATAGATGATAAAACTGCAGCCTGAAAGCTTAAGTGAAAGTTCAGAATATCTAGGTCAATTTTTTTAGATGCCAGATTTCTTGAATCTCAACCCATGCCTTTAGCGTTATCACTTGACGGACCATAAGGAAGAACTATGTAATGCCCAATTTTGAATTTAATGAGTAAGGTATTAGGGTAATGCTATCAGGTATTATCAGGACAAATCTTTCTGTCATGGAAAATAACTTTGCACAGAACAATATCTTCTGAGGTAAAAGACCCATTGAAATTAGCAAAAGGTAGATCCTGTTCTTAGACTAGATTTATAATGGTGTTATGCTTGCTTGGAAGGAAAATTACTCTTAGAAATGCTAAGGATAGACATAAAATTTGGTTAAGCAGTTGGGACATTTAGCATTTAACTCTGCATAAGCTCAGTATTGAATAATAAATAAAGCAAAATAAAAATTAGATAAATTGTTACCCCAAATTAATTGCCAGTCTAAGTATTTAATCGGAAATATATAAGAAGCTCTCAAATCCTACTGTTGAATCTCTTTGGGTTCAGAAAATCCTGTCTCTTTCTTTATATTTTTTTAGGGACAGGGTCTTGCTATGTTGGCCAGGCTGGTCTCTAACTGCTAGGCTAGATCAGTTCTCCCGCCTCAGTCTCCTGAGTAGCTGGAACTCCGGGCACGCATCACTGTGCCCAGCTTCTGTCTCTTTTTGAGGCTTACAGCAGCCTTTCTCTGGGCATGGATAGGCCGACAACATCTGACAATGAGGAATGTTTGCTTTTTCTTCCTGCTCTGTTTCCAAATTAATGTTTTATGAACTGAAAATATGCAGGCATTAGCACAGAAGGAGGTTTTTGTAAGTAGAGATCAAACGTTTATCCAGCACATTGTCATCCTTTCTCAAGTCTCTCTTCTTTTTCTAGCTGGTGTTATCATAGTTGGAAATCTGAACAGCTTAAGCCGAACCAGTACTGCTCTCCCTGCTGATTCCTACCAGATCGGGGCCATTGCAGGCATCATCATTCTTGTCCTAGTTGTTCTCTTCCTACTGGCATTGTTCATTATTTATAGACACAAGCAGAAGGGAAAGGAATCAAGCATGCCAGCAGTTACCTACACCCCTGCTATGAGGGTCGTCAATGCAGATTATACCATTTCAGGTAAGAGCAGAGGCAGGAGAGGCATTTTGCTTCTTGAAAAGTTAAATTTCATTCGGGTTCTTTAAAACTGGGTGTTTGGCTGTGCTGTCCATTGTTTCTGTCAATTCTCATTGAGAGAATTCTATGTTTGGAAAAGGTATACATTGCTAGAGATGAGTTTTTTATTTCAACAATAGTAAATTGTCATTCTGTGGTTTGCTATAAGGGTTTTAAAATTGAGCTCATTGTGTTTGTGGTTTAGATTTAGGGAATTTCAATCCATAAGGAGCTTTGTATCCAGCCTCAAGCTTTTGTCATATGTGAGGGGGGTGAGGAGGAAGAGAGGATGATAAGTTTACCAAGGTCATGGATCAGATTAGGGACCAGTTCTCCTGTCTCTGAATGAGGGTACTTTCTATGTGCTTCCCAGCCTCTCCCTAGGCCTACCCGAATCGTTAACTGAAGGGAACAAAGTTATATCAGAAACAGCTTTTTGGTATTAGCAAGAACCAAGGCAGCCCTTTAAGAAAACTCTTGATTTTTTCTGTTCTGTCACAATGCCTCATAAAAGGAAAAATAAAATTATAATCAATCATCAGTAGAAGCAACCATTTACATGGAGGAATTTAAAAGTTTAAAATCTTTATTACTTTTTGGGTGATTATTGAAGGCCTTCTGGTTGGTTACATGTTTAAAACTACAAAATTCCGTGGAAATATGAGAAGTAGCTGATTTACATAGTAGTGCATTTTCAGTGCAGAATTATTGTGTCAAGAACTCAAGTGTTTAAAAAAAGGAAAGTTGCAGAGTAGCTTCAAATGATACCTTCCCAGCTGTACCAGCCCCAAAGCAAAGAGCAGTTATCTGTGGATACTGTGAACAAAAGTTCTCTGAAAAGGAATTTGGGGGAAAGAGATTTTATTCCAGTGAACGGTTTGCAAACCCAGGAGTTGCAGCCAGTGTAAAATGAAAGTGCAGTTCAGAGAACAAAGGGAAGGCTTGGGTTTTATAGCAAAAGTCCCCACCCAGCTTCCAATCAGGCCCTTTTAGGAAAGTGAAGGATTGAAACTGGTTTAATTCTAATTGATCAGTGCAGCTGAGTTCTGGTTGGTTGACACAGCGGAACCCTGATCCTTTGATAAAGCTAAGCCCTGATTAGCTAAGGCAGGTAAGCTCTGATTGGTTGGTTCAGCTGAGCTCTGAAAGACCCAAAGATAAAAAGCTGGGTTTTCAGGGAACTCAGAGTACAGGTGTGATCCTTAGTCAGCAAAGGCCTGCTTGACTCGATTTTAAATTTAGGCCTAGGCAGCCACTCCTATGGATCTTAAATAATTGGTTCTTTCAGTTTCACATTTGTTCACAAGCTTTCATACTTTTCCAAGGAGGCAGTTAGGAAGGTAGAGGCCTGTTGCTTCTAGAAGCTTTGCTGAGTAGGCTGGGCAGGAGGAGATTCTGCCCAGCTTGTGATATGGAAGGAGTCCGGACATTTGTTCAGTTATTTATTTATTTGTTTTTTTATTTAGAGATGGAGTCTCGCTCTGTCACCAGACTGGAGTGCAGTGGTGCGATCTCGGCTCACTGTAACCTCTACCTCCGGGGTTCAAGCGATTCTTCTGCCTCAGCCTCCCGAGTAGCTGGGACTACAGGCGCATGCTACCGTGCCCGGCTAATTTTTTTTGTACTTTTAGTAGAGATGGGGTTTTACTGTGTTAGCCAGGATGGTCTCGATCTCCTGACCTCGTCATCTGCCCGCCTTGGCCTCCCAAAGTGCTGGGATTACAGGCGTGAGCCACCTCGCTGGGCCTGTTTTGTTATTTTGATTCCCTTTTTTCACACACATTTATGGGAGCCTGCTGCCTTAACCATTTCCTTCCCTTCTTGCAGGAACCCTTCCTCACAGCAATGGTGGAAACGCTAATAGCCACTACTTCACCAATCCCAGTTACCACACGCTCACCCAGTGTGCCACATCCCCTCACGTCAACAACAGGGACAGGATGACTGTCACGAAGGTGAGAGGAATTGGTTCAAGTCTTTGGAAGTGGGCTGGGGAGAGAGGAAGGGAACCAGCATTTATTGAGGGCCGCTGTTCACCAGAGGCTGTTCTAGGTACTTTACATATATTATCTAATTTATTCCTCTAAACAGTCCTCTGAGTGTGCTTTGGGAATCTCAAGTTTACTGATGAAAACCTGAGTAGTAGGGAGTTTAAGTTACTTCCAGACATAGCTGCCCGATAATGAGTGAGGCAGCTGCTGTGTGAGTCAAAGTCTCTCTGTCTCTACAATCTGTACTGTTTCCATTACACCGCTTTAGAAAAACGTTTCTAATTTTACATGAGATTTTAAAATAATGACTCATAATGACATTAACAAAAACATAAAGACCTATAGCAGAATCAGCCGTGGGCAAAATCTCCAAGTGTGTCTCTTCTGACCGCCCGTCCTCCAGTACCCGTTCCTGGCCACCTGTGCTTTAGTAACAACAACAGTAATAGGCACTGATTTGGGTTGAACCACATGAAATTGCTATTTTTGTAGGTCAACAGTGGTCACATAGCAACAACCTAATATTATGTGCCAAGCATTTCTAATCACTTAAAAATATAAACTCATTTAATCTTCACACCAGTCCTATAAATCAAGAGTGATTATTATGCCGATTTTACAGATGAGGAAACTGAGTCACAGAGAGGTTGGAGACAGAGTGTCTAGAACCCAGAGCTGCTACTCCAATAGCACCCAACTCACCCCAGGTCTTCCCCACAATGCTCTGAAGTCTCAAACATTTCTTTCTTCCAGTCATACCCAAATTATATTTCTAATCTCTGTTGTCTAATTCCAGTGCTCTATTAGAAAAAAAATCAAGCTAATTAAGTTAATCCAGTTGTAATTTAATTAATGCAGCTATAGATTTTAATTATAGTGCTTCATGGTTAAATATCACTCCACATACCCCAGAGACTTTCACATTCATCAATTTATTCTCATACAAATTCAGGGAAGGAGGCAAAGCAGATAATCTTATCCTCATGTTTACGCCTAGGATAACTGCTAAGAGTCACCTGTGATTCACACAAACATACAATTTTTGATGGAAGAACTTAGACCAAGAGTTCTTTTTTTTTTTTTTTTTCCAAATCAAAGTTACATGTGTATAAATCCAAATAAGGTCTAATTGGCACAGGATGACAGAGTGAAATGAAGATCTTGAGGTGGTGGAGGGAGTAGCTAGGACTGAAGGACATGAACTCCTGCCAGCTTGCAAGTCCCACCAGGTTACAAGCAGTCACCTCGGCCCCTGAGCTCAGGTCACTCTAAGGACTGGTCCTCAATATGTGCCCTGGACTTTTCCCCAGGTCCATAACGCTGTGCTGTGCCGCATTGTATTTTGTTTTTAATCTTTCGTTGTTTATATTTTTAACAGTCAAAAAACAATCAACTGTTTGTGAATCTTAAAAATGTGAACCCTGGGAAGAGAGGCCCTGTGGGGGACTGCACTGGGACATTGCCGGCTGACTGGAAACATGGCGGCTACCTCAACGAGCTCGGTGAGTTCTCCCAACGCACGTCCCCAGAAGCACCTTGACCTGTCAGTCCCTGAAACAGTCACGGATCTCTGTTTGTGCCAAGGTGTTCTATTGAAAACTTGCATCAAAAAGCACAATAGCAGAATTATGCCTAACACCTGTACAGGGCTATCTACTGTCCTAAGGGCTTTATCTATTCAACAAACATTTATTGAGTTCCTACTATGTGCCAGGAATTGATCAAAAGAGATTGGGATCTCTGCCTGCTCGTAGCTTACATTCTTGCTCTATGCCTGTTAACTTAATTCTCACAAGTACTCTAATAGGTGGGTACTATTGTTATCACCATCTGCATGTTACAGTTGAGAAACTGAGTCATAACAAGGTTATGTTACTTGCACAGGACCTCATCGCCTGTTAAATGTTAGAGCTAGTATTGGACCCTGTCAGCTTGGCTCACAGCTGTGTGCTCTTCCTTGTTCTCTTTTGATATAGGGTATCTGTACTTGAGATCCCCTTCCCTTTCAGGTGAGGAATCAGAGATACCAACAGGAATACAGTGGATCAGTGGTTCGGGCAACTTTTTGAAATTAGGACTCCTTTGCATTCTTAAAATTTATTGAGGACCCAAAAGAGCTTCTGTTGATAGGGGCTATATCTATTTATATTTACCATACTAAATGAAATTTAATATGTAAATAAAAACTGGAAAAAATAGAATGTTAATTTATTTAAATTAATAATAATCACATTTCATGGTAACATAAATTGTGTTTTTATTAAAAAAAACTACATTTTCCAAAACCCTTCAAAATTAGCGAGAAGAGCAATGCTATTTTACATTTTTATAAAAAAATCTCTTTAATGTCCAGCTTAATAGAAGATAGCTGGATTATCATGTCTGCTTTTACGTTCAGTTGGTTTTGATCTCATACTTTATGTAGCTTCTGAAAAACTCCACTGTACACTTGAAAGAGAATTAGAGTGAAAACGGCAAATATTGTTGTTGTATTGTTATGGAAATAGTTTTGCAGCTGGGCACAATGGCACAGGCCTATAGCCCCAGCTACTTGGGAGCCTGAGGCAGGAGGATTGCTTGAGCCCAGGAGTTTGAGTCTGATCTGGATGACATAGCGAGACTCACCTCTTAAAATATATATGTGTATATATAGTTTTGATCTCATAGGCCTCCTGAAAAGGGGGCAGGAATGCTTGGTCCATACTTAAAGAACTTCTGTGATATACCATTAATTATGCAGTGCAGTTTCCAAGCCTGTAACCCATATTTTCAGACAGGAGTTTGATGATGTAGTAACTTACAGGTGTGCAGTGTCTTACGGATAGCAAATCCTTTCACGTACATTTATTTGGAGGTAGGTGCCAGAAATCCCAGTTAAATTTGAATTTCAGATAGATAAGCAACACATTTTTTTGTATAAACATATCACAGATATTACATGGGATGTACACTAAAGATTATTTTTTGTTTCTTTTAAATTTTAATATAACTGACCTTTGTGTATTTTCATTTGCTAATGTTTTGTTTTGTTTTGTTTTGTTTTTGTTTTTGTTTTTGAGACAGAGTCTCGCTCTGTCGTCTAGGCTGTAGTGCAGTGGCGCGATCTCGGCTCACTGCAAGATCTGCCTTCTGGATTCAAGTGATTCTCCTGCCTTAGCCTCCCAAGCAGCTGGGATTACAGATGTGCACCACCATGCCTGGCTGATTTTTGCATTTTCAGTAGAGACAGGGTTTCTCCATGTTGGCCAGGCTGGTCTCAAACTCCTGACCTCAAGTGATCTTCTTGCCTCAGCCTCCCAAAGTGCTGGGATTACAGGCATGAGCCACCACACTTGGCCCATTTGCTAAATTGGATGATCCTCCTGGGTGGACTCTCTCCTGTGAATCTTGTTTTGTAGAGGAGTAGACTGGGAGGCACAGAGAGGTTAACCCTCTTGTCTGAAATTTCAAAGAAGGAAAGGGGTAAAGCCAGATTTCAAAGTTGATCTTCTGACTGCTCCCCTTAAACACTGCTTCTCCTGTAAGCAGTGTCAAGTTCTCTGAGCCAGTCATAGGAACTGATCCCTGTGGGAATGCCTCTTTCTATGGAAATAAAAATGTTTTACTGGTGAATACAAATTCTTAGTCATTTCCATAGTGTAGTCGTTATCACGCTCGCTGTACAAATTCCTAACTTTTATCTGTATTCTATACCATTTTTATCAATAGGATGAGTATTTCTAACCACAGTAAAATTATTTACATACGAGACTCACAATATGCTTATTGGTAACATCATCTAACATTAAAGGAGACTTTTTAGGAGTCTTAATTACATTTATAATTTAGCTCAAAGGAATATATGAATTGATATTCAGCAAAATACCAACCAGCGCTAGTGAAAGAAAAGTCATCTTGTTCTATCTTAGACCACTGTGAAGACTCCAGAAGATACGGCATCACTGTACTGGTCACATGTAAATGTCTCTGCTTTCTGGCTCAATGAGACCCAAGGGACTGAGTGTTAGGAACCTAGGATCTTCATTGGAAATTCTGGATCTTCTTGGTTTGTTCTCACTCAGGAATAATTCTGCATTTAACATCCCTTTAAAGTTGTTGCACAGAAAAAGTTCTTCACAAAGGACAGAGTCAGGCATGTTATGGATGATAAAGCTTACAGGTGCTTTAAATGATGGAATAGTTGTCGTCATGGTATCTGAAAGAGCCTTGAACTAGACACAAAAGACCCTGAGATATAGCACTGGGCCAGTCACTTACCCTCACTTACCCTTGATTCGTTCATTTGTGAAATGGGAGTAATAAGCATGTACTGGCTCGTTTTGTGAATTAAATTAAACCAAGCATTTGAAAGCCCTGCTCCAGGGATGGGTGTATATAGGAGTTTATAGGGAATCCTGACTGCTCCCTCATTAAAACAGCTCCCTGATCCTCCAAGGCAATGAAGACAGAATCTGGCAGGGGTGTCTGGCCTCATAGCCCCAGCTCTTATTCCCTAACTTACTATCTGCTCCATGCTGGTTCTCTCTTTCACACCTTGGTGGAAGGCTAGCCACTGCACAGCTAAGATTAAAATGGGCATTTAATAAGACTTTGCTACAGTCTGGAGATGGCCAAGAGTATTTGGCAAAGAGGAGCATAGACAGAGCTCCTTGATAAAGCTGTTCTCAGAGGCCACAGACTGTGCCCCATCTTCATGGGTCCTCTTTATAAAGTCTGGGAATTCCCAAGACCACCCTGACTTCTGACATCAGCTACAAGTTGAAAGATCACCAAGACGACCCTCAGGATCAACATTTTGCTACAAGGAGTCACTGAACTCACTGAATGGGCATTCTCATGGTTACAGTTTATGGGGGGCTCAGTCATATAGACATGATTGACTCCCATCATGTAGACATGATTGACCTTTAGTCTTTCCCCTTCCAGAGGTGGAGATGATACCATATGGCCCAAACCCCCCACCATAAATCACTTGGTTACACTATCCGGTGTATCCCTGGGCCTCCGGGTGAACAAAAGCACTCCTATTGGGCAGGACAGTCCAAGGACTTCAAGATCACCTCCCAGGAGCTGAGGGCAAAGGCCACCCCTTTCTTTGATAAGGTTAATTCTTCACTACACACCCATTTATGCTGCCTCCCTGCATAACCGTGTGCCCTTCCCCCCAGCTATGGGCTTGGTTAGACTCTTCACAACCCAGATGCAAGAGAGTGTGCCTGAGAGAGGAAAATATTCCCATTTCCTGTCCCACGATGATTGATATCTGACAGACCCTCTCCCTTTAGGAGAGGCTGCTTCCTTCTCCACAACAGTGTGTGCTTACTCAGTGATCCCCATGGGACACCAACATCAGAACTTGAGCTTAACATCTCTCTAAGAGATGCATGCACAGTGGCAAGGATATCGTTTCCTTAACATTCTCAAATACTTACCTGGAATGTTCATTGCTAGTTGTTACTTTACTCTCTGCTTTTAACCTAAGTCTGTAACATTCTTATTGTATTGTATTTCAAAAGATTAGTGATGAAGTTTTGCCATATTGCCCAGGCTGGTCTTGAACTCCTGGGCTCAAGCAATCCACCCACCTTGGCCTCCCAAAGTCCTGGGATTACAGGCATGAGCCACCGCACCCGGCCTGTAATATTCTTTTGAAAGGCAATTGAAAATGCCTTGGAGTGCTTAAGGAAAGACTGAAGCAGAGGGTAGTATAATGCACTGAGCGTTAGAGTAATTGACACACTTCATTTGTATGGTGCTTCAGAGTTTACAAAGCCTTTTCATATGCTCTGTTTCACTTAATGATGACAAAAACCCTGGAAGGCTGGAAGGCAAATTTTGTTTTCCCCATTTTAGAGATGAGAAAATTGACACTCAGAGGGTGGAACATCTTGCCCAAAGTCCTATGGCCAATAAGTTATAACATGTAATTCCTTTGTCTCCTAATCTATAGTTTTCTCCTTTTTTGTCACAACACAGCTCCAATAGAATAATTGACTCCCATGCAGTATTAACAATGCAATTTTGCACGTATACACCAGATAGTATAAAATGGGCTAGGTAATGTCGTCTTATTTTGTTTTTAGTAGTGCGAATTTGTGATTAAATGCTTATATTTTATACAACATGCTTGTGACCTGATTGATTTCTGTAAGTGGTTGCACGTTCTCTTGCCTACATGCTCAATTTTTCCAGCATGAGCCGGAACACTCCTATTTCCCTCCCCACACCCACGAAATAAAGGCTGGCCATTTTCCAATGAGAAAGCAGGTTTTTTTGTGTGTATCTAGGCTCATACACAATTATGTCCCCATACCTGGAAAAGTCAAATTATGAAAAGCTGAATAAAGAAGGGCAAGAGCTAGTATCACCTGTAAAGTATTAGTCAACAGTGTTCGAAGCTTCCAGTCTCCAGAAAACATGCTTATAGTGAAGACAATAATATAACCGAATAATGATTATTGGGAAAACTATTTGAAAACCATCAGAGCCTTGAAAGAGCTGCACGTAGGTATGAAATGTCAACTCTGGTCTTGGCTGTATCCTTTCTTTTCACTGTGCAACCTTGAATCAAGTATACTGATTTATCTCTGGGCCTCAGTTTCTATCCTGTTTTGACTAGCTTTTCCTGAGTCACTGTAAATGACTAGGTGAATGACCAAATGTGTGTGTGTTTAATTCTAGGCACTGGGGACATCTGGGACAACTGATCTGGTGTAAAGGCTTGAAGAGCAGCAGCCTGGTTGTTTGCTGCAGTGGGAGATCCTCTTCCAGGACCTTGGGATATTGGATGGGGTTTTTCTTCCTTTCAGTTCTCACTGGGTGTTTTTTTTCTTCCTTTATTACAGGTGCTTTTGGACTTGACAGAAGCTATATGGGAAAATCCTTAAAAGGTATCATGTAAATTTGAAGAAGAAATCAGAAGCACAATTAAATTTTTTTTAACCTCAAAGACTGAAATAGTTTTTAAACAAGCTAGAATGGCAAGAGAAAATGTAGAATTTTTAGTGTGGTCAGTTACTACAGCAAACACACAAACATGTGTGACTGACATCAAGAAAGTGACCAGAGGTGGTCCTTGGTAGAGCTTAAGTCTTTGGGGAACAAAAGATTCAGTTTGCTGAGGAAACACTCATATTTCATTTAAAAGAAATATGGCTTATGGGGAGACGGAAACATATAAAGGGAAATAGCCGGGACAATAAGAAAAGATCCACATGGTTACATGTTGACCAAGTTCTGCTGTTCAGGATGGGTGTGCATGATTAGATGCCTAGTACAGAGCTTTTACTAGGAGTCCTCCCAGCACAAATGCCTTCTTGTCATGATAATAGAGCCCTCTTGGTGCTCCTGGGGCCATCAACAGCTGGTTTCTTGATTGAACTTCTGTAAATTTTCTATTAATAAAACAAAACGTAATTGATTATATTCTAATGTGATCATAAAAATGAAATCAGTTAATGATATTGATGTCAGTACTCATCTTGGAGAGGAGCTAAAACTACTTTAGGGATGGGTCATTTTATAGCAGATTCTCTCCAAAACAAGTGGAAAAGGTACAGTATTATTTTCAGTGTGTAGAATTATGGAAACCTAGCTATAAAGAAAAACAGTAAAATATCACCAAGAAATGATGTTGCCAGTGACACAGCATTAGCTTTCTCTTCTCATTTCTCTTCACAGACCTGGGAAAGAATTCTGAATATAATTCAAGTAACTGCTCCCTAAGCAGTTCTGAGAACCCATATGCCACTATTAAAGACCCACCTGTACTTATCCCGAAAAGCTCAGAGTGTGGTTATGTGGAGATGAAATCGCCGGCACGAAGAGATTCCCCATATGCAGAGATCAATAACTCAACTTCAGCCAACAGGAATGTCTATGAAGTTGGTGAGTTCCCTTAACCATAGAAAGAACCGAGTGCTTAAGTTTTTAAAAACAATTTTAAAGTCTTTACGAATATAATAGTTGCAGGTCATAGAAATCTTATTGAAAATAATGGTCCGTATTTTATTTTATTTTATTTTATTTTATGTATTTTTTGAGATGGGGTCTCTCTGTCACCCAGGTGGTGTGCAGTGGCACAGTCTTGGCTCACTGCAACCTCTACCTCCCGGGCTCAAGCCATCCTCCCACTTCAGCCTCCCAAGTAGCTGGGACCACAGGCACGCACTACCACGCCCAGCTAATTTTTTGTATTTTGGGTAGAGACGGGGTTTTGTCACCATATTTTATTAATAGATGCGACCTGTGTTTTTAGCGATCATATTAATTGGTGCCAAAGGAATTTTCCAGGGAAAATATTATTTAGAAAAATTTAAGGTAAAGTTTCTTTATTTTTCACCTAATCATCCATCTTTTGTTTTGTAACCATAGTGAATATTTTGGCACACATGTGGATAGCATATGTATCATATTAGCTAATATATCTACTTAGCCGAAACAAATGGTTCAAGTGGATTAAACAGGTGATTCCATTTCCTGGTTCATTATATTAATATAATGCATTTAGCAAGATTGAAACATTTTACTTTTAAACTTGTCCAAAAGAGCAGTAATATTCTCTGATGTGAATGTGATGCAAATTAATATGAATTCAATTTAAAATTGGAGTTATTTTGATTGTCTTTTGCAGATACCACTTGGGAAATGATAAAACATTCCACCACTACTCTTGGCTAAACAATAGGGCTATATATTTTCATTTCTCTCTCTCTCTCTGTCTCTATTTCTATGTCTCTCTGAGTATTTATGATTTTAACTTTAAAATATTCTCTACTACTTGTAAATGAAGTGCCTACTTTACTACTAGTAATTTATTTTATGCCAGATACATCCCTGGGAAAAAATATACAAAATAATTTATTTTTAAAGTATTAAGACAGCTTTTTAAAATGCAAGTCAAAGTGAACTAAATTTATTTTTGGAAAGTCAGTAACAATTCTCCTTTAAACTGTCCCACAAACCTGCCACAGTAGGATGGGAACTCAAATGAGAGCCTGAGTCTTGAGTCCTAAAGTTCTGAACATGTTGAGTGTTTTCATGAACTGAATTAACGTTTGAGAATGTCAGTCTTCTCACCTGTGGAATAAGGGGCTTGGCCTACCTTATCCCCAAGGTGTTTTTCAGACCATGATTTATTTCCAGGATTCTGTATATTCCCTTAATATCTTCATCCCGATTATGTGGTCCTCCTTTTGTTCTGAACACCATTTGTGTTTGCCAGTTGATCCAACTACACAGAGTTGCCACCTGTATGTGATGATTTTTAAAATCATGTTTTTAAAACCAGCATTTCCTTATATTTTTTTAAAAGTCCCTTTGGTGTGTTTGACATTTGCAAGAAATGCCATATTCTTTTTAAAAACATTTCCTTTGCTGATAAATTAATATGTCCTTGGTTATCACAGAACCTACAGTGAGTGTTGTCCAAGGAGTATTCAGCAATAATGGGCGTCTCTCCCAGGATCCATATGACCTCCCAAAGAACAGTCACATCCCTTGTCATTATGACCTGCTGCCAGTCCGAGACAGTTCATCCTCCCCTAAGCAAGAGGACAGTGGTGGTAGCAGCAGCAACAGCAGCAGCAGCAGTGAATGACACCAAAGGACCGCTTGGTAGCCACTGGAACCCTTTCCAGAACTGCTGTTTGGTTCTTCTCCATCCTCAATTTTGCCACTTTCATGTGAATGTTAGTCAATTCGGTGGGCAATTTTTGGACATGAACCAGAAAGCTGAAAGCTGAGGCTGACACGGACTGTAGGTGCTTTTTGTTCAGGTGGATTCGAAGGAGTTAGAGATGTGATTTCCCATTGCTGTTAGTTTTAGAACTATACCCGTGAAGCATGACTTATTGTAAGATGTTGGCTGAAAGCATGAACTTGCAGAACTCCCTCGGAGACGCAGGTTGCAGTGGACATTGGGATTGTTGCTTGAAAAATTAAAATTTGAATATTTTCTCTCTCATTTGCATCATACAGCTCTACCTAGGATTGTACAGTTTACCATAAAATTTACTTCATGAAAGTGGGAATCACTGAACATGTAGAAGACAAGGAACATATTGTTAACTCCTGATTCTTAACTTTATTCAACTGGACTCAGAATTGTAGGGATAATATGAATGCAGGAGGAAACATTCTGTCAGGCGGTATGACTGGACAGACTTTGAATATACTCTAAAAGTGGACAGAAAATTTACGAAAATCTTAGATTTTGTTTAGAATGAGAAAATATACAATTAGAATTATTTTAGAAATAGTAGGAAGTATTGCAGAAGTCAATACACAAATGTGCCAGGCAGAGGTGGTTTTCTCTGTTTGACTCTCAACCAACTTCAGATCTATGACATTATTCTGATCACTGGCTCCATCATACATATTCACCACTTGAGATTCATAACATATCAATAGTTATTTCATAAATATAGAAATGAAATAATTTTATTTTTGACAGACTGGATGGAATGAGTGTGTAATGATTGATAAAGGTTGTAAATTTTAAATGCAAGATGACGCTTACGTTCTGTAAACCATTAGTAATACATGCTGTAATATAGAATTAGTGGAACATTTTGATTAATCTTTCCCTAGAAGTGACTGAAATATTTTTGTGCATATTTGAGAAAGGGAACTTTCCTTTTATTAATTGTCAATTTAGAGAAACTATGCTTAAGCTGGTCTTTTGCATTGCTAATGTGACATGTACCCAACTTTTCATTAATTTGTATTTCCATTTTTAAATTGCATATTCTATGTTTTGTAGTGTTTGGATTGTTAATGAAAAAATATTATATGTTCGTTATTCCTTGTATTATTGCCACTTATCTTTTGCTTGATAAAAATGCGTTGTTCTTTTTTCTTTTGGAGGGACAAGATGAAAATATATAATTTGAATTGATTAAAATTGGTCGTTACTAAAATAGTATAGTAACCACAAGTGATTGGCTTATAAATGAAGTAGAAATGCTTTTTAATATTCCAAAATAGAGTTCCTTTTGATCTGTTGGTGCTGAGCCTTGGTTAAACCAGGGAGAAGGGGAGCAGAAAGGAAACGTTGTTACTGATGAGTACCACAGACTCATCTTAAAAAAAACTCTCATTATGGTGATCATAGAATTGACCATCCAAACTGGGACACTCTTGAGAGTAAATGGAGGGCATTATTAATAATTATCTTGTAATGAACTTAAATCTGGACTGTTCCAGGCAAACCAGACTTATCTTGCAATATGAGAATGCTGACACAATGCAGGAAAGCCAGTTTCCCTTTTGTTGATCTACTTGACCAAGCAAAGGGGCTGAAAAACTGAATAAGGAAACAACTTTATAAGAGAAACAGTGGTCTTCAATCTTTTAAAGACATGAAATCCTATATGGCATTCTGTCTCAGTGAGTCAGTTAACAAATACGTATGTGCAACCCTTCTGCTAGTAGTGCACATAAGTGATTATCCCTGCCAGGTATCGAGTTGGAATATCCAGTTATTTCATGTCACACATCGGCACGTATGATGGTGGTTTGGTCAGATGGATAATACAGCAGACACACTTAGAACACTCACTGCACTGGTGGCTGTTCATTTTGAGGAACTCCAAAGTCAATTCAAGGAAATAAGGAATGACCTGGAACAGGCCTTAGAAACAATTGATTTATTCCAATAGTTAACCACTGGCTGGCTCCCAACTCTAGGTGATAGGCATCTAATTGAGACATGTGTGAGTCAATAGCCATCGGGGTCCTTTTTGGTGAGAAGAAATAAGACATTTTCTCCCTTTTAAAGATCATCTCTTCAGAGCTGCATGGTAAATTTGAATTTCCCCATTGTTCTCTAGAGCTAGGTCAAAAAAACAACTGTTTCTTTTCTTATTCCACTATTAATAAATTGAAAGCTTGCTGTACAAAGGCAACAGCAACTTAAAAAAGAAAATCTGGACAATAGATGTGGACTCCAAGGGGCCACTGCCATCCCTTCCTGTGTGCTCTTTTTGACAAGTAAATCACTCCAGTTAGCTGATGTCCTGAAATGACATTTGTACCTGAGGCAATTCTTATTAGAGCTTACTCAGGACTTTTCAAACATCAGGACACACATAGCAATTTGGATGTTGTAAAACTACGTGTTACATTTGGAGAGGTCTTGTTGAGAAGGCAAAATTTTCTAAATATTTTGATATCAATTTGGGTAAAGAAAGGAATACTTTTGTTAGAATGAGAATTAAAGAGAAAACAAAAGAATCTTGGCAAAATTTTCCCTCTGAAATTACAAACTTTAGGAACTTTTCCAGATGTATCGAATTTAATTTGACATTGATGTCACTCTTCATACCAAGTGAATCTATTCTCATGAACTTTGAACCCATGTTAATTTTGGACCCTATAACTAATTTCCTTTCTGTATCCCATGGTGGTCAAAGCAGTAAAGGAGTTTAGAGATACTTAGCAAATGCCATTCATATAGTATTGTTAGCCAAACTATTATTCCTTCCTTAGAAGTTGATGTATCAGAAAATTTATAAGTTATTTGTATTTATATATAAGTACATCAGAACTTGCCCACATGATAACTCATGTTTGCTTTAATAAGGAAAATATGTTATTTGAGGTTAATTATATGATAGTGAGGAACATTTTACAATTATTTACAGTGTTTGACATTAATTGCTGTCCTATGATACAGTAGTAATGTTAACAGAGAGTTTAATATGTTTAGCATTATCTTTATGGAATTTATATTCACCAATTTCAGGAAAACCAACCATAGAACTTTATAATAGGACAGTTATAACCTGACTGAACCAAATCCATCAGCATAATGACTGTGTGTTCTGAGAAATGCAAACAACTTTATGAAAGTGTGGTCATCTTGACCCCCAAAGAGCCACAGTAGCTGTCAATTATTGAGATTTTTAAATGGTAAATATTGCAAAAGTTAAACAAGGGTACCACAATATCATTTATAATTGATGTCAATATTAGTAGTCCACTTTATGCTTAAAATAAAATCATAAAAAATCAAGTTTTAAGGTTATATTTTTTAAAATAATGAATTTTCTATCTCTAGGCAACATGTCTTTATTATTCAAGCTGAATGTTTAAGAGAGATTTTGGTCTTAAAGGCTTCACATCATGAAAGTGTACATGCATATGCAAGTGTGAATTACGTGGTATGGATGTTTGCTTGTTTATTAACTAAAGATGTACAGCAAACTGCCCGTTTAGAGTCCTGTTAATATTGATGTCCTAACACTGGGTCTGCTTATGCTAGTTCAGTATTTGGTCTAGGCTTCATTTTGATATGACTGAATTGCAATCTATATTTTTAAAAAGAAAAATCAAAATACATTAGGGTTTACTTGGTTGTGGCAAACAAACAAAAAATGCTTTCAGTGTTGAAATATCTCTATTTTCCAAAGATGATAAACTTTCATCGTTCTTAGCCTACATTGTCATTTATATCACCAAATGAGTTTATAGATTAATGCAATAAACTTTCTAATAAAAAACTCTAGTGTTTCTTTCTATATCTGATTCTACTGTTGATTAATGAGAGAAAAAACCTTGTGCTCGTATGGAAAAAATAATATTTTTTCTTGTTCTTGAAGGACAGAGGCAACATTTTATTCATATTTGGATCCCTGGAACTCAGGTTAGGGGCTGATAGTCAAGTCTTCTGTAACTAGCTTTAGGTTATCTTATGTGGATTTGCTTTCTAAATCTCAGTGCCCATTAGTACTTTCATTTATGACTAAAACATCTTTGAAACATTTGCATTATAGCACTGCGGAGCAGGGATCAAACATGAGTAAAACATTGTTTCTTCTTTCAATAGCTGTTTCTTTACTGGGGCCCTGAATGCCAAGCACAGCTGGGGATGCAGAGACGTGTAAGGCATGAGCTGTTTTGGAGTCCTTCATTATTTAGTTAGGGAAATAAAGCATATGGCTGGCTGTGTGACTGGTTCTGTGGGTTAAGTTAGCCTCTTAAGGCCTTGGCTTCTATATTGCAATACATTGGAAGTAACAGTACAATAAATTTCATAGGGTTTGTGAGAATTTAATAACTTTATACATACAAAACACTTCAGTGCCTGGCATACACTAAGCACCTCGTAAATGTTAGCTGACATTGCTATTATGAAAAATTAGCTAATAATATGAACCAGTTTGCAATAACCAGATGAATGATGGGGCTAATAGATCAGAAGAGAGTATTTAATGAATATTATAGAAGCTATACATTTGAATGACCATATCCTGATCTATTTTTATACTAGCACAAAATTCCATACATATTTTATTTCTAGAGATGTAATTTAGGAAAGCAATAATATGTTTATATTTTCCAGTAACATGTTATCTAATTGGAATTAGGAATGCTTTTACAACATTTGGATGTGAGTTTCTGAGGAAAATGGTGACCTGGGAACATTCTAGAGAATATGACCATCCAGAAAAAGTCAAGGGCTGGTTTTGGCAACCAGAAGGGGTTCTGCATACAGGGAGGCATCAAGTCCTTGAAAGAATGTGCCAGTTGGGGCTAAAGATGTAAATGAGAGTTAATGCGAGGTGGAGAGGGTGCATGATGAGAGTCAGCTATCTTGGGTGGATACACAAAGACAAGGGAAGGTAGAAATGT
Organism: Homo sapiens; assembly: GCF_000001405.40. NCBI lineage: Eukaryota > Metazoa > Chordata > Mammalia > Primates > Hominidae > Homo > Homo sapiens. The sequence continues at coordinate 127,462,355 of NC_000005.10, forward strand.
TTCTGCTGTTTGCATTATGCGGCAATGAAAGAGGCAAACTGTTCCCCGGGTGATGGCACTTAGGAGAGGCAGTTTCCACATTGGGCTGAGGTCAACCTATCTCCACTTGGACTCGTGAACTGAGGCCTTCTGCCACTTACATCAGTAAAAGGGATAAGGCTGGGTTTGGTAGCTCATGCCTGTAATTCCAGCACTTTGGGAGGCTGAGGCAAGAGGACTGTTTGAGCCCAGGAGTTTGAGACCAGCCTGGGCAACATGACAAAACCCAGTATCTACAAAAAATACAAAAAATTATCTGGGCATGGTGATGTGCACCTGTAGTCCCAGCTACTCGGGAGGCTGAGATAGGAGGATTGCTTGAGCCTAAAGGTTTAAGGCTGCAGTGAGCCATGATCGCACCGCTGCACTCCAGCCTGAGCCACAGAGTGAGACCTTGTCTCAAAAAAGAAACAAATAAACAAACAACAAAGGGACTAAACTAATCACCAGCTAGTCACTAAAGAAAAAATGCCTACCCTAACTGTCAAATCAGAGGCAATACAAACCTGCACCCTCTCAGTATAAATAGACAAAGAAAGATCACAACCCACTCAGGAACATTGCAGCCCAGTTAGAAGAGATTAAACTGAAAAACTGCAATAAGCCTCTACTATGGAGGTAGAGCTAATGTAGAAAATAGAAGAAAACTTAGATAAAATATGATTAAAACTCTTGAAGGGTTACAGTCACAGGACAAGTGAGAGGCCCCTGGAACTAGAAATAATGATTTCCTAATTTAAAAAATTCAATAGAAGGATGTAAAAACAAAAGCAATATGTTTTTATTTATTTTTATTTTTATTTTTACCTTTTAAGTTCAGGGGTACATATACAGGTTTGTTACATAGGAAAACATGTATCATGGAGTTTTTTGGTACAGATTATTTCGTCACCTAGTTATTAAGCCTAGTACCCATTAGTTATTTTTCCTGATGCTCTCCCTCCTCCCACCGATAAGCCCCATTGTGTGTTGTTCCCCTCAATGTGTCCATGTGTTCTCATCATTTAGCTCACACTTATAAGTGCGAACATGTGGTATCTGGTTTTCTGTTTCTGCCTTAGTTTGCTAAGGATAATGGCCTCCAGCTCCATCCATGTTCCTGAAAAGGACATGATTTTGTTCTTTTTTATGACTGCAGAGTATTCCGTGTGTACCACATTTTCCTTATCCAATCTGCAATGGATGGGCATTTAGGTTGATCCTATGTCTTTGCTATTGTGAATAGTGCTGCAAAGAACACGTGTGCATGTGTCTTTAATAATAGAACAATTTATACTCCTATGGGTATATACCCAGTAATGGGATTACTGGGTCAAATGGTATTTCTGTTTTTAGATCTTTGAGGAATTGTTACACTATCTTCCACAATGGTTGAACTAATTTACACTCCCATCAACAGTGTATAAATGATCCTTTTTTTCTGCAACCTTGCCAGGATCTGTTATTTTTTGACATTTTAGTAACAGCCATTCTGACTGATGTAAGATAGTATCTCATTGTGGTTTTGATTTGTATTTCTCTAATGATCAGTGATGTTGAGCTTTTTTTCACATGCTTGTTGGCTGTATATATGTCTTCTTTTGAAAAGTGTCTGTTTATGTTCTTTGCCCACTTTTTAATGGTTTTTTTCTTGTAAGTTTGTTTAAGTTCCTTAAAGATGCTGGATATTAGACATTTGTCATATGCACAGTTTGCAAAAATTTTCCCTCATTCTGTTGTCTTTTCACTGTGTTGATAGTTTCCTTTATTGTGCAGAAGCTCTTCAGTTTAATTAGATCCCGTTTGTCAATTTTTGCTTTTGTTGCAATTGCTTTTGGCATCCTCGTCATGAAATCTTTGCCTGTTGCTATGTCCAGGATGGTATTGCCCAGGTTGTCTTCCAGGGTTTTTATAGTTTTGGGTTTTACATTTAAGTCTTCAATCCATCTTGAGTTGATTTTTTAATATGGTGTAAGGAAGGGGTCCAGTTCCAGTCTTCTGCATATGGCTAGCCAGTTATCCCAGCAGCATTTATTAAATAGGGAATCTCTCCCCCATTGCTTCTTTTTGTCAGACCTGTAGAAGATCAGATAGATGTAGGTGTGTGGCCTTATTTCTGGGTTCTCTATTCTGCTCCATTGGTCTATGTGTCTGTTTTTGTGCCAGTACCGTGCTGTTTTGGTTACTGTAGCCCTGTAGTACAGTTAGAAGTCAGGTAGTGTGATGCCTCCAGCTTTGTTCTTTCTGCTTAGGAATGCCTTAGATATTTGGGCCCTTTTTTGGCTCCATATGAATTTTTAAAAAGGTTTTTCTACTGCTGTGAAGAATGTCAATGGTAGTTTAATAGGAATAGCATTGAATCTATAAGTTGCTTTGTGTAGTATGACCATTTTCATGATATTGATTCTTCCTATCCATTAGCATAGAACTTTTTTTATTTGTTTGTGTCACCTGTGATTTCTTTGAGCAGTGTTCTGTAATTCTCCTTGAAGAGATTTTCACCTCCTACTTAGCTGTATTCCTCAGTATTTTATTCTTTTTGTGGCAATTGTGAATGGGATTGGGTTTCTGATTTGGCTCTCAGCTTGACTGTTGTTTGTGTATAGGAATGTTAGTGATTTTTGCACACGAATTTTGTATGTTAACTGCTGAGACTTAGGAGAGTAAATTTTCAAAAATTGAAATCATAGTTGAGAAAACAGAAAAGACTGGTCCAAGAGACCCAATAGTTAAGTAGTTGCTAATCCAGAAGGAGAAATAAGGAACCACGGAGAAGTAGAAATCAAAGAAATAATAGAAAAAACTTCCATAAACTACGCCTTTCCATAATATGAATCTCAGATCTTCAGATCTTTATTTCAGATATAAAAGGATTTACCACGTTAATGAAACAGAATTAATAAAATACTATGGAGGGAAATACATCCTAGTCAAATTTCTGAACTCTAAGGATAGAAAAACAAACTTAGAATTGTACAAGCAGAATTAACATATGGCTTACACAGGAAAGATAATTGCATCAAATAGGAAAAGTGTAAGATGGGAGCAGGAATAGGGAGAAAGCCACATAGGTCAGGACAGGTGACTGCCTGGCAAAGTGGATTATGCACCTGCCTGCTATTCTCCAGCGGTAGCATAAGCTGTCCCTCCTCCCAGGACAGCAATGGCTACCTGACAGCAGATTGTTAAATAGCTCTCATTTCATTCTGCTTCAAATCTCTGACCCCAACTAGTTTAGACCAGACAGAGACAGTGGCAACAGGAAGAAGAGAAGGAACCTACATGATGGACTGGCACTGGATAATCTGGCCAGGATGGACTGGTGAGACAGATGCTCCTGTTTATCTGGATTAATTGAATTGCTATTAAAGAATCAGAAAAAAAATTCAACCTGAAAATTTTGGAAGCCTTGTGTGGCTCTTGGCCTATGGCATGCTGTACTTCCTTCTATGTTGATGACCTGGACTTTTTTATACTGAAGATTAAGAAACAGAAAAATCCAAATATGCCACACAGTGGCTAATCCACCATGGTATATTCAATGATTGGAATATAATGGAGAGGTTTATGGAACAGATAATCTTTAAATACCTAAGACCAGAACTTGAAGTCCATTGATTTCTTGTAACCTCTGCTGAACACTCCACAAAACGGAGAATACACGACTGAATTAACATTTGAGCTTTTCCATTTTGTAGGCTTCTAACTGGCTGTACAGACCAGCTTTGCTTTACCTGCATCTTGGACATTAGGGACAATTAGAAGAACAAACAAAAACAGTCTTCTCTGGAGGCCAATCATGATCAGCAGCTTGAGACATTGCTTCCCAAGTGTTTGGAAGGGAACTGTAGATTCCATACATACTGAAATTAAGGTGAAGAATTGAGAGACTGTAGGAAGTCAAAGTGTACTGACACAGTAGCCATTACACATCACACGCACTTCTGGAGGCTCAACACTGGTTTCAATGCTTGAATTCTAGCCATCATGTTACAAAGGATTATGAATGACAGAGCTAGCATTTGTTATCACATTCCAATGTTTAAAGTCATGTTGTAGGATTGATTTTATAGTTAATGGGAAGGAGATCATCTTTCTTATTACCTAGTTTGTATGGATGGTTGGTAAACCTGGCTTGACAATAAGACTGAGTATAATGATTTAATTAGTATATCAACATGCGAATGTAGAGGCAAGCCAAAATACTTATTTTGCCCCAACTTAAATATCTAAATATTAGATAGTTATCTAATGTTCAGTGTAACAATAAAGAAAAGAGTTTTAGTTTTTCTGGCCCCGATATTTTGTATATTAACAAATTTTCCAAAACCGAATAGAATTTAACAATTCAAGAAAATAATGCTTAAGTCATATATATCTAAACGTATAAGAACTTGTTTATTTTTTACCCTTATGCTTTGAGGGGGAAACATAAAAGAAACTATTGTTTTTAAAGAAGAAAGTAAACATTGAAAAAAAATCCCCACGATCTTGTTTACACATTTGTGAGATTCTAGTCATTACCATTTAAAAATTATTTTTTGTCATCCTGAAAAATATTAGGAGGATTCTTTTTAACAAATGCTCTTGGAACTAAGAAACTAGTACAGGCTATTCTGCTTCAATGTGTGTATCTATAATACATATTAGCTTTCGAGCAGGTGGTAAATAGAGAATGGAGTCAATATAAAGTGGAGGCTATGTTAGGTGAGATGCAGTTTTTCTTAGCAAAGGAAACCAGCATAGTGAGAGTAAAATTATAGTTTTCAACAGGAAAGGGAAAAGCTCTAATGTTGCCTGCTGCTCAGTCATCACTTCTGGAGGAAGGCCTTTCTTGATCACCTGTGTGGTATAGGACTATCATTCTGTATCCTATTACCCTGCTTGATTGACTGCGCGAGGCTTAGTATTTAAAGATGTATTATTATTTTGTTTATTCATTTATTGTTTGCCTTTCTAACTAGAATGTAAGCTCCATGAGGGTAAGATCTTTTCTGTATGGTTTACTGCTGTTTGGCACATGGCAAAGGCTCAATAAATATTGATTGATTGAATAAATGAATAATGGCTTCTTCTTACTTTGTCAATGCCAAATTTGGCTTTGTTCTTCCTCAGCATTCATCTTAGGTGACGGGGAAATATTCTCCTTTCACATCCTACAGTTGCAATAATTCAGAATGAGAGCTGCAAATTGAGGAAGCTGGTAACCTAAAGGGATATAGGATAAAAAGAGCCTGTCTGTTTAGAAAAATATTTTCTTTTACTTCAAGGCTCAAGTCAGGTCTTTGATACTTATCCACAAAGCTAAGAGCCCCAGCTTTAGAGTTTTTGTGTGTCAAGAGCATTTTCATTATATGTGTCAATAGGTGACACTAAGCAATGCATTTTAATGAGAAATGTTACATTCAACATTTCCCTTCTTTGCTTCTATGAGTCCTCCATTACAGCCAAGTTGGTCTATTTGCTGGTCTTCATTCTCCCTCCAGCCCCCACCATCTTCTTCCCTGAACTTCTCTCATCTCTACCTTTGCCCTTGTGGCTGCCTACACCACATTTGCACCAGGACTACACTTTCAACAGGCTGCTCTCAGGCAATGATTGAGCACAGGGGAAAATTAAGGAAGGCCTATTTTTGTGAGGTGCAGGACCCCTTTGATGGGTGACTTTGGCTAAAAGACTCCACTTTGACCTGACCTAAACTACCTTAGAACTGCTTTTTCAGTCTAAGATTCTGCTTATCCAACTCTCCTTCCTTCCATCTCTCCTTACAGGACCCAACTTGCATCAGGCTAAAGAGAATATAGGAGCCCATCTGCCTAGGCAAAAATATTTCATGTGGAATTCGCCCTATAGAGACATCTGTGTAGTCTGCTTTATGGTGGGACTCTGATTCCCTTACTTAAATCCACTGCTCCCTCTGCTTGGTCTCAGCCCAGTGACCTCAGTGGTATGCTGGTAAATGTTGAAAAACCAACTCACTAAAAAATTTTTAAAAGCCAGATAATCACGCCTATAATCCCAGCACTCTGGGAGGCCAAGGCGGGCGGATCACTTGAAGTCAGGAGTTCAAGACCAGCCTGGCCAGCATGGTGAAACCCCATCTCTACTAAAAATGCAAAAATTAGCTGGGTGCAGTGGCGCATGCCTGTAGTCCCAGCTACTCGGGAAGCTGACACAGGAGAATCGCTTGAACCCAGGAGGTGGAGGCTGCAATGAGCCGAGACGGCACCACTGCACTCCAGCCTGGGCGACAGAGTGAGACTCCATCTCAAAAATAAAGTAAAATAATAAAATAAAATAAAATAAAATAAAATTAGAAGGCACTGATATGTAGCACCTAACTGTTCCTATAGTGTAAATCCTCCCACCGTGGGTAATTTCAAGCTTCCAACATGTCATCCCTGAATGCAGAGTAAGAAAGAGATGCTGAGTAGCTCACCATTATACAGCATTTTCACACTACAGATACAATAGATGCAACTAACCTCAAGGACATAGCTAATAGTAAAAGGTAGCAAATACTTTAATTTTTTTCTTTTTTCTTTTTTTTTTTTTTTTTTTGAGACAGGGTCTCACTCTGTCACTAGGCTGGAGTGCAGTGGTGTGATCACAGCTCACTGTGACCTGAACATCCTGGGCTCCAGTGATCCTCCCACATAGCTAGGATTACAGGTGTGCACCACTACCCTGGCTAATTTTTCTATTTTTTGTAGAGACAGGGTTTTACTATGTTGCCCAAGCTGGGCTCAAACTCCTGGGCTCAAGTGACTCACCAGCCTCGGCCTCCCAAAGTGCTAGGATTATAGGTGTGAGCCACCACACCTAGCTATAATAATTTTAATAATGGCTGTGTTTAACAAGTGGTTCGTGAAATTCTGGAAAATTTAACAATTGGCTCTCATAAGTCTGTATGAGCTGCCTCAGCACATTACTAGTTTACCACAACCTTGATTTCTGATTGTTCAAGCAGGGGTTACAAGGTCTCTACCCAAGCCACTGATATTGACTTATACCATAGAGGAGCTGGAAAGGAGCTGAGAGCAGCTTTTCTCCTACTTGTTCATTTTATGTCTAGGAAAATTGATGTCCACAGAGTTTATCCATTCAAGTAAGGAAAATGCCATGAACTGGGTCTCCTCAAGTGTATATATTTCTGATATACTCATTTTACCAGGAATAGATGATGGAAATTGGATTCCCTCTTTTGTTAATAGATCATCCAATGAATTATTTGGCCCTGGAGGAGTTCTATTCTCTAGTGGCTTTCCTGTGAAACACTGAGTTGGAGGATGACTTTACTAAAAGGTCCCAGATTCCCTTTAATATATAAACTCTTTGCATGAGGATTTATTTATGAATTGCCAATCAGAAAAAAAAATGCACTGATGCACAAAGCTATTTAATCAATTGTTTATAAGTATACACAGACAGTGTTCCTTAACTTTATTAGAGCCCACTGGAGACTTTTCCCAGGATGCATGCCTAATTAACAGAGGCCATTAAAAATAGACGACTATGTTATAAGAGCTCAGTTAACTGTTGTTTTCTTCATATTAGACTAGTTTTTAAAAGATTCACTTTCATCTTTTTACTCACTAATTAGCTGGGCATTGATAAATAGCAATGGTTGGCCTTTATCCTTGGTTTCAGCTGCAAATTAAGTAAAAATAAAGTGTACTGAATATTTTATTTTTACTGCAGGTAGATCTTACTTCTGGCAGAAAACAAACTAGAGTTAAGCCATTCAAAAAAGGTAATCTTAAAACACCAGAATGAAAGGCTAGATTTTTCTTACTTGCCTGCGATATTGAGAGAGACCCTTGACAGGCTCTGAAATGTTGGACTTCAGGAACGATGCATTATTTATAAAGTGGAGAAAGGGAGAAAACAGTGCAAGAAAAAAGATACAGAGGCTTACAATATTGCTCTTTTCCCTCTTAGAGAAAAGTATAAGATGATTGCCAATGAATACCCTTAAACCCAGAGTGAGGAACCATGTATATTAATTAATAGAAAAATGCCTTTTTGTTGTTAAAAGAGCATTTTTCCTTTGGTGAGAAAACTCACTTCTCTTTGACATCAGCACATGGTACATGTAAGATAGGTTCCCACTGAAAGTTTTTGATGGCGTGAGCCAATATAAAAACATTATGTAACTCACTAAATGTTTTAGACACTTTTAAGACAAAAATCAGTATTAAATATCATAAATATTAAGAAGCCACATTGCCATTAAGTGAAAGCTTAAAGACTAAGCACAATCTATTAAAACACTGTCATGCAACTTTACATACAGGCATATACCTCAGATATATTGCAGGTCCCAGATCACTGCAATAAAGATACTATCATAATAAAGTGAGTCACACAAATGTTTTGGTTTTCCAGTGTATATTAAAGTTATGTTTACACAATACTATAGCCTATTAAGTGTGCATTATGTGCATTATAGCATTATATCTAAAAATGAACATAATTAAAAATACTTTATTGCTAAAAACTGCTGAGCCTTCGACAAATCATCTTTTCGGTAGTTTACGATCTTACCTTAATGTGGATGGTAGCTGACTTATCAGGGTGGTTGTTGCTGAAGGTTGAAGTGGCTGAGATGTTTTCTAAATATAAGACAACAATGAAATCTGTTGCATTGATTGACTCTTCCTTTCATGCAAGATTTCTCTGTAGCATGTGATGCTGCTTGATAGCATTTTACCCATAGTAGAACTTCTTTCAAAAATTGGGGTCAATCTTCTCAAACTCTGCCACTTCTTTAAGAATAAATTTATATAATATTCTAAATCCTTTATTGTCATTTCAACAATGGTCACAGCATCTTTATGAGTAGATTTCTTCTCAAGAAATCACTTTCTTTGCTCATCCATAAAAAGTAACTCCTTACATGCTATAACATTAGATTGCAGCAATTCAGTGACGTCTTCAGTTCTAATTCTAGTTCTCTTGCTATATCTATGACATCTGTAGCTACTTCCTTCCCTGAAGTCTTAAACCTCTCAAAGTCATCCATGAGGACTGAAATCAACTTCCTCCAAACTACTATTAATGTTAGTATTTTCACCTCCTCCCATGAATCACAATTGTTCTTCATGGCATCTAGAATGACGAATCTTTTCCAGGCAGCTATAACTCTATAATACATTTTTTTAAATAAAAAGACTTGAAGTTGGACTTGATCATTGACCCATAGACTACAGAATGGATATTGTACCAGCAGCCATGAAAACAACATTAATATCCTTGTACATCTCTGTCAGAACTCTTGGGTGACTAGGTACATTGTCAGTGAGCAGTAATATTTTGAAAGGAATATTATTTTATGAGCAGTAGGTCTTAGTGGTGGAATTAAAATATTCAGTAAACCATACTGTAAACAGATACGCCATCATCCAGGTTTTGCTGTTACATTTATAGAGCACAGGAGGACTAGATTTAGCATAATTCTTAAAGGTACTAGGATTTGCAGAATAGTAGATGAGCATTGGCTTTAACTTAAAGTCACCAGCTGCATTAGCCCCTAACCAGAGTCAGCCTGTCCTTTGAAAACTTGAAGCCAGACACTGATGTTCCCTTTCTAGCTATAAAAGTCCTAGATGCATCTTCTTTCAATACAAGTCTGTTTCACTGACACTGAAAATCTGTTGTTTAGTGTATTTATCTTTATCAGTGATCTTAGCTAGACCTTCTGGATAACTTGCTGCAGCTTCTACGTCAGCACTTCTTGCTTCACCCTGCCCTTATGTGTTATGGAGATGGTTTCTTTCCCCTAAGCCTCATGAACGGACCTCTGTTAGCTTCAACTTTTGGTCTGCAGCTTTCTCACCTCTCTCAGCCTTCACAGAACTAAAGAGAGTTAGGGACTTGCTCTGGATTAGGCTTTGGCTTAAAGGAATGTTGTAGCTGGTTTGATCTTCTACCCAGACCACTCAAACTTTCTCTCTCCTAGCAATAAGACTCTTTCACTTTTTAAATCACTCATGTGTTCACTGGAGTAGCACGTTTAATTTCTTTCAAGGACTTTCCTTTGCATTCCCAACTTGGCTAACTGTTTGGCACAAGAGGCCTAGCTTTCAGCCTATTTTGGCTTTCAACACACCTTCCTCACTAAGCTTAATCATTTCTAGCTTTTAATTTAAAGCAAGAGACATGCAACTCCTCCTTTCACTTGAACACTTACAAGCGTTGTGGGATTATTAATTGGCCTAATTAAATATTGTTGTGTCTCAGGGAATAGGGAGGCTCAGGGAGAGGGAGAAAATCAAGGGAACTGCCAGTTGTAGCAGTTCGAACACATACAACATTCATTGATTAAGTTCATCATCTATCCACATAGTTTGTGGTGCCCCAAAACAATTACAATAGTAATATCAAAGGTCACTGATCACGGATCACCATAACAGATATAATTATAATAAAAAATTTGAAATATTGCAAGAATATCCAAAATGTGACACAGTTATAAAGTGAGAACACGCTGTTGGAAAATGGCACCAATAGACTTGCGCAATGCAGAATTGCCACAGACCTTCAATTGGATAAAACAACAACAACAATGCAGTATCTGAGAAGCTCAATAAAGCAACATACATGAAGTATTACTATATTACATAATGCAATACAAATTTCCTTTGTGACTGTTACTGGTTTTAAAGGCAGACTGATTTAAGCCAAGACAGCATCTCTTAGAATAATGGTGTTACTACACAAGGTGATGCCTTCCAGGAAAACATTTGCTTGGCTGTTCACATCCTGAATTATTCATTTTTAAAAACCAGACTCACCACTTCTGTAGTCAGAGCTCTACATTGTTAGAAATCAGTTCAGAGGCGAAGGGAAAGCAAGTTATTCGAGGGAAACCTCAGAGGAATCGGAGACAATCAGTAGCTGCTCAGAGAGGCAGTGAATGTAGTGTCCCCTTACCCAGTGACAGAGCTGGCTGGTGAACCCAGCGCTTTTGAATATGATCAGCCAGTATCCAAATCCTCTGGCTGTGGTGGATTTCTTCTTGACATTTTTACTCACAGCTGTTCTCAGCATCTTGCCACCTGAAGCATGCAAAAGTGGAGAAGGATGCTTGTACATCCCCACTTCTTTTCTGATTAGAATAGGCAGCTTGCTACATTCTTAAGTAGAACTTAAAGATGTTGATTTGACTTATCTCTACTAGGATATAGAGGATCATTCCATCCTTTCTTGAACTCCTCTCCTTTTCCTCTCACCCCACCATGCACAAACCATGCTACCTCTTCCAAGTAGCATTGCTTTATAATGCGCAGAAGATTTTGCCATTATAATTAAGGAAATCTCATCTCAACTTAATGGTTAGTCACAGTCATTATTTAAGTCTCTGTATTTATTTATCTTACCTTCTCTCTGTACCTTACTATCTTTATTGTCTATTTTTGCAGTGCTGTGGAAGCGGCTTTTATTGTGGCTACCTCAAATTCTTTCTAGGATTGAAAGGAATGTACTCTAAATTGGTAAATCATTTTGAGAACCATATAGAAACAAGAGACAATGTGAAATTGACAAGACTGTTGACAGATTTCCAGTTTTGATACCTTGTGTGATCTTGATCAAGGTAATTCATCTCATTGAGTCTAGTTTATTTGCTTGAAAAGGAAAGATATTGACTTGATTTTTCCTCATAGAATTGTCACAGCATGTGCAGTGTACAATATTTTAAAACTCCAAGTGAATGTGCTACCTGCTGGAAAATAACATAAAATAGCTTAAGAGTAACTGAGATAATCTGTTGAAGCTAGAATTTACCAAAATTATCATTCTTGAAGGATCAAGAAAGAAGAGACATAAATGTGATTTCCTAGAAATAGCAAAATGTCATAAATACATTGCTGTGCTGACATGTCGTGCAATAAATTCTTACAGAATAGGGTCATGGGTGTAAACATGGAAAGAATAAGATTGGTAGTCCCAAATCCTAATTTAACCTATGCAGCTCTAAGATGAACTTTCTGGGGAGCACTGTTTAAACAACTTTGCCTTCCATCTTATGGGTGTCATCTGGCATTTCTAGTAGCTGACCACATTAAAGAAATAAGGATGGAAACGTTTAAAGTCCATCAGATAATTTCTGGAAAGATTCCAACCTTTTTGGGATAATGCTGCTATAAAAACAATAAATATTATTTTTAATACAGAGATGATCTTATATAAGTGAAATATCATATTTAACTATAATAATAAACTTTATTTTTTGAAAGGTTTTAGGATCACAGCAAAATTGAGTGGAAAGTACAGGGAGTTCCCATTTACCTTCTCTCCCTATACATGCACAACTTTCCCCCATCCATATTTCCTGCCACAATGGTACATGTGCTACAATCAATGAACCTACATTGACACACCTTCATTACCCAAAGTCCATAATTTATATTAAGGTTCACTGTTTGTGTTGTGCATTCTACAGGTTTGGACAAATGTATAAATGAAATGTGTCCACAACTGTAGTATCACACAGAATAGTTTTACTGTCTAAAAATTCTCTGTATTTTTCCTCCTCCTACACATCTGATAATGACTGACCCTTTCTCTAGTTCCATAGTTTTGTCTTTCCAGAATGTTTTACAGTTGCAATCATACAGTATATATCCATTTTAGATCGACTTCTTTCACTTACTAATGTGTATTTATGTTTTTTCCAAGTTTTGCATGGCTTGATAGCTCACTGCTTTTTAGTGTTGAATAATATTGTATTGTCTACATGTACCACAGTTTATTTATCCATTTACCTGCAAAGGACATCTTGATTACTTCCAAGTTTTGGCAATGATAAATAAAGCCGCTATAAACATCCATGCGTAGGTTTTTGTATGGATATGAGTTTTCATCTCATTTGGGTAAATACCAAGTAGGATGATTGTTGGATCATATGGTAAGAGTATGTTTAGTTTTGTAAGAAACTGTCAAACTGTCTTCCAAAGTGGCTGCACCATTTTGCATTCTTAACAGCAGCAAATGCTTACATTATCCATTTGTTCTTGCATTGTTGCCTACTTTTTCCATTAAAAGCGTTAGCATATTAATTAGGTTTTTTAAAATTTCCTGGTCTGATAATTCCAACATTCCTTACATATTTGACTCTGGCTCTGGTCCTTCAAACTGTATTTTTCCTTTTCAAATGCCTTGTAATTTTTTACTGAAAGGTGGGCATGATGTACTGGGTGAAGAAAATGTAATAAATAAACCTTTAGTAAAGTAGTAGTAAGGTGTAGGGGGAGGGGAAGCATTCTATAGTCCTGGTGTTTATTAGTCTCCATCTTTTGGTAAGCCTGTACCCTTGAGCTGTGAACTTCACAGGTGCTGTTTAGTATACCCATCCCTCTTAGGTGAGACAGGATGGCTACAGGGGGCTGGAGTTGGATATTTTCCTTTCCCCACATCAGTTTAGCTGTGATAAAACCCCAGCAGGTTAGGGTCTGATAAGATAGTTTGTCCTGTAGGCAGGACTTGTAAAGCAGAACAGAATGCTCTGGAATATTTCAAAATGGCCATTTTTTCTCCTCCTAGCAAGAGTGGATTTTTTTTTTTTCTGTAATATTCACTGTGAGGACCAGGTCCAGCTCCTGAAGGTAAAACTCTCAGAAGCACTGAGGATCCCCATGACTGAGCCCCCCACTGGAGTTTCCAGCTCTCAAACTTGTCCATACTGAGCCGCCAGCGATTTGTCAATTATAGTTTAGGCTTTCCCACCTTGACACTGGTTCCTGTAGAGGTTCCTATTCCTGGGTTTCTGCTTCAGTAAATCGTGATTCTCTGTATCCCCCTGTCTGTCTCTCCAGTTTTGGGAGCAGTGATTTGCCCTGTGGACTTACTTCTCTGACAGATCTGAGAAGAGTTGTTGTTTTTCAGTTTGTTTAGCTTTTTACCCTTTTAAGAATGGAATGGCGATTTACAAGCTCCTTATGTGCCAGAACAGAAACTGGGAGCCTAAAGTAGAACTTCTATGTTTAATGACTTTTATGGCTTCCTAAAATTATGGACATGAAATTGCCTTGCAGAATAAATGCTGGATTCACTCTTTCTTCTTGAATATGCCAAAGGTTCTTGCTCCTTAGTTCAACACTAGAATTAAAAGGACCCATTTTGTATTACTGGGAATTTGTAATGATTAACATTTCAACTGTTCCTTTTCTTTTAATAATAGAAGAAATTTGCATATTGAAAAGTTTAATTTTTATTATTTTATGTAACTTGTGTAAATATAAATATATTTATAATATATAAATATATAAATATATTATATATATATGGTGCCATATGACATATTGTATGTAAAAAAATTATCCTTACCCTGTGGGAGCTTCCAGTCTAAAGTGAATTATCTTCCTTTCATACAGCAGCCATTTTTCGTAGGGTATGATGGCAAAGCCAAGAGAAAAATGTTAATGTTCTCCATCTCTTCTCGGTACCTGCTGGTCTCAGACTACAATAAAAGTTCTAAAATATTAAAAAGCAAAATATGCAGCCTAAGAATAAGGTTCACAATATTTATTAAAATTGTCATTAAAATAAATGTAAGTAAATGTTCTTATACTGCTTAAGTCAGACTGCTGCTTTATTTTCTTGAAAGAGTCTAAAATGCATACAAACTGCATGATTCTATACTTTTTTTTCTTGTTTTTCTCATCCAACATATATGAAATAATGGCTGAATCCTTTTATGTCAAGACACTGCTGGGCAATAAATCACTTCTATTTTAAGCAATGTGATTTCATTTATCTCTGATCAAGGCATCAAAACAGTTGCTTAAATTAGTAAGACAAACCCAAGAGAAACAAGGGTTGGATACCTCTGTTAACCTTTTATTTCTTTGCAATTATTTTCAGATACCTTGTTCAATGGTCTTATTACTTTTCAATACATGGCATCATCTTTGCTTCTGCTATCAAAGAATGTGCTGCACAGATTTAGAATCACATGTAATCTATACTGCGTTTTTAAAAAATGTATTTCCGCAATAAACATACGTGTGCATGTGTCTTTATAGCAGCATGATTTATAGTCCTTTGGGTATATACCCAGTAATGGGATGGCTGGGTCAAATGGTATTTCTAGTTCTAGATCCCTGAGGAATCGCCACACTGACTTCCACAATGGTTGAACTAGTTTACAAAGACTTGGAACCAACCCAAATGTCCAACAATGATAGACTGGATTAAGAAAATGTGGCACATATACACCATGGAATACTATGCAGCCATAAAAAATGATGAGTTCATATCCTTTGTAGGGACATGGATGAAATTGGAAATCATCATTCTCAGTAAACTATCGCAAGAACAAAAAACCAAACACCGTATATTCTCACTCATAGATGGGAATTGAACAATGAGATCACCTGGACACATGAAGGGGAATACCACACTCTGGGGACTGTGGTGGGGAGGGGGGAGTGGGGAGGGATAGCATTGGGAGATATACCTAAGGCTAGATGACGAGTTAGTGGGTGCAGCGCACCAGCATGGCACATGTATACATATGTAACTAACCTGCACAATGTGCACATGTACCCTAAAACTTAAAGTATAAAAAAAAAAAAAAAGGAAATATCTTCCCATAAAAACTAAAAAAAAAAAAAAATGTATTTCCATGGCTTAAATTAAAACAGAGTATGGTCATTTATCACTTTTGAAAGCAAAAGATTCGTTCACAATCCTTCAGTGCATCAATCAGATGGGGCTAGGCTTTTTTTTAGTTAGTCCACAGCTAAAAGCTTACTTTAGAATGTAATTCATTATCATGTCCACACAGATATAATGCCCCAAGGATTTGCTATTTGTTTTTCCTTAGTATCATGAAATTTTTGTGAAACAGCAATATGAAATGCAGAAAGTCCAGTCTCATGATAACTTGGCACTTTCCATTGCAGGGCTTTGAATTCTCCTACATCAAAGCTTCATTCAGAAACCAAAAGGGTTATGCAAAAAGTGGAATTCTACCTCAATACAAACTCAGGAAGAACTAGACATCCTTCAAGGCTGGAATGAAAAACCTAAGCTCCTGCCATAGATTTATGTCCAATCAGAGGAGAAACAGTACAGATTAATAACAATTTGCAAAGGAATCCCATGAACATTTGGTGAGTGCTCTCTGACCCAGCAGAGATCCATCTGTGGGATGTCCAGGTTAGAGAATACCCAGAGAGGCAAATAGCAGTTTGACTTGAGCCTTAGCCCTCATACCAAGAGCACAGTTTGATTTTGGCTTGGCTATAAGCATGTATGCCTAAAGTGGAATGCATTGTATAGAAATGCTTGAATTTGAATCATTTCTTAGATGTCTGGCATTGTGATCTTTACAAACTTTTAATAAATGGCAATCAACCCAAAAGGTTCGAATACTTACTTTTTTAGCAGCAAAGGTCAAAATTTGGATGTGCAAATTTTGGTCTTATTGTATGTCATTGGGAATGTAAAAGCTAACATTTATCTTTAAACCTACTAAACTATTCTGATCATCAGGGAAATAACCCAGTAGGCTTCAATGGAGGTTCTCTAAAAGGGTCTCAGGGATATTCGTTTTATGGACTTGACAAAAATTTTAATTAAACTCTCAAGAAGGCAATTACAGGGTCAAGAAAGGACATGGAACCTTAGGTCATTGAGAGAGAGGTAACAGCTTCCAAAAGCTTATATAAAAGTGATTCTGTATCCCCATAGCATTATGATTGATGATGCTTCATAGGACTCATGATTTAGAGCACATACAGATGCTCCCCAACTTATGATGGAGTTACATCCTGATAAACCCATTGGAAGCTGAAAATATCATAAGAAGTTAAAAATGCATTTAATACATCTAACCTACCAAACATCATAGCATAGCCTTGCCTATGTTATATGTGCTCAGAACACTTACATTAGCCTAGAGTTGGGCAAAATCATCTAACACAAAGTTAATTTTATAATAAAACATTAAATATCTCATGTAATTCATTGAATATTGTACTGAAAGTGAAAAACAGAATGGTTGTATTAGTACTCAAAGTACAGTTACTACTGAATGTGTATTGCTTTTGCACCATCGTAAAAGCTGAAAAATCTTAAGTCAAACCATCAGAAGTACAGGATAGTCTGTACTGTCAAATCAATTGTAAGACTGGTAAACATTTGTTGGGGGTGATAAACTGGTTAAAACATAAGAGAAAATTATTTACCTGTGCTTAGAATATGTTATAAACCCTAATGCATTCATCTTATTTGTTATTTTTTTCAATGACTATTTATAATTATTTTTATTTACCAATTCAGTACATACCCATTGTGAATTATTTTAATCCAGATAAAGGAAAATAAAATTGCCTTCCAGAGACAGGAACAAATAACATTTTGTTCTCCTTAAACAAACAACACAAAGATCACACTGTGTGTTCTGTCTTGAAATCTTTTCTCATTGAACAGTTTTCTTTATCATTAAATGTTATTAAATATTCTTCTATATTTGTAATAGCTTTTATTAGTCTCTTCTATATATTTACCATATAATTTATTTAGTGATGTCTCTCTGGATATTTATGTTGCTTCTAATTTTTCAGTATTAATAAGACAGTACTATAACACATTTGTTTAGCTTTAATTATCTCCTTAGGAAAAATGTTTAAAAGTGCCATTTATGACTCAAGGGACACACAAAAGTCTAAAGTATCTGATGCTTGTAGCCAAATTACCATCTGAAAGATTTAGTGCCAACCTATCTATAAATGTTTTCACCTTAAAAGAAAAGAGCAGGACAAGTGAGATGGCTCACGCCTGTAATCCCAGCACTTTGGGAGGCCAAGGTGAGGAGTTTGAGACCTGAGGTCAGGAGTTTGAGACCATCCTGGTCAACATGGTGAAATCCTGTCTCTCCTAAAAATATAAAAATTAGCCGGGAACAGTGGTGAGCACCTGTAATCCCAGCTACTCAGGAGGCTGAGGCAGAAGAATCGCTGGAACCCGGGAGGCAGAGATGGCAGTGAGCCGAGATCGTGCCATTGCACTCCAGCCTGGGTAACAAGAGTGAAACACCATCTTAAAAAAGAAAAGAAAGAAAAGAAAAGAAAAGAAGAAAAGAGCAAGTTGTTAGTAGATTCCCATTCCATACGATGAACCAAGGTCTAGTTTTCTTATTTGAAATTTTCAGAGGTTGATACAAGATGGAGTAGAGAAGAATTAAATGTCTGGTAATAGACATCAACATGTAGGCAATGCATTTAACAAAAAGTTTTTTAAATTCTCTTTCATGTGTTTCTTTCTCTTTCTTATGTGTCTTTTTTTCTCTCTCTCCCCACCATCCTCTGTCCCCAGAATAAAAAAGAGGTTCTCTTATTAGAGGGACAAATATACCTAAGGCAAAATCTCCTACAAAGCCTTTTGCTGGTGCCTATGAGCATAAGAAATTAATGGGGGTGTAATGGGGGACAGTGTTAATTAGCAAAAAGAATAATAATTAAAAAGCATTTGGTTCAAGGTTTAGGGCAGGAAAATTAGAGTGGTTGCATATTACAGTGGGCACTTACATATGGCCCTTTCATCAGGCAGAAAGACCAACATTGGAAAAGAGGATTTAGGAGACTACTTTCCTTGTCTTTGACTCCTCTATTTGATTATTAGTTAAATATATTGTTAAAAATAACTACTGGGAAAAGAACAATAAAGCCCTTCAGACTCACAGACCCTTTTGCTAGCGTACTTTTGTCAAGATTCCTGTGGTTAAATCAGTGTATTAAGAAAAGGAATAATTAGAGACAAATGTGTGTGTGTGTGTGTGTGTGTGCGCGTGTGTATGTGCATAGGAGGGTGAGGGTGGAAGATCGATGTGTGAAGTGTAAACATTTTGTGTTTAAATTGTAAAACAAACAACAAAACAGTTAAAAATATATTAAATGAGTTATATGTTGCCTTAGTCCATTTTGTGCTGCTATAACAGAACACATGAGACTGGGTAACTTATAAATAATAGAACTTGATTTCTCACACTTCTGGATGCTGGGGAGCCCAAAATCAGGCCCTGGCATCTGGTGAGGACCATCTTGCTGCATCATAACTTGGCAGAAGGGCAAAGAGAGGGCAAGAGGGAGCAAGAGATCAAATTTGCAGCCACAGCCTTAAGCCTTCAATTTAATTGATTTATTTAATGTCAATAAAAAGAGTCAAACTTTGTAATATGTTTTAAGAGATTTATTCTGAACCAAATATGAGTGAACCTGGCCCATGATACAGCCCTCAGGAGACTCTGAGAACATGTGCCCAAGGTGGTCAGGGCACAGCTTGATTTTATACATCTTAGGGATGAGACATCAATAAAATACACAAGATATACAGTGGTTCAGTCCAAAAGGTGGGACAACTTGAAGGTGGGGAGGACTTCCAGGTTATATGTAGATTTAAAATTTTTCTGTTTGCAATTGGTTGAAAGAGGTTGTGGCGACCAAAGTTTTATCCTTAAGATAAAACTTTTATCATGCTACCTCCAGGTAACAGGCTTCAGAGAGAATAAATTGTATATGTTTCTTATCAGACTTAAGTCTGTTTGATGTTAATGCTAGAGGGGTATAATGAGGCATATCTGACCCCCGCTTTTTATCACTGCCTGAACCAGTCTTTCAGGTTACATTTTGCAGTGCCTGACCAAGGAAGGAGTCCATTCAGATGGTTGGGGGCCTTAGAAGTTTTAGTTTATATTAACATTATTTAAAAATAAATTTTATTGTGTATATTTAAGATATACAAGATGACGTTATAAGAAACATAAATATGTATTTATATATAACAGTGCATTCATCTTATTTATCTTACATATATATGTGTATATCCATATATACATATATATATGGTTACTATAGTGGAACGAATTAACATACCCATCTTCTCATTGTAAAAAGTGAGGCCAAGCTGTAGTATATGGTGAAGGATGCTCTGACACCTGGGGCTCACATAGTATCAAAACTGGCTGCAGAAGCAGCATTAGAGCTTGAGGGTAACAACTATCACTTCTCCATAAATCTGAAGTGATAACCATCTCATTTCTTGAGTGTCATGATCAAAGTCCCCTTAGGTCTACCCTCTAGATTGAAATATTTAACTTTATTAAATATTACCTCAAAGGTATGGGTAGAAAAAATATTCACATAATTTAGGGCTGCCTAGTTCTGCAAACTCCTCCAGAAACAAAAACCTACCCTCCTTAACATTCCTCCTTCCTTAACATGAGTGCAGAACCTGTCTCCTGTCTGTTTCCTGCCTTCTTCTTCAATGCCTTTCTGGCCTAGGCACTAGTCTGTGAATCTGTTTTCACAACCAGAATCACCTCTGCTCTCAGTTCTACAGTTCCAGCCCATCTCCTCTGTCCTCCAGCCACGAAATCTCTCAGACTCACTAGGGATGGGGCCAGTACCTGCATTTTTAATAAGCTACCTCCCCAACCCTGCCCCAAAAAGATTTTAAAAAATGTTTAATTAACACATACTAATTGTGTATATTTATAAGGTACACAGTGATGTTTTGATACGTACAATGTGTATTGATCTAATCAAGGAATAAAACATATCCATTATCTCAAAAATGTATCACTTCTTTGGGCTGGGAACTTTCAATATCCTCTATTCTAGCTATTTGCAAAAATATACTACTGTTAACTATAGTCATCCTATAGTGCTATGGAACACTAGAGCTGATTATTCCTACCTTGTTATAATATTGTATCCTTTAACAAATATCTCTCTGTCCCCTGGTTCCCCCTACCTCCAGGCTTTTTATAATCAGCATTAATTCATTCATGAAGGTGGAACCCTCATAACCTAAACACCTCCCAACACTGTTGCATTGGGGATTAAGTTTCCAACACATGCTTTTTGGGGGACACATTCAAACCATAGCAACTATGTTACTGCAATTTTAGAAGTGAATCTTTTTAACATGAGTTAATGTGATGTTATAAACCATGATATTAGTTGATGACTAAGGTCAAATGTGAAAGGTAATTTAGTATTTCCTTATATTTATTCCTTCTTTTTTTTTTTTTTTTTTTTTTTGACAGAGTCTCACTCTGTCGCTCAGGCTGGAGTGCAGTGGTGCGATCTCGGCTCATTGCAAGCTCCGCCTCCTGGGTTCATGCCATTCTCCTGCCTCAGCCTCCCAAGTAGCTGGGACTACAGGCGCCTGCCACCACGCCCAGCTATTTTTTTTGTATTTTTAGTAGAGACGGGGTTTCACCGTGTTAGCCAGGATGGTCTTGATCTCCTGACCTCATGATCTGCCCACCTCAGCCTCCCAAAGTGTCTGGGATTACAGGCGTGAGCCACCGCGCCCAGCCTATTCCTTCCTTTCTTAACCAAAGAGAAGCTCTCTCCTTTATCAAATCCACATTATTTCATTTGTCACAAATTTTAACTCTGATCTTAAAGATACAAGAATGATACATAATTTCAGAAACAACATTGTGAATCATAGGTACAAGGTAACTGACATTTACTGTAAAAATAAAAAAGCAAGTATAGGAATTACTTATTGGCAAAGTATACATTACAGTATGGATATACTCCAGAATCTCTAGAGATGACTCTTTTGTTCTTAATTTAACAAATGTTAACCAAGAATTAACTTTGTGTTAGCCACCAAAAGTAGACAAATAAATAGACTTTAGTTTAAATGTGGCTTGGTAAGCTATATTTGATCCCTTGTGCTTCATTACTTTTCATGAACTTAGACAACAGCCATAACCCAGATCTTCTATCTGTGGAGAAGTATTGCTGAGAGCAGAACAAATTGGACATGGTCAAGGGAGGAAGCCACAAGAAAATGTATTGTTTTCTTCTAATCATCTCAGGCAGTGAGTTCTCTAAAACTCAGAGTTCTCCAAAGATAGGTTGAACTTCCTAAGAAGTCTTATTAATAAACCCTTGTTTGGAAAAGTACAACTAATTTGAATGTGTATGGAAGCTGTCATACACATTCAAATTAGTTGTCTAAGTTCATACATACTGTAATGTATACATTATAGCCACCAAAAATCCAATGGTACAGTTTGGTGAATTCCTCATCTCAGTGGGAAATGTGAGATAGTGTATTAATTCTTCATTTTTGCAGTAAAAATTTACATTTTTATAGATGCTGTCTAAAGTTGATAAAGGAATAAAAATTTAAGTAAATTACATCAAGTTATAAATCCACTGAGGAAAAAAAAGAAAACAAACTTCTAAAATGGTAGGAAAAGCATGGACACACAAAAGCAAACAAAACACATCAATAGAGCAAAATATTAAAATCTAAAAAAGTATTGAAAACAGAAGGCATAAAACAAAATGGCAAAAAAAGATCAAATACATATGCCACATACAAATGTAAATAGTATAAACATTAACATCTCAGTATAAATGATATACAGGCAATATAAACAACATACAGATAAAAATAAAACAACTATGTTGGATATACAAAATACATATAAACAATAAAGTGTTTGAAATGTTACAAGTGAAGGTGTAAGTAAAATATTACAGGAAAATATTACAGGAAAGTATTACAGGAAAATATTACAAAAATCAGGAATTTTAATGTTAATATCAGACTGCTAAACTCAGGTAGGTAACATTAAATAAGACCAGAAAGACAACTTATATCAATAAGTGGTTCAATAAACTATTTATCACAATAAATATAACATCAGAATTTATAAATCAAAATAATAAAGAAATACAAGAAAAATGATAAACATTATAATAGTAAGAGGCTTTAACTCCCAAAGTCAGTTCATGAAAAAGTAGACAAACAGATCAGAAAAAAAGAGACTAGAAAGGACTTAAAGTAACTTAATAAGATGAATTGAACTTTATACTCTGAAGACAAAGAATACGCCTTGCATTCTACTCTTGTAATATTTTCTAAAACTAACCACAATTACACTACAAAATACCTTATAAAATATAACTAGTATATACACATGTTTTTAAATGCTCAAATTCATTCATTACTTTAAAAAACACAGATTTAGATAAGACGTCATGTTTCACTTACATGATTGGAAAAGGTCATCATGTTTGGTGATACACAGCATTGTCAAAGTCATGGGAAAAAGAGACTATCATACACTGTTGATGGAAGTAAAATTTAGTGAGGTTCAGAAATATCTTACAAAATTTAAGTGATAGCCTTTTTTAACTTAGAAATTCTATTTTAGAAATTTAGCATCCAGTTATACTCATATATGTACATAAAAATGTAATTAGTATGTTTATTGAGGTCTTGTTTGTAACAAAAGCAACTGGAAACCATCCAAATGTTCATTCATAAGAAATTTGTTAATAAAATATGTCATATCCATAGATCATAGGCTCATGTGAAAAGTTAGGCAAAAAAATACTGTTAAAGGGAAATAAACAGTGTTCAGGAAAGATCATGTAACATACCACCATGTTATAAACATTTTATATGCACAGAACATTTCTTGAAGAACATGCACACGAAAACCAATGGTAATTTCTTCTGGCTAAAGGACGGTCATTCTGTAGTGAGAAGGAAAGTTGTTTTTTTATTGTATATACTTTTGTACTAATTTTTGTTAACCATGTCCAAATATTAGATTTGCAAACCTTTTTTTAAGTAAACAAGGAATGAGAGAGACATTGTATGTGCCCATGAGGCACTTACAGGATAATGGAGGATACGAACATTTACATGAAAATGACAATACAATGTGAGAAATAAAATCGATTTTGTACAGATTGAGTGTAGAGGAAATGCCTAATTGTGATAGTGATTTTCTTATAAAAGCAAGGGAAAGTATTGTACAATGCCCCTCCCCCTTTTTTTTACTGTTAGCATACAACTTTCTAAGAAAACAGGCCTCATTTACCAACTTGAAACACAGGACTCAATGGTACCTAAAACTGCTAGATTCTCGTGAACAAAGGAAGCAAATGCAAGCAAAATCCAAGAGGAATTGTTACTAAATCAAATATGCCTTCTCCCTGTGGGGAAGAATCGTCCTTTAATACAGTCTTCTCTGATTATATTCTCCCATTCTCTCCTTTTATTTCAAGTCATCTTTCAGGCAGGGTTGAAAATTCTGTTCATGGTTTGCTGCTATCAATAATGAATGTAAAATATGTCCCCATGAGTATGGTCATGGACTCTGTATTTTAAGCGAATTCTCCCATCCTGGGTGATGGTCTGTCCTGATGACTGTGTCCTCTGTGGCACTGGCTTTGCCACGTATGTGACACAATGGTGGCGGTGCCATGGCAGTCAAGCTGAAGGCCATTTGCACAGTGTGACATGCCTCCTTGCTTTGTGCACTTCCAGTGGCTTTGATGATGTGATCATCAAATAGTCCATTGTTAGAAACAAGAGACCACTTCATCTTGACATGGACAAAAGGGGTGAATTACTGAAAAGCTCGAAGGAGTTAAGTTTCTCACAATAAATAAACAGGCTGGGAAGCATTGACAGCAATATAATCCTTTAGAAACACATTGATCTTTGGGTTTCTGTGCATTGTCTGCTGGAGTTCAGAATTCTACGCTTCTGGCAGAAAAAAAAATAGTGGAATGTTTAAATGCATGAAACATAATAGCTTATTGTAAGGGTGAAAGTATTGTGTTAGCAGGCCCCCATTTGACAGGATTTCCCTCAAAAGTTTCAGAAATCTCATGTTGAATTTTGATGCCTTTCATGATAAAATGCATTTCAACTCCCATATCATTGCACTCCTGCACTATCACAAACAGATGCTTGATTGAATTTTGCATTACTACATGTCTCATTACTCTTTTTTCCTTGCAGTCTACCATTTAGTATCACCAAGAAATATTTTAAAGTGGATTTACTATTAGAGTTTGTTGTTAGTAAAGACAATTCTATGAATTAATATAGTCAAAATGAATAGGAAAAAAGCCATTAGGAAAATCTATTAGACAGGTTCTCCATTGGGCCCTTCAAATTTCTATTTGGTAAAAGTGGAAAATATCTACGGCAGGAAATTCATATCATGTTTCACTATTTTCAACAAAAGTTTTGTTTTCAACAAAAGCCTAAGAAAAAAGAAATAAAATAGCTGGCATAAATAGAGATTCACAAATCTTCTGAGTGGAAATCACAATTATATCAACATTACATTCTATATTTCCAAAAAGATTTTTCACCTAAATGAACGTTACAAAAATGACATATCATAACTTATAATTTTTAAATTCTATACTTTAGTTCTGTCATCGATCTTTCATCCTATCATATTAGAAAGCTATCTCAATATGAAACTGTGCCTCTTTCTGTATTCCATAGCAGATAGAGTTTAGATGATGTTAAAGAAAAAACAAATTGTTGCAATATTATTTTATCTTAATTTCAACAACCTCCTTAAAGCATATATTATGACAGTGCAAAGATTGTAATCTAACCTGTGTGAAACAAAGATAAACTTTAAATTCATTCACATTAAGAATTTAGTTTAATTCAATGATATAATAAATTCTTAGATTTTAACCCCTCTTTTTCAATTGAAATGATTTTACACTCATATTGAATTACCGTTTCACTTGAGAGATTTTACTAATGCTTGTTTTTCTCTGTCTGTATTTATATAACTTGTGAATTCTCTGCAACCAATTAATGATCCAAATTGGCTTTTCCTTGCCAAGATGTGTGCTATTTCCTTCTACCATGGACTGTTGTCTTCATAAAATGAAAAATCATTTCAATATTGACTTCAGTAAGACATACTAAGACAAATGGCCCCTGAATAATAATGTCAGACTTTTCAAAGCCAAATGGAAATGAATTTCAGATCATCTTCTGTTTGTGATTATCAGCACCACTGCTCTTCCCATTAATACAGGTAGTAAGAGCTAAATCTACTTTTCCTTAAATAAATCAAAGGTAGTGGTTTATATCAAGGTTTTTGCCAAGTTTATTTGGTTTCTGTTCCCACTCAATCATTAATCTATACTTTCTGACAAATGTTTAGCTCAATATCAATTTCCTATCTTCCTGCTATAAGAACCCTGTTCAGCTTAGTATTCCCAATACCTCACCGAGTGCCCTGCCAGTAGTTTATGCAAAGCTGGGTAACTACCAGCATACATGCCAGTCAATGTTCTAAGCTCTACATTATTGACTAATTTCATATTCACAACATGGAGAATTAATGGTAAGAACCATTATTATCCTCATTTTACAAGTGACAAAACAGAGGCTAAAGAACTTATCCAAGGTCATAAACTAGGTGGTGGAGGAGCCAGCTTTTAAACCTTTAAACTCAGGCAGTCTGACTCCAGATCCTGGGTTCCTAACCACTAAGGTATGAATTCTCAAAAATATTAATTTTATACAACTGACTGATTTCATTGAGTACTTTCACAGATAGCATGGCCAAAATGCTGAAGGGGAGAAGAGAAAACTTTCTTGGCCAATGATATCTAATAAGTCAACACAGCGGTCCCCAACCCTTTTGGCACCAGGAACTGGTTTCAGGGAAGATGATTTTTCCATGGATGGGGATGGGGGATGGTTTTGGGATGAAACTGTTCCACCTCAGATCATCAGGCATTAGATTCTCTTAAGGAGGGCACAACCTAGATCCCTTCCGTGTGCAGTTCACAATAGGATTCCGACTCCTGTGAGAATCTAATGCCTGCTGATCTGACAGGAGGTGGAGCCCAGATGGTAATGCTTGCCCACCCACTGCTTATCTCCTGCTGTGCAGCCTGCTTCCTAACAGGCGACAGGCCAGTACGGATCCACGATCTAGGGAATGGGGACCCCTGACCTAACAGATGAGGGAGTTACATTATTTTCTCTTTCTTCTGCTAATTTGTTTTGTGTTTGTTTGTGGTGCTATGAAGGAATACACGAGACTGGGTAATTTATGAAGAAAAGAAAAAAAAAGAAAACTCAGAAAATGAAAGTATCAAAAACACAGTACAAAATATTTGAGGGCCTAAGGACATGAGACTGTAGACTGGAGAGCCCCACTGAGTGTAAAGGATAATCAATGAAGGAAAAGAAACCTCTTACCAAAGCACATCACTGTGAAATATCAGAACATGAGCAATTAAGAGATAAACTTGAAAGTTTCTGAGAGAAATAATGAAGTCATATAGAGAATGACATTGCACTTGTCAACAGAATATTGGAAGGGATAAAGCAATGGAAAAATGCTTTTAAGATTCTAAGGGATAATGATAGTTAATTTAAAATTTCATATCTTCATACCTCACTAATAATCAAGTGTGAGAGTAGGATAAATGTATTTTCAGATATGTAAGCTCTGAGAAGAATTCTCCTCCAGGCATCCAATTTTAGTAATCTGCAGAAGGATGTATTTTCCCAAAATAAGCTGGTGGACTAGGAAATGAGAAGCCATGGGGTCTAGGAAGTACAGGATCCAATATAGAAATATCAGGAAAATAGTAAAGAAAGTCCCAGGGCAATAGCCATAGGAGCAAGTCAACAGACAGTATCCAAAATAAAAAATTCAAAAAGCAGCAGAAAAAATATTATTTAGAGACAATAAAGATAATTATTAGAAGAAAGAACTAAAGTGTTTAAACTGATTGCTTCTGGGGGGTGGGATTTAAGAATAGACAGGCTAGGCTTGCTCCTTTTCCTCATAAGCCTACACATGAAAGTTTTGATTTTTAAGCTTCTTGTATGACTTTATGAAAATTAACTTATTCAGTGAAGTATACCTATAAAATATAGAAATAAAATCAATGCAGAGTGGAATTAGTGATGGTGCAAAAAGGAAATATAAAAAATTAGATTAATCCAATTGAGAATGAGAAAGAAGGAAAAAGAAGCATAGAAAGCTGGTAGAGATAAAAAGCACAAAATAAGATTATAGAAATAAATCTAAAATAAAAATAAAAATAATAAAATGAATTAAACTTTCCAGATAAAAGACAAAGAGTTTTATATTGTGTAAAATAACAAAACCCAGCTCTGTGCTATTTAAAAGACGTACTCAAAAGGGCCAGGTGCAACGGCTCACGACTGTAATCCCAGCACTTTGGGAGGCCAAGGCTGGCAGATCACCTGAGGCCAGTAGTTTGAGACCAGCCTGGCCAACAAGGTGCAACCCTGTCTCTCCTAAAAATACAAAAATTGTGTACCTAAAATTTAATTGAAAGGGAAATATAAATACATATGTTAGGGGAAAAAATTGCCTGTATAGAGTAAGGATTTAACCTTTGCTAAATGCCAGGAGGCAGAGGTTGCACTGAGCTGAGATAGTGCCACTGCACTCCAGACAGAGCAAGACTCCATCTAAAAAAAACAAAAAAAAACACATACTTAAAGCATAATGGTGCAGAAAAATAGAAACTTCAAAGATGGAAAAGCAAACACTAACCAAAAGAAGATGGTTGTTATTACATTAATTTCAAACAAAATAGACTGTAAGGCAAAAGATTTATTAGGGACAACCAAATTCCAACATGTGGCTAAATAAACAATTTACCCGTAAGCCATAATTCTGAACCCATGTGAACAAGATAGCTTCAAACTATGTAAAGAAAATTTGAAGAATTTCGAGAAAAAGTAGAAAATGTCAAACATTGGGAAAAGTATACACATTTAAAAAATCGAATTAACCATCTTGGGCTAATGTGTGTGTGTGTGTGTGTGTGTGTGTGTGTGTGTACATAGCATAGATATAGGAATAGATATGGATAAGAATGTGGCTATATTTGTTTGTATCCTTATACATGGTATATTGAACTATCAAGCTTGTTGCAAAGTGCAAGGAGAAACTAACTAATCTTTCAACTTCTAAAGACTTTGCTCCTGAATGAAATATTGACAAGTTTTATAGCTCTTCTAATCATTTTCATGTGATAAAATACAGCATAGTCAAATATAAACCCTACATTCTCATCCAATTTTAGATGATTCTCCTTCCCCAGCTCAGCTCACATGGGTTCAAAAACTTACAACGAGAAAGCAGGACGTGGTTGGCTTCTTTCCTCTTTCTTCGTACACCCCCTTCTCACTTGCTGGATGTGCTTTTGGTCAATGGGAAGAGAAGGAAGGATATAAAAGGGGCATTAAGGAGAAAACAATTTTTCAAGGCTCACAGGGTCACAATCTGGTATGAAGCTTTGCTTTGTATTCCACACGCAGTGCTCTTTCTTTTAAAGGCAGTTTTGTAAAAAACTGTGAAAGATCCCGCAGTATTGCTCATGCATACAGCTTACAAACCCTAAGCTTAGCTACTAGATTCTAGCAGCTCACCCTACTGTTGTGGCTACCTATTCTTCTAAGTAATACTTTTAGGTAGTATGTCCCTCCCAAGTAGCCATAAAATCTTGAGAGAAATGTACATTCACTTTTGCCCTAACAGACTATGAAAGTGCAGTCCATTTCTAAGCAGATCACTTTGGCTCTAACTTTTAGAATATATTTACTCATGAACCCCATACCAATTACTGTGTCCTCAAATTCTAGGGAGCATCTGTCTTGCTCTTTGATTGTTTCTGTCAATATATGTCCCTGGCTGGGATTAAAATGAGAGTAGCATTAGCGCCACATCTAGATGGAGACGAGAAACATCATGATTCTCCAATTTTCTCTTTAAAGAAATACTGTACTTCTTTTCTTCATCTTTATCATCCCATAACCAATTCTCTAGCCTGGTTTCATACAGCATTTGAAGCGAAGGATGATTTAAGTTTTGTAAACCCAGTCTCACATTATCTTAGAATGCCCAGCAAACATGCACATTGAGAAGCTGAGACTTTAGCTGAAACATCAAGATAACAAAAAAGTCACAGCTAAAATCTTCTCTTTCTCTTACACATGCGCACACACACACACACACACACCTACCTGCACCCAAAATTTGAGCCTTAAAAAAAAACCAAACATAATGTAGACCCATTCTTGTATCTCAATGTAACAAAATTAGAAATCAAAAAATAAAGATAAAATCCTCATACAATTGGAAAGTTTAAAACACAGTTTTAAATAAGTCATAAATCAAAGAAGATAATGGAAATTAAAAAATAATTAGAACAGAATTACCAAAAAATCCCTGTGGATCAAAATTTGTATACCTAAAATTTAATTTAAACTAAAATATAATTACATGGGGAAAATTGCCTATATAGAGTAAGGATTTAACCTTTACTAAATGCCAGTAAGATGTTGCTTATAGATTTTGTTGTATTAGATCATGTATATTCTTTGTGTCTTTTTAGAAAGCAATTCATTCCTTTTAAAAAATTTTAATTTATGAGAATCTCTAAAGTAATTTCTTATTCTTCACATGGTTATAATGAAAACGGACTGTTCTCTAAATACTGCGATACTTCAATGACATGTTTATATTATTTAAGTAATTCGTTAAAAGCAATTTATTCTCTTTTTATTCTCAGGTAGACACATTAGGGTAAATCTCCTGCATTTCAATTGATCTTTAAAAAAAATGAGGAAAATTCAGGGCCTTAAGAATAAAGTGCTAGCAATGACAATCAAGTGCTGAAAGCAGAGAAAGAAAAATATATGTATATATATATTATTTTAAAAGCTTTGAGCTCCCTCTAATGGCCTTTGGTAAAATTCCCAGAAGCAATAAGACAACTTTACTTAAGTAATAAATCTCCAATAAAGATGTTTTAAGAACATCTTCAAAATGTTCAGATTGCTGTTTTACTTTAAGTAGAGCATTCATTGTGGGGAAAAACTGAGCATATCCAAATGTTGCTGTGGGAATGTCCTTTCCTGTCTACCTGTTATCCTGTTACTGATGAGAGACACATTTTCTCTCCCCCTAGTGGATGTTTACAAAAATGACACAAAGATATTACCAAACTAAGAGATTAAATTATTGCAATCAGAGAATTTAGATAGCACTAGCTGAGGCTCTTGACATGATTCAGCCTAACCTGTCATTTTGTGCTAGAGGAAATACAACAAATTTATGACTGTGTCATGGTCCAGGGGCACAGGCTCACTAAAATACTGAAGCAAATTTTAGGACTATGAACAATTTCCTTCACTCTACGCCTTACTTCTCCTTAATAGGGTTCCTGTACAACAACAGGAATTACAGTGGAAAGAACTGCAAACCTCAGGAATGATTTAAGAAGTGTCCAGGGAAATCCAAAGACAACAGAGGAGACGAAAACAGGGACACCAGAGGAAACTTTAGCCTCTGACAGAGCTACTGCAAAGAGGAAACACAGTCGAACTCCCAGTCATATAAAACCTCACACTAAAGACATAAAACCTCACACTAAAGACATAAAACTAAAGACATAAAACCTCACACTAAAGACATAAAATATATAAACCATAAAACCTCACACTAAGGACATGTTTATCTGTTTTTTTTACCCAGTACTTCATATTTAGCTTTCATCAAAAAATTACAAGGCATGAAAAAAGGTGAAAACCACAGTGTGAAGAGACAGAGCAGGCCTCACAACTAGACTCATATATGGCAGAAATTTTAGAATTATCAGACTTGGAATCTGAAAGAATTCTGAGTGATATGCTAAGGGTTCTAATGGAAAAAGTGGACAACATGCAACTACTGATGGGTAGTGTAAATACAAATATGAAAACTCTACGAAAGACTCAAAAGTAAATGCTATTATACAAATTAAAAATCCTGCAATAGAAGGGAGGAATGCCTTCGATTACTTATCAGTAGACTGGACATGGCTGAGAAAAGAATCAGTGAAATTAAAAATATATCAGCACTAACCTGCACATTGTGCACATGTACCTTAAAACTTAAAGTATAATAATAATAAAATAAAAAAATAAAAAATAAAAATATATCAGTAAAAACATCTCAAACTGAAAAGCAAAGAGAAAAAAGAATGAATAAAAACAGAATAGTATACCCCAAAATTGTGGGACAATTGCCAAAGGTATAAATACATATAATGGGAATACCAGAAGGAGAAGAAAGAGAAAGAAACAGAAGCAACATTTGAAGCAATAATGACAGAGAATTTTCTCCAAATTAATGAGACACCAGATCACAGATTCAGGAAGCTCAGAGAACACAAAGCAGGATAAATATCCCCCCAAAATCTATACATAGGCAAATCACATTTAAACCACAGAAAAGCAAAGACAAAAATAATGGCTTAAAAGAAACCAGAGGGGAAAAGAAACCCACCTTACTTATAGAGGAGCAAAGATGATAATTACATCAGGCTTTTATGTAGAAACCATGTAGGGCCCAGCATGGTGGCTCACATCTGTAATCCCAGCATTTTGGGAGGCTGAGGTGGGAGGATCACTTGAGTTTAGGAGTTCGGGACCAGCCTGGCCAACATGGCGAAACCCCATCTCTACAGAAAATACCAAAATTAGCCAGATGTGGTGGCACACACCTGTAATCCCAGCTACTCAGGTGGCTAGGAAGCACAAGAATCACCTGAACTCAGGAAGCAGAGGTAGCAGTGAGCTGAGATCATGCCACTGTACTCCAGCCTGGGTGACAGAGGGAGACCCTGTTTCAGAAAGAAAGAAAAGAAAGAAAGAAAGAAAGAAAGAAAGAAAGAAAGAAAGAAAGAAAGAAAGAAAGAAAGAAAGAAAGAAGGAAGGAAGGAAGGAAGGAAGGAAGGAAGGAGAAAGAAAGGAAAGAAAGAAGAGAAAGAGGAAGGAAGGAAGGAAGGAAAGGGAAGGGAAGGGAAGCAAGGAAGGAAGGAAGGAAAGAAGAAAGAAAGAGAAAGAAAGAAAGAAAGAAAGAAGGAAGGAAAGAAAGAAAAGAAAAGAAACCACGAGTGAGAAGACAGTGGTGCATAATATTTAAAGTGTTGAAACAAGAAAAACCAACCTAGAATTCTGCACCCAGCAAAATTATCTTTCAAAAGTGAAGTAGAAATAATTTCTCAACAAATTAAAAAGTAGGGAATTTGTATCCAGTAGACCAGTTGAACATGAGATATTCTGAAAGTCTTTCAAAAAGAAGGAAAATCATATAGGTCAGTAACTCTGATTTACATAAAGAAAGGAAGAGCATTAGAGAAGAAATAAAGGAAAGCAAAATAAAATATTTTATTTTTCTTAGTTGATTTAACAGATAACAGTTTGTTCTAAAGAATAACAGCAATATTGTACTCAGTTTGGGGATAGGGAAAAGAATAATAGCAATGTTGTAAGGGATGGGAGGAAAACATTGGGAATTTGCATTACTTGTGAAGTGGTATAGTGTTATTTGAAAGTGTACATGGGTTAGTTGTAATTGCAAATCGTTAACTCTAGGACAACCACTAAAAAATAAAAAGTGAAAGCATAATTTATTTGCAAAGACAGGAGAGAAATGGAATTGTATAAAATGTTTATCTAAAATCACAGAAGACAGAAAAAGAGTGGAAGACAAAAACAGGAAACAAAAAATAAGGGCAACACATAGAAAACAGTAACAATTATGGTATATATTAATCCAATTATACCAATAACCATATGAAACATCATTGTCTAAATATATCACTTAGAAATAAACTGGATAGAAAGACGAAAACCATTTGGTCCCACTTGTATGAGGAATCTAAAACAGTCCAACTCATAGAAGCTAAGAGTAGAATGATGGTTGCCAGGGGCTGGTTTGGGGTGGGGGTAGGGGTTTGGTGAGGTATTAGTTAAAGGATGCAAGTTTCAGTTACACAAGATGAATAAGTCCTAGAGATCTACTGTATAACATAGTGCCTATAGTTAATACTGTATTATGTTAAGTGTTCTTGTTGCACACACACACACAAATAATAACAAATAAAACTTGTGGGAGGAAAAATGAATCAATGAATAAATAAATAGCCATTTAATTTACAGAGTATCACAATAGATTAAAAACAAGACCCAACTATATGTTGTCTACAAGAAACTTAAAGACACAGATAGATTAAAAATAAAGAAATAGAGAAAGATACACCATGCTAATACTAATCATAAGAAAGCTGAAGTAGCTATATTAATGTCATTCAAAGCAGATTTTTAAGAGCAAGAAATGTTGTCAGGGATAAAGAGGCATATTGCATAATGATAAAGGAGTCCAAGAAGACATAACAATTCTTAATGTCTATGCACCTAACAACGCAACATCAAAATGTGTGAGCCAAAAACTGGCAGAACTGCAAGGAGAAATAAATGAATCTACTATTGTAATTAGAGACTTCAACATCCCTCTATTAGTAATTGGCAGATCCAGCAAGCAGAAAATCATTAAGGACATAGTTGAACGGAACAGCACTATCAATCAAGTGAATCTAAATTGACATTTATAGAATATTTCACCAACAGCAGAATACAGATTCTTCTCAAGCTCACATGGAACGTTTACGAAGAAAGCCCATATTCTGGGCCATAAAATACACCTTAACAAATTTAGAAGAATAGAAGTTATTAAAAGTGTACTCTCAGACCACAATGGAATTAAATTAGAAATTAATAACAGAAAGACACCTGGAAAATCCCAAATCAACAATCAAGGCTTCCACCTTAAGAAAGTAGCAAAAGAAGAGCAAATTTAATCCAAATGAAGCAGAAGAAAAGAAATAATAAGCATAAGAGCAGAAATCAACGTAATTTAAAAGGGGAAACCAATAAAGAAAAATGATGAAATTAAAAGCTTGCTTTTTGAAAAGATCGATAGAATGATAAAGCTCTAGCCAGGCTAACTAAGGAAAAATGAGAGAAGATACAAATTACTAATACAGAAATGAAAGACAGGCCATCACTCCTGATTTAATGGGTATTAAAAGGATAATAAAGGAATATTAGGAACAACTCTATGACCACAGATTTGATAACCTAGATGAAATGGACCAATTCCTTGAAAGACACAGTCTACCTCTTAAAAATGTAACCCTTAGGATTCAACAATGAGAAAATACACAACCAAATTTTAAAATGGGCAAAAGGTCTGAGCAGACACATAATCAAAGAAGATATACGGATGGCAAATAAGCATCTGAAAAAACGCTCAACATCATATGTTATTAGGGAATTGCAAATTAAAACAATATTGAGATATTGCTACCACCCATAGAATGGCTAAAATTCAAGAGATTGACAACACCAAATGCTGACAAGGATGTGGGGCAACAGGAACCCTCATTCAAAGTTGGTGAGAATGCAAAATGGCACAACTGCTTTGGAAGACAGTTTGGTAGTTTCTTGCAAATCTAAACATGCTCTTACCTTGCAATCCAACAATTGTGCTCTTTGATATTTGCCCAAATGAGTTGAATACTTATATATACACAAAAACTTGTAAATTAATGTTTATAGCAGCTTTATTCATAATTGTTAAAACTTGGAAGCAACCAAGATGTTCTTCAATAGGCTAATGCATAAGCAAACTGTTACAGAGTCATGCAATAGACTATTTTCCAGTGATAGAAAAAATGAGCCATCATGTCATGAAAAGACATAGAGAAACATGAAATGCATATTACCAAGTAAAGGAAAGCAGCCTGAAAAGACTACACAGCATATAATGCCAAGTATATGACATTCTGGAAAAGGCGAAACTATGGAGACAATAAAAAGAGCAGTGGTTTCCAGGCATTCAAAGTGAGGGAAGGAGGAATGAATGGTTGGAATATAGGGAAATTTGGGGCAGTGAAACTATTTTGTACCATATTATAATGGTGGATATATGAATCATACCTTTGCAAAAGCCCATAGAACTGTACAACACACAGAGTGAACCTTAATGTAAACTATGCATTTTAGTTAATAATAATGCATCAATATTCGTTCATTAATTGTAACAAATTTACTACACTAATGCACGATGTTAATAAAATGAGAAACTGTGATTGGGGTGATAAATAGAAACCCTCTGTATCTTCTGCTTATTTTTTCTGTAAACCTAAAATGGCTCTAAAAAATAAAGTTGATTAATTAAATAAGCAAGAGAGAGAGGGTTTTGGAGCCTAACAAAGATTCAAATCCTGGTTCTCTCACTTATAATTTGTGTGGGCTTCTGTCCTGACATTTTAGAAACTGATTTTTTTTTCTCATCAGAAAATAAAGATAAAAATATTTACCTCCTAGAATTATTTTGGATTTGAGTGAGCTAATACATGAGAAGCTCCAGAGAGAGCCTGGTACACAGTAGACATTCAGCATTTATTAACTCTTCTAGCTTTCCCTTTCTTTATGAACATTACTACTTGATAGTTACTAAACAATGTAGGAGAAGATGGGCAAGAAATCACCAGGAGCAGTAGCAGAAGCAAAAGTGTAGTTGAAGATGCCAGAGATGATCTAACAAAGAGATCAACTTTTGAGGCTGCATAACATAAAAAGCATTCCTGTCGAGAGACTACTGTGAATAAGAGAATATATTAAGCAAATGAGGCACTGAACTGGATTGAAATTTATACACTATGTGGCATTTGAAAATGAGCAGTAAGCTGTCTTGTGAACTGACACTTCATCTTTGAATATTCCACTCTGTGAGAATGCTTATGCAGTGCTGCCCAACAGAATGTTGTAAAATGATGGAAATGTTTTTGTCCACTGTCAAATATAGTAGGCATTCACCAAATGTAGCTAATTAGCACTTGAAATGTGGCTAGTATGACTGAAGAACAAATTTATTTTATTTTATTATGTTTCAATTTAAATTTAAGTAGTCATATGGGGCTGGTGGCTGTCAAATTGGACAGTTTAGACAATCTTCAAAAAAATGATAAGCACATAGCAAGGAAAATTAGAAAATAATTTGACATGAATGAAAATGAAGACACAACATAATGAAACTCACAGGATGTAGCTAAAGCAGTGCTTAAAAGGAAATGTATAGCTGTAAATACCTATATTAAGAAAGAAGAAAGACCTCAAATCAACAGCTTAACATTTCACCTAAGACAGTAGAAAAGAAAACTAAATGCAATGCAAACAAGGAAGAAAATTAGGATTCGAGCAGAAATTAATGAAACAGGGCCTAGAAAAACCATGAAGAAAATCAACAAAACCAGAACTTTGTTTTTTGAAAGAATAGACAAAATTGACAAACCTCAGCTAAACTGACCAAAGAAAAACAGAGGAGACTTAACTTACTAAAATCAGAAATGAAGCAGAGGACATTACCTTGCATAAATAAAAAGGATTATGAAGGAATACTATGAACAGATAATAACAAGTGTTAACAAGGATTTGGAGTAATTGGAACTCTCATATTGCTGGTGGAAACATAAAACATTGCAGCCATTTATGAAAACAGACCAACAGTTGCTCAAAAGATTTAACACTGAGTTACTCTATGATCCAGCAATTAGACTCTGAAGTGTATACACAAGAGAAATGAAAACACATGTCCACATAAAAACTTGTACATGAATGTTCACAACACCCTTATTCATAATAACCAAAAAGCGGAAACAACCCAAATGCCCATCAATTGATGAATGGATGAATAAAATGTGTGTCATTCATACAGTAGGATATTTTTCATCAATAATAAGAAATAAAGTACTGATACATGAATAAATTTTGAAAATATGTTAAGTGAAAGACACCAGTCATAAAGGGCCCCATATTGTCTGATTCCATTCATTTCAAATAGGTAAATTGGAAAGGCAAATCTGTAGCAATGGAAAGCAGATTAATAGTTGCCTAGCACTAGGGGTGAGGTCTGCTAGGGGTATGGGCAGGTCATCACCTGCCCATGACTAAGGGGAATAGAGATTCCTTTTGGGGTGGTGAGAATGTTCTAAAATTGATTACGGTGATGGATACACAGCTCTGTGAATATACTAAAGCCATTGGATTGTATACTTTAAATGGATGAGTTGTATGTCAACTATACCTCTTATAGCTGTAATTAAAAAAAAACAAGCAAAGTGGAGGGAGCAATACTTCAGGCACTAACAATTTACAAAATTGTAGCTTCAGCAGTGGTTGTTCTTTGTTTCCGGGGTTCCTAGAAAACCCAACACCATGTGTTCATAACAAAGTTTCCAGGTTTCCTTGGGCCAGCCCAATCCCACCTTATTAATTTCCTGCTAACCTTCAACCTAATCTCACCCTCAACAATGCAAGCATACAGGAATTGAACCTGCATATGGAGTCTCATGAAACAATCAATAATTTTTTCATTTTGAGGAAAAAATTTTCTATTTTCTATTGCTGAAATTAAATTTACATTGCTTAATGTTTTGTCAAATTTGGATTTGATGACCATAATAACATGGTATTACAGTTGAAGTTTTGATTTGATCATTATTCTTCCAAAGATAACATGGATGCAAAATTTCATTTCTTAAATTTGTTTTGACTTTTAAAAATGCTTACACAGTTAAGATTTTATGTTAGAATTTTGTACAAGTAGGATTTTTTACTGATTTTTAGTTGCTTCGTTAAGGAGAAATAAAATCTCATGACAAAATCAGACTGTTGGAGTGTCTGGCAGTAGTTACAACAGTTGCCAAGATATTTTTATGTCTGAAAACCAGAACAATTACCCTTAATATTGTAGTTTTATATTCTTACATCTTTGGCTGCTTGATTTGTTTTTCCAGCCAAAACCAGTGTTGGTGAGTAATGTAAGAAATGTGTCAGTAATCAGTCCTAACACCTTTTTCGTGTTTAATCTATATATGTTCCAGTGAGCATACCACTCGTCTACTGTTCTTTCTGATAGATGTTTCTAGTTATATAGGGCTTTACTTTGCCTATATTCAGGTAGAAGGGTTCTGATATTGATAAATGAAGAAGGCCCACATTATCTCTTTTCTTTTTTTTTTTTGAGATGAAGTCTCGCTCTTGTCCCCCAAGCTGGAGTGCAATGGCGCGATCTTGGCTCACTGCAACCTCCGCCTCCCGGGTTCAAGCGATTCTCTTGCCTTAGCCTCCTGAGTAGCTGAGATTACAGGCATTCGCAACCATGCCCGGCTAATTCTTGTATTTTTAGTAGAGACGGGGTTTCACCATATTGGTCAGGCTGGTCTCGAACTCCTGACCTCAGTTGATCTGCCCACCTCTGCCTCCCAAAGTGCTGGGATTACAGGTGTGAGCCACCGCACTGGGCCATATATTTAGCTTTACAACAAGAAGCACCTGTCTTCATTAGATAGTGGCAGCAGAAATCCCACATTCAGAACATGAACTTGGCTTCACTGACTCCTTCATAGATTCCAACTTCACAAACTTCATATTCATTTCCAAGAGTATTCTTACAAAGTCCATTTTATTTTGCTCCTCCAAATTTAATTGAAAATCATTGCTTCCTATAATGCTTCCTTGCTTCTCTTTGCCCAAATTTCTGAAAATATAGATCCCAGATTTGCCCATAGCTGCTAATTTTTATATTGCCCTGCTCAGATTTTCTGCCACAGTGACTTAGTTTTAAGCTTGTCTAGACTCTGATTTTGACTCTCAGATTAGATGTAAGAAGTTTAGATTGGAGGTACAGACCAGAAGACTAGGAAGGGTCTTGGGAATCATATTAAGCCCGTAAGTCAAGTAACACAAGTGTCTCATTTTAAAATTTAAAGGTAAATACTACCACTGAGAGTGATAGCTCACACCTGTAATCCCAGCACTTTGGAAGGATGAGGTGGGTAGATGGCTTGAGCCCAGGATTTCGAGACCAACATGGGCAACATAGAGAAACCCCCGTCTCTACAAAAAGATACAAAGAAATTAACCAGGTGTAATGGGGTGCACCTGTAGTCCCAGCAACTTGGGAGCCTGAGGTGAGAGGATCACCTGAACCCAGAGAGGTTGAGACCGCAGTCAGCCGTGATCGCAACACTGCACTCCAGCCTGGGTGACAGAGTGAGACCCTGTCTCAAAAAAGAGAAAAGGTAGATACTACCAAAAATATATAATCAACTGAAGTGAGATGGTAGCAGTCAGGAGAACCATGGGTGTATACTGGTTTCATCTTTTCTCATAGTAGGGAATCAATAGATGCTAATACATAAAGTTAAATATACAACATAAAGTAGTAGTTATAAATATAACCATTAGTACAAAAACATGAACTCTCCAAATTACCAGACAATACACACATATACAAAATATTATAGATGATATAACAAAAAATTATAAAAAGGAAAAAAATAACTGAAAACACAATATGAAATATAATATGAAATATATCAGATAAAAAGTAAACATATATGCCATATAAATAAAGGTAAGTAGATTAACTCCTCATTTTAAAAAGTCTCAAACTAAATCATAAAGCAAAATGTAATTATATTTTCAAATTCAAGATATGTATCTAAGATAAAATCACTCAGAAAAAATGAAAACAAAAGAATGAGTAAAGGCCTATCAGACAAATGTAAAGAAAATAATAAAGGATACAATCCACTTCAATGATCTCATCATTATGTATATCTATGAATAAAATAACCTCGTATCAACATACTTAAAGCAAAAATTACAGGAAACACAAGAGGAAATAGAAACACATTAGGTACAGGCAGTTTTAATGCCCATATCTCAGTTCATGACATAGCAAGTGAATAAAAAATAAGTTTGTAAATGGAACACATAAATAATGTAAGTAATAAGTTAAGTTTGCTAACTAATTGCTCTGCATGGAATTAAATTCCATGACTTCACATTCTTTTCACATACCCACAAAGCATTGGAGTAAACTGACCATATTTTAGACCACAAATAAAACCTTAGTCAATTTTTCAAAATTAGAAGATGAAAATATGAATATAAGAAGTAAAAATATTGTAAAGGAAGAGTAAATAAAAGCAAATCAATTCATAAGCTATTGGAAACAAGCCAGTTCAGTAAGGTGACTGGTTACAAAATTAATATTAAATAAATAGCCTTCCTATATGCAAGAAATAATCAACCATAAAATGTAATAAAAGACTCTATCAATAATGGCAAGAAAAAAGATTAAATACCTAAGAGAAGCTTATGAAAAATATTTGTCTATATTTCTGCCAGGCACAATGGCATGTGCCAGTAGTTCCAACTACTCAGGGGCTGAGGTGGGAGGATGACTTGAGTCCAAAAGTTCTAAGCCAGCCTAGTCAATGTAGTGAGACCCTATCTATAAGACAATATAAATTAAAATGAATCTTTTTAATCTATATTTTAAAATATAGGATCCCCATAAAAATACCATCTGAGTTTTATTTTAATATAGATGAGCTGATTTTAAAGATATAATAAATTTTGCTCTAGAAAAAATTTATATATGGCAACATGCACACACACACACACAAAGACAGAATTCATATCACAAAGAAGGCAAAATATTTGCAACATGCATTGCATATATAGGACTAATTTTCTTATGGTGTGAAGATCTCCCATAAACTAACTTTTAAAAATCAAGAAGATAATATAAGATGGAGATCACAGCAAAAGAAGCACAAATAACCTTAAACACATAAAATAATTTTACTCTTAATATGATAAACACACCTGTAAATTAGCAAAGATTCAAATCTTTGGTAACAAACTGTAGTTGGAGAAGAAGTAGGGAAGCAGGCACTCATAGTTCACTGGTGAGAGTATAAACTGGTATGACATCAATGCAGAGCGACTTGGCGATATCCATTGAAATTCCAAAGACACATATCATTTGATCAAACAACTCTACTTTTGAGAACTTATTCTACAGATAATACTTGCACATGTGTAAAATGAGACATATCTAAGTAGGATCAATATAGCATTGCTGGGATTAGCAAAAGATTAAAATGAACTAAATATTCAGAATTAATACAAGTTAAATAATTGGCAATCTACTCTCTTCATGGAAGGTTTAGGCAAGGAGGTAGTAGAGTTGAAAGTTGAATGGGACCATGTTAGTACAATCTGAAATCTAAGCTAAAGGATTTGGACTTTATCCTGTAGTCAAGTGAGGGAAATCAAAGTTTTCAAGCAAGGATCATGTGGTCAGCCTGGTGGTGGTATGCAGAAATCTGAGTTGGGGTCAAGAGTTCCAGCACAGGCCTTAAATTTGCACCAGAGCTGTGGGGATGATAAAGCCATTGATGCAAAAGGCCATAGAAAGCTTTACAGTTTCAGAATTTTGATGACTATAGTTGGTGCAGGAGGGAGAGCTGTGGAGTATTATTTATAATTACTGCATAATAATGACAGTATTAATAAAATTAAAAAGGCAAAATCTGAAAATAGTTTCATGGATAAGGTAATTAATTTATCTTTTATCTGATTGCATTTGAGAAGATAGTGAGCTTTCTATGTGGTTAGAAACTGGAACTGACATTCTAGAGAAAGATTAGAGAGGGAGATGTAGAATCAAGTGTTTCTGTTAAGGCTTTGAATGTAGATTCTTTCTCTTGTGTATAAGCAGGGAATATACAATTGGGTTTGCCATCTTGTAAAGAGATATGCCAAGAGTCTGACCCTGATATGGTTTGGCTGTGTCCCCACCTAAATCTCACCTTGAATTGTAGCTCCCATAATTCCCTCGTGTTGTGGGAGGGACCCAGTGGGAGATAATTGAATCATGGGGGGCAGTTTCCCCCATACTGTTCTCATGGTAGTGAAAAAGTCTCATAAGATCTAACGGTTTTATAAGCGGAAACCCTTTTTGCTTGGTTCTCATTCTCTTCTCTTGTCTGCCACCATGTGGGACGTGACTTTTGCCTTCTGCCATGATTGTGAGGCCTCCCCAGGCACACGGAACTGTGAGTCCATTAAACCTCTTTCTTTTGTAAATTGCCCAGTCTCAGGTATGTCTTTATCAGCAGCATGAAAATGAACTAATACAGACCCTTTCTGTCTAATGTAGTGGTGGGGTGAAGGGAGATAGATGTGGGCAGTGGGGCAGTGGCCGGTGAAAATCTCTTGCAAACCAAATGCTAAAAGTTAGTTGACTATGTACTGGTTCCTGCCATTCTCGACTGGAGCAGAGGAACATGATTTAAGTCCTGGTGTCATCTCTCATAAGTGTGCGTCTGGGGACAGCAGAAATAAAAGGTGACAGAGCCAGCCCTTGTTAAATGATTCCAGTGCCTGATACTCACTTGAAATAAGTATTTCTCAAATAAGAAGGTAGAGAGACCTAAAAGAAAGTAAATTTGGAAGAGATAAGCAGAAGTTAAAAGGAGTTGGAGAATAGACGAATGCAGCATCATGAACCCAAAGAAAGAGTCTTGAAAAGGAATGGCTTTTTTTTCCATAAAAGTAATAGTCAGGCCAGGCGCAGTGGTTCACCCCTGTAATCCTAGCATTTTGGGAGGCCGAGGTGAGTGGATCACCTGAGGTCAGGAGTTCAAGACCAGCCTGGCCAACATGGTGAAACCCCGTCTCTACTAAAAATACAGAAAATTAGCCAGGCGTGGTGATGGGCACCTGTAATCCCAGCTACTCTGGAGGCTGAGGCAGGAGAATCCCTTGAACCCAGGAGACGGAGGTTGTAGTGAGCCGAGATCATGCCACCTCACTCCAGCCTGAGTGACAGAGTAAGACTGTCTCAAAAAAAAAAAGTAATAGTGTATGAACAAATATAGAGAATAACAAAACCACCACAGATCTGTTTCCTGACTGCCAGCTGCAATGACTCTTCTCCCAATTACCCTTCTCTTTTCATACAACACTGTGTAGTTATGCCATACAGTTTGTGTTCTCCGCATCATTTTCTGTGTACTTCTGTTATAGTATCTGGCATTTCTTATTCTTGCATTTTTTGTGCTTTGATAGATATATTTCCTGCTGCCTGTAATCTCCTTTAGGGAAGGAATTAGTTCCTGTTATTTCTGGTATATGGCTTCTAGCATAGTGCTTTACTCAATAAATGTTGGTCATGTGAATATTTTGAAATATTTCCAGGAATTGTAGCTTCTAGAAATTTAAGCTGTGGGCAATGCCACATGCCTATGCATATAAATT
Organism: Homo sapiens; assembly: GCF_000001405.40. Classification (NCBI taxonomy): domain Eukaryota; kingdom Metazoa; phylum Chordata; class Mammalia; order Primates; family Hominidae; genus Homo; species Homo sapiens. Next base: position 127,506,197 of record NC_000005.10, read on the forward strand.
TTGGAAGGAATCTTAGCTCCCATCTTAGATCATATTCTGAGGCCAAGTTTAATTGACTCACATTAAGTAAAATGAATTTTATGTATGTGGAGGAAACGAAGAACTAAATTATCTCTGGAATATTTTTGATATGATGGGAGCAAATTATGAGCCTTTTGGAAAAGAATGATAAGAGCACTCTGCAGCATCAGCAACTGCAGTGCACTGATGAAACTTTATGATCCTTGGTGCATTCATTTATTTATTCACTTAACGAAGATTGGCTAACTGTCTACTAAGTACTTGGGGCTAACATTGAGGATACAGTGGTGAATGAAACAGACAGACTTGCCGTTGAGTTCATAAGCTTATATTTATGGAAGATGGACAGTAAACAAATAGATTTATATTGTAATATCAGGAAGTGCTCAGTGTTATGAAGAAAAATGAAGCAAGGTGTTCAGGGAAGGCCTCCCTGGGACAGATGATATGAGGAAACAGGACTCCATTCAGCAAGAGGGAGCAGCTGCAAAGAGCCCAAGGTGTGAGGGAGCTGGAAACACCACTAGGCCAGGGCGATGGAACAGAGGGAGTGAGGGAAAGGGCGGTAGGGAGTGAGGGCTGAAGGCAGCGGGGGCAGGGATTGGGTCACGTGGGCCTTGCAGGCCATGGTAAAGCTCTGTGGAAAAGCACCATAGACAAGCAGACGTGGAGCAAGTGGGCCGTTACAGTGCTAGTGAGATTTCCAAGTGACACTGGGTGAAGTTGGGGCTCAGGTGGGAGCAGGAGGGTGGAGGGGAAGTGGTCAAACACTGACTGTTTCCTCTGTGGAGCTGACAGAATTTGCTAAAGGACTGGATGTGGAGTGAGAGGGAAAGTGAGGAGTCAAGGAGGTCTCCAAGGTGTGTGTGTGTGTGTGTGTGTGTGTGTGTTTAAAATAAACTTACTTTTAGAACACCTTCAGATTCACAGAAAAATTGAAAGGATAGTGCAGTTTGCTTATTATTAATAACATCTTACATAAGTATGGCACATTTGTTACAAGTAATGAGCCAATATTGCTACATTTTTATTAACTAAAGCCCATACTTGTATTCAGTTTCCTTAGTTTTTACCTAATGCCTTTTTCTGTTCCAGGATCTCATGCAGGATACCACGGAGAGACTGAATACTGGGTAATGACAGACCATATATAAAAACAGAGCTCTGACCCACAACCTGTAGCAACCAGTCCAGGAAGCTAAACAACAAGCCCTATAGCAATTGGCCCCACATGGCCAGAACCTAATGACAAACAGCTTCTGTAATTTTTGCCGCAGCTTCCAACTTAAGACAAACTAAAGAAAGCCATTTAAGTCCCAAGTACTTAGGAGGCACTTGAATGGTCGACCAATCTCTGTTAAATGAATGACTGCACCCTTAACCCTGCTTCTGTTTGGCCCACCTACAGCTTCCCCATGATAAAAGCCTCCAATCTGAAGCTTCTCTTTTTCCCACTCTGAAGCTTTTCCACTGCTGTGAGTCTGCCTTTGAGTTTCCACCAAATGCAAGTGATGGTGGCTACTCCTCTGCTATAGTAAGCTCTAAATAGCCTTTTCTTGCTCTAATTTAGGTTCTCTTTGTTTCTTTCCACAGCACAGTACATTTAGCTGTCATTGTCTTCTTAGGCTCCTCTTGCCTATGACAGTTTCTCAGGCTTCTCTTGTTTTCAATGACCGTGACAGTTTTGAGGAATACTGGCCAGATATACTGCAGAATATCTCTCTATTCTCATGATTACACTGGGATTACGGTTTTGAAGGAGGAAGACCACCGAGGAAAAGTGTCATTTTCATTACTTTATATCAAAAGTACATTCTCTCAACATGACTTATTACTGGTGATGTTGTATTGGACCCATGGTGCTTTTTATCAGAGCAACTAGAAAAGCATAGTTGCCATTTACCGAGTAGGAAGAGTACAAGAGGGGCAGGATATTTTGGGGAAACACTGAGAGTTTTAATTAGTCTCCTGCCTAGACACCAAAGTGAAGCTATTAAACAGTTGTAGAGTTTAGGAGAGAAGTTATGGTTGGACATATAGAGATGGAAGTCATTAGCATACAGATGTTGTTTAAGGCTGTGGACTGGTGAAGATCACTGGGAGCTTGAAAAGAAATACAAGTACTACCTACTGGATCATTTCAACAGGAATTTTTACTACAAATAAGGATAGCTGTGTTTTTTCCATGTTAAAATTTTTTTTATCTCTTTTTACATTGTTACTTTAAATGAAAGGCTTCTATCTCACTACTTAAGTGTGTTGGCTATGTTATTTTGTACATGTCCTTTATCAGGTTAATGATTGCTTCTATTCCTAGTTTAACAAGAGTTATGAGTAAGAGTTCAATTTTATCAAATGTTTTTAACTGTATCTACTGGTATTATCAGATTCCTTTTCTTTTTAAATTTGGTAAATCATCAATAAATTTTTCTGACGTAGGACCACTCTTCTATTCCTGGGAGGAAAACAACATTACTTAGTCACAATGTATATCATCAATCATCATCATCACTATCACCCAATTCAATTTTCTAACATTTCACCTAGAATTTTTTTTCTTTTTTCTTTTTTTTTTTTTTTTTTTTTTTTTGTTTGCAGGGCTAACTCCGAGGCAGTGTGCCCAGAGTTAGCCTTTTCATCTATGTTGATAAGGGAGAATGTCTTATTTTCTTTTGTCTAGTTAGGAAGCTAACCATAATGAATGCTCACTACAGAAATCATTTAACTATCCCTCACTCATCAGGGGAGGAAATTAAAGCTCAGAGAAGGTAACCCTCAGACAAGAGTTGCTTTCTTAATTAGTGGCAGAAGCTGTGCTAGATTCCTAATCTAGTGTATTTTCCACCTAACCCTGCTGACCTGCTTAGAAGCAGTTAGTTCTATGAGATAGGAAGCAGAAGGACACCAAATGGCTGTTCCCATGCAGCTGGTTTGATTGGGGAGTTACATAAATTGGACTCATTCACCTCACAGGCTCTCTTGTCAAAATTTCACTTCTAAGCATTAAAGAAATGCTGAATTGACAAAAGAAAAAGCACATGGCCCTGAGCTTTAAATATTGCTTGAAAATGAAGGTGCTTGTAGGAACAATTGTGTTATGTTTCCTTTTCTAAACTATCATAAAAATTAAAAGGGAAAAGTGGAATGTTCTGTGAATTAAAAGTCTTGAGAAACACTACTACAGATATAAATATTTAGGAGGTATCATGCACTGAGAGCTATTGCTTGAAGTTATGCAAACTTTTAACTTTGTAAAAACACAAAATTCTAGAAAACAATTAGAATACTCTGCAATATGTTATTGCATATTAACAGGGATTCCTTGGCCAGAGAACTAATTTTAGTGGCATGGTTTCTTATTCAAAGGAAAATTTCAAATTTTTCAAAAGAAACATTTGTTCTGTCTCCTACAAGAATATTTTTAGTGAACTCATATTTGGAGGAGAAAAAAGATGATTATGAGGACGTTTTGCTATGTGTGTGCTGCACATGAATCTTAATAGAAAATTCAACTAAATTCAAAACATGTTCGTAGTACTCACTCACGTAAAAATTTGAATGTAGTGGTATTCTAAACCCAAAGTTACTACCATCAAGGAGCTCATAAATGAATAGAGAATATAAGCATGTACAGCCAACAATACTACAATGTAAAAAGATTTTATGGTAGAAGAAAACTTTGAGCAAGTCCTTGAAAAGTGAAGAATACCTATTAGTAGAAGGTGGAAAGGGAAAAACATGCTCAGGTAAAGGGATTGATAGGGGCAAAGGTGCATGGCTTCAGGCTTCGGTAGGGCAGATTCTTGCAGTGGGTGCCTGGGAAATATGGAGCAGGATGTAGGAAAAGGAGAAGAGTCTAGAAAGCAAGAGTAAATTGAGTTTTTAAGATTTTACCATATGAGAAAGAAGGAGTGATAGACGTTTTCATAAATATGTATTTGAGAAAAATAATTGAGTTTGCTCTTCTTTTTTCTTTTTCTTTCTTTTTTTACAATTTAAGATTACTGTATTTCCTTGTAAGAGGAATGTTTCAATAAATTTTACAGGTGTCAATCAACCCTTGTTCAAATTGGTCACATATCAAATCTAGCATCATGGGTGTTTTATTTATTTGCAAGTGAATTTTAACTATCATAACAAATGCCAATATACTACGCAAAACATCCACAGGAACTTTTTTCATCTTTTTTTGAATTGTACACAAACATTTCCTACATAATCCAACATACAACAGAGAAATGGTACATCTTTTTCTTTCAATTTGCATACAATGGAAAAACAAGTATATATGTATTTTATAAAGTTTAATAAGACATTAGAGCAAGTTGACAGTTTATAGGTGAGAAATTATCTAATAAAAATAATCAGTTTTTTTCAGCATCAGTCACTTCCATAACCAAGTGTTATTCTGATTAATAAAACTTGCTGCCAATCAGAATTCTGGTATATACTCATACCATTACTCAATTTGTAGTACTGCTCCCCACTTTAGTTCTTCACAACCACTAACATATAAAATTGTTGAAAAGCAGGGGCAAGCATTTGCAAAAACAAACAAAAAATGCCCAGCTTTTTATAAGCATGAATATGTATGTTGGAATTTCTTCCCAGAAATAGGCTTTCAAACCATCAAGAAATCACCAGAACTAAGTTTGCCGAGTTATTTTGCCTATGTCCAAGAAGAGATGCACTTACATATCCAACAGAGGAGCTGAAAATCAAACTTAGTGTTTAGTTTGGGGGTGGAGAAATTCAGCCACCATTTTAAAATGACTGTCTTAAAAAAAATGACCACAAAAAATAGGTTCACTAAATTTATTTTAAAAATCATAAAATGTTTCTTTAAAAAGAGCATTATATTCTGCACACTGCTCTGAACAGATGCCAGGGACATATGGACTATTGTTACTTTTCCTCCCTGTCCCACCCCCCAAATGTTACAGTGACCACAAAGCAAGGTGTTCGCAATAATTACATGGGGGGAATTTTTTTTAAACCATCAACAATAACAAAAAATAAAATCCACTCACTCTGCTGCTGTTTCAAAATTTCAATGTTAGTTTTTGCACGCCCTTCCCCCACAACCCTATTTGTAAGGAACTAAAACATTACATCTGGTGAACAGCAAAGATTTCACTACACTTCAAATGCAGAACACCTACAAAGCAGAGGAATGTTGGCTTTTTAAACAGAAGCAAATAAAAAAAAAAGATGCAGGACTCCTCCAGTTCTTCACTAGTCTTAGAAAAACTTTCCAGAATACTGCTACACATTGTTCTGCAGCAAATATTGTGCATTCTGTATCTGGTCCTGTGTTCCTGTAATGATAGTGATCTGATCTTCGGATCCTTCTAAAGGCTCATCAATTTTGATTGAAGCTCCCAACTCATGACCGATTTGTTTAATCCGCTGACCACCTTTGCCAATAATAGATCCAGTCAAATCTTTGGGAATAGTTACTTGTGCAGTAGTAATAGGTCCACCAAGATCACCATATGAGCCACCAATCCCTGCATAGGAATAATCATATCCGGAGCCACCCTGTGGTTCATAAGCCATCTGCCATTCCGATGGGCTCCATGTATCTATTGCAGAGTTCCAAGTTTCATCAGGACTGAAACCAACCATGCCATCGTAACAGTCTCCAGGTCTCCCTCTTCTGTCATAGGCCATTAGGTCTTCCCCTCTAGGTGGTGGTGGTGGAGGAAGAGGAAGATTCCGAGCTCTGCTACCACCCCGGCCACCTCGTCCAGTAAGAGGAGGAGGTGGTCCTCGATGAGGGTTCATATCTCTTCTAGATGGAGGCATGGGACGCCCACTCCAACCAGGAGGCATTCTGTCAAAACCACCTCTTCCCCACATTGGAAATCCCACTGGGCATCCAGGGCGGTCATCAAACATCATTGTAAAACCACCATAATCATAGGTTTCATTGTAAAAACTGGGATCATAAGGCTGTGCAGGTCCTTTGATGGGAGACTCAGATATAAGATCAAGGATGATCTTTATGCACTCTACAACCCTATTGGGTTTTCCTCCAATAAGAACAACTCTGTCAGTGGGATGAGAACAGCATTCCTAGAAAAGCTTGATGGTTGTTTGAGCGTTCTCTCAAAGTTCTTTGATTTTAGCACCTTTGACCCCAATATTCCTCCTGCTAGACTCTGATAAATCAACAGCTTCAACTCGCACTCAAAGTCTCTTCCTTTATAGTGTTGGTAATTTAAGCATTCCACAGCATCAGATTCCAGCAGGAGCTGGCTGGTTGGAGTGAGTAATGGCAACTGGAGGCCCTCTTCCAAGGTAGGGATGATTTTCTTTAGAATTTCTCCAATTGTTTCAATACCAGCACTGATACTCAGTATGCACTTGGGGCCACTGCTGTCTGGGACTGAAACACTGGCACTGTAGTCTATACAGGGAGCCTTAATATTCTTACCTCCTTCTCCAATAACTGCCCCAGAATTCTTGTTCTGAAGCAGAATGTGTAACTCAACCATCTCATCAGTGTTTCTAGATCTTTTCAATGCTTGTTCCTCTTCCATATCTTCTGCAGGGCATTTACCAAATTCACCATTGGTTTCAGTGTTAGGGAAGCTTTCTTCTGGCTGTTCAGTTTCCACTTGTATTAAAGGGACACACCAAGCTATAGGCCACGAACAAGTGGGACACAGGCTGAGTTTGCTCTTCTTTAAGGAAAATTAAAACAGACTCCAGTGATGATTGTGTGTGGGGGCAAAGGACAGGTATTGAAATTTTCACACTGAACTCGTGTAAAAATGAGTGACTTCTTGATATCTCTGTAATAGGATAACCCATAAATTCTACTGTCCAAATTGGAACATTTTTTAGAATAAGAGGTGGGTACTTTAAAAAATCACGCTGGGACAACAACCCTAAAGTGGGAGTGTCCCAGACAAATTGAGAGGTAGGGTCCCACTATATCTTATTACATATCCTTTAGTTGAAAGCAAACAAGCAAACAAACCTTGATTTGGAAGTTACAATTCAGACTCAGCCAAATAAAGGTCCTTTTGGCTTAAAATAGTTATTATGAGATGAAGATGAATATTTAGGCAATTTTAAACTCAAAGAATAAGAGCTAACACTGTGAGTTAGGCACTGTGCTAAGCACTCCACACCTATTAAGTCATTTAATCTTCATACAAAAACTATGAGGTAGGTATTAATATGACTATTTGCTCCACTTTATAGGTGTTAATGGAGAGACTGTTTTAAGTGAAAGATCCAAGGTCAGCTGGTGACCGAGCAGAGCCAAGATTCCAATCCAGGATTTTTGGTGCCAGCTGTCCCAGTCCATGCTACATTGCCTCTCACACTCTAAGCTTCAGCTCACTTGCCTCCTAAATTTGAATTTTAAATGAACAATAATTTCTTTTTTTAGAACAAGTGTGTCCTATGCAACGTTTGAGACAAGGCTCCTCCTTTTTCCTGGTTGCCAAAGGAGCTTACTTATCCTCGGTGTGGTTGAGTGCTGAATGTGGGTGTGGGCTTCTGATCTCTGTGTCTCAGCCAGTACCCTTGGCATTACCTGCTGAAGTGTTCTTTTTGGTTGTATAACTCACAGCCTGTTCTCAGAGCCTGGTCTCCCAGCAGAGCCCATCATTTCTCAAGCCAGAATCAGCTCTGCCTCTACTCCTGGTTATGTTACAGATACCTAGTCTCAGCCTCATCTCTGATCTGCCTGGAAATATTCATATGAATATTTTTGAATGTTTGCATATTCATATGAATATTATGAACATTAAGGACTATCTTAAGAATATTTAAGAATAGGCCGGGTGCAGTGGCTCAGCCTGTAATCCCAGCACTTTGGGAGGCCAAGGCGGGCGGAACACGAGGTCAAGAGATCGAGACCACCCTGGCCAACATGGTGAAACCCCAACTCTACTAAAAATACAAAAATTAGCTGGGTGTGGTGGCGGGAGCCTGTAGTCCCAGTTACTCTGGAGGCTGAGGCAGGAGAATTGCTTGAACCCGGGAGGCGGAAGTTGCAGTGAGCCGACAGCGCCACTGCACTTCAGCCTGGCAACAGAGCAAGACTCCATCTCAAAAACAAAACAAAACAAAACAAAACAAAAACAAAAAAACCAAGAGTATTTAAGAATAGACCTAATAAACCCGATTTGGGCTAGAAAAAAAAGCTCCACTCAAATAGGAAAGAGTTTTTTTGTTTGCCTATGTTCATGAGCAAGTAAAGCAAAATTCCACCATGGCACTTGCTCACTCACTATAGCTCACAAATGAATTCTATCATGTTAGAGAATTCCTATAAGGAAGAATTTGATGAGTTGTTAGCAATGACTGAAAAAATAACAAACCAAGCAGCTCTTCGTTCTCCCATAATTTTCCATTGACTCCCTTCATTGTCTGCCATCTAAGAAGAAATCTTCTCACCTTACCACCCACAAAGCAGGCAAGCAGTTGAGGTACAGCCTAAGGATTCTAGGTTCCATCTCCAGCTCTATGCACCATTTTCATAGCCTTAGTTTCCACGTTTCTAATACTGGAATAATAATACCTGCCACACATAGTTCTTTTGAAGTTCAAATGAAAAGTGGTAAGTAAAACATAAAATATAGTAAATGTAAATCAAGGTTAACTTCAAAGCTCATCTTACCTCATTGTCCATGTAGTGGGTTGAATAGTGCCCACCCCCCAAAAAAGATATGCCCACCTGGAACTTGTTACTGTGAACTTATTTGGAAACAGGATCTTCATAAGACCTACAAATATATTGAGATGATATCATTCTGGATTTAGGGTGGGGCCTTAGCGGAATGAGTATGCACTTATAAGGAAGTATGCTTATAAGAGAAAGGCAGAAGGAGATTTGAGACACAGAGACATGGGGGGGAAGGCCATGTGGAGACAGAGGCAGAGATTGGAGGTGTGCTGGCACAGAGGCAGAGATTGGAGGTATGCTGGCACAGGCCAAAGAACACCTGGAGCCACCAGAAGCTAGAAGGGGCAAGGAAGGATTCTCCACTCGAGCCTTTGGAGAGGCCCTGCTGACACCTTGATTTTGGACATCTAGCCCCCAGAACTGTGAAGGAATCAATTTCTGTTGTTTTTAGCCAACGAAAACATTAGTTGCAGTAATTTGTTATGATAATCTTAGGAAACTAATGCAGCTTACTCCCAACCCATCAGTAAATCATGACAGCTCCATCTTCAAAATACATCCAGACCGTGTGCCACCTCCACCTCCATTAGGGACACTAAGCCATCATCATCTCATTACTGGTCATCCTGCACTCATCCTCACATGGACTGCAGTCACACAGCAATCAGAGTGTGATCAGAAATTGATATCAAATATTGTCAGTTCTCTGCTCAAAACCCTCCACGTGCTTCTCATTTCTCTCAGAGTGTAATCAAAGGCTTTCCCATGACCTACAAGGCTAGACACGATCTGGCCCCACTCCCTGTCCTGTCTTCTTTACCATTCTCACAGTCCTGCTTCCCTGTTGTCTGCGCACATGCCGAGCACACTCCATCCTTAAGTCTTTGCATGCCCTTCTTTCTGTCCGGATAAGCACAGGCCTGCTGCATTACACGTCTCTGCTCACATCTCACCTATTCAGAGAAGCCTTGCCCATTCATCCTATCTGAAGTGGTCTACTCCAATTACTGTCAATATTACATCACTCTTTGTTGACTCCTCAAACTGCACATCACAAACAGTACTTACTTTATTTTCCTGTTCCTACCCTCTCTCCTATTATAAAGAACGCTCCCTAGGTATCAAGACCTTGTCTGTCTTGTTCGTTACTGCATTTCCAGTACCAATGCTCAGCACATTGCAGCCACTAATAAATATTTGCTGAAAGGATGGAGAAACCAACATACCTTATAGCTATTAAGGGTGTTGATCAGAGAGGATGAAGATGGTTATCTGTCTTTAGCACCACCCCAAACAGCACGATCCGGACAGTAACCTGGATCTCCACCTACACACATTCTTAGAGGATAGGAGCCACCGCCAAAGAAAACCGCCCATGGTAGTTGCACAGTGAGATCTGAAGTCAGAGTATTGCTACATAGTATTAACTTTTCAGTGAGGTATTTTGGAATGCTTACAACTGTGAAGCTCAAGAGATAGATTAATGTGAAATCTCTAAGTGAGTTCCTGAAAAAAAATTGAGAACAACAAAAACAATTTTTTATATATTTAATGCTAAGCAATTTAAAAAATGTTTTCGGACAGGTGCGGTGGCTCACGCCTGTAATCCCAGCACTTTAGGAGGCCGAGGCGGGCCGAGGTCAGGAGTTCGAGACCAGCCTGGCCAAAATGGTGAAACCCTGTCTCTACTAAAAGTACAAAAATTAGCTGGGTGTGGTGGCCTGTGCCTGTAATCCCAGCTACTCGGGAGGCTGAGGCAGGAGAATCGTTTGAACCCGGGAGGCAGAGGTTGCAGTGAGCCGAGATGGCGCCATTGCACTCCAGCCTGGGCAACAGGGCAAGACACCATCTCAAAAAGACAAAAAGTTTAAAAAATTTTCATATGCTCTATTTTATTTGAGTCTGTCACCTGCCTGATTTAGGGATGGTGGATAGTATTATTCTCAGTTTGCAGGTAGAAATATGAAGACTTATGGAGACTAAGTGACCTGTACAAGGGCAGGCAACTGTACAACTGGCATTAGAGTAGTCTCAGACTCAAATCAAGACTTCTGATTTGAAGTTCCTTATTTTCCTCTATCGCACTCCATTAATTTATTTAATGTACATTATTGAACACCAACTATTTCAGGTACTGTGTTAGGTGCAGCATATAATAAGAAAGTTGATAATCTGTCTATTTTACAATTAAAAAAAGAATGTGCAATACATGCACTTGGGGAAAAATTCAGTACAGTAACTGCTACTCTTCTCCCCTCTCCCTCTTCTCCTAATCCCTCTCTCCTGATATAATCACTGTTATCTGGAAATCTTTGACTATACAGGCTAAGTCCCCTGTATCTGCCGCGAGGTCCTTCCTGGAGGTGCTGACTGGACTAGCTGATGTTGGCTAGATGACCGCCAACCAGATGACCTTGGCTAACTGATCTTATCCCTTGGGCCGCTGTGGCACAGGATGAGTGAGCTACGCCTGGTAACAAGAGTGCCACTCTCGTGTAAGGGGGCTGCGAAGTAGAAAGGAGGCCAGCCCTTTGGAAGATGTTTCTAGAGGGTGTGGGCAGAACCAAGTCTCGGTAGTTAGGAAGATCTTGGCTCCAAAGTTTAACTTGCAGCGTCCCGGCCGGGTTCACAGCGCATGGGACAGGGGGGGCGGGGCGATGCGGAGGCGGAGCGGGGCGATGCGATGCGGGGCGGAGCGGGGCGGGGCGGCGACGCGCGGCGCGGTGCGGCGCGCGGCCGACGTGGCAGCCGCAGGAGCATGCGCCGCCCGTGGCCATCTTGTAGGCGGGGACACGCCGAGGTAACTTCCAGGGTGCGCCTTCGTTGTCTTCTCCAAGCTGTAGTTCTACGTCCCGACCTCCCTATCATACCACACTCTTCAGCGACCACGCAGGCACTTTCCCGGTCCCCAGGTGAGCGCCAGGTGGCTCCGAGGGGCGTGTATGAGGGGGGTGGCATGGCATGGCATGGCTTGCAGGCGCCAGAGCCAGACCCCGAGGGACGGTGTCCCTGGAAGGTGGGCGGGCCGGCCGGCGCCACTGGACGCCGATGTCGTTTGCGAGCCCCCTAGTCCCGTGGTCCAGGCTCAGCTGTGGCGGCGTGCGGGGTGCAGCAGGCAGGAGTGCACATCGCAAGGTGAGCAGTTTCCGCTGGGGATGGCACGGTGGGCGCGGTTCGAGGGTCTCGCCCCGCGACACTTTGCTCCTGTCCAAGGACCAAGGCAGGAGCGCTCTGGCCCCACCTTCCAGGGCGCTGACTTTAGGGGAGACTGGCGGGAGCGCCGGCGGACCTTAGCCCGGCCCTGTCTGGCCTGGAGACGTGGCAGAGCCTGAGGGGAAGCCGCTGTCTCCTGAAACAGGATTTCGGCCGCTCTGGCCCTGGAGAGGCCCAGGAGGCTCGAGAGTCATCACACCAGGACCTGCAATGAAAGGAAGCTTATTTTCCCTGAGGTTACCCCATCGGTGCTTAGCGCCGCTTGGGAGAGTTTTTGCATTCTCTCGTTTCTTTGTTTGGTCTTGGGACCTGCTTCAGGCAAATTTGCAGATAGCACGTTTCCTAGATTGACAGAATTTATAGCCAATAGTGTTTTTGTCATTCGAAGTAGTTATTTTGAGAGACAACATGTGCATTTCTGCGATCGTGACACATCTTGGCATTCAGTCTTTCTCCTGTGCAGCCAGTGTTTAATTCAGTGAAAATTTATAAAATTTTATTTCGGGGTCAGATTAGGCTCTAACTAGCGCTCACTGTTTGGTAGTAGAGACAATCTTGTGGCACGAGTAGGTCAGCAATAATTGCTCTTAATGCTTTAAAGTTTATCAGAGCTTCACTCTTCCATTTCTTGTAAACTTGTAAATAGACATCCACTTTTTTTTTTTTTTTTTAACAGAAAAACCAAGGCACAAGCAAATTGGAACAACAGGGTCTAGCCGGACTGAGAACTCAGTTTTCCAAACCATTTTCTTCACTTTTTCTTTAGTGTTGATATATGAATAGTACTTTTCGTGACAAGACTTGAGCCCTAAAACAGTTACCAACTCTGACACTTCAGTATTGTTTTATCATAATAGGTTTTTTTAGTAGAAGGCACTATGTTTATGCATGTAAAATTTACCTCAGTATTGCCATTACGGCAGTTTTCATATAAAAAGCCATTAAAGACAAAGAAATTGATTATTTATTCCACTTAATGACTTTGTATTCATTGTACAGTTTCTTTTGCAGACACATTTGTTAATGTTAGGGATTCTCTTACAATAGGACTTCTACTAGTCATTGTAAGGATTGGGGAGCATCTGTAGTAGAGGGTGAATGACCAATAAAAAATTAAATGAAGAAAAGAGGGAGCTTTGGTTGAGGAGTGGTAAAATCTCCAAAGGGGCATTTCTATCTCAGGTTATTTACCTTCGATGTATAGGTACTGAATGAAAGGATTCAGCCTCCCCGGATCCCTGTTCTCTGCTTAGTGCCATAGATCTTTCCTACGTTCACAGCCAAACTTTTTGAAAGTGTCATGCGTGTTAGTCTCACCTGCCACTGCTCGATTCAGTTTACACTGGAATCTTTCTCCACTCTTTATATGAAAACCGTTCTCCCTAAATTCATCTCCAGTTTGGCAGATCCATTGAACTTCTCAGATAGTATCCTATTTGGCTTCTCTGCAGCATTAATACTGTTGCCCATTCATACTGCGAAACTCTGGCTTTTGGACACCACAGTCTCCTGGTTTTCTTCCTTTCTTTTAGCTCATCTCTTATTCTCTGCAAACTTGTCTTCCATCTTACTAAACCAATAATTGGTTTAACATCATATTCTCTTTTCTCTTGGTATTCTCTTACGTAATCTCATCTCAAAACATGACGTTAGACTATCAGTACACTGATGACACCCACATTTATGTGGTTGCTAAGCTCCAGACCAAGTCAGTGTCTCTACTTAGATGTTTGTTTCAAGGAACTTAAACAGCATGTCAAAGACTAAACATTTTATGATTTCCCCCATCCGACTCCCCCAGAAAGAACATCAAACACATTGGCCTTCTGCAGTGTTTCCTATCTTTGTGCATGGCACCACCATCTATCTAGTTGTGCAAGTCATGCCTCCTTTCCCTTCCTCCATACCCAGTCACTGAATTTTGCCACCTAATCTTGTCTTGAACTTATTTACTTTTCTCCATCTCCACTATCATCACTTGAGTCTAGGTCAGAGTTTTTCAACTTTGGCACTATTGAAATTTGGGGCCACTTAATTCTTGTGTGTAGGCTGTGCATTGGAGGATTTTTAGTAGTATTCCTAACCTCTTCATGCTATATGCCAGTAGTAGCCCTCTAGTAGTGACAATAAAAAATGTCTTGGACATTGCCAAGTGACCCCTTGGGGGCATAATCAGCCCTTCCCACTATGAAAATCATTAGTCTAGGTTGTTACTTACTTCTGATGGAACTACTTCTATATCTTCCTTAATGGCCTGTCTGCATCTGCTCTGTCTGCCCAGTGGCCCAGGCTGCATACTTTGTTCAGATCTTTTCAAAAAATAAATATGAATTGCTAATAACTGGAATCAGCCTAAATGTCCTTCAGCAGGTACATTTATACAATGGAATACTATTCAGCAATAAAAAGGAACCAATTTGATATATGCAGCAGCTTGGATGAATCTCAAGAACATTATGTTGAATGAAAAAAAGCCAACTTCAAAAGGTTATATGCTGTATGATTCGATTTATGTAACATTCATGGAACGAGAAAGTGATAGAAAACAGAGCAGTGTTTGCCAGGGCTTATGGTTGACGGGAAGGTAGATAAAGGAACAACATGAGGAAGTTTCTTTTTAGTGATGGAATGGTTCTATGTCCTGGTCGAGGTGGTGGTTATACGAGATTGTGCATATGATGAAGCTTCATAGAACTATGCACATACACACACACAGTAAATGTAAAAACATGTGAAATACAAATAAGATCTATAGTTAATAGTGTTGTACCAATGTCAGTTTCATGGTTTTGATCATTGTAGTGTAGTTATGTAAGATGCTGTTACTGAGAGAAGCTGGGTTTGGGGTACTCAAGAACTCTGCTGTTTCTACATTTTTTTTTTGAACCTAAAATTCCTTCAAAACAGTTAAAACAAAAGACAGTTATGCTACCCTCAGCTTGAATGCCTTACAGTTGTAGGATATGATAAATTTCTCTTCATAGATTTTAGCCTGTAAATTGTTAAGTACAATGAGTTCTGAGATCCTCTCCAAAGAACCAGTGTATCAGTATGTTCAGCTCCCCTGTTCTTTGTTCTTCATTTTAAAGTTTAAATTCCTAGTTCTTTATTTCTCCTTGCCCCCAGTTTCAGTAAACAATCCCCTTCTAGCCTCTATCAACTGCTCTGACCTTAGTCACCCTTGGTCACCTGCTCTGACCTTAGTAATCCTTGGTCATCTGCTCTGTTCTTAGTCATCCTGGATCACCTGTTCTGTAACCGTCCTTCCCGCCAAACTACTCACCCTGCTGCTCTGGCTCATACCCCTGCTCTCTTTAAAATAGCCAGTTGGAATTAGCTTAGACTGCGTGGTCCAACCCTAGCCAATGGGGGAAAGACACAGCAGTAGGGACTAGCTGCGTTAGGATAAGAACCCCTTCCCCTCCCTTGTTCAGGTGTGCTCTTGACATTGCTCCATCTGTGAGACACACCCTTCTATAGAAGTAAAATTGCCTTGCTGAGAAAATTAAATTTATGTTCGAGTGCTATTTCTTTTGTGGCACCGAAAATTTATTTCTAACACAGTGACACTCTGTTCTTTAAAAACCCAAGTTTTTTAACCTGGTTTATGAGGCTGAACACCTTCTGGGCTTCTGTCTGTCCCTCCAGTCCTGATTCTTCTTTCTCTCCCTTCACATGGATTTTATTGAATGTATCTTGTTCTTCCCAGCTCAGTTGGTATATATATTTGCTATATATTCACTTTTTCTGGACTCTGCCTTTCTTCCCTTGCCTAATTAAGTTCTTATCCTTCAAATCTCGGTTTATCTGTGACTTATTTGGGGAACCCTTTCCTTACCTCCAAGTCAAAATCATATTCCTGTCAAACAAAACTGTGTTCTTACCCTCAGAGCACATAATTCAGCTACCATTCATTGTAAATTGGTTTATTATTTGATTGTTTCGTGTACTAGACTGTAAGTATCCTATTTGTTTTTGCTAATCATTGTCATTTCCAAAGGCATCAGTATAGTGCTCGTCAAGCAGTTGACCTTCGCTAAAAACTTATTAAATGAATAAAAATATTAAAAACAAATATAGCATATTTAGAAGTTGGTTCTGTACTTGAGATACACTTCAGGATTTGTAATTTTAAAGAAAGTTTTCTCATATTTTATAATCCATTGTTGTCTATTAGGATGCTGCTATCTAATGGCATTTTTGCTATAGTTAACTTTTCTAAAACCTCAGATATACAATTTATCTGTTACTGGATATGCTTTAAAATGTGAACTAGGAAAATTGTGAATTAATGCTTTTATCAAGTGAAGCACATTTTATTTTATTTTATTGAGACAAGGTCCTGCTTTGTTGCCCAGGCTGGAGTACAGTGGCATTCTCACTGCTCCCTGCAGCCTCAACCTCCTGGGATCAGGTGATCCTCTCACCTCAGCATCCTGAGTTGCTGGGACCATAGGCACATGTCACCCTGCCTGGCTAATTTTTTAATTTTTTTGTAGAGATGGAGTCTTCCTATGGTGCCCAGGCTGGTCTCAAACTCCTGGTCTCAAGGGATCCTCCCACCTCTACCTCCCAAAGTGTAGGTTTACAGCGGTCAGCCACTGTGCCTGGCTTTATTTTTTTTTTATGTTAATGGGGTTATCTTATACACAGTACTTTATGAGAGAAGAGGAAGGGCTTCAAAAATACATTAAATATTTTATTTATTTATTTTTAGAGATCTTGCTCTGTCACGCAGGCTGGAGTGCAGTGGTGCAGTCATAGCTCACTGCAACCTTGAACTCCTGGGTTCAAGGCATCTTCTCATCACAGCCTCCCAAAGTCCTGGGATTTCAGACGTGAGCCACTGTGCCCAGCCTCATTTTTATTTTAAATTTAATAATGACTGAAATTTATATTATTTACTTATTTTATTTTTTAGAAATGAGATCTTGCTATGTTGCCCAGGCTTGTCTACAACTCCTAGCCTCAAATGCTTCCCGTCTTGGCCTCCCAGAGTGCTGGGATTATAGGCATGGGACACCACACCTGGCCCAGACATAACTATCTCTAACATGCATTCATGTGGCAGAAATCAAATTAGTAATTTACTATTTGAAATGTAGTAGATAATTAGTTATATTGTTATTATAACATGAAATTATTTCCCACTTATAAAGTATCTACATGGGAATGTTACAGATTGTTTGATATTAAATATTCTCATAGATTGCTTTCTTAGAAATTTGGACAAACTCTTCGTCTGGAAATAAGTTGCATTATAAACAGTAAAGGTGGACATCTATCTCTTGATGATTTTTTTTTTAGTCGTTCTCTATTCAAGCTTTAAAAATATACTTTTGGTTACTGTGTAATATTTGTTACATTTTTGTGTTTTTATAGTATACCATAATTGAAGAAAAATGATGGAAGAGAGTGGAATAGAGACAACACCACCTGGGACTCCTCCACCAAATCCTGCAGGGCTGGCTGCTACTGCTATGTCTTCTACCCCTGTTCCATTAGGTACATGTAGTTGTCTAACATCTCGTGTGTTTTGAGAATAGTGAAGATACTATCATCTTTTCTCAGAGTCAATTAAGAAAAGAATGCATATATTAAAACTTCTCTATTATTTTTCAGGATGAAAGGAAATAGCCTTTTTAATTTAAAGAATAGAAAGAAAGTCTTGTGTATTTAAAGTAAGAAAACATCAGTGTTTTGCTTTAGGTGGACTTTTGTTCTTTATGTTCATAATTTTACCATCATTTATATTATGGCAGAAATATCCTAAAAAGCATGTGTTAGCTTTGTCTTCTGTTCTTTTTCTTTTTTTTGAGACGGAGTTTCACTTGTCACCCAGGCTGGAGTGCAGTGGTGCGATCTCATCTCACTGCAACCTCCGCCTCCCAGGTTCAAGTGATTCTCCTGCCTCAGCCTCCCAAGTAGCTGCAATTACAGCACTCACCACCATGCTCAGCTAATTTTTGTATTTTTAGTAGAAATGGGATTTCACAATTTTGGCCAGGCTGGTCTCAAACTCCTGACCTCAGGTGATCCACCTGCCTCAGCCTCCCAAAGTCCTGGGATTACAGGTGTGAGCCACTGCGCTCGGCCTACTGCTCTATGACTTTGTGGTGATTAACCTTTCTGAGCCTTCAGGGCATAGGTTTTTATGCTCAAACTAGGGATGAAAAATCGCTTTATTTTATTAAAAATACACCAAAACAAACCAAAAAGCAAAAATGAACAATGCCATAGGTTCATACAGCTGCTTCTTTTACTTATGGGAGTTGAAAGTCATTTACACTCAATTATATTTGTTGTATATTTTAAATTACACATTTTAAAATAATTCTTGGGATATGCTTTGGTAAGTTAAAAATTTTGCAAGAAGAAAGTAATTAGACAGTTTGAAAACTAAATAAAAAACATTTCTAATTCTGTGCTTTTATCCTCTCCACTTTTTTCTAGCGGCAACCAGTTCTTTTTCTTCTCCAAATGTATCCTCCATGGAGTCCTTCCCACCACTCGCATACTCTACTCCTCAGCCGCCCCTTCCTCCTGTGAGGCCTTCAGCACCATTACCTTTTGTGCCTCCTCCTGCAGTTCCTTCTGTCCCACCACTTGTTACTTCTATGCCACCTCCTGTTTCTCCATCAACTGCTGCTGCCTTCGGTAATCCTCCTGTATCTCACTTCCCACCTTCAACTTCTGCCCCAAACACTCTTTTACCTGCACCCCCTTCGGGTCCTCCTATATCAGGATTTTCTGTTGGTTCAACTTATGACATTACAAGGGGACATGCTGGGAGAGCTCCCCAGACACCCCTGATGCCATCATTTTCTGCACCTTCAGGAACAGGTAATTCTTTCTGATACTTTGAAATACATGGCTATTAATTAATGTTTTATTCTTTTTTAAAATAATAGCTTTGTTGAGATATAATTTATGTACTCTACAATTCACCCAATTCAAAGCATACAGTTCCATAGTTAGTTTACATCAGAATTGTGCATCCCTTGTCGCAATTTTATAACCTTTTCATCACTTTAAGAAAGAAACCCTATACCTTTTAGCAGTCAGCCCCTACTGTCCCCCAAATCCTCACAGCTCTAGGCAACTACTAATCTACTTTCTATGTATATGGATTTGCTTATCCTGGTCATTTCATATAGATGGAATCATATAATACGTGGTCTTTTGTGACTGGCAACTTTCACTTAAATATTTTCACTTAAATATTTAACTTAAATATTTTCAAGGTTCATCCATGTTGTAGCATTTGTCAGTACTTCATTCCTTTTCATGGCTGAATAATATTCCAGTTTATGAATATGTATACCACATTTCATTTATTCAATTAATCAGTTAATGTTGGGTTGTTTTCCACTTTTTGGCTATTTAGATAATGCTGCTATAAATATTTGTTTACAGGTTTTTATATGGACATGTTTTTATTTTTCTTGGGTGTCTACCTAGGCATGGAATTGCTGATTTACATGGTAATTCTACACCAAACTGTTTTCTAAAGCAGGTGTACCATTTTACCTTCTTATTAGCAGTGGGCGGGGTCCCACTTTCTCTGCATTAATGTTCTTCTCTTTATTCATTTCTTTGGTTTCCAGAGTTACCTATTTCACATTTTTGCCATTTAAATTATTAAAATAAGGCTGGTATAATTTAGTATATGATTTTTTTATGTGATATACAACTCAGTAGATGATTAGTATATGGGATGTCAGAAAATTCCAAAATTTTGTCCTAATATTTGTGCATTTATAGAGAAATTTAAAGGTGAAGTCTGAGTTTTTTTAAGTTTTACTGAAAAAATTATCAGGACTGACTGTTCCAGGGAGTAGTGTTTTTTTAGCCAGGTAAAAAGTCAGAAACAAATAAAACCTCATGTATGCCAAAAGTTTGTGATACTGGGTCATTTCCTTTCCCTAGGTCAGTTAAATCTACTTGTTTTGTTTCTTTGGAATAATTGTTGCAAATGAGTTATCAAAACTTCGTCCTTGTCATCCTCTGCCTGTTGTTTCTCATTTTAGGGAAAAGCAGTAGCTTTGCTGTGCTTTTTATTATCTATCTTTCCCTGTCTACCTTTACAAATGAAAATTATTGCAGAGTGCAAGTACTATATTCATGTCTATGTATATGTGAATTTTCTTTCTGAGTTAACATGAAGTATATAGAGTATGTGTAATAATTGTGTGCTTTTTTGTGATGAACTTCAGTGCTCAATTAATTTTATGGATTAAAGAGACCTGAACTACAGCCGTTCATATCCAAGTGCTGAATAGGACAGACCTGAAGAACTTTTGGATATACGCTTTTTGTCCATTTTCAGGATACTTGGTTTAAGACTATATAAAGGGAAATAAATTTCTTTTGAAATTCTGTTTAATTTGCGTTTTATAAAGGTTTGTGTTAATCTTTGATTGTATAACTCAGTCTTCAAATGCCTGAATATTAATATTAAAGTTGTTTGAGCCACTCCTTTTTATAGGAAAAAGTTTATGGAATAAATTATACATATGAAAATTTTTGCCATTGATTAGGTCTTTTGCCAACTCCTATTACTCAGCAAGCCAGTTTGACATCTCTGGCACAGGGAACTGGAACCACATCAGCCATTACTTTCCCAGAGGAGCAAGAAGACCCTAGAATTACTAGAGGTCAGGATGAAGCATCTGCTGGTGGAATCTGGGGTTTTATTAAGGTAAGACGTGTTTAAAAATTATGTTTAATTTTCTAATTATAAAACTAATAGATATTCATTAGAGAAAATATTGAAAATACAGGATGGCACAAGGAAAAATAAAATTCTTTTTTATTAGCAGTTTTCTGTAGCTGCTCTCAGTCTCTTGCCTATGCATATCTGTGTAAACGTTCCTTTGAATTAAAATCAAATTGAAGTAGTGACAGGTCAGATGGATACTATTTCATGTTTTCTGGTCTTTACTGAGCATATATCATGGATATCTTCCTGGCCGTAAAATATTTTTTTCAGAAATGTATTTTGGTTTCTCTTATGGCTGCTTCACCATACATGCTGTTGCATTTATTTCCCGTGTTTTATTTTGCTAATCTGCCTATTGGCATTTTCTAATTGTAATTATTTTTTTTAAATTAGTTAATTTATTTTAATTGACAAAAATTGTATGTGTTTATTATGCACAACATGATGTATACATGAAGTGTGTATACATTCTGGAATGGCTAAATTGAGCTGATTAACATATGCAATACCTCACATATTTACCATTTTTTTGTGGTGAGAAAACTTAAAATTTTGAAATATAAAACCTTATATTTCAAGAATATAATACATTGTTCCTAACTATAGTCACCCTGTTGTACAAGAGATCTCTTCTAATTGTAATTCTTATCAATAAATCATCATCATGATTAGGTCTGGCATGGTGCCTCATGCCTGTAATCTTAACACTTTGGGAAGCCCAGGCAGGGGGATTGCTTGAGTCGAGGAGTTCTGTATGAGACCAGCCTGAGCAACATAATGAGACCCAGTCTCTACCAAAAACTTAAAAAAATTAGCCAGGCATTGTAGCGTGTGCCTGTGGTCCCATGTACTCAGAGGCTAAGGTGGTAGGATTGTTTGAGCCCAGGAGGTCCAGGCTGCTTGAGCTGTGATCATGATACTACATTCCAGTCTAAGTGACAGAGTGAGACACTGTCTCAAAAAAAAAAAAAAAAAAAAACCAAAAAACTATGATGAGCACTGTTGTATGTAAATCTTTATGGACATCTTTTTTTCCTCCGAATTAATTCCTGATGAACATTTGAGTGAACATTTGAAGAAATTGATACCTATTCCACTTCAGGAGGTTTATACCAAAATACACTGGTATAACATTTTTCACTTGCCAGCAGTAGTTATTAATTTGGACTAGGGTATTTTCTGATTTGACAGGCAAAAAATAATACCACATTTTAATTTGCTTTCCTTTGCTACTGAATTTGAACATTTTCTCGTATGATTTTTAGCCATTTGTATTCTTCTTTTGTGAAATATCGGTTATGTTCTTTGCCTAGTTTTAAATTGGGATGATTTTCTTTTCTTATGAATTTGTAAGAGCTCCTAATACAGTAAGAATACTTTTCTATATGCTCTCATATGTTGCAGTTTTCTCAATTTTTAGTTTACATTTTCATTTTAATACCCTTTTTGACAGAAAAGTTCAATTTCAGGAGTCAGTTCTGTCAGTCTTTTCTTTTCTTTTTTCTTTTCTTCTCTTTTCTTTTCTCTTTTTTGAGACAAAGTCTCGCTCTTGTCGCCCAGGCTGGAGTGCAGTGGTGCGATCTTGGCTTACTGCAACCTCTGCCTTCTGGGTTCAAGCAATTCTCCTACCTCAGCCTCCCAAGTAGCTGGGATTACAGGCATCTGCCTCCATGCCTGGCTAATTTTTTTGTATTTTTAGTAGAGACGGGGGTTCACCATGTTGGCCAGGCTGGTCTCGAACTCCTGACCTCAGGCGATCTGCCCGCCTCGCCTCCCAAAGTGCTGGGATTACAGGTGTGAGCCACCGCAGGCAGCCTCTCCTTTTCTTTACATTTTTTTTTAATGCTAAAAAAGACCTTTTCTCACTACGATACTGTGATAAATGTTCTTCTGTGATCCCTTTCTAGTTCCCTTAATGTTTAATTTTTTAGACACTTAGCGTTTAATATAGTTGATATTTCTTTACTATATGAGGTAGAGATCAAACTTAATTTTCTTCCAGCTACTCAATGGAGTATTTCAATATCATATCCCCATTGATTTGGTATGATCCCTATATTATCTTCCTTAAGAAATTGTGTGTTAAAATCAGCTTCTGGCCTCTGTATTCTAGTCCACTGCTGTTTCCCTGTTCTTGTAGTAGAGCACACTGTTTTAATTACTTTTACTTTGTGTTCATTGTACTAACGTGTACTGAGGTGGGGATGTGGAACATTCAGTGATAAGTAAGATAGGACAGTTCAAGTCTGCATTTATAAATGTATATCAGTATTTAGTTGTGTAAGTTGTATAAGCTGGCTGATTTTTCTTTTAAATTTTTCTTTACTCATCTTTCCCAATTTTTTTTGCAATGAATTTTGAAATCATTCTGCCAAGTTCCAATATTCTGCTAAGGGTTTGTTTGCAATTTTATTATTATAATTATAATTTATTATTATATTAAAGATTTAAAATTGGTAGATGATTGGCTGATTTGTAGTATTTGAGCTTCATGTTTCAGGAATGTGGCATTTTTCTAAGCTTGTTTATTTTTTAATACCCCTCTGTACTTTTTTAAAAAGTTTTTTTTTGCATACAGACTACAACATTTTGTCCCTCGTTAAGAGCATGTGTCAGTGTGTTTGTCATGAGTTGTAATACCCAGTTCAACTCTATAGGTCTTGTAAATAGTAAGTCATGATGTTTCAGCATATGGTTGGTTGGCAGTCTTAAATTTCAATTTTATGAACTCATCTTTTCCTGAGTCACCTTAGTTTAATGGCAGATTGGAAGATGGGGAATCATGGCAGGTTAGTCAGATGCCATCTCAGGAGGCACTGCTCCCTGGAGTGTCTTTTACCCTTTGTGAAGTATCGCACAAGAAGGAATACTCAAGACTTGGTTCCTTTTAGTAGTAACGGCTCTAAGAATCCAGAGGAATAGATCTGAATATAAATGGCGAGTTTGGGAATGTACAAAACAAGAAACAAGAAGTAGGAAAAAGAAGAAACTAGTAGAAGATAGCAAAATGTTGTACGTTAAGGTAATAAGTAACTGTTCTGCCCCCAGACGAGAGGTGTTTTTACTCTTTTTATTTTTTTTATTAGGGAACAAGTATGGACTTACGTAGACACCTGATTGGGACCTTTATTTGGGACCCTAAGGGACAAGTTTTGCCCAATCTTTTATATAAATAAGTAGAAGTGAAATTATATATATGTATATACACACACATATATATGTATATATAGTATAGCATCCTTTCCATACCCATGCTACTCAAAGCGTGATCTGTAGATTGCTGCTGGTCTACACACTGCTGAGTCAGGAAAAAAAATTGAGAGTATCATTTAGAAACTTAATAGCAATTTGATATTGTCATGACCTTATATATCTTACAAAAGTACTGGTTTAGGATGCATTGGAAACTTTTAAAAAAGTTTTCTTCACAATCATGAAGATCATGGTGTTCCTCACTTAGAGTGAATACTTACATATTGATTTGTTTTATGCAGGGTGTGGCTGGGAATCCTATGGTGAAGTCTGTGCTTGATAAGACAAAACATTCAGTAGAAAGCATGATTACAACGCTGGACCCTGGCATGGCTCCCTATATCAGTATGTACATAAGTTAGACCGGTATCTGCCATTTTTTTTTTAAGGGTATGTCCACATCAGCCACTAATTGTAATTCTCTGTTCGTTTCCACTGATTGTGTAATCAGTGGAAATTCTTATTATATTCTTGCATTAATTTAATTGTCAGTCTTATTTTTTGGTGTTACTAATTCATCTTTTTTAAAAGTCATTAAATAAATTTTGAAAATCCCACAGAATGATCCTAGAAGGAGTAAAAACCATGAATTATTGGTATACTTGCTGATTTTAATTTTAAATATAGGTTAGCATTGCTTTATATGAATTTTACTTTATTCACTACTGACATTTGAAGTGATGTTTGTTTCATACTTTTTTTTTTTTTTACATTTCTCCTGTTATCTATTTTAATTAAATGTTTGTGTGTAATTGAGGGATAATATTTTTGGAGGAAGCAAATCTAGTTAATAATATCTAATGACTGGGTATATTGGGAAAGCTATTTTTAACCACCTCTGAACACTAATCATCCAGAATCATCCAGACAGTTGATAGATACTGTCTGCTATTTAATTTTTATGTACATATCCAATATGTGAAAAAATATCACAAGGCTTAGTGACCAATTATTAGTAATTCTGTAAAAGATAACTTTTAAGTCAAAATTGTGCAGCAGGTACCTGAACAGCGATTTCAGTGGCAATAAAAAGCCAATAGCTTTCACAAGTCTTGACTATGTTGGTAGTTTACTGTCTAGTAAATATCAAAAGATAAGGCCTAGCAATTGTTAAGTGTCTTTATTGAATGCTTCTGCCAGGCACTTTCTCATAAGAGCTCTGCAAGGTAGGTATTTTCCTCAAGTTTTGGACGAGGAATCTAGGTTTGGAGGGATGTAAGTTATCACCCTAGATCACACAACTTGGTGGAGCTGTATTGAACTCATGCTCAATTTTTTTACACTTAGCCACTTTGCTTCCCTTGTAGTAGAAAATTGAATCAAGCATTAAATCAACTGAGTTGTTCTTTGTGTTTGTAACTGTCCAAAGAATTCAAAATTGGAGTCCACCATATATGTTCTTTTCTTTGCAAGTACATATTTTGAATGAAGGAAAAAAAGGAATTAATATTTTTGGAGCTTTTGCTGTTTTAATGGCTGTACTATGTTAGACTATGAAAGCAATTACCTTATTTAATCCTTAGAGCAAACCCTATGAGGTGCCAGGTGTTTTTATTCTTCTTCTTCTTTTTTTTTTTTTTTTTTTTTTTGAGACAGAGTCTCACTCTGTCACTCAGACTGGAGTGCAGTGGCGTGATCTCAGCTCACTACAACCTCTGCCTCCTGGGTTCAAGTTATTCTTATGTCTCAGTCTTCTGAGTAGCTGGGACTACAGCCGTGTGCCACCACGCCCAGCTAATTTTTGGTAGAGACGGGGTTTCTCCATGTTGGCCAGGCTGGATAGCAGGCATTTTTCTACAAAGAAACAAGCTCAGTGACTTCCACAAGGTAAAGAAGCTAGTAAATGATAAAGGTAGAGCCATCAAGAAAAATGTGTAACACCGAAGGGGAAAAAAGAAAGGTACAGAAATGAAATTTCTATTATTAGCAAATGTCATAACTTTATCAGCTTTAAAAAGTAATAAAATCGAATTTAAGAAAGCTGACATCTTTACTGACAGCAAAGCATCACCATTCTGATCTAACAAAACAACTCAAAGTAAATCTTAAGGTTTTTTTTTTTGTTGTTTTTTTTTTGAGGTGGAGTCTCACTCTACCGCCAGGCTGGAGTGCAGTGGTGCAATCTCAGCTCACTGCAACCTCTGCCTCCTGAGTTCAAGCGATTCTCCTACCTCAGCCTCCTGAGTAGCTGGACCTACAGGTGCACGCCACCATGCCCAGCTAATTTTTGTATTTTTAGTAGAGATGGGGTTTCACCATGTTGGCCAGGATGATCTCGATCTCTTGACTTTTTGATCCTCCCGCCTAGGCCTCCCAAAGTGCTGGGATTACAGGCGTGAACCACCGCGCCCGGCCATCTTAAGGTATTTTTACACAAATATTCTAGAAATCATTTGATGTAACAATTTCGTATGTGTCAAGAAACTCAAAAAGTATTAGAAATGGCAGGACTACTCATCACAAGCTGAAAAGCCATTTTGAGCTGAAGCTTAATGGAGCAGTACTTAGCTAAGGTCGAGAGATGTGTCCCATGTGGAGGAAAAAAGTGAAAAAAAAAGTATATTCTTCTTCTCTTTTATGTCCTAGTAACTTCTGAAGTATCCAGTACAGATGTGATCTGTGAGACATTATGTCAGTCAGGAAAAAGGGATCCATTATTTTTAAAACCCAAATATTTGAAAATATCTTTCCCTGTTCCACATGATATTTATTAGGGAAAAACAACCTTGTTTCTAGGGCAAAATGTTTTACATTATAAACAATTTTCATGAAAAATCTCTTTTGCCGGTGATAACTATTAATGCCAAATATCAAAATGTGCTGTGTTTAGAACAAGGGCTTTGAATTCATTATATCACAGAAATGTTTGGTTAAGATTTTTAAAAATAATGAAACATTTGGTCAAATTGATCTGTCTAGAAATAGTAGTACTTAGGTTGTTTAAGTAATTGAAAAATTAAAAATATTTGAAAATATTTTTATTTCGTATTACTCTTAATATTTTAAATTTTAAGTTTTATGTGTTATTTCAATTTCATATATGCTTGCATATTTATATTAGGGCAGTAGTACATGTATAATTGATAAATATCTATTTGTGGTGTATGCTCAGAACATTGTGGGGATATTTAATAAAAAGCTTGATGACCCCATATTTAAACTATTTTCTAGGTTAAAAAGTATATTTCATGGTAGTGCTTGTTTAGTACATAACTTCTCTGCAACTCATTGACAAATCACTTACTATCAGTAAGTCTTTATTTTAATTTTCCGTGGAGTATACTAAATATGTAACTTACACTTCACAAGCCAGATATGTGATTTCTGGCTTGTGATATGTAATGTCAGTTTTGAGTCCTGACATTAGTGCTAAGTAGATACGTTACCTTGGGCAAAACTTTGTTGGCCTCAGTTTTCTCAAGCATATAAAAAAGATAATGATCTATATCTTGCATGGTTTTATGAAACTGGTAATAATTATGTATATTAGATGTTAGCACCTGGTATGGTAGTAATTATGAGAATTTCATTATTTTAATTTGAAAGTTAAATTTTCCTCTGGTCTTTTTAGAATCTGGAGGTGAACTGGATATTGTAGTGACCTCAAATAAAGAAGTAAAAGTTGCTGCTGTCCGAGATGCCTTCCAGGAGGTCTTTGGCTTAGCTGTGGTTGTAGGGGAAGCTGGACAGTCCAATATTGCCCCACAACCAGTGGGCTATGCAGCTGGATTAAAAGTGAGTAACAGAACACCATTTTCAGGACATGGAAACTGGCATTTAATTTTTTCACAATTCTGATAATCTGTTGTCTCTATGGAGCTAATAGACTTTTACATACTGAAATAACAATGAACTTTGCTTTTAGTAGACAGCCCTATCGTATTATGAAGATATAGTGGAGTTTTAATTTAAAGAAATTTAAGATAGGTTTTGATTATTGTGGGAGGGAAAGAAACATTGAGAGAGCACAAAAGGAATAGTTAGTCCTAAAAGAGATCTTCTTAATCCAGCATTAACATTCAAATCAATTACTGAGATGATAATATCCCTTGAATCCCATAAGCTTTTATTATCCCTATTGATAATGCTTAAAAATATGTAAGTTCCAGGAATTCCGTCCTCTCTTTCATACTTTATTTTCCTCTCTTTGTGTTATTACCAGCATACAGTCATGCAAGAACAAATTAACAGTTCATTGGCATACAAACATCTTTCTCACCTTGAAAAAAAAAGAAAAAACCAAAGGAAACCCCAACAAATTCTTTGACCTCCCTTCCTCTATAACTTAATGACCTATTTTGCTTCCTTTTGCAGCTAAACTCCAAGGAGTTGGCAGCACTTTTCTCATATCCTTTTCACATTCAGTTAAGTCTACCTCAGTTAGGCTTTGATGTCCAGCACTCTACTGATAGTGCTTTCAGGCTCGTGCTAATGTTCTCCATCTTATTGGACTTACCAGAGGCTTTTGAGACAGTTGATCATGCACTTCTCTTTAATGCTTTTTTCACTTGATTTCTAGGATTCCACACTTTAGTTTTTCCCTCCTTCATGTATTGCTCACTCCTTCTGTACTTCCTTTGCTGATTCCTCCTCTTCTCTCCAGTCTTCTGACGGTCACCTTCTCATCAATTCACTCTCAGACTATCCCATGGCTTTAAATACTGTCTCTGTGCTAACAGTTCCAAATTTATATCTCCACCTGAGACCTTCCTGTAGACTCTTGATTTATATATAAGTTGCCTTTTTGACAAGTTTACTTGAATATCTCAAACTTAATATGTCTAGAACTAAACTTCTTTCCTCCACACTTGCTCCCTCTAGCCTTCTTCACCTTAATTGATGGCAGTTCTAGCCTTCCGTTTTCTCAGGCAAGAAACCTTGGAGTCAGCCCTGACTTCTCTCATTACCCACTTCTAATCCATCAAGAAATCTTATTTGTAAGACAGACAGTTCTTGTTTTTCAACATAATTGTGTTCCATAAAGTTGCTACAGACTGAATTTGTGAATACTGAGCCATTGCTCCCAGGGGAGATACGATGGTTAGGATACTGTGGGCCTCTGGTCACATTTTGCCAACCTGTCAATACATAACTTTGTTTTATGCCTCTTTCTGTTTAAATACATTTTTATACACATACATGCACATATTTTTGATTCATTAATATTGAACTCTCACAGTCAACAGTACTGTAACTCATGCTTGAATGCAGCTTATTTAACACACTCGTTTTCTCATTAAGGCACATCATTGTCTTCTTGTGCTTAGGAACACTACAGCACTCCAGCACTACACTTGGGGGCCATTTGAAAACAGCAGTTAACATCAACAAACACAAAGATGCAAAAAAGAGGTGCTAAATAGATCCCAAAAAGGATACCTGTTTACATTGTGTCAGCTGAAAGAAGAAGTCAGGGCACTGCCTTGTTCAGCCTCAGCTAGGAGTGTATGCATCAGGCAACTCAAATTTCTCATAGCTCTGTGCATGTCCGATTTTGAGATTATAAATAAATTTCATGTGTAGTCAATGGAATCCACAAAACTAATAGGATCGATCAACTGTATTTATGTTTAAGGAGAAACACATTTTCATATATGACATTCTGTTGTTTTATTTGAAGGAGCTTATAATAGCCTGCATTTTTTGAGAACATCCCCTGAGCCAGGCACATAGACCCTTTACCTGCATTCATTTGATGTGTGTAAAGCATTAGAATGAGGTAATTGACATAGCATATTTCATTGGGGAAAAAGTCTGTTGCATTAATTATAATTAGTCACTAAACACAAACCCACACTGACACTAGATTATTTTTAATTCTACTAGGTAGTGCTACATAAGTTTGAGGTGTTCTTTGAGTTGTATTTAGTACTTTATTTAAATAGAATATGAAGCCCTTTTCTTTTACACATATGCATACTCACATACCACAAAACCACTTTTCTATATTAGGGGCTATTAGGCAGTAGTTATACCCTATCTAAATGTAATGCATTATATATAATATGAATTAAATTACATGTTTTCTGCCTTTTCACTTTTCACAGTGGTCTGTCCTTACACACAGAGCAAAGCTGCCAAAAGCACATGCACTTTGAAATGCTTCTTTTCTCTAGTAGGTTTCTCTTGAATTTGAGCCCTAGTATACATTGCCAATAAGAGTTTCTTTGGTGGTAGGTGTTTGGACTTAATAAAATTTAGCAAAGGTAACTGACGGCTGTAGGGTTTGAATTTAATCTAGAAATGAAAAAAAAAATACAGCAAATGGGTAAAATAAGTATGTATACATGATAATTGTACATTAAACTAGTTGTATATATATAAGATAAACCATAAGCATTCATACGGGCGATTTTTACTTGAAAAACTGGAACAAGTCACATACTTAGATTGAGAATGTATTTGAAGATTTCCCAAGAGGTTTTGCAAGTTGGAGAGAGTTTATAGGTCTGAGAAAGAAGACTTTTCAAGATTTAGTTGCAGAGAGTAAACTGAGGAAAATCCTAAGTAGAAATGATTATTAGACAAAATGGTGAGTACATTTCACTGAAATTAGAGACTAAAACAAGGGATTTCTGTAAATTGTGAAGCATTGTATAAATGTGATATGGAAGTTGGTAACCTTATTTGATGGAAATTATTGTAGTTGCATTTATCTTTTTATAATAGCATTTGACAGATTATTTTTGCTGCTGATTTTTATCCTTCAAATTTACAAATATGAATTCATTTTCCACAATTTTCAGTTCAAGCTCAAAACTAAAATTCATTGAAACTAATATATAAGAAAGTGATTTGTAAATTTGTCGGCTTTTTATTTTTTTTCAGAAACAGTAGAGGGAGCTAATGAGAAGAAAAATAATGTAGAGTCTTAGAGTATAAAATGGTAACCTGTTTTTGTTCTCCCCAATCAGATTTTATTTGAAGTAAATGGGTTTTCTGAACTAAACTTACGTTACCTTTTAAAAATAGGAAATTATTTAAGGAAGTAAATCAGTTCAGCCAAAATTAAAGTTAGGAAGCTTCTAGAACTTTTATGCCAAGTATTAACTTTATTGAAAAGCCAGTTGTAGTTATGACTACTGTTTTATATAGTTTTATATTCAACAAATATAATATCTATAAGCATTTATGAAAATATTATAAAATTTTAACTATTCACTGAACCAAGTTGCTTAGTATAAGCTCTTAGAGTACAATATTGTTCTTCAGTTCTGAAATGATTATTTTAATATGGTCTCTAAACTACCTAATTCTTGATCTCTTATATTGCTAAAAAATAAAATCTCCTTCTCAAAACATTGGTAGGGACTAATATTAAAATGTCTGTATTTGTAACTCCAAAAGAGGCCACATTTAATTAATGTAGTGGTCAGAGGAAAAAGAAAGGCCAGATATAACCCCATTTTCATTTTCTTATGGATTTTATAAACAAAAAAGAAATTTGTCTACCTAGCTTATTATCCTGTTTCTTGCAGGAACTAATTAATTTTAATTAAATGTTTTGTGAATCCTGTGAAATATAAAGCTCTGTGCTGTAGGATAGTGAAAAATGAACAAACTTAGTCTCTGTTCCCTGGAAGCATAAAATCTAGGAATATTTTGTTGTAGTGCATAGCTGAGATATCACCTGCAAAGAGTTAGGGGATGAATCTCTGTACATCTTACTAATCCCTTAATAGTTTTTACGGAATGAATGTTTACTTAAGCTTTTTAAAAATCAAACTTTAGCCATAACTGCTTCCTGGGAGGAGTGAATTAGGCAAATTTGTAACATCTGGTATAAATAACTAAGTTCATCTTATCTGTTAATACTGCTTTCAAAATCAACAGGTGCCTCTTTAAGTGTTATTAGATTTGGTGATGCCATATTTACACTATTTGTATTCTTAACATTGACCACATAGGCCTTCAGAAGCATTTATTTTTTTCTTTGTTCAGTTTTTTATGTGGTAAGTTCTTATTGAACACCTATTAAGTTAGGCACTGTGCTGGAAACTAGAGATAGAAGAGTGAGCAAAAATATACAATCTTGGTTTTATTGTACTTTAAATCCTATCATCTTCATCTTTACAAGCTAGTATCTTAAATTGTCTTACACGTTCTCGCACAGTTGTCACTTTCTCTTTTTCACTTCAGTTGTCTCTGAAATAAATTGAGTTTTCTCGAGATGTGTCCTAGCCTTCTTAATTTTCATTTGGATAAGAATTTACCATTTAATCTGATATTGTCTGTTTACCTCTGCTGTCCTTATAAAAATTATCCATGGCTACTTCTGTTCAGACTTCTTATCTTGCGTTTTGAACACATATTCATCACATTGTTCATGGTCACCTTTTATGAAAGGATTCAGATAAAAGCAATAAACAGAAACCTTTTCCCTCAGTCATCCAGCTTTTAGTTTTCTATTACATATAATCAGTTCATGTCTTCAATGGTAATTATTTTGTTGAATAAGCTGTGGTGTAATGTATACATTTGCAGCTTTTTATTTTAAGTAACTGGTCATTTTGGTGCATGTATATTTAAAAGGAATCAGAAGAAAGAGAAAAACATATTTATTATTGATATGATTGCCTACCTGAAAAATTCAAGAGAGAATTAACTGCAAAACTGCCAGAACTGATAAAAACTTTGTATGTAGTAAGATGGTCTCTTGCCAGATCAACATTAAAAAATACAGTTTTCTTAAATTATTTAACAGTAACAATCAATGAGAAAATGTAATATAAAAATAATCCACAATAGCAACCAACATCATAATGCATATGGAATAATTTGGAAGGTGTACCCCAAACTGTTGATACTACGGAAATGTAATTGTATTTTGTCATTTTTTACTCTACATTTTTGTATTGTTTGAACGTTTACAGTGAGTATATATATGTGTTTGCATATAAATGTATGCATGTATTGTGTAATCATAAATTAGTATATTTAATATGTAATAATTTGAAATGGTCTCTAACCTCTGCCATTGTTGTTTAGGGTGCTCAGGAACGGATAGATAGCTTGCGTCGAACTGGGGTGATCCATGAAAAACAGACAGCTGTGTCAGTAGAAAACTTCATTGCAGAATTGCTGCCTGACAAGTAAGTGTATTATGTTTCTCTTGGAAGCAAAATATAATTGGGTCTGGGAGTTGACACTGAATACTTAGCAAAAAGTGTCTCCTGTTTTATAACCAGAGAGAAAAGTATATTTTGATGCTGGCTATATCACTTAACTAGCTGTGTGTCCTGCATGGCTTAGCTGGCATTTCTATCCTTGTGTCTCTTTTTTAATTATAAAATGGAGATGGTCATGCCTGCTTTCTGAGATCATGCTAATAATTAATAAAATGGCACTAAGTATAAGATGATAGATTTGGTGTGGATATAATTGACCATGAGTAGCAAACACAATTATTCTCATAGTTATTCAAAGTCGTGGAATATATGGGCAAGAAGGCCTGATGGCATTCTCTAGGTTTGAGTTTCTAGTGAGCAGTATCTCTCCTGTACTCATAATAGTTTAGAAAAACCTCCAGACAGCATAATTTATCATTGTTTTTCAGGTGGCTTTTTATGGGAAAAATTTTTAATTTGCTTAATTGATTTATATTAGAATAACTTCCCTTTGTTGAAATCTACCTTCTTTTGTATTTGCATTATGGTTTTGTTGTTTTTATTTTTTATTTGTTTGTTCAGTGTTGAATAACAATGGGCATAGCATTTTGTGGCTTGTAATATGCAAAATATATCCTCCAACTTTGAGGCATATTATAGGCCAGTGGGAAAGAAGATATATGTAGTACACAGATGAGCAGTTTTAAGTAATTGTAAAAAGGAAACATAATTTTTTGCTGACAGGAAATATATAAAATTTCAGTGGAGGTAACTCTGTGGAGATAGTGTCAGGTGAAATTCATGAATAATTAGGGCTTGAACTGGATTTTGAAGAAGAGGTGAAACTTGGCCAAATGGAACAAAGGAAGTAGGATGTTCTGGGTGGAGAAAAAGTTTGAAGGTAATTGAAATGTATTCTTGGGTCAGTGATTATATCAACTTGGCTGAAGGTTTGTTGGATGGGAAATCAAGAGGTGACGGGACAAATTGTGAAGAGCTCTGAATTCTAGGTTGATAAGTTTCAACTTTCTATGTAAGCACTGAGAAACCGTCCAGTGATTGTTGTGTCATTTTTTTTTATTAACCTGTTACTGTTCATTTAATAATTAACATTAGAAATTACAATATGCCTTTTTGATATAACAAAAATTATAACTTGTGATAATACTAGTACTACTTTTAATACTATTCACTCCCTTTTCACCTTTTGCGGTATCATTGTTAAGTATTTTAATTCTGCATATATTTTAAGCTCTTAAGACATAACTGGTAATGTTCTTTGCAGTCAGTATTTGTTTATTCTCTGAATTCTTTCTTGCATTTCTGTTTTTCTGTCTGGGGTCATTTTTCTTCGAAAGGAAGCCTAAAGTACTTCCTTTGATAATACATTATAGTTCAGAGCTGCTCACTACCAATTCTCTCAGCTTTTGTTTATCTGAAAGTGCTTTAATTCACCTTTATTTTTGCTGGATGTAGAAGTCTAGGTTGGCAGTTTCTTTTCTTTCAGCACTTTAAAAATGTCATGGTACTGTTTTCTGGCTTCCGTCATTTCTGTTAAAAAGTCATCTCTCCATAAATGTTTTCTTTTGAGAAGTGTCTGTTCATGTCCTTCGCCCACTTTTTGATGGGGTTGTTTGTTTTTTTCTTGTAAATTTGTTTGAGTTCATTGTGATTCTGGATATTAGCCCTTTGTTAGATGAATATGTTGCGAAAATTTTCTCCCATTTTGTAGGTTGCCTGTTCACTCTGATGGTAATAGGAGTGGTGAGAGAGGGCATCCCTGTCCTGTGCCAGTTTTCAAAGGGAATGCTTCCAGTTTTTGCCCATTCAGTATGATATTGGCTGTGGGTTTGTCATAGATAGCTCTTATTATTTTGAGATACGTCCCATCAGTACCTAATTTATTGAAAGTTTTTAGCATGAAGAGTTGTTGAATTTTGTCAAAGGCCTTTTCTGCATCTATTGAGATAATCATGTAGTTTTTGTCTTTGGTTCTGTTTATATGCTGGATTACATTTATTGATTTTGTGTATATTGAACCAGCCTTTCTTCCCAGGGATGAAGCCCACTTGATCATGGTGGATAAGCTCTTTGATGTGCTGCTGGATTCAGTTTGCCAGTATTTTATTGAGGATTCTTGCATCCATGTTCATCAAGGATATTGGTCTAAAATTCTCTTTTTTTGTTGTGTCTCTGCCTGGCTTTGGTATCAGGATGATGCTGGCCTCATAAAATGAGTTAGGGAGGATTCCCTCTTTTTCTATTGATTGGAATAGTTTCAGAAGGAATGGTACCAGTTCCTCCTTGTACCTCTGGTAGAATTCGGCTGTGAATCCATCTGGTCCTGTACTCTTTTTGGTTGGTAAGCTATTGATTATTGCCACAATTTGAGATCCTGTTATTGGTCTATTCAGAGATTCAACTTCTTCCTGGTTTAGTCTTGGGAGAGTGTATGTATCGAGGAATTTATCCATTTCTTCTAGATTTTCTAGTTTATTTGCGTAGAGTTGTTTGTAGTATTCTCTGATGGTAGTTTGTATTTCTGTGGGATCGGTGGTGATATCCCCTTTATCATTTTTTATTGCGTCTATTTGATTCTTCTCTCTTTTTTTCTTTATTAGTCTTGCTAGCGGTCTATCAATTTTGTTGATCCTTTCAAAAAAACCAGCTCCTGGATTCATTAATTTTTTGAAGGGTTTTTTGTGTCTCTATTTCCTTCAGTTCTGCTCTGATTTTAGTTATTTCTTGCCTTCTGCTAGCTTTTGAATGTGTTTGCTCTTGCTTTTCTAGTTCTTTTAATTGTGATGTTAGGGTGTCAATTTTGGATCTTTCCTACTTTCTCTTGTGGGCATTTAGTGCTATAAATTTCCCTCTACACACTGCTTTGAATGTGTCTGAGATTCTGGTATGTTGTGTCTTTGTTCTCGTTGGTTTCAAAGAACATCTTTATTTCTGCCTTCATTTTGTTATGTACCCAGTAGTCATTCAGGAGCAGGTTGTTCAGTTTCCACGTAGTTGAGCAGTTTTGAGTGAGTTTCTTAATCCTGAGTTCTAGTTTGATTGCACTGTGGTCTGAGAGACAGTTTGTTATAATTTCTGTTCTTTTACATGTGCTGAGGAGAGCTTTACTTCCAAGTATGTGGTCAATTTTGGAATAGGTGTGGTGTGGTGCTGAAAAAAATGTATATTCTGTTGATTTGGGGTGGAGAGTTCTGTAGATGTCTATTAGGTCCGCTTGGTGCAGAGCTGAGTTCAATTTCTGGGTATCCTTGTTAACTTTCTGTCTCGTTGATCTGTCTAATGTTGACAGTGGGGTGTTAAAATCTCCCATTATTATTGTGTGGGAGTCTAAGTCTCTTTGTAGGTCACTCAGGACTTGCTTTATGAATCTGGGTGCTCCTGTATTGGGTGCATATATATTTAGGATAGTTAGCTCTTCTTGTTGAATTGATCCCTTTACCATTATGTAATGGCCTTCTTTGTCTCTTCTGATCTTTGTTGGTTTAAAGTCTGTTTTATCAGAGACTAGGATTGCAACCCCTGCCTTTTTTTGTTTTCCATTTGCTTGGTAGATCTTCCTCCATCCTTTTATTTTGAGCCTATGTGTGTCTCTGCACGTGAGATGGGTTTCCTGAATACAGCACACTGATGGGTCTTGACTCTTTATCCAATTTGCCAGTCTGTGTCTTTTAATTGGAGCATTTAGTCCACTTACATTTAAAGTTAATATTGTTATGTGTGAATTTGATCCCATCATTATGATGTTAGCTGGTTATTTTTCTCATTAGTTGATGCAGTTTCTTCCTAGTTTTGATGGTCTTTACATTTTGGCATGATTTTGCAGCAGCTGGTACCAGTTGTTCCTTTCCATGTTTAGTGCTTCCTTCAGCAGCTTTTAGGGCAGGCCTGGTGGTGACAAAATCTCTCAGCATTTGCTTGTCTGTAAAGTATTTTATTTCTCCTTCACTTACAAAACTTAGTTTGGCTGGATATGAAATTCTGGGTTGAAAATTCTTTTCTTTAAGAATGTTGAATATTGGCCCCCACTCTCTTCTGGCTTGTAGAGTTTCTGCCGAGAGATCTGCTGTTAGTCTCATGGGCTTCCCTTTGTGGGTAACCCGACCTTTCTCTCTGGCTGCCCTTAACATTTTTTCCTTCATTTCAACTTTGGTGAATCTGATAATTATGTGTCTTGGAGTTGCTCTTCTTGAGGAGTATCTTTGTGGCATTCTCTGTATTTCCTGAATCTGAATGTTGGCCTGCCTTGCTAGATTGGGGAAGTTCTCCTGGATAATATCCTGCAGAGTGTTTTCCAACTTGGTTCCATTCTCCCCGTCGCTTTCAGGTACACCAGTCAGACGTAGATTTGGTCTTTTCACATAGTCCCATATTTCTTGGAGGCTTTGTTCGTTTCTTTTTATTCTTTTTTCTCTAAACTTCCCTTCTCGCTTCATTTCATTCATTTCATCTTCCATCACTGATACCCTTTCTTCCAGTTGATCGCGTCGGCTCCTGAGGCTTCTGCATTCTTCAT
The DNA here is from genome assembly GCF_000001405.40 of Homo sapiens. Classification (NCBI taxonomy): domain Eukaryota; kingdom Metazoa; phylum Chordata; class Mammalia; order Primates; family Hominidae; genus Homo; species Homo sapiens. The sequence goes on from NC_000005.10 coordinate 127,543,693, forward strand.
GTAGTTCTCGAGCCTTGGCTTTCAGCTTCATCAGCTCCTTTAAGCACTTCTCTGTATTGGTTATTCTAGTTATACATTCGTCTAAATTTTTTTCAAAGTTTTCAACTTCTTTGCCTTTGGTTTGAATTTCCTTCTGTAGCTCGGAGTAGTTTGATCATCTGAAGCCTTCTTCTCTCAACTCGTCAAAGTCATTCTCTGTCCAGCTTTGTTCCGTTGCTGGTGAGGAACTGCGTTCCTTTGGAGGAGGAGAGGCGCTCTGCTTTTTAGAGTTTCCAGTTTTTCTGCTCTGTTTTTTCCCCATCTTTGTGGTTTTATCTACTTTTGGTCTTTGATGATGGTGATGTACAGATGGGTTTTTGGTGTGGATGTCCTTTCTGTTTGTTAGTTTTCCTTCTAACAGACAGGACCCTCATCTGCAGGTCTGTTGGAGTTTGCTAGAGGTCCACTCCAGACCCTGTTTGCCTGGGTATCAGCAGCAGTGTCTGCAGAACCGCGGATTTTCGTGAACCGCGAATGCTGCTGTCTGATCGTTCCTCTGGAAGTTTTGTCTCAGAGGAGTACCCGGCCAGCCGTGTGAGGTGTCAGTCTGACCTTACTGGGGGGTGCCTCCCAGTTAGGCTGCTCGGGGGTCAGGGGTCAGGGGCCCACTTGAGGAGGCAGTCTGCCCGTTCTCAGATCTCCAGCTGCGTGCTGGGAGAACCACTGCTCTCTTCAAAGCTGTCAGACAGGGACATTTAAGTCTGCAGAGGTTACTGCTTTGTTTTTGTTTGTCTGTGCCCTGCCCCCAGAGGTGGAGCCTACAGAGGCAGGCAGCCCTCCTTGAGCTGTGGTGGGCTCCACCCAGTTCGAGCTTCCCGGCTGTTTTGTTTACCTAAGCAAGTCTGGGCAATGGCGGGCGCCCCTCCCGCAGCCTCGCTGCCGCCTTGCAGTTTGATCTCAGGCTGCTGTGCCAGCAATCAGCGGGACTCCGTGGGCATAGGACCCTCTGAACCAGGTGCGGGATATAATCTCCTGGTGCGCTGTTTTTTAAGCCTGTTGGAAAAGCACAGTATTTGGGTGGGAGTGACCCGATTTTCCAGGTTCCGTCTGTCACCCCTTTCTTTGACTAGGAAAGGGAACTCCCTGACCCCTTGCGCTTCCCGAGTGAGGCAATGCCTCACCCTGCTTCGGCTCGAGCATGGTGCGCTGCACCCACTGTCCTGGGCCCACTGTCTGGCACTCCCTAGTGAGATGAACCTGGTACCTCAGATGGAAATGCAGAAATCACCCGTCTTCTGCGTCGCTCACGCTGGGAGCTGTAGACAGGAGCTGTTCCTATTCGGCCATCTTGGCTCCTCCCACAGTAGCTCACCATCACTGGCCATCAGAGAAATGCACATCAAAACCACAATGAGATACCATCTCACACCAGTTAGAATGGCAATCATTAAAAAGTCAGGAAACAACAGGTGCTGGAGAGGATGTGGAGAAATAGGAACACTTTTACACTGTTGGTGGGACTGTAAACTAGTTCAACCATTGTGGAAGTCAGTGTGGCGATTCCTCAGGGATCTAGAACTAGAAATACCATTTGACCCAGCCATCCCATTACTGGGTATATACCCAAAGGACTATAAATCATGCTGCTATAAAGACACATGCACACATATGTTTATTGCGGCACTATTCCCAATAGCAAAGACTTGGAACCAATCCAAATGTCCAACAATGATAGACTGGATTAAGAAAATGTGGTACATATACACCATGGAATACTATGCAGCCATAAAAATGATGAGTTCATGTCCTTTGTAAGGACATGGATGAAATTGGAAATCATCATTCTCAGTAAACTATCACAAGGACAAAAAACCAAACATCACATGTTCTCACTCATAGGTGGGAATTGAACAATGAGAACACATGGACACAGGAAGGGGAACAGCACACTCTGGGGACTGTTGTGGGGTGGGGGGAGGGATAGCATTAGGAGATATACCTAATGCTAAATGATGAATTAATGGGTGCAGCACACCAGTATGGCACATGTATACATATGTAACTAACCTGCACATTGTGCACATGTACCCTAAAACTTAAAGTATAATTTAAAAAAAAAAAGTCATCTCTCCATCTTCTTGTGTATTGTCTCTGTGAAGATAATATGTTGTTTTCTCTGGCTGCTTTTAGGATTTTCTCTGTCGTTTTATTTTTTGCGGTTTTAGAATGGTATGATTATATGTATTTGCTTGCTTGCTTGCTCTCATAATTATTTTTTGTGGATTCGCTGAGCTTCTTGATTCTGTGGATTAATATCTTCAGTTTTGGAAATTCTTTACAATTATGTCTTCAAAACTTGCTTCTGGCCCATTTCTCTCCCTTCTCTTTGTAGGACCTTAATTACATGCCCATTCACCTTTGACAGTGTCTCACATTGTCAGGTTTTTTCCCCCACTCTTTTTTTCCTCTCTGTTCCTTAGTTTTGACATTTTCTATTCACCTGTCTTCAGGTTCACTAATCCTGCCTTCTGCTGTGTCCAGCCTGTTGTTAAACTCTTACATAGAGTTCTTACCTTTTAAAATGCAGGTTCAATTTATCTTTTGAATGCCTGTATCTTTAAATGTAGTTGAACTGTCTTTACCTCTCTTTTCTTGACTATATGAACCATAGTTAACTTTTAAATCCTCATCTACTGATTCCAATATCACGGTCACTTGTGGTCTGTGTTAGTCTCCTTTTTCCTTTTGGTTTGAATATATGGTGCTGTCTCTCTGAATGCATAGTAATCTTTGAAAACCATTGTTTAGAAAACAAAACTCTAGAGTCTTTAAGTGATCTTGAGAAGGTTCATCCTTTCCTCTATAATAATATACACAATTGTAGGGGTGTGAGGAAGGGGAGGGTAATGTAGTGTACTTCAGTCACAGTCTGAGCTGAGTCAAGTCTAGGTCGGTGTTCTAAGGTATATTCACTGGCATCATAGAAAAAACTTTCCTCATACCTTCAGTAACACTTTTTAGGATGTCCACACCTGAAAGCTTGGTTAGTATGTTATTCACCATAGAGATTATTGTCTGCAAATTATGCAAAATAAGGCAAAATAAAATTTAGCTAAGCTCGACTTTATGGAGGCTTCACAAATACATTATCTTGATTGAGAAAGTTGTAGTAAAATACAAAATATCTATTAGTCTACCAAATAAAATAAATGTCATTATTTAATGTTTTTAATTTTAAAGTTTTAGGATATGAACACTATAGACATTATAAAGTGCCATTTTAGTATTCAGCAAAGTTATTTATGTTACTGTATATTTTACTTTGTTGTTTTTTTGAATGTGTAAATAAAAGTCTCCTAATCCATTTTATATTTCATTGCATTTTATTAGATTTACATTAAAAAATAGGCATTAAACATTTTCCTGCTTCATATCCTTTTATTGTTTAAATTCATTTTTGAGGGTATCTGGCTGTTTCATGATTTGGGTTAGCTAAAATTTGGGTGGTACTACAGTTGTTTTCAATAAAGTCATTTTTAAAATTTATCATTTTGTATGATATATAAGTCTCTTTAAATGAAGAGAAGTTTCCTGGATTTCATGAGGCTGTTTTCAAAGACTGACTCATTGTGAATAATTCAGAAATTGTGATTAGAAGGATTTATTATTAATGAAGAGAGTATTTGTTATTATTTCCTCTGAGCTTATTTTTTAATTTGTTAGTAACTTAGTTGAGTACATATTCATGATAGAGTTTGTATTATAAAATTTCCCATATTTTAGCAAGTGACAATTGAAAAATATTACTCATAAGCTGTTTGCATATTCAATGTATGTAAATTTACCTGTTGCATATTTGAGTACCCTTACTTTGATTATTCTCCCTTCCCATGGAGAGGAAGCTTTCCATGATAAGTATTTTTAAATTTTTTTTCTTTGTGGTTATTGTCTTTTTTCCTCTTAGAATTAATACAGAGTAATTTTATCTGTTGTTTTTATGAATTGTCCTTTTGCAAGTTGGTAAGAAAAAGATTTCCTTTTTGAAATCTGTTCTATCTGAATAATAGTACTTGTTTTTTCTTTTTGTCTATTCATGATAAGTTTTATTTGGCATATAAACCATTTGAAACTCGTAATTCTGTTGCAGATGGTTTGACATTGGTTGTTTGGTGGTTGAAGATCCTGTCCATGGCATTCATCTAGAAACATTTACACAAGCCACACCAGTGCCTTTGGAATTTGTACAGCAGGTTGGTTTTCTCCTTTGCTTTTTCATTATGCTCCAGAGAAACTTACACTATTGTTTTCAGAATAAAAATTTGTTCGGTTTTTTTGTTAGAAATATGTTCTTGATTTTGTTTCAGTCATTTTTCTTTTAGTATTTTTCTTTGCTTTTTAATTTCCTGATCCTTCCATGTTGTTTTAGTACCTTCCTCCTTTTGTTTTCCAGGTGTCTTTGAAAGGTAATACATTACATGGTTAATCATTATTTCTCTCATTTTTTTCTTTGTTTTTACTCTGAGTTCTGGAAAAGATTTACCTTTTCTAGTTGTTTTATGTCCGCCTTTCGTTTGCTTTCCCTTTTATCTCACATTTCATTTCCACTGTTATCTCCATTTCCCTTTTCCTTGATTGATTGTCCTCCTGTTCATCTTTAGTGAAATCAACATTAGAAACCTTATAGGCACGTGTCTTTAGGTTTTTGGCTGAAAAATGGACCTAATAGTGTACCTATCCACACAGTTTCCAGGAGAATGTAAGTATAAATGATAATCCTTATTCCTCTTTTTTTTTTTTTTTGGTGTGTTTTCTCTAATCCTTTCATGAACAAAATGGAATATAAATATATACTTGCATTGGAATCTCTGTGCTCTTAAGTGGTATTCTATTGACTTTTTTCTGTCAATTTCATAAAATTTTTGTTACAGTTGTAGTTTGTACATTGTTAAATATCATTTCAAAACTGCCTTTCAAACTTATTTGGGACATGAAGACATTTGAGAATCTAAGAAAACTATTGGGCTGTCTCCCAAGAAAAATGCGTGTATGTGTACTTTCATAGAACTTTGGCATATGTGTTCACATAATCCCTAAAAGTAACCTCTGGCCTACTTATTACAGTTTAGAAAGGGGGCTAAGAATTGATGCTTGGAATTTGAAATTTTACTGAAACTTTTATTTATACCGTAATTTCTTTTCATAAGTTCAAGAAAACCTTTTTATAGATATTAACATTACACTCATTTCAATATGAAGGTGATTAAAAGACTGTAAGTGAATACTATGCATACTGTTATGCCAATAAATTAGAAAAATTAGGTGAAAGAGTGGATTTTCTAGGAAAATAGAAGTTTTGCCATAGTTAAGAGTATTAGGTTGAACCAAATGACGTTGTTGCCTTTGATGGTCAGAAATAGTTATATATTGTCAGTTTCATATGATTCAGCTTAATTGAAGCATTAAAATGGAAGAACTTTATGTAACTAAAAAAAAAAAAATCACTGAGTACCAATGGTGTTACAAGTGAGTTCTACAAAATGTTCAGAGATGATTTGCTGTATGAGGTATCAAAAATAGAGGTAGAGAGTTTTCCAGTTCATTCTGTGAGACTAGCCTCTTTTAACTTTAAATGAAATTATAGTCCAAAGAACTAAATGTCAAAACCATTGGTAAAATTAATAAATAAAATTCAGAAATGTATTAGATGAACATTGTATCCTGACCATGAAAAATTTGTCCCAAGAACAGCAGAATGGTTCAACAATAGTAAATTTATGTAATTCAGTACATGAACATCTGCATTGAAAGGAGAAAAAAGATTTTGATAAGAGTTGAAGGTATTTGCTAGAAATAATCATACTAATAGCTCTTAGTATTAGACGGGTATGTGTGTACTACAAAATCAAAGCAAACTTCAGATCTAATAAATAAAACACTGAAAACGTTATAATTATGAGGATGCTCCTGTCACTGCCACTGTTAACATTGCTGTAGATCTGGGGTCAGCAAACAGTGGCTCACAGCCAAATCTGGCCTGTCATCTTTTTGTAATTAAGTTTATTGGAACACACCCATGCCAGTTTGCTTACTTATTGTTTATAGCTGCTTTTGTACTATAGCAGCAGAAATGAATAGTTGCAACAGAGAATGTCTGGCCCACAAAGCCTAAAATATTTACCATCTGGCTCTTTTCAGAAAAAGTTTGCTGACCCCTGTGTTAGATATCTGACCATTGCAAAGGACAATTTTTATGTTGTTTTTAGGAATATATACTGGAAAGAAGTAGACATGAAAGAATGAAGTGGACTCGTGTGTACCAGTACCAAAAGATAGCTATTACATATTGCTGAGTAAAAGTCAAAAACAGCACATCTAGTATGATCCCATTTACTAGCAGGCGTGTGTATGTGTGTGCTTTAAAATTTTAATAAGAATAGGGAAAAAGGCCTGGAAAGATAACACAGCAAACTGTTAATAGTGGTTAATTCTGAATAATGGTATTTAAAGGGTGTTATTTGCTTTTTACTTTGCTTTTTATTCTGTTTGTTTTATTTTGTGTCATTTGGTTTTAAAATTTAGAAGATACAAAACTGTGTGCATTGAAATGTCTTCTTTTTATCCTCAGCTATTCAGCTCTCCTCCCTGTTTCTTTTTATTCATTCTAAAATGTTTTATGCTTTTTTATTGTTGGAATTTTTTAATTTAAGGTAATGGAAATCAGCCCTTCAGGTAATTAGAATTATCAGTATATATTAGTAAAAATCTGGAAATAAATTTCATACAATTTGTACTTGTTAAACTTAAATATAAATGATTCCTCACCCCCATAAAAAACCCCAGCTGTTCTGGATTTTTGCCAATAATATAGAATACCTTGTTTCTAAAAAGTGTGGTCCTTGGCTTAACATCATAAGCAGCACCTAGAAATTTGTTAAAATGCAGATTCTCGGGTCCTAACACAGGACTAGTGAATCAGGAGCTGCATTTTAACAAGATATTCAGGGGATTCATAGGCATGCCATAATTTGAGAAGCACAGTGTTACTGGTGTCTCTGAGGACGTTAGTAGTATATCTGCTGTTTCTCTTTGAAATATAGTGAAATACTGATACTGTAGTATACACATTGGAAGAGAGTACTTAGAGCAGGGGTTCCCAAGTGCTGGACTGTTTGCATCAGATTGACTTGGAAGCTATTTTACGTACGTAATACTGTACTGTTTCTCTTGGAACCAGCTGTAGAGTTTCCAATTCAGTTATCTTGGTGTCTCAGTTATCTTAGTGGGATGTGAGAAACTGGATATCGTTAAAAAAGAAAAAAGAAACAAGAGCTCCTCAGGTGATTGTAATACATGGCACATTTGGTAGTCATGTATAACTGTATAGATCCGTTCTAGATGTGGCTATACTTCTCTGGACTATACCTAACACCCTAAAACAGAAAAACCACATCAGTCTTGGATATCAAGCAATGAGTTTATTCTTCTGTCATTCCTTTGTAGATGAATAAATGATTTGAATAGGAGCAAATATGAGTTGGGTCAATTAGGAATGTTGCATCAGTGGTTGATGTTGTCCAGGACTGGATATTACTTGATACATATTAACATGTGAATCACATTTCCAGAGAGAATTTCCATAATTGAGCAATTCTTTTCTGAATGGATTTAAGCCTTAATTTTCAGTTTTCCTCTTTCTGGTTGAAATTTTACTACTATAAAAGATAACTTTAGCACTGATTTTAGTACCAATCTTATTATTAACCTGAAGTGACACTTAATTTAGAACTAGAACTCAAACCTTCCGACTGTTAGCCTCGTTAATGGGGATATTTTTTAAAAAATAGATGTGTGTAATGTTACATTGATTGTGTTCTAGCCTTGTAAGTTGATATAGTTGGCAGCCTAGCTGTATTTCTCAGAGTTTGTCATAATCTATATTTAAAATAACATGAAACACTTTGAAATGTCACTTATAGCTAGTTCCAATGATATTTTTAAATGTATTATAAGTAATATCAATTTCATCTTTCCACAGGCTCAAAGTCTAACTCCCCAGGACTATAATCTGAGGTGGTCAGGCCTTTTGGTGACAGTGGGTGAAGTCCTGGAAAAGAGTTTACTGAATGTCAGCCGGACTGATTGGCACATGGCATTTACTGGGATGTCCCGTCGGCAGATGATCTACAGTGCAGCCAGAGCGATAGCGGGCATGTATAAACAGCGCCTGCCACCCAGGACAGTGTGAGAGGAGACCTACCTGGGAGACTGAGACTTTCCCCCACTTTTAGCTTGATGTTAAAGAAGTGGTTGTACCTTCCTAAATCGAATAGTCTAAATGAATCCAGTAGTTTTTATCATTTTCCTGTAGCCTGCAATTTTTCTTTCTCTAGAAAGGCATCATGTCATTCCAGGAGACAAAAAGAAACAAATCCTTTTTATAGTCATACCATTTCACCTATCATAGTACTCAAAAAAGAAAATATACAAATCTATTTACAGCACAATTTAATATACCAGATTTATAAGGTGGAAATTCATGTGCAGAGACATTTAACTTAATGCCATGTACTTGATTATTTTGTTCTTTAAAGAAGACATTATTAAAGAACATGTTGGTTGAATGTTTATAAAAGCATGATTTGCTTTGGCTTCATCTCTTTTCTGTCAGTCTTTGACTACTTTTGTATGTGCACACGATCTCAGGGCTGGTGCTGAGCAGCCTGCTCAACAGTCACTATAAGACACCTACTTGTCGGGAGATGTTCCACATTTCTGTGCATGTTTTCAGTAATATGGGCCAAAATAATGGAATTGATTATTTTCCTTTTTGGCCATCACGTACACATGTAATCTGGAAAATCATACCTTTGTCAATTTTAAACATAACTTTTGGCATTTCCCAGATTTATACTATGAACATTGGGGTAATACATTTTATTTTTTCATTGCTATATGACAGCTAAGGGGCAAATGATTCAAGTATATTTTAAATCAGAAGTATTCAAATTATTTTTGTATAATACTGTTCAGTACTTCCAAGAATAAGCTCTGACAACAGCCATTGTTTCTGCTTCCACTCATATTCTCTACACATTTTAATACAGAAATTTTTGAGAGGGGGTTACTTTATTGCTTGTGGGTTAGTATGTCTCTTACTTCAATTAAGGTTACTTATTTGGTTTGCCTTAAGCATTACTTTTTTAACTTTGTGCCATTTGGTCTTTACTTTTTATGGATGTTTTCAAAGAAACTATTTTATATTCAATCTAGTTTATTTAGTCTACTGTATTTCTATTTCGTGGAAGCCTTTTCCCCTCAAATAATATATTATATCATTTTTGGACTTATATAAATGATAATTAAATAAATTTTTTTCTTAATACTGTTGGACTTTGTATATACAAGTTCAAATAACTTTTTCGAAGATAGTTTCTTATATAAATGTAATTTAATTTTTTTACTCTTCTATACAGTTCTTTAGATGTAAAAGAATTAGCACAATCTCTGGCAGTTTTATAAAAGCTGTTGAAGCTCTTGTCCTGCACTGTCTTTAGGTATCATAGGTATCAGGTTTGCTTTGTGTTAATGCCACTTCAAGTCATTATTTGGTTTCTGCTATTTTTTTACCTGAGGATAAGAAGAATGAATATTAAATTTGAATATTAAATATATGTTACTTTCCAAGCACTGTATAATGACTGTTCAGTGAATATCAGACTTCCGTGTCATTAAAAGTCATGAGAGACAGCACAGAGAGGTTATAGGTTGCCTTGGTGTACTTTTGTCCAGGAGTAACAGGGACAGAATACTTTCTTTCTTTCCTTCAAGTACAAGAAGGCTTTCTCTACCATTTGCGTCTACACTTTATTTTAAAAGCTATCCTTTTCTAGTAGTATTTTATCATGGCAATGGCATGATGACAACAACAGTCTTTCATTACAGACTGAAGGGAAGCATGTCCTTACTTAAAATAGTTCTGCTACTTTCCCTCCTATTATAAGGAAATCTTACAGATTCTAAAAATACCTTAATTTTTCTTTGATTTTTATTTTACCAAGTCACAAATGTCTTTTTGATGTTTTGAGAATTGTTCTCATAGAATCACAAATACTGACATTTCATTAGATGATTATTTTCCTAGAATCCCCAAAGAGCAGTGGCAGTCCATGGCTTGGTTGAAGCTAGAAATTTTCCTGCCCCTGGTGACCTGGTAAGCCTCCTGCTCGGAACCGTGTGAGTGGGTGAGGAAGATGAGAGATGGTCAGATGGAAGAGAGAAATACATGAACTGCTCTGGCCTCTCTGGTTCTGTTCTTGGCCCAGAGTTTTTGAAAAGCAGCGGAGCATGACTGACTTCACATGCTCAGCTTTCTCAGCCTTTTGTTTATTTTGTTGTCCTTAGATTTCCCTGTTGTAAAAGGGGCAAGAAAAGTAACTCATCATCTCTAACACACCATGGCAGCTTAGCCAGGTAGTCTTAGTGGTGGTGTTTAGGCATAAGATATGCTGATCATCAGTCTCAGGCCACAGTTTCCTTCACTAATCGTCCAGCTTGAGTGTTCTGTTCTCTTCCTGCCCATTTCCTTGAACCTCCTGCTCTAGCCTTGGCGGAGGGAGAGTGCTATTTGCTTTTGTTCTCCCTCTGTCTTAGGAAAAGCCATCTTTAATATAGTTCTTCACCACTGTTGGGGTTGTTTTGTGATTTTTTTTTTCTTCCGAAGAACTCCTGGTTGTTATTGGATTTTGTATTTTAATACAAATTATTGAATTTTATAAGCTTGTACACAATATTTAATTAGTGTGAAAGGAAACAAAGAATGCAGGAAAAATAATTTAATATCAACCTCAGTTGACAAGGTGCTCAGATTATTCAATTCGGGATCCTCCTTTTGTTAGGTTTTTGAGACAACCCTAGACCTAAACTGTGTCACAGACTTCTGAATGTTTAGGCAGTGCTAGTAATTTCCTCGTAATGATTCTGTTATTACTTTCCTATTCTTTATTCCTCTTTCTTCTGAAGATTAATGAAGTTGAAAATTGAGGTGGATAAATACAAAAAGGTAGTGTGATAGTATAAGTATCTAAGTGCAGATGAAAGTGTGTTATATACATCCATTCAAAATTATGCAAGTTAGTAATTACTCAGGGTTAACTAAATTACTTTAATATGCTGTTGAATCTACTCTGTTCCTTGGCTAGAAAAAATTATAAACAGGACTTTGTAGTTTGGGAAGCCAAATTGATAATATTCTATGTTCTAAAAGTTGGGCTATACATAAATTATTAAGAAATATGGATTTTTATTCCCAGGATATGGTGTTCATTTTATGATATTACGCAGGATGATGTATTGAGTAAAATCAGTTTTGTAAATATGTAAATATGTCATAAATAAACAATGCTTTGACTTATTTCCAAAGTTGTATAGCGATTTTTTTTTTAAATGCTAGTTTATATTGAAAGGACGCATATTTCTTTTTACCTAAATTTGTTACTGGCTGCCAAGAATTCTTGTACAACAGCAACTTAACCACCATCTTTCTAGTGGAACTGTAACATTCACATATACCAGAGTTGCTAACTTCAGGGTGCAAGAACTCAAAATATTTAGAGGAGAGGATACATTGGAGATAAAGGTAATAGGCAAGAATTTAAGGCCTATGGTCATGAGGACACTTCTTGAGTATTGGGTTTTCGAGTAGTTTTATTTCTTAGTTTCAGTTCACAGCAGAATTAATTAAAAGGAGGGAAAGTACAGAGATTTCCCATATATCGCCTTCCCCTACATATGCATAGCTTCTTCTCTCTTTATCAACACTCCCCACCAGAGTGGTCCATAATCAATGAACAATAAGTGGTCCATAATCAATGAATAATAAACAATCAATGAACCTGCATTGACCTAACATCTCCCATAGCCCATAGTTTACCTTAGTTACTCTTAGGGTTGTACATTCTTATGGGTTTAGGCAAATGTATAATGACATGTATCCATCATTATAATATTGTAGGAGATTTTCACTGTCCTAAAAACTCTCCATGTTTTTCTATCCCCCCAACCTCTGGCAACCACTAATCTTTTAACTGTCTCTATAGTGTTGCCTTTTCCAGAATGTTATATAGTCTGAATAATACAGTATGTAGCCTTTTCAGATTGGCTTCTTTCATTTAGTAATACATATTTAAGATTCTTCCATGTCTTTTCATGGCTTGGTAATTTCTTTTTAGTGCTGAATAATATTCTATCATCTGGATGTTCCACAGATTACTTATCTGTTTGCCTACTGAAGGACATCTTGGTTGTGTCAAGTTTTGACAGTTTTGAGTAAACCTGCTATAAACGTCTGTGTGCAGGTGTTTGTATGGACTATTTTTAGCTCATTTGGTTAGTGAATACCAAGGAGTGGCATTCCTGGATGTATGATAAGAGAATGCTTAGTTTTGTAAGAAGCCACCAAACTGTCTTGTATAGTGGCTGTATTTTTTTTTTTTTTTCCTGGTTTATTTTGTACTATATTTGGTATTTTGAGTTTATGATCCCAGGACAAGAGATTTTTGTCTTGATTTGACCATATTTGGGGCAGGGGAAGAGGAGATACCATAAAACAACAGAATATTGATTGGGGAAGGGGCTGCTGGGTGGGGTTTCTTGGTTGGTTGTCAGAAGACAATAATACTGTTTTAAAGAGACCAGAAAAATACCAGTTCAGGACCTGGGAAAGGCCCTGTTTCTTTGTATTTAATTTCAGAATTAACTGGAGGAGGAAAAAAAATATGTTGGCAATAGAAACAAAATTGGCAAAATGATATCAAGGAGGTTTAAAAATTTACAGAGGAAGGAAATCTTATAAATTATACTAAAGTGAGCTTATTTTAAGAAAAAGCTCACATTTTCTTAAGAATAATAGTAACACTTTTTAAATAAATTTTTAAAAAATTTTTCTTAAAGCTCTAAGGAGTGAGGAACAAACATTTATATAAGTTTCTATTAGGCACTGGAGTAGAAACTTAAAACCAACATTATGTTATTGAGCCCACAGATTTTATTACTCCTATTTTTATAGGTAAGGTAACTGAAACTTAGATTAAACTGCTTGCCCAGTATCACAAAACAGATGAATCACAGAGAATTCAAACAGTATGTGACTTGCTGAACCAGTCTCTTCCCCACCATCCTGAATATTTACTTCAGGAAGTTATAGGTACATAATCCTATAAATATTTGTTGAATGTAAGTGAATTCAAATAATGGCATGACGACTTTTCCTTAGTATACTTTTAATCTTACACTATTACGTTTAGTGAAAACAATTTTTACTCCATATTTTTCTTTTGAGTTTGAAAGGGCTGTTTTGGGCTTTCCTGCTGGTATGAAACTATGTTCTTGACATTTGGATAGCCTCCCCAATTTGAGAAACCATTAACTAGGTTTGAGTGTCATTTTTAGGATAAAAGCCACAAATGTTCTCTAGTGACATCAGGAAGGTATTTGAAGAAAATTTCCTGTTAAACTAGTCTTCAGGCAAGGTACTGACCACGTGCCTTTTAAAATATTTAAAAATTACTTTTGTTATTGACATGTACATGTAGGAAACTACATAAATCACAAATGAATTACCACAACATGGATACACTCAGGTAACCACTGCTCTGATAAAAAAAGGTAACCACTGCTCTGATAAAAAAAAAAAAAAAAATAGACCAGGCTCCCAGAGCACCATTAGGCCTCCTGAAATCTTCCCTGCTAAGATAACCAATACCTTAAATTCTAACAGAGAGTCTTGCTGGTTGTTGAATTCAATATAAACGGAATCCTAAGATATATTCTTTTACCCCTGACTTCTTTTCTTCAACATTACGTTTGCAAAAATCATTTGTGTTGTATATAGCAGTATTTGCTTGTTTGTCTTGCATAGTGTTATGCAAGTTATAGTGTTCTGTTGTCTGAATATACCACAATGTATTTTTGTTGCTGAACAATTGGGTTGTTTCCAGTTTTTTTGGTTGTAATGAATACAGCCCTGGTTATCTTGTACAATTCTTTTGATCCACATATGTGACATTTGTGTTGGAAATATAGATAAGATGAATTGCTGGGGCATAAAGTATGCATATGTCAATTTTAGTAGGTATGGCCAAAATATTTTCCAACTATGCCTAAATTTACCACTCCCATCATTACTATGATGTTATTTCTATTTGCTGTACACCCTTGTCAAAAGACTCAAAGTCTCTTAAAATTAATTATATTGTAGTTTTAATTTGCTTTTCTCTGACATTAAGGAGAAAGTTGAGCAACTTTTCATGCATTTGCCATTTGAATGTCCTTTGTGAGGCATCAAGTTTCCTGCCCATTTTTCCCTTGAGTTTTCTCTATTTCTTAACTGATTTTTAGAAGTTCTTTGTATACTCTAGGTACTATGAGTTGCAGATATCTCCACTTTTTATTTCTGTAGTGGTATCTTTCAGTGAGCAAAAGTTTAAAATCATAACATACAGGTGGTATCGCTCTTTTTTTTTATGGTTAGTGCAATTTGTCCTGTTTTAAAAACACCTTTTCTTACCCCAAGTTCTTAAAGACATTCTATGTTGACTTATAAAAATTTTTATTGTGTTTTAGTTTTCACAGGTGAGATGGGAAAGTCTCCTGGAGTTATTTTGTATGCCTGTGAGTGGTGTGAAATAAGGGTTAAATTAAAAGTGTTCCCCTCCAAAGTGGATATCCTATTGTCTTGACGTCATTTATTGAAAGGACCATCCTTAGATTTATTGGGCACTTTAACTGAGTTGACAATCTTCTACCAGTGTGTTTCCTCCTCACCCTTCTCTAAACAATTCTAAATGTATTTAAAGGTCTCAGTAGACATTATTGGTTTTGTTTAGAGTCAACGTTGATTTATATTTCCCTACATTTTACCCTTCCCATTGCTCTCTATTCCCTCCTGTATTTCTCAGCTTCCTTCTGTGATTACTTTCCCTTTACCCTGAAGAAAACCTCTTTATAATGTCCTTTACTGTAGATCTTATGGTGATGAACATCCTCGCTTTCTTGTTTTGTTTGAAAATGTTTTTATTTCATACTAATTTTTGAATGATATTTTCACTGGATATAGAATTCTAGTTCATTATAGCCTATCAATATCTGTTTTTGTTTTTGAGATGGAGTTTTGCTCTTGTTGCCCAGGGTGGAGTGCAGTGGTGGGATCTCAGCTCACTGCAACTTCCACCCCCCAGTTTCCGGTGATTCTACTGCCTCAGCCTCCCAAGTAGCTGGAATTACAGGTGCCCGCCACCACGCCTGGCTAATTTTTTGTATTTTTAGTAGAGACGGGGTTTCACCATGTTGGCCAAGCTGATCTTGAACTCCTGACCTCAAGTGATCTGCCCGCCTTGGCCTCCCAAAGTTCTGAGATTACAGGCGCGAGCCACCGCGCCTGGCCACCTATCAATATCTGTCTTCTGTTGTTTCTCTTCATGAACCAATGATCAGTCTTACTGTTGCTTTGAAGGTGATACACCCTTTTTCTCTCCTGCTTTTCAGGTTTTCTGTCTATGCCTTTGGATTTCATCAGTAGTGCTGTGACATGATTAGAATGTTCAACTGCCAAATTCTGTATCACCTCTCTTTTGAGACTGTAATTATACATATGCTAGACATTTTCCCTTTTCCCATATGCCTCTTTTCTGTTTCGATCCTTTTGATTCTGAACTTCAGTCTATTTTCTTTCGGTTTCTCCTCTGCTTCACAAGTTCTTGCTTCACCTGTGTCTACTTTCCTATTAAACTCATCTGTTGAGTTCTTGGTCTATTTTTCAGTTCTAGAATTTATTTCCATTGGATTTTTTAATAGTTTCCACACTTTGATGAAATTCTCCATTTTTGTTTCTTAATTCCTTGAAAATATTAATTCTAGTTATTGTAAAGCCCATGTTTGATAACTGTATCTTCTGAATCTCCTGTGGCCCAGTTTCTATTACTTGTTCTCATCTCTTGGTTTCTGGCAAAAACTTGTCTTCCTGTAATGGTAATGGCTGAGGATTTTGGGGTTTCTTGTTCGTTTTTAGAGACAGGATCTCACTCTATTGCCCACCCAGGCTAGAATGCAGTGGCACAATCGTAGCTCACTGCAGCCTAAAACTCCTGGGCCCAAGCGATCCTCCCGCCTCAGCCTCCTGAGTAGCTAGGACTCCAGATGCATACTACCATGCCAGCTAATTTTTTTAAATGTTTTTGTAGAGACAGGGTCTCCCTATGTTGCCCAGGCTGGACTGGTTATTTTTTATTGAGGGCCAGACACTGTATATGACCAGCTGTTGAGGTAATTTGAGGCTCTGACATTATCTTTCTTCAGTGAGCATGCGTTTTTGCCTCTGGCAATCAACTAGGTTAGGGGTATATCAGTTTAATCTCATTAGACATCAAAATAATTTAAGGTGTTTTTAGTCTTTTTGAGGACTGGACTACTCTGTTTTTGGTGTACTCTTACTCTTGGTTTGTACCTGAAACCCTGAAACCTGGGGCAGGCCCTGCACTCTAGTTTCTATCTCCATAGTCCTATGAATCTGTCAAAATCTATTCTCAATTCCTTACCATCTCAGCCACTGTTTTCATATCTCACAATATTCCTAGGGGGCAAAATGGTGCCAGGCTTACGCCCTTCATTGTCTCTCTCCTCCTGGACATTGGTCCCACAAATTCTCATTTATTTGGTAGCTTTTTGATGATTTTAAACAGACTTTTTTATATGATATTGATCTGGCTTTTTCATTTGTTTCTGGTGGGACAGTTGGATCAAAAAAACCTAGTTGGTCCTTGCTAGAAGTGAAACTTTCTTAGTTTTTTAAAGGGTGGCTGTTGGGCCTTTAAGCATACCAGGGGCTGGGGGAGCGGGAGGTATAGGGTTTATGATTTAACAGAACTTTTGAAATGAATAGTTATTTGTAGAAATCTGTTACATTCCAAGTAAGTTCATTTACAATGTAATGTGTCAGAACAAGTGGGACTGTAGAGGAATTAGCTTTTATATACAGCCAGGTCACACCTCAGCCTGTATACCTGCACAGCTCTGAGGCTTTCACTGGGGACGAGGGAGTCACAGGTGCATGAATAATTGTTGACTGCTAATGGTGGCTTTTGTGCTGGAGCAGCTACTTATCCTAAAATCTCCTTGCCTCTTCTGCTTCTGTGTAATTAGTATTATTGTATCAATTCAATAACAACTGCTAACAGTCAAATGGTTTCTATGTGTGACGCCTTACCACATATGTAGTTCCAAATTTGTTTTTGTAGTCCTTTAAAATAGGTAATAGTATTTTTGTTTCACACATTTAACAAAAGATTGTACCACTAGAATATAAGCCCGCTGAGCACCAGCACCATGTGGTCATGTCTACCACTACACCTCAATGCCTCGCACAATGATAAATATTAATAAATTAAAAATTAATATTTTTAAATAAAGGAACTCAAGTCTGTTTGACCCCATAGGCCATATTCTTCGTGTACTATGCAGTGTAAGTGTTAATAAATGTTTTAATTTTTTAAATAAAAACACTTAAAAAATACCACATGTAAGTCTGACTTTAAAGGACTTTGAATCGCATAATATTGTAGAAAGGGGTTGAAATTGATCTAAGAAGAGAGCCCAATAGACCTGCTCCACTTCTGACAGGAAACTACTGAAGGATGGAAGAGCTAGAGGTTTAGAAACCTTGGATTTGAAACTTGTGCTCACCACACAGGAATGAAATTCCAAGCAAGTGTTTCATCCCTTTCAGCCTCAGATTCTTCATCAGTAAAACAGAAGTGTTGATACCACAGGCACAAGAATGTTGTTAGAAATAAATGAAGCAATATATATATACTTAGTTCCTGTGAGTCTATTTATTATGAACATCTCCCCACACTGAGTATGCTTGTGATGTTTAAAAACCGATTTTTCATGAAACGTAGCCCCTAAATGCTAGCCAGCTGCTTACAATTGCCTGTTTTAATGCTGGAGAATTAACTTTTGGGCTTACCATGAGACATGCCAACCTCTACTCCAGGTCCTTCTTATGGAGTGAAGGTCTTAGTTTTTCAGTAGTACTTTCGAACATATTATAATTTGACAGACATATTTCTGAAAACCCCTGCTTCCGGTAGAATTTTGTGCTAGAGGTAACAGAAGTTTTGGGAAAAGATGGGATTAGGGACAGATCAATAAAAACGTATATAACTTTGAAACCAGGCACTAACAAAACTGGTAATGACCTCAATTAGAATATTAGCACAAATTTTACATTTTATGTTTCTAATAAATACACCAAAATAAGAGGCCTTTGCCTTAATGAACAAAAAAAGGTGAAGGTAGACTGATGGACAGGGAAGGCAGTGACAAAGGACTGAGCATGCTGAGCTATGCAGAAAGAGCAAAATACAGAAGGATCAGGGAGAACTGTGCAATGAGCACTTCCAGACAAAACTGGAGGCTCATATAAGCCAGAAAGAAGAACATGGGCTGATGGCCATTGAGTGTTTGTGATTTTGCATTTAGGTGCTGCTACTTAGTTACACGAACCAAAAAGACTTCTAGGTTATACAAACAACATTCACTCATTTACCAATTTTATTTAAGCTAATTGTTACAGAAACATGAGCTGTAGCAGAGCAGACTGAACTTGCTATTTATCTTATAACCATTAGAAACTAATTACCACCATACATAGAAGCCCTTTGTAAACCACCGTGGAAAAGTCAAAGGCCTGTAGGGGTCAGGCAAGCAATAGAAGTGAGTGAGCAGGAAGACACGGACTTCTCTAAATAGGCATATCCCATCTACAGGGGACAGGCATGCTCCGTTTCAGCCAACTGTTGCCATGTGGGATGGAGGACTTGGGTATGGCCAGATCACTTGATTTTTCCCCAGAGAATTCAGATATCTGGGTTTTTAGGTAAAATTGCCCAATTCTTAAAACCCTGACCAAAGAAGATAGGACAGGGGGTTGGGATTCACTTTGGGCTCCCAGTTGTGACCTTAGGAAAATAACAGACTGTATAAACCTATTAATACCCGTTAAGTCCCCAGGGAGCTTTAACATATGAGCATTTTGATGGTTGTAGGTGGCATGGCCTCAAGGGCTGGGATTGAATGGGAGGCTACTTAATGTGTATTCTAGATATTGAAAATAGAGTTAAATTAAGTTGTCTGTCAAGTAGGTTACCCACCGTTCTTTGTTATTTCCCTATAATTGGGCTGTTTCATTTGTGCTTTCTCCCAAAGAGTGAAAAAACCAGTTTCCTTTTGCATTTGCAGAGTTGGTTTGTCCAGGATACATGCAAACACTTGGTGGAAAATTAAAGCCTAATGCAATCGCTTCAAACTTCCTCTAACTTTTCCCCTTATCACTATGTTATTTAACATGAAAACAATGTGTAGAAAAATGTTCAAGTGTTTCTAATAAACGTAGCTAATTGGATTCTCAAGTCTCTTCTGTGACATAAAAACTGAAATAGTTTTGAAGCTGAAGCACCAATTAATAGGGCTAGTCATGGAAAGAACACTTACAGGAACAAAACTTAATACCACATCTTTAGATTTGTGTAATGGTTTGCTGGCAAGCCAAGTCTTTTTCCCCTGTTTCTTTTGCTTATGTTAAATGCTCTAAAAGGGCGGAGGCAAGTATTCTTGTCAGCAGAGACTTGGCAACTAATGTCTCCTTCCTGGTCCCCTGTGCCTTGCTTCAGCCTCAAGACAGTGAGACAGCCAGCCAGCCACCCAGGCAATGTTTTATGAATCTGATGCTATGGAAAGGAGGGCAGTAAATTAGGGGAAGCTGGAATTCGCCTGTCTGTTTCAGAACACCCCATTTGGGGTATATAAAATGTATGCTGCCAGCAGGAGTTTCTGAGACAAGATGATGAAGTGGCAGTTTGCTTATATGATTTTATTTTTTCAGCTGACTTGGCCCCAGTAGATATATAGGAGGTGAGAGGGGAAAAAATGATTAAATTACCTAGTAGTTAAAAACACACTTTCCCCCTGCTTCTAAGTAGGAAAGTAAGGAATGGTTGACAAATATTTCCATGAGGTAATAATTGATCCCTGAATAGGCTTCCATTAGTTAAAAAAAATCAGTTTATGCCATATGCCAGTGAAAATGTGCATGAAATCATGGTGGAAAGGAGAGATACATTCAATGTGAGATCAGAGAAATGAACTGGATTGTGTTTCCATGGTTCCTGCAGGAATCTATCATATTGTATCTGCCACACTGTATACATATGTTTACAGTCATCCCTTAGTATTTGTGGGAGATGGGTTCCAGGATTCCCCATGGAACCAAAATCCACTGCCTCATTATTCCATGGTTTTCCAGAGGGCAGAGGAATTGTGTGAATTTTGGAGTATAGCTGTATTACCTGAGGTGGCCTTTAAAAACTCAGCTCCCATTCTAGGGAAGTTCTGAGAGATACAAGGTAGAAAGTGTCCTTTCTCCAAAAGAAAAGTGAAACTTCAAAAGCATTTGAGAACCCTTATCTTAGAGACCAAAGGATGCCTGCTTAGATTTGCCTTCTGAATTACAGTGAGACAGACACCTTCTGGCCTCCTACCTTCTCCCCTTTCTCTTCCCTTCTCGTAAATCTGGGGTTGGTTAAGTTAGGAAGATTGGATTTCTTTAGCTTTAGTGACTGAAGACTGTTCACCCTGTCACTAGAGGGCACCAGTTGCACATCAAATATCTAATGTGTAGGTGTCAATGCCCACAAACATTCTTCAAATACAGCAAAATGTCAAATTGAAATGGCTTGTAATAAGGTGGTTCCCCTAGTGTCCCTGTTCTTATTTACCCCATTTCTGCTGCTGAAAGGAGCATTCTAAATTTGACTTTCTAGTGCTTTCAGAATTTTCACTTAATTCAAAACTCTAATTAAAGTTGCAGATATGAAGAATCAATGTTTTTCACAAGATTACATGATGGCAATTTTGCTACCATTTATCTGGCTCTTGCTCTGTGCTGGGTAATATGTAAAACCTTATAGGAATTTTTTCACATGGTTGTATTTCAGATCCTGCAACAAATGAAAATGGTTGTTATCAACCGGAAGCCTCCCCTGTAAGCTAAAATATACCATTCAATATAGAGTATAGGTATGTCTCTAGAAAACCTACAAGTTGAGTTTTCCTGTTGAAATTTTACAAAGAAAAACTGTCCAGGCATTTAGTTTATGTTACTCTTCTCTTCATGGGATTGCACAAAGTGTTGTAAGGCAGTTGTCAACAGTCTGGTTTCTACTGGCTTTGCCTCGGGGGACTGACCCACTGTGCCAGCCCTTGCTTGGGTTTACACTGGGAAGACCAGGCTCATTGTTTCTCATCTGTGATGCGTCCCCTCAACCCATAGTTATGTTTTGGCAAAGGAAAAAAAAAGGAGGAAGTGAACATTCACCCCAGGACCATTTGATTCTGTTGATTGCTGACAGGTGCTATGTTCTGAATAGAATTAGAGACTCTGTACACCTCAGACATACCCAATATCAGGTCAGCTATAATTTGTGCATGATGAGAGGTCACAACGTTTTGGCCTTGGGAAAAAGGCACATTCCTGACTGTGCGGCAGCAGTTGCTATGTGGTGTCCAGTAAGATCTTCAGTCATAGTGGGCTTTGCAATGTACACCCTAAAAATGGAAATGAACCCAACGTCTCCTTACAAACTGTGTGAGTCCTGATGGATGAGCTTCCTGACCCTAGACGAAAGGAATCGGCCCAAATAGAACGTCAAAGGAGGATGAAGAAGTATAAATTCCAATTGCTCTTGGAATCTGTGCGTCTTCTCCAGAACTGAGGCAAGTGAGTCGGAGGGGCACTCCCCGTGTGAGGTGGGGCTGGCTGGAGGAAAACAATTCAGCATCACATATTGAAAAGCCACTACATGCCTGGCCCCATAATCTCAACAATCTGATGAAGTAGAACCCTTATTTCTGTCCTATAGAGGAAGAAATGAGGGCTATTCTAGATTTAAAAATTTTCCCAAGGCTATGCTGCTTACTATAAGAGGTAACAGGATGGCAAATATCAGTCACTGCTGACTATGCACATACCCTGTACCAAGCACCATCATTATCTCTGATGCAACACCACAAGGGAGGCATCACCATACCCACTTTGTAGATGAGAAGCCTGAGGCTGGGAGAGGTTAAATCACCTACCCAAGTGTACCACCATCCTCCCCTCCCCTCAGCATTGTCACCACCCTTTGGTGACAACTCTTCCCTGCCACACAGTGTCCCCAGATCTGCTGCTTCCTTCTAGAATAGGAAAAAAAGCCTGATAAACTAATTCACTTGCATACCCTGGAAAAATTGTGACTGCCAAGACCAGCATCTCCCAGAGGATGTATGGCAGAACAATAACCCTCTGCTTCTATCCAAACAAAGGATCCCTTCATCAAACACATCTAGAAAATTTAGAGTGCATAGGAAAAGGCTCTGAGAAATCCTGGAATACAGAAGAAACTTTCTTAATAAAGGACAGCCCCTTTAATTTGCACTGTTGAGGCACAGAAAACAGCACCACAAAATACGGTAAGTTGGCATGCTGAATGCTTTGAAGGAAAGAAAATGGAAAGGTCTCAGAAATAAGCCTCAGAACCTTCCCCCTCACACCTGTTTCTCTTATCCTCTCTTTTCCCAAGCACCAGAAGGGACTCTGTCCCAAATTTCCTTATCTGGCTAAGGAAGCTTTTTTTTTCCAAAATAAATGCAATTGTCTTAAGACTCTGTTCTTAGGAATCTCATCAAATAACTAGGAAAGATTAACCACAGGAGAAGAGACTGGGAGTTGTCACCACACCCAGACAGACAAACTTTTCATCTATTCTTCTGAAGGCAGCTACTAAGATTACCAGGGAGGCTCTATCTGTATAAGACAAGCTTTGTTGATAATGAAGGTCCACCTTCCTGCCACCTCCCCCAGAGCCCAGAGCCCAGAGCCCAGAGGAACATGGTCTCAGACCATTTTTCTTTGGGCTCATTCATTTCCATGGAAAATCGGTTACTCCTTCATCACCATCTTCCCTTCCCCTATGAAGAAGGGTATGAAAGCCTCTGGGCCTCATTGGGTTATTGGGTAATCACTCTACTGTGATTTCCCCTGGACACTTCAAATACATTTTGTATGCCTTTTTCTTGTACTAATCTGCCTTTCATCCATTCATTTTCAGTAATCCCTCAGTGGGCAAAGAGGAAGATTTCTCTCTACCCTCACAGCATGAAACACCTGTGTTGTAGGTATTTGACTTTGAGCCCCATTTTCATCTGTAAAATTAGTTTATATATGTAAAAGCACTTAGAATAGTGTATGACAGTTAAATTCAGCATAAGCAGTAACCGTGGGACCCTAGTAAATCAATAAGTTAAAAGGAACCGGAAGGAGCCAGGCTGGTAGAACAGGGACTGGACCTAACCCAGGGATCTAACCCCATTTGCAACCCTTTTGTGTGAAAAACCACAACCAATATCTTGCAACTCCAGAAACAGAAGGCATATGGGTTGCAAAATGGCTAACAACAGCAAAGCATTTCCCTTGGGCACCTGGAGAGGAAAGGGCTGACAGTTAAAAATTACCCCAACATAGTCTTAGCATATAGCATAGCACAAGCTTACTTGCACACAGCCCTCTCCAGCACGACCTTACAAAACTTCCCTCCAGCCCCTGCATCTTTGCAGACAGCCCCTTCTCTGCTGTGCTGCTTGTTGCATCCTTGCAACATTATCTTCATGCTTCCTCTAATAAGTCTACCTTTCTTTACCTATGACTGTCTTGGTAAAGGAGCCCAAAGAAAAATGGCCTGAGACTGTGATAACCATGATCTTCTTGGCTCTAGGGGAGGTGGCGGGAAGGTGAACTTTCATTATGAACACCACCAGCCAGCTGTCACGTCCCCGACAGCAACTATTATTATTACTATCATCACCACCTGTAAACAAGGCACCACAGAGCCCTTGTGGGGCTGAATTCAAGGATGTGGGGTACGTGTGTGCAGATATTTATTGACAGAGCAACATTTCAGAGTCCCCTTGGCACATGTGAAAAGTGTGGCTTAGGGGAAAGATATGGATTTTTGATCAGATAGATATGGGCCATGCTCTAGCTCCACTGTTTACCATCAGTGCAACCTTAAAGAGTTATATAACCTCTCTATGCTTCCTTATCATAAAATGAGGATAAATAGTACCTTCCTTTTATTTTTTGTGAAGATTAAGGGGCAAATAACTCCACAGTTGTGGATTGTTATTACCATTAAAAAGCCAGTGGAGAACACCTGTTGAGCATGAGGGTGTAAAGCCTCCCAACCGAATGTTAATTTCCCCAACTGCATCTTAGAAGCTATTTTGGCAAAGAGTAAAACTCTTCACTTTAAAGTTTATTGGGCCAAAAGCATATTTGAAGCTTAATCTTCTCAATATGATTTAAAAAAGTGGAAGAAACTATGATAAAGCAACAGAGAAAGGGATTGACAGGTATGAAAAAACATATGGAGAAGAGTGAGTAAAATCTCTGGAAGAGAATGCAGACCTCTCCCTCCGTTTTGGATCAGTAAGTCTGTGTAGCCACATCAGATCTCATCCGTTGGAAGACCATAAGCTGCCCTTGGGCATGAGGCAATGAAGGGCAGGGGTGTCATCGTGGATGGGTATGACATAAGAGAAAGAGAAAGTGGAAGAAGAGGGGAAGGAGGAGGAGGAGGAGGAGAGAGAGACACAGGACAACCAATAAAACCTTGCATACACATCACAGAACCAAAAGAAAGAGTAGATATTTTGTGTGTGCATATTTGTGTGTTTTTATCTTAAAGACAAATTGTATGCTGTCTAGATCACACAGGTAGGGCAGCTGTCTAGATATTGAGTATGTTAAGGACTTGGACATCTTAAAACAATACACTTAATCAACTGCCTTTGCTACTTAAAAAAAAACAAATCTCAATTGAAAATGGATTGATTGGAAGCATGACAGAATATTTCAGATTAAGCCAATGGAAGGAATCCTATCGTTGCTGCACTGATAATAAAATAATACTTGGAAACCACTTACCACCAAAGTGGGTGCTCAATAGATGTTAGTTTCTCTTTGTTTCCCCTTGTTTCATAAAAAAAAGGAAAGAAAAAAAAAACCAAAGCTATACAGGAGGGAGAAAAAAATGAGGGAAAGGAAGAAAGTCAAAAGGAAAGAAGTTAAAAAAAAGAACGAAGAAAATTTCCCCCAAAAGACTTCAAGCCAACTAAGACACGAGAGAAGTTTGTCAATTTAAACATTGATGATATTTGTGGACATTGCAAGTTCTCCATACAACATCTTATGAGTGAGAAAAATCCCATAGTATAAGAGGCTTTTTTTGATTAGATGTAACAGCCAATTCACTACATAATACAAATTAGATATCTTAAAGAGATACTACCACCAATCAGATTTGACATTTTCTCTTATGCTTTTTTTGTATCTCTAAGGGTTGATTTTAAAGGAGAGAATAACACTTTTGACAATAGTTATGCAATGTACTTTTAAAAACTAACCTGTGAAATCGGGCTGCAATCAACTAGTTGACCTTGGTTGGACCATATTGAGAGGTGACAGCGTGCTAGCAGTCCTCACAGCCCTCGCTCGCTCTTGGCGCCTCCTTTGCCTGGGCTCCCACTTTGGCGGCACTTCAGGAGCCCTTCAGCCCGCCACTGCACTGTGGTAGCCCCTTTCTGGGCTGGCCAAGGCCGGAGCCGGCTCCCTCAGCTTGCGGGGAGGTGTGGAGGGAGAGGCGCGGGCGGGAACCGGGGCTGCGCGCGGTGCTTGCGGGCCAGCGCGAGTTCCGGGTGGGCGTGGGCTCGGCGGGCCCTGCACTCGGAGCTGCCGGCAGGCCCCGCCGGCCCCGGGCGGTGAGGGGCTTAGCACCTGGGCCAGCAGCTGCTGTGCTCAATTTCTCGCCGAGCCTTAGCTGCCTTCCCGCGGGGCAGGGCTCGGGACCTGCAGCCCACCATGCCTGCGCCTCCCCTCCGCCTCCGTGGGCTCCTGTGCGGCCGAGCCTCCCCGACGAGCGGCGTCCCCTGCTCGACAGCGCCCAGTCCCATCGACCACCCAAGGGCTGAGGAGTGCGGGCTCACGGCGCGGGACTGGCAGGCAGCTCCACCTGCGGCCAGGTGCCGGATCCACTGAGTGAAGCCAGCTGGGCTCCTGACTCTGGTGGGGACTTGGAGAACCTTTAGGTCTAGCTAAGGGATTGTAAATACACCAATCGGCAGACACTCTGTATCTAGCTCAAGGTTTATAAACACACCAATCAGCACCCTGTGTCTAGCTCAGGGTTTGTGAAGGCATCAATGGACACTCTGCATCTAGCTACTCTGGTGGGGACTTGGAGAAACTTTGTGTCAACACTCTGTATCTAGCTAATCTAGTGGGGACATGGAGAACCTTTGTGTCTAGCTCAGGGTTTGTGAATGCACCAATCGACCCTCTGTATCTAGCTACTCTGGGGGAACTTGGAGAACCTTTGTGTCCACACTCTGTATCTAGCTAATCTGGTGGGGACATGAAGAACTTTTGTGTCTAGCTCAGGGATTGTAAATGCACCAATCAACACCCTGTCAAAACGGACCAATCAGCTCTCTGTTAAATGGACTAATCGGCTCTCTGTAAAACGGACCAATCAGCAGGATGAGGGTGGGGCCAGATAAGAGACTAAAAGCAGTCTGCCCGAGCCAGCAGTGGCAACCCGCTAGGTCACCTTCCACACTGTGGTAGCTTTGTTCTTTCCCTCTTTGCAATAAATCTTGCTACTGCTCACTCTTTGGGTCCACACTGCCTTTTTGAGCTGTAACACTCACCACGAAGGTCTGCAGCTTCACTTCTGAGCCAGCGAGACCATCAGAAGGAACAAACTCCGGACATGCCGCCTTTAAGAACTGGCACACTCACTGCAAGGGTCCGCGGCTTCATTCTTGAAGTTGGTGAGACCAAGAACCCACCAATTCCGGACACAATATGATTCTCTTGAAGTCCAAAGATGTGAATAGATCGCTTTGTGTACTCAGCCCTCATCCAGGCCAAGCCAGCCTGGGTTTTGTTTTGTCATGTCCACAAGAACATCATAGGCAAGTAGGTTTTGATTTACAGATACATGTAAATAGATGTGATTTCTTTCCCAGGAAAAGGGCACAAGGAGCTAACAGTTTAATTTATACACATGAGGCTGTTTTAGAAGCTTGCATTGTAGTAAGGGCTAGTTAAAGTCAGTCTTTCAGCAGGATGCATTGCTCCCAAATGTTTGCTGGTAGACAGTAAATCTGGGAAAATATCAAGGCCAGCAGGTGACAGGGGAAGACCAGGACAGGAGAATTTTCAGAGCTGAAACATCTCACTGTAAAGATTTAATAAATTTCACATGCATCCCCTTATTTTTCCATATTTTGTTTTTATTTTTGTTTTAGCTGTTTCCTGTGTTTCAGGCACTGGTGATCCTTTTGCCTAGAAACACTAACTACTGTATTTTTTTCTGATGTGGTTTTCTGTTGGATAGGATTTCCATAATAAATAAGGTTGATTTGGTCTGGTCAGCTTCGTGTCAATTTTCTAGTTTTGTAGGTGGTTCCTTTTAATCATAAACAAAAGCTATAACTTAGCCATTTCCAAAGCTCAACGACATTTACAAGGGCCCCAGAGGAATAACTTTCTGGTTAAGGCAACTGTAGTAAGTTTAATAGGATAAACAGGTAGTACCCTTTCAAGCTCTAGGACTCTCCTCCTCGAGGAGGCCCCTCAGCCAGTTTGATCATAGTGGTAAGGAGGTCAAGGCTGTTTCAGTTCCCATCAGCTGGCTTTGAGCAGAGAAAACTCATTGCATGGCCACAGGTTGAACCCCAAGTCTAAGGAAATGACTGTGTTGCTCAGAGGAGGTATTAATAAAAAGCATCCTTTGCACTTTTTCCAGCCCTATTCTACACATTTGTCCTTTGTTCCTTCACAACCCAAAGAGTCAAAGAATGCTTCTGTCCTTTGTTGGGAAGGCCTCTCCTTTGCAGAGCTTTCTGTTCCCTTTCAATTTCCTATAGTCCATTAAGACTGTTCCTGTGACCAGAAGGCAATAAAAGAAACACATTTCAAGTAGTAAAACAAGCATCCAGGAAGAAGCTTTCCATCAGTTTAAAACAGATGAAAAAGCCTGGCCTCTTGTTTCTCAATCTAGATCTGGAACAGACAAGAGAGAAATATTAGAGACACCTGACGCTGGAGGGGTGTGAGGACACATTTCCAGAGCAGCTGCCCTGTACTTTATTTGGACAGTTCTTGCTTCCCACTGTCTCACTTCAGTTTTTTTGTTTTTTGTGTTTTTTTGCTTTTCAAATTTTTTTACACTGTCACATTCTCACTCTTTCTGTACTTTTCATTTTGTTCCCCTCTGCTCAAAACTTTTGACTCCCTCTGTCACCTCCCATCCACCCAGCAAATCCCCAGTTCCTGCTCTATAGTGAGTTCCTCTCGTATGTCATGGCAGTTATAATAATAATAACAGCTATAGGTTATTGAAGGCTTTTCATGAGGTTTTTATCTCATTTAAATGTTTCAGCAATCTTAGAGGTGGTATGTTAATCAGGACAGGCTAATTGTTATAATAAGTAGTATCAGTATTGCTATGAGACCAAGTATTTCTTTTTCTCATGCAGAGTCTGATGTGCATGCTCCTGGCTGGGTAGCTCTCTTGGGCAGATCATCTCCAAGCAGTTGGGCACTCCTTTTATGATGTGGCTAAATTATCCTGGAGTCTTTTGCAGAGAGGGGAGAGAGTGTGTGGAGGATCACATGGATGTTTTAGGGGCCATCTCTGAGTGACATCTCACCACCTCCCCCACAGTCTATTGACCCTAAGTCTGATATATGGTCCTTCCTAGTTGCAAGAGAACAAGGAAATGTATTTTTCTCTTGTGTCCAGGATGAAAATGAAACTACATGGTGTAGGCAGCATTGCCTCTACCATGGTGGGTGGGGTGGGGGCGGGAAGGGCTTTCAACACCTCCAGGTGAGGGAATTCAGGCACAAAGATTCAGAATCATTAGCTAATATGTGGTGGAACAAGATTCCAACCCTATAAATATGACTCTAGAATTATACTCTTGACATTGTGTCCTGCTTTCTGTCTTTAAATAAAAATAACTATTCCCTCTTGTGCTCATGGTTTTCCTTTTTTACAAGTCTTTACTCCAGTGCTTATCACACTGTTGCACCTGTTACACCAGACTGTGAAACCCAAGGGAGAAGAAAAACCCCTTTATATCCATATGAGCAGTATGTGCCTGGGACACAGTGGGGCTCAATAAAAGTTTGATGACTGAAGAATAGCTGTGATCTGTGTGGTGGTTCATGAAAAGGCAACTTGAGGCACTGCATCGTGATTACATCACTGAACAGCTTTTCTAGATTAAAGTCAGGGGTGTCTAAATTAGTGTAACAATCATCTCCATGTAGCTGTTTTCAACCCATCCACAAGATGGAGCCTTTACAAATATAAGTAAGAAATGATGTCAACAAGGCGGTAGAATAGAAACATTCCACTATCATTCCCCTACAGATAAATCAATTTTGGCAAATATCCACAGTTAAGAGTACCTTTGTTGGAGTCTAGGAGTGCAGCTGAGAAGTTCCAGCACACCACTGAAGCAAAAATCCAAGAATAGGTGCACTGAAGAGTGTGGAAGAACAGTTTCATGTTATCTACCTCACCCCTTTCACAAGGTGGCATAGCTCAGTGCCAAGAGAGACGTTATTGGCCCATGATTTCTCCCATGAGGAAAAATGAAAGTGTAGTAAGGGGGTACCTGGCTCCCCCAGCCACATCAGATGCTGCCCAAGAGGCCTGCTTCTTTCTTAACCCACCCGGAATACTGGAGTGATTGGAATAAATGAGTGGTTGGAAGATGCTGGGAGCAGGGAAGAAAGGCTGCCATGGACCTTACTAAGTTCTGCCTACTCCATCAGGAAGCAGGCCCACAAACCACTTGAGGAACCTCAGCTATGAACCCCATACCCACTGCCCCATGGGCACTCCATATTTTCTATATGCTTCACCTTCTCACCACAAGACATGAAGAATTACACCACACATAAGAATTACAGACATGAAGCACTGCATCCAGCCAAAAATGATTATTTTAAGGAAGCTCAGTGAGCTATAAGATAGACAATTCAGTGAAATCAGAAAAACAATACATGAACAAAATTAGAAGTTCAATAAAGACACAGAAATCATAAAGTTGGGTATGGTGGCACATTCCTGTAGTCCTAGCTACACAGGAGGCTGAGCACAACAATCTCATGTGGACAGCTGGCTTGACTCTGCAGGATTGGGAGAAGGTATACAAATTCAAGCAATTCAAGGTGCCATCATAGCAAAAACAAACAGGAGGCACTTAGCACCCACTTCGGCTTTATGGGGTCATGATAAGCCATACAATCTTAAGAATTCTCCCCCCACCAAGAGGAAATAAGGGGCAGAGTGGGCACATTGATAGAAAAGGTCTGAGAGAGCCTCAGAATCCCTAGCTGGGCTATTTAGTTAAAGCATTTTTCTCTCGAAGCCAATCAGTAAATATGGGAGGAAATGATTACTTCTTCAAGTGCACACACAATGACGCAAAACTTTAAGGAACATGAAAAATCTTGAAAACATGACACCACCAAAGGAATAAAATATTCCACTAACCAACTCAGAAAAATTAGAGATCTATAGATTGCCTGACAAAAAAATTGAAATTATATTTATTTATTTATGTTTCAGAGACAGGATCTTGCTCTGTCACCCAGGTTTGAGTGCAGTGGCATGATCATAATTCACCACATCCTTGGACTACTGGGCTTCAGAAATCCTCTTGCCTCAGCATCCTGAGTAACTAGGACTATAGGCACATCCCACCCTACACAGATAATTTTAAAAAATTGTAGGGACAGCATCTCACTATATTGCCCAGGATGGTCTTGAACTCCTGGCCTCAAGCAATTCTCTTATCTCGACCTCTCAAAATGCTAGAATTACAGACATGAAGCACTGCATCCAGCCAAAAATGATTATTTTAAGGAAGCACAGTGAGCAACAAGATAGACAATTCAGTGAAATCAGAAAAACAATACATGAACAAAATTAGAAGTTCAATAAAGACACAGAAATCAAAAAGTTGGGTATGGTGGCACATTCCTGTAGTCCTAGCTACACAAGAGGCTGAGGTGAGAAGCCCACTTGACGTCAGGAGTTCAAGACAAGCCTGGGCAACATAGCAAGACCCTATATCCTAAAAAATTCATTTTAAAAGAGATACAAATAATAAAGAACTAAACATACATTATGAAGCTGAAGAATACAGTGAATGAAATGAAAAATGTAATAAAGAGCATCAGCAGCAGACTCAATCAAGCAGAAGAACCTGTAAATACAAAAGACAGGTCCTCTGAAAATATCCAGTCAGAGAAAAAACATAAAATGAATGAAGAGGAATGATGAACGCCTGCAAAATTTATGTGACACAGTTAAGAGTGCTAACAGTTGCATTATAGGAATTTAAGAAGGTGAAAAGAGAAAGAGGCAGAAAGATTTTTTTTTTAAATAGCTGAAAACTCCCCAAATCTGGGGAAACATACAGACATCCAGGTATGTGGCATTTAAACGTCTCTGATAAGCTTTAACCTGAAAAAGAGATCACCAAGATACACTACAATCAACTGTCAAAAGTCAAAATCAAGGAGTTTTAAACGCAGCAGAAAAGAGGCTTATCTCATACAAGGTAACCCACATAACACTATCAGATTTCTTATCAGGCTATCAGAAGATTTCTCGGCAGAAAGCTTATAGGGTAGGAGAGAGTAGAAGGATATATTCAAAGTGCTGAGAAGAAAAGATAAAAAAAGCCAAGAATATGTAAACCTGACAAAGTTTCTTTCATAAATGAAAGAGAAAGAGTTTCCCAGACAAACAAAAGCTGAGGGAGTTCATCACTACTAGACTTGTCTTATAAGAAATGCTTAAGGGAGTTATTCAAGCTGAAATAAAAGCATGCTAATTAGTAACATGAAAACATATGAAAATATAAAACTCATTGGTAAAGCTAAGTATACAGTCGTATTTAGAGTAAAATTATAATAGTGATGTGTAAATCACTTACGACTCTAGTATAAAGGTTAAAAGACAAAATATTGAAAATAACTACAACTGGCAGGGCGCGGTGGCTCACACCTGTAATCCCAGCACTTTGGGATGCCAAGGCTGGCGGATCACGAGATCAGGAGATTGAGACCATCCTGGCTAATATGGTGAAACCCCGTCTCTACTAAAAATACAAAAAAATTAGCCAGGCGTGGTGGCAAGCGCCTGTAGTCCCAGCTACTCCGGAGGCTGAGGCAGGAGAATGGTGTGAACCCGGGAGGCAGAGCTTGCAGTGAGCCGAGATCGCGCCGCTGCACTCAAGCCTGGGCAACAGTGCGAGACTCCGTCTCAAACAAACAAACAAACAAAAAACCAAAAACTACAACTGCAATAATTTGTTGCTGAATACACAATTTTAAAAGATATAACTGGGATATCAAAAACAAATTGTAGGGATGGGGCAAAAGTGTAGAGTTTTTGTATGCAATTGAAGTTAAGATGTTATCAGCTTAAAACAGACTGTTATAACTATAAGATGTTTTATGGTAGCCACAAAGCAAAACCCTATGTAGATACACAGAAGATAATGAGGCAAAATCAAAATACACCACTGCAGAAAATAATCGAATCACAAAGAAAGACAGCAAGAGGAGAAGAAAGGAACAAAGGATATACAAAACAGCCAGCAGACAATTAACAAGATGGCAATAGTAAGTCCTTACCTAGCAATAATTACTTTAATATAAATGGATTATATTCTCCAATCAAAAAACATACAGTGACTAAATGTATAAAAAGGCATGACCCAACTGTATGCCATGTACAAGAAACTCACTTTAGCTTTAAGGACACACACAGAAAGTGAAGGAATGGAAAAAGGTATCCATGCAAGTGGAAACTAAAAGCGAGTAGGAGTAGTTTTACTTGTGTCAGACAAAAGAGACTTTAAGTCAAAAACTGTAACAAGATACAAAGCAGATCATTATATAACGACAATTCATCAGGAGGATATAACAATTATAGGTATATATGCACTAAATATTGGAGAAACTAAACATATAAAGCAAGTATTAACAGAACTGAATGGAGAAATAGATAGCAATCTAATAGTAGGGGATTTCAATACCCCACTTTTTACAATGGATAGATAATCCAGACAGAAAATCAATAAGGAAACATTAGAGTTAAACTGGGATTTAGGCCAAATGGATCAAACAGACATATAGAGAATATTCCATCCAACAGTAGCTGAATATACATTTTTCTCAAGTATACACAGAACATTTTCCAAGATGGGTCATATGTTAGGTCACAAAATAAGTCTTAAAAAATTTAACATGACTGAAATCATGTCACACAACTTTGCTAAACAAAATAGTATGAAACTCGAAATTAACAACAGAAGAAAAACTGGAAAATTCACAAATATGTGGAAACTAAACAATATGTTCTTGAACAATGAATGAGTCAAAGAAGAAATCAAAAGATAAGTTAAAAAATACCTTGAGACAAACAAAAATAGAAACACAACAGACCAAAACTTACGGGGTGCAGCAGAAGCAACTCTAAGAGGAAAGTTTAGAGTAATGAAAATACCTACATGAAAAAGGAAGATCTCAAATAAACCATCCAACCTTACACTTCAAGTTACTGGAAAGGAAGAAAAACTAAACCTAAAGTTAGTAGGAGGAAGGAAATAATAAAAATCAGGAATAAAACAAATAGAATAGAGGCTAGAAAAACAAAGCAAAGAACTATGAAATGAAGAGCTGATTTTTTTTTAAAGATAAGTAAAATTGGCAAACTTTCAGCTAGACTAAGAGGAAAAGAGAGATGACTCAACTAAAAATGAAAGAAAACCAGAAATGAAAGAGACCTTACATCTAATACCACAGAAATACAAAGGATTATTAAACTGCTATGAAAAATTATAAGCCATCAAACTGGATGATCTAGAGGAAACACATATTTGTAGAAACGTACAACTTATCAAGACTAAATCATGAAAAAAATCCAAGAAGAATAATAACAGCTAAGGAGACTGAATTAGCAATCAAAAATCTCCCATCAAACAGCCCACATCCTTATAGCTTCCCTGGTGAATTCTATCCAACCTTTACAGAAGAACTAATACCAATTGTCAATTCTTGGAAAATAATTGAAAAGGAGGGAACATTTCCAAATTCATTTTGTAAGGCCAGCTTTACCCTGATACCAAACTCAAACAAGAACACTATAAGAAGAGAAAACTATAGGCCAATATCACTGATAAACATAGATGCACAAATCCAAAATAAAATACTAGCAAACTGAATTAAGTGTTAAAAGGATAATACACCATGATCATGTGGGATTTATTCCTGGGATGCAAGGATAGTTCAACATATGTCAATCAATAAATGTTATACATTACATTAACAGAGTGAAGGACAAAAACCATATGATAATCTCAATATATGCAGAAAAGGCATTCAACAAAATTAAACACCCTTTCACGATATGATAAAAAAAATCTCAACAAATGTGGTATAGAAGGAATGTACCTCAACACAATAAAGGCCATATATGACAAGCCCCTAAGTAACATTATACTCAATGGTGAAAAGATGAAGGCCTTTTTTAAGATTTGGAACAAGACAAGTTTGCTCACTCTCGCCACTTCTCTTCAACATAATAATGAAAGTTCTACAGTAATTAGGCAAGAAATAGAAATAAAAGATATCCAGACGTGAAAGAAGAAGTAAAATTGCCGCTCTTGACAGATGATATGATCTTCTACACAGAAAATCCTAAACACTCCACCAAAAACTGTTAGAACTAATGATGAATTGGGCAGGCACAGTGGCTCATGCCTGTAATCCCAGCACTTTTGGAGGCCTCGAGATCAGCCTGGCCAACATGGGGAAACCCTCTCTCTACTAAAAACACAAAAATTGGCTGGGGCATTGTTGTGCATACCTGTAGTTTCAGCTACTCTGGAAGATGAGGTGGGAGGATCACTTGAACCTGGGAAGCGAAGCAGAGGGTGCAGTGAGCCAAATCACATCACTGCACTCCAGCCTGGGTGACAGAGTGAAACTCTGTCCAAAAAAAACAAAAAAACAAAACAAACAAAAAAAACTAATGATGAATTCAGTAAAGTTGCAAGATACAGAATTAACATACAAAAAGTGCTTGTTTCTCTATAAACTAACAACAAACTATCTGAAAAAAGAAAGAAAACAATCTCATTTATAATAGCATCAAAAAGAATAGAATACTTAGGAATAAATGTAATAAGGAAGTGAAAGACATCTGCAATAAAAACTATAAAACATCGACAAAAGAAATGAAAGAAGACACAAAGAAACAGAAAGGTGTTCTGTATTCATGGACCAAATAATCAATATTGTCAAATGTCCATACCAAAGTGTTCTGCAGATTCATTGCAATTCGTATTAAAATTCCAATGACACTTTTCACAGAATGAAAAAAACTATCCTGAAATTCATATTGAGTGACAAAAGTCCCTGAATAGCCAAAGCTATCTTGACTAACAACAAAGCTGGAAGCATCACACTTCTTGATTTCAAATTATATACAAAGGTATAGTAATCAAAACCATATAGTGCTTGAGGCCAGGAGTTTGAGAGCAGCCTGGGCAACATAGTGAGACCTCGTCTCTCTAAAAAAAAGCTAAGCAAACAAAAAAACTCAAAACCTAAAAAACTAAGCTACCTGTGGTGGTGCATGCCTGTAGTCTCCAGCTACCTGGGAGGCTGAGGTGAGAAGGCTGCATGAGCCCAGGAGTTTGAAGTTGCAGTGAGTGAGCTAGGATTGTACCATTACACTGGATGACAGAGTGAGACCCTGTCTCTTAAAAACACAACAGCTATAAACTATATGGTACTGGCATAAAAACAGGCACATAGAGCAATGGAACAGAACAAAAAGTTCAAAAAGAAACCCACACATATATGGTCAATTAATCATTGATAAAGCTGCCAGTAATTTGCAATGGGGAAAGGATAGTCTCTTGAATAAATCATGTTGGTAAAACTGGATATCCACATGTGGAAGAATGAAATTATATTTTTATCTCATAACATATACAAAAATAAGTTCAAAATGGATTAAAAACTTAAATGTTCATCGAAGAAAACATAAAGGAAAAGCTCCATGACATTGGTTTGGCAATGATTT
This sequence comes from Homo sapiens, assembly GCF_000001405.40. Lineage (NCBI taxonomy): Eukaryota > Metazoa > Chordata > Mammalia > Primates > Hominidae > Homo > Homo sapiens. The sequence continues at coordinate 127,580,010 of NC_000005.10, forward strand.
TTTGGATGTGACAGCAAGAGCCCAGGCAATCACAAATAAACAGGAGAGACTACATCAAACTAAAAACTTTCTGCAGCGCAGAGGAAACAATCAACAAAATGAAAAGACAACTTATGGAATGAAACAAAATATTTCCAAACCATATATCTGATAAAAAGTTAATATACAAAATATATAAGGAACTCATGCAACTCAATAGCAAAAAACCAAATAACCCAATTTTAAAAATGGGCAAGGACATGAATAGACTTTTTTCCAAAGAGGATACATTAATGGCCAACAGGTATGTGAAAAGGTGCTCAACATCACTAATCATCAGAGAAATGCAAATCGAAATCACAATGAGGTATCACCTCACACCTGTTAGGATGGCTATAATCAAAAAGTCAAAAGATGATGAGGATTGCTGAGGACATAAAGAAAAAGGAAGTCTTATACATTGTTGGTAGGACTGTAAGTTGGTATAGCTGTTATGAAAAACAGTATGGAATTTCCTCAAAAAATTAAAAATAGGAGTACCATATGATTCAGGAATTCCTTTTCTAGATATATAGTGAAAGAAAACTAAGTTACTCTCTTGAAGAGATGTCTGCACTCTCATGTTCATTGCAGTATTCTTCACAATACCCAAGATAAGGAATCAACCTAAGCATCTGTCAACAGATAAATGGATAAAGAAAATGTGACATGCACACACAGAGGAATATTATTCAGCCTTAAACAACAAATAAATCCTGCCACTGGTGACAACATGAATAATGTACCTGGAGGACATTATGCTAAAAGAACTAAGCCAGACACACAAAGACAAATATTGCATGATCTCATTTACAGTTGGAATCTTAAAAAGATAAACTCATAGAAACAGAGAATAGAAAGATGGTTACCAGAGGTGAGAGGGTGCGGAAATGAGAAGATGTTGGTGAAAGGGTACAAACTTTCAGTTATAAGGTGAGTAAGTTCAGTATCGTGTATAGTATGGTGTCTGTAGTTAATATAATATATACTTGAAATTTGCTAAGAGAGTAGATCTTAAATCTTATCACAAAGAAAAAAGGTAACTATGTGAGGTGATGTATATGTTAATTAGTTTCATTGTGGTAATCATCTCAGTGTATACATAAAATATCATGTTGCACACCTTAAATATATGCAATTTTATTTGTCAATTATACCTCAATAAAGTTGGGGGAAAAAGGAATGAAGTGCTGATTCATACTATAATAATATAGATAAACCCTGAAAACAATATGTTAAGTGAAAAAAGCCAATCGAATTATGTACTATATAATTCCATTTATATATAATGTACAGAATTAAACAAAGCCATAAAAATAGAGTGCAGATCAGTAACTGCCAAGATGTAAGGAAAGATAAATTAAGAATGATTGCTAATTTCTTTTTGGGGTGATGAATATGTTCTGGAATTTACAAGAAAACCATTGGTCTGCACACTCTTAAAGAGTGAATTGGATAGTGTGTGAATTTCATCTCAAAGAGCACAAAATCAAAAAAAGTCAAACAAACAAAATAAGTGGAAACAACTCAAATGTCCATGAACTGATAAATGTGGTACAGATTTATCATGGGTGATGAAAATGTTCTAAATTGATTATGGTGATGATTGCCCAACTCTGTGAATATACTAGAAACCGCTGAATTACACTTCAAATGAATGAATTTTATGGTATGCGAATATACCTCAATGAATCTGCAATGCATAAAAAAAATCTCAAAAACCCAAGTCAGAGTGTTTCTCTCTTTTGCTCAAATCTCTGCAATGACCTGCACCCAGATCTCCTTCCCTTCCCTTCCTTTCTCTTTTTTCTTTTCTTTTCCTTTCTGTTTTTTCTTTTTTTTCTTCCCCTCTCTTTTCTTCTTTCTTCTTTTCTTTTCTTTTTTTTTTCTTTCTTTTTGGGACAGGGTCTCACTCTGTCACCCAGGCTGGAGCACAGTGGTGTGATCATAGCTTACTGTACCCTCGACCTCCCCAGGCTCAAGTGATCCTCTTACCTTAGCCTCCTGAGTAGCCGGAACTCCCAAGTAGCTGAGACTACGGGTGCACAGCACCATGCCCAGCTAATTTTTTTTTTTCGGGGGTAGAGACATGATTTTGCTCTATTGCCCTGGCTGGTCTCAAACTCCTGGGCTCAAGCAGTCTGCCCACCTCAGCCTCCCAAAGTGCTAGGATTACAGGTGTGAGCCACCACACCAGGCCTCCAGATCTTGGTTCCCTGATACCATGTTCCGATAAATTGAACCAGGGCTTCCTGGAGAAATGGCTGAATCCAAGGCGAGGGCAGGGAACACAGAAGATGAGCCTGGGGCATCTTATAGTACCAGGAGATGGAACATACATTAAAAACAAGATTTAACAAAACGTTCATCTCAAATGGAGCCAATCTGAAACAATTGCCAATGTCCAAAACCAGAACAAATGGGGAAAAAAAACAAGTAATGATAATATTAGAGTGTAACTCAAAGAATAATTATCTATGAGTCTATACTGATATAAATAAGCAAATAAGGGGGAAGGGGTGAATCTTCCTTAGAAATATTAAACATAGAAGGAATGAAGGAAATAAAAAATCACCATTATAATACCACTGGCTATAGTTGAGAGCCTTTGATGGATACTAAAATTACTGGGCAAAATTTTAAGAGGAAGCAGGACATTTTCATAGCCTCAAGGTATCTCTTCTAAAAGTACTCATTAATTACTGTGGCAATTTTAACCTATGTTCACAAATTATTTGATACTCCTTTCTCTAGAAGATAAAGCTTAATTCTCTTCCTTTTGAGCGTGGGCTGGATTCCTAGAAGTGAGACCTACTTCTATATATAGAGCATGGAAAAGAAAAAATAGTAACTACTGTGGAGAAACCTGGCAAGATGTCATCTTAACCTAGTGGTGAAAGCCAACATCACCAGTGGTAAGCCATGGGATATCATGTACCCCATGACAAGATGTAATGAGAAGGGCACTTCCTCAGTGTAACTATGAGAAAACATCAACCACATTCACATTAAGGGACATTCTACAAATACTTGCTCAGTCCTCTTCAAAAGTGGCAAGGTCATGAAAAGCAGGAAAAGAATGAGGAACTGTCGCAGATTGGCGGAGAGTAAGGAGACATGAAAACTAAGTGCAGCATGATCTCCTGGATTGGATCCTGAGACAGTGACAGGACATCAGTGGAAAAACCAGTGACACCTGAATAAAGTCTGTATAGTTTTGTACCACTGTTTATTTCCTACTTTTGATAAATGAGCTATGGTTACATAAGACATCAGCATTAGAAGAAGCTGGGTGAAAGGGATATGGGAACTCTAGGTTATCATTGCAACTCTTCTAAAATCACTTTAAAGTAAAATGTTTCTAAAAATACTGAGAAGATAAACCCCTCAATCTCATGCTGGGTAAAATTCAAAGTCATTCTTAATTGCCTTCTAAGCCTGATGTAATGCTCACATTCCCTCTCTGCCCTTCTCTTCTCTCATTCCTTCCCTCCTGCAGATGACTTTGGCTACCTGTCTCCTTCCTGTTTACTCCTGGCATGATTTTTTCTGGGCTCTTGACTCTTACTGTTCCTTTTGCCTGGAAAGCTCCCCATGAAGAAAGTTTCATGGCTAGTTCCCTTACCTCTTAGAGATCTTTACTCTGATGTCCCTTAATCACGAGGCCTTCTCTGACCGACCCATATAAAACCACACATAGTATGTCCTGTCATGCCCTATACCCTGGCTTGCTTTACATCTTCATTGCTCTTATCACCACCTGTCATTCATTATATTTTACTGATTTTTTTCCTTATCTATTTCCCTTGTGGAAGGCAGCATAATGGCCCCTAAAGATATTCATGCCCTAATGCCTGGCATTGGTGATTATGTTATACATGGCAGAGGGGAATTAAGGTTGTTAATCAGCTGACATTGAGATGAGGAGATTATACTGGATTATGTGGTAGGCCCAGTATAAACACAAGGGACCTGAAAAGTAGAGAGAAAGCAGAAAATACAGTAGAGTGATTCCATGTGAGAATGACTCAACTTCCCATTGCTGGCTTTGGAGATATAAGGGAACCATGAGCCAAAGGCTGTGGGCCGCCTCTAGAAGCTGAAAAACATGAAACAGATTTTTCCCTAGAGCCTCCAAAAGAAACACAGCCCAACTGACACCTTAATTTTAGCCCAGTGAGACCTCTGTCAGATTTCTTTACATAACTGTAAGAAGATACATTTATGTTGTTTAAGCAAAACAACACAAGACAGCATTCCTTTCCTGTAATAAATTTGTGATGATTTGTTACAGCAGCAGTAGAAAACTCATTCATATCATGAACAAAATCCCATTGCTAACGTCCCTGTGGGATCTCAGGTCTGATGAGTATGGGAACTCATATGTAACACAAGGACTATTTTGTCATAAATTTCTCCAGTGGTGATGAACAAGTCTGTGAGCACAGTGAGTGTCTCAGGGTATGTGTGAGTAAGTGTGAGTGAGGGATTTTGTCTGTTGTGTAAAGAGTTCCTGCCATATACTCAGAGACCTCACAGGCACTGTTCCTATCCTTGGGTTAAATGCTAAGAGGTAAGGCCTTTATCATTTCCACTGTTTTTCAAATTTTATTTTTTGTTTTTATAGAGACGGGGGTCCCTCTCTCTCACCCAGGCTACAGTGCAGTGGTATAATCATAGCTAACTGCAGCCTCAAATTCCTGGGCTCAAGCAATCCTCCTGCTTCAACCTCCCAAGTAGCTAGGACAACAGGTACAAGCCACCATGCTCGGCTCTCCCATTTCTAGTGTTCAAGATTGAGAATCTTTACGTGGACTTGGAAGACATTTCTGAATACTTTGCCTAAGAACCCTGTACTACCCTGTCTGTTCTAAACAGGAGATAAACAGTGGCCACAGCATTCTGGAGTTTTATGTTTAAAACTGACTCTCAGACATTAAATAAATCTTACCAGAAGAAATTGATTTAGGAAGGCAGTGTAAATGTGTCTTTTGTTTTTATTTAGAGAACTTCTCATCTAGATTCAGACCTTTGAGGGGTTATAGATTGATGGGTGAATTTGCTTGTGTTCATTATGTAAAATAACAGAAGAGCCAGAAGCAATATAACCAAAATACAAGAGAGCTTTATAAACAAAATAAGAGTAATAGATACTTGAAAGATAATGTCCCCAAGCACTTTAGAAATGTCTAAAGTATCGTAGAAATTTTTAGATGAATGGCTCTAAATTCATTTTGGAATGGGCTTTAGTTGTTAAATTTTCTTTTCTAAATAACCCAGAAAAAGTTTTAGCTAGATATAAAATACAAATTGAACACCAAGAGAATTCACCATAAAGTTTTCATTGATGTATTTAATATAGCTGTAATCATGATATGTCAGTAGAAGACTGTGGTTTACACATGACAAAAAACCCCTGACACAACCTGGCTTAAACAAGAATGGGAATTTACTGGCTTACATAACCATAAAACCCCAAGAGAGGGTGGGTTTCTGCAAAGTTGATTCAGATGTTTAGAATTCATCAACAAAGTTGATTCAAATGCTTACAATACAATTCAAATGTTTTCTGCAGTTCTCTCACCCCTACTCTCTGAAATTTGTTGGCTTTTTTCTTGAACTGGCTTCTCTCACTTCTTCTGGCTCCCAGAGGGGTCAGCTCGCTCACATTTGACAAACAGGGCCACCCTGGAACTGCTATTCTAATCATCACGGGGCTAGGAAAGTCAGGATTGATAATAATAGAGCAGAAGTCTGCAAACCAGGGCCTGCAGGTGAAATCCAGCAAGCTTCCTGTTTTTGTAATAAAGTTTTATTTGACCACAGTCATGTCCATTCATTTGCATATTGCTTACGGCTGCTTTTGCACTATAATAGCAAAGTTGAGTAGTTACAATGTGAACCTTACATCATGCAAAGCCTAAAATATTTACTTTCTGGCCCTTGACAGAAAAAGTTTGCTGAACTCTGTAGTAGATTAATAGAGAATAACTCTTTGAGGTAGCACTCAGCCCAGAAGCCAGTCTTCTCACCAAAAGCAGTTAATTCATGCTATGGCTCTTTTTTCTTTTTTCCACCAAAGCACAGAAAGATTTTTCTTAGGCAATTACAGCAAGCAGTTTTTGAAAGTCAAGAGTCAGGCTTCCGATGTTTTAGGATTTACATGGGTCGTCTAAATGGCTAATAGTTAGCTATAGCTAAGGAAATAGAATGGAGTACTGTACCGCAAATTCACACAAACAGCACACACTAGGGGCCAGATTCTGCAAGCACTTTATATCTATTCGTCTCTCACAAAATCATGTGAGGGGTGTTCTGTGATTATTCCTACTTTATAGATGAGGCACCAAGAGCTTAAGAAATTTCTTCTTACAGAGCTGGAGCTTCTTAAATGGAGCATCTGTAATTGAAAGCCAGATTGTGGGACTCCAGCATCCACACTGTTAATCAGTAACAAGAGGTTGCCTGAGCAAATGCAAAACGAGGCTAAGAATTATCTGCAGTTTGTGGTCTGACTCAATACTGAAGATGAAAAAATGTGAGACATGCAATGAAAGAGCAGAGGACTTTCACACAGCCAGGAGACAAAGACACAGATCAAATTAGAAGCAGAAAACAAACATTTGTTAATAGACACTGGGGACTCCAAAAGAGTGTGGGGAGGGTTGAAAAATTGCCTATTGGGTACAATGTTCACTATTTGGGTAGCAGGTACACTAGAAATCCAAACTCCACCAGTATGCAATATACCCATGTAACAAACAACTATATATACCCTGTGTATCTAAAAAAAAATTAAGTAAATAAATAAAAACAAAATAAACCTTCCCTCCAGCTGCCCCTTGCTAAGGGGCTGGAGCAAGACCCTGATGAGGAGGGTGCTGGAAGATAACACCTTACCTATACCAGTGTCAGCCAGAATGAGCTCCTTAGAACATGAGTACTGGAAATTTCTGTATAGAAAATTGGTCCTGTGGTCAGCTTAGTGGAGAAACAGTGCACACACTAACTCACTCAGGGGTATTCCCAGTGCAAATGTCAGAGACTCTGAGAAATGCTAGACTAGAGAAACTGGTTTGCTTAATCTAGTATTTACTGAATTTATAAGACCACTGAACATTCTTTGTGAATCTGTATGACATCTGTAAATGTCCCAAAGAACAAAATTTCCATGCATTTTATTGTATAATTTAAATGCATCATTTGAATGCCTAGTAGTATAATTTAGTTCATAGCCTGTAGTGTGAAACCATTGCTTCTTAAGTTATCTTTTTTGGTTGTCTTTTTACTTTTTTTCGTTGTTGTCTTTTTACAATCTTAATAAGAGCCCTTCCAAGGTAATTAAACTGGGATTCTGAAGCAGATGGATCTCTGGAAGCCAGATGGACTGACCATTTGAACCAGGTGAGCTTCCTTGCCAAAGGGGGCTGGCAAGGCCCCCTTCTAGGAGGATCTGCCACCTAAGTTTACCCACTACAATGGCAGCATCAAAATAGCATTGTCATACTGATATGCTGAAGGACTAAATTGTGTGGAACAGATATGGAGTGTATCAGAGCACAGGTAAATAGCTGCAAATAGTGTAGGCAATAAATTCACAGGAACTTAAAGATTGCAGTTATGGGCATAGTATGGACTATTGCCAACAGGAAAGGGTGCACGGGAGGAGGAGATGCCTGAACTGGACCTTATGAGGTCTAGCGGATGTGGGCAGTGGAGAGAAGTTGTGGGGGGTAGGGTGGAGGGTTTCAGACCAACAGGAAAAGATGGGGCCTGAATGTGCACAGGGCTGAGAACAGTCTCTGTTAGGGCAGGGGGTAACGCTGGGCCTGGATTAGGCAGAGGGTGTGGTTGGTGAGGTCTGAGAGGTGAAGTGGACTAGTTTATGGACCACCCTGATAATCTGGCTGAGGGGTGTGGTTTTAATTCAGCTGATAACAAGGAAATATTGCAGGTTTGTGAGCACGGTCAAAGTGTGTGTTGTTTGACATAGATCTAGAGAACGGCAGTATGAAAATGGATCAGGAGGGAGAAATCTAGAAGGGTAAATAAAATTCCTTTATTACAGGGAATACCTGAAGCACCAGGAAGACCAAATGATTACAGAGTTGGAATTTTCATCCCCACTCACAGACCTCCAGGATGAGAAGAGAAGGAAGAGAAATGTATAGACTATTTACAATTTCATGCTACCAAGAAGGCTGACTTCCAAATTACCAAAGTCAAAGTCATTGATTTTTCTAAGAAATGTCCAGAGAGATTGACTGTATAAGCAACTGTAAGTGGCCCGCCCCGTTGTTTAACCATTGTTATAATTAAGAAGATGGTTTGCTTGCTTTCTTTTAAAGTAACACATGTGTATGTTAAGGGACTGTAGCCACTGGGAAAACACACTCTGTTTTTCTACATCCTCACACAACGCTTCTGACACCAGATGTGTGGGGGTTTTCCACACCAGGCAATTCTTCAACTCTCCAAACACCAGTTGGGTATTCTGCAATTTAATTAGATTCTGACACTATCTGGAGTCAGCTCAATCTCACAAGACTGCCCCACTTGCCAATCACAAGTCCAGGCCTCTGATATTTCTGATTGACCAACTATAAATCCAAGGTACCCAGGACCCCCTCCTCATGTTCAATAATTTGCCACAATGTCTCACAGAACTGAGGGAAGCACTTTACTTATGTTTACTGGTTTATTACAAAGAATACAACTTAGGAAAAACTAAGTCAGGGGATGCATTGGGCAAGATATGGAGGTGGGACTCGGAGCTTCCAGCCCTTTCAGGGTGCCTCCTCCCAGCACCTTCACATGCTCAGCCACCCAGAAGCTTATCAAATCTCTTTGTTCAAGAGTTTTTATAGAGCTTAATCTCTAGCCATCCCCAGTTCCCCAACATCCTGGAGGTCTGTGAGTGGGGATGAAAATTCTAGCTCTATAATCACTTGCTCTTTCTGGTGACCAGACCCAAGGGAGACTATCTAGGGGCCCCACCCAAAGTTACTTCATTAGCATAAACTCTGGGGTGATCCAAAGGGGATCGGCATTAATAACAAAAGATACTGCTATGTCTCAATAAATTCCAAGGGTTTTAGGTGTTCTGTGCAAGGAACTGGGGAGAAAAACCAATTTTTAAAAATTGTACCAAAACCATGTATGATTTGCTTAACACAGCATATTTGGCAAATATAGAAAAAACCTAAGGAAGAAAATGAATCATGCACAATTTCAGAGACAGTCATACATTTTTGGGGGTATTTCTTCCCGGGAGCAGTATGGTGGGGTCTCTGTGAGGTGATGAAGCCGTGGAGAGGTGGACGACAGACCTGGCAGTGCTCTGTGGTCACTGGTCACTGCAGTGATGCCTGGCTGGAGCCTCAGCATCCACCTGAGGCACTGACGAGCGGGAGCAGGCTTGAGTGGCACTTACGTGGGAGTCCATCAGTCATGCTTGTAAGCACATGTGGGTTAGGGTTAAATGCACTTGCCAGGTTTTGTGCCATTTCAGTCACTTTTCATGCAAGAGAACAGAGCCTTAAATGCCAGCCCCACCGTATGTGACCTTTCTGCACACCACTCCAATAATTTGCGCTATCATACTCCTGCTTTACCAATCAGGCCAAGACAATAACACATAAGAAAAGAACACTTCTGCATTGTTCCACAAGCCTTGAAATGTAATGTGAGTCTTTACTGAAGTCGTTTGAAGGGGGTTACATCATATAACATACAATGGAACAGCCTGGAAACCCCTCTGCGATTCAGCTCCTTGAAGCCCCGCACTGCCAGCACCGGCTCCGGCTCCTCCAGTTCCTCCCAGGACCCACTGGCTTTCTCTTAAATGCTCCTGATTCTCTGGCTTGCTTTTTCCTCTCCTTGCTGTTGCTTTGGGAATTTTCCTTTTTGGAGAACTCAAGCCTTTTCTTATGTAAATAAGTACAGTATCTCCAAGTTTTTTCAGCTTCTTCACTCTACCCACTACTTCATCCATGAGACAAGGGCTGAGGAATCTAGCAGTTCAGCTAGACTTCCAATCTTTCTTAAAAAGCTGGGGAGGGGAGAAGATAGAGAATCACTCTGTTTTTCTAATATTGCACCTGCCACACAAACAAGTGGGGGTGAGCCTTATTAAGAGGCTGGAACTTCTTAATCCAGATTATCTACAGATTAACTCTAGGCAAAAATGATCTCTGGAAAACAGAAAGCTGATTATTGCTAGTAAATAAATGGGCTCTAAACCATAGTAGGTACCCAAATAAAACTCTTACTTTAAATGAGCTCCTTTGTTGATGTTTCCTGCCACTTCAAAGCAAGTGTTTGCACATGCTGATTGACAAGCTGAGAAGACCGAATGTTGAGCGGAGCTGCATTTCTTCACTTGGCTGCACTTTTATATAAGACATTTCAGAAACTTCTTGGTGTTATCTCAGAGCTGAAATGAATTTCCAGCTTCATGTTTTCTTAGTTATTATTATCAGTCCCAAAGTACTTACTATATCTGGTGCACGGTCTAGGTCCCTGTGCTAATGTTATGACGATTAAAGAGGGCTGGGTGTGAGTTTCACTATTAATAATGTCTATGGGTCTTTCTTCGAGTCTCCAGGCATTGGTACGAATGTCTTTCTCTCCTACTGCTGCTTGGGTCTGTGGATCTGATTTCATTTATGCCTTTCCTTGTCTCTGTCCCTCCAGTAGTTGTATATAATCCTGGCTAAATGCACTGGTGTCTTCTATTGTTAGCTTTGCCTAACCTCATCTCTACAGTTTCTTCAGGGATTCCTTGAGCACAGAATAGAGCACTGCCTTTCTGCCACAGAGAGATGGACTGTAAAGTCTGGCAATGTAACTCTGCAGGAGGGATTTAACAGCTTGTGATAAAATATTTAAGGAAAAAATAACCAGCTAATGGGAAGAGATTAATTGGATATTAAAATTATTTCCATGTAACAAGAAGACTGGGCTAAGAATATATATTGCAACGGGGGACCAATTGCATAATGGGGACCATAATGGGAACAAAAAACTATATGCTCCCTCAATGGGGACCAGTAACTATAATGGGGACCAATTAAAATTTGTCCATAATGGAGATCAATAACTATGCCCCATTCCTACTTTCATCAATAATTTTAATTTATTAAGGTAAATTAAAATATTAAATATATTTAATATCATAATAGTGATTGTATTCATATTATATATAAAATATAAAATATATAAATACTTTAATACATTTAAGCATATTAAATCTATAAAATATAAATATATTAAATTTGTGACAAAGGCAAAGTATGCAAACATTAATATTTAATATTAGTTTAAGGATATGAATACTTTGAAGAGTTTGATTTTTAACAGTCAGAAGGGACTTTAACAATGACCTAGGAGTGCCTTGATTCTGTGGGTGAAGACCCAAGGCCTAGGTGGAGCAACTTATTTAAATTTCCTCTGGTTACTGGCCAGAACTTCATTTATTGAGTGCCTACTGTGTGCCAGACCTTAGTCTAGGTCGTGATATGCAGCCACAAATGATATCAAGATCCCTGTTTTCTTGGAGTTTAAACATCTGTTGGGGAGGCAGACAATAAACAAGTGAACAAAGAACAGATGAACAAGATCTTTTCAAACAGTGATGAATCCCTTGGTGGCTATGAAGAGGGGAACATGATTGAGAGGTGCAGTGGGGGTTCTGAAGAGAAGACCTTGCCGCTGAGGCCTTGGTGGTGAGAAGTACCAGTCCTGCAAAGCTGGTACAAGCCTGAATGTGTGTGGCCGATCACAGCACTCCAAACTGCCTCCAGAGAAAACAACTGTGGCATCTTCATCAGTTTCGTGGAGGTTCTATCATCTTCCTAGCATTTCAGAAAGAAATGAACACATAGTAGTGATATTTTGCAAATAGGCATCATGTATCAAAAACTGTAATATGCACATATTGGTGATATTTTGCAAAGGAGAATCATGTATCAAAAGCTGGAATATGCATTATGTATCAAAAACTGGAAGAGCATACTATTCTAGGACCTGTTAAAAGGAAGTTTATGTAGCATGCAGCCCTGCCCTTGATGAGCTTACAACTTTATGCACAGCTTCTTCCTCAGGAAGGCAACCTCCTCAACCTTCACAATTGCTCTGTGATCTATACCAGTAGAAGTAAGGGAGGCAGCTAATTTGACTTAAACAAGATTCTAATCAAGAGCCTGTTCTCTTCTAGAAAGAGCTTGTAGACATGTATATCCAGGGCTTTGGCTTTATAACTTATCTACCACAAATAATGGTGTTTATATTATATTACACAGTTAAAAAAAGGTCTATGTGTATATTCACAATATTGACTCTCGGCCTGATATTAATTCCTAATAGTAGGGATGAATGAGAAGAGTCAGTGAAATTTCATCAAGCAATTGGCAACATGCAAAGCATTTTTTTTTCTTTTAAAAATAAAATTTAGCCAGGCGCGGTAGCTCACGCCTGTAATCCCTGCACTTTGGGAGGCAGAGACTGGTGGATTACCTGAGGTTGGGAGTTCGAGACCAGCCTGACCAGCATGGAGAAACCCCATTTCCACTAAAAATGCAAAATTAGCCGGGCATGGTGGTGCATGCCTGTAATCCCAGCTACTCGGGAGGCTGAGACAGGAGGACCACTTGAACCCGGGAGGTGGAGGTTGCGGTGAGCCAAGATTGCGTGATTGCACTCCAGCCTGGGCAACAAGAGTGAAACTCTGTCTCAAAAAAATAATAACAAAATAAAAATATAACAAAATAAAAAAAAAATTAGCTAAATTTAGTTGAGACTGAATGACAAGAATTCAAGCTACAACTTGATCATTGTTCTTTATCCTGTCATCATTTCAGAAGCCACTGTAAGATGGATCAATATATATTTATTGTTGATAATGGAAAAACACATGTTGAAAATATTATCTTCATATCTGTTCTCATAGAAAATTCATCCCAGATTATATGGGCTTCATATTATCTTTTATTTTTTATATATTTTATTTTATTTTTGAGACGGAATCTCACTCTGTTGCCCAGGCTGGAGTGCAGTGATATGATCTCAGCTCCCTGCAACCTCCATCTCCTGGGCTCAAGTGATTCTCATGCCTCAGCCTCCCAAGTAGCTGGAACTACAGGCACCCACCACCACACCCAGCTAATTTTTGTATTTTTAGTAGAGACGTGGTTTCATCATGTTGGCCAGGCTGGTTTCAAACTCCTGACCTCACGTGATCCATCCACCTCAGCCTCCCAAAATGCTGGGATTACAGGCATGAGCCACCATGCCTGGCCCACATTATCTCTGAAGAGAGAAAAAAAAAATGTCTTAGATAGTTATAGTTACAGTTTGGAGAAGACAGCTGGACAAGGACAGAGGATTTTTTAAAAACAGGTTTAATGGAGATCCTGGGTTCTTCAAGACTTTTTCAAAGGACTTTAAAACAATTATAAAATTGTTTCAGTCCCACTGCATAGTGTTCCAGAAATTGTTAAGGTGGAAGGGAGATGGGATAACTATTAAAAACCTAAAAAAGTTTCATAGCCTCAAAAGTGTGAAAATCTGTGCGGCCTAGTCTTTGTCCAGGGAGCAGGGATTTGCACCCAGTCATGATATCTGAGAGCTAGTGTAGGGTGTGCTGTTTGCTACAAAAGAGCCAGACAACACAAGAAACTTTGATTCTCAGAAAATGCTGCATTTCTCAGAAGGTATGAATGGCGGAATAAAAGGGTGGCAGTGTGAATGTGTATCCTCACTGAAGTGTAATGGGAATTCAAAAGACTTTCTGCTGTCTCGCTTGAGCCCAACCCCAAGAGTAAAAGACAAGCTGCCAAAGATGTTAGACCCCAATCTGCAGGGCAGGCTAAGAAGATGGCATAGTTCTGTGAAACTGATGAAGAGTTTTTAGACATTTTCTTTGGAGGCAGTTTGGAATGCTGTGGTGTTTCTCTTCTCCCTGTTTCCCTCACTCCATGTCTTGCTATGGGGTAGTGGAGACTGTTACCCCCGAGCCAAGTGAGAGGAGCTTCAAGGAACCACTCAGACAGCATGACCTTGTGCCCGCACACCCCATCCTAGCCTAGGAACTGTGACTAAATCAGCCTTGAATTGACAGAGCAAAGGGAGAGAGCATTTCCTTGGAAGGCAACAAGATAGCAGGGGAAAGACGCTTGTTTTGACTTTGAATGAATTTGAAGTTTTGTTTCTCTAGCAGAACAGACAAACTCTGTAACTTCTGACCAAACTGAGCTCAATACTGTTTGAAGGTGACTACAGCTTTTGTTATCTATGCATGATTAGTAACCACAGAACTCCTAGGCCGGGCGCGGTGGCTCACGCCTGTAATCCCAGCACTTTGGGAGGCCGAAGGGGGTGGATCATCTGAGGTCGGGAGTTCCAGACCAGCCTGACCAACACGGAGTAAACCCCGTCACTACTAAAAATACAAAATTAGCTGAGCATGGTGGTGCATGCCTGTAATCCCAGCTACTCGGGAGGCTGAGGCAGGAGGATCACTTGAACCCGGGAGGCGGAGGTTGTGTTGAGCCGTGATCATTACATTGCACTCCAGCCTGGGCAAAAAGACTGAAACTTCATCTCAAAAAAAAAAAAAAAAAGAAAAGAAAAAAGAAACCACAGAACTCCTTAAGATGAATTGAGAGCATTTAATAGAGAAAAATAAAAAATAAAAAATTGGTTTCTAGGTCAACTGATAAGCTGGTTCTGTGACCTGAACACACATTTAAATTGTGTGGCTTTTGGGTTCCAAGGAAGAGGTTGAATACCAGTGACCAATAATGGTTTCTGTTTAACTTGCATTCTCTCTGAGACAATGTCTGTAAAGTGCTTTGCACAGAGTCTGGTATAGCAGAAGCCCTCGATAAATAATAATGTTATTATGCTCATTATCTTTAATTATTATTGCAAGCCATCTGATTTAAAACATATGCAGTTAGACCCTCAGCAGTTCTCATCCAGTTCCAGGCCTCTGTAGAGTGAGCCCTGAGACCATCCCTCCCCAGGCTAAGAGGTGGTGGGCCTCTCTACGAGCTGTGGCTTCCTTGGGAAAACTTGATGTAGGTGACAGGTGGGACTCCAGGGAGGTACCATGGCAGACAGGTCAGGCCATCCTGACTTTGAATGTTGTCTCCACAATCAATGGAGATTTAGAAATCCAATTTAAAAATCCAAAAATAATATATACCTATTGTGGAGGTTTAATACCTACTTAATTGGCTTCTTGTGCTACATAATGGAAATCCAGTTCATTTACTTCCTTCTTCCCATCTTACCTGGCAGTGTTTCTTTTCTTTTAATTCTTAAAACCCCTCTGTGGGAGGCTAGCATTCTTAAACTTCCCTGTTCTGTGCCCTGTTTGCTTTACTTACTTGAGAAAGTAACCTATTAAACCAATTTCTAATAAGATATAAATAAATGATAATTGCTTAGACTGAAGATTCCCTTTTAACAGAGGAATTTGGAAGCTGGAAAGCAGAGGAGAAATCTCAGACCCTGAACATCCCCACTGTGTTGACCTGGGAAAGGTCCAGGGCTGCAGAGCCACGTTAAGCACCTGCACTAGGCTGGGTCTTCACAGAAGACAAAACTACCTTTTCTCCAATGTGGGCATCCAACTATGACAGCCGATGAGCAGACAGTGAGCTGACATCTGCCACCTTGACTGGCCACCTGCTCTGAGCTCCTCTGTGCCCAGCTCTAAACTGGGAGCTTTACAACAGAATCGCATTGTGTCTTTGTAACATCTTGAAAGGAAAGGTATTGTTAGCTGAGAGACCCAAACCAGGCAAACTTCAAAGCAGTTGATCATCCCAGACGCACCCCTATGAGAAGAGAGCATTGAAGATGTTCAAGTAACACATATGTGGGAGAAAAGTAAAAGATGAAAAAGTAAAAGATGAACACTTTGAAAAGAGGAGCAGTGAGGGGTAAAAGATGAAAGGAAAAGTCACCAACTTTAAACGCTTGAGGTTTTCCTTGAACTCTATCTTCCTTCCTTGCTAGTTAGTACTCATTTCTGTTAGATCAGCACACAAAGCTACTTTTCACAAATCTGCCAGGTACTCAACTGGTAACATGAGGTCAAACAGAAATGCGCATTCACGCCCTTTAATCTGGAGCTGGCATTTGGCAGAGTTTGTGGAGACTTAACTTTAATTAATTGAGTCCTTAGGAATAGAGCTGACAGTTTCCCTTTCACGGATTTTAGAAAGTTGAAATATTTTCCTCCAAGAACTTGATTGTTCTCTAAATCCCCCTGCCTGTGGAGGAGGCTATCATAAAACAGATGACTTGATTTCTTAGAGAGTC
Source organism: Homo sapiens (assembly GCF_000001405.40). Lineage (NCBI taxonomy): Eukaryota > Metazoa > Chordata > Mammalia > Primates > Hominidae > Homo > Homo sapiens. The sequence goes on from NC_000005.10 coordinate 127,596,360, forward strand.
TTTCTCGTCAGACAACAAACACGATGTTATTCATCCTTGCAGGAAAATGTAGGTCCTAAGAGATAAGCAAAGGGGTATTTGGTGATAAAACTGGAGAAAAATAGAAATGTTATAATTGAGCTGTGATCCCTAAACACTCTTCCTGCTCTTCCTCAAAAAACTTCCTGGTGGCTTCCCATCTCACCCCACTGAAATTTAATGCATGATTTAGTCCTGCTGAAGAAATCTCAGCACCCACTTGAACAGCACCCCCCTGATCTCAACCTCTCTCCAGAGGTCTGAGCCCACAGCCATCAGCCATCTCTTAATCCATAAAGTAAATGGGGCTTAATGCTGGCGGCAGAGGTCGCAGCAGGAGACCGGGCTGCACTTGCCCAAGATACAGGCTTGTATGAGCATGCCTGTGGGACAAGTAGGTGAGCCTGCCAGGTGCAGTTTCCATGATGACCAGGGCATCTGCTAGGCAAGAAGATGCTCTAAAAGCAGAGTCAGTTATGCTGCATAGATTGCACAAAGTGAGTTCTGAGGAAGCACTGTGTGGATCCATAATTGCCCCCAGGGGTGTTGGGTTGTGTCCAAGGGAGGGGGCTGAAGTGAGATGGTGGATGAAGCTTAAGAGCTCCTGATGATGAAGTGCCAGCGATCCAGGCTTCTGGAGTTGGTTTTGATGGACGGCCACTCCTTCAGTGTGGACAGTACCTGCGTTGATGTGACTTTGCTGGGAACTGCCGGTGGCCTTGTCATATGTTAGTGCCCTGGCCAGGTAGGAGCTGCAGGGGCAGCATTCTGGTGTGTGCCCACAGTGCTGTGCCTCTAGTGAACATTGTCAGTGATGGCTGACGATGGGTTACAATTGCCTTTGAAGATCACTGTGACAAGAGACAACTGTACAGTGAGCAGCACTAATAGCTGTAAACAGAGAGAAGGGCTTCACAAAACATGGGCAGGACCTCTTTGAGAATTCCCATTATTAACAAGCTGTATTCCCAAGGGAGAGGTGTGCTAGAGTTCCTCCTGACTCAGTGGAGGCTGAATCAGAGAAATTCTGTGTAATGATGTTATGTTAAAACTTCTGCTACCCCTGGGTGCTACCCCTACACGCTATAGGGAATCAAGCATATGTGTGTTTGGAGGTGGGTCTCTGCTTTGATTGTTGATGGCAAGCTATGAGATGAGACAGGCAGAGTGCTCACTGAGAACCATGCTGGGTCAGGAAATCAAGGGGCCCTGAGGCTGAAAGTTGAAGAGATCCAGTGTGGTTACTGACTTTCCCTCAAAGCCAAGTGAAAGTCAATAGCCACACTATATCTCTTCAACTTCCTGCTGGGAAAGGAAGTTGGAGAGATTCAGTCAACAGAAAGAGGAAAGGTCAATAGCCACTTTGGATCTCTTCTTACTGATAGCCAGGCCAGGCTGTCAGCAGCACCACTGATTCTCTAGATCTGGCCTACCCCTTTGACACTAGTGGAGTAGTCTGGGGACTCATTTTCCAAGGAGAGTGCCCTAATTTAGCCATGACGGTAAGTGGTGTTTTGGCAGAGGGATGACATTCTGGGCAAAACATGTGTTGGAGGCTTGGACACCTCTGACCTAGCCACTTTAGCATCCCGAGTAGTCTGGGATAGTGATTGAGTTTGTGTGTAGGGTGGGGAGCTATGTCTCTAGAGAGCTGTATGGCTGAGAGCAATCTTAGATGAACAAAATACCAATGCTTCTCTCCCCTGAGCGGGGAGCAACTCCTGTCAGGTTAGCACTGGTGGACTGCTGTGGTCTGCTCAGCAGGGAGGGCTACCTTAACACAGCAGCGATAACAGCCACTACCACTGACGAGCATAAACTACTTGACTGATCATGGAAGATGTCTCACTTTCTCTCCTGAAAGGGCTGCCTATCAAAATGACCCCTTTGACTAAGTAAATACCTCTGGGTCTTAGAACTTCTTTTGGGAAGGAAGGCCCCAGGAATGGAAGAAACACTTTCCTCCATGGGTGTACTGATACCTTCATTTAATTTGAATATTTTAAAAAATGGTACCTTATTTTGCTTCCCAAGTTGGTAAAGAAGGACAGAACAATTCCATATTACACTGTGCAGATTACTGAGACGCCAGTAAATGTATGTTCCTATTCACTTTCCAATTATCTTTAGTGCTGTCTTTAGTGTCTCGATAGGACTTTGAAAATTTTGAGAAATCAGTAGTTCCTGCTGGTAGCTGTGGTCATGTGAAGATATGGAAGAGCTTGCAAACACAGGATAAACAAGTGAGAGAAAAAAAGTTTGAAGCTTGTCTTCATGAATTAATTATAAAGTGCCTGAAGTAGAAGATAGGACTTGGTTTGAAAAATAAGAATGTCCTGTGGTTTAAATCACTGAGCTGTCTCCATACACCATCAGCCTCTAGCAATGATCTCTGAACCCTGTCTTTCTTTTCAGTCCTTGTGAAATAATGAATCCTTCTGGAAGATGACTGGTGGATAAAATAAGAAATAAAACATTCACTTCCAGGAAAAATGGAACTAGGCACTGTCAACTCTCATGAGCTTTGTTCTAAAAGTTTTCTTCTTAAATAATTACAACAGATATCTTCTTAAATTCTGCCACATATCCAAGACCAAGATTTAGAAATAGGTTGCAGTCTTGCTTTAAGTGTTTGATTGCTGATGCAGATCCATTTAAAAAATGGCTTTATTTTTAACATATTCTCTTTTGAAACATCAAATAGTCAGGCCTTCCCAAGGCCAAAATAGGTTTTGGTCAGGCAAATTAGATCATGTCCAGCAGTAAGAATAAGCAAAAAAAAAAAAAAATGCTGTAAAGACTGTTAAGGAAACCATCTTAGTCTACAGATGCTAATCAGTTGGTTGGAAGCTTTGTTCATAGCATCAATGTATCTTTCAATATTATTGCTGCTTACTGGAAAGCCAGAGACTTACAGAATCTCTTAGCCTGACTTTATGATTTTTTTCTATTGGCAGTTAACTTTGGATCGTGGCTGTCTTAGTTCCAGTTATCTGGAAACTGCCTTTGAAATGGAGATTTGTGTGTGGGAGGTTATTGAGGCCCACCCTCAAGAATAACACCAGTAAGGGAGCAAGTGAAGCAAGACTGAGTAGACGAAGAAGTCGTGTGTGACATGGTTGCAGTTGAGGTTTGAGCTTATCCCACAAGGAGGTCAGGAGCTGTGATGACCTTTCTGTTTTGCCTGGAGTAAGGCAAGCAGGATGGGTCTTTGCCTCCTCTATTAATCAGTCATTGGAAGAGGTCTCTCCTAAGGGAGGGTTGTACCTTGGCAAGGCAGCTCCTTTGGCTGAAGGCAATCCCTGGAAAGGGACACAGCTGTGAGCCCTTAACAGCCCACATTCCTCTCACCTGGCAAAATGAGTTCCATGGTTCTGACTGGAATGGAGAGAAGTGGAGGGGGCATTAAGGCAGTACACTAAAGATCTACAGCAAGTCCCCTTATTAAAGAGGCCCCTTAATTAAGGTAGACGGCGAAAGTTTGTTACTGTCATCTAATATTGTGTAACATCTCACCTTAAAACGTAGTGGCTTAAAACAACAAAAATAATTAACTGACCCACTGGTTTCTGTGGGTCAGAAATTCATAAATGGCTTGGCAAGAATCTTCTGTTTGTACTGCCTTGTGTGAGTGCAGTCAGCTGGTGGCTGAAGCATCTGGGGACTGGCCAGGCAGCTCTCTCTGCTCATGCAGTCTTGGGGCCTCTCCGTTTGGTCTCCTTGTGTGGCCTAGTTTGGTCTTTCTCACAGTATGGCAGCCTGGCACTTCTTACATGGAGGCTTAGGGCTCCACTGGTGAGGGTCCCAAGAGAGACTGGAAGAAACTACATGGCATTTTCTAATCTAGCTTCAGAAGTCATGTGGCATTACATCTTCCACGTTCTATTTGTGTCAGGGACCACCCAGTTTCAAGGGGAAGAGACAGATTCCACTTCTTGATGAGAAGTGACAAGATCTGTAAGAACATGGGCATTTTTGACAATATAAAGGCTATAAAGCTTATATTTTCTGATAGTAATAAATCCCATGAAAAAGAACTAAAAAACAATGGTATAACTAAAATCATTTGATTCTTTTTAGTTACACCGTTGTATATATGTGTACCCTATATATGTATATATGTGTACCATATATAATTATACCATGTATAATATACAGTGTACCATATACACACACATACAAATACACACACGCATACACACACACACAAACACACACACTCAATGCTTAAGTTCAGCTCAGACTATTTCATCAATTGTAAGAAACTAGACCTAGATACCAAACCCAGCATTACTAGCTTCTAATAAGTATGCTATATGAGGGTATAAGAGATACTAGATAAACAAAAGTTATTCCTGTTACAAAAGTCAGTTGAATGAATTCCACACTAGTGTTGGTTCATTCTCAGCCTATATTTTTCATATCATAATGCACAGTGCCCAATAGTAAATCCCTTTTTTGCAGCAGTACTGGGAAAGGATGCTTTGAACCTCAATTTTAGGCCACAGAAATACTACTGGCTTCCCAACTCTTACTTACCTGAAGAAATATGGTCACCACCTTGGGAATTTTGTACCTCAAGTTCAGTTTCAAAACTGGCAAAAAATTGTTAGCTCTGGATTCATTTGGTCAATGCTAATAGGTTTGTCTTTCTGAAGTTTATTCGATGGCTCCCAGGAGGAAAACACAACTACCTCTGTGTAACGAAATGTGGGAAACAAAAACCAGCCATGATGCCTCATGGATTTGCTCCACTTTTAGCATCCTTGTCATTCAGCCTAATCTCTCTCAATGCCATGCTAAGTGACCAACATTACCAAACTGGTAGATGAAACTATGAAGGCAAGCACACCATTAGCATTTGTTTGGAGGAAACAAGAAGATTAGTTTTAGGTTAGAAATCCATCAAATTATGCTTTCCAAAAAGGCTTTACAATATCTCTTGGTTTAAATAGGAAAGGCTGTTTAGTTTACGATATGTTGCTATGGAGTGTACAATATACAATTTAGATGATAATAAATGGGACTCCAAATGCTTTTATGATGCAGAACATTTTTTAGCAGTGTTTGGCAGTATAATCAATGTTGTTTTCACAACTTAAAAAAAAAAGCATTTGATGGAAACCTGCTGTTACAGAATGACATTGTAATGTGCTTTCATCAAAAGTGAACATCTTTAAAAATAACTTTTAAAAGAAGTGATTAAAACCTCAAAGATGTAAAGTTATCTTAAAGTAAATGATGAATATCTGTATATTTTAAACTATGTGCCAAGTTTGGAGATATTAAAAGCATTTTCATTGTTGAACAAATATTGCATATTTTAATCTCTAAAGAGAAGCTTTTCAACTCTTTATCTCATTGAGGCTAGAGGAACTAGTCGGAAGATAGGTTTGCATATTTATTTGAGCACCTTCAGAACTATTCTCAGTTCAGCCTCCATATGACCACAAGTTTGGGGCTCTCTGACTAGAGTTGCATTGTTTCTCACAATGCTTAAAACACAATAACGGGTAAGTCTTGGGAACCTTTTAAATCACTGAATATTATCAGCCGTGCTAATATGCGTTTTAGATACTCCCCCAGTACCTTTAAAGCCAAGATTAGGAGGGAAAATGGAAAGGGACAAAATGAAGGAGTAAGAAAGAAAGAAAGAGGAGAGAAAGGGATCTCTACCAGTGATGTCCAGTGATACCCAGTTCCATTATAAACTCACACCCAACTGATCCCAGCATCCCTGGTTATCACCAAAGCGTAAATCCCTCCAAGCGCTGTTCTTCCTCCATCCGTTGCTTGGCTCATGGCTCTTCTGGGGGGTCTTATAAGAACACATGATATCTATGGAAAACTTCTAAACCTGTATACCTAAATCTCTAGACCCAACCTTTTCCCTGAAGTTCAGAACCCCGTAGCTGAAAGTTTGCTGGACATCTCCAGTAATGAATGCCACACAGGCAACTCAAATTCAACCCATCCAGCAATAAATTATCCCTGCTGCCCACCTCATCTTGTCCCTGACATGTTATCTTCAGGATTCCTTGTCTCAACAAATTGCAATACTATTGACTTTGTCATGGTAACTAGAAATCTGGGAATCATCCTAAAGAATTCCATCTTACCCTACCCCCATCTAATCACCAAGTCCTAATGTTGCCTTTTCTTGAACATTTCTCAAGTCTGTCCTCACTGCCATTGCTGCAGCTCACATCCGCGACATCTCATACGTGGACTCTGACAACAGCCTCTCCTTGAGCTTCCTGCATCCACTCTTGCTCTGCAATCACTACTGAAGGCCACCAGGGTGCTCATCTGGAGTAACACTTGAGCCTATCCCTGCTCCCCCAAACCTTCATGACTTTCACTCCTTAGAGCTGTGCTGACCCTAAAGGAACCATTAGCCCCATGTGGTTACTGGGCACTTGAAATGTGGCTAGCTGAATTGAGATGTAGTGTAAGTGTCTATACAATATATATCACATTTTGAGAATTACATGTTGAAATGATTTTTTTGATGTATTGGGTTAAATAAGATGTGTTCTTACTATTAATTTCACCTACTGCTCAATGTAGCTGCTCAAAAATTTAAAATGAACTATATGCCTTGCATGATCTATCATCAGTGCTAAAGTAGAGCCTCAGCTCCACAGGCTGTGTGGGCACCCCTGTGTCCCAGGGGTAAAGGTCCCCATGATCCCCAGGCTCAGGAAGAACTAAAAGTCTCTATACATACGTGTCAAATTGATACCAATTGGGAAGTGGCTTAAGAACTCTGTGTGTGTGTGTGCGTGTGTGTGTGTGTGTGTGTTTGTGTGTGTGTGTATGTCTATATCCGTGCCTGGAGCGTGTGAATTTAAGCTTGGTCATTATCACACAGATCATTATGAGACTGGTTGGCACGACACTCGTATGCATTTCTATTTTTAATCCTGAAGAAAAAAAAAAAACCCTCAAGGAGCTCGAGTGATGAAGTTAGGGCCATGGGCTGCCAGCTCAGACAACCCAGATCTCTGTCCTCCCAGCTCCACCTTATTTCTGGAGGTACCTCTTCCCAGTTAGCAGCAATCTGAGACCAACACTTCCCCTTTTTTATCTGGGGGAGAATTCCTAAGGATTCCTGGGAAATGACCTTGAGTGGTCTCTCAAAAAAAGAAGGCAGGTGGTTCTAGTCGTTTTTCAACTCCCATCCTTTGTTCTCCTCTGACTCTCTGAAATTTGTCACTTTTGTCACTTTCCTTTTCAGACAGTGACAGTTCCCTAAAGATTTTTCACTCCACATCCTCTCTTGACCTTTCCCTGAGAGGTTGTTTCTCATTTTACTGCCAGCTTGCTGTGTGGCCCTTTTTTATTTGCAAGTTTTTAGGGTGAGCACTTTCTTGTGTGAACTCTTTGTACCTCAGGCTGTATTTTACTCTGGGGCTCAGTCTCACTTGTAAAAGGGTAACTTACAGCCAAGATAAGATGAAGTAATAACATCCTAGCTTTTCCTGCAAGCTCTTGAATTCTAGGATTCAAATTTTCCCATTTCAAGTCTTATGCAAATTTGACTTTTCAGGAGCTCTCTTTATGTTTTGTAAGCACTTTCACTGAACCTGAAGAAATATACCTGCTTCATAGATTATTGCAGAAAGTCAAACTGCACAGAATTTGACTTTTACTTTCCTTCTTAATAGTTTTTTGTTGTTGTTGTTACATGAAAGTACAATGTTAATAGAGGATCAAAAGGATCCTCTATTTTATCCTTCCTAGCTTGAAGGATTACTGACATGAGTGGATGAGATTCTAAGAAGGGGTCCTTTATTTACTAATAAGTTCTAAAATAAGAAAAAAAAGAAACTTTGGAGAATAAATTTTGTTTGACTGCACAGATTTGTTCTTGAAGTTTTAATGATGGAGAAAATATTTTACCAAGTTTCAATTTAAAATAAAATAACTAAATTACCTTATTGCTGAAATAAGATTGATTTGAACTTCAATTAAGTCACCTGATCTAGTCCAAACTAAATGGTAAAACATATATCCAATGTGAAAAATTACCTGGTAATAAAATAGTGGTAAAAATAGGAAAAGAGATAAGCAAAATAAATCCATCTCTCTCTTATTTTTTTCTGTTTTAGAAACTTCTGCACAAACCAAAGTAAGTGAAAATGAGTATGAGGAGTTCTGGAAATTAAGATAGCATTCATAGAAGCCTGATTTATTTAGAAAGCTTCCGTATTTTACATATGTTTTAGTTGTTTTAGTAAGCATACTATCTGTATTTATTTAGCTAGTTATACATTCTGATTCTTACCTCTTTAACAGTGTGTTCTGAGGTGTTATGTCAAAGAATTTTTCCATCATAGAATTTTTCATGTTACTTGGGAGAGTAAGGCAATTTGTTGACCCCCATTTTTCACTATTAAGTGCTCAGGCTAAGGCCAGTTTTAGGTTGGATGAGGAAGAGACCCTGAGGCTATTCTAAGAATCGAACACACTCGCCTCAAAGTAAAAGTGAGACAAAGGGCTTCATCCTTTATTTTCCTCTTTTAAAAAGAGTTTAATAAGTGTATTCATTTCCTATTGATGCTGTAATAAATTACTACAAACATAGGGGCTAAAACAACACAAATTTATTCTCTTGCTATTCGAAAGATGGGAAATTGGAAATCAGTCTCACTGGGCTAACCTCAAGATGCTGGCCGGGTCATTTCCTAGTAAAGCCTGTAAAAAGAGAATCCATTTCCTGCCTTTCCCAGCTTCTGATGGCTGCCTGCATTCGTTACTCCATGGCTCATGTTCCCTTCCACCATCTTCAGCACCAGTAGTGTAACATCTTCTGTCCTCTCTGACCCCGGCTTTGACCTTTACATCTTCTCTTTCTGACTTCAACTCTTGCAACCCTCCTGTAAGGACCACGGTGATTACTTGGTCTGCCCAGGTAATTTAGGATAATCTCCCCATCTCAAGGTCCTTAATGGCATCTGCAAATTCTTTTTGCTCTGTGAGGTAACATATTCACAGGTTCTGGAGGTTAGTATGTGTGCATATCTTTGGGGGAGTATTGATCTGTATACCATAGTAAGCAAATACTCTGTAGTTCTTAAAACTTTTCCAGTTGGACTTTCTTTTCAACAACAAATCAACAGGATGCCCTAGAATTAGCAGACTATTTTCATATATGAGGAAAGAGGCATGAAAGGATAGTGTAAAAGTTTAAGCTGGAACTACTGGTACAATTCTAACATTTATACCACCTTGTCTCATAGGGGTCTCTGGTAAAGGTTTACTCATGGAGTTTGGACTTAGGAACTTAGCTTTAAAACTTATACCACTGTTTGCAAGAGAAAACGAGGGCAGAAAGATCTAGATGGTGTGATATAAATTTTAGAAGTGCTTTACTTTTTTGGATTTCTTCCCAGCAAAAACATTTTCCATTTATAGTCTGTGCCTTTTTAAAATGACTTGTGAAGCTTTCTAGAGGCTGGTCAATGAATTTCAAATATTCTTATGGATGGACTAGATTAATTTTTACAGCACAACTTTTTCAAAAGCATTAAATCAAGATGCAGATGCTTTTGTCAACTGTTCAGTTCTTACTCAGATGCCACATTCTGTGCTGATCCTCTATATAAAAAAAAAGGAGGGGCATTCAATAAAGAAGTTCTTGGGAGTGAGATAAGGACAAATGAATTCTTAAAACTCCAGCAGAGAACATTGAATGGTACACTAATTAGCAGAGGGCAAAACAGGCTGACTGGTTGCAGTCAGGCCACTCACCATCGCAGACTGGCACAAGTGATGACCCCCCATATTCAAGTTTGTTTCGGAAGCCTGGGGTCATCTCAGGGGATCTCAAGAAGCACTCTTGGCCATCACTGCCCACAGAGTACCTAAGGGCAAATCTGCATATGCAAGTTCTTAGATTTTCCATTCAGTCCTAGAGCAGCCCCCATGCTAGAATCTCACTCTGCTGGTGTGGACTTCCACAGAACTTCTGTGCTGCTCTCCCTCCACAGTCTGACTTTGCAGAATTTTCACCCAGGCAGCCACTGAAGGTTCCAGAACAAGGGTTGGGACCAGGACAGCCTCCATCAAGTACCCATCATTGACGTCACCCGTTAAGATGCCGGAGATGTCATTCCTCTCACTGGTGGCTCAACAAGGTTGTTGTCATAACGAAATGAGCCCTGAAAAGGCCTCTTTTAAGATTTTAAAATCCTAATAAATATGTCTACATTTCAGCTTAACAAAAACCTTTCAAATTAGTCATCCAAATGCCACCAAAGGACAGTCATCTTTTTTTTTTTTTTTTTTTTTTTTTTTGAGACGGAGTCTCGCTCTGTCGCCCAGGCCGGACTGCGGACTGCAGTGGCGCAATCTCGGCTCGCTGCAAGCTCCGCTTCCCGGGTTCACGCCATTCTCCTGCCTCAGCCTCCCGAGTAGCTGGGACTACAGGCGCCCGCCACCGCGCCCGGCTAATTTTTTGTATTTTTAGTAGAGACGGGGTTTCACCTTGTTAGCCAGGATGGTCTCGATCTCCTGACCTCATGATCCACCCGCCTCGGCCTCCCAAAGTGCTGGGATTACAGGCGTGAGCCACCGCGCCCGGCCAGGACAGTCATCTTAAATCCTAGTTTAAAAGTTTATTTAAGGTAACTAAGAGTTTTTGTGTATGTCTTTGTTTGGTTTTACTCCTCAGCTTTTCAAGTGAGTTAGGGATTTGACTTCAAGAAGTCAGAAGAATTTTCTTTGTAGTCAAGTACATATTTTTCTTAATAAACATAAACATTTTTGAACACATATCTTGAAATTAGTTCACATGTATAGTGATGTTCCTTTTTTAGTTAATCTAAGAATTGGATTTTATCTGTTACAATGGGTGCCTGCTAATTGCTTATGAAAGTACAAATATTAAATCAGTGACTTTCACACTTTTTTTACTGTTATCATATTAAGAAGTACATTTCATAGTGCATCCTAACACATATACATATTATAGATACATATTTACATACTTTTGAAACAAAAGTTTTATGAAAAATAATGTCCTTCCTATAGCTGTACTCTAATATTTTCTATTTTATTCTATTTCATTAAGAAAATGCTTGTTATGACCCACTGAATTGATTTCATGACCAGAAGTGTGAAAAATATTGTGTTATTAAGTGATACAAAAACCCATTCTATTTTGAGTCAGAAAAACACAAGTACAATCCAAGTTAATTGCCTGAACATCTTCAATTATAAAGGGATTAAAAGTTCAATCCTTGAATCATGAAGAACATGGTTCAAATTTTTGTAAAACTTATTATTGGTAGATGTATAATAACTTTTGGAATAATGATATTGGGTAATCCAGCTATCAATAAAAATAATACTTTTAAAAAGATGCTAAGGCCCTACACTGTCACAATTTCACTGTAACCCATTGTATTGCTTATAAACACCAGGGGTTAAATTTTAGCACATAGAGAATTACATCAAGGGTGTCAACATAAACTAAATGCAGGTATCCAAGGAAGTAAAATAGTAATACTTTTTCTATCATTTGTGACTCAGAAGAAAAAAAAAAGAAGTTACAAGGACTAAAGTTTTTGTTTTGGAGTAATATCAAGATTACATCCAGCTGGTGGTAGCTTCATGAAGTTCTAAAGGTAGTTCACTGGGTCACAGGAAAAGACACATTACTGAGAAAGGTGAAGTTTTGACCAAAGAAAGGTGAAGTGTACATTTGCAGGTGAGCAGAATGTGATCTAACAAAGGGCCAAATGACCACCTTTCGAAGTGTCAGTCCAGAAAAGATTAAGTTGCTTCTTTATTCTGTGATTCAAATTTAAACCAAAACTAATCTGTAGAGTAAGATGCTTCTTTATTCTGTGATTCAAATTTAAACCAAAACTAATCTGTTGAGTAAGCATAAACATGAGCTCATCGAATTCTTCTTTTCCCACTGGTTATCACTTTGAGGTAGTATACCTATATACTTGTTTCAAGTTTTTTTCTCAGTCACTTTGGTGCTTCCGCTTTGGAAGCACCTTAGGCACATACTTACCATCCTTCATCCGCCCCTTACCTGTCTCAGCAGCTTCTGGAATGAAGTGAGTTTGTAATCTTGGTTAGTGGTTTGTGGCTCATGGGTTTTCCTTAACCGTGTATAAAGCATTCCTGCTGTGGAGACACATTTTTCTTACCTTACTCCTACAACAGATTTTTACTGAATATAAATAACTTCAATTCATCTTCACTTTTATATTGCCTTAGTTGCTGCTTCTAAATGCATTTTCGCATGAACTGAAGAGTTGGCTAAGTGGGTGACCTTCATATCCTTGCACAGGAGAAAATACAAAATGAGACCTGGGATTACCATTTTAAATGGAAGAACTGTGGCTGGAAGAAAAATAGCTCCTCAAGGCCCTTGAAGCAGAGCTGATTAGTTACAGAGAGCTAGAGACAAAGCACCTCCCTTTGCACTATTTTGCTGAATTTCTTCACTGGTTTTCAGCTTCTAGGCCCTTTATGCAAAGAAGAGTGGGTGAGGGATGGGAAATAACACTTGCATAGTGTCAGGGGCTTTGCATCTGCACTCATTCAACTGGCACAACAAATACCATTTCTTCCTTCATCAAATGGGGATTGAGTACTAACTATGTGGCACACTAACACACACACACATATGATACATAGATGTATCTATACATTTTCTAGTAGGTTTTGGTGAAAACAACAATATAGCAGAGTAAGAGAAAAAAGGAGTGTGGTAGGCAGGCAAGATCTCTCAATTATGGTGACCTCTGACCAGAATCCTAAAGACGTGAAGAGGAAGAGCCTTATCAGCTTTTGCAAAGCCCCTGAGACGGGGACTGCTTGGCACCTCCAGGAAACAGGAAAGTCCATGTGGTGGGAGCTGAGTGAGAAATACCAGATAGGGCCACAGAGATAGGGAGGAGATGGGGTGTTTGGTGGCAACATATTGCAGGTGACATACTTATACTTAAAATTTTTTGTTACTTATTTAAAATTAAAATTTAACTAAGTGTCTTGTTGTTTGTCTTTTTTAAAAAAATTCTCGCTGTATCTGACAACCCTGTTCCTCCTTTCCTTCCTCTCTTCTTTTTTTTCTGTGTGGCTGTGGTATTCACATGACATAGTCAGGTTCACTTGTTTTGGTTTGCTTTGTTTTGCTTTTTGCCCTTTGTCTTTATTGATGCAATTTTATTTTTGAATGTGTAGGATATTATCATGCTTTTAAAAGTCAAAATTCTCTGACTATATAATTTACAATACTACTCTTGTATTGTAGCACCACTACCTTTTCTAGCCAATTTCACCATTTTCCAGGTTTACTGTTCTCGTGGGTTTTCTTTCATTTGATTTTTTGTAATGATAAGAAAACAGATGCATGCTTTCTTATTCTCTCTTATTATGCAAATTTTGCCATTCTAAATATCTCC